>NC_000008.11:121964222-123214222 GCF_000001405.40 Homo sapiens
AGAGAGGGATATAGACTAAAAGTAGGTTAATCATTTTCCTCTGTTTTTGTATGTATGTAGGAAGAATAAGTGTTTTCCCAGAGTGACAGTCAATAGAAGAAAAACCTTTTGGAATTATGCCATTAATCTCTTTTCATGATCTACTCACCACTTTGGTCTGTTCGTATGCACATGTGCATGCATTCTCGCTTTTGAACCAACTGGGCTTAGCAACTAAAGGAAAAGAAGGAAGCAGTAATACAGCCTGGAAAGGGGCAGAGAAAGTTTTACAGAGTTGAGAATAATTGGGTTAGATTCTAAAGGATGATGCCTCTATTTGGATAAAAATGGGGAAGGAAGATCAACGTAAAAGAAATAGAGATTGCAAAGGCACAAAGGGTAAAATCCCTAGGCTTGCTTTGAAAACTGATTTAAGTTGAGCCTTAAATTATGGCTTTTAGCTTTGCAGAGATGAGAAGAATAACTTTCTATCTTAATTTGGATTCCACCAGAAAAAGAGCCTGAAGCAAGGATGAGAATACATGTAGTTTACTGGGTGTGTGATACCAGGAAACACATTTAAGGGAATAGGGGAATAGGTAGGGAAGGGAAAGAAGCTACCAAAAGGTAAATTGTGTGGCCATTTATCAGTGTGGGCAGCTGGATCTCAATTCTATTAGGACATTCTGGAAGACTGAATGGACTATACATTCTGGAAGCCTGCATGGATTCTACCAGGGGCTGAGCAAACCGGGCATTTATCAACTAATTATCCTCCCGTCATTGGATACAAGCACTAGTTCTGGCAGTTCTGGCTTGTTTTGTGCATGGGTCAATTATTTTGTAGCAGTGAAAAGAGGACTTTGGTCAGAGTTGCAAGTGTTTGCAGTAAGCAGCCTTCTCAATGTAGAAGTAAATTTGAGGTGGGGTCCCAAAAGTTTCCGCCAAACCTTCTCTCTGACTACCTTAATGCTATTCTCCTACCCATTCTCTCCTTTCCCTCCTCATGCTAGCCCTCTATATTACTTAGAAATGCCTCCAGCAGGACTCAGCACTGTAAACAGAGATTCAGAGATGCTTCCCTCTGCTCCTTAAACACATTGGTTTCTTTCAGGAGGAAATGAAGAAAATAAGTACCATAAGCTCTAAATCCCCAGCTCACATACTATTTTGATTTGAAGCCCCCCTACGGGACCCATTCATAGACCTGGTGGGTGTCAAAGTCATAAAATAGCCATTGAATTAAAAACAAGGAGAACAAGCTCCTCCTTAATAGAAGACCCAGAGAGTGAGAGCTTCCTTTCAATGGGGTTTTTGACAGTCTCCTTTGAAACAACCTTGCTTAAAACACAGCAGCTCATCTGCGTGGCCTAATCAAAGAATAAAGTACTTTATATTATTTTTAGAGTTTAAAAAATTGAAATGAGAATTCAGTTTAACTTTCAAACTCTTGTTTCCCCTTCATAGTGAAATTGGGGTTGGAAGATCAAGAGTCCCTGATATTCCTAGAACTGGTATTAAATAATGTTGTGCTCAAGGAAGTTTCTGGTTCATGGTCAGTTCAAATTATCATTTCTAGTGAATCTCAAGCTGACAATTTATTACTGAAATAGATGAGATTTAGAGTTCTGAGTTCAAGCCACAAGTTGACATCAAATTTCATTACCTTTCTGAGTGTCAAGTTCTTTACCTGTAAATGGGAATAAAAGTAACGACCTCAAAAAATAATTGAAAACACTATTTTATGTGTATGTAAAGATATATATAAAGTACATAAAGCATATATTAGATCTATATATATTATAAATATATATAGATCTAATATATAGATTCTAATATATTAGATCTAATATAGATATAATAGAATATATTATCTATATATTAGATAATAATTTATAGATAATATTATATTATTATCTATAAATATATGTGAATCAACTCCAAGGCTAAAACTAACTATGTCAACCATAACTAAGTAATTGAATCTCACCAAGCACAGTTACCAAATCTGTAAAATGAATGGGATTAGGTCACTAGGTCTCAACTGGAGTAATTGGACTTTCGTCATTTTCTGAGACATTCTTTGTGGCCACAACTGAAAGGGGTGTGCTATTGGCATTGAGTGCGAAGAGGCCAGAGATGCTGCTAAACATCTTACAATAAGGAGGATAGTCCCCCATAACAACAACAACAGCAACAAACTGGGTCAAAATGCCATAGTGCAATAGTTAAGAAACCTTGGATCACTAGAAATATTTATTAACACTAAGATTTTTTTATTCCCTAAAATGTTATTGCTTCCATAAATTATAAATATTTGTTAAATACCAACAATTTCCTATTATAGTTGAAGGAAATGTCAAATCTTGGTCATGACCTACAAAGCTCTGGCCATCTGGCCCTGGCCTGCTTCTCCAGCCTCATCTCATGCACCTGTCATCTGTTATTCTCTCTAGTCTGGCTATAACAGCTTCCATCGTGATCCTTGCATTCCTTCCTTAGGATTTGGAATGTTCACTTTACTGTACTAGAAATCTCCTCTAGATCTCTGCTTGTCTTTCTCATTTTATTCACCTTCTGTACTCAGATTTCACTTCATCAGACAAATGCTCCCTAATCACCTGATTTTCAATGTTTCTACTTTTCATCTTTACATAGTTAGACTGCCTTATGTTTTGACCACTGCATTTTGTTCACAGATTGATCCTAGTGCCTAGGTACAGAAAAGCTGCTCAGTAAACACGTGTCAAATGAATAAATTATTTGGGGCCCCATGTCAGGCACTTTAAATAGAAACAAAATTCACCGAAAAAGGCTTATAAAAATTACACCCATTATAGATTTTTTTCCTTATGGATACAAATAGCCGTTCTTTTTATATAATTGTCCGCAAGGATAAAGTTGTTCTCATTAGGGAGATAAAAATTTACAGGAAAAGGCTCAAGGTTGTATTTATTTTGGAGACTAGTGACTGACAAAATAACACTTTCTGTGTGTTTATTTTGTTTGTTTTGGTTTGATTAGGTCTGTCTCAGACAGAAATCTCTTTCTCTCTCTGACATAGCTTGAGAGGTGCACCCTGACTCTAATGAGGACAGCACAAGGTATTAGTTCTGTTGGTGTTCAAGTTTTTGTCCCTAAGGCAAGGATTTGACAACATCAATTAATTTAACAATTTTTGGAATCAGTATGATTCACTTGGTGCTTTCTTTTATTTGGCTTGTTTTATTTACATGAACATAAAAATTGCTGCTGATTGATACATGAAGAACTTCCTAGTGTGTGGTAAATAAAATAGTCCTAAATTATACTAAGACTAGAAAAGGAATCTTTATCTGAAAAAATTTTAATATCCTCTGTGGCTATAAGTTTGGCTTTTGTGTGCCAGAAATATCTAATTGTGTTTATTAGCCTGTCTGTAGATATCAAGAACTGATAATAATCCAGTTTACTTCTCCAAGTTTAACCTGATCTACCACTTACTGTAGGAATAACCTTTTTTACTCTGAGATTTCTTAGCTTGTCTATATTTGTGACTTGCTAGGAGATGTTTTTTAGCTTCCTGCAAGGCTTTCTCCATAGTCATAAACCAGATACCAAGCCAGTTACTAAGGAGGACTTTTTAGGCATCAATTATTTCTTCTAATTATTTATAATACCTAAAATTACTGAAATAAACAAGTTTCTTCTGCACATAGAAAAGTATATAAAAATAAAAAAAAATCAAGAGAATGAGAAAACAAGCCACAGACTGGGAGAAAATATTTGCAAAAGCTATATCTGATAAAGGATTGTTATTCAAACTGTACAAACAAGTCTTAAACTCAACAATAAAAAAAATGAAAACCCCAGTCAAGAACAGGTGAAATATCTGAACAGACATTTCAACAAAGAAGATACATAGATTGAAAATAAGTATAAGAAAAACTGCTCAACATCATATGCCATTAGGGAATTGAAAATTAAAACAATGGCACACCAATGCATACCTATTAGAAGAGCGAAAATTCCAAATACTGATGACACAAAATTCTGGCAAGGATGTGGAACAACAGGAAATCTCATTCATTGCTGTAGAAATGCAAAATTGTACAGCAACTTTGGAAGATGGGCTAGCAGTTTATTACAAGACTAAACAAACTCTTACCGAAGAGTCCAGCAATTGCATTCCTTTGTATTTATCCAAATGAACTGAAAAGTTGTGTCCACACAAACATCTGCACACAAATGTTTATAGCAGCTGTATTCATTATTGCCAAAACTTAGAAGCAAACAAAATATTATTCAGTAGATGAATGGATAAACTGTGGTACATCCAGACAATAGAATATTATTCAGTGCAAAAAAAAAAAGTGCTATCAAGCCATAAGATGACATGGATGAAACTGAAGTGTATATTACCAAGTGAAATAGCCAATCTGAAAAGGCTACATATTGTGCCATTCCAAATACATGGTGGTCTTGGAAAAGGAAAACGATGGAAGCCGGAAAAAAATCAGTGGTTGCTAGCGATTGAGAGAAAAAAGGAATGCTGGAGCAAAGAGGACTTTGGAACAGTAAAACTCTTCTGTGTGATACCATAATGATGATTACAGGGGCTGGGCGTGGTGGCTCACGCCTGTAATCCCAGCACTTTGGGAGGCCGAGGCAGGTGGATCACAATTTCAGGAGTTCGAGACCAGCCTGACCAACATGGTGAAACCCCTGTCTCTACTACAAATACAAAAATTAGCCAGGCATGGTGGCACGTGCCCGTAATCCCAGCTACCCAGGAGGCTGAGGCAGGAGAATCACTTGAACGTGGGAGGCGGAGGTTGCAGTGAGCTGAGATCACACCATTGCACTCCAGCCTGGGCAACAGAGCGAGACTCAGTCTCAAAAAACAAAACAAAACAGTAAAACAAAAAACAAACAAAAAATGACGGTTACATGTCATTACACATTTGTCAAAACCTGTAGAATATACAGCAGCAAGAGTGAACCCTGGTGTAAACTACAGACATTGGTGATAATGTGTAGCTTCATTGTAACGCATATGCCATTCAAGTACAGGGTGTTGATGGTGGTGGGGAGGCTGTGGATTTTGAAGGCATGAGGTATATTGGAACTCTGTACTTTCTGTCAATTTTGCTGCGAGCCTAAAACTGCTCTAAATAATAAAGTTTGTTAAAAAAGGAAACATAAAAATATAAAGAAAAGCTCTAGGAATGGTGTTTTTTTCTCCCCATCTAGGCATTGCATTTGGAGGAGAATAACTACCATCCATTAGAAACTAAAGCAAAAAGAATTTGGCAAACAAAAGACATGAGGAAAATCAGGTTCTTATGAGAAGTTCAGTTAAATGATAATACGGTTTTTTGAAGTAGTATGTTTTCACTGAGATGGTCTGTTAATTGATTAAATGACTGAATATGAATGTTTTCTTAAGTATCAAGCAAATAGCTTCAGCTTTTCCTCCGTCCTCATGCCAGGTATATGGCATATTCTAAATGGAGGCTGAAGTCTCTGAGCTGCTTAATTTTTCACAGACTTCTGCAAGGATGATGGGCTTTCTGGCTCACTTTTTGCCAAAAGGCTCAGAGTAATGACTTGCACACTGTAGGAATGCAATGAGTAGTTGTGTGTGTTTGGTTATTTGCATTTCTGGATGAGCCAGTAAAGGTTGCAATTGCTTCATTCCTATTATAAGCTCAATAAAGAAAGAGATTATGTTTGGGTTACCATTATAACATCAACACTTTGCACTATCTGCAAATAATAAAAAAGAATGCATAAGCAGAAGAGCTTTTTCTTGAAAGAGCATTAGAACACTGTGTTACAATTAATTAACCTTGAACTAGACATCAAACACTGGTTAAAGTGTTTTGGTTAAAGGTACAGTTCCAGCCATTTTCATTATCCTTTTCTGAGTCTCCATTTCCTTATCTGAAACATGAGCAGAAATCAACTTGGCCTGCCCTTCTAAGAGCTGTTCTGAGGATCTGTCAAGGTAATGCAGATGGGAGAACACTTGAGTTTTTAGGTGCTGTATAAATGCATGATCAGACATAGCAAGTTACCCTGACAATGATCAGGAAAATAAAAATGAATGAGTGGGGAATGTAAGGAGGTGGAGGGAGCTTAATTTGCTAGAATTTTCAGAGGAGTAAAATATGTAGTTAAGAAGAAACATTTGATGAACTACATGAGGTAGTGAGTGGGGGATTCCTTATCATTCCTACCCCAAAATGCATGTTCCACTTTCAAATAATGCTCAGTGAAATTCTCTTCTAAGCAGGAAGTCTCCACATAATTGCAAACCTTTTGTTAATAGAGTGGTCTGTAAGTGTGGAGTCAAAATGCTCATTGCTTAAGGTCACAGAGGATGAGTTTTCTCCAGCTACTCTTCCTGAAAATTAATCAAAGATGCAAGATTTTATTTCTTTAAATTAAGGCTCAGATGATTCCTGCCTGACAAAGATTCCAAATTACAAGCCTGCCTAGGATGTATATATATATATTGCAATGCAGCCTCACGTATAATCATGTCAGAATCATACTGGGTTATATTAGACTTAAAGAAAATTTGGTCTGTGTTCCTTAAAGTGAGTGTATATTAAGACAGGTGGGATCAAGCTCAATTTTATCAGCCAAAAAGTTAATCTGACATAGCAATGAGGGGCAGACCTAGAGCCAGAACTCAGCATTCCATCTCAGTGTAGCAAATGTCTTATAGGTGATTACATTTTAAGTACTGATTCAAAATCATTAGACAGATCAGGTATTCGTATCACATTTTTCCATTCCCCTCTCCAAGTGGATGGACCTACATTTCAAACTAGACAGCTATAAACTGTTAACAGCTTGCTAATGGATGTTGGAATCATAGTTCATCTTATTCAAGGGTTCTATTACTTATTCCTTAATTCATCAAACATGTATTAGATGCCTAAATGGTCCAAGCATCTGGAGTTGCATAGGGAATTATGGTAAAAACAAACAAACATTGTGCATATGTGTGATCTGAAATGTATATTAGTGTGATATGAGAGAAGAAATATACCATTAAAAGAAAACATTTGGTTCTTGGGCTAATTTCCAAGATAGGTTTGTTTTTTTTAAATGTCCACTTTCTATGTTTCCTCTTCATACTGTGTTGAAAGAGGAAAGTAAATTCACCAGAGATTTAACTACAGCATTCCATTTCATTCAAATTATGCCTACTCTCATCTTGATACTTTTCTAAGATTATCTGAAAACTTTAGAACAGTTTGAAATAAACTCTTTCATATATTAATTAATTCATTCAGAAAACATTGATCAATACCTTTTATGTGTCAGTCACAGTGCTAAGTACTAGGGAGTAAAGACACAAATAAGAATGTCCTACAGAACTCATTATTTGAAGATAGGCTGCAATTGAAGAAATAGCTTACAAGTCAGTGTGATAGTACATCTGAAGCACAGAGGGTGCACAAAAGCAGTTGGAGCAGGGTAAGGTTAATTGGACCTGTGAGCTCAAAGAGGGTTCCCTAGAGAATGTTAAGTCTAAGTTACACTAGAAAAGAAGAGTAGGGGTTTAAGGCAGGATGGACATGTCAGACAGAAGGATGAGCATGATCCACAGAGCAGAAGCCAACAGCGAAATGGTGTGCCCTGGGAAATATAATCAATTCCTGATTGCTGGAGCAAAAAGTGCAAAGGGGCAGAGCAATCAAATTGTTTTAGATATTACTACCTTGAGCAGGACAAAGCACTGACTTTGTGTATCATCAGCTGAAATTTGCATGGGGTCTTCCACATTCTCAGTCCTTCAGACTAGTTACCTTTGCAATCTTATGATACAGTTAAAAACAATAATGTTCTTGGAAAACATATGGACATATTTAATTTATAATTAAATAGATGACTACAAAGATAAGATTGGAAAACCACTTTGAACTCTCTTTCTATGACCACAGTAAGTTTTGTCCAAGAGCTTTGCCTCTCTTTACCATTTTCCTCCCCTAGCTTCTCTCTTATTTTCTTTCTTTCCTTTTCTTTTTTTTTTTTTTTTTTTTTTTTTTTTTTTTTTTTTTGAGACAGAGTCTCCGTCTGTCACCCAGGCTACAGTGGCATGATCTCGGCTCTCTGCAAGCTCCACCTCCTGGGTTCAAGCCATTCTTCTGCCTCAGCCTCCTGAGTAGCTAGGCATACAGGTGCCTGCCACCACGCCCAGCTATTTTTTTTTTTTTTTTTTTGTATTTTTAGTAGAGGCGGGGTTTCACCATGTTGGCCATGCTGGTCTTGAACTCCTGAACTCGTGATCCACCCGCCTCAGCCTCCCAAAGTGCTGGGATTACAGGCGTGAGCCACCGCACCCAGCCTCTCTCTTGTTTTCTAATAAGCTTTTCCATCTCTTCTTCTCTTTTTAAATTTTTTATGCACGACCTTCTCTATCTATGACAGCAAACCCAACATAGACTTTCATCTGACCAAGTAGTTCACAGTCTTTGTTTCCAGATTTCTTTAGAACTTCCTGTGGAGACTCCTTAAGGATGATGAAGCCCATGGATTTCCGGGCTCAATTTCTTCACCTGATCTCTGGCAATTTCACATAGATCTGTTATATAGATTGGAACTTTTCATGAAATTTCTTTGAAAAGAGAGTTACTATGCTTCATTAAGCCTTAAAATTGCTCCTTCTTGTCTAATTTTCATCTTTTGAGGCTAAATTGAGGCCCACAGAGGAGAAGACAGTATCAATACAACATAGCTATCTAGACAGAACTAAATTCAACATGGCTCTACTCTTCTCAGATGCCCATCCCATTAGGTTATTCCAGGCAACAGTACTTCTCTGCCGTATTGCCCATACTAGGGACATCTGGGAAGTACAGTGACATGAGGGTCACCATGTGCCCAGTGTTTCCTCTCAGGAGCAGACTTAACTGCCTCCAAGCCTTCTCCTTTTATCCTAAATTGGAAACTCTCTGTCCATCATTTCTCTGGGCTATATTAAATTCAATTTAGAAAACATTAACTATGAGCTTACAAAAATGTTTGTGCTCAGCCTTGGAGACATAAGGTTAAATATATATGTATTATAGTCATTGCAATGGAGTTTCTCACTGACTTTTTTGGGAACAAGGCACACAGACACGCATACATCTGACTCCTTCAGTGAAGCGAGAGCTATATTAGAGTATGTTGTTATGGATTAAATTGGGTGCCCCCAAAAGATATGTTGAGGTTCTTACCCCATGCACATCAGAATACAAACTTAGGTGGAATAGGGTCATTGTTGATGTGATTCATTGAATTAAGATAAGGTTACACTAGAGTAGGCTGTTCCCCTAATCCAACATGACTGTTATCCTTATAAGAAGGTGGCCATGTGAAGACAGAGATACAGGGAGAAGGTCATGTGAAGGTGGAGGCAGAGAATGGTGTGATGTATGTATAATCCAAGGAGCACCAAGGATTGCTGGCCATCACCAGAAGCTCGGAGGGAAGCATGGAACAGATCCCCCCTCGGAGCCCTCAGAAGCAACCAACCCTGTTGACACACACCCTGCTTTTGGTGTTTTAGCCTTCGGAACTGTGAAACAACAAACTTCTATTGTTTTAGTCCACCCAGTCTGTGGTACTTTGTTCCAGCATCTCTAGAAAACTGATACACATGCATGAAGTTCACAGATGAAGAAGACATTATTAGCTACCCCAGGGCTCCAGGCACACCCCCCTGGGAACAGGTGACCTTTTAGTTGGGCACTGAGGGGTGAGTAGGTGAGTAGGCATCCTTCAGAAGGAAAAAGGGAGAAGGTGCATTCACAGCAGAGAAGAAAGCAGGAGCAAAGGACAGGATTTAGAAAGGTCTTTTTGTTTTTGAGCAATGTTGAATAACCCTGTATAGCTCCTACATGGAACTGGAGCTTGGGGTGCTTTCGGCAAAGCCTGTTGCAATGTACTTTTGCAACAAGTGAGTTAAGTCAAGAAAAACTTCAAGTTTTGGTGTCATTTTGTGTGTGTGTGTGTGTGTGTGTGTGTGTGTGTGTGTGTGTGTGTTTAAATATGAATCTATCCCCAGATGGTTTCTCTTTCTTTTAATTTCTTTTTAATTATGGAAGCTATTCACCAAACATGTTTTTGTTTATCTCAAACTAAGTATACAGTTTCAACATATGGAGGATATTTTGTTTTACTTCAGTTTATCTTAAGAAATCAGCTTTCCTAACTCTTGCTGGCAGTGGACCCAAATTATTTCTTACTTTTCATTTCTCTATTTATTTTCTCTTCTTCCTTCTTTTCTTTCAGCTATGCCTTATTCCTATCTCCCTCCCTCCCTTCCTTCCTTCCTTCTTCTTCTTTTTCCTTCTGGAATGTTATAAAATATTTCCTGTGTTAATGAACTGCCCCATTTAGTGGCAGAAACCAATAGCTCCTTGGCTTGTAGACATTTAGTTAACTTAGAAAACACAAACTGAAATTGTGTTAATAAACAAGTCAGGGATATTATTTGTATTTTAATTTATAGTATCATGAAGCTGGCATTCAAATTTCTTCATAATCTGGATTCACACCACTTGAGCTGGCCTGTTTGGCTTGATGCATTTCAAACCTCAGGGCATCTGGCTCTTCTGTTCTTCCTTTCCTTGGAAAGCTTGTTTTCACCTCCTCAGCCTTCTGTGCTCCACTTACCTTTTAAGATGCAGCTCAAATGTCCCTCCTTTTAAACACATTTTATGGTGCTTCCAGGCAGAACTGATTATTTTCCCCTAGATTCCCCTAGAGCTTTGTCCATTCTTCTATTATAGCTTTATTGTGCTTGGTATTTATTTTCATGTATGTTTCTTCCATCGAACTAAGGTAAAAATGGTTTCTCATTGTCACTAAACTTGCAGGGTCCAAAAGAGAGGCTGGCACAGAGTGGGCTCTATAAATTCCCATCGAGGAAACTTGTATGTGAAAAGAGAGGGCAATCTTCCTCCAAGGAGTAAAGAGCTTGTCTTCAATAACCTTGCAGCTCTTCTTTAAAATCATTTGCATACTTCCCAATTTGAAGAGCCCTTGAATGGTTAGACACTGGGTACTAGAGGCGGAAAGCCACTGAGAACACTGAGGGTAAGACTGATAGGGGAAGTTGCCCTTTCTTGATATTTACATTCATGTAGCAGAAACTGGGCATCCATTGGATGTCAAATCCAGTGTAGAGGTGTAGAGATTTATTCATGACCATTTCTGCAGTGATGCTAGACCAAAGGGTTCACCACTCCTGCCAATTCTAAAAACTGGAATCAGTTACACTATGCTGAGAAGGTTTTTAGGTTAGAGTGCTGTAAACAAGTCATGAAGCCTGTAAGAAGCATGAGAAGAAAGAGTGGTGGCACATGGGATGTATACTTGGCATGGCCGTACTCCCCTTAAACAGGGTTTACATCTTTCATCTTAAAACCCTCAGTATTTTACTTGACACATTGTATATGATCCATAAAGGGCTGTTGAATGAATGAACGAGTGAGTGAATGAAGTTTGCCTAAGCTGATAAATAGCAGGAGTGCAAATGTGCGAGCTTTGTGAGTACAGCTCTATAATTCCTGACCCTCCCTCATTACTTGTATGCCTTTTCAATGATCTTGTGACATGAGACAGACATTTTATTGCATGACCCTTAATTCTAGCAGCTGAAGTCCAGCATCAATGACCTTGATGATGGCATTTTTTTGTCCCCATGCATTGCTCACTGGAGATCTGCAGTGAGTAGGATTGATGACCTAGAGACTAAGGTTAGGTTCTGACCACGTGGCTCACTATGACTGTAATCTCTTCCCCTTCACTACCTTTTTAAGGGGTTTGGAAGTGCAGTGATATAAAGTGATAAGGAGAGAAACAAGGAGAGGGTCAAACAGATGAGGGGGGTGTGAGCCAAGGTAGGGAGGTAAAACAGACGGCAGGCATGAGTGGTGGAGGAACTGGAAGAGGACGAAAAGCAGAGCTGGAGCAGTGGACCACGGGGACCCACAGGCACCAGGATCAGCCTTCCCGTGCCACCCCCATGCCACTCACTGAGCCCCTCCCTGCTGTCTCCACCTTCATTTCTGATGGACATATTAAACACTTTCCTCTCCTGTAGTAAGAATCCTCTACATCTGAATGCCACTTTTCACCATAGGGCCACAGCACTGGGACCTGGGCTAAGGTGTGCTCTGGCCACAGTAAGACTACAGGACTTTGATAGCTGGGAGAAATCCTAACCTTCCATACTTCTATTTTCCCATCTTTGTTAGAAAGGCAGTGTGTGATGGAACTGAGGTTACAGAGGAGGGAGAGTCTTTACAGAGTGTCCAATGCTACAGAAACATGCCTGGGTTCTCATCTTTATGTTGTCCTTATGATAGGAGAATATTTCTCCAATAAGGAAACGCATTCTCAGAGAAGCCAAGGACCAGAGATTATGGAACAGTTTATGAGTGGCAGAGTTCTAGAGCCCAGCTTTGTGACTTTCACCCTAGTCTGCTTTTATTTTCACTTCTCCAAGCCTCATCCTTAGAAACCAGATTGTCTCTGATAGCAACAACAATATGTGAACTTGAGTGTTTTATTATAAAAGGGTAACTTTGTTTATTATATTTCTTATTTAAGTAGAATGTTTTATTTTCATTTAAACCTAATGTTAAACAATCTAAATAAGGAATTTATTTTTATGTTTAGAGGGGAATTTTCTGGTTAAACATCACACAGATCTGAATCCTGAGGCTCTGAGTGTTGGACACATGACTCATTTGGTAATAAAGGAACTGTGGTTGCAAAGTCAGTACCACAGTTCTTTGCTGATGCACACCCGCAGACCCCACTCTGCCCTTCTGTGACCGAGGACCAAGTTTACCAGGAGATAATCATATTTATAAGCAACATTCAACATTTTAAGTAGTACATGGCAGGACTCCTAAACCACTGAGGCAGTCAAACCCAGGGTCCTAATAACTTTTCCATACCTCTTTGGAACCTGTATTCAATAGGCCATTGTTCTCAGGTGTCCTGAGTGAAAGAAAATAGTTTTGATGAAGAGGGAAATGGGCCGCCATTCCTAACACCTGCTCTGCTGGGAGGGCATGGTCCAGTCCTAAGTAGAAAGCAAACATTGAAGGCGGGTGGGCAAAAATCCCAGACAGGGATTTGTTTTGTTTTGCTGCAGGAATTTTCAGGTCACCAACACCAGCTTCCAGGCTTTCCTCTCCATTGCCCTCCTCTCCCAGGGAGAAAGTCTCCTCTGTTCTCTGGACTATAAGGCAGCCTGGGTTTCTCTGGCTCTCCCCTCATTAGCCAAGGAGCACACATTGAAAATCCAAAAAATATATGATTAATTCAACTTTGGATGCATACTGTCAGTCTGAGGGCAGTTTCTTTAGAAACAGCTAGGGGCTGCGTATTTAATGCTTTGAAGCACATTTCCACACCAGGAGTTAAGCTAAGTTGCATTGAGAATTTTCTTCAGCTCTGTTAATGTTGATACAGAAGCTATTGTAAAACCCAATTTCACGCCATGAAAAGATTCCTCTCCATGCTAAGACTTTAAGAATAGAGATGTTATAGTCTTTTAAATAAGAAACCAGCAGAACTCCCACAAACCTTCACATTTACCATAGTGCTTTCTGATTTACAAAGCACCCTCCACTGGCTGGCCTTGCCTCTTAGACATTAAACCACAGAACAGCGTCATCAGTTAGGAAGAGTTTGCCATGGGAATCTTGCCCCCCAACCTGCTCTGAGCTCCATTGACCACTCAGGTCTTTAAAAAGAACCATGTTTCTTCTGACCACCAGCATCTACTTCCACCATTGTCTTGGTTAGGACTTCCCAACAGAGCCCTGCCCACTCTCTCCACCTTTGTCTAGTTAATTTCATCTTATCCTTCTGTTGTGAGCCCAAAGCACATTTTTTCAGAGAAGTCTTCTCTGATCACCTGCTCCCTGCAACATTCCTTATGTACAATCGTAGAATCATATTTCTATTTTCCAGACTACTTGAAATCAGTTTCTAATTAGTCATTTTTTTCAGTATGATTACTTTGATATCTGTCACTCTATTAGGTTGAACATTATTTCTGTGTTTAGCTTACTATTGTATCTCTAGCACATGTCTAGCATATAATGGCTCAATAAGTATCTGAATATTAAATGAATGACCGTCACTCACTTCCCTTTTACAACAGAGAAATTTGAGGCTCAGAGCAACATGCCCATTGCCATGGTACTAATAAAAGACTTTTGGGGGTCAGAGAGATTCAAACCCAAAGTTCAGCGTTGTCATTTATTCACTTGGGTAATTTTCTTTCCATCTCTTGTTCCCTTTTCCTTTACTTGTTAAATTCAGATAATAGAAACTGAGAGGATGGTTGTAAGTTCTACAAGAGACAAAAATTATATATGGTGCTTGTGTACTATTAATACACTCTTAAATCCATGCATGTCTTTTAAGTCTATTTGCTGAAATTCTAATTCCAGTCTATGAAACAATTGATTTCTATATTGCCCAAAAACATCAATATCTCTTCCTACAAGTGGAAAATCTGAAGTAAAAAGAAAGTCAGTGCTAAAGGCAATTATCTCACCCTTTCTTTTCTCCTTTAGTTCACAATGGAATGACAGAAGAGATTATAAAATGAATTTTTTAAGGCAATAGAAATGGAAACAAAACTAACATTTATTTAGCTAATTTAGTATATTTTACAATGCTTGGCATAATCATATTGCTTTCTTACTTGTTCTGATTAGCAATGACTTGTCTGAATGACAGACCCAGGATGGGGATGCAAATGTTCTGGAAAAATGAAATGAAAGATTTCTCGTGGTGGAACAAGAGAGTGAACTCACAGTGTTTTTACTGGCAGATTTGCTAAGGGATGGAGCTAAGGAAACAGCCAAGATGGTAGCTAACGATGTTGTCAGGAGAAAAGGCTTATGCAATTAAAAAAAGAAAAGAAAAAGAAACAAAACAGAGGAGAATAAGCATCAGATTTCAAGAGACGTTTGACTCAGGTTTCTTGACACTTAATCTCGTGTTTGATCCACCAGGCCACCTGAGGTGCTCTATAATATTATTATGTCCAATCTATAATTTATATCTTCTATATCATATTCCTAAGCTATTAAAGGCAGAGCACAGACTAAGCATATTTATAGAAAATATACTACTGTAATAGCCAAGGAATATAAAAATACTATATAGCAAGGATTCTGTTTCAGGCTAAAAATGAAAGAAGGATATTGGAAACCCCACGCATATGTGATTTAATATACATCATCTAATTCATTTAACTTCAAACTGCTTTAGTACAGTTATGTCAGAAGCAATAGTTACACATATTTAAAGTTTCAGCTGGAGAGAGCTGATCAAGCACCTTGACCTCTGTAGTGAGATGGTTGTATATAAGAACAGGTAAGGGAGTTGGAGTCAAATGGACCTGGGTTCAAATCCTAGCTATGCCACTTATGATGTCTGTGATATTTGGGTTAGGAAATGAAAAGCAAGGATAGTAATGCGTCACAGGGTAGATATGATTTAATAAGTTTGAAAATTGTATGGATAATATCTATTTACTAATACCTGTAATATAGTCTAAATTTAATAAACACTGGCTCTTTTTCCTGAAAGCATTTGTCTTTGATTTACTTAATTTTTTTTTAAACAGAAGAGAACAGATAGAGTATATTTGAAATACTAAATGGTATGCAGCTGCCCTGCTGCTGGAAACAAGAAAGGAAATGTGCTTTGCTCACTGGCATGGTGCCACTCGTCCTCTCTGCACCCTGATTCCCTCCGCCTTCTCTACCTGAATCTCCTCTACTTTAAGGGAAAAACAGTGATTAAGGGTGATCAAGCTCTCTCCTTTTCCAAAGAGGACTGAAGGTCCTACACACACATCCAAGCATGCTGGGGCTCTTCATGGAGGAAAAGGACTCAAGCTTTTTTTTTTTTTTTTTTTTTTTGAGACGGAGTCTCGCTCTGTCGCCCAGGCTGGAGTGCAGTGGCGCAATCTCGGCTCACTGCAAGCTCCGCCTCCCGGGTTCATGCCATTCTTCTGCCTCAGCCTTCCGAGTAGCTGGGACTACAGGCGCCCGCCACCACGCCTGGCTAGTTTTTTTTGTATTTTTAGTAGAGACGGGGTTTCACCATGTTAGCCAGGATGGTGTTGCTCTCCTGACCTCGTGATCCGCCCGCCTCGGCCTCCCAAAGTGCTGGGATTAGAGGTGTGAGCCACCGTGCCTGGCCGACTCAAGCTTTTAATACATATTTTGTATATGCAGACATACCAGTTACTATTTTTTGTTGAGTTAATTACAGTGTTGCCTAGACGTGATAAGACTGAATATCCATGTCTTGCTCCTGACTTCCAGGGGAAAGCATTTATTTTTTCACCATTAAGTGAGATGTTAACTGTATAATTTCTGTAGACGCATTTGGACTAAGAAATGTCTTTTAGGCTGTGCGTGGTGTCTCACACCTGTAATCCCAGCACTTTGGGAGGCCGAGGAGGGTGGATCACCTGAGGTCAGGAGTTTGAGACCAGCCTGGTCAACATGGTAAAACCCCGTCTCTACCAAAAATACAAAAAAATTAGCTGAGCATAGTGACGCGCACCTGTAATCCCAGCTACTTGGGAGGCTGAGGCACGAGAATTGCTTGAGCCTGGGAGGCAGAGGTTACAGTGAGCTGAGACAGTGCCACTGCACTGAGGCTTGGGTGACGGAGTGAGATTCTGTCTCAAAAAGAAAAAAAAAAAAAGAAAAGAAAAGTCTTTTATTTCTAGATTGATGAGACTTCCTTTGTCCAGAATAGATGTTGGATTTTGACAATTTTTTCTGCGTCTATTGAGATGATCACTTTCTGTAATCTGTTAGTATGGTTAATTAAATTGATGGCATCAAATACTAAAATATTAAGTCAAACTTACATTCCTGATATTAAATTATTTTTGATCTTGATGTATTATCCTTTTTTATATATGGTTTGATTCAAGTCAGCGAAGTCTTGTTAGGAATTTTTGAATCTATATTGATGAGGGCTATAGGTCTGTAGTTTAGCTACATTTTTCTTCTAATTTCTTACTGTTTTGATATCACAAGAGTGATGACCTTATAAAATGATTTGGGATATATTTCTTTAAATTTCTGGAAGAATTTTTGCAGAATTATATTATTTCTTCCTTAAATACTTGGTATAATTCACAAATAGTTTCAGGGCCTGGAGTTTTCTTTGTGGGAAGGATTTTCACTGTAATTCTGTTAAAAAGTATAATGCAGCCAGGTGCAGTGGCTCATGCCTGTAATCCCAGCACTTTGGGAGACCAAGGCGGATGGATCACCTAAGGTCGGGAGTTCGAGACCAGCCTGACCAACATGGGGAAGCCCCATCTTTACTGAAAATACAAAATTAGCTAGGCGTGGTGGCACATACCTGTAATTCCAGCTACTCAGGAGACTGAGGCAGGAGAATTGTTTGAACCTGGGAGGCAGAGGTTGCGATGAGCTAAGATCACGCCATTGCACTCCAGCCTGGGCAACAAGAGAAACTCTGTCTCAAAAAAAAAAAAAAAAAAAAAAAGTATAATTCAGTATAATGCAATTTAGGTTATCTGTGTCTTCTTTCATGAATCTTAGAATTTATTGTCTTTCAGGGATTTTTTTCCCATTTAATGTAAATGGTTGAATTTACTTGCATAAAGTTGTAAATAGTATTCCATTATATACATGGAGTCTATATTGATACCACATTTTTCATTGTAACATTGCTAATTTGTGTCTTTCTTCTTATATGCTATTAGTCTGGTTAGAAGTATATTAATTTTACTGACAGTCTGAAAGAACTAGGTTTGAGTTTCTATTATTATATTTTTGAGACGGAGTTTCGTTCTTGTCGCCCAGGCTGGAGTGCAACGGCACAATCTCGGCTCACTGCAAACTCCGCCTCCTGGGTTCAAGTGATTCTCCTGCTTCAGCCTCCGGAATAGCTGGGATTACAGGTGTGTGCCACTACGCCTGGCTAATTTTTGTATTTTTAGTAGAGACGGGGTTTCATCATGTTGGCCAGGCTAGTCTCAAACTCTTGACCTCAGGTGATCCACCCGCCTCAGCCTCCCAAAGTGCTGGGGTTACAGGCGTGAGCCACCATGCCCGGCCTGGTTTCTATTATTTTTAAAATTATTTTTCTATCATTTACTATTGTTTTTCTATTTTCTATTTCATTGAGATCCACTGTTAACTTTATTATTTCCTTTAAGGCTTCCTTGATATTTGTTCTTCATTCTACTTTCTGAGGATGGATGCTGTTACTGATTTGAGAAAGTTTTCCTTACTCATACAGTTATTTGGGGCTCTCCACATCTCTAATTCTGCTTTAGCAGTGTCCCACAAATCTTGACATTTGGTATTTTCATCTTCATTCATTTCAAAATACCGAATTTTAAAATTTTCTCTTTTAATCTTTTTGGTGCATGAATTGTCATTTAGAAGTGTACTATTTAGTTTCCCACATTTGTGTATTTTTCAGATATCTTTTTGTTATTGATTACAAATCTAATTCCATTGTGAAAAAACAACATACTTTTTATTACTTGAATTCTTTTACTTCTTTTTGTCCAGAATATAGTCTATCTTGGTAAATGTTCTGTTTGCACATAAAAAGAATTCGTATTGCACTATTGTTTGGTAGAATGATTTATAAGTATCTATTAAGTTGCTCGATAGTATTGTTTGCATCTTCCTTATCTTACTGTTTTTCTGTGTATTTTTTCAACTAATGTGGAAGTACCATTAAAATCTCTAATAGTGGGTTCACCTACTTCTTCTTGAGGTTCTGTTACTTTTTGCTCCATATATTTTATTGATTTTAAGCAATTTGATTATGATAGGCCATATCAAGATTTTTATCATGTGTGATGCACTTGATGTCCACTGAACTTCCTGGATATGTGGAGTTATTGTTTTCAGCAAATTTGGAATATTTTGAGTAATTATTTCTTCAAAAATTATTTCTGTTTCTTCTCTTCTCATTTGAGGACTCATTGGGCCTCTTGAAATTGTCCCACACCTCACTGATTCTCCATTTTTTTCAGGCTTTTTTTTTTTTTTTTGCCTGTTTTCACTTTGTATAGTTTCTACTGGTGTCTTTAAGCTTATTAATCTGTTTTTCTGCAGTGTCTAATATGCTATTAATCCCATCCATTGTATTTTTCACTGTATACATTGTAGTTTTCATCTGTAAAAGTTCGATTTTGACATTTTAAATATTTTCTATGTCTTTATGTAATGTTTTCAATATTTCCTCTGGTTTCTTAAACATACAGAATACAGTTATGATATCTGTTTAAATGTCACTTTATTCTATGCTTATTTTGTATCAGTTTTAATTGACTTTTTTTTCCTCAGTATTGGTTATATTTTCTTGCTGCTTTACAAGCTTTGGAATTTTTTATTGGGTACCCCACATTGTCAATTTTATTTTTAAGTATTGGATAATTTTTCCTTCTATACATGTTCTAGAGCTTTGTACTGAGACATGGTTAGGTTATATGAAAACAGTATGTTCCTTTGAGTCTTTATTTTAAGTCTTATTTGGCAGGAACAGAACCATCTTTAATATAAGGTTGACTTTCCCCACTACCGAGGCATAACTTTTTTGGTACACTGCCCAATGCCCAGTATACTATGAGGTTTTCCACTTTGATTGGTTGAAACAGACACTATTGGTACTATGTAAACCCCGGGAATTCTTTCACTGATTCATCCCTCAGCCTTGGGTGCTTCTCTCTGACGTTTTTTCTCCGTTAAGCTCCCTCCTCTCTGATACTTCCCTGTGAACTCTTGCCATTTGCTTCTTCCTAAACTTCTTACTTCAGCCTCTCCACTCAGGAAGATAGATAGCAGAGCTCTACCTGGGCTCCCCCTTCCCTGTAATACAGCCTGGAAACTCTCTCCAGGGAATAATCCAAGACAGTCAGAAGATTCACCAATTTTGTCTTCCAGCTTTCAGTTATCATTGTCCTTCATTATGTCATGTCCAATATGCTGAGAAGTGTGGTTTTACATCTTTTGACAGTTTTTCTTTTTTTTTTTTCTTGAATTAAGGTAAATCCTGTCCCTTTTACCCCATTTGGCAAGAAGTAAAAGTCACAAATCAGATCTGGTTATTAGTTCCAGTTCTATTATTTCCTTACTTTCTAGAAGTCAGTAAGCATAATAAAATGATTCATTGATTCAGATGAAGGTTGAATATCTACTTTCCAAACATTTTTTTCCCAAATCATATATAACATTGGTGTGAGTGGCTAGGACCAATTGGAAGGCACATAATGATACTATGCTCTGTAATGAATCAACATGTTTTATCCTTGCTTCCCTCTTTAGAAAGTTCAACCACATAGGAAAAATCATTTGAAAACTTTGAAAAAAGTGTAGTATGGAAATGGTTTAACTTGACATTAAATTTGAAATAAGAAGACTTTTTTTTTTTTTTTTTTAACCTATCATTATTTTCTTAGAGAGAAATCAGTGTAGCCTATAGTGGAAAGCAAGAACAGTAGCAAACTCCTTTTTGTTGACTAAGTTAAGAGTTATATTTCCTACAGTTATTTCCCTTCTTATAAGAATTATAGTTAACAATAAATATTGTATAGTTTCAAATAGCTAGAAGAAAGATATTGAATGTTTCGTGACTCCAGTAAAACACAAATCATAAAAAGCAACCTGAAGGGTTTTGAATTTTTACAAAGAAATATATCAGATCATGGCACTTAACTGCTTAAACCATTATAATACATTCTATTGAATTTTGAATTTGAATTTCACATGATTCATGTAAAGCAGTCATATTATTTATGTTAAAATTTAAACTCTGCATGGCCTGCAAGATTGTCCCAGATCTAGCCCTTGCCTATCCAACATCGTGTCTTACCCTTCTTCCCTTGGCCCTTAGGCCTTCTGTTTCTTATACCTACAAAGTTAGCACCTACAACAGAGCCTTTGCACAAGCCATTTCTTCTTCTGGAATAGTTTTTTGTTTGTTTGTTTTTCTTTAATTATTGCATGACTACCTCCTTCCCAGATTTCAAGTTTCAACTAAAATATCACTTCTCTGGGAAGTCTTTTCTGACCACACTAGTTAACATTGTAAGCTTACCCACTGTACTAGTCAGAATTCTAAGATGACCCACAATGAAGGATACCCCTGTATAATACCCTCCCTTTGAGAATGAATGAGATCTATAAATATGATGGGATATTACTGTTATAATCATGTTGTTATGTGGCCCAAGGGTGTATGCAAATATGTTTGAGGTTTTTTTGTTTTTTTTTTTTGTTTTTTTTGAGATGTGGTCTCACTCTGTCGCCCAGGCTGGAGTTCAGTGGTACGATCTCGGCTTACTGCAACCTCTGCCTCCCGGGTTCAAACCATTCTCCTGCCTCAGCCTCCTGAGTAGCTGGGATTACAGGTGCCCATCACCACGCCCAGCTAATTTTTGTATTTGTTGGTCAAGCTGGTCTCGAACTCCTGACCTTGTGATCCGCCCGCCTTGGCCTCCCAAAGTGCTGGGATTACAGGCGTGAGCCACCATGCCCAGCCTCAAATATGATTAAGGTCTCTAATCGGTTGACTACAAATTTCAAAGAGCAATTATTTTGGGTGGCCCTGACCTAACCAGTCCAGCTCTTTAAGAGCAGAAATGGTCTTCTGTTTATATTGTAGAAGCAAATGATCATCTGATGGTGGGGGTCTATAGAGAAGGTCATAGGGCATCAATCTGCGGCAGCTTCAAAGTGCTGACAGTACCTCTGGCTTATAGCCAGTAAGAAAGCAAGGACTTTAGTCCTACAATTGCAAGGAATTGAATTCTGCCATCAACATAAATCAGCTTAGAAGAGGATCTTGAGTTCCACCTGGGATTGTAACTCCAGCTAACATCCTGATTTTACCTTGGTGAGACCTTGAACAGAGAGGCTAATTATGCCCAGAATCCTAGCCCAGGAATACCATGAGTTCATATATTTCTATTGCTTAAGCCACTATTTCTGGAAATTTATTATGCAGAAATAGAAAATTTTTATACCCAGAGCCACTTTCATTATTCCCACTGCATTATTTTATTTTCTTCATAGCTGAAAACTCTTTGAAATTTTAAAAATATTTTTCTTGTTTACTTCAGGATCTACACATAGAATTATATGTTCCACTAGAAAAGCAATTTTAGTTGTCGTTCTGCAAAGTTGATTCTGGCCATTCTGGCTGTTTGAGAAATAGATTGGAGAGCATTATAAATCTGTTTCTATTTTTCTGTTTAAAAAAGAGGAGCTAATATATACTGTATAATATTGAGATTTGTCAGTGGGACAAAATAACCGTTTTTGGTATTCTTCAATTTGCTGCATAATTAAGTATGAGGGAAAGAGTCAAAATTCTTAAAAATGAAAGAAGCACCATGCCAAAAATTTGCATATATCAGAGACATGCAGCTCTGTTAGTTTTCACATAATACAATTGTTTATGGAAGCCATACAACATTTCAGCACAGAATTTTACTTTGCATCATAATATTTTTTGTAGTTACTATAGTTATTGTGACCCCATGTAGTGATGGCTCCAGAGCATTCCTCTCTTGTATGTTTTATGCCCAAAGAGATCCTCATATCCAGGGCTTTCAGCAGATCTATTTTGTGAATTCTTGCTATTATTATCCTGAAAAGATAATCAGCAATTGCTCATGCTAAAAGAGGAGGGAGCAAACTACATGCTTGTCTTTTGTACTCTTATGGAAAGAACTGAACTGTGGGATGCTCTTCTTTAATTTTATGAAATAGCAATGAAAAAATGTATACTTCATTGTTTTTAAATCATTCTATTTTCAGGCAACTTACTCTGTTGGATGAAAAGTTTTTCAAGCCCAGCACTCTGTGATTTATTATATTTATGTTCGTCTTAGAACTAAACAAATAAATGTTGCATTTAATAATGCCGTGAATGAAAATGGATTGCACTATTCAGTACTCTTCCTGCCTAATTTTTGTGGCTGTTGGCAACTGCAACCTTGCATATGCAATGTCACTATTGCAGAAAAACAAGGTTCTTGTCACACAACCAGGAAGAGACACAAAGACACTTTGAAGGGTGAGGGGGAATGGAATTTATTGGGCGAAAAGGAAACAAAAAATCCAGCAAAGCTAGAGGGGTTCCTGTTAATGGGCCCCCATCTCGCAGATTGAATCCCAGGCTACCACCCAGAAACAGGAGAGACCAGGCTTCTCCCTGCTGCAAAAGGTGTGAACTTCCTGAGGCCCTACCCTGTCCTCCCAGTGAACAGGCTGGTCAGATTCTCTGGGACCGGCAGTCTGGTTTTTCAGCTTTCAGGCTGTTTTAGGCTTGAAGGCAGGGTTTCACCGGGAGACCCTTGGCTACCTCCTGTCTCTATCATCACCTTTTAATCTCAGGTCTTCAAAAGTTTTAAGATTATGCTCAATAAAAATGTTCCATCATAGGCTGGTAAAACACTAGGTAAAAGCCCTAAAACCCAAACTCTTGATTTAAACCAGTTTTGATAAAATCATCTGGATCCATTTCATGATTTCAAACATGGCAAACAGCCTCAGACATATGTATAGAAGTATTAGTCCATATTTTTTTTGGTATAAGTTAAAGGTTTCTAGAAATAACTCCACCCAAAATAAGTATGCCTCCCATTAAATCTCATTGGTGCTTAAAATTATACTATTAATTCATTTTAAAAAATGTGTATGTGTGCGTGTGTGTGTGTGTATTGCCCAAGATGTACTGATTTATTGCTGGAAAGTAATGGAGGTAATATAACAAATCTCTCATTTCTTACATCTTGTTCCTTGAAAGAGGGATCCATTTTAACTTGGTAAATAGAAAAACATATAGGGAAGGGAACAAAAAGGTAACCCTAGGGTCAAATATTGTCTCCACCACTTATTACAATAATTATAGAAATAGTATTCTCAAATATTAAATAAAAATACATACAGGATTCACGTAAGAAAAACTATAAAGCTCTTATGAAATAGATCAAACAACTAAATAAATGGAGAGGTATTCTATGTTCATGCAAAGGAAGACTCAATTTGCCAAGGTATCACTTCTTCCCAGCTTGATCTATAGATTCAATGCAATCTTAGTCAAATCTCAGCAAGTTATTTTCTGTGGCTGTCAACAAACTGATTGTAAAGATGATAATGGAGAGGTAAAAGACTCAGAATAGACAATACGATACTGAAGGAGAACAAAATCAGAAGACTGACACTACCTGACTTTAAGACTTACTATAATGCTACAGTAATCAAGACAGTCCAGTATCGGTGAAAGAATAGACAAATGAATGCAACACAATAGAGAGCCCAGAAATAGACCCACATACGTAGTTAAGTGATCTTTGACAAAGGGACAAAGTTGACAATCTTTTCATCAAATGATGCTGAAACAACTGGACATCCACGTGCAAAAAAAGAAAAAAAGAATTTAGATAGAGGCTTCGTATACAAAAATTAACTCAAAATGGAACACAGACCTACAGGTAAAAAGCAAAACTATAAATGTCCTGGAAGATAGTGTAGTAGAAAACTATAGAGTGGCTTTGGGCTTTGTGATGACTTTTTAGATATGACATAAAAAAATATGACCCATGAAAGAAAGAACTAATAAGCTGGCCTTCACACTGACGTTAAAATGTTCTGCCCTGGCCAGGCATGGTGGCTCACGCCTGTAATCCCAGCACTTTGGGAGGCCGAGGTGGGCGGATCACTAGGTAAGGAGTTCGAGACCAGCCTGGCCAATATGGTGAAACCCTGTCTCTACTAAAAATACAAATATTAGCCGGGTATGGTGGCGGGCGCCAGTAGTCCCAGCTACTCCAGAGGCTGAGGCAGGAGAATCGCTTGAACCCGAGAGGCAGAGGTTGCAGTGAGCCAAGATCGTGTCATTACACTCCAGCCTGCGCGACTGAGACTCCATCTCAGAAAAAATAAATAAATAAAATAAAATAAAATAAATAAAATGTTCTGCCCTGCCAAAGACACTGTCAAGCCGGATGTGGTGGCTCATGCCCGTAATCCCAGCACTTTGGGAGGCCAAGGCGGGAGGATCACCTGAGGTCAGGAGTTTGAGACCAGCCTGGCCAACTTGGTGAAACCCCATTTCTATTAAAAATACAAAAATTAGCTAGGCATGGTGGCACACACCTGTTATCCCAACTACTTGGGTGGCTGAGGCAGGAGGATCACTTGAATCCAGGAGGTGGAGGTTGCAGTGAGCCTGACTACCACTGCACTCCAGCCTGGGTGACAGAGTGAGAACCTGACTCAAAAACAAACAAACAAACAAACACCCCCACATTGTCAAGAGAATGAAAAGACAGCCACAGACTGAGAGAAAATATTAACAAAGGGCTTTTGCATGTATGATACAGGACTGTTATCCAAAATATACCAAAAACTCTTAGAACTCAACAATAAGCAAAGAAACAATTCATTTAAAAAATTGGCCAATGAATAAAATCTAGTATTCAGTAGCATAATAGGGTGTCTATAGTTAGCAATAATATATTGTATATTTAAAAATAGCTGAAAAAGTGGAATTAGAATGTTCTTAACACTATTAAAGCGAACTAAATATGGCCTGAGAAGGACTTCGTACTTCTATATTTGCATCCTTGTGAACCAATTGTAACCTAACTTAATAGGTAGACAAGACTGATAACCTAACTTAGGAGTATGCATCTCTAACAATAGCTGAGTCTTGGCCAATCCAAGCAGGCATACTTCAGCCACTCATACACTGCTGAGTGTTCAAACTATGTTCAAATAAGGCAAACACCAACCTGTAACCAATCCAGCTGTTTCTGTAACTCACTTCTGATTTCTGTACGTAATTTTCCCTTTTTGGTCTATACATTTGTTTTAGCCATGAGGCATCCCTGGAGTCTCTCTGAATCTGCGGTGATTCTGGAGGCTGCCTGATTTGCAAGTCTTTTTTTTTTTTTCTTGCTCAATTAAACTCTGTTAAATTTAATTTGTCTGAAGTTTTCTTTTAACAACACAAAGAAAGGATAAGTCCTTGGGGTGAGGGATACCCCAACTCTTCTGATTTGATCATTACACATTTTATTCCTGTATCAAAACATCACATGTATCCCACAAATATACACACGTATTATGTAACCACAATAATTTTAACTGGTCAGTAACTTTTAACAGGCACCTCAGCAAATAAGACACAAAGATGGCAAATAATTATATAAAAATATGTTCTGCATCTATGTTATAAGGGAAACACAAATTAAAACAGCAATTAGATATCACTATACAGCTATTAAAAATACCCAAAGTTTAGAACACTGACAACATCAAATGCTGTCAAGGGTATGGAGGAACAGGAACTCTCATTCACTGCAGGTAGGAAAGCAATGTGCTACAGTGTTGTTGGAAGATGGTTTGACAATTTCTTACAAAACTAAACATAGTCTTATTACACAATCCAGAAATCACCCTCCTTGGCACATTCCCCAAACAAGTTGAAAATTTATGTTCACGAAAAACCCTGCACATAAATGTTTATAAAAGATGTATTGATAATTGCCAGAATTTAGAAGCAACCAAGATTTCCTTCAGTAGGTTAATTAATAAATTAACTGTGGTCCATCTAGACAATAGAATCTTATTCAGCACTACAAAGAAAGGTGCTATCAAGCCATGAGAAGACATGGAGGAAGCTTAAGTACATACTACTAAACGAAAGAAGCCAGTCCCGAAAGGCTACATGTTGCTTGATTCCAACATTCTCATTAATGGGAATATGACATTCTCATTAACTAAGTAGAGCAAAGCTATGAAAACAGCTTAAAGATCAGCAGTTGCAAAGGGTTAGTGGGAAAGAAAGGCTGAGCACAGAGAATTTTTAGGTCAGTGAAAACTACTTTGTATGATTCTGTAATGATAGATACATGTCATTATACATTTGTCCAAATCCATAAAATGTGCGACAGCAAGATGGAACCCTAATTTAAACGATGGTCTTCAGGTGATGATATATTAATGTAAGTTAACAAATTGAAGGTTAAACTTAAGGGAGATGGGTTGGGTACTTTTCTTGGTGGATCTTGTGAGGTTTTGCACATCTGATTGAGCAGTTGTCCAAGGGGGAAGGCTTTAAGTATGCCAACATGAACTGATGTTATGCAGACATCCTTCTGGTCTTCTGAAATGGGAGTATTGAGATTTTTATTAATAAAACTTAAATTTTTAGGTAAAGGTGCTAATTCCAAGACAAGTCTGCTTGATTGCTTTTCTGGTTGCAGACATTTAGATTTCATTATAAGTTTTTGTTTCCTTTTCTGAAAATGCTTTTTCCTAAGAGAGGAAAATGAAATCCTTTAGTGGAAAGGAAATAATTGAAATAAGATTGGAATTTTAGAATGTAGATATAGGTTGCAAAACAGGAATTTGATGGAAAGAAGTTACTTAAATCAGATAGCTATCGATTCAATTCAAGAATTCAAATCCATGATTATTAGCATTATATTGTGCTAGATAGTAATCTATCAGGATGAAATCTCCATACCTTTAAAATAAGTAATAATAATACATACTCCATTGAATTGTGAAGAGATCTGAGACAGTCTATGAAAATAGCCTTCTACAAAATGTTGTTTACCCTACCTTACCCAAAATAATTTACGTTATTTTCAATTCTGCTGAAGTCTCAAGAATTATCATTATGGGTGTTAGGTGCTTTTAATACATAACTAATTAAAATTGTGTTCTTAGTTTTATATTTCTGATAAATATATTTCATTTATATTTGTCTATGTTAAAATTATTTTGTTTTTATTGTACTAATTATTACTCATATATTGGTTCTACTACTAGGCACTGTTGCAGTTATATGGAAAATTAGGATGTGAGAACAGGATATAATATATAGACATTTTGGAAAATTTTGATTTAGCTTGATAATCAGATGTTAATAATAACCGAACAATCTTATTAAGGCTTAAATTTGTTATTAATGAAAAATTAATCTAACTTGTGTTGTTATTCCAGTATAAAATTTTTTGCATGATCTGTAAAGACTTATAGAGTCGTAAGTTTTTGGACTTTAATTCTGAAAGAGAATTGAGAAAACACTTTGTGTAACTCCACAATTTATAAGTGAAGAAACCAAGGTCCTGTATTTATAAATGTTGTCTATCATCCAGGCTACAGGATAGACTATGTAATTATATATGTAGTTTAATGTGAAATTATATATAAATAACCACAGATAAAAACCTAGACGATATGCAGCCTGGGAGTCAACCATAAGCCCATCATCTGGGACACTTCTTCACCCCTCCCTTGGATTCTTTAAACAAACAAAGATTTCTGCTCAGTTTTCCTTCTTTAGTAGAGTTGTCCCTAAAACCAGAGTCCGTGTCTGATACGTACTCGCCTTCATGGTGCGATGGAATAGAATGTACATAGAATTTCTTTAGTGTCACCATTTCACATTTCCCATTTGACATTTGCATGTGTTATTCTCTCCTTGTATCCTTTCCAGATACACTCCAACAGGGCAAGGGTTGGAGTGCTTCCAGTGCTATGCACAAATGTGGGCTCATTGTAGATACTTAATAAATACTTGTTGAATCAACAATAAGTAAAAAGCAAAATGCAATCAAATGCCATTTTGGCAATTCCCCCCCAATTCTAGAATTTCCAGGGCAATTTTCCTGACTACATTTGCCATACTGGTGGTCTTAAGAATCATATCAGTCTTCAGTTTATTCCTAATTGTAATTATTTTTAGAGGAATTCTGAGATATCTATTTTACCTATATACAAAGCAACTGTGTCTGTGTGTGTGTGTGTGTGAGAGAGAGAGAGACACACACACAGAGAAAGAGACATAGAGAGACAGAGAGAGAAGCAAAGTGTTAAGAAGCAATAATTAATTTGTTGCAAAGAAGAAATTCAAAAAAAGAGAAAACAAATACCATATCTGATGAAACCCTGAAGATATTAAAATAGCTTTTCTAAATATAAAATAACAATAAAAAGTCCAAACCTCATTATTACTTTATAACTCAGTAATACATGCCCATTCTCTGATTTGAACCTGTGAGATAACTATAATTATTAGCCCCATTTCAAAACAATAAAGTAAGGTTAATAATAACTCATGTGGTTCCCACTATTTAGCTAAGTACTCTGTGTTAATAAAATATATGCATGAATTAACTTAGTTAATCCTCACAAAGATCTAATGATGTAGTATGTATACTTTTCATCATCCTAAAGTAGGAACTGAGTCTTAGAAAGGTACATGTAGCTTAATGTCACACAACTACTTGGTTGCTCACTGTAAATTTTCTCTCTCCTCACTTCCCACCTCCATAGAAATGCGTAAATGGCGACAGTAGAGCCAGCCTTCATGAATCCAGAAATGTGAGCCACATTTTGAGGATAGCAGAGTCACTGCAGAAGCCTGGATCCTTGCATAACCTTGTCGAGTGGGAAAATCTACCCATACTTGACCAACCACCTAACTGGGGGCTCTACATCTGAGAGAAATGATTTTTTATCTTATTTAAGCCACTGTAGTTAGGAGTCAGTTTATTACAGGACATTGCCTGGTGTTCCAACAAATAAACTACCTTATTTGTTTCAATAAATAAAGTGGCTTTTATTTACTATTTTGGGGATGGCTAAAAAATTATCAAACTAGGTAGAACTAAACTAAAGTTTCAGATGAAAGAAGATCTTCATAAGCAACATCACCATCTTGTCACAGCAGCCAAATGGTGGCATGTCATTTCTTCCAGGAAAGTATATATACTCTGAATGTATCATGTTTCAGCATTGCTCTGTTATAGGCTTGTATATCTAATTTTGTCATCACACAAGATCTATTGGGCTGGATTAAAATTAACCAAGATCATAAGACAAATGTGTAAAAACATTAAATTTTTCATTTACAATGAGAAATCATTGTCATGCAATGAGACATACTTAATTTCACGCAACCAATTTATTTTCTTCATGTAGTCAAGATAAACAAGATGCCAGACAGTAATCAGAGGCTACTGCATAGTTTTATGAGAACTGAACCTACTCAAAGTCTATAAAATCAGCACCTTGAGTCCCTGAAGGCAGATGTACATAGGAAGCCAAATTTTAATCAGGAGATTGCTTCATGAACCTGGAAGCAGATGTGGGGAGTTGGATGATTCATATGTCAAATGGTGCATCACACAACAGTGATGTTCTTGGCAATAGGGACAGACATGAGATAGGACAGCTTTAACTAAGATCATCGTCACAATGCTATCTGCATTTGCAGATTTAGAGTGGCTTTATAACAAGGATCAAAAAAACTCAAAGTCCAAGCAAAGGCTAAGGATTCACCTCTGCTTCTACACTGTGTTTATTTCCACTACATATTTTTGCCCTCTTTTCTTATAATTCTTCTGATCCACTTATTCTGTGTTTATATCTGCTATTACACTACTTTGAACTAATTTGGTCATATGTTTTCTCCTGTCAAAAAAGTTGATTTATTGCTTAATTCTCAAAGTACAATATTGTTTAAATTATTTCTGGGCCGAGATTAGAGTCCCCAGGTATTAACAGTAGAACAAAGTTTTCCAGAAGTTCATTTTAAAAGAAAAACATTAAAGTCTTACTTACTATAGTTTACCAGAATGTAATCACTCCTTGTTTTTCCGACTGTGAGATTTGACTTCATTTATTTTAGCTTTCTTAAGCCATTTACCTATGTATTAGTTTATAATTTGGTAATTTTATACCTCTGCAGTTCACACTTCAGCTTGCAAGTGCCTTAAAGGGAGGAGCTATTTGCAATTCATTACTGTGGTGCCTTCAACACGTAGGAGAATTTTTCACAAACATGAGCTTAACAAACACTGGAATAATTGATTCAGTAAAAAAATAATGAGAACACCTGGGGCTAAAAGTGTGCTAAATTCTTCCTGTCCATATGCCATAACTAGGGGATCCTGGCTAACATGATGACAGTATTTTTTAGTCAACATATGTTACCTTATACAGAACACCTTGTACTCGTTAGAGGATAATAATTAAAAAATTTACTATTATACATGATATAATCACATGCTAACATAATCTTGATATTAATGGCCTAAAATGAGCACATAATATATGTTTTATGTCAATCTCTCCTAAATATTTTGAAGGGCTAGCATTATTATTCTCCTCTTCAGCTATAGAAACCAAGGCACAGAAAGGGCAAATCACTCACTGTCCCCTAGCCTGTCACTATTAAATTCAGGATGTGTGCCCAATCAGACACATGTCAGAGCCTATGCTCTTAACCACTGTGCTAAGCTTTCTCTTTGTGTTAGGCCATTCTCACATTGTTATAAAGAAATACCTGAAACTGGGTAATTTATAAAGAAAAGAGGTTTAATTGGTTATGGTTCCATAGGCTGCACAGAAAGTGTGATGCTGGCATCTGCTCAGCTTCTGAGGCCTCAGGAAACTTACAGTCATGGTGGAAAGGGAAGAGGGAGCCAGCATGTCATGTGGCTGGAGCAGGAGCAAGAGAGCAAAGGAGAAGGTGCCACACACTTTTAGACAACCAGATCACACAAGAACTCACCCACTATCTTGAGAACAGCACCAAGGGGATGGTGCTGAACCATTCATGAGAAATCTACCCGCATGACCCAATCACGTCCCACCAGGCCCCACCGTTAACATTGGGAATTACAATTTGACATGAGATTTGGGCAGGGACTCAGAACCAAACCATATCACTCCTATATCTGGATTTTCAGAAATGATCTAGACTAATCTCTTTACTCATAGGTATGAAATAATGCGATACAAAGATGACTTTTTAATAGGTATGGTTTGATTAAAATGTTTAGTGCGTGTGTGTGTGTAGGTATCATAGATGGTTGGAAGTTTCTTCTTTTTAACCTTTATATTGTATCCTACCTTTGCTCTGTTCTTTATAGCTTTTAATGTTTTATCATATTTATTTAGTTCCTTGCTGCACACACACATGCACATACACACACACACACACACACACGTTTCTCATTGCAAGGATTTTGCCCAGTCTAGGATCAAATTTTGTTTTCCCTGGGAAGTTCTTTCTGACCTAATCCCACTACATAAACTCTTAGCACTCATTTCCAGCACTCATTTCCAGGTAATGCAATCTGGTTAATTGCTTATAGGTAAAGTAGATGCCAGCTCCCTGGCATTGCCCAAGTCCTTTGGAATTATAGGGTCATGACTTTCTGTAGTATTTTAATATAAATGGGTTGAACTTTCACTCTACACATAGAAGTCCACAATATTCTAAATGTTTTAGAAATTAATAAGAAACTTAAATTTCTTTATAACTCCTGTATCCAAATCTCTAAATAGCTGCATGCAAGTTGTTGCTACATCTTGTTGTCTGTACATTCTGACCCATTTTTGCAACTCCTTCATCCTCATAGGATATAAAGGCTAATCGTTTCCTGAACAGAATACTAGCTAGTGTGATCCAGACTTTGCTGAAAAGTTGAGGGTAGTGGTAGTGATGGTAGTAGGGGTGGAGCTTCTTCACACTGCAACACAGCAAATTAAATATACTCTTAGATTCACCTGGCCTTAAAACTCTCTCAGCCATCTGATCTACCCTCAGCCTCTTCTACCTTTTCATCAACTCCACCGACTTATTTTCCTCTCATGTTTTCTTTTTTTTTTCTTGCTCATTCTTTGTCTAGTGGTTTTCCATCATAGTTAACCATTTGAAACATCCGGTGAGTCTTACAAAAATGCCAGTGTTAGGGTCCTACCAAAGCAATAAAATCAGAAGTTCTGGAGTACAGCTCAGTCATCAGTTTTTGTTGTGGTCTTTATTGTTGTTTAATTTACCTAGATTATTCTAATATATAGCCAGGTTTAAGAACCATTCAATACATCCAGCATATCACTCTGAGGGTATGTTTTTTCATACTAAGAAAGGTCACCAAGGTATTTATGTAAATAAATACATTCTCTCCACCAGAAAGTCACTTCTGACTTCCACCTGACACCTTCCTCTGACACTTCTTGACTCCCTGACTTTAATAAAAAATATTCTTCCCCCAGTATTAGGTTGATTTATTGTTTCATTTTTCATTTCTATTTCCTTTGCTAGATTCTAAGATTCATGAGGACAGGATTAGGGTTTGTGTCTTGTTTGTTATTGTTTCTTAGAAGAGAAAAAGACAACAAAATAGCACCTGAGGAGATTAGTCACTCATAAACATTTGTTGAATAAGTCAATGAATTTACAATTGCAGAGAAATTGAAAGAATAAAGAAGAAAAGAATATTTTATCTATTTAAAAATTGATGTGGAAAGAGTACAGAAAGATATACATTTTATATTAGTTCTCAATATTTTTATTAGTTTTAATATATTAAAACTCAATATAGTTTTATTCCCAAACAAATATTTCCATAGTTGTTTGGGAATATAAATTTGCATTATGAGTAATTTTTATTTCTCATAAAATCATCATACATGATAATTAAATTTAATTACAAGTAAAGAATTTTAGAGGAAATTAGCTACCATTAATCTTCTAGCCCTTCAAACACTGACTCTCAGAGTGGCTGGAATAAGAAAAAGAATTCCAAACAGTGGGGGATATTATCAAATATATTTTCCCAGCAGGAAACAGGCAAACAGATTTGGGAACTTCAGCAGGAAGCTTCTAGCAAAGATTTGCCGCCATATGAGAACTGGAAAAAGAACATTGGATAGTCCTTGTCTGATATTTATGTGGGTGTCCTTAAAAGAAAGGAAGGGAATGGACTTTTCCACAGCTGAGTTCCAGATGTATCCAAAGGAACACATTTTACTGTCACTGATGTCAACTGTCTCCTGACTTCTTTCACTAATTACTACAGACTGGGCATTGTGAACCCGCATCATTTTAGGCAAGGGTTCTTGCAGATCTTGATGTATGGCGCCAGTCTGATCTCTGCTTCACAGCTTAATATTAATACTATTATTATAATAACTATTAATATTAATAACTATGATAAAATAACTGTCACGTAATGAGTGTCTACTGTTCAGCACATCTTTATATACATTATCTTTTGTAATCATTACAGAAAAACTAGCAATAGTTGTCACTATCTACATTTTCCAGATAAAGAAACAAATCAAGAACCAGAAAACATAAGGAGATTGTGTTCACAGAGTAAGTAAACAATTCAATAGAGACTAGAGACTCAAACTGAGAGTTTTCTTGCAGTAATATTTTCTACAAAACCTTAGAAAGAAATCATTAAAGAATAAAAGTCAAATTTAAATGTGAGCATGTTAATTTCAATTTTTCTTTCCAATCCCTGGATCTACATAATGTCCAGACAGCAACTCCATTCAGATTAGACTTTGGACAACTGAACCATCAAATTACTGACTAACCAATAGTTGATCATAAGTAAGTGAATTGTTAGTTTGGTCTCTGTAGGATCAAAACATACAGTTTATTGATCATCTTTCCATAGTGCCATTGATCTTAACATTGGAACTGATATACAATGTTTAAATAAATTAAAACAACAATGTCTGTTGTGCCTTCTTATCTTATTTGGTCTAGTTTATGTTACTTCTGAGATTTGGTTGTTAAAAAATACATATATTGATCTTGTTCAGCCTAAAACATGTTTTGTAACCTACTATCTAAGAAAGGTTTCAGACATAAGAGGCAGGGAGATAGCCAATTCAAACCTTCTTCCAGATGTTTGGGTTTTGAGATAGTCAGTGCTATTTGCCAGCTGGAATGTAGTTGGATTTGAGAAAGGATAATTTCCACCATGAAACTTGAACAAGTCATCACTTTAGCCTTCAAGGCAAGATCACTGACAGAGATCTAATCCCAAAACTGTAGAGAAAATAAAATACTCTTCCTAAAAGAAGGATGCAGTATATTGGAGGCCTGGTTTCTCAAAGAAAGTGATTTTGAAAGATGGATAAGGGAGGCACATAAAATGCCTTATGCTCTGATGATTCTGTAGTTATTGATAGACAATTATTATTTTCATATAGTAATATGCACAATATAAGTCCCTGCCTGGCTGCTACTTTTTGCATATAATTGCATAACCAATCCTGAGACTTACCCACAATCTTTGATTGTGTACTCAGTTTTACCCTATTTCTGCAACGTGATTCACATTTGTAACTTAATATTTACTAACCAGATCCCTATGTTGTTCTTCGTACTTGGCTTTTTATTTGGGAAATTTATTTGGGGTCCCATACCTCTAAAACTGGGATCTAGCTTTATTTTTTTCAAACCAGTTGCCAGGAACTGAAGTTCTGGCCCTGGCTCTTTGTCTAATGCCGGAGGCATTTTTAGCCAGTCATAGATTTCCCTGATACCTACCAGCTACTTTGATTCCTATCATTTGCTTCAGGCTCCCATCCCTCACTAGGGATGCCTCTAGGTACGCTTCCCCCAACCCATACCTCATAATAAATACCTTCTGAGTACCATTTTGTCATTAATCCTTTGCATTGGGGGTTATGTTGGGTGGACTGGACTTTCTTCTGGTACCTATGGCTGCTCTGTTTCCTGCACCCATCACTCGCAGGATTTTTTCTGTTTGCCCCATCCCATTGCATCACTAAACCTTGAGCAGACATATGACACACAGGACCCCATAAATCCTAACTGCTGAATATGCAGACAAATATTCCATTCTGGCTAGTGTGTGGGGTTGCACAATTCCACATGACCTATATCACTGCTGGCACATTCTCTTTTAGGAACAATTCCTCTTCCTGGAAATAATCACAACCAGAAGCATCAAATTTTGCAACACTCTGGGAAACAACTTGAATAATTCTGTGAGAGTGAAGAAGATATCAAGTGTCAGTCATGGGACTGATTTTTATTAGAATAAGAAAAGTGTATATGGGCTGTCTTGATCACAGGAATTTCTTCCTGCCTGTTTTCAAAATATACACATGATGATATTGCTTCATATATTCAGGTAAAGTGTCTATATTTCTCCATGAAAATTTTGAAGACATCTGAGCAATGGAAATGTTTATTTCTTCAGAAGTCTTTGAAATTAGAATATGTTCTCACTTATTTCAGATTTAGCACAAAGGCAAAATTCTAACCTGATTTTCCGGCTTCATATCAAGCTCTGTATCTCTAGATTGCATTTTGTCATATGCATTTTGGCTTCTGAAATCTTATGTCACATACAATATTTGTCATTAAAATTAGAATTATAAATACATAAACATATGTATATATAGACACACGTATAGTCACGTAACATCTTATAAAGTACATTTACATATAATATTTTATTAAAAGCCTCGAAGTGTACTGTAGGTTGAATATTATCTTCATTTTTATAGATACAGAAACAGAAATCTCAATTGAATGAGACTTTAGCAAAACAAAAACTGAATTTAGGTCCCATTGTTTCAAATCTCCTGCTGTTTCAACAGGTTCCCCTCACCAAGCTTACTGCCTTAGTCATCACCCCTTCTCTGTGTTGTTTACAAGTATGGAGTATATTAAAATTGAAATATGTACTATAAAAAGATGATATAAACTAAAATTTCAACTGAGTGCCCCATCTGGTAAATTATAATATCTTATATTTTACATAACCCTTAGAAGCATTACTCACTTACTAGATAACTTGGGACAGAAAATTCTCTTATCTCCCCTTACCTAACATGGGAGAAGAAAGTATCAAAATCACTAAACCTAAATAATGAAAATGCAGCACAATGATTTCATTGCTGTATTCATTTATTGAAGCAACACAGTTTGGTTGAGCATCTCTTAAGTATCAGGTACTGTGATAGAAATGGAGAGTACAGAGATAAGAAAAAAAGACAATGTTTACTCTGAATTGCTCATAAGTCTAATGGTGAAAGCTGTAAATATTTTTAACAGAGATACCCTCAAAAGGTTATAGGGGCTTAGAGAAAGAGAACCCCACTGTATTAGTGGAAGCATAAAAAGTTTCATGGAGTCATAAAAAAGCACATAAACAAGGGGATGTTCCAAGATGGCCGAATAGGAACAGCTCCAGTCTGCAGCTCCCAGCGTGATTGATGCAGAAGACAGGTGATTTCTGCATTTCCAACTGAGTTACCTGGTTCATCTCACTGGGACTGATTAGACAGTGGGTGCAGCCCATGGAGGGCAAGCTGAAGCAAGGCGGGGCGTCACCTCACCCAGGAAGCGCAAGGGGTCGGGGGACTTCCCTTTCCTAGCCAAGGGAAGCTGTGACAGACTACCTGGAAAAATGGGACACTCCCGCCCAAATACTGCATTTTTCCCAAGGTCTTAGCAACTGGCAGACAAGGAGATTCTCTCCTGTGCCTGGCTCGGTGGGTCCCATGCCCACAGAGCCTTGCTCACTGCTAGCACAGCAGTCTGAGATTGAACTGCGAGGTGGAGGGGTGTTCACCATTGCTGAGGCTGGAGTAGGTAAACAAACCGGCCGGGAAGCTCGAACAGGGTGGAGCCCACCACAGCTCAACAAGGCCCACTGCCTCTAGACTCCACCTCTGTGTCAGGGCAAAGCTGAACAAAAGGCAGCAGACAACTTCTGCAGACTTAAGCATCCCTGTCTGATAGCTCTGAAGAGAGTAGTGTTTCTCCCAGCATGGCCTTTGAGCTCTGAGAACAGACAGACTGCCTCCTCAAGTGGGTCCCTGACCCCCATGTAGCCTAACTGGGAGACACCTCCCAGTAGGGGCTGACAGACACCTCATACAGGCAGCTGCCCTTCTGGGATAAAGCTTTCAGAGGAAGGATCAGGCAGCAATATTTGCTGTTCTGCAATATCTGCTGTTCTGCAGCCTCCGCTGGTGATACCCAGGCAAACAGCGTCTGGAGTGGACCTCCAGCAAACACCAACAGACCTGCAGCTGAGCGACCTGACTGTTAGAAGGAAAACTAACAAACAGAAAGCAATAGCATCAACATCAACAAAAAGGTCATCTACACCAAAACCCCATCTGTAGGTTACCAACATCAAAGACCAAAGGTAGACAAAACTGCAAAGATGGGGAGTAACCAGAGCAGAAAAGCTGAAAATTCTAAAAATCAGAGCAGCTCTTCTCCTCCAAAGGATTGTAGCTCCTTGCCAGCAACAGGACAAAGCTGAATGGAGAATGACTTTGACAAGTTGACAGAAGTAGGCTTCAGAAGGTCGGTAATAACAAACTTCTCTGAGCTAAAGGAGGATATTCGAACCTATCGCAAGGAAGCTAAAAATTTTGAAAAAAGATTAGCTGAATGGATAACTAGAATAAACAGTGTAGAGAAGACCATAAATGACCTGATGGAGCTGAAAACCATGGCACAAGAACTTCGTAACTCAGGCACAAGCTTCAATAGCCAATTCAATCAAATGGAAGAAATGATATCAGTGATTGAAAATCAAATAAATGAAATAAAGCAAGAAGACAAGGTTAGAGAAAAAAGTAAAAAGAAATGAACAAAGCCTCTAAGAAATATGGGACTATGTGAAAAGACCAAATCTATGACTGATTCGTGTACCTGAAAGTGATGGGGAGAATGGAACCAAGTTGGAAAACACTCTTCAGGATATTATCCAGGAGAATTTCCCCAACCTAGCAAGGCAGGCCAACATTCAAATTGAAGAAATACAGAGAACACCACAAAGATACTCCTTGAGAAGAGCAACTACAAGACACATAATCATCAGATTCTCTAAGGTTGAAATGAAGGAAAAAGTGTTAAGGGCAGCCATAGAGAAAGGTCGAGTTACCCACAAAGGGAAGCCCATCAGACTAACAGTGGATCTCTTGGCAGAAACCCTACAAGCCAGAAGAGAGTGGGGGCCAATATTCAACATTCTTAAAGAAAAGAATTTTCAACCCAGAATTTCATATTCAGCCAAACTAAGCTTCATAAGTGAAGGAGAAATAAAATCCTTTACAGACAAGCAAATGCTGAGAGACTTTGTCACCACCAGGCCTGCCTTACAAGAGAGCTCCTGAAGGAAGCACTAAATATGGAAAGAAACAACCGGTACCAGCCACTGCAAAAACATGCCAAATTGTAATGACCATCGATGCTATGAAGAAACTGCATCAATTAACGGGCAAAATAACTAGCTAACATCATAATGACAGGATCAAATTCACACATAACAATACTAACCTTAAATGTAAATGGGCTAAATGCCTCAATAAAAAGACACAGACTGGCAAATTGGATAAAGAGTCAAGACCCATCAGTGTGCTGTATTCAGGAGACCCATCTCACGTGCAGAAACACACATAGGCTCAAAATAAAGGGATGGAGGAAGATCTACCAAGCAAGTGGAAAGCAAAAAAAAAGCAGGGTTTGCAATCCTAGTCTCTGATAAAACAGACGTTAAACCAACAAAGATCAAAAGAGACAAAGAAGGCCATTACATAATGGTAAACGGATCAATTCAACAAGAAGAGCTAACTATCCTAAATATATATGCACCCAATACAGGAGCAACCAGATTCATAAAGCAAGGCCTTAGAGACCTACAAAGAGACTTAGACTCCCACACAATTAATAATGGAAGACTTTAACACCCCACTGTCAATATTAGACAGATCAACCAGACAGAAGGTTAACAAGGATATCCAGGACTTGAACTCAGCTCTGCACCAAGCAGACCTAATAGAAATCTACAGAACTCTCCACTCCACATCAACAGAATATATATTCTTCTCAGCACCACATCGCACTTATTCTAAAATTGACCCCACAATTGCAAGTAAAGCACTCCTCAGCAAATGTAAAAGAACAGAAATCACAACAAACTGTCTCAGACCACAGTGCAATCAAATTAGAACTCAGGATTAAGAAACTCACTCAAAACCACACAGCTATATGGAAACTGAACAACTTGCTCCTGAATGACTACTGGGTAAATAACAAAATGAAGGCAGAAATAAAGATGTTCTTTGAAACCAATGAGAACAAAGACACAGCATACCAGAATCTGTGGGACACATTTAAAGCAGTGTGTAGAGGGAAATTTATAGCACTAAATGCCCACAAGAGAAAGCAGGAAAGATCTAAAATCGACATCCTAACATCACAATTAAAAGAACTAAAGAAGCAAGAGCAAACAAATTCAAAAGCTACCAGAAGGCAAGAAATAACTAAGATCAGAGCAGAACTGAAAGAGATAGAGACACAAAAAACTCTTCAAAAAAATCAATGAATCCAGGAGCTGGTTTTTGAAAAGATCAACAAAACTGATAGAGTGCTAGCAAGACTAATAAAGAAGAAAAGAGAGAAGAATCAAATAGACGCAATAAAAAATGATAAAGGGGATATTACCACCGATCCCACAGAAATACAAACTACCGTCAGAGAATACTATAAACAGCTCTACACAAATACCTCTACCAGAGGTACAAAGAGGATCTGGTACCATTCCTTCTGAAACTGTTCCAATCAATAGAAAAAGAGGGAATCCTCCCTAACTCATTTTATGAGGCCAACATCATCCTGATACCAAAACCTGTCAGAGACACAACAAAAAAAGAGAATTTTAGACTAACATCCCTGATGAACATTGATGTGAAAATCCTCAATAAAATACTGGCAAACCAAGTCCAGCAGCACATCAAAAAGCTTATCCACCATGATCAAGTCAGCTTCATCACTGGGATGCAAGGCTGGTTCAACATATGCAAATCAATAAACATAATCCATCACATAAACAGAACCAGAGACAAAAACCACATGATTATCTCAATAGATGCAGAAAAGGCCTTCGACAAAATTCAACAGCCTTTCATGCTAAAAACTCTCAATAAACTAGGTATTGATAGACCATATCTCAAAATAATAAGAGCTATTTGTGACAAACCCACAGTCAATATCATACTGAATAGACAAAAAATGGAAGCATTCCCTTTGAAAACTGGTACAAGACAAGGATGCCGTCTCTCACCACTCCTATTCAACATAGGGTTGGAAGTTCTGGCCAGGGCAATCAGGCAAGAGAAAGAAATAAAGGGTATTCAATTAGGAAATTAGGAAGTCAAATTGTCCCTCTTTGCAGATGACATGGTTGTATATTTAGAAAACCCCATCATCTCAGCCCAAAATCTCCTTAAGCTGATAAGCAACTTCAGCAAAGTCTCAGGATACAAAATCAATGTGCAAAAATCACAAGCATTCCTATACACCATTAACAGACAAACAGAGAGCCAAATCATGAATGAACTCCCATTCACAATTGTTACAAACAGAATAAAATACCTAGGAATCCAACTTACAAGGGATGTGAGAGACCTCTTCAAGGAGAACTACAAACCACTGCTCAATGAAATAGAAGAGAACACAAACAAATGGAAGAATATTCCATGCTCATGGATAGGAGAATCAATATCGTGAAAATGGCCATACTGCCCAAAGTAATTTATACATTCAATGCCATCCCCATCAAGGTACCAACAACTTTCTTCACAGAATTGGAAAAAGTTACTTTAAATTTCATATGGAATCAAAAAGCCTGCATTGTCAAGACAATCCTAAGCAAAAAGAACAAAGCTGGAGGCATCACACTACCTAACTTCAAACTATACTACAAGGCTACAGTCCAAAACAGCATGGTACTAGTACCAAAACAGATATATAGGCCAATGGAACAGAACAGAGGCCTTAGAAATAATACCACACATCTACAACAATCTGATCTTTGACAAACCTGATGAAAACAAGAAATGGGGAAAGGATTCCCTATTTAATAAATGGTGCTGGGAAAACTGGCTAGCCATATGTAGAAAGCTGAAACTGGATCCCTTCCTTATACCTTATACAAAAATTAATTCAAGATGGATTAAAGACTTAAATATTAGACCTAAAACCATAAAAACCCTAGAAGAAAACCTAGGCAATACCATTCAGGACATGGGCATGGGCAAGGACTTCCTGACTGAAACACCAAAAGCAATGGCAACAAAAGCCAAAATTGACAAATGGGATCTAACTAAACTAAAGAGCTTCTGCATGGCAAAAGAAGCTACCATCAGAGTGAACAGGCAACCTACAGAATGGGAGAAAATTTTTGCAATCTACCCATCTGACAAAGGGCTAATATCCAAAATCTACAGAGAACTCAAACAAATTTACAAGAAAAAATCAAACAACTCCATCAAAAAGTTGGCAAAGGATATGAACAGACATTTCTCAAAAGAAGACATTTATGCAGCCAAAAGACACATGAAAAAATGCTCATCATCACTGGTCATCAGAGAAATGCAAATCAAAACCACAATGAGCTATCATCTCACACCAGTTAGAATGGCAATAATTAAAAAGTCAGAAAACAACAGATGCTGGAGAGGATGTGGAGAAATAGGAACACTTCTACACTGTTGGGAGTGTAAACTAGTTCAGCCATTGTGGTAGATAGTGTGACGATTCCTCAAGGATCTAGAACTAGAATTATCATTTGACCCAGCAATCCCATTACTGGGCATATACCCAGAGGATTATAAATCATGCTACTTTAAAGACACACGCACACATATGTTTATTGCGGCACTATTCACAATAGCAAAGACTTGGAACCAACCCAAATGTCCATTAATGATAGACTGGATTAAGAAAATGTGGCATATATACACCATGGAATACTATGCAGCCATAAAAAATGATAAGTTCATGTTCTTTGTAGGGACATGGATGAAGCTGGAAACCATCATTCTTAGCAAACTATCACAAGGACAGAAAACCAAACACCGCATGTTCTCACTCATAGGTGGGAATTGAACAATGAGAACACATGGACACAGGGCGGGGAACGTCACACACTGGGGCCTGTCGAGGGGTGGGTGCTAGGGGAGGGATATCATTAGGAGAAATACCTAATGTAAATGACGAGTTAATGGGGGCAACAAACCAACATGGCACATGTATACCTATGTATCAAACCTGCACGTTTTGCACATGTACCCTAGAACTTAAACTATAATAATAAAATAAAATAAAATAAAAAATTGTTAAAAGCACATAGAGACGGTAAAGGAGAAAGACGTACATTTGCTAAATGAGGAATTAAGATTGAAAGAAGTCTGCCTATTATGGCTTAAAATGAAATTATAAGCAGTACTCTAAAACTGTAAAACTGGTGTGTTGTAGAGAATGAAGATTATGCATGAGTCTGGAAGTTAGCTTAGGACCATGATAAGAAAAATCACAGATATTCCCCTGAGATTTTTCTACTTATTCCAATGGGAATAAGTAGAAATGGGAACCCTCCAAGGTTTTTAAATGGCAGCATTAAAGGAGATCCTGAAATCTTCCAAACAACTCATTAAATTCGGTTTCCTGAAAGCAGAGCCCGAAACAAGAATTTTGGTTCAAGTAGTTTATTTAGGATGCAATTTCAGGAATCAAAGTGAAGGAATGCAGAAGGGGTTCAGGGAAAGGAGGTATATTAGGCTGTTTCTGTGTTGCTATAAATAAATATCAGACCTTGGGTAATTTTCAAGAAAAGACCTTTCATTGGCTTATGATTTTGCAGTCTGTACAGGAAGCAAAACATCATCTGTTTGGCTTTAGGGGAAGCCTCAGGGAGCTTTCATTCATGGCAGAAGGTAAAGCCAGAGCAGGCACTTCACATGGCAAAAGCAGTAGTAAAGTGGGGGAGGGTGAGTGCCACACATTTAAACAACCAAATCTCATAAGAACTCACTCACTATGGCACAGACAGCACTAAGCCACAAAAGATCCACCCTCGTGACCCAACTACCTCCTACAAGGCCCCACCTTCAACACTGGGAATTCTATTTCCACCTGAGATTTAGAGAGGACACATATCTAAACTCTATCAGGAGGAAAACAATTAGTGGATGTCAAAATGAATGGGTTAGCCCTGTGACATCTGGGGTTCAATTCTGCTTGGGATTCCCTGGGAGATGTAGAGCATACCATAATGTCGTCCCACCAAGTGTGAGGAAGCTGAGGCCTTTATTCACATGCTTTACTCTTCAACCATTAAGGGTAAATCTTGGGGCATTAACTCTCTGGACTTCTGGTTTGGTCTATACTAAGACCACACTCATCAGAGAAAGCCGTCAGGTAGAGAGATAAATCATCTGTTAAACTGTAGGGGAGCCAGGTATAGGCAGTCTTTTAGGTAGGCCAATTTAATAGCACTAGAATGAGGATCATTTTTCTTTCTACAAAATGTAAAACAGTGTATTCTGGCTGGGAGGAACCAGTAGAGACCCCCTTGGGGCCGCTGTGAATTTTAAGTCATTAGAGTTTTCCTGCTTGTCATCTCCTTCAGTGAGTCTGCTTCCATGGTAAATCCGAAACATACCCAAATTGTGTCACCCATGATGAAGCCTACTGTCTGCTGAGTGTCGGCTTTTAAAAGCTGGGGCATCCTAATTGCAGTCAACAGGCTTCCTTTGAATGCCTATGGGGCTTGGGAGAGCAAACTGTGTGGTTGTTATTTGTCCTCCCTGGGACATGCAGTATCAAGAAACACCGCCTACCTTCCAAGGCTTCCATCTCTTTTGTTGCTCCAGATTGCAAATGACATCCTTGTGTGGGTTGCATTAAGACCTTTTGTGTCCTGGTATCAGCCAGAGGCCTGTTCAATGTACACTCTGGCAGCTCTCATTATGAGGAATAATAGGCAACATGTTTCCTTAAGATTTGTTATCTTTCCTCACTCAGCCCCAGCCAGTATGTCTGCTGGGCATTTTCTGGGCCCTGCTTTGGTGCAATAATGAGGAAGGCAAGATAGGAGAGCAGCATTTGTTATGGGATCCCAGCTGCAAAACTGACATCTGCTGAGTATTCTGTAACTTTCTTTGAACATAATTAAATACAATCAGCAGTCTCCCTTGGCCTCCCACCATAGACCCCATTAGAAAAAGGAAGAATCTGACATCAAACCTATGTGGAAAAATGCTGAACAATGGGACTAATTCAACCTCAATTCATCCATCCATTACTACTGAAGAAAGATGTGAATCATTACTTTCCTAAAAACTTCTCTGCTTTTCTTTTTTTTCTTCCTTCACTCTGTTCCTTCTTTTCTTCTCCCCCTCTGAATTTCTTTTTCTCTATTTTTTCTTTTTTTCTGTTAGGGGATGGGGGCTTACATGGCTCAGAAAGCCTCAGAATTTCCTTCCTTCCTTCCTTCCTCCCTCCCTCCCTCCTTACCTTCCTTCTTTCATTGTTTACTTATTTTCTTCCTTAAATATTTATTTAGTACATTCCAGTACCCATGTGATAAGATAAACAAGACAGACATCCAGTATATGCCCTTCTGAATTTAAAATTACCAATTTAAAAGGAGCTCAGAAACACAGCAGCATGATTAGTGGAGAAAGCATTGGCTTGGGAGTAAGATATGTCTGGTTGTAGATGCTTCTCTACCATTTCCTAATTGTTTCACTTCCCTAGGCCTCCTTTGCTCATCTATACAACAACAAATGTAATTTTTTTTAACTTCACAACGTTGTTGTGATATATAAACTAGTTAATAAACCTTAGCACATAACTCAACACATCATAACTTTGCTTTTTTCCTACTTGCCTCAAATAATCCTCTGAAGGTGGCTAAACACTCTATGTGCCCTGAATAAATAAATATTGAAAGAATATATGAATGTCTGTGGGTAAGATAATATAGTTCCATGCTCATAGAAGCCAAATGTTCCAAAGCTGGAAGGGATGCTCACTCTACATAGATTGGAAAATAAGCAACCTTAAGCACTATGCCTCAAGTCATCCAGCTAATTGAGGTTGAGAGTTGGCTGTAACTAAAGCCTCAATAATTCTCTACCAATACTCTTTCTACTTCATTGCTCTAGAGAGTCAATTTTAGAACATAGACAGCCAGTGCAAAGAAGAAGTGGAGACCAGGCTAGCCAGGTCCAATCTGTCTCTTATCAGGCTATATTCTGTTACTATATTCATTTTCTTTCTGTAAAATGTTTATTATACAATCACTGCATTTTTGGGGCAGAAAACGTTGATTGCTCACACAGTAGTCATCCCTTTCATCTTCTTTTCTGAGAAAGTCATCACTGCACATAGAAACTGAAATAATAATTACTTCCTTTCCCAGACTCTCCTGAAGCTAGGACATGGGAATGAAATTAATGTTGGCTGATGGTACATGAGAGGATGTGTTCTGTTACTTGCAATTTACAGAATCTTCATTTTAAAAGATTTGCAAATTCTTTAAATCTATAATATTATCTTGTTAGATTTATTTACATGCATGCACTTGCACAAATACATGTGAGCTCACACATGTGCATACATATATATATATACAAGGTCACTTGAAATCAATATTTTGTGACTTGTTCATATAGTATTACTAACTTTCATTACAATTTAAAATTATTTTATCCCATTATTTTGGCCATGCAATACTCTAATTTATGTCCAAATAGACCTATATGTAAGCAACTCTCTACTATTGATCATTTAGCTTATTTCCAATATTGTAACTTACAAATAGCATTTTCATGACCATCTGTAAAACTAGAGTTATTTTTCCTTTGCACAATATATTAATTTTCACAAAACACTGCATTTATAATGGCATCACTTTACCAAAGTTACTTTGGTATAGTTTTACACTTTTTATAAAGTGCTCTTGCATTCAATTTCTCTTTTGAGTTTCACAACTATTTCTTGAGGATGAGTGGATGGCTGTTATTAACTCTATTTTTTAGATGACAAAAAGGAAGTCAATTCAACTGAGGCTTACAATTGGATTGGCTTCCTTAAGAGCCAAGCTAGTATATAGAAATTCAGGAGCTATTAGAGGCTTTTTTAAACTCGAAATTCTAGTATCATACATCTTTCTTGTATTCCCATCTTCTTATCTGTAGGCCCAACTCCTTTGTTTTTGACAAAAGAAGACATATGTCTGTCTTTGAGTTGATTATAATTCAGTGGAGGAAAGTGGCAAGTAAATTGACATTTATATTATCATATGAAAAATGCAGTAATTACAGATGAAGGAGTGGCTCTTAAGTCATCCAGGAATGCTATGAAAGCTTTGTAGGAAAGCTAAAATTTAAGGAGACATTTATTTCATATCAAGTTTAGAATTCTTATTGAGATTTTTAAAGTTTCCTTCAGGCAATTATAACCTCACTGCATTTTCATCCTTTCTAAAACTTCTGTCTCTCTCAATCCTACTCATCATTTCAAATCTTGTTCAAGGTTGATTTCTTTTACAAAACCAGGCTCAACTCCTATGGTTGTTGTTGGAAAGTACAGAATTCTCATAGCATATTGGAGAAGACTGTAACCCTCATTCTGGAAAATTTTTCATTTTCTGATCAAAAGTCAAGAAACAACAGACTGCCTACTAGTATTAGTTATTATGCCTTGAATCAGGGATGTAGAGATATTTGTGGCATGGCCATTGCCAAGAGAAGGTTATTGTAATGATCCAGAAATAGTGGGATGGTAGCCTTCTGATGAATTTGCTCTCAATGGGTCATGTTTACTTCCTTTCAACATATTTCTGTCTTTGTAACTCTCTGATGCAGTATGAATATTAAATAATAATTGTCTTGCTGGTGAATTTTCTTTTTTTTTTGTTTATTGATTGAATGGTTTGGTTTTCTTCTTCAATTTTTATGTTAGGTTCAGGGTACGTGTATAGGGTTGTTATATAGGTAAATTGCATATCATGTGGGTTTGGTATGCAGAGTCTTTCATTATCCAGGTAATAAGCATAACACCCAATAAGAAATTTTTCAATTCTCTCTTTTCTCCTACACTTCACCCTCAAGTAGGACCGAGTGTCTATTATTTCCTTCTCTCTGTCCATGTGTACTCAATGTTTAGCTCCCTCTTATAAGTGAGAAGGTGTGGTATTTGGTTTTCTATTCCTGTGTTTGTTTGCTTAGGATAATGGCCTCCAGCTCCCATCTGTGGTGCTGTAAAGAACATAATCTCATTCTTTTTATGGCTGCGTAGTATTATATGGTGTATATGTACCACATTGTCTTTATCCAGTATACCATTGATGGACATTTAGATTGATTCCATGTTTTTGCTATAGTGAATAGTGCTGCAATGAACATTTGTGTTCATGTGTCTTTGTGGAAGAATGATTTATATTTCTTTAGTATATGCCCAATAATGGGATTGCTAGGTCAAATGAGTTCTTTGAGAAATAGCCAAACTGCTTTCTACAATATTTCTTCCATCAGTGTATAAGTGTTCCCTTTTCTCCACAACCGCGCCAGCATCTATTATTTTTTGACTGTTTAATAGTAGCCATTCTGACTGATGTGAAATGTATCTCATCATGGTTTTGATTTGCATTTCTCTAATGATTAGTGATAGCTTCTTTTGAAAAGTGTCTGTTCATATCCTTTGCCCACTTTTTAAGGGCATTGTTTGGCTTTTGTTTGTAAATTTTTTTTTGTTCCTTATAGATTCTGGATATTAGATCTTTGTTAGATTCATAGTTTGCAAATATTTTCACCTATTCTATAGGTTGTCTGTTTACTCTGTTGATAGTTTATTTTGCTGTGCAGAAGATTTTTAGTTTAGTTAGGTCCCATTTGTCAATTTGTGTTTTTGTTGCAATTGCTTTTGGCATCTTTGTCATGAAATCTTTGCCAGAGTCTATGTCCAGAATATTCTTTTCTAGGTTATCTTCCAGAGTTTTAACAGTTTTAGGTTTTACATTTAAGTCTTTAATCCATCTTGAGCCAATTTTTGTATATAATGTAAGGAAGGGGTGCAGCTTCAGTCTTCTGTATATGGCTGGCCAGTTATCCCAGCAGCACTTATTGATAGGCGGTCCTTTCCCCATTGCTTGTTTTTGTTGACTATGTCAAAGATCACATGGTTGTAGGTGTTTTGGCATTAATTCTAGGCTCTCTATTCTGTTTCACTGGTCTATGTGTCTGTTTTTGTAACAGTACCGTGGTGTTTTGGTTACTATAGCCTTGTAATATAGTTTGAATTCAGGTAACGTGATGCCTCCAGCTTTTCTGTTTGTTTGTTGGTTGGTTTCCCCCTTAGGATTTCCTTGGCTATTTGAGCCCTTTTTTTTGTTCCATATTCATTTTAAAATGGTTTTTCCTAATTATGTGAAAAATATCATTGTTAGTTTGATAGGAATAACACTGAATCTGTAAATTGCTTTGGGCAGTATGACTGTTCTAACAATATTTCTTTTTCCTATCCATGAGCTTGGAATGCTTTTTCTTGTTTGTATCATCTCTTATTTCTTTGAGCAGTGTTTTATGATTCTCATTTTAGAGATCTTTCACCTCCCTGGTTAGCTGTATTCCTAGATATTTTATTCTTTTTGTGGCAAGTTTGAATGGAATTGCATTTTTGATTTGGCTCTCAGTTTCGACATTATTAATGTATAGAAATGCTACTGCTTTTTGTACATTGATTTTGTATCTTGAAACTTGGCTGAAATTATTTATCAGATCTAGGAGTTTTTGGCAGAGACTATGGGGTTTTCTAGGTGTTGAATCATATTGTCTGCAGAGATAATTTGACTTCCTGTCTTCCTATTTGGATGCCTTTTATTCCTTTCTCTTGCCTTACTGCTCTTGCTAGGACTTCCAGGACTATGTTCAGTAGGAGTGGTAAGAGTGGGCATGTTTGTCTTGTGCTGATTCTCAAGGGCAATGCCCATTCAGTATGATGTTGGCTGTGGGTTTGCCACAGATGGCTCTTATTATTTTGAGATATGTTCCTTCAATGCCTAGTTTGTTGAGGGTTTTTAACATGAAGGGATATTGAATCTTATTGAAAGCCTTTTCTGCCATCTATTGAGATGATCACATGGTTTTTGTTTGTAGTTCTGTTTATGTGGTGAATCACATTTATTGATTTGCCTATATTGAAACAAACTTGCATCTACATACTGTAAACTCGAACACACAACTGGCCATGAAACAATTCTCGGTAAATTCAAAACAACCAAAATTATACCAAACATACTGTCAGACCACAGCACAATAAAAACTAAAATCGACACTAAGAAAATTGCTCAAAACCATTCCATTACATGGAATTAAACAACCTTCTCCTGAATGACTTTTGGGTAAACAATTAAATTAAGGAATAAAACAGAATATTTTTGAAACTAATGAGAATAAAGATACAAAATACCAGAATCTCTAGGACACAGCTAATACAGTGTCAAGAGCAGAGTTTATAACTCTAAATGTCCACATTAAAAAATTACAAACATCTCAAATTAACAACCTAACACCATACCTACAAGAACTAGAGAAACAAGAGCAAACCAACCCCAGAAGACAAGAAACAACCTAATTCAGAGCTCAACTGAAAGAAATTGAGATGCAAAAAAACATACAAGAGATCAATGGATCCAGGAGTTGTTTTTTTTGAGAGAATAAATAAGATTGAGACTGCTAGCTAGACTAATAAAAAAAGATAGACGATCCTTATAAATACAATCAGAAATGACAAAGGGGCACCTGTAGTCCCAGCTACTCGGGAGGCTGAGGCAGGAGAATGGCGTGAACCCGGGAGGCGGAGCTTGCAGTGAGCCGAGATCGCGCCACTGCACTCCAGCCTGGGTGACAGAGCGAGACTCCGTCTCAAAAAAAAAAAAAAAAAGAAATGACAAAGGACATGTTACCATCAACCCCACAGAAATATTTAAAAATCCTCAGAGACTACTATTAACACCTCTATTCACATAAACAAGAATCCTAGCAGAAATGGATAAATTCCTGGACACTATACAACCTCCCAAGATTGGACCAGGAAGAAACTGAATCCGTGAACAGGCCAGTAACAAGTCCCAAAATTGAATTAGTGGTAAAAAGCCTACCAACCAAAAAAAACCTCAGGACCAGACAGATTCACAGCCAAATTCTACCAGATGTGTAAAGAAGAGCTGGTACCATCCCTACTGAAACTATTCCAAAAAATTGAGGAGGAGAGACTCCTCCCTAATTCATTCTTTGAGGCCAGTGTTATCTTCATTCCAAAACCTAGCAGAGACACAACAAAAAAACAAAACTCCAGGCCAATATTCTTGATGAGCATACGTAAGTTATCTTAATCTCAAAAAAAAAAAAAAATCAGAAGAATTTCACAACTGGAAAAAAAAATCAGAAGGCTAAAGATATGCCACTCAGTGAAGAGAATGAAGTGAGCTAGAGAATGGAAGAATATCTTCAAATATGATACAATAAGAGGCTCCCTGAGTAGGTGTTGATTGAGAAAAAGTCTACTGAATGAGCCGTGCTTTTGGAAGCCGCTCATCCTGGGATCTCAGAGATATCTGCTATTATTTGGCAACATGCTGCTGTTGGAAATGATATGTAGCTTCATGTCAATAGACCTCACTGTAATTAAAATCAATCAAAGCATTCAGAGGATTTTGAGAACTTTACCGTGTTGGCATGAGATCTATGGCAACAGAGAAAAAATATTTTGGTTGATAGATAAGCCACAGTCCTAGAAATGTTACTCAACAATTGAGTTTTGGCACTGAAAACAAAGATACTTAAATCTATTGCTGAAGGGTATTTCTATAACTTGAATCTGAGTTACCAAACCATTATGGAGGGCCAAAAGACAGATAAGTTATACAGACCATTAAAGATTATGCTGGAAAATGTAAATTAAAAAAACATCTACAGAAAGTTTTGTATTATGGAGGACCTGACCTGTCCACACAGAGAACCGCAATCTAGCAAGGAGAGTCTCTAGGGCCAGTGGCTAGCAAAATGAAGTTTCATATATTTTAACATAATCATGGGTAGGATAATACATCCCCTTTGCCATATTGTATTGATTAGATGAAATCACAGTGCCTCCCCCACCCCACCAAGTCAAGGAGAGGGGATTGCATGAAACTGTGAACAAAAGACGGAATTCACAAATACCACCTTAGGTTCTGTCTGCCTTTGAAGGGAGTAAAAAAATTTGTAATTTCATATGGGTAAATTGAGCTCAAAAATTGCTCCATTTCTAGTTCTTGGTCTCAGAAACTAGTAAAACACTTTGCCCTCCAGTTCTATAATCTGTGCTTTTTACCTGATTATAAAATCATAGTCTTGTATTTTTCAATTAAGACAGTTCAACCAAAACATTGGCTCAGATGCCATTATCAGTATGTAGCTAAACTATATCTAAGCATTGAGGTAAATAGGTATTTTTATGGCAATTATTCCACTGAGGGTGTTTCTAAAATTTATGTGAACTCCATTTAATAATTGCCTATTGTTGTATAACGTATCATTAGAAATAAATGGCTTAAAATGTATGTATATTTTTTATCACATCTCATATTCAGTAGGTTGGGCTTAGCTGGTTGGTTCTTCTGCTGGGGTCACCTGGGGCTACAGTTATCTAGCTGCTTGCCTGGGGTTGAATGGTCCAAGAAAACTTCACTCACGTGTCTGATAATGGATGCTGATTATTGTGGAGGCTGCTGTGTCCACATGGTCTCATTGTTTCACTAATGCAAATACGGAAGCTTCAAGGCCTCTCAAGGCCCTGCTGAGAAGTTGCACAAAATCACTTCTGTATTCTACTGGTCAAGGCATATTACATGGTCAGAAGAAAGTCACAGGTTGGAGAAATAGACTTCTTGATGGGAGGAACTAAAAATAACTTGAGGCCAATTTTAATTCAAATTCTTATAGCTAGATTTGAAACCAAGTTCTAATGAGGTTCCATTCAGCCGTTTAAACAATTGTCAAAATAGAAAAAGAAGTTAAAATACATCCTTGATTGAACCAAAGAAACTAAAATGAGAATATTGACCTATTCATTAATCATTATGAAAATATTTTGTTTTGCTAGAGGCACCGGCTCCGGGCTGGTACTGGGGGTTGTCTGCACAGAATCCTGTGATGTGAACTGTCTATGGGTCTCTCAGCCATGGACACCAGTGCCTGTTCAGTGGAGGTGGCAGATGGTGCAATGGACTCTGTGAGGGTCCTTAGCTTTGGTGGTTTAATGCTCTATTTTTGTGCTGGTTGGCCTCCTTCCAGGAGGTGACACTTTCCAGAAAGCATCAGCTATAGTAACGTGGAGAGGGACCAGCAGTGGGTGGGGCCCTAGAACTCCCAAGATTAAATGCCTCTTGTATTCTGCTACCAGGTGGATAGGTAAGGACCATCAGGTGGGGGCGGGGCTAGGCATGTCTGAGCTCAGACTCTCCTTGGGTGGGTCTTGCTGTGGCTGCTGTGGGGGATGGGGGTAAGATTCCCAGGTCACTGGAGGTGTGTACCTAGGAGGATTACGGCTGTCTCTGCTGAGTCATGCAGGTTGTCAGGGAAGTGGGGTTAAGCTGGCAGTCACAGGCCTCACCCTGCTCCCACACACACCGAAGGGCCTTACTTCCACCGTGCCCTCTTCTCAACAGCCCAGAGTATTTCCAGGCAGAGGGCGAGACAGGCTTGAAAACTTGCCCGAGGCTATCCTCCTCTCAGCTGCGAGAGAAAAGGGCTTTAGTTCTTCCCCCGCCTTTGTAGTCTGCACACCTGATTCGTGTCCTCCCCCGAGGCACGAATTACGGCTTCAAAATACTTTCATATGCATGTACTTTCCTTCTCACCCTGTTCAATTTGTCACAAAGTTCAGCTAGAAAATTCCTTCTCTCTGTGGAGTTTTACCCCCTGCTCCTCTGGCCACCCTCCCAATGGATCCCTGTGGTGCCAGCAGAAATGGGCTGCTCGGGGGGCCAAGCAAGCTCCCAGGGCCTTTCTGCTGCTTCCTCTACCCCTGTATTTCATTCAGCTTTCTAACTTGACTCAGCTCCAGGTAAAGTTGGAAACCTCCCACAAACAGACCTTCAGCTTCTCCAGTGGGGGTGTGTGTTTGGGAGAAGAGGGTCTACCTTTCCCACGTCCGCAGTTGGGGCACTCACAGTATTTGGGGTGTCTCCTCGGTCCTGCAGGAGCAGCTTGCTTTCTTCAGAGGGTCTGTGGGTCCTCTCAGGATTGCTGGTTTGTTCTTGCACTCAATCTAGAGCTAAAATTCACAATGCAAGCCTCCGCAAGCTGCTCTGTCTGGAGCTGCAATCTAGTCCTGCCTTCCATGTGCCATGATCCTCTGAAACCCTATCTATATGTTTTTTAAAAATCACATTTTAAAAAAAGAGAAAAGGTTGGAAGTTTTTTTTCAAAGTGTTAGTGTGACTTTTTCTCATGGGATAAGCTAGCAAAAGCACAAAGAGCATTGTAAAGCAAAAAGAAAAGCTGAATTTTTTTTTTGAATCTTCAGTATGTGCTTTGCTAACCCTCCATAGATTAAATTGACTGTGACTCACTGTTCCTGTATCTCTTTTACTTCAGTTTCCTATGTCCCTAATTATGGCTTCAAGGGAGAGGTAGGTAATCCTGGTGGTGTCACGCGTGTCCATGTGAAGAGACCACCAAACAGGCTTTGTGTGAGCAACAAGGCTGTTTCTTTCACCTGGGTGCAGGCGCGCTGAGTCCGAAAAGAGAGTCAGCAAAGGGTGGTAGGATTATCGTTAGTTCTTATAGGTTTTGGGGATAGGCGGTGGAGTTAGGAGCAATGTTTTGCAGGCAGGAGGTGGTGGGGAGAATTACAAAGAACCTTCTTAAGGGTGGGGAGATTACAAAGCACATTGATCAGTTAGGGTGAGGCAGAAACAAATCACAATGGTGGAATGTCATCAGTTAAAGCTATTTTCACTTCTTTTGTGGATCTTCAGTTGCTTCAGGCTGTCTGGATGTGTACGTGCAGGTCACAGGGGATATGATGGCTTAGCTTGGGCTCAGAGGCCTGACAGGTAGGCCAGAGAGATAATTAAAAGCTGCAGTGAGATATAGAATGGTGTTAAGAAGAGATTATCAAAGAATAGAGATTTTTTTTTTTTTTTGAGATGGGGTTTTGCTCTTATTGCCCAGGCTGCAGTGCAATGGCGCGACCTTGGCTCGCTGAAACCTCTGCCTCCCCAGTTCAAGTGATTATCCTGCCTCAGCCTCCAGAATAGCCAGGATTACGGGCATGTGCCACCATGCCCGGCTAATTTTGTATTTTTAGGAGAGACTGGGTTTCACCACGTTGGTCAGGCTTGTCTCGAACTCCTGACCTCAAGTGATCTGACCTCCTCGTTCTCCCAAAATGCTGGGATTACAGGCATGAGCCACCGCACCTGTCCAGAATAGAGAAATTTTCATGATGCAATCATAAGTACTTAAAGAACATTGAAAAACAATGGTTTTTTAAAAGATTGGATATGAAAAATCAATGACTTTTCAGCTGTATATATTTTAAGCTATGTTTGTCAATATATCATAAACTGTTATATAAGTTACTCCAGTTTCTAAAGTTACACTTGGCAAACTATAGCTCATGCTCCAAATCTAGCCCACCCTATGCTTTTATCTATAAATTTTTATTGGAACACAGCCACATCCATTTATTCATGTATGTTGTATGGCTGCTGTTGCTCTACAATGGCAGAATTGAGCAGTTTTAACAGAGACCAAGTAACCTACACAACCTCAAAAATTTCCTATCTAGCTCTTTACAGAAAAGTTTGCTGACACCTTTTCTTGGTCCTTAGATTTCCTCTGGCTGGGCCAGTGAGAACAAAAGTAGCAAATAAAGACAGGAGACATTTGTGGTTTAGTGGGAAGAAGATTTTTTATCAGAAGATTTTTTATTGTCAAAAGTTTTGGGTTTAGATTTTAGCTGGGCGTTTGCTGGCTGTGTAACTCTGGACAAGTTATTTAACCTTGGGATCTTCAATTTCTAAAATCCCTTCAACTTTTATCTCTGACATTAGGATGAAAGATGATAAATATTCTTGAACAATTATGTGAACTGCAAAGATGCAGTACATTTGTGAACTATTAAATTTAGTAATCATCTAGTACTATTGACATATATATGTCTCTATATATGTCTATATAGATGACATATATATGTCTATATATAGACATATATAGACTATATATAGAGACATATATAGACTATATATAGAGACATATATAGAGACATATATATATATATATATATATATATATATATATATATGAAAAATCTTTCCACAATCTTCATAGAATTGCAGTTCCTTGTCTTCCTAGAGTAAGGTATGGCTGCAGAGCTTGCTTTGGCCAATGGAATGGAGATCAAAGTGATTTGTGTCACTTAGCAGAAGGAGCCGTTTGGTAGGATTTTGGAACACATTAGTTAAAAATTAAGGAAATCCAAATTGTGTTAATTTTAGTTGATAATAATGCATCAATATTCATTGGTTGTGACAAAGATACTTTAGTTATGTAAGATGTTTACAATAAGGAAAACAGTGCATGGTTTATGAAAACTCTCTGGACTATCTTCACAACTTTTCAGTAAATTGAAAGCTACTCTAAAATTAAAAGTTTATTTAAAATATTATCTTGATAATTCCTAGGGAATCATATATTTTCTGAGTAATAATTAGGGTTTTTAGGGTCATGTCAAGGCTTAGAACAAAATTTTTTGTGTGTGTTTTTTGAGACAGAGTCTTGCTCTGTTGCCCAGGCTTAAGAGCAGTGGCGCGATCTCAGCTCACTGTAGCCTCTGCCTCCTGGGCTCAAGTGATTCTCCTGCCTGAGGCTTACAGGTGCATGCCAACATGCCTAGTTAATTTTTGTATTTTTAGTAGAGACAGTGTTTCATCATGTTGGCCATGACTGGTCTGGAACTCCTGACCTCAGGTGATCCACATGCCTCGGCCTCCCAAAGTGCTGGGATTACAGGCATGAGCCACAGCACCTGGCCACAAAATGTTTCTTTTGCCATTGACATATGTGTCAGTTTTATTCACTCATTAATGCATTAATTCAAACAAATATTGTTGAGTAGCTGTCTTATAAGACACCACATACCAGACACTGTGCCAAACACAGGAGACAGGTTAATGAACAGTTTATAGGGTTTAATTAAATTTAATCTTTTATCTTTATTTGACAAAAAAAAAAAATGACCCTTGGGCTATTCTAAATTATATTTGCTTTTATTCTACTACTATTAATATAAAATATTTATGGATAAAATCATCAGGTTTTAATGGGTGTTCATATTTAATTCAGGCATCTCTGTAACGGGCATTCTCTTATATTTTCTTCCTGCCTAAAATAATCGATATAAACCTCAACTGGCTGTCTTGGCTCAAAGACAGAATGCAGAGATCCTTGTTAAGAGATGAAGATATAATGCAGAAGGGGGGAGCGCAAAACAGTGCAGGAGGATGCAAACCAATGCAACTCCCTGGTGATAGTGTGTAACTGACCACAGCCTTATTGATGAATATGTTGAAGACAGACTCAACCTTCTTACATTGAGTGACTTTTAAACAGAGATCCCAGAATAGTAAAGACCAGAGAAGTGAACTTTGAACAATTGCAGACTAAAGGATTGAGAATTGTCTGCAATCCTTGATGTGTGCTCTAATACCTGAAAACAGGTCTGTCTATGCAAAAACAGTTGAGATAGAGAAGAATGCAGCAGAATGTGAAAAGTAGAAGAAATTGACAGGGTTTTAATTCTTAGTGCTGAGAAATTTAACATTGTTACTACTATATGCTTTTTATACTTTGTTTTGTGAATACATACCCCCTCACCCAGAAAGACACACACACACACATACTTAGGATAATCCTAGAGCAAACTTTGTAAAATTCTCAATAATATGACATTCAGTCAGTCTAAAGTAAAAAGTTTCTTCATGAAATATTCTGCACACACACACACACGCACGCACACACATGCACACAGACATGAAGTCCCAGTGGAATGAATCTGACAGTTTCTTTAAACCTGTCTTTTAGGTACGCCAGATAATGAAAGTGCTGTGTGGTTTTATATGCTTTCTCAGAACAGCACGATGAGTTTAGAAGTACTATTCCCATTTACAGACAAAGAATCTACTTCATATATGTTAAACAAACTCTCCAATATAATGCAACTCATTAGCATTGAATTTAAATTCAAACCCATTTTGCCAATACATACAACCAAGATTCTGATCATCAGAGTAGGCAAAATTAATTTTGATCCCTGTGTCTCCTTTGGAATGCACCATTAGTCAGAATTGTTCCTGTATGGTATACTGAACGTAAAATACATATATTCTAACCAGTAAAGCTAATCATGATGGGCTGGTTGGAAACAGTAGAGAGTATAATTCTTTGCTGTGGTTGCTCTTGAAATATTAATGTGTTTAACCTGGAATGCATGGGATGAGGCTGAATGGAACCGCTGGACCAAGACAGTACTTCCTTGTGAAACAGCAACTACAATAGAGTTACTAGAATGGTGTATGGGACATACAGTTGCCTGCCTGCCTGCCTGCCTGCCTGCCTGCCTGCCTTCTACCTCCCTCCCGCTCTATCATCTCTCCCCTCTCCTCCCCTCCCCTCTTTTCTCCTTCCTTCTCCTACCATCTCCTCTTCTCTCCTCCTCACCTCCTCTCTCCTCCTTTCTCCTTTCTCCCCTCACCCATCTCTTCCCTTCCCCTCCCCTCCTCTCCTCTCCCCTCTCCTCACCTCCTCTCTCCTCCTTTCTCCCCTCACCCATCTCTTCCCTTCCCCTCCCCTCCTCTCCTTTCCTTTGTTTGCTTTCATCTTCCCAATCTACTACTTCTGTTATCCTATCTCATCTCCAGCTTACTAATTTTTCTGAAATTTTATATTTGAAAGGTATCAAACATTAATATATGGAGCACATTTTGAATGGGTTAAATAATTATAACAAAATAAACAACTGAGTAGCCAATACTAACCCAACAGTTTTGTATCCAATTTTTACCCATCTTTTTTTCCTCTGAATTTTCTGAATTTTGCTTTCTTTCCTTGCTTTCTTCTATCATTTTACCATCTACTTGTGTATCTCTATTTAATAGATAGGTTTTGATTGGTTTTTACTCTTGTTTGAATAGGTTAATAATGCTTCTTTTACCCAACATTATATTTTTAGACTCATCCCTATAAATATGGATCAATTCTTGTTTCCCATGGTTACTATTTTGTCTTATGAATACATCACAGTTAACTCATTCAGCTGGGCTGATCATTTAGGGTTTTACCCGGTATTTTACTAATATTAATACTATCACTGAAAATATTCTGCTGCTTGTCTCCTGATTTAGAGCACATGTTTTAGGTTTATCTAGAATATGCACTAAAGGGAGAAATTGTTGTATATTAAGACATGAAAATATTCAAATTTATTAGGTAATTTTATTTTCTCCCCCAAAGTGATTGCACCAATCTATTATTCTGGTGGTGGGTAATAGTTTTCATTGCTCTACATACTCATCGTCGTCCTAATTTTATACCTATATAATTTTACTAATCTTGTCTAAGTAAAATATTAACTTAGTGGTTTTAATTTTTATTTATCTGATAAGATGATTAACATTCCATATGCTTATGATAATTTTGTTTCTACATCTGAGAAATGTCTATGTCTTTATTTTATTTTCATCTCTTTCTAATAAATAGGAATTCTTTATTTATTCTGAACATAAGATGTCTGTCAATTATATTTGTTGCAAATATCTTCTTCCTTCATGGCTTGCATTTTTCACTCTTTGTGGTATCTTTTGATGATCAAGAGCCTTTGTTTTTAATTTTAATGTGGTTACATTTATCAGGCTTTTCCCTTATGTTTCATGTTTTTTTATGTCCATTATAATTTCTTTAAATATTACTTTTGGGGGGTTTCTGGTTTGTGGAATTGTGTTTCTCTGTCACATGAGTAATACTTACCCCACTAAAGCCTACTTAAACTTAGTCTTTAAGTTTTTCTTTCAATTTAATCGTTCTCAAATGTTGTTCTGACCTTCTCTTTTCCATCTTCCCATCAGAACTCTCTTTGTGAGCTAGTACTGTAACTAATTGAAAATTATCCTACACACCTCCAATGTTGAAATTAATAATTAACGGCATATTGGCTTATATTTCAGCTCCATCCACCAGTTTTACCTCACATATGATACACTTCCTGAAAGGTCAGGGTCTTCAGAACTCTTTTTGCTTGTCAACCTTGTGACCTGAAATCACAGCAATTAGGCTCTGTGAGTTCCTCATCTCATCTGTGAAGAAATATTTTGAAAAAAGTAGAAAGAATAAAAGAAAGATTTTCTTGTTAACCCCACACAGAGATACAGTCATTACTGTAGTCAGATCCACATCAAGATGCCATCCTGTGCTCTGATTTTTAGACATATTTGAATGGATTGTTTACCTTAAAAATGGTGCAACTAAATAACTTCAGGTTTCCATCCAGCCATGCAATGTGACCCAGGCTTGCTCCTAACCACAAAAATCTCCCACAAAACAATAGATGCACAGGGATAATTTGCAATCTTTATAAAAGATACAACTAAGCCTCTAAATATTTTTCTCCTTTTTATGAAGTGCAAAGCAGTATTCTAGAGAAATCATTGAATTACTATTGAGAAGATGTATACTCTAACCTTAACATTCATATTAGAATTTCTCCCTGTGCCTTAGTTTTCTCATCTACCAAATGAGGGTATTGAGTAACATATATATAAATACTTTGCAATATACATATTTACTGATTTAACACTGTTTCTGGAAATAAAGACCCTATAGTTTCAATTGGCCAATCAACATACATCCTTCTTATTTGTTAAGCAGATTTATTCTGGGGGAGGGTCAGTAAAGCCCCTCAAACTCCTGATATTTTGGGATAGGGAATGAAGGTAGTTCACCAGGTTTACATATAACTGAGCCCAGTTTCTTACTCCAGATATTTCTCATTGACTTTATTTACTACCAAAACAATTAATTATGTGAAGCTTTATTTTCTAATCATATTTTCATGGCATCAGTCAGTGGGCTCAGATAAAAACTTAATTATTTTCAGTATCTGTTTTCTTTGACTATAAATTGATATACAAAATTTCAGGTTCAGTGTCAATGAAGGAAGGATAGTAGTTCCCCCTTACTCATGTTTCAAGACTCCCAGTGAGTGCCTAAATCTGAGGATAATACTGAACCCTATATATATTATGTTTTTCCCTATACAAGCATACCTATGATAAAGTTTCATTTATAAATTGAACACAATAAGAGATTAACAACAATAACAAAATCGAACAATTATAACAATATGCTGTAATGAAAGTTATGTGACAGTCATCTCTCTCTCTAGCTCTCAAAACACTATAATATTTTTGGACAGCAGTCAACCACAGATAACTGAAACTGGAAAATGAAACCACGAAAAAGAGAAGACTATATGATCTGCCTCCTAAAGGCAGAATAATGAGGTGTACCTAGAAATTCTAATTAACTTTGTCAATTTAAATATATACCCTTAAGTATATAGTATGTAGTAAGGTATTCAATCAAATACTGTGGCCATTACTCCAAATAAACTGTGAGTCTTCTCACAAAATTGTCTTAGACTCCAAACAATGTTACTTTTAACAGGCTCATAATGTAAACATCATTTTTAATGGTATGTATCATACTTTGAAATAGATTCAAAGTATCTCAGCATAAAGATAGGCCGATGACCTGGCTAATATCATTTTAGGTCAAAAATAAGGTGAGATTGCAAACTAAGGATTAAGGACTGTATGGATGATAACTGACTTTGAAGACAGTTTACAAAAGAAGAGGTCAGCTATATTACATGATACTCTTGCCCAAATCTTTCTTTTTAAGTCTTCACCATCTTGATAAATGGCACACTGTTAATTGTTAACAAGTCACAAGCTATACTTATTTTATTTATGTATGTGTTTGGTTACTGGTATATTTTCAGTCTAGTTCCCTATGTCTTCTACGAGGAGTGGGATCTTGTTTGTTATGTTTACTGTTGTCATAAAATAGATATCAGAACATCTTCACTAAATAGGAAAGTCAATAAGGTTTTGGTTTCGTGGGCACCCAATATCTCTTTTCTTATCTTATTTCTGGTACTGGGGAGGGGGTTGGAGCAGTCTTCACACAGCTTTCCTATGCAGTTATTGGACGATTTCCCCCAAATTTCTTCCTACTCATTGCTAAGGCTATGTCTGATCATCTCCATCCAGATAGAATGGACTATCCACGAAGTTTCAGGAGGCTTACAACTCATGTCAACGTTGAAATGTGAAGAATCAATTGCCACCAAGAGTTTCGGCCTTTAGACATAGGCCAATGATTCCAGATATCTATTGCAATGTAACAAGCCATCACAGAATGTAGTGGCGTAAAGCAACAATGTAGTTTAATCTCTCCTGGTTCTGGAGGGGTTGGGGGCTCAGATGGATATTTCTCATTTGGTGTTTCCCATATTTCCCATGGAGATGTAGTGAGGTTGCAGCTGGGGCTTGAGTCATTTAGTGGCTTCTTAAACACATCTGGTGCTGGGCTAGGATGGCTAGAACAGCTGGGATCTGGTGAGATCTCTCTCTCTCTCTCCCTCTCTCTACCCCTCTCTCCCTCTCCCCTTCTCCGTCTCTCTCCCTCCCTCCCTCTATCCCTCTCTCCTTCTCCCCTTCTCCGTCTCTCTCCCTCCCTCCCTCTCTCTCTCTCTCTCTTTCTCTCTCTCTCTCCCTCTTTCTCTCTCTCTCTTTCCATATGACTCTGTACATTTCTAGTATGGTGGTCTCAGGGCTCCAACAGAGAATGCTCCAAGGAAGCGGAGTTGCCAATATTCAAGAATTGGTCTGAAAGCCAATCTAGTGCTGTGCCCACAATATTCTATTAATTAGAATGAATCACAGCTCATATCCAGATTCAGAGTGGGAGGAGTGTCATTGTAGTTGGCTTCTTATTGGGTTTACAACAAAAGGGGGGCAATCTGCAACTGGATGGTTACTCAATGCATAGAGCACAGGTTGGGGAAAGGACAAAGGCTGACAATAAGTGTCTGGCGAGGGTAAGTATTTCTACTTTAATCTGAAATATTACCTAAGAAATCAATAAGTTTTAGTAGCTAAATTATCAAAATCTGAAGGGATTTTATTTGAACCTTTTAATTATAAATGAAATATGCCTCTGTACAAAAGTCTGTTCACTTATGTTTAATTCCAAACCTGAAATCTAGGTTTCCAATAGTTTTTTTCCACAGTGAATTTTTAGAAATCTAATTTTGACTGATGTATGGTGGGAGAAATAAAATATGATGCTTGATTTGAAAAGGGTTACTTGCCAAATAATCCCAAACAAAGTAAGCTAGCTAGCGTGTATTCCTGAATTATCTTTCAACCAACACTTTTTATTTATTCTCTAGGTAATTTGAGAATGTCTTAAATTTGAGAGCTGAGAAAGATCTACTCTTTGGTACAGCTATAAAAGTCAATGTTGTTTATTATGTTATGACTATATATTTATTTATAAATGGTTTGTAATGAAAATATTGGTTTAGCTCAGTAAATAGGCTACATTTCCTTGTAATGTAATGTTACCTTTGGATGCTATGTAAGGAAAGCTTCTAAAGTGGCAACCAAATAGGCATTATACACATAGGAAGGCTGAGAATTGGCTAAAATGCAGACTTATATATAGCCATCAACCTTTCTCATAGACGCAAAAATGTGCAGTTATCAAGTCAACTGTGGAGGAGGGGATTGAGTCATCAGCAGCAGTTAAAACAATCTGTTCATTGGCAGTTGCAGCTGAGAAACTCTAATCTCCCTGCAAGCACCTCATGCCCTCTAGGTATTCAGTTTGGCACCAAGGGAGATGCTTCTGTGAGTTAACCTCATTTCTATGAAAGGAATGGCTTGTAGTGAACCTTGACTTCAGACCTGGAAGATCTCCTAAGGGACAGCCTTCAAGTCCAAATTCTAATGTGTGTCAGAACATTGGGATATCTTGTTAAATTGCAGATTCCAACTTAGTAGACCCGGATTGGTACTGAGATTTGCATTTCTCATAAGATCCCAGGTAATGCTGATGTGGCCAGGCTGTAGAGCACCTGTTGAGTTGCATGACTATAATTAATACCTGTTGAGTTGCATGACTATAATTAATATATCCCTTTATTGAACTGTTACAATTGTGATAAAACTTGAGACTGAACTGAAATAATATTTTATTATAAATGTCTTATGAGCTAAGACAGCAGTCTCATTATGGAAATTGAATAAATCATAGATAAAGTTCAATAATTCTAAAGCTAATAAGAATTTACCAATTGTTTCATAGATTAATTGAAATTAAGAAAGATGGCCCAGCTATTAAGTAACAAGTGTTAAAAGAAAACTTCAGACAAATTAAGTTTAATGGAGTTTAATTGAGCAAGACAAAAAAAAATTCACAGATCAGGCAGCCTCTAGAATCACAGCAGATTCAGAGAGACCCCAGGGATGCCTCATGATCAGAACAAATATATGGACAAAACAAACAAACAAACAAACAAAAACAAAGGAAGTGATGTACAGAAATCAGAAGTGAGGTGCAAAAACAACTGGATTGGTTACAGACTGAGATTGGTGTTTGCCTTATTTGAACACAGTTTGAACACTCAGCAATAAATGAGTGGTTGAAGTATGGCTGCTGGGATTTGCCAAGATTCAGCTATTGTTACGGACACATACTCCTAAGTTAGGTTTTCAATCTTGTCTATCTATTAAGTTAGGGTACATTTTGTTCACAAGGACTCAAATATAGAAGTGAGGAATCCTTCTCAGGCCATATTTAGTTGACTTTCACACAAGTCATGAAAGTGCCATGCATTTGTTTTCTAAACTGTCACCAGTGTGGTCTAAAGTGGCTAGGTACCTTGAGAAGAAACTATCAAATTGTATGAGATAGCACTAAAGGACTGACAATATCCATGACAATTTTCCATAGAGCTGATCAGAAAGGTAGTAACAAAAACATAGAATCATTATGAAGATATGTTTAGAACATTGACATATTTTACCCTGATTATAAAGAACTCATCTGTGTCATTTTTATGATAAAAATCTAACCTCAAAAAATAGATATCACATACCAACTTTCTTGTTTTGGCAAACTACTCATAGAGCTCTCTGTTACAGAAGGAAATTGAGCATGAGATAGCAAGTGTCCACCTAGCCATGCATAGCTGTTAGATTATTTCTCATACATACCCTTTGTGGTGGGTTAAGCGTAACATAGCCTCAAGCTAGCTGTCACTCTGACCCCTAATTAGATAAGAAAATTGACTTGCAGAGAACTTTACGGACTAACAGGACTTTACGTTAAGGTGTTCATAACGGGTGGTGTGTGTGTGTATGTGTGTTTATAAAAAATTTTTTTTTTTTTTAAGAAAAGACTGGAATATGAAGAAGTCAATCACAGTAAATCAAGAGAAGAGGTGACTGGGAGACTTTTCACGACTGGCTTGAGGAAAGGGAATTTTTCCAGCAAGTTTTAGAGGAGAGTCAGTCATTTGCTTGAGTGCATGATTTTCCTAGAGAGGGGCTGAGGAAATAAACCCCTAAGCTGCCCAAGTCTATCCAGAACAATCCTCAGCTTTGGCTACTTGAAATGGATCTGGTCTTAGGACTATTATTTCAAAGTACAGGAAAGGGAACTTGCTTCCAAATAATACTTCCTCTCCTATTATGAATGCTAGCCTTTCATCTGACATTGAGACACAAATTGCAAATGCCAACGTCCCTGATAATAGCTGTCATATTTTACTTCAGTATTTAATTTAACTTAGTATTTCCAAATTTATTGAGGAGTACAATGTGCCTGTTACTGTGCGAGGTACCACAGCCTAGGAGTAACTGAGATATGCTCTTAACCTAGAGCGTCTAAAAGCAAAGCTCAGAGAAAGGATAAAACCACTGACACTACATTTGGAAATAGGCTATATTGATATGCAAAAGAAAAATAAAAGTAAAGCAAGTAAGGATGAAATTCTCTGAGTTACACTGCTGGCCACATCCTTACTATAAGACTCAAATAAAAACCACTGGATGTTCGCAAGGAATATCTTCTAGCACAAAGAACTTTATCTGGAGGGGCTACATAGAAAACTGCATCTCAGAGTAGTCCACAGGAAAGGAAGAAAGATTTATATGCCTGGATCCCTCTCATCTTCTGCTTTACATTGGTCAGGATTTGCCCCATAGAGGCCTCGTTCTTTTAAACTTCCTAGTCATATCTTCTGATCCCTTTAGTGGCCACTCAGTAGGGTAGATCCCATGTCCCTAGTGTGATGTTTCACCTAAGTCCAAAGAAGGACACATGGTATGAATATATGAATAAAGTTCAACCTGAGGCTTAAGAGTGCTGGAACAAATGGCAGTGGTTCCATATGGGAGGCAGGTGGTGTCTGATTATAGAAAAATGAGGTGGTCAAAGACATCCAAGGTGGAACAATTGGCTGTATTTAACAGAGTAGATGCTTTGCTGAACCACAGCTCTAGCTCTCCAATAGAGTTTGTCTGGCTGCTATACTACATTATGAGACACATTTTAAAATTTATTTATGAATTTTTTCAGAGAGAATAAAGACAACTTCATTCCTTCCAAAAAAGGAAAATTACAAGTCCAATCAGATTCAAGACCACTTTACCACCTTCAATACCTCACCTAGTTATCATCTCCTGGAGGCCTAAGGTGATAAAATACTACAAAAAGCTCCAGTGCATGCTCATGAGTTGGTTCTAAGACTGTAGGTATTCATTAGATCCTTCCTCTACTACTTATTTCAGATTCTCCTCCCTCTCGGGGAGTGCTCTGGTGTTTAACACATCCTGAAGGCAGCTGGTTGTCCCTCAGCTGTGCATTAGCTGAACCATCAACAAACTGTTCTATTATTCTATCAGTCCAGCTGCTTCTGTGTGATTTTGTATGTGGTCGTGGGCCCTTTGTTGAATCTTGTTAATAAAAGTATACTTTACCCCAAGGCAATGTTATGTGGCAGAACACACTTATGAATAAGGCGTTTAGTAAGAAAAACCCATATATAAAGTATGGATTGAATGATCTAAAGAAAAATGGCTGCCCATTCTAAAGTCATCATATTGCCGGCTGCTCCCTTTGAGGAATGCTGTTTAAGTCTCTGCTTCTGGCCAATTGGACATTTTATAGTTCCCACAGTGGTGTAGCAGACTTAGGTGCGATAGAAACCTGGACCATCTGTTTATGCACTTATTAATGCCTTTCATAGCCATTTGAGTCTTCTCTCAAATGCATTACTTCTATGGCATAATGGATTTGCTGCTGTGCATACTCAGTGTTAGGACTTGACAGATCGAATAACACCTAGGTCATCATGGGCAGCTGAGTGTTACATAGTCATTTGATATTCCATGTCCAGGTGCTTCGATCTCTGTTAGCACATCAGGAGACATATTGCAAAAGAAAACTTGTTTTCTACTATAGAAAGCATGGCTCTGCTCTGAAACTACAGGTCTGCATTGTGACTTTCTTATTGGGTCTTTTTAGGGAATTCTTACAGCATTCTTATCCAGCACAGATACATTTTAAACTATCAGATATGCTAGATCATATTGCTCAAGAGGCAGAGTAGCCTTCAAACTAGCAGCTTGCCATGTTACCCAATAACGTGGTATGGTAGTCTTCCTGAGTGCAGTATCTGTCACTTCTAAAATCTAAAAAGGCTAATCGAAGGTGATAAGAAGTACAAGGTAGAGAAATTCATTTGTCAGAGGAGATTGCTGACATGCCCCAGACCAATGGACCCTTAAAATTTTAATCAGTGTAGAATGCATGTCTTATTAGTTCATCTAGGGTTTTCATTGGATTCAATTAGCTTGATATCTATATAGTGGGCCAACATAAGACTGAAAAATCATTTGACCATGGATGGATGTTGTGTTGTACTACTCACTAACCTCTCATTGGACAGAGATCATGAAGGGTAATATGTAATACAATGAATAAAATTTTGTTTCTCCTATGCTTTAAGATGTTATTTTTCCCTGTCCTTAGGGTGGAGTTATTTTGTTTTTGTCCACAAACTTTGGTGAGTTCTCAAGGTGAATGAGAAATATTAATAAATTCTGTAAGAATAAGTTGATCTAGAAATTGGGACATTGTGGTTTCAGAGAAAATGTTTAAAATCCAGTGACAGAAGGTTATATATACATTCTGGTTATGATATGGCACTGAAGCTCTATGAACCTCATACTATTTATCAGCAAAATGGAGATATATTACATTACATCCTTGGTCACAATTTAGAGTTCATGTTGATCACAGAACATGATTTGAACACTGAAGAAGTATTTGAAAATTTAAAAGCATGCTAGGCATAAAATAGTTTGTAATTTGGTGACTAAATCACCCATGCTAGATTTCCTCTCACTGGCTCCAGCTATATCTTTGTCTCTTTGTCTAAGAACAACCCATCCCTTGTTCTATGAGGGCATTGCTTGGATGAAATGGGGCTAATGTGAGGTTATTGCTTATGTTCAGAAATGTCCATCATATGGTGGCCACATCACTTTGACTAGTCAGGTGACTCATGCTCCTAAATGGGAAAATCATTTGTGCCATTAGAATTCTGTGTAGAGGCAGAGTCCTCATACAGTTATTGACTACTCATAGGCCACAGGCAGGAAAACAGGACAACACTTAGGTGTTTAAATGTTCAGGAAAGTGTTCCCTGTCCTAGGGACCTTTCTGCCTCGTGGAAGAAAACCAGGACCTACATAGCAGTAGTAGATCCAGAAGGAAGATGACATGCTGGAAATTAAAGTCAGTATATTTATATTTATAGTGCTCTTTAGCTTTTCTTTTCTACTCTTACAGTTCTTTTCTTCTCTTCCAATGATGATCTAAGAATAATAAAGAAGTCAAGTTACAAAACTGGTTTCAAAGACACAAAGTTCAATGGTAGGAAGATAAGTAAATTAGAGAACTGTGTACATCTTCCCTGCTTCCCTCCACTGAGGACAGGCTGATCTCCTAAAACTAGGTAACATTCATTCCACTAAGGAGGTAAGCGACCCTCCATGTGTTATCTGGAAGACAGTGGGCTCAGGGGTCAAGTGGAAGTTCTTTTTTTCCTTTCTGAATAGAAACGCATCCCTCATGGCATCAACTCTTGTCTTTTACAAGAATATCTCAGAAAGGCAGTAAAGATATTTGTTTTAGGCTCTGGCCATTGACTAAAGACATAATTACCTCACCAGATAAACCATTTATATGTCCTGGAAGCCATATAAAGGATAGCAGTCAATGAGTAATGAAAAGATGAGTTTCACTTTTTCCTCTGTGTATTTCAGTTTTGGAAAGACACCTATTGATGCAGGTCCAAGGCTGGGAAGTTCTGGTCAGAACAATCTAATGTAAAATTGTGAAATCCTGACACCACTTCACATGACTGCTGCATTTTTGAAATCTGCAGAACATTTTTGTCATCGCATTCAAAGCTCACTACGGTTTACCATTTTCAGATGAGCATCCCCAGATTGAGGGTGGTCAATTGACTTGCCAAAGTCACATACAGATGGAGCCAGGACAAGAGCCTAAGCCTTCTGATTTTACATTCCATGGCTTTCAAATATGAATCAACTATTTCTACAGTAGCAGCCAAGTGGAGGATAGGAGATAAGACCAAAATTTGAACAGCAACTTAGTATAAATGTTTCTCTAATTTCTTCCACAGACTCACAAGGATTACATGCCCCAAGCAGTCTTTCCCCATTGAGTAGAAACTATGTGACATATATGAATGAAAATCACAGAGTACAAAAGATATATAACAAAAATCCAAGCGCTCACGCAGAATCCAGAACCCCCATCATAGATAATAGAAAATCTTTACTACACTAGATTACAGATATCATCTTCTCACGTTCTCTTCTGTTTCTAGTCCCCTATACATAAAACAGGAAGTTAATGGTGCTGGGAAAATGGGCTGCCTTCAGATTCCCTTTTCTATCTGGAATGAACACCGTACAAGTCTGTACTGGATGAGCTGTGTGGGATTAGGGTGGGAACTAAGAAAGGGATTCTGTCCTCATTCTGCCCCAGTAAGCTTAGCCATTGTTTATAGTCTGTTAGGGCCTCAATACCATACTGTGTTGATGTGTTGACATACTGGATGCCTGTGAAGCATTTCCTGACACCAGGATGAAGATACTGGAGGCATAGCAGAGAAACAAGAATCTGTTCATGGATTAGGTCTGAGCCAGTGTCTGACTACTGCAGTATTTCACCAAAAGGAGCTAGATGCCATGAAAAAGAAGCTTTACGAATCTTTGGCTCTAGCTCAAAACTAAGCAGCAAGGGATGCAAATGTTTTTTGATTAGTTGGAGTAGATATTATCTTTTTCCTTGGTAGAAAAAAAGAAAAAGCAACAACATTTGTCAGATCCAACACCCACAGAGTCTCAAAGAACAATGTGCTTTTAAACAGACAATTCTGAATTACATCCTAGCTGTAATATGAACTAAAGTCAATGACACCTTGTTCTCCCTTTTTGAATTCCCTTATGTGTCTCTGGAAAGTGCGTTCATTGAGTATATCTGTCTTGTTGAGTCAAGATAAACTGTGTTTTTATTTTGATTTAGCTTTTAATAAAACCATATGTGCAACCTCCCATTGAAAGTGTAGCAGGTAATAAGTGGAAAAAGAGAAAAAACCTCTAATTTATTTTTTAAATTTTACTTTTAAGTTCTGGGATATATGTGCAGAACATGCAGGTTTATTACGTAGGTATACGTGTGCCATGGTGGGTTGATGCACCTATTAACCCATCATCCAGGTTTTAAGCCCTGCATGTATTAGGTATTTGTCTTAATGCTCTCCCTCCCCTTCCCCCTATCCCCCAACAGGCCCCAGTGTGTGATGTTCCCCTCCGTGTGTCCATGAAAACCTCTAATTTTTTTAGATGAGGAATTTGAGGTCCACAGATGCAAAAAACTCTTCCCAAGGTCACCTAGACCCTTAGTCGCACAACTAGTAATGATGGCAACACTTATAAGTTGTTTATTATGCACCAGGTACTGCAAAGCACTTTGTACAATGTTCTTTAAAATTTTCATTATAATCCATCATCTACAAATTAAGAAAGTGAGAATTACAGAATTGAAGTGATTCGCCTAAATGATAGTAAATCACAGAGATGGGTTTCAACCTCAAGATGTGACATGAGCCAGCCATGACTGACTCAGGTGTTATGTTCTAGGTTAGAACTCCAGAGCACCCAATTTGCTGACTGCTTTCTGAGGCAACAGAACTGGAGATCTGTGGTCCTATAACATAAAACGTCATGGGGTGAAAGTACTAGTAATGGGAAAAAGAGGGAGGGAGGGAGAGAGAGAAAGACAGAATCTATCCCTTTGTACTGTTCTCCCCACTGCCCCAACCCTTTCTCCCTTCATTTTTCTCCCTCTCTCCCCTGCCAGTGATCCTAAAGCCAGCTGGCTTGAATAATTATTAAGTTTTAAAAAACAACAAAAAAGCATACTCCAGATATTGGAATTATATTTTTCAACCTGCTTCAATATTTAAGATATATCTATCTTCATTTCATTTGGAACCCTTTTCATTTCCTATATGGTTTGAGGTTATTAAGTGTCATAAAAATGTCTTACATTTTAGAGCACTTTATTGTTTTAGCTTCTAGATCATTCTTTGAAAGCACAGCCTACGTTGTGTAACTCCTCTACTAAATAAACCTTTAATACCCTTTCCTTTCCCTGTCTGATTTTGTGTGTTACTTGAAGCCTGGGTTTTAGGACTGTCCACTCTGTAAACTCATCCTCCCCATTCTGATCTGTTAGTGTCCCATGAATGGTCCAGTACAACAGCTAGGTTCTCTGAGCTTCACTTTTTAGACACATATCTCATTTGTCTCTAAGTGTTCAGATATTCTATTCTTTCCTAATATACCAATAAATATTTCTTTCCTTCCTTTCTGTTCCACCATTTCTTCCATAAAAAATCTCCACATATGCCAGCTGTGGTGGCTCATGCCTGAAATCCCAGCATTTTGGGAGGCCGAGGTGGATGGATAACCTGAGGTCAGGAGTTCGAGACCAGCCTGGCCAACGTGGTGAAACCCTGTCTCTACTAAAAAAATAAAATAAAAAATTAGTCGGGCATGGTGGTGAACACCTGTAATTCCAGCTACTGAGGAGGCTGAGGCAGGAGAATTGCTTGAACCTGGGAGGTGGAGGTTGCAGTGAGCCAAGATTGGATTGTGCCACTGCACTCCAGCCTGGGCGACAGAGTGAGACTCCATCTCAAAAAAAAAAAAAAAAGAAAAAAAGCAACTCCACATATGCCAGGTGTGGTGGCTCACGCCTGTAATCCCAGCACTTTGGGAGGCCAAGACAGGTGGATCGCCTGAGGTCAGGAGTTCAAGACCAGCCTGGCCAACATAGTAAAAGCCCATCTCTACTAAAAGTACAAAAATTAGCCAGGTGTGGCAGCGCACATGTGTAATCCCAGCTACTTGGGAGTCTGAGGCAGGAGAAATGCTTGAACCCAGGAAGTGGAGGTTACAGTGAGCCAAGATCATGCCACTGCACTCCAGCCTGGGCAACAGAGTGAGACTCCATCTCAAAAAACAAAACAAAACAACAAAACTCCACATATCCATCAAACCAAATTATAGCTCCTATGTTCCACATCCTTTTCCTGTCTCATCTTCCTAAAACAGGATTTGCTTTCTTCTTTCTGTAAGTTTCCATAACGCTTTTTTTTTTTTTCTGGTTAATTGTTACAGGTCATGTTCCCTGAAAAGGGCACTCAGACATGGAGATTTATATGAAAGAAGTTTAGTGGGTCATTCGCTACAGAGCAACAGGTCTGAAGAAATGAAGGAGGTAGGATTGGGCAAAACAGGAGTTTGGCTGCAATGCTGTCTCTGCAAGGGCACAGCCAACCCCATGGAGGGCTCTGGAGCTGGAATGCCCTTTTAGAATTGTCCTAAATCATTGCAAGTGGAGCTGGGCCTTTACATCTCTCTGTCTACCAGTCACTAGATATGAGGACCTTGGGTAAGGTGCCTGTCTCCTATTTAGTGCAGTAGCAGAGAGGAAGGATTTAGCTGGGAATTGTCAGCTGTCAACACTCCCAGTATCCGGGGGAATGAGTGCTTCTTTCCTGAAAAAGATGGGAGGTGGGAGTAGAAATGTAAGTGCCACACCACAGTATCTTCTACATCAATGTACATGGAATTTGGCATACTCTGTTTTGTCAGTCCTGTTTTTATCTCCTGGCAACTGGAAATTGTGTCCTCAATATTTCTTGAATTCCTTGCAGCTGTTAGTATAGTAAAAAAGAGGTGCTCAGTAAATAAGTTGCTGAGATGAATATATTTCCTGCTCTTTTACAGAACTTTCACTTTATTTTTATGTATTTATTTATTTATTTATTTATTTATTTGAGACAGAGTCTCTCTCTCTGTCACCCAGGCTGGAGTGCAGTGGCACGATCTTGGCTCACTGCAACTTCTGCCTTCCGGGTTCAAGCGATTCTCCTGCCTCAGCCTCTCAGGTAGCTGGGAATATAGACGTGCACCACCAAGCCCTGCTAATTTTTGTATTTTTAGTAGAGATGGGATTTCACCATGTTGGCCAGGCTGGTCTCGAACTCCTGGTCTCCTGTGATCCACCCCCTTGGCCTCCCAAAGTGCTAGTAGTACAGGCGTGAGCCACCACACCCAGCCAGAACTTTCACTTTAAAGACATAATAACGAGACACACCAGACTCATATTATTTCTATTTTACAGAAGATAAAATTGAAGCTTAGCTTGATCATTGCAGTTGGTCAGTGACACAATTAACTTAAAAGTTTCAATGAATTAACCTAGGCCTCAGGACTGTTAGGCTGATTGTCCTTGCTAAAAAAAAAAAAAAAAAAAAAAAAAAAAAAGTTCAACTAACCAAATACAAATAGTAGCTCCAAAAGGGCTACGGTCAGGTCAAGGGTTAATAACCGTGTTCCCTAAACCCCTTCTCAAAAATTCCTGCTTCTGGACCTCCCTGAGGTTCCTCAACTTGATAAGTTATTAGACTTCCTTTTGGCACATATTCACATGCTAAGAGCCAGAATTTTCAACTGAGATTTAAAACAACTTTGGCCCATTGCCCAGGGCTCATGCTGTGGAGAGCTGTGGAAAGAGCAAAAGGCATCCTCCAAGAATTTTTAAAACAACCACTACAAGGAAGATGACCTGAAGAACAATTCCTAAAATCATTTTCGGGAGACTTGCCAGAGTCATAACATCAGGTAAAGTCACAAAGAAGCCTTTTTTACAACCACAATGTCTCCTTCCCTCTCTCTTCCCTGTTCCCTGTCCTATCCTCTGCTCCATGACAACATTCTTAACCCCTGCCCTAAATCATAGCTTAAGCAGCGAAGGCCCCCTGTAATGCAGCCTATTTCTAGAAAAACACTGGCAAGCTCCTGCTGCATGGCTTGAGCCATGCACATGATTCTGTTTATGTGACACAGATTTGGCCTGTTACTTAGCAGGCTTTCTCACTAGCTGTCATGCCTGAGGACCCCAGATGATTGGGGCAGAGAGCAGGCCTGGTTCTACTACCTACAAAATTGAGTTCTCTTGGATTCTTGATGTGCAGGAGGAGACACCCAGGTAGAAATCACATACTGTGTAATTACTTATGCCCTGGCCTTATTTAGTGATTGTTAGAGAAGACCTATTCTTCTGTTCAATGCCAGGTCAATTATCCTTAAATGTGGCTGTTGCTGTGTCATGCCCCTGTTCAAAAGCCACCAGTCACTCTTGATCATCACTATAACATTAAATCCTTAGCCTGGACTTCCTGACCCTCCGCAAACTAATTGCAAGCTGTTATTCAAGTTCTATTGCCTACTTCTTCTGGGCATGAGCCCTACATTCCAACAAAAATTGTCCTATGTATTCTTATATTAGAAATACTTTCCAATTTTGTCAATTTAGAAAGCCCGCTTCCTTCTCAACACTCTGATCACTGACATGCAGTTTATGATTTCCCCAAACCCTGAAATTATGATTAGAGAAACTATTATTAAAGTCAGTATTCTGCCACTAGAAATTATCTAGTAGGTTTCTAACTCTTGATGCTTAAGTTATTGATATGTTTAAGTGACAATAAATTCAAATGCTGGACTGAAGATACCACATCTAAGTTTTCACATACATCATATTCATACTTTGCATTTTAACATAAAGGACACACACCAGCAACACTTAGATTTTCATACTTGCACAGTTTTTTGAGCTTTTTTTTCTTTTCTGCTGAAATTTTATCTCTTTTCTTTCTTTTTTTTTTTTTTGTTTTTGTTTTTGAGATGGAGTTTCACTCTTGTCACCCAGGCTGGAGTGCAATGGCACAATCTCGGCTCACTGTAACCTCCACCTCCTGGGTTCAAGTGATTCTCCTGCTTCAGCCTCCCCAGCAGCTGGGATTACAGGTGCACGTCACCACGCCCTGCTAATTTTTGTATTTTTAGTAGAGACAGGGTTTCACCCCAGGCTGGTCTTGAACTCCCAACCTCAGGTGATCCGCCTGCCTCAGCCTCCCAAAGTGCTGGGATTACAGGTGTGAGCCACCATGCCTGGCCTTGAAATTATATTTCTTATCTATACTGACTGAAATTTTACTGAAACTTCTAAGCCAAACTCAGATGCCACCTCTCTCTTGAAGACTTTTGCTGGTCTGCTTTGTCATCCTTACGTGGTTCATAGCACTCTGCCTTCTGTTACTATTAATATTTTTGTTCATTTCTTACCCAGTCTCATTTAACACATTTTCTAATGATTTTTGGCTACTTGGATGACCTCATTTGTGAACTGCCTATTGGAGCCCTTTGACGTGTGATTAAATTAAGCTGTTGTATTTGTCTAGTTAATTTGTAGAATTGAGTTATGTTTTCTGGATACAAGTTCTTTGTCAGATATGGGATTGAAAATATTTTCCTTTCACTATGTAGTTTGCATTTAACTTTCTTAATGATGCTGTTTTATGAGTAAAAATTATTAATTTCAATTAAATCTAATTTATCAATCTTTCTGTGGCTAGCAATGTGTGTGTGTATGTGTGTGTGTGTGTGTTTATAATCTCATTTAAGAAATCTGACCAGGAGCAATAGTTCACACATGTAATCCCAGCACTTTGGGAGGCTGAGGCGGACGGATCACTTGAGGTCAGGAGTTTCAGACCAGCCTGACCAATATAGTGAAACCCTGTCTCTACTAAAAATACAAAAATTAGCCAGTCGTGTTGGTGCACACCTATAAGCCCAGCTACTCAAGAGGCTGAGGCAGGAGAACTGCTTGAACCCAGGGGTGCGGAGGCTTCAGTGAGCTGAGATCGCGCCACTTCACTCCGGTCTGGGCAAAAGACTGAGACTCTGTCTCAAAAAAAAAAAAAAAAAAAGGAAAGAAATCTTTGCCTAATCAAAGACCATGAATATTTTCCTCTATGTTTTCTTTTAGAAGCTTTGCAATTATGTTAGGTCTAAGGTACATCTGGAATAAATTTTGGTGTATGGTGTGAGAAAAGTGTCAAATTAATTTTTTCATAAGTATGTACAGTTAATCTTAAGCCATTTATCAAAAAGATCCCTCTTTTCCCACTATATTGCCATGGTACTTTTCTATAAATGAATGACAACATTTAGGTCTATTTGTGGGTATTTTATTATTTTCCGTTTGTCTATTTGTCTATCTTTATGCTAAAATTGTGCTTTTTAATTAGTGTTTTGTTGTTGCTCCTTTATTTTTAGACCTGCTAGCATAGGTCTAAAACAATGTTTTTCAACATTGTTCTTTTAGATTTTCTTTGATACTGTTAAACCTTTGGATTTCTATATATTGGAAATGAACTTAGTTTTCTAATTTCCATTAAAAGAGACATAATGGGATTTATATTTAGAGTTGTATTGATTCTATAAATCAATTTGGGGAGAACTGACATCTTTAAAATAGTAAGTCTTCCAATGTATGTACCTGTTATATATTTTCATCTATTAGATCTTTAAAACTTTTTTTCTCTTAGTAATATTTTACAGTTTTCATTGTAGACGTATGGAGTGACTTTTATTAAATTTAGTCTAAGGCATTTGATGTTTTTGATGGTTTTTATACATCTGTTGAAAACTTCATATGGTTTTTTATCTTTTTTCTCTTAATTTGTGATTCATTTCCAAATGTTAAACCAACATTTCATTCCTGAAATAAACTCAATGTAATCATAATATAGTATTGCTTTTCTATATTTCTGGCTTTAATTTTCTAATATGTTGTTTGGAATTTGTTGTGTTCATATTCATTAGAGATGTTGACCTATAATTTATTTTTTCTTTCTTGCATGGTTTTTGTCAAGTTTTGCATTAAGGTCATGTATGATCCATAAAATAAGTTGGCAAGTGTTTTTTATTTTTCTATTTTTTGGAAGAGTTTGTTTGGGATTGATATTATCTTTCTCTTAAAAGTTTGGTAGAATTCACCAATGAAGACATTTGGGGCTTGAGATTTCTTGCAAAATGTTTTCAGTTAAGAATTCAGCAACTTCATTCACTTTTGCTATTTCTTTCTGCGTTAGCTTCAGTAAGTTGTGTTTTAATCTAAATTGTCAGATGTAGTACAATGAAGTCTTCCTTAATGTCTTCTTATTTCTTTGCAATCTGAGATATCTAAGAATGTATTGGTTTTAATTTTTGATACTGATATTTTGTGACTTTATTTCTTGATAAAAATCAGGGATTTATCGAATTTATTGGTTTGTATTGTCAGTCAAATTTTTAATTTAAGGTAATTGTAGATTTACAGGCACTTATAAAAATAATACAGCGAGGTCTCCTGGATATTTTTCCCAACTTTCTCCAATGATAACGTTGTACAATAATATGGTTATTTTCTTTCAGCAGTTTAGGGATGCCATCCCAAAGTCTTCTGCCTTGCATCACTTCTCAAAGTACTTTCCTTCTATTTCCAGACTACTGTTTTCTGATTCTCTGGCTGCCTTGATTTTTCTCTGGTGCCTTATACAGTCATTCCTTTTTAACTTTCATTTTTACCTTTTACCCAGATTTTATAGTTGTTAATGGTAGAAGGATTAGTCTTCTAAAAGTTGTTCAAATATGGTAATATGCCTGATTTAGTCCAACATTCCATTTTATTTCAGTCCTTTACAAAGAATTATAGAACATGAGTATTTAAAGGAAACTTACCGATAGGTGCTTTAGTAGCTTCCATTCTATATGTTGTAGCATCCCAAAGGGAATGCCGGTTCAATTAGAGTGGATTTCCTTTTAGATGTTTTATGAATTAAGGTTATACCTAAAATCTCATTTTAAAAATTGGGTGTTTTACTGCTAAAACTGATTTTCTTGATTAATTAACATTGTAAAAAATAAGTGTTCTGGTTATCTCTTGCTGTATCACAAAACATCCCCAAGCTAAGTGGCTTCAAACAACGATTGTTTTATTATGATTTCTCATGTTTCCAGGAGTTGACTGGGATCGGCTAGTTGGTTCTTACTTGAGGTCTCTTAGATGGTAGCAGTCAGACAATGGTAGAAACTAGAATCATTGGAGTGTTTGTTGACTCACATATCTGGTAATGACTAAACAGCTCGGAGCTGAAACAGCTGGATCTCCTTGGGCATCTCTTTCTCTAGGCATCCTTGACATCTACATATTCTCTCTATCGTGATGGCTTCGAGGAAGTGAATGTTCTTACATATCCACTCAGAACTGAAAAGGTTCTGAAGAGAGAGTGGGGCTCTTTCTAACCAAGCCTTGGAAGGCCCACTATGCCATTTCTGCCACATTTTATTGGTTGAGTCACCCACTAAGATTCATCCACATTCAAAGGAAAGGAGCATAGAGTCTGTCTAGTGAGGGAGATGTGGCAAGATCTTGGAAGAGCATATGAAATGAGACATATTTTTGTGGCCATTTTTGAAAAATACATTCTGGTGCAATAGGGAAATTGGAGCCCTAAGAAGAAATGCAACACATCTATGATATCCAGGCATATTAGCTCTGATTTCTAGATTTTTATTCAATATTAATAAATAATTTTAAGAAAAACATGAAGAGCTCTATAGAACATGTTTAGGAAAAAAACACCTTTTTTGAATTAAGTCCTTATAAGCTAATAGAGTCATTATAAAAATGATAAAGAACAAGAACTAAAGTGTCATACTTTAGACACTAAGATCTGGCTGAATCAGATACAATAATTCTCTGACATCTAAGAAGATTTTTCAGAATCCTTATTAATACTTTTATTAAAAGTTCTGATAATAAAATGATATAAAAATAATTTACAAAGATTTTTAGAGATCTAAGTAATCAATAATAATATTACTACTACATATTCTTTATTGATGTTCCCTTAGCTTATCCTTGAACATGTATAATAACTGAAAGACCATGATTTCATAAGTCAGTTCAATTTGGTTTTGGGTTTTATGGGGGAGATTAGTCTAATGGCCTGAAGTGTTTCTTGCATTCAGTTAAATCCTTACTCTTTACTTCTGTTCAATTCTGTTCTCTGGAGCAGAGAGATAAGTCCCTCTTTCTCCTGTGTGATAATTGTTTATATGGCACATGAATAGATATGGAACATTACACCAAAATTAATAAAATAAAATCTGAAGTGCAGATAAATAAAATGCAGTATTCTATATTTAGACAAAAAGAAAAAAAATCCTCTCCATATTGAGAGTGTGATATTTATTGCATGTTTACCATGCTCTAGGAATCACACAGATTGAACCATTTAATACTCTGGCTCTATTATTATTATTATTATTATAAATTTACAGTTGAATAAGAACAAGACCTAAGCTGTTTATGCATAAGACAGGGTCCAAATAAGACCCTGTTGTCCTGAGTCAGCAGTCTTTATTACTAGGCCTAGCATATTATAATAGAGCAACATTTTAAAAGGGGAAATACACCATAACATTTACCCTAACAAAAAGCATTCAGCTAAGAGCATGTGTCTATCATATATCCATTTTCAACCTTCCCACCAATTCATGGCTACTCTCCTAACACAAAAGATAATTATAAAATCCAATCCTAAGGAAATTATAAACAAATTTACAAAGCAGTAGGAGTCATTTGCAACTGACTTTTTAAATAAAAGAATTGTAGACTTGTATCCCGACTTCTCAATCATCCATTCTCTACAAAGGTAAGTTAATATTTTAATAAAATATTTATCAAAACAAATTACTTGTTCAACTAAAATCCTCCAAAGGATTTTCCATGCATCAGGAATAAATTCCTTTTGTTAGTTTACAATGTCTGGCATGAACAGGTTCCTGACTACCTCTTTGAACTTCCCCGGTACTTCCCTTCTCTTTGCTCAAGTTGCTTTGGCTGTACTTGTTTTGTTCTTGTTCCCGAGTACAACAAGGTTTTTTTTCTGCCGCAAAATGTTGACACTACTTATCTTGCCCTGGTCCTACTCTTTCTTGTCATTCATGTGTCATTTTAAATTTGATTTCATAAGAAAGATTTTCACTAATCAACTAAGAGAATGCAGGTACTTTTCCACAGTCTCTATAGGTTCAAATACTCTTTGTGTCATTTGTCATGATATAAATATTTCTTGTGATTATTGATGATTTTTTGCTTTTCAAATTATTCATTTTCCTGATAAATAATAGGAGCTCAAAATATATTCATTGAAAAAAGGAATAAGTGAATAAACAATGTTTTTCCATATTATTTCCTGTTGTTTAAAAAATGTATATTTTCTCAGAAAATAGCTTCAAGAAAATTTATCATGTGTGTAAATAAGTAAACCCAAAGACAACCCTACTCCTAGACTGAGTAGCTGCTTCTTGAAGAAATTGCATCCAAGAGATTCAATAGTTTGTCCAAGGTATAATAGAACCAGGATTCAAACCCACTCAATTCTGCTTCAATTTACCTTCCCTGTTTCTTGATACTGTCCTGGACTAGCCACAGGAAAACACAGAAAATTCCCAAAATTAAAATAAAAAGAAGTTTGTATTTTTCCCTCTAAGTGTAATGTGAAGCCATTGGAAGGCTTCAAATAAAGTTTATATCAGGCAAATACATTAGAAGGTGTGAACTACATCAATAGTAACATCAGCCAGAATGGAAGTCAGGATGAATTCCTTATTCTAGTTTGTAACCATGATGTAGTCATTAAAATGTGTAATGTAGCTAAATGAACTGAAAAGAGCAGGTGAGAGACATGATATAACTTATTTTACAAGGTAGTCTTTTTTTTTTTTTTTTTTTTCCTGTTTGTAGAACTGATTGCTGGGGCATGTGTGGAAGCAGGTCAATCATGTAATCATGTAGAACATCACCATAATGATTAATAATGGCTTGAAAAAAATCTCGTCAATGTACTTAAGAAAAGTCAATGGATTTTGGATGCCTTGGGATATATAATTGAGGCAGCTTGATGTATATTTAATAAAAGTTAACAAATGAGGGAATCAAATAAGACACCTGTGTTTTCAGTGCAAAGGGGTGAAACAAAGTCAGATCATACTATTCTGAATGCTTTCTTTCAAGAGGGCTGTCCTGTTTTGTTTTGGTTAGAAAATAGACAGTATTTTAGCTGATTATTTTACATACTTCCCTAATATTCTACCACTGAGCTGGCATTAAAATGTAAATGAACTCACACACACACGTGTGCACGCACATTTTTGGGCATGTGAGGATGCAAAAATTTCACACTCAGAAGGTCTTTCTGGAAGACATGTTGGAGGTAAATATCACAAAAATTACAAATGTATTCAAAAGCAAAGAAGATACAAGATTTAAGATGAGGTCTTCAGCAAATAAATTATTACTATTACATTTACTATTACTATTACATTAGCAAATAAATTATTACTATTACATTACTGAATTATACAGGGTACATAATGTGTAAACATAGACATCTCTAAATTAAATTCTGAGTTAATCTCAGCATGGATGGAGCAGTGATAAAGAAGGGTTTAAAGTCATGTTCTCTTTCTCACCTTGTTAGTGAATAGGATACAATAGAAAAATAAATGTTAAACTAAGTTTACTTCTTTCAGGGCAACCACTAGAGAAAATGAATAAATGTATACATTTTGTATAATTATAAGTAAATAGAGAAGGAAAATTTTGTTGATCCAAAGAAAGTGAAAAGCAAGAAAAAACGCTAGAAAAATGCTAAAAAGCATGACAAAATAAAAGCCATTAAATAAATGTCAAGAATAATTTCAACTATATCAATAAACTGATTAAATGTGAATGGATTAAGTTATCATAGTAAAAATAAGTTATTTTATTAGTCAAGGAAACAATATTTAACTATATTCTATATACAAAAGGTAAAACTAAACAAAAAATTTAGAAACGCAACATGAAGTTTGAAAATAAAAGGATGTGTCCTGGTTATCTCGGATCATAACAATATTGCATAGACTGGGTGGCTTAAACAACAGAAATTTATTTTCTCACACTTCTGGCAGCTGAAAGTCCAAGATCAGGGTGCCAGCATGTTGGGGTTCTGGTGAGGGTTCTCTTCATAGCTTCCAGATGGCTGTTTTCTCACTCTGTCCTTACTGGGCAGAGAGAGAGAGAGAAAGACAGCAAGCTCTTTTGTGTCCTATCTTATAAAAGCACTAATCCCATCATAAGGGTCCCACCCATATGATCTCATCTAAACTAACTGTCTCCCAAAGCCTCCATCTTCACATACCAGCACATTGGGGGTTTGAGCTTCAACATACAAATTTTGGGGAGATACAATTCACTCAACAGCGGAATGTAACTTATAGATATTAAGGGTTATATCAATAATAATAACATCCAAAATAGAATTCAATCTTAATAATGATAATATCCTTTATGGAATATCCTATTGTTATGGAATGATATAGCTTCAAATGAACAGAAATGAAAAATCTTCATGACATATTTTTAAAAGAAAAATACAAGTAATGGAGTACTGTATACAATATATATGATTTGATTTGCATACATATATACACATTTATCTCTGGATATACATTTATAAAAATGATTTGGAGGACACATGCCAAACTGTTGGCAATGTCTATATGGCAGGAAATGGCACAAATTTCCATCAGCCACTGAATCACCATGAAGTGATATCAATTTCAGTCACATTCTTTTTTTTTTTTTTTTTCTTAAGATGGGTTTTCAGTCTTGTTGCCCAGGCTGGAGTGCAATGGCGCAAACTCGGCTCACTGCAACCTCCGCCTCCTGAGTTCAAGTGATTCTCCTGCCTCAGCCTCCCGAGTAGCTGGGATTACAGGCATATGCCACCATGCCTGGCTAATTTCTGTATTTTTAGTAGAGATGGGGTTTCATCATATTGGTCAGGCTGGTCTTGAACTCCTGACCTCAGATGATCCACCCACCTCGGCCTCCCAACGTGCTGGGATTACAAGAGTGAGCCACTGCGCCTGGCCCAGTCACACTCTTACCTAGAACGTAAGTTGTATTATATTTCACTTGGCACCAGTACTCTTCATATATGACAGCTAGGAATGGGGGACTTTAGCAACAATATATCATGTCCATTTACTGTTTTCTTTCCCCTTTCCTATGTAGTCTGAAGCCTGAATGATCATTATAGCTTCATTCTTCCACCAATCATTCTATATCTCACTTCCCCTCTTATGGAACCTCAGCTTGTGAAGGTTATTTACCTGGAGAGTAATCTCCAACCTTATTTCTGTAAGATCCAAATCCTAAGAGGTCTCATTTCTATTGCTAGACTATTATTCCAGTTGGCGTCACAAGGAACCATCTGCATGTCTTTCATAGTCCTCCCTGCCACACCATGTATCAGCAACCAATTTCTTTATTTTTTAATTTTTAATTTTTTTATTTTTCTTGGTACCTGGTAGATATATCTGTTTATGGGGTACATGAGACATTTTGGTACAGGCATGCAATGTGAAGTACAGCAACCAGTTTCTTCTTGGTAATCAGGATCAGCATTCATTCCCATCAAGTTACCATTTCTCAGCTTATTAGTTTAGCAGTATAAGGAATTCAAAATGCCAGAGGAAAATAATTTACTTCAGCTTTATTAAAACAATGAGTTATCCCTGGAGCAATATTCCACTCAGAAACAAGAAACTTCAAAAGTATCATTTATCAGGACAAAGAAGAGAAGGAAAATGAGTCCTGCATTAGGTGTAATAATCAAAGTGGCCACTTCTAATTATAATTCCTTTCCTTTTTAAAATGTGATGTCTAAAGTCAATATTTTATACCCTTTTTAGGTGCATATGGTGATCGTTTTTGTATGCATCTAATGTGTTTCTAATATTATTAGCATAATTTTAGGAGTTTCATAACACTCATGTGAAATTTGAAATGTTTATGCAAATCCCTTCCTGGTGAATAACTAGATCATTCCTAAATACTTCTTATCATGACTGATGCCCCAGTCACTGATTTGCCTTCATATGTCAATCTTTGCCTGAAATCAGTAGTATTTGATAGGTCAAGAAGATAGTAATTGATTGTAAGAGAAAAAAGAACTATGAACAAACTATGAAGGCAAATGTGATTATATATTTGTGAAGACAATGAATCTAATGTGCCTAATGTTTGTTCATTAGTGTGAGGGAGTGGTGCGGAGAGTTTACAGTGTGTGGAAGATAAAATGGATTTTAGAAGGTTTACGTGTCGTAGCAGCAGTAATTAGATTGGCTGGATTGAATTTCTGGATCCACCAGTTACCAATTGTGGGCATTTTGGCAAGTCATTTAACGGTCTTGGTGTATTCATTTCCTTGCATGTAAAAGATGAATGATAATATCTGCCTTATTAGGGATTTATGAAGTTAAATAAAATCATGAAGAAAACATGTTTAACAAGCATCTGGCACATATAAAACTATCAACAAATGTATGCAATGATTATTATTATCCTCATCATCATTATCACTGTCAACCTTATTATTGATGTCCATTAAAAAGTTTCATAACAGAGGTTTCCATTAGGTAATGAAGAGAAAATAAGAGTAGTATTGTTAAAATAATATTGAGTTTGGTATCTGGAAGATTCAGTATAAAATTGTTAACTCTGTGACCATGGACGTACTACTTAGCATCTCTGAAGCACAGTCTCTTCAAATGTAAGATAAAGATCTATCACCAACCACATATGATACTTTGAGGATAAAGTAAGGTAACATATTAGAGTAACTGATTTAATAGGAACTTGATAGATAGTAGTTTTATTAAAATATTATTAGAATTGTTGTAGTTCTTGCTTTTTAAAAAATTATGGTTAGAATTTAGCTCTTCATTCAATACAATGATTCCAATGTAATCAGGGCTTCAAAAATCACAGTACAGTCTCCACTAAATAGTCATCCTATTTTACAATAAAAGGCTCAAAAAGCAAAAGGGCAATAGCGCCAGAATTAGTATTTCTAAAAGTAGCTTTCCCCTGGTTAATTGAGAGTAAATTCTAATACAAAAGAAAAATGGGCATTTTTCTGAATGATTTTGTTAATCATCACAGGCGGCTGGAGCATTAAAAGCACTTTCAGAGGAAAGAACATGGATGAGATGAGGAAATGGTGGTTTACTGCATGGGAAGCAGTGTCACTTTGTCTGATATTTAGACCTTTGTTTTTCTGCTCACTTGGTAGGAGGAGAGCATATTTTGGCCTCTTCCACTCTAGCCCTCCTTCCATAGCAATGGGAATAGCCTGCAGGCCATCTTAACTCCTCACAATGTCCTAATCAATTTCTACATACAGTATTTTTTTTTTCCCTTTCTCAGTTTACTTTGTTATCCCCCAAAGAGGCAAAAACGTATGCTTCATAAGATTCAACAATTCATTCCCACTTGGTGACTTTTCCCAGGGTTTAGGCAAAATGGGGAGATATCTTGGCTTTGTCAAGAAATTGGTCCTTGCTGAACACTGTCGAGTCCTAGATGAAAATGCTTTCTTTCTTGCATGCTTGAGGCAAGTCTGTTGTGGCCATCTGAGATAATATCAACTCACAAAGGGGACTGTCTCACTCTCCTTTTTATTGCAGCCTCTACAGAGGGAGTGGTAGAAAGGTCCCATTATAAAACCAGTTTCATGGCTATTCTCATATTCACATAGAAAAGTACTAATTATAATAATGGGTAATGGTTGCATAACGCTTCCTGTGTAGCAGCCTCTATATCAGTGCTTCCTAAGCTGTCTGTGATAAAATATCCATTTTTTCCCAAATAAAATAAAAATGAAATATAGAAATGAAATAAAATGAGATGCAAAATACATGCCCATTTTTAATTTTTTGATTTAAGACATAAAATTACTATTAAACTTTTATAAAAATTTCTGAGTATTGGCCCTCAATTTTTATACTTATAACAGAGAAGCAGCCATATGTGAACTAGCTCTATGTGTAAACCATACATGGTTAGTGCTGCTGTGAACACAGTATGCATATTAACATAATTAATCCTCAAACTACCTTATAAGACAGGTACTTTTATTTTTCTTCTATTGTACAAACAAGGAAAATGAAGCATGAGGTATTGACTTGTTCAAGGTCATGCCTCTTCTAAATGTTGGGGAGCATTTGAATTCAAGATACAGAGTTGACTCTCTTAACCACTAGACTGCATTGAAAAGAATTAAGGTTTGCAATGTTTCTAATACTGAATAATCGAAGACCAAAATACAACAATTCTTTATATTTGTGTTATACTTTGTATTGTCCAAAGTCCTTTTGCAGATATTTTATCATTTGATACTGACAGCAGTCCTGTAAAGAGGGTAAAATTATTGTCCATATTTTATATGTGGACCTTTGGGTCCCAGATATGTTAGTTGATTTGTCTAAAGTAAAAGATTGACTTGAGCTGAAGGTCTGGGCTCCATGAACAGATTTCTTATCACCTTGTTTGATTATAAGAGTCATAGAATAGGGGTGGCTGGCAAGATGGCCAAATAGGAACAGCTCCAGTCTGCAGCAACTAGCGAAATCAATGCAGAAGGCAAGTGATTTCTGCATTTCCAATTGAGGTACCTGGCTCATCTCATTGGGACTGGTTAGACAATGGGTACAGCCCACAGAGGGTGAACTGAAGCACGGTGGGGTGTCACCTCACCCAGGAAGCACAAGGGGTTGAGGAACTCCCTCCCCTAGCCAAGGGAAGAAGTGAGGGACTGTGCCCTGAGGAATGGTGCATTCTGGCCCAGATACTATGCTTTTCCCATGATCTTTACAACCTGCACACCAGGAGATTCCTTCAGGTGCCTACACCACCAGGGCCCTGGGTTTCAAGCACAAAACTGAGCGGCCATTTGGGCAGTCACTGAGCTAGCTGCAGGAGTTCATTTTCATACCCCACTGGTGCCTGGAATGCCAGTGAGACAAAACAGTTCACTCTCCTGGAAAGGGGGCTAAAGCCAGGGAGACAAGTGGTTTAGCTCAGTGGGTCCCCCTGCACACAGCCCAGCAAGCTAAGATCTACTGGCTTGAAATTCTTGCTGCCAGCACAGCAGTCCGAAGTTGATGCTCCAGCTTGGTGGAAGGAGGGTCGTCCACCATTACTGAGGCTTGAGTAGGTGGTTTTCCCCTCACAGTGTAAATAAAACTGCTGGGAGTGCACAATGGGCAGAGCCCACTGCAGCTCAGCAAAGCTGCTGTAGCCAGACTCCCTCTCTAGATTCCTCCTCTCTGGGCAGGGCATCTCTGAAAGAAAGGCAGCAGTCCCAGTGAGAGGCTTACAGATAAAACTCCCATCTCCCTGGGACAGAGCACCTGGGGGAAGGGGTGGCTGTGGACGCAGCTTCAGTAGACTTAAACGTTCCTGCCTGCCAGCTCTGAAGAGAGCAGTGGATCTCCTAGCGCAGCACTCAAACTCTGCTAAGGGACAGACTGTCTCCTCCAGAGGGTCCCTGAACCCCATGCCTCCTGACTGGGAGAACCTCCCAAAAGGGGTCAACAGATACAGGAGAGCTCCAGTTGGCATCTGGCAGGTACCCCTCTGGGACGAAGCTTCCAGAGGAAGGAACAGGCAGCAGTCTTTGCTGTTCTGCAGCCTCCACTGGTGATATACCCAGGCAAATGGTCTGGAGTGGACCTCCAGCAAACTGCAGCACACCTGCAGTAGAGGGGCCTGACCATTAGAAAGAAAACTAACAAACAGAAAGGAATACGATCAACATCAACGAAAAGGATGTCCACACAAAAACCCCATCCAAACATCACCAACATCAAGACCAAAGGTAGGTAAATCCACAAAGATGAGGAAAAACCAGCACAAAAGGGCTGAAAATTCCAAAAACCAGACGATTTTTCTCCTCCAACAGATCACAACTCCTGACCAGCAAGGGATGAAAACTGGATGGAGAATGAGTTTGACAAGTTGACAGAGTAGGCTTCAGAAGGTGGATAATAACAAACTCCTCTGAGCTAAAGGAGCATGTTCTAACACAATGCAAGGAAGCTAAGAACCTTGAAAAAAGGGTTAAAGGAATTGCTGACTAGAATAACCAATTTAGAGAAGAACATAAATGACCTGATGGAGCTGAAAAACACAATACAAGAACTTTGTGAAGCATACATAAGTATAAAAAGCCAAATCAATCAAATGGAAGAAAGAATATCAGAGATTGAAGATCAACTTAATGAAATAAAGCGTGAAGACAAGATTAGAGAAAAAAATAATGAAAAGGAATGAACAACCCTCCAAGAAATATGGTACTATGTGAAAAGACAAAACCTACATTTGATTGGTATACCTGAAAGTGACAGGGAGAATGGAACCAAGTTGGAATGCACTCTTCAGGATATTATCCAGGAGAACTTCCCCAACCTAGCAAGACAGGCCAACATTCAAATTCAGGAAATACAAAGAACACCACAAAGATACTCCTTGAGAAGAGCAACCCCAAGACACATAATCATCAGATTCACCAAGTCTGAAATGAAGCAAAAAATGTTAAGGGCAGCCAGAGAGAAAGGTCAGGTTACCCACAAACGGAAGCCCATCAGACTAACAGTGGATCTCTCCGCAAAAACCCTACAAGCCAGAAGAGAGTGGGGTCAATATTCAAAATTCTTAAAGAAAAGAATTTTCAACCCAGAATTTCATATCCAGCCAAACTAAGCTTCACAAGTGAAGGAGAAATAAAATCCTTTACAGACAAGCAAATTTTGAGAGATTTTGTCACCACGAGGCCTGCCTTACAAGAGCTCATGAAGGAAGCACTAAACATGGAAAGGAAAAACCAGTACCAGCCACTGCAAAAACACACCAAATTGTAAAGACCATTGACACTACGAAGAAACTGCATCAACTAATGGCCAAAATAACCAGCTAGCATCATAATGACAGCATCAAATTCACACATAACAATATTAACCTTAAATGTAAATGGGCTAAATTAAAAGACACAGACTGGCAAATTGGATAAAGAGTCAAGACCCATCAGTGTGCTGTATTCAGAAGACCCATCTCACATGCAAAGATGCACATAGGCTCAAAATAAAGGGATGGAGGAATATTTATCAAGCAAATGGAAAGCAAAAAAAAAAAGCAGGGGTGGCAATCCTAGTCTCTGCTAAAACAGGCTTTAAACCAACAAAGATCAAAAAAGACAAAGAAGGGCATTACATAATGGTAAAGGGGTCAATGCAACAAGAAGAGATAACTAGTCTAAATATATATGCACCTGATAGAGGAGCACTCAGATTCATAAAGCAAGTTCTTCAAGACCTACAAAGAGACTTAAACTCCCACACAATAATAGTGGGAGACTTTTATGCCCCATTGTCAATATTAGATTATTAGATCAACAAGACAGAAAATTAACCAGGGTGTACAGGACTTGAACTCAGCTGTGGACCAAGCAGACCTAATAGACATCTACAGAACTCTCCACCCCTAATCAACAGAATATACATTCTTCCCTCACCACATCGCACTTATTCTGAAATTGAAGACATAATTAGAAGTAAAACGCTCCACGGCAAATGCAAATGAACAGAAATCATAACAAAGAGTCTTTCAGACCACAATGCAATCAAATTAGAACTCAGGATTAAGAAACTCACTCAAAACTGCACAACTACAAGGAAACTGAACAACCTGCTCCTGAATGACTGCTGGGTAAATAACGAAATTAAGACAGAAATAAAGATGTCCTTTGAAACCAATGAGAACAAAGACAAAACGTACCAGAATCTCTGGGACACAGCTAAAGCAGTGTTTACAGGGAAATTTGTAGCATTAAATGCCTACAAAAGAAAGCGGGAAAGATCTAAAATCGACACCCTAACATCACAATGAAAAGAACTAGAGAAGCAAGAGCAAACAAATTCAAAAGCTGGCAGAAGACAAGAAATAACTAAGATCAGAGCAGAACTGAAGGAGAGACATGGTAAACCCTTCAAAAAATCAATGAATCCAGGAGCTGTTTTTTTGAAAAGATTAATGAAATAGACTGCTAGTCAGACTAATAAAGAAGAAAAGAGAAAGGAATCAAATAGATGCAATAAAAAATGATAAAGGGGATATCACCACTGATCCCACAGAAGTACAAACTATCATCAGAGAATTCTATAAACACCTCTACACAAATAAACTAGAAAATCTAGAAGAAATGGATAAATTCCTGGACACATACATCCTCCCAAGATTAAACCAGGAAGAAGTCGAATCCCTGAATAGACCAATAACAAGTTCTGAAATTGAGGCAGTAATTAATAGCCTACCAACCAAAAAAAGCCCAGGACTGATGGATTCACAGCCGAATTCTTCCAGAGGCACAAAGAGGAGCTGGTACAATTCCTTCTGAAACTATTTCAAACAACAGAAAAAGAGGGCCTCCTCCCTAACTAATTTTATGGGACCAGAATCATCCTGATACCAAAATCTGGCAGAGACACAACAAAAAAAGAAAATTTCAGGCCAATATCCCCTAATGAATATCGATGCGAAAATCCTCAATAAAATACTGGCAAACCAAATCCAGCAGCACATCAAGAAGCTGATCCACCACGATGAAGTCAGCTTCATCTCTGGGATGCAAGGCTTGTTCAACATATGTAGATCAAAAAATCTAATCCATCACATAAACGGAACCAATGACAAAAACCACATGATTATCTCAATAGATGAGAAAAGGCCTTCGACAAAATTCAACACCCCTTCATGCCAAAAACTCTCAATAACCTAGGTATTGATGGAACATATCTCAAAATAATATGAGCTACTTATGAGAAACCCACAGCCAATATAATACGGAATGGGCAAAAACTGGAAGCATTCCCTTTGAAAACTGGCACAAGACAAGAATGCCGTCTCTCACCACTCCTATTCAACATAGTATTCGAAGTTCTGGCCAGGGCAATCCGGTAAGAGAGATAAATAGAGGGTATTCAAATAGGAAAAGAGGAAGTCAAATTATCTCTGTTTGCAGATGACATGATTGTATATTTAGAAAACCCCACCATCTCAGCTCAAATCTCCTTAAGCTGATAAGGAACTTCAGCACAGTCTCAGGATACAAAATCAATGTGCAAAAGTCACAAGCATTCCTATACCCCAATAAGAGACAAACAGCCAAATCATGAGTGAATTCCCATTCACAATTGCTACAAAGAGAATAAAATACCTAGGAATCCAACTTACAAGGGATGTGAAGGACCTCTTCAAGGAGAACTACAAACTGCTGCTCAAGGAAATAAGAGAGGACACAAGCAAATGGAAAAACATTCCATGCTCATGGATAGGAAAAATCAATATCATGAAAATGGCCATACTACCCAAAGTAATTTATAGATTCAATGCTATTCCCATCAAGCTACCACTGACTTTCTTCACACAATTAGAAAAAAACTACTTTAAATTTCATATGGAACCAAAAAACTGCCCATATAGCCAAGACAATCCTAAGCAAAAAGAACAAAGCTAGAGCATCACGCTACCTGTCTTCCAGCTACACTACAAGGCTACAGTAACCAAAACAGCATGGTACTGGTACCGAAACAGATATATAGACCAATGGAACAGAACAGAGACCTCAGAAATAACACTACACATCTACAACCATCTGATGTTTAACAAACCTGACAAAAACAAGCAATGGGGAAAGGATTCCCTATTTAATAAATGGTGTTGGGAAAACTGGCTAGCCAAAAGCAGAAAACTGAAACTGGACCCCTTCTTTACACCTTATACAAACATTAACTCAAGATGGATTAAAGACTTAAACGTAAGACCTAAAACCATAAAACCCCTATCCTAGAAGAAAACCCAGGCAATATCATTCAGGACATAGGCACGGGCAAAACGTCATGACTAAAACACCAAAAGCTATGACAACAAAAGCCAAAATTGACAAATGAGATCTAATTAAACTAAAGAGCTTCTGCACAACAAAGAAACTATCATCAAAGTGAAAAGGCAGCCTACACAATGGGAGAAAATTTTTGCAATCTATCCATCTGACAAAAGGCTAATATCCAGAATCTATAAGGAAATTAAGCAAATTTACAAGAAAAAAAAAACCCATCAAAAAGTGGGCAAAGGATATGAACAGATACTTCTCAAAAGAAGACATTTTATGTGGCCAACAAACATATGGAAAAAAGCTCATCATCACTAGTCATTAGGGAAATGCAAATCAAAACCACAATGAGTTACCATCTCACACCAATTAGAATGGTGATCACTAAAAAGTCAGGAAACAACAGATGCTGGAGAGGATGTAGAGAAATAGGAATGCTTTTACACTGTTGGTGGGAGTGTAAATTAGTTCAACCATTATGGAAGACAGTGTGGCAATTCCTCAAGGATCTGGACTCAGAAATATCATTTGACCCAGCAATCCCACTACTGCATATATACCCAAAGGATTATAAATCATTCTACTATAAAGACACATGCACATGTATGTTTATTGCAGCACTGTTCACAATAGCAAAGACTTGGAACCAACCCAAATGTCCATCAATGATAGATTGGATAAAGAAAATTTGGCACATATACACCATGGAATACTATGCAGCCATAAAAAAGGGATGAGTTCATATCTTTGCAGGGACATGGGTGAAGCTGGAAACCATCATTCTCAGCAAACTTACACTGGAACAGAAAACCAAACATTGCATTTTCTCACTCATAAGTGGGAGTTGAACAATGAGAACACATGGACACATGGAGGGGAACATCACACACCAGGGCCTGTCAGGGGATGGGGGCCTAGGAGAGGGGTAGCATTAGGGGAAATACCTAATGTAGATGACAGGTTGATGGATGCAGCAAACCACCATGGCAACTGTATACCTATGTAACAAACCTGCAAGTTCTGCACATGTGTCCCAGAATCTAAAGTATAATAAAACCCACTAAATTATACACTTCAAATTGTGAATTTTATGGTATGTGAATTATGTCTACAAATAATGCATTGGATTTTACCAATGTTTTTCTATATCTATTGAGATTACCACTTTGTCTCCCCTAACCTATTAATGGAGTGAATTACATGGTAGATTTTTCTCACCTTTACCACCCTAGAATTCATGAAATAAAAGCTATTGATATAATATTATTTAAAAAGAAAAAAATAAAAAATTATAGAATGGGAGCATGGTTCAGAAAAGATAAAGTATTGGGAACCTCCCCTACCAAAAGTAGCCAAAAAACCTATACAGTAGAAAATTATAAAACATAAAATGCACTGTTGTGTTTATTAGGGAAAAAAAAGAGAGAGAAATTGCTAGGAACCAGAAATAAAGATGTAAGTGAAAAGTAGAAGGTTAAGCCTGTGGCCTAAAGCTTGGGCTGCCCTGGTGAGTTTACAGTAGCTTTCTCAGAGGCTTGTGTTTCAACATGTGACAGGGAACAGGAAATATGGAAATTATACCAGTAGACAATGATGAGGTTTTCAAAGAGCTGTGTTCTCAGGAATGTGTAATAGAAAAAAATTCTGCCAACTACTTTGGCAGATAACAAGAATACTTCTCTTTTTCTGCTGTAATATTGGTGAATAGAAGGTATTTCTTTACAAAATCAAAGTGTGGGTGTCTTTTTGTGTATACTTGGCATTCACATCTATGCTACCTGCAGAGTCAGAGAAATTAATATAAAATGTCATTCTAGACAGGTAATATTTTAATACGTCTAGAGAGAGCATTTAAAAAGTGTTCTAGAACATACTACGTTTGATAAAGTAAATTCTGACTCAAACAAAATAAACAACAACAGAAAAACCCCACTAAGGGTAAATTCTTATGGGTTTATGTGATTGGAAGAACAAAAGGAGAAATTTAAACAAAGAAAATTACATATCAACCAGGCACAGTTGCTCACACCTATAATCCCAGCACTTTGGGAGGCCAAGGCAGATAGATATCTTGTGGCCAGGAGTTTGAGACCAGCCTGGCCAACATGGTGAAACCCCATCTCTACTAAAAATACAAAAATTAGCCCGGCGTGGTGGTACATGCCTGTAATCACAGCTACTCAGGAGGCTGTGGCAAGAGAATCACTTGAACTCAGGAGGCGGAGGTTGCAGTGAGCCGAGATTGTTCCACTGCACTCCAACCTGGGCAACCGAGTGAGACTGTCTCAACAACAACAACAACAACGAAAAGAAAAAAAAAAAATACATATCCTAAGAAGGCACAACCACATTTGAAATTAAACACTTAAAATAAAACTAAAATAATTTATTTCATAACATTAAAATCTTAAGGCATTAAATCACAGAGTAGATACAGCTGGGGAAGGTATTAGTAAATGGAAAGATGGATCTGAAGACATCATGTTGAACATAGCCCAGAGAAATAAAGCAAGCATAAGAGACATGTAGATTAAAATGGTAATGTTGAAAAAAAAACTAATTAGGCTGGGCATGGTGGCTCACGCCTGTAATCCCAGCACGTTGGGAGGCCAAGGCAGGTGGATCACCTGAGGTTAGGAGTTCGAGACCAGCCTGACCAACATGGAGAAACCCCATATCTACTAAAAATACAAAATTAGCTGGGTATGGTGGCACATGCCTGTAATCCCAGCTATTTGGGAGGCTGAGGCAGGAGAATCGCTTGAACCCAGGAGGTGGAGGTTGTGGTGAGCTGAGATTGCGCCATTGCACTCCAGCCTGGGCAACAAGAGTGAAACTCTGTCTAAAAAAAAAAAAAAAAAAAAAAAAAAAAACAAACTAATTAAATCAGTTTCAGAAGAAAATATAGAAATTGAGGATGGTGCAATAGTCAAAGTGATAAATATTAAAACTTTTCAATAAAGAAAGATACAGCTCTTCAGTTTTAAGAAGCACAGTATGTCTTCAAAAGGATTAATAAAAGATAAAATCTTTCTAAGGCATATTTTTAATGAGCAAGGAGAATGTCAAAGATGAGGCATAAAACATAAACAGACACAGAGATAAATTGTTTTTAAGTCAATTTGATTAAACAGTGACAGTTCACATCTCAACAGAGGCCATTCAGACTTAATTCTAGTTATCAGTTCCAGCCTGATTATAAAAATATTGATTGGTCAAATAAAAGCCAAACCTTTACCTCAGTCCAATAAAAAGCTTCTGAAGGGTGTTGATCAGGAAAATGATAGGGTAGTATTTGTGCTTTTGTCAGATTCTTTAGGATTATTGCAATGTATTAGAAAGCTCTTTGGACACAGATTCAGGAAGAATATTCTGTCATTTCCTAGCTAATTAAGGCTGATAAAATCTCTAAGATTTTCTGAGTTAACTTCTTTATTTATAAAATGGAATTTAAAAAAATCTATTCTTCCAACCTCATGGAATCATGATCAGACTTAGATATTGTATTTATGCGGAATCACCTTTAACTCAGAGAATGTAGATATATTACATGCATATTCTATTTAGAGTAAAAATAAACAGTGTGGACATCGTAAAAGGAAATGAGCAGAGTTACTCAGCAGACTTTTTCCAAGTTTAAATTAGAATCTAGACAGCAGGGATGCAAACTGCCCTATACAGTATTCTGAAGACTTTTGTATTCATGACTTATAAATTATTATAATCTTTTAGGAGGTATTACTAGATTTTCTGGAAAAGGCTGAGAGTTGATCATTTGCAAACTTATAAAACTATATCCTTAAGACAGAAAGGTACTGCTTTCAGGTCCTTAAGAGTGGGGAAAATCACTATATTAAAAAAAAAGTATATATATATTTAATTTTAGAAAATATCTTATAAAATTATGCCTAAAGACCTTTTAACCATAGTTGGGCTACTGCAGCATTATGGCCAAGGTTTTATCCTGAGTAGGAAATTTACCCAGAGATAATGAGACAAAACAAAATTAAAATGATTAAAACAAAAAGAACAGAATGGAAGGTGATATGTTTGCATGTAGTAGAATAGGGGCTTCATAGATAATCAATTGTAATAGAAGTAGGGTTTCACAGATAATAAGTCTAGGCATGGGTGTAACTTTAAGACTTTTTGTTCTCTAACAAGACCTTAAATTTGTATATGTTACTTTTATGTTCATGTCAATTAACTTTTGCAAGTCAATATTAATTAGAGTAATTATATCCATTGAGATGCAAATGCTGAAAATTACAGGATTTAGAGGGGGCTTCAAAGCTAAAAAGTGAAAGAGCTGGGATTGAGTGTTTTTCTTTTGGCCTGAAATCTCAGATTTCTTTTTAAATATTGTACCAGTAGACACTGAATTTTGTTTTTTGTATCTTGTTTTAGAGATACTGCTAAGACTTCCTAGGTAATAAACTGTAAAGATGGTGGAAGTAATGTACAAGGAAGTTAGAAATGCATTACATTTAATTTTGATAATGACTTAAGCAAAAAAGAATCCATTTAATAGAAATGTCCTTTATAAGGAATATAAATACTATGTTATAAGCACAGATTTTGCTATCAACTAAGCAAGTAACTATAGGTCAAATTTTAACTCGTTCATTAAACAAAAACTTGAGAGCTTGTTATATGACAAATACTGAATAAGACAGGAGAATAAGAAGATAAATGAGATATGGACTTAGTTGTTTTCAAGGAATTATGGTCAATTGCAGTGAATCTTTTAGCCTTTATGAATCAGTATCTCCTTCTCGAGGATTCTGGCCAAGAAAACTATAGAGATGACGTAGACTTGTATATAAAATTCTGTTTACAATTTCAAGGATTTACAGATTACACCCTTCTTCCCAAATGAAAGGTATCCATAGATTCTCCAGAGAGCTATAAACCTCACCTAGGTAAATCACATCAGCCTGAAGTAATGGAAAAGAGAAATTGGTAATATTAAAGGTATGTATTAGTCCCAGTGGTGGACTGCAGAAGGGTATGGTGAACTCTGCTAACAAGAGGGCAGAGGCAGCTTCTGAAAGGAGGAGATGCTTGGGCAGAATCCTGATGAATGAGCTCAGGGGTCAAAAAGTTTCTCTGGAAATTTCGTTTCTTAAGCTGTGTTATTCAGGGCTTGAAGATCTCTCAGGTTCTTTTCATCTATTATTTTACCCTTTTATAGATTACAAAAGATGCCCATAAGCTGATGTTCTCCCATCCGTTGACATGTCTTGACACCTCTTGAGCTTGAGCAAATGTGCATACTCTCTGAGGAATATTGACTAGCCTAATATGCCAGGAGAAAATGCTAATAATAAGTAACACATTTGCCAGGTGCTGTGCTTGTTGTATGACACTTAATCTTCATTAATTTATTTAATTCCTGTATCATCTTTTTGGATACAGTCTTTAACACCACCATTCTGCTATGACCGTTCTCCCAAACAGACATACTCAGAACCAGTTTAGTAGAAAGAAGAGGTCTGGAATAAGACCTTACACCATTGCAAGGAAGAGTCTATGACTAAACGTGCACCCTATTTGAATAGAGAAACCTGAAAAATTTCTTTTCTTTTTTCTTTTTTTTTTCTGCCTTGAGTTCCTGCCTTGAGGATGTCTCTAAATATTTTGCCAATAAGGAAGGGAAGCCTGCCATCTGTGCTGCTGAAATTGTGGGCAGGGTCACCAAAGAGTGACCACACAGGGCAGGAACACACAAAAACATTTCTTAGAAAACAGTGTTGCTCCCATTTCACTTGAGACAACGTTTTGTTTTTGTTTCAGAATCATAGAAACTGCAAATGAATAAGTTGTACTGGGTCATCTAACTTTACCTCCAGGGAACTGAGGAGTTGCTACAACATATTCATTCAATTCTTTTCCAGTTTCACATGTAGACTCCAACAGGGTTTTTCACCACACTTTCTGGACAATCATTCTGGGCTCCAAGTCAGTATTGCATGAATGTTGCTGTGACTTTGGAAGGAAAAGGAAAAAGAGCCTCTAACAAAAACATTATTTGAGGGGCATAGTTAAGAAAGTTTAACTTTATAAATAAATGTTAAAATTGAATAACTAATGAAACTATATTTTTCTAGGCTGAACCAAGGAATGTTTCGTAACTTTCATTAACCAAAGATAAAAAGGTAATTATGTTTCTTTCTTTTTTTATTGTTTTTATTTTTTAGACAGTTCTGTTGCCCAGGCTAGAGTGCAGTGGCGCTATCTCGGCTCACTGCAGCCTCCACCTCCCAGATTCAAGCGATTCTCCTGTCTCAACCTCCCAGGTTGCTGGATCACAGGTGTGTGCTACCATGCCTGGCTAATTTTTGTGTTTTTAGTAGAGACGGGTTTCGCCATGTTGGCCAGGCTGGTCTCAAACTCCTGGCTTCAAGTGATCCTCTGGCCTCAGCCTCCCAAAGTGCTGGGATTACAGGCATGTGCCACCACGCCCAGCCTGGTAATTATGTTTCTATTTTCTAATTACAACTGCACTCACTGAGTTTATCAAAGATTGACTTTCGTTAAGTTATTTAAAACATTTTTGGCTTTTAATATACCTAAACATTTTAAGTTTGCAAGAAATTCATTATTATATGTATGTTACAAAGGATGAAGATATATATATATATCATATATAAGATATATATATATGTATACACACACGATATATACACACACATAAATAATCTGGATTTTGTTAAATATTTTACATGAATTTTCTTTCACTCCTTATAAAACACTGTTATGTATTGTATCCCTATTCTAGATAAACAACAAAAGAAACAATAAAAAAGTGAGCTTTAAAAGGGCTAACACCTCGGTCAATTTTGTAACTATATAACTCATAACTCAGAGTGGAGTTTTGAGCTCACATCTGATTTCAAATCTCTGAACTGCTATCTTTTACTTTATATTTCTTTAGTGCCTTACAATATTTTCAAGTATTATCAGGAAAAGAATGGTTTTTGATGGGCTGTCTGTTTAGATTAGAGATGAGTGGTTTTTACTAGATTTTATGGGCATGGGGACTTGCTTTGGTCCAGAAATATATGGAAAGCATAGATTGTAGGTTTCAGAACCTGCTAACTTGGTTGGTTCACCTTCTTTCTTTCTTTCCCTTAGGCATACTACATAACAGCTGTGTGTCTGTCTCAGTTTCCTCATCTCTAAAATGAAAATTTTAAAGCTATGTCCTTCATAAGGTAGTTGTGAAGATTTAAGTAGATATATGAAAGGCAGAATATATTGTTCAGAATATAGCATTTGACTAAATATTAATTATAATATATTGCACTACATATTTATGATTATACTGTTTATTAATGCTCTCATTGCACAACATATGTTTATTATTTACAGTATACTATATTTATTTTAATTTGTTATTATTATTATACATCTCCCACCTTTGGTCATTTAATTTGAAATCTCTCCATCATACATTTCCTTTAGATCCTAAGTCTCTAGTTTTCTGTGGTCTGTTCATTGAATGGAAATATCTCTGAGAGGAATATCTGTCTTGGTTTGCAAACTTATTGTGAATAAATTTACCAAATTGTATCCTCCTACCCATAGTTTGGAGAAGGGATTCCAAATGGATAAATCTAGAACATGGTAAGCACGCAGAAGATGATGCAAAAGGAAACAAGTGGCTAAAATCAGAGTGAATAGTCTTCCCAGGAAAAGCTAGCCTTCCACACAGTTTGCTTTGTGTATTCTCTTTATTGGCTGATAACTGATGTATGGGATGGTTTTCCTTTTACAAATAAAAACATGGCTTTTGTTCATCTCCTCTGAGTGCAGGATTTTTAAATTTTTTCAATAACTTCAAAGACTAGACAGTTACTTAAGTTAACCAGCTGACACTAAAATGTTTTTATGGTTGGAATTGTATAATCATACACTTTTTAAATATCTATTAGTGCTTAAAATTTGTGCCTATGAGAGAACACTGGAAAAATGTATTTCATGGAAATAAAGGAAAATAAAATTATTTGTAGTGCCAATATTCAAAGAAAAGCAAGCTTAACATTTTGTGCTATAAATGTTGCTGCATCGGTGTTTGTCCTGTTGTTTTTCTATGTTACTTTTGTATGCATATGATAATTTTGTAACTTTTTTTTTTTTTTTTTTTTTTTTTTTTTTTTTTTTTTTTACATGGAGTTTTGCTCCTTCTCCCAGGCTGGAGTGCAGTGGCACCATCTTGACTCACTGCAACCTCTGCCTCCCTGGTTCAAGTGATTCTCCTGCCTCAGCCTCCCAAGTACCTGGGATTACAGGTGCCTGCCAACACACCTGGCTAATTTTTGTATTTTTCGTAGAGATGGGGTTTCACCATCTTGGTCAAGCTAGTCTTGAACTCCTGACCTCATGATCCACTCATCTTGGCCTCCCAAAGTGCTGGGATTACAGGCATGAGCTACCGTGCCCTGCCAACTTTTTACATAATTATGTATCACACTTTTTGTTGTTATATAGTGTGTCAAACAATTTTAATGGCTTTACACATTAGTTCAGTAGATGTAGTTTCCATATTTTATTTAGCCATTCTTCCAAATGTAACACATTTATTATTTGTATATTGTTTTGATTTATTGTACTTGTAAATAACACTATGATGAGCATCTTATATATAAACAAACACTTATTAAGCCCTGAATATGTGCCAGGTCCAGGGCTTGCCATGGTGGGATCAACACTGAATAAGTCATGACCCTGCCTGTAAGGACCTTAGAATCTATTGGAAAAAATTAACAAATAAATCAGTGAATGCAATTATTGGTATAACTCAGTAAGTGCTTTGATCTTATGTTCAAAATTTGCTTTGGAAGCGAATCTACTTCAGACAGCAGCTTGGGAAGGATACCCGATCAAGTAATACTTGAACTGAGGTTGAAAGTTGAATAGAATTCAACAAGATAAAATGCAAGAACAGAAGAGTTATTTTTCAGGTGGCAAAGAGCTTGAGCAAATGTGCATACTCTCTGAGGAATACTGACTAGCCTAATATGCCAGGAGTAAAGGCTAATAATAAGTAACACATTTGCCAGATGCTGTGCTAACTACTTTACCTTCATTAATTTATTTAATTCCTGTATCATCTTTTTGGATATAGTGAAACAGGTACTATCATTGTCTCCATTTTTAACTAAAACGAAAAACAAAACAAAACAAAAAACAGAGACAAAAGTGAAATTTTATAACAAACTTGTTTATACACATACAGTGAATATGCATAGGGTCCTGGATTTGGTCCCCGGAATCTGATTCCTGAGCCCAGACTCAACCACCACTTCATTTCAAAGGTTGGTGGTGAGATTATGATGCTTTTTTTTTTTTTTTTTTTTTTTTTTGTCACTCTTGTTGCCCAGGCTGGAATGCAATGGCATGATCTCAGCTCACTGCAACCTCCGCCTCCCGGGTTCAAGAGATTCTCCTGTCTCAACCTCCTTAGTATCTGGGATTACAGGCACCCACCACTATGCCCAGCTAATTTTTGGTATTTTTAGTAGAGATGGGGTTTCACCATGTTGGCCAGGCTGGTCTCAAACTCCTGACCTCAGGGGATCTGCCCACCTTGGCCTCCCAAAGTGCTGGGATAACAGGCATGAGCCACTGTGCCCAGCCAAGATTATTAAGCTCTTAAGCATTAAACTGCATCCACAAAGATAACTGTTTATAGATTTTTCAGTAATGCAGCGGTATACTAGATTTTTTTATTTAGAAATGTCAGTAGGCATTTGTATAGTACATTTGAGCTTTTTTTTTCTTTTTTTAACCTACAGTATGAAAAAAAAAAAAAGAAAAACTTTGTTTTAACATATAGTAAAAAAAAAAAAAAGAAAGAAAGAAAAAAAAAAAAGAAAAGAAAAGCCGGGTGCGGTGGCTCACGCCTGTAATCCCAGTGCTTTGGGAGGTATCACTAGATTTTTCCTTTCTCTTGTACATTTCTAAAACTTATTCCTTAATTTAGGATTTATGCTTCTTTCTCTGTCTCTCTCTCTCTTTTTTTCTTTTTTTTTTGAGACCGAGTCTTGCTCTGTCGCCCAGGCTGGAGTCCAGTGGCGCAATCTCGACTCACTGCAAGCTCCGCCTCCCGGGTTCACGCCATTTTCCTGCCTCAGCCTCCCGAGTAGCTGGGACTACAGGTGCCTTCCACCACGCCTGGCTAATTTTTTTGTATTTTTAGTAGAGACAGGGTTTCACCGTGTTAGCCAGGATGGTCTCAATCTCCTGACCTCGTGATGTGCCCACCTCGGTCTCCCAAAGTGCTGGGATTACAGGCGTGAGCCACCGTGCCCGGCTTTTCTTTCTTTTTTTTTTTTTTAAACTATATGTTAAAACAAAGTTTTTCTTTTTTTTTTTTTTTTTTTTTTTTTACATACTATAGGTTAAAAAAAGAAAAAAAAGCTCAAATGTACTATACAAATACCTACTGATATTTCTAAATAAAAAAATCTAGTGATACTGCTGCATTACTGAAAATCTATAAACAGTTCTCTTTGTGGATGTAGTTTAATGCTTAAGAGCTTCATAATCTCGGCTGGGCGCAGTGGCTCATGCCTGTTATCCCAACACTTTGGGAGGCCAAGGTGGGCAGATCACCTGAGGTCGGAGCAATTACAGCATCTCTGTTACCAACAATATATTTCTTAATTAATTAAACAGTAGCTTAGCACAATGAGTTAAAAAATTAAGGATTTTCAAAATTCTCCTAAGAATCACATTTCATTGTTTCTATTAATAGTTAATTAAATATCCTTACTAGAAAACATTTACATAATCTATAGCTTTGAACTGTGATTTGTTAATTTTTGACTTGACTTGATGGGCCTTTAAATATGCCTACAAGTCACCCAAACTTATAAATCAATGACTTATTTGTGTTTAAAAATATTTGCAACATAAGAGTTGTTTGGTTTGGAATCCCAAACAGTAAATTTGTCTTTGGAGAAATTGTAAAGATTAAAAAATGTTATTAAAACTCGTAAAGTTTTAGTAGATTCTAAAGTAATATTGAAGTATATTGATACATTTAAATAATACGGAAAATTGGGAGAGATAGTAATACATTTCTATTTATTTAAATACTTAAACTGTGTCTAGAAAAAGTTGAAGTAGATAGTGGAGAGGCCAGGGACATCAAAGAATAGAAAAACAGAGCCATGTAAGGCTGCTAAAGAACCTGTGCTAAAGCAAACTGCATTTTTCCCCATTTTAACATTTTAAAAACTGGTAACTGAATTATAATTTATATATTCATTTACTATAATAATTCTTTTTTGTCAGAAAATATTAAATCGCTAGTGTATTTTAGCATTTGAAGACATCTTAGGATGAAGGAAATGTGATAAATATGCATATATATATATAACACATGTATATTGCTTATACATATATTCTACATAAGATAATTTTCCTTTATTTTTGTGTACATTTTTAATTTTGATTGCCCCTGTATACTTGTTGATTGGGACTTTCTTTTCATTTACTGCATTTTGTTTACTTACTTATCAGTTGATGGACATTAGGGTTAGGGTTATTTCTGATTTACCTAATAATTTTAAATTTAAAATTTATTTTTAATTGACAAATTATTATACACATTTATGGGATACATTGTGATCTTTTGATATATATTTACATTGTGGAATCATTAAATCAAATCAATATATCCATCACCTCACATACTTACCAATTTTTGTGGTGAGAACATTTAAAATCTAAACTTTAAGCAATTTTGAAATATACTATGCATTGTTATTAATTATAGTTACCAGTCTGTGCAATAGATTCCTAAAGCTTATTCCTCCTGTTTAGTAGAAACTTATCATCCTTTGGTCAACATATCACCATTCTGCAGCCTCTGATAACCACCATATTATTCTCTACTTCTATGAGTTTGACTTTTTAGATTCTACATATGAGATCACGTGAAATTTGCCTTTTTGTGCCTGGCTTATTACACTTAGCACAATATCCTCCAATTCATCCATGTTGTCACAAATGACAGAATTTTTTTCTTTTTGAAGTCTGAATAGTATTCCATAGTCTAAATATATATATTTTATCCATTCAATTGTTGACGAATACTTTGGTTGTGCACCCATTTCTTAGCTAGTATAAATAATGCTACAATTGAACATGAGAGTGTGAATGTCCTTTCACATATGGTTTCAATTCCTTTGGATATATACCCAGTAGTGGGATCATATGGTAATTCTATTTTTAGTTTTTTGAGAAACTTCCACACTGTTTTCCATAATGGCTGTATTAATATACATTCCCACCAACGATGTAGAAGAATTCCATTTTCTCCACATCCTCCTCAACACTTATCTTTCATCTTTTTGATAATAACCAATCCAACAGCTGGTTGGTGATATCTCATCGTGGTTTTAATTTGCGTTTCCCTGATAATTAGTGATGCTGAGTTTTGTTTGTTTGTTTGTTTTTTTCCTGTATCTGTTGACTATTTATATGTCTTCTGAGAATTATCTATTCAGGTTCTTTGCTTATATTCTAGTGGGGTAATTTGTATTTTTGCTATTGAGTTCTTTGAGTTTTTTATATATTTTGAATATTAGCCTCTAATCAGATACATGATTTGCAAACATTTTCACCCAATCTGTGTGTTTACTCTTCACTCTGTTTATTACTTCATTTGCTGTGCAGAAGCTTTTTAATTTGTTTAAATTCTACTTGTTTATTTTTGCTTTTGTTGCCTGTGCTTTTAGGGTCCTATCTAAGAAATCTTTTCCCAGACAAATGTCATTGAGCTTTTTTCATATGGACTTAAAAAAACTATTAGTAGTACATACCATGTTATCTTTTTTTCTACTGGGTGTTCTACAATGAGAACCTGACCTAACTCAAGGAAAGAGGAGAAACTAAAACATTTTTTAAATTAATATTAAGAATGTCAATGAAAAGAATCAAACTCTGTAGAATATTTAAAGAGGTTTATTCTGAGCCAAATATGAGTGACAAATGGCTCGTGACACAGCCCTCAGGAAATCCTGAGAACATGTACCCAAGGTGGTTGGGCTACAGCTTGATTTTTACATTTTAGGAAGACATAAGACATCAATTAATACATGTAAGATATACATTGGTTCAGTCTGGAAAGGTGGGACAACTCGAAGTGGGGGCTTCCAGGTCATAGGTATGTTCAAAGATTTTCTTTCTTTCTTTTTTTTTTTTTTTTTGAGACAGAGTCTTGCTTTGTTGCCCAGGCTGGAGTGCAGTGGCGCAATCTCAGCTCACTGCAAGCGCCACATCCCGGGTTCACGCCATTCTCCTGCCTCAGGCTCCCGAGTAGCTGGGAGTACAGGTGCCCACCACCACGCCTGGCTAATTTTTTTGTATTTTTAGAAGAGACAGGATTTCACTATGTTAGCCAGGATGGTCTTGATCTCCTGACCTCATGACCCGCCCTCCTCGGCTTCCCAAAGTGCTGGGATTACAGGTGTGAGCCACCACGCCCAGCCTTGTTCAAAGATTTTCTAACTGGCAATTGGTTGAAAGAGTTAAATAGTTGGCTAAAGACCGGAAATCAATAGAAGGAAATGTCTGGGCTAAAATAAGGGGTTGTGGAGACCAAGGTTTTTTATTATGAAGCCTTCAGGTAGCAGGCTTCAGAGAGAATAGATTGCAAATATTTCTTATTAGATTTCTTATTAAACTTAAAAAAAAAAAAAGGTGCCAGATTCTTAATTGATTCTCTCCTGGATCAGGTAAAATACCTAAAAAGGGAAGGTGATTCTCTACAGAATGCAGATTTTCCCCAGGAGAGACAGCTTTGCAGGCTATTTCAAGATATGACAAAGAAACAGATTTGGGGTTACAATAGATTTCTTTCTTTATCTGTCATGTGATATTATGCTAGAGTCAGGTTGGAAAGTAAGCCATGCTATATAGGGTTAAATAAAACCCCTCTGATGAGACTTTATGGTTTGTGGGGCATGACTCCCCAGGCCTCTTATATAGGAATCTGGGCAAGAAAAGGAAAAGGTCAGAGTTTAGTCCTCAAGAATAAGATGTGATATTGGAGAATATACAAATGTAACTTTCCATTAAGCTTAATTTTTTATAAATGTATTTTTCCTCTTCTATTAGGGGCCTTCTCTGAATTAATAATGCTAAGTGAGTATACATTTGAAGAACTGAAAAACTTCTAATGAAAAGTATAATGAATGAGCTGAAAATAAGTATAAATAGAGTTTCTAATATTTTCTTCCTTCAACTTAATGATTTTCAGATTTTCACACATCTCCTAGTCTGCATGTGTTTTACTTTGGCAACCACCACATTGCAAAGATCATGAAAGGATTACTATAATGACCTCTTTATATTATAACCCTCATATTGACATTAAGATTTTGATTTACTTATTAATAAACTGCTTTTCTTATTTTACCCTGAGAGCTCATATAGAGAAAAATTCCAGATAAAGACAAGTTGGGACAGATTAAAAAATGAGTAAGAAATAATATCTGTTTTCTTGAAACCTTATATCTAACGCAACACACTGACTTGAAAGCATTTGAGTGTAAAACAAAGCTGACTGGCATACATAAGAAATACAGGAACGTATAACTTGCTGTCAGATTATAAGGGTCAGAAAAGATCATTCTGCCTACAGGCTTAGAACACATTTCAAAGAAAGTGAAAAATTCTCCCCAGGGCCTGAAAGCTGAAGGGGATGAGTAACTCCTCCCTCCTCAGACTCAGTCCCAAGGCGCAAGGCCACTTGTGCCAGTAGCGTTCACCAGAAAGACAGCATAAGCAGGAAGAGAGCTAGCCAGAAGACATGTACCCGCTGAAGACCAAGAGAGAGGCCATCCGGGTACCGTGTAGCAGTTACATCCGACTGAGACACTTCCTGTTTACAGGAGACTATAAAACCTCTGCCCCATCCTTATTTGGTGCAGACGCCATTTTAGGCCTCAGCCCCTATGCACCTGGGTGCTTATTAAAACAGCATGTTGATCCACACTGCCTTGTGTTGTTTGTTGGTGCGCTCTCAGGGTTCGAACCGATACAAGAGCCTTGAAGAAAGGAGCCATATTTTCCCACTATAGTATCATCCCAGTCTAGCTCAATGCATATACTGCTCTAAGTTATGAGTACTACATCCTAGTATAGTCCTTACTGGAGCTATGGCATCTTGATGTTGTGGAACAACTTAACGAACCAAAATGTCAGGATCACAGAATATTTTTAATGTTTTTTGATGCCATAGTCTCTGTATGAATCCTGTGGGAGTAAGAAAACTGATAGAATCAGCCCCAGAGTGTTTTTATATAAATTAGAGAAAATCCCTTTTCTCATTACAATATTGCACAATCTCATGTCAATTCCAGCCTAATTTGCTCATGGTGGCAAATCAAGGCCATCATGATGGGGGAGGAAATGTCTAGAGCCTAAGGAAATCTCAATGCTGCAATACCAGACAGTGAATAAAATCGAAGAGTTAATTTTGATCAAAGGGGCTTTTGCGTGACTCCATTCAGACCATCCAGTTAACTGTCAACCTTATCTAAATATTTCACTATAGAAGGAAATGAACATTTTATGTATTTAATAAAAGAGTGGAAAAATATATTTAATTAAATAAATATTTCCATAATCCAAATATGCAAAAACCTCTTGATTAGTACTACAAGGAAGACTTAACCCTTTACCCCAAGGACCTTAGAATCTATCCTAAATAGCTTAGAATTTAGATAGAAGGTATGCCTGCCTTTTCCTATATTATCAGGAAAAGTTGGTATGCATACTTTCTCAATATTCTTCTCTGGCAGAGGCCAATATTCTTAATAAGAATATTGGGAAGAGGAACAACAGCAGAGAAACTGAGTCAAAACAAGATCAGCCTAATAAAGATGTAATTGAGTCCTAAACAAACTTACAGCTATCCTGAGATCTAGTTCTTTTAATTTTTGAAAAGTTTTTCTATTATTTTTTACCTCCCTATATATTCTTGCAACAATTGTCAGTTGATTGTCAGCCAGTTCCTGCCAATTAACAGCTTTACACTTAAGCATCATAAAATGACTTGGTCTTTTGATCACCCTTTCTTTACAAAGTTACCAATCAAAACTGTTCATTATACTTGTCTTTGGTGATGTGGTTTTTTTACCCCTCCCTCAACTTCTGTTTACTCTTAGAACCTGATTTTATGGAAGGAGATCCCAAGTAACTCATATTCTCTGTTATACAAGGTGATGATTTTCAAAGCTTGCATCACAGGAGAGGTATGAAGGAGCTAATTGCTTCTAAGATATTTGGAAACTGACATAAGAAATGCCCTTTGCAAGTAATTATGAGAGCTTCTTCTGTACAAGGTTACCACTCTCAGTATTTAAATTTCCTCTGGAAGCACTTCTGCCTGGCTTTCTTCACATGCTCCACCCCCTTAGTGCTAATACGAACCTCATGCCCTCTAGTCTGAAAGGATTTGGGACTGTTTCTTCCATGTTAATGTAAAGTATGCCATTCTGGGCCCTATGTAGTATTATTTGCTTTTCTTACTGCTGAATCTATCATGTAGGTAGTTTTGTATCATCCAGAGGACTTCGTATCTTTGCATCATATTGATTCTTAATTCCCTGGTCTCACAGTCTAGCCAGATATATTTGATTTACTAAGAAACTAAGCCTCTTGTCATATCCTGGTGAGATCTGTAAGAGATGAAGTTGAGATTTGAGAGAAAAGTTCTTCTGGAAATGACTGTCTTTTCCTTGGTCTTACAAATGATTCTGTTTGTTAAGTGATTAAAGCTTGTCTGGACAGACAGCAAACCCAAGGGTAGATTTATAGCCTCTAAAAACAATACCTTCAAAGATTTTCTCCCAGAATGCATGGCCCAGAGGCATCCCTTTGATTGATCTAAGTCCCTAAAGAGTTGCTTCAGCAACAAACAAAGACATATTATGCTTCTTTCCTAAAAGACTTTGACATTTTATGGTTTTGCACAAAAATATTGAGCAGGAGTAAATAGAAATCCTGTAACCTTTCCTTAACTGGATTGTAGGCATGCTTTGTCCTACAGCAAAATCAGCTACTTCACTCTCATGACCTTACAAAATAGTGCATTACTTATCCAGTTGACTATGTCAACAGCCATTACCCAAATACACTTCTGTTCTGGGGAGAAAAATGAGGGGAATTATACATATCTACGTTTTGGGAGGTAACAACTTAGCAACAGGGGAAAATGGAACCAGTATTTATTATATGCATCCCCAAGTATCAAAAAAAAAAGACATTAAAAAAATAACATTTTGGGAAAGCTTTTGTTTTTACTATTTTAGGACTTTGCATAAAAACCATTTTTTTTTAACTCCATGCAAAATCGTCAACCTTCCTCCACAAAGAGGTGTAATTTTTGTAGTTTTCTGGAGTGTTTTAGAAAATTCTTATCACTGAAACAGATTCCTTATGCATTACTGCCTTCTTATAGTATAGATGGGTATCTGTTTCACCATCTAAAATGTGATCTTTATCAGAACAAGAATCATTTTATTTATTTGGTATTATTGTCTACAACAGATATTATCTAATAATGATGAGATAAATAGTACTAAACTCATGTTTTAAAGAGGAACAAAATCAAAGCATTAAGTATTTCAGTATCTAGCCTATTTCATAGCAAAGAGCAAGGTTAGACTGGAAGACTTTCAATTTTCTGACTAGTGAAAGCTCCTAGTATGACATTGTGAGAGGAAAGTATCTCGGCCCCTAAAATCACTAAGCTAAAGGGAAAAGTCAAGCTGGGAACTGCTTAGGGCAAACCTGCCTCCCATTCTATTCCAAGTAACCCCTCTTCTCACTGAGATAAATGCATATCTGATTGCCTCCTTTGGAGAGGCTAATCAGAAACTCAAAAGAATGCAACCACTTGTCTCTTATCTACCTATGACCTGGAAGCCTTCTCTCCACTTTGAGTTTTCCCACCTTCCCAGACCTAACCAATGTTCAGCTTACATATGTTGATTGATGTCTCATGTCTCCCTAAAATGTATAAAAACCAAACTGTGCTCTGACCACCTTGGGCATAAGTCTTCACGACCTCCTGAGGCTGTGTCACGGGTGCGTGTCCTCAAATCTTAGCAAAATAAACTTTCTACCTTGAAGGCACGTAGCAACGAATGTATCTCCAATTTATAGAAGGAGAAGTTGAGGCAATGATGGAATTCACCCAGCCTCCAACGATCACCCCAAATAGTTAGAAACTGGCTTCCCCACAAATTCCCCCTCTCTCTATTGACACATATAATTTAATAAATATCAACACACAGACTTCTAATCTCCTATTATCAGATTTCCTCATTCCCATGCAAAAAGGTGTTTTCCCAGTGAAGTTCTCTGGGAGTTTCAGAGTTTTGAAACCAAGTCAACTGTCAGAAAGCTTTTTCAAATAGCTTTCTGACAAATTGAGATTATATTTAGAAGTTTACAGATACAGTGAGGCTCTGCTATTTTAACTCTTCAAATTGAGGCTGAACAATTCTTTTTATGTTGGAGAGGGGGACTTTGGATTTTAAGATTAAACTAAATGGCCTGTAGCTGTTTTCCAAACCTGTGATCTAATTAATTTATGACTATATGATTATCTAGATATTTTTAGAAAGAAAATAAGGGAGGGAGAGAGAGAGTTGAGATTTGCAAGACTAATGTTCAAGTATTTCCAAGAGATAGGAGTAGATAGCCTATCTTCTTATAGCTTTGCCAGACCTGTCTTGTGGGGGTTATTCTACCTTGAAGGGAGGGAGCAACTGATGTATCTTCAATTTATAGAAGAAGTTGAGGCAATGATGGAATTCACCCAGCCTCCCATGATCACTCCAAATAGTTCGAAACTGGCTTCCCCACAAATTTCCCCTCTATTGACACATATAATTTAATAAATATCAACACACGACTTCTAACTTCCCAAGATCGGATTTCCTCATTCCCATGCAAAAAGGTGGTCCCCAGTGAAGTTCTCTGGGAGTTTCAGAGTTTAGAAACCAAGTAACTGTCAGAAAGTTTGTTCAAATAGGATTGAGATTATATTTAGTAAGCCAACCATTTTGACAACTGGGAATGTGTTCACTTTGCTACTCCCTTGCCAAATGTGTAACATATACCTGGTTATGTAGTGATGAAGGTTGACATCTACTCAAAGCTATTGGATCCTCTTCCAACAGAATTTATTTTTCAGTAAAATAAATTAAGCTGGCTAGTTTGGCGTAGAATATAAAGTACTATATTTTTTCTTCTCAACCAATTCACTGGCTGCTTTTCTTTTTTAGTTTTGTTTTGATTAAACTTCCTTTAACAAAGAAACAATCGCTTTGATTTAGATTTTTGGAAAGAGTTATCATTCTGTCTAACTTGGGCTGAACTCCAAAGAACTTCCAACTAATTAGCATATAACGCCACTTACCCTTAACTGTTATTTTTGTTGCCAGCCAACTGTGGGTGTCTTGATCATGATTGATTTCCTTGAGGCCATGACTTGATTAAAATTCCAATTACTGAGTGACACAGGCAGGGAGGCCCTGTCCATTGACTAGCAAGATATGTAATGTGGATATGAATCTTTTCCCAATCCTAGGGAACTTAGTTCCCCACAATTGTAAATGTCAGTGAACTCAGAGCTAAAGCTCAGAAAATAGCAATGAATTCAGTGCTCAGGTAGGAATATGCATGCCAGGACTGAAAAATAGAATTTTAAAAGAGTGAGCACTAATATATAAAACTGAACTTCCACTAATAGTTACTAAGTGTCTAATATTTGCATGGTTCTGCAGTAGATACTACAGAACCCAGTGCTGTAATACCCAGCTCTCTCTTTAGCCCTGAGGCACTAATTCCCAGCTGCTGTAAATGTAGGTTGCAGATAACTCATAATGGACTACTTCTCTGGGTATTGCCTTAGATGATGGAAGCTGTCTTGCCTAAATTTCTGGGTCCTCCAATGAATCACCCATGCAGAAGACACAATAGCCTGCCCCGCTTGCCTCAAGCAGGACAACTTGGAAGGGCCATCTTATCTCTAGAACTCCCTGTGGGATGAGTGAGACCTCCATTACAATTGTATTACAGCTCAATATTTTCTTCTGTCCAGTCATTTCCTTAGGGATCTTGTTGTCAATAATACTGCTCAATAATCTCCAGCTTATACATCTCCATAGCAGAATTGTTCCCAGGGAACCTGATCTGAGAAAGATACTATTCTTGGTACTGGACGGTGATGGTTGTTTTTTGTTATAAAGATTGATACTCACTCACTCTGCCCTCTGCTTGCTTACAATGTAGTAGAAGAGACAGAATGATAAGCATCTACTGTACTGTTTTTTTTTTTTTTTTTTAAAAAGGCCATTCCTTCTCCTGCAAAGCAGAATTCTGTTGTCCCTTTTCTTTGCTTCCAGACTTCTACTTAGATCATATCATAATAAATCATATCATTTTGTTGTTAATGGCGGTCTCTTACAAGAAGTTATGAGCATTTTGGACACAAGGGTTTAGTTGTGTTTACCTTCATACCTCTGGTGTACTGCCCGCAATAAATACGACAGGTGCTCAGCAGTTTGTGTTGAATTGAGAAATAAATTAATGAACAAAAATAAATAACACGGCTTGTAAGTATAATACAAAAAAGTATTTCATTAGAATGATGAAACTTCAGAGAAGACATGGAATTTGTGTTTGGCCTTGAAAAAATTTAGTAGGTTTAGGGCATATGGGTATGTCAGACTGAGAAAGCAACATTGCAGTAGTAATTTAAATTTTACATTTTAGTTATAATAACAAAAACCTATTCAAGCTAATTTTGAGCAATGAAGTGTCTTTACTGAATTACTATAGTGTATTTCATGGAACCACTGTCCAGCATTTCTATTGCACATATGAGGGCTTAGAATCAAGAACTCTAATATAAGAAACCACAGTTGTTATGATGGTTTCTTCAGAAAATAAGCTTCTCTTCTCTATTTGTCTGCTCACTCTTTTGTTTCTTCGCAAGTCTTTATCTTCAGGTCTCTTCATTCAAGAAGAGGTTACTTGAGGCTATGAGTACAAGAAGAGAGATAATTGCCTCAGCTGTGGCCAGATATCAATTCCTGGTTCAATCCTTACGGTCAACATGGGTTATGGGAGATATTTTGGAAATGGAGCACAAACAAGCCCATACATGGACAGATGAGTAGATAGTATAGATGAGGAACTCTAGGAAGTGTTTGCTGAGGTACAAACCTCATGGTGGGTTAGAATTCCCATTGTAAACATCTGTAATCCTTATTAAATTTAACAACTTTTTTTGTCAACTTTTAATCCTGTGTGTGTGTGTGTATGTGTAAAAGAGTTGATTAAATAATTAAATGGTAGCAGCAGACCTCCCTTCAAGATTATATTTAGATTAGACTAATTTACAACCATTCTTAGTTCTTTGGGTATGTTTAATGTTAGGGAGGATAAATACAAAACCTAGTTTTGTGAGATCACTTTTTTCAGGCTTAAGAGTTGTCATATAAAATTCTCAAAATGGACAGATCCCAAAACAACCAGCAACTCTAGTGCCAAGATTCAATGACAGGAAAGTGAATAAAGCATCATTCTTATCTTCTAAAAGCTCATAGACTAATAGGTGTTTCCATGACAGGAGGGTCAGGGAATCAGTGACATGCCAATAAAACATTATGATGTGCTACATCCAGTGATAAAGAAAGAACAAAGTCCTCTAGGAACACTTCTTCCTGCCTATAGAGGTCAAGGAGTTCTCAACATAGAAGACATCTCATTTGTGTTTTTATCAATGAGTAGCATTGGCCAGATGAAGAAGCAGAAAAGAAAGTTCAATAAAGGGAACAGCACATGCAAAACCAGGGCATTACACAACATCATGAAATGTTTGAATAATGGCAAAAAAAAAAAAAAAAAAAAAAACCCCACCTTGGTATCAAAAACAAAATAAGTATGTTTTGTGAGCATGTCAGGATAGGGGGCAGTTCCAGATAAATGAGTCAAGGAAAAAAATTATAAGCAAAATTTGAAAGGATAAAAGGATCTTCATGTTTTACCAAAGCACCCTGGATGAAGGCTTTTTAGGGCACTGGATGCCAAAAAGCAAAGTGTAAACATGGGGGAAGATTGTGCCCGAATCAAAAGTATGGTCCCATTGCCTAAGAAATGGGACCTGAGGTAGCTATGAAACACACTCTAGTCCTTCTGCCATTAGACTTGTAGGAGGCAGAGAGAGTGGGGAAGGGAGGGAGGGAAGAGGGGGAGGAGGAGAAGAAAGAAGCAGGGAAGAGAAGGAGAAATGAGAAGTGGGGAGAGGTTTCCAATGTGCAAATCCTTTAAAGGAAAGCCAAAAGTAGAAAGTCTTTTTTAAAAGTCTGCTCATTTCCACAGAGCATTAGGAAACACAATTTTGCAGTATGCAGTGTTATTCCTAATGAGAAAAGTTATGTATTGAACTGGTATTAATTATCTACAGAATGCCAAATAGTGTGATAACATTTTCTCCTTATCTTCTCTTTAAAATCCTCAAAATTAAGATTAAAAGTTAGCTCAAATGTCTTGTATGCATAATTTACTCTAAACACAATTCTTTTTAGAAGGGAACAGGTCCAGGTATACCACAAAGGGGCAGTGTGGCATCATGGTTAAGAGCTTAGAATCCGGAGCCATGGAGTCTGGGTTCAAAATCCTATTTCCACTCATTTTTCTTTTTTTCTTTTTTTTAAGATAGAGTCTCACTCCGCTGCCCAGGCTGGAGTGCAGTGGTGCGATCTCGGCTTACTGCAACCACTGTCTCCTGAGTTCAAGTGATTCTGTCTCAGCCTCCCAAGTAGCTGGGATCACAGGCACTTACCATCATACCTGGCTAATTTTTGTATTTTAGTAGAGATGGGGTTTCACCATGTTGGCCAGGCTGGTCTTGAACTCCTGACCTCAGGCGATCTGCCTGCCTCGGCCTCCCAAAATGCCAGGATTACAGGCGTGAGCGACCGCACCCGGACATTCCATTCATTTTTCACTGTGACCTAGGCAACATACTTAACCTCTCTGTGCCTCAGCCCTTCATTTATAAAATAGGATTTAGAAAGTACCTTCATCATAGGGTTGTTGGTATGAAGCCAAAATATCTTGAGACAGGTCTCAATCAATTTAGAAAGTTTATTTTGCCAAGGTTAAGGACTTGTCCATGACACAGCCTCAGAGGTCCTGACGACATATGCCCAAAATGGTCATGGTACAGCTGGCTTTTATACATTTTAGGGAAACATGAGACATCAATAAATATGTATAAGATACCCAAAGGTTGGGTTTGTTAAGGCAGGACAACCGGAAGTGGGGCTTCTAGGTCAGAAGTAGATAAAAGACAAAAGATTAGATTCTTTTGAGTCCTTGATCAGCCTTCCACTGAATACACAATTTAGTCTGGCTCAGTGAATCTGCATTTCTACATAAACAATAGGGCAGAGGAAGCCATCAGACATGTGTTTGTCTCAGGTGAGCAGTGGGATGACCTTCTGTCTTGTGAAGATAAGCTATCAGTTTACATTGCCAGGGTGAAATTCCACAGAACTGTTTTTGGGGTAAAGATCTTGAGGCTCACAAGGAATTCCTTGTGGGCAAATTGTGAGGGAGGTATGTAGCTTTTTTTTTTTTTTTTTTAATCTTTGTAGCTTTCTTATTTAGGAATAAAATGGGAGGCAGGTTTGCCTGACATAGTTTCCAGCTTGACTTTTCCTTTGGCTTAGTGATTTTGGGGTCCCCAGATTTATTTTCCTTTCACATTTGGAAGATCCAATGATCTTCCAAATTTAATACGTATAATGGACTTGGAACAGAACCTGGAATATACTAAATGGTTAAGTTTTAGTTGTTGTTACTGTTATTAAGCTGAATTTGAAAATGCTTTTAATTCTCATCTCCCTTTCAATAAAACTTGCAGTAGATATGGTTATTTTGTTTCTCTCTAATTAGTTTCTCTGTGTCTTTCAAACAAGCACTCTTTTGGGAAGGAGTCTTCCAGATAAGTGCCTCCTGAGTGACTTGAAATCTGTCACTTCCTGACAAGGGCAGAAGACAATTCCCAGTGACTGACCAGCAGTGATTCAGGTTCACTACCCAATCTGTCACTCATGTAGCACAGGAGTCTCAGCCAAGCCTGGCGGAACGAAAGGTTTAGGGTCAAACATTTGGAAATGTTCATTGTAATCACTAACTGTGGCACCTCCTCATATATGGTCTCACACTCTTAACCAGACATTACCTATATTTCTGACTCGTCTTTCCACAGAACATCATGTTCTTCACTGGCAGAGACTCTTCTCTACTTCTGCCACAATACCTGCCTGCCACAATACCTAGAAAATTGCTGTCCTGAAGCAGGTGTTCAGCAAATACATGCTGAACAACACTTCCTTGCAAAGCTTTGAAATGGAGAATTAATGGTTGACTAATGTATACAGATAGGGTGTCTATTTCTTCTGCCACAATGCCTATTTTAAAGTTTCCAAGCCCCCCATATCCTTTTACTACAAACTGTAACTTCTGCAGGTTCTCCAGAATCTGCACAATTGGATTTCACCACACCTAGCCAGTTTTTAATATGATGACAACAGCTATTGTTAAGTGCTTACTGGGTGTTGAGTGTTGTTCTAAGAAATTTACCTCAATTATCTCATTTATTACTCACAGCAATCATGTAAGCTAGGTACTGTTATTATATTCATTGTATAGATGAGAAACAAGGCACAAAGTTTTAGAGACACAAGTTTAGCAAGTAGTAGAGCTGGAATTGGAATGCCCCTTCCCTAGAAGACTGACTCCTGTTTTTCTCACTAAACTCCCATCCTCTTGGGACATCCCATCCCATCCACAGTCAAACTAGTCAATTTCCAAAAAAAAAAAAAAAGGTACCATTTGCATCCTGTCTTCATGCTTTCACTCTTATTGTTCCTCTAACAATAAGGGTCAGGATATCTCTTTATGCCTCTTCGTTAAAATCTTACTGCTAAGCAGATTCCTCACAATACTCTGCTATGTAGGTTTTCACATTATCTTAAACCTTCTAGAGTAGATCTTGCTTAATTAAGTGCTCTCATATATTGCTCATGTATGTTCTACTTCTACTAACAATCTGCTTTGATGGACTTTTGTCCCTAGAAATATATCCTTCTTTCCTCTACTCTATGACATAGGGTCCAGGGCTAAACTCATTCTATACTCAATATAGACTTAAGAATGAGTGGATTTTCAGAAGGCATTTGAAAGCACACTTGACCCTGAATTTCATTGTCAAATATCAACCAGGTGAGATCTTTACGGCCACTTCATACGAAAACACTGACACCACTAACTCTTCTTTAGTGTCTATGTGGAGAGTCTACATGGTAGTGACAGATGGTACGAAAGTGGACTGGGGGGTTCGATGACTTACGGGAGGCACCCAGAACAGGTGGGTGTAATTCAGCGTGATTACAAGCCACCTATGAAAGAGTGACACATACATTTCCGTGGGAATAAACAGAAAAAAAATCAGTAATGTCAGCAGAGTCTGTGTCTTTCCTAATGCCCACTCTAACCTAAAGGACAGGCAAGCAGGAGATGGTACAATCAAGAGCCAGGAGTCACATAAGCAAGGTACACACACCATTGCTCTAGAATCAGTTTCCAAACGTTATTTAGCAACCTTGTCTCCAGTGTTTGCTTTCTCTCTGGGCTCCAGGAGTAAAGGTCTCAGTTTCGTAACTGCAATACTGCTGCATCCAGTGTTCCTGTCAGAATTCCCTCTGGTAGCAAGGAGCATTTAGTTTACAAGCTTTCTGTCTGGGGAAGTTTTGGCTGGGTTAAGCTATGCAGGTGAGCAGGGCAAAAATAACTGGATTCAAAGTTGAGTGAACAATTAAAATCTAAGAATATGTAAAGCAAATGAATCCATGGTGGAGATATTTTTCCAGAAGCTTCCATTACTTCTGTATGTGCTATTTAAAATCCAGACTCAAGGCAAAGGCAGAAGGGGATCTCTTTCCTATCTCTGCTCATTGATTCCAGATGAAATCACAAACATGCAAAGTAAAATTTCAGGATCTGTTTAGTAACCAAGTTGGCATGTGGCTAATCAAGCCTAGTGTGGATTTTGGAAAAAGCATATACAATCTATTCAAAAATAACAAACACATGTCAAAAATCAAACAACAACAACAAAAAACAGTTGCAAAGAAAACTTTATAGATTCTCTCTTAAGCATATTTATAATAAAGAAGATTAGATTAGAAAAAAAAACACTAGTCTGGTGGGCATTCAACTGAATTGCAATCTAGTCCAGAGCCAAATTCTTCCCCCTGCCTACTGTGTACTCAGGTCTACCAGTGGCCTTATGCCATGTAAATGGAGTTAAAGAGGACATTGGGGCGTGGGTTTATCCAAGAAGAGTGAGAGGTTGATCTTAGTGGTTAGGGATCAGCGCAGAAGAATGAATGAGCAGGCCGTTTTAAAAAGAGCCTGTGGGTCCTGCCATTTGGCATCATGTCTTGGTTTGATCTCTTTATGTGGGTATTCACCCTCAGGTCTCACTTCCCCATTCATCGTTCCACTCCTCTGCATTCTTAAAACATCTCTGCTCACCTCTTGTTCTACATAATTGAGACCGCACAGCAACCACGTAGGGGTGATGCAAAACTCTTTTTAGAAAAAAAGTTATATATGACATGAGTCAGAAAACAGAGCTAACACAAGGATTCAACCCTAAAGCTGAATCCAGTTCTCCCAGGGTGGCTGTGGCTTCCTGGAAAAAAACATTTCTCCGATTATGAGATGCATTGCCAACTCCTTTATGCCAGCAGAAGTGGCCTGTGCCCTAAGAATATGTCAATTACTCCTTTCACCTGAAGGAATCATTCCCATTCATGCCTCTTTGTCTTTACTTATACTTCACTCAGCCCATTTTGATTACCCTTTCCAGTATTCTACATTCTGTGTCTATACAAAAGCTCTTCTGTTACTGGAGTTTTACTGCCTCTGGAAAGTTAGGTCCATTCCAATTTGGTTAGTTTCTTACTCCTTCGAGCTTCCAAAGCACAAAATTTTGTATGGAAGTTATTTGCCTTTAAAGTGCCGTGGACACACTCACATTCTGGTCTCAATGAAGAGCCTCTCTTAGAAAGAATGCAAAAGGTTTTTAAAAATTTTATTAAATAACATACATAGCATCACAACAGAGACCAATTTTATAGAAATATAGTTATACAAATATTAAATCAGTGTGTGACATATATATGATTAAGAAACTTAAAAAACAAGGCCTAGTAGCAAGTCTAATTATTATAATTTCAAAATAGTGATGAACTTAATAATTTCAAATGTTTGCAACAATGTTATGTGATGTGACAAACTACAAATCTAGTGAGAATGTGTAGGTATTACTAAACCACTGTGTGTGTGTGTGTGTGTGTGTGTGTGTCTGTGCATGTGTCTGTGTGTGGTGTGGTGTGTCCTCCTACATTCATAATGGGAAATTTCAAAATGCTAAATTAAGTTAGAGGTTAATGAAAACCGCTAATGGTTCCTGAATTCCATTAGGTTGAGAACCCTTGATTTATGACTTATTATTATATATTCATTGAATCCCTTATCATCTATCTTATCGTTGAAACTAGTTGGTAAAATCAGAGCAAGCACACATAGCTTATTCTTTCTCTATACCTCCTACAGAGAATGAACTCATTCTCAGGCCCTTGTAGGAACTAAACAAGAAATTGTTGACTATACTGAAATTAAATTAAACACCAACTTATGCATAGCTAAAATGTGCCAAGCCAAACACAAGCTTTACTAGAATTGGTTACTTATACTTTTATGTGATGTAAGTTCAGTTTTGCCTTGTGATATATTTACTTGTTTGCATTTCTATCTCTTCCAGCAAAATATGTTTTCTTAAAGGTGGATTCTACAGCCAGTTATCTCTGTTCAGGTAAAGGGAGCTCATATTAAAGCATCAGTAACAGTATATAGATGGAATAGGTTATTTTAATATAGTGAGAGGGAAGAATTGATATATTTCTCAAGAGAGTAAGGGGAGCCAAAGTTTGATGCAAGAATTTGGACTAGAGATTCTTGGAAAATTAATATAAATAGGAAAGCTAAAGCACAATGAGTGTGGTTGGGGCTTACAACATAATGTTCTTCCATTTTTTTACTATATTGCAATTACATTGTGTTCCCCTTTAGAATACAACATAATCTGTAATTGTCTGAAACATGATAGAATACGAAATATGATAGTGCATAAAATCAGCCTTGAAAATTCTAAAGTATTAGTCACACTTTCGTATATTCTAAAGAAACCACATTTTCTGTTTCACTCAGAAGGTAACAACAAGATCATTCTGTGATGTGACCTACACTTGGATATTATGCTTTTAATTTTTGTTTCTGGGAGGTGGCACGTAGGGGGTTTGCGTCAGACTTTAAAACATAGAAGAGGCCGGGCGCAGTGGCTCACACCTGTAATCCCAGCACTTTGGGAGGCCAAGGAGGGCAGATCACCTGAGATCAGGAGTTCGAGACCAGCCTGACCGACATGGAGAAACCTCATCTCTACTAAAAATACAAAAAAACAAAATTAGCCGGGCGTGGTGGCACATGCCTGTAATCCCAGCTAGTAGGGAGGGTGAGGCAGGAGAATCATTTGAGCCTGGGAGGCTGAGGTTGCGGTGAGCTGAGATGGTGCCATTGCACTCCAGCCTGGGCAACAAGAGCGAAACTCTGTCTCAAATAAATAAATAAATAAATAACACATAGAAGAAAGAGATATTGTGATAACTTCTCCATCTTATACAGTCACTCAACGCAATGTCTCAGTAAACAGCCAGCATATGCAATGGATGTCCCACAAAATTATAATGGAGCTGAAAAATGCATATTGCTTAGTGATATTGTAGGCATGTCAACATCTTAGGGCAACACATTACTCACATGTTTGTGGTGATATTGGTGTAAACTGCCTGCTGTATAAAAGTATAGCACATACAGGCCGGGCATGGTGGCTCACTCCTGTAATCCCAGTACTTTGGGAGGCCAAGGAGAGCGGATCACCTGAGGTCGGGAGTTCAAGACCAGCCTGACCAACATGGAGAAACCCCGTGTCTGCTAAAAATACAAAATTAGCCAGGCAGGATGGCGCATGCCTGTAATCCCAGCTACTCCGGAGGCTGAAGCAGGAGAATCGCTTGAACCCAGGAGGTGGAGGTTACCGTGAGCTGCAATCGCACCATTGCACTCCAGCCTGAGCAACAAGAGTGAAACTCCATCTCAAAAAAAAAAAAAAAAAAAAAGAAAGAAAGAAAAAGTATAGCACATACAATTATGTACAGTACATAATACTTGATAAGGATAATAAACAACTATATTACTGGTTTATGTATTTGTGTTGTGATTTTAAAGGGTACTCCTTCTAGTTATTAAGAAAAAGTTAGCTATAAAACAGCTTCAGGCAGATCCTTCAGGAGGTATTCCAGAAGAAGGCATTGGAGATGATTGTTCCGTGTGTGTTACTGCCCCAAAGACCTTCCAGTGGGACAGGATGTGGAGGTGGAAGACAGTGATATTGACAATCATTGATAATCCTGACCCTGTGTAGGCCTAGATTAATGTGTGTTTTTGTGTCTTAGCTTTAACCAAAAAGTTTTACAAGTAAAAAAATACAAAAATTTTAAAATAGAAAAACCTTATAGAATAAGAATATAAAGAAAGAAAATATTTTTGTACAGCCGTATATGTATGTGTTTTAAGTTAAATGTTATTGCAATTGCATCAAGTTAAGAAGATTAAAAAGCTTATAAAATAAAAAAAGTTACAGCAAGCAAAGGTCAATTTATGATTGAAGAAAAATATTTTCTATAAATTTAATGTAGCCTAAGTAGACAGTGTTTAAACAGTTGCTAGTGATGTACAGTAATGTCCTAGGTCTTCACATTCATTCCCTGACTCACCTAGAGCAAGTTCCAATCCTGAAAGTTCTTATATATGTACTGTTTTTAAATTTCGTATATCATATTTTGCTATATCTTTTTATATTTAGATATGTTTAATTACACAAATACTTAATTGCATTAGAATTGTCTACAGTATTCAGTATAGTAACATGCTCTATGTAACTAACCTGCACGTTGTGCACATGTACCCTAAAACTTAAAGTAAAAAAAAAAAAAAAAGAGCAGTAGGCTATACTGCATAGCCTAGGTGTGTAGCAAGCTACACCATCTAGGTTTGTGTAAGTTCTATGATGTTGGCACTATGATGAAATTGCCTAATGACATATTTCTCAGAATGTGTCTCCATCATTGAGCAACATATGAGTATTTTATAATAAAAATTAAAATACATGTTTCTAGAGAAGTAAGTTTATGGTCATCCAGTTTGTAGCGTTGAGGTCACTGGGAAGGTCATTGAGAAATTGGAAATAAAGAACTGAAATTTCGAGTGTTAGACTACAGCTTCCCTAGTCAGGGATTTAATAATTTTGGGGTTGCCATACTAAGGGCAAGGTGTACTAACTGGAGTTTCTGTAATGGTGGTTGTTAAGAGCATAGGCTCTGCAAGTAAACAGAATGAGATTAGATTTCAATTGACTATTTATTAGCTAAAACATATAATATATTTAGCATGATATCTGGATCATAAAAAGTGCTTAGTGAGTATGAATGTGTTATTACTGAATGGCTGAATGAGGTCATACATTGTGATAACATTTTGAAACTCTTTCAGAGTATGGGGGACTTCTAAGATAAAATTTTCAAAAGTAACTAATAAATTTGCTGAGGGAATGTAATAGGACAGACAAATTATCCTTGGGGAAGAAGCTAATAGTAAGAGAAAGGCAGACCAGAAGAGGAGTTACAGGAGTTATTGGAAAGCAGAAATGGACCTATAACAATATGGTAACATTCAAGTGTTACAGAGACAAAAGTTTTTTTTTTTGTTGTTTTTTTTTTTTTAATTTTACTTTAAAAGTTCTGGGATACATGTGCCGAATGTGCAGGTTTGTTGCATAGGTATACATGTGCCATGGTGGTTTGCTGCACCTATCAACCTATCATCTAGGTTTTAAACCCCGCACATATTAGGTATTTGTCCTAATGCTCTCCCTCCCCTTGCACCACCACCCTAAAAGTTTTAAGGGAAAATAAACCTGAGAAACTTCATCAACTGGATAATTAGAAGAAGATTAACAAAAGTGCAATTTTCTTAAAGTTTTGGAAATATCATTGAGGAAAATGTAAGAAATAAAAACAGTAACTACAGAGCGAACTTGTTGGCAGTGATTGGAAAGAGAAGTATCAGGCACTAAATGGCGGGTGTTGCAAGATCATAAAACATTTTTGATTTTGCTCTTGCTTTTGATTTGGAGGCAGGGCAAAGGCCAGGCAAACCTTTGGAAAAGGGGTGGAGGTGGCTGAAGATACAAACAAAAAATGAGATAATTGCTGAAGCAAAGTCCCTAAAGGGATGGAAAGAAAGTGAATTTAGTGTTAAATTGAGGGGTAAAATTTAGGAGGAGGGATATATCTTTTTCTAAGTCAAGAAAGATGTAAGAAATGTATATAGTTAGAGAATATTAAAGGTCAAAAGCTGGTAGATAAAGAAGCTCACACCAGATGACCTGGATCTATTCATTAAGGTACAAAGTATAAAGGTGCAAAGAGGAGTATTGCTGTCCTCCTTGGCCCAAGAACCAACCTGGAATCGTCAAGCTGAATACTCTCTTCCAGAGAAATCCTTGAGGCTAAAGAAGCTGGGTTGGCACAGAGCACTCCAGCTAAGGATAGCAGGTAGGGATGATGATGAATGGAAATGAAAGGGATCATATGTGAGATAGCACTTCAGAAGCAGAAGAACATTGTAAGTGGTCATCAAACAGTGCATGCCTATGGGTCAGTTAAGATTTGCCTAATTCATTGTTGAATACAAATCATAAAAGTTAACGAATATAAACTCTTTTTGGAGTTTGAAGTTGAGACCATTTAACCACGCACAAGAATTATGTGATGGAAAAGAGTTACTCAAATTTTCTCTTTTGGCATGAAAAAAGCAAGATTTGCAAATGCCCCATATGAAATCCAGCCTTTAAAATGCTGAGACCAGTTGGACATCAATAGAGTTCTGACACATACATGTAGAACAATTCTAATTCCACCCGGTTGCTTATTCCTTTCCTTGCATTATGCAGTGCTGACAGAGTGGCCACATTTCCCAAGAGCTCCCTTTTCCTCAACACAGATGTTTTTCCAATCTTGTTTTTTTTCAATTGAATATTTTATATTTACCCTTTTTTCTTTCTTTTTTTTTTTTTTTCATGATATGACTAATTCAAACTATGGACAAAATTTGACCTGGCCTCTGAGACAGTCACGTATCTGCCTTATTCCTCTGTCCATGAACAACTTTTCGGGGACTCAGGGGATGTCCCTGCAAATAACTAGATACTCTCCCGTAGGTGCCCAAGTGACAATTGAGATATATATTTTTGAATGGAAGTCCATTTTGTTATTTAAATATTCCTGACCTATACCTATTATTTTACCTTAGAGGAAAATGCATTATATTACCCCAGCATATATAAATTTGTGAATTTGTAAATTTTGTTTTACAGAGCATCTTCCATTTCAGACTTAAAAAAAATAACTCTAATGTGTTTGTGATGACTACTCTTTATAGCATCCTTTGGCAATTACATGTAGGTAGAAACATTTTATTTTTGACACATCTCTGAGTTAATCAGGTGGGTCTCTACTATCTGTACAGAATGCAGGCTGGAGGTCTGAATGTAAAATGCTAAGAAATATGCACACCCACTCAGATTACTGGTTTTTTAGAAAAGCATAGATGATAGAATGGGTAAGGGAGTGGAGGAGGGTAAAGGGAATTAAAGAAAAATTAATGCATACCAGATGTTGGATGGCAAGTTTCCACTCTGAGAATAATAAATGGAGGCATTGGGCTGCCAGATGAAGTTAAAGAGCATGGATACCAACTTAATTTAATAAGCAATTCTATGCTCTTCAGGGGGAAAGTCAGTGCCAATTGAGACAAATAATGATTATAAAAAAGTGCATTTTCCTTTCTTCTCTGTCCTCATCTTTCATTTTTATTTTGGCCAAAACCTATATTCTTAGACATGATCAGGATTCACAATGACCCCAACTTACCTGAGCTTTAAAAATCCAAGGACCATAATAACGAAGGCCCAATATCCCTGTGGTATCACTTCCCTGGAACTCCTTACAAAGGAGGAGCACACGGATCAAGAACCCCAGAGGAAATGAAAAAAACCCAAGTGGGTTCAACCAGTATTTTTCTGAGCATTTGCTATGTGGCCAGCAAATGCCTGACTCATCTATTGGTTATCTCATTCCTTAGTTAATGCTCTGGGAAGCTCTGTTAAGTTAGTTACTTTTTCAGGTTCCAGAGGGGAAATTTCAATACAGATATGCTATGTGATCAGATGAAGCATATAGTTTTAAGTAGTAGATGAAAATTCTGATTATCAGCTACTGTATTACAAGCCCAATGTATTATTCATGTTCCCCATATCTGCCTTGCAGCTAGTGTCAGCACTGTCTTAGTTTCATATAACTGCCATGAAAAAATTATCATCAACGTAGTGGCTTAAAGCAACACATATTTATTATATTGCAGTTCTCTGCATTAAAAGTCTGACAAACTGGGATAAAATGAAGATGTCAGCAGTGCTGTCTTCCTTTATAGAGACTCTAGGGGATAATCTGCTTCCTTTTTTTTTTTTTTCTTTCCAGTTTTAGGACCACCCACATTCCTTGGCTCATGGCCACCTCCCTCCATTTCAAAGCTAACAATGTTGCATCTCTCTGACCTTTATTTTTTTCATCACATTTCCCTCTGACTCTAGTTTTCTGTGTCCCTCTTCCACTTTTAAGAATCTTTGTAACCACATTTGGCTTCCCTAAGTCATCTAGAATAATTGTCCCATCTTGAGGTACTTAATTGTATCTGCAAAACCCCTTTTACCATAATGTAAGGTAACATTCATAGGTTCCAGAGATAAGGACATGGACATCTTTGAGGACATTATTTTGCCTACCACAAGCATACAATCTCTCAATCTCTCTGATGAATATTCCCCACCACCCCATTTAACATTGTTCCCAGGATTCATTTTGCAGTTTTGTTTGTGACTTTTCTTCATTTCACATTTCTGCCTACTGAATGCCATTCTTTATTCTTATGTTCTAGAATAGATTCATGGTTCAGAATTAATTGTCTAAACTAATTTTCTTTCTTGCCTGTGAGAGTGGGTATAATGTTACTTAATATGTATTACAATGTTATTGTATCAGGTTGACTTCTAGGAAAGTAGGCTCTGAGATGGAGGGTTTTAGGCAAGGTATTTATTAAGGATTTGTAACCAACATTTGAGTAAAGAAAGAAAAGTAAGCGTTTGTAACCAACATTTGAGTAAAGAAAGGAAAGTAAGCATAAGTGGACAAAGAGAGAAGTTGAACTGCAAAGAAGACCTAGAAATGGCCTCAGACTACCCAGTGGGGAGCTTTGGAGCTAGAATCATTCTTCAGAGACATCCTGAGTTAGGCTGGAAACCTAGGCTTTTACTTCTGCACTGATGTCTTTGATTAAAGATTACCTCTTACCACAGGCAAGGTAACCTCTAATGAGCCTGCCATCTATAAGCTGTAACCATCAACATCCTCTGTACAAGGATGTACAACATCCTCAGTGGCAAGCAACCTCTAAAGAGTCTGACATCTATAAGCTGTAACCACCAACATCCTTAGTGACTGCAGCAGGTCCTTTGTTGAAAAGGGATTTGGTGGCACATTGCAGTGCCCACTACAAATGTCTTCTGTCACGGCCTCCTGTTGTTGTTTGTTTTCTCTTTTTCATTTTGTTTTTCTCTCTTCTGGTGCTACAAACTGAAACTTCACATCTATCCAAAATGTATATGTTGAAATTTTAACCCCTAGAAGTAAATCACCAGATTTGCTGACGTATCAGGGTCCACCAGACACTGCAGAAATAATGAAAACATTACCTCAGAAATACAGAAACTTGTGTCTTAAGAAGAAGTTGAATTTGTCCACTGTGAAGATCCAGAATAATCACTGTGGCTGCTGTTTGTCATCAGACAAAATAATTACCTTTACAATAAGGGACTTCCAAAAATAATAATAATAAGACTGCTTTTTAGGGCAGTTTTAGGTTTAAAGAAAAATCAAGCAGAAAGTATGGAGAGTTTCTGTATTTCCCCCCTCCCACTAGTTTCCCCTGGTATTAACATCTTGCATTGGTATGGTACATTTATTACAACTGATGAACCAGTGTTGGAGTGTTATATGATTTCTAACTAACGTCCATACTTTACGTTATGGTTCAGTCTGTGTTGTACAGTTCTACAGGTTTTGAAAATGCATAAAGTCATGTATCTACCAATATCATACAGAATAGTTCACTGCCCTGAAAATCCCCCTATGCTCCACCTATTATTCCCTTCCCCTTTCCTCCTCTCAGACCCTGGCAACCACTAATCTCTTCACTACTTCTGTAGTTTTGCCTTTTCCAGAATGTCATATAGTTGGAATCATATGGTATGTAGACGTTTCAGACTGACTTCTTTCACTTAGCAATATGCATTTAAGTTTAATATGCATGTCTTTTTTTGTGGCTTGAGAACGCATTTCTTTTTTATTGCTGCATAATATTCTCTACAGTTGTGTATTCATTCATTTATTGAAGGACATCTTGGTTGCTTCCAATTCTTGGCAATTATGAATAAAGTTGTTATAAACATTTGTTAGCAGGTTTTGTGTGGACATAAGTTATCCATAGATCTTTTAAAAAGGATACATTTTATTAGATCAGGAGAGTTCCCTTTTACTCCTAGTTTACTGGGATTTTTTGTCATGAGTGAGTGTTGGACTTTGTCAGCTGTTTTTTCTGCACTATTGTGATAATCATATAGCTTTTATCCTTTATTCTGTGAATGTGGTGAAGTACGTTGATTGATTCTTTAAAAAATGCTTATAACAGCCATTGATTGATTTTTGAATGTTAACTTTCCATTCCTGAAGCAAATCTGAATTGGTTGCATTGTATTTTCTTTTTAATATTATTGCTGAGTTTGCTTTGTTACTATTTTGTTTAGAATCCTTTGCATCTATGTTCATAAACAAAATGGGCCTTAATTTAAAAAAAGAAACTTTAACCCTCAAACTGAAGATATTATTAGGAAGCGGGGCTTTTGGAAGGTGATTAAGTCATGAAAGTGCCTTTATAACTAGGATTAACACTGTTATAAAGGGAACTCCAAAGAGATTCTTCACCTTTCTGCCATGTGAGGACATATTGAGAAGACAACTGTCTATAAACCAGTGGGCCTTCTGCAAACACTAAGTTGGCTGGCACTTTGATGTAGGATTTCACTTCCAGAACTGTAAAAAAATTTCAATTCCTTATAAGCCACCTAATCTATGGCAGTTTGTTACAGCAGCCAAAACAGACAAAGATGCTTAATACCTTTTATTTTTACTTTGTTGTTTTCCTTTAACCATTATTTTTTTACTTCCAATAGTTTTGTGTTTATTAAGTTTTCTGTTTGTATATATTGAATGTGTTCATTTTGGGTTAGGAAGAAGACACAGGGCATTCTTCATGGCTTAAATACTACATCCTTTATTCTGAATATTATAAGATCATACCACAGAAAGTACCTATGGCCAAGAGCACATTTAGTGTGGTTTACAGTCCTCCAACAAGCATTTGGGGTTTAAAAGATTCTTGTGCTTAATCAATTGGATTTTCTTTTGTGGTCTCATTATAATTTGACATTTTTCCATATTTTTCTTCTTTGTTTATGTCCTTTTGTCATTATATCCTCCCACATTTCTTCTCCTTTCCAAAGACAGCCATTTTAGTGTGTATATTGGGTATATTTTTGTGGTTTGTGTGTTTGTGTGTGTGTGTGTGTGTGTGTGTGTGTGTGTGTTGTTTCAATTGTATATTGTTATTCTGTGCTCTACACTTACTAATTATCTCAGATAACCAGGTATAGCATTGGGTCTTCTGCCAATATTGCCATGCTTCTTCTAACCCCAACACCAGCACTGAATCTCACAAAATGGGAATCAAACATGCAATTTTATGCCATTAATGTTTCTCACTTTCAGCTATTATTTGACACTCCCTTGATAACTTCCCAGTTCAATCTGTGATTCCCTAACTTTTCAAAATGCAGCAGTCTTCAGTCTCCTCCTAGTTCTAATTCCTGTCTATGGTTTCCTCTAATTATTTCTATTATGTGAGTTACAGCAGGTTGAAGCATCTATTTCACAGATCTAAGTATGCTTGCAAACCTTTAATATTTCTTTGTTAGCTATCTTATTTCAAAAAAAAATCTGGCTTCAACCAAAATTTGCCAAAAATATGATCTTCTAAAATATCTTAGTTTAGGCCAGGTGCTGTGGCTCATGCCTGTAATCCCAGCACTTTAGGAGGCCAATGTAGACGGATCACAAAGTCAGGAGTGTGAGGCCAGCCTGGCCAACATAGTGAAACCCCATGGTGGCGGGCGCCTGTAATCCCAGCTACTCAGGAGGCTGAGGCAGGAGAATTGCTTGAACCTGGTAGGCAGAGGGTACAGTGAGTCAAGATCGTGCCACCGCACTCCACACTCCAGCCCGGGTGACAGAGTGAGGCTCTGTCTCAAAAAAAAAAAAAAAAAAAAAAATCTTACTTTATATTACCCAAATGTACCCCTGGCTGTTTAGTTTCCATGTCTTTGTTTATGTGATCTTGTTTGCTTGACACGTCCTCGCTTAGTCTCTGAAGTATGCATCCTTCTTATACTCCCAAGTTTTCCTCATAATCCTTCCTTATTAATGCTTGCCCTCATTTATCTCCTAGATGTTTCTCTTTCTCGCTCTCTCTCTCTTTCTCTCTACCCATCTCTTATATTTCCAGTGCTCGCTTTTACTCTTAGGTAGCCCAGAGCACACTCTGCCTTGCATCATATTGGCCAATGCAATGAGCACATAAGCTCCTTGAGGGTTAACATGCAATTCCTTATGCAATATATTCTCCACAGAATCTTGTACAGGGCTCTAGAAATATTAAATGTTGAATAAATTACTGCCGCGTTGCATTTAAAATGTAAACTCTTGCACTGAACGAAGTTTGAAAAGAGTTAGAAATTGTGAAATCGAGTTATTAAATACTAAAGAATTCACCAGAGAAAATATTGCAGCCAGAGTATACATCCTCAGAGGCCATATTCGGAAACCACTTGGTCTTTTTCTAAGACACAGTCATTATTTTTATAGCTGGGAAAGCCTGAGAAAATGTCCTAGTTCAACATATCACCTTTTTCATAGACCGATGCCAAGCTGAAATAAATTCTATGAAAAAATAAATATTCCAACGTGAACTAGAAAAATGCCCTTTTCTTGATCCTTGTGAGTTTTTTTTCTTAGCATTGATCTTTTTCCTTTAGTTTTGTGTACTATGGTGTTAGAAAAAATAGGCACAGATGATTGCATGGTTCATTCTCATTAAATGCCCTCTTTTCTTATGTCACAGACTCTGGGGCGAGATTTTCACAAGCACTTTGCTACAAGGAAATCTTTTGTCTTTCCATTTCTATTTCTAAACAAATGGAGATACATTCTTGCCCCTGCTTCTCATACAACAATATAACTAACTGCAACGTGGTATTAATGGCCATATTTTCTTAGAATATTATTTGGCGATATAAGTAATACTTAGGGTGACAATCAGGAAAAAAAAAGTTGAAACTATAGACATTCTAGTATATGGGTACAACTTATCTAAAAATAGCTATAAAATACCTATTCTAAAACTCTATTGTAGAAAGCACTCATCATGGTGACAAGACTCCACAATATAATGGCAAACATGAAATGCTATGTTCTTAGAGTTTCAAACTGCTCATTAGTATCTTAAAGTTTTAAGAAGTGCTACATAGAAGAAACTTGTTAAAATATTTTCATAACCAGGTTTTTTTTTTTTTGCCCTATATGACTCCTCTCAGTTTTTAAAAATTAACAGCTTAATAGCATTTACAAGATGCTAAAGATCTGCAAATCTTTACAAAAATAGATTCTGTTTCAGATAACAGTGCAGAGAAAATTGGCGGAGCTTGCAGTGAGCCCAGATCGCGCCACTGCACTCCAGCCTGGGCGACAGAGCAAGATTCTGTTTCAAAAAAAAAAAAAAAAAAAAAAAAAAGGAAAATTGTAGTTGGTTGGAAAAGGTAGAAGAAGTATATTTCTCATGGTAAAACAAGTCCAAACGTAGGCATTACATTGCTAATATCATGACTCTAGAGTATCAATGGGGACACAAACTCCTGTATTTCGTTTCTATCATTGTAATATGGGGCTTTCCTCTTCACAATCATTTCAGAGTGAAAAAAAAAAAGGCTGATGGTGCTTTGATACCCACATTAGTTCTGGAATCCAGAAGAAGGAGGAATGGTAGGATGGTAAAATCTAGATGAACTCTTTTTTTAAGAGACATTTAGACATTGTTATTGGACATTATTAATGTCCGATTATTACTGGACATTATTAATTATTTTAGCTGCTGCATGGTCATGTGGCTATACTTAGTTTCAAAGTTGAAGGGAAATGAAGGGAAATAGAGTCTTTAATCCTGGGTGGGCATATATCCAGCTAAAAGCAAAATTTGTGTTACTAAGGAGAAAAGATAGATTGGATACTTTTGTGGGAAACCATCAATCTCTTCAACAATTACTATAAATCTAAAGTGTTGGATTAAATTACTATTGTGTTGATTGGTCCTAATTTTCCAGCCATCCATTATTCATGCCTTCTGATAGTTTCTTTCCAGAGACTCTAGGCTGGACGTGAATTGTTTGGCCGATGGATTCTTTATAAACTTGCCACTAGTAGAGATTTTAAAAGTACTTGTGTGTTGCCGCTTCCTCTTTTGAACCCCTGTCATACCATGAGAACAGGCCCAGACCAGTCTCCTGGAAAAAGAGGAAGCATGTGTTCCCAGCCTCCCCATCCCAACTGAGGATATCCTAGAAGAGTTAACCGTTATACAATTGACATAGATAAATGAGCAGGCTCAGCTGAGATCAGCCCCAGCTGTCCCTGATGGGCAGAGCAATCCAGCTGACTTACAGACTTACAAGAAACCATAAATAGTTGTCTTAAGCCAGTAAGTTTCAGGGTGGTTTGTTACATGGCACAACTAATTGTAGCTAATTGATATAAAACAGCTGTCTATGTTCATTCTCTTTGCCAAACAAACTAGCTGAGGCATGACTAAGAATCGCAATAAGTGCATACTTGGGATATATTTGAAAAGCTAAGAAATAGCAAGAGCAAGAGCAATGTAGATTGTCGACTAGCCTCTCCTCTATTTCCTAGTTCCATTCAGTACTCCTATGTACTTGTTGCTAACAGCTGTTAAGGTAAGCCCCCTTTTCTAGAGATGATCTACAAATGTTATGCCCCACTTTATAATGTTTATTTGAATTTTACCAAGCCCTATCTAGTTCTCCTACAGTCTCCCTCTCAGGTAGAACCAATTGATTAATCCAATAAAATACTCCCTTGGCATACGCAGTGGCTCATGCCTGTAATTCCAGCACTTGGGAAGCCAAGGTGGGAGGATCTCTAGAGGCCAGGAGTTCAAGACCAGCCTGGTCAACATAGCAAGACCCCATCTCTTAAAAAAAAAAAAAAACTTACTTTGGTGTAATGTTATCAAAGTGAAGATCTACATATAATTATGCTATGCAAAATTTAGAGATTTTTCAGGCTACAGTATATTTCAGAATTAGTTCGTTCATCTATATAAATCTTAATATACTGGATTATTTTAAAGTGTTTACATTTGCAAAATATTCACAGGGAATGATGAAGAATACTTAAATTTGAGAAATACTGCCCAAAGGAATGTTAATTTGTACTGATATTTCCATTATGGAATGACCAAAATTGAAGGATGGGACACTTCATTGCACTTTAACTCATTTTAGAAAGACAGATGCCTACTTGATATACATGTATAAAGTACATGGACATACATCTGCAAGTTTATTCTTTTTTAAATAAGTTTGGAAAGACTTTTTAATTTTTATTTTATTTTTGAGACAAAGTCTCACTCCGTCACCCAGGCTGGAGTGCAGTGGTGCAATCTTGGCTCACTACAACCTCCACTTCCTGGGTTCAAGCGATTCTTGTGCCTTAGCCTCCTGAGTAGCTGGGACTACAGGCACGTGCCTCCATGCCCGGCTAATTTTTGTATTTTTTGTACAGATGGAGTTTCACCATGTTGTCCAGGCTGGTCTCGAACTTCTGACCTCAAGTGGTCTGCCTGCCTCAGCCTCTCAAAGTGCTGGGATTATAAGGGTGAGCCACCACACCCAGCCAAGTTTATTCTTTGGAATAAAGACAATTCATTAGCATGATTTTTGTTTTTACCTTGACAACTGGATGATGTCAGAATAATTTTGGTTTCAAGTAGATCCAACAGTATCTTCAACAAATAAGGGCTTATTTATTTTTTTCTTCAAATAACGAAGAGTCTGAAGATAGCTAGCTGCTGGCATCAGGTCAACAGCTCAACTATGTCAGAGTGACATCCAGATTTTCTTAATCCTTTACTCATGGTTAGCTGCTACAGATTTGGGTATCACACTCACTCCTGGATTTTAAAATGGAAAGAAGAAAGAACAGCTCCAGTGTATTCCCTAAACAAACATTTTCCAAGAAGCTTATGTTTTATTTGTCCAGAAGTGTTAAAAATTTATCTTTGGATGAAGGGAAGGCTAGGGGATAGCATACAATTCTAGGGTGTTGCAAAAATTGAAGTACATAAGGGAAATGAAGTGCTTAGCAGACTGCCTAATACATAGTAAGCCTGACAAATGAAGTATTGCAAAACCTGAAACAAACAAAACTGCATTGTTTTCAATTTTATAGTAGCATCATCTTTCATTGTGTTATGCCAAAATTAAATAAGAAGATTTCAGAGGGAAATTTATCGAGTTCCTACCATGTCAGGCATTATTCTTGGATTTGAGGACAAGTGAGAATAATCTAGACATTGTTTCACTATTCATAGAAATCACTTCTAGCAAGGGAAACATAATAAACAAATAAATGTCTTCAAGGACTGATAACACTGTATAGAAACTGTAAGTAGGTTAAGTGGTAGAAAGTGATTTGTGGTTGCCAGAGGGAATGAGAGGCATTGCTTCACCAAAGATAGTAAAGGAAGATCTTTCTGAGGCAGAGAGAGACCAGATTGATAAGAAGTAGAGCATTTCAATTTCATCCATGTCCCTACAAAGGACATGGACTCATCATTTTTTATGGCTGCATAGTATACATATGTAACTAACCTGCACAATGTGCACATGTACCCTAAAACTTAAAGTATAATAATAAATAAATAAATAAATAAATAAATAAATAAGAAATGAAAAAAAAAAAAGTAGTAGAGCATTTCAAACAAAAAGCTTAACTAGGGAAAGGGCCTTGAGCAGATGAAATGTTTTCTGTGTTAGAACACATGTCTGCCAGTGTGGCTGAAAATCAACTCATAGAATGAAGAGCAAAGAAAGATTAGATGAGCCAGTACAACAGGACTCTGTTATTTTAGGGCATTATATTTGAATATAGTATAATGGAATACCATTATATTTTAATCAGTACTGCTTATGATTTAATGATTGTTTTTTAAAGATGCCATGGCTCCTACATGGATGATAGAATAAAGGGCTGCAATATGGCACAGAGACCAATAGGAAACATCTATGTTGTTCTTGTGCTTAATTGGATTTTCTTTTGTGTTCTCACTATAATTTGAATTTTTTCCATATTTTCTTCTTTGTTTATGAACTTCTATCATCTTTGACTAATGTATTTCTCTCATTTGTACATTTAATAAATTGGAAAATCCAGGATAATAGATCCTGAATCTGATCACTGTATTTCCACTGCTACACTAACAGACATTTATATTTTTCATCTAGAACAGCATAGATATTTCCTGTTGGTCTTCAATTTGTTTATTATGTTTCTCTTGCTGGAAGTGATTTCTGTGAATAGTGAAACCACGTCTGCATTGTTCTCACTTTCCTCAAATCCAAGAGTAATACCTGTTGCCGTAGGAACTCAATAAATCTCTCACTCAAATTGTCTGATTTAATTTTGGCATAATACAATGAAAGATAATGCTACTGTACAATAGAAAATACTGAATAGAGTTGTTTTGTTTGTTTCAGGTTTTGCCTTTATTTGAAGTATCTTTAATTTTGAGCTTTTATTGCGATGGTCATGAATTAAATGTCTGATTAGTTTCCTCTATAGTTCGTATTTTCTTCTGTCTACTTAATTATAATTAGCTACACTTTTCACTTTCTTTTGAATAGAAAGGAGAAATTATGAGACTCTAAAATATAATATCTTCAAAGAGACATCTACTTTATATCTTTTGCTTTTAAATCGGTGTTTTAACAAATCGATCCATAGATACGTAGCTTGAAAAAATCTCAGATTTGTTTTTAGAAGCTCACTGCATGTTTTAGCCCCCAAGGATGAAGTATCAGAAACAGAGTTAAAACAGTGCATTCCACAATTTAAAAATCTTTACCTATGAATAAATAGTTCCTTAATTCCTTGCTCTCTTTTGTCATAGTTGTGTGTCTGTAATACAGAGCCACTAGGTGACATAATTTTTCTTTTGTAGTCTCTCAACTGGCTGAAAAGTAGCCAAATGAATAATCTGGCATAAGTTTTCTGCTCTTGCCTCTGAAGGCTGGTACAGCAGTTGAGCAGCTTATTTAACTGTCCTGTACTCTCGCTTCAGGTATACTCTGCAGGATTGTACTTTAGCACCAAGTATTATTTAATCACCTAAAAGAAAAAAACTCTTTTGCCCAGAAAAAACTCCATTTGTCAATATACCCATAATACCATCATTTCTGGTAAAGAGTACCAATTGGAAAAGTTTAAGAGCTCGCGTAATTTCTCTGGCAGCAGCTACCCTCTGTGTCTATGCAGAACTTACTACTGGTGCTACATTCTAGAAGAAGATTCTCATGGAAAGGGGAAGAGAGAGGGGGAAGAATGCCAGAGTCCTAAGAGCATGGTGTGGGCCTGGCCAATTCACGAAATCAAGCCTTTTCAAATTTTATAGAAATGTGTTATTTCAAAGCACTTTCACAGTTGTTATATTATTTTCACAATGACCCTGTAGGATACGTGTAAAGCAGACAGTATCATTCTCATTTTACAGATAGGAAGACCAGCATAGAGTTCCTGTCTCAATTTCCATATTGCTCCTAATGTCACCAGTATTTTTCCCAAGCAGAGGACCTTAGTGTTCCCTTGGAAGTTCATCTCTTCATTACTTTTCAGTAGAATCCACTGAGCTCTCATAGGATTTCTTCTTTATACTCCATCTCTGGCACTAGCATTCTAGACCACAAATCCTTTCCACCTGCCTAGATTACTTCCATAAATTTTCAGATGTTCTCCCTAGCTATGTTCTCTTCTCCTTTTAGATTGTGTTCAGGAGTTAGACAGTTACAAGGGATTGGTCAAATAAAAAGAATGTTCCAGAGAAAGAGAATGCCAGCTTGGAGTATTCTTGTTCAGTGTTACTGGAGATTGGAGTAGAAGATAAGGAGTTGTATGAGATGAGGCTAAAGATGAAAGCAGCGGGCATATAGCTATTTATATTCTATGCCAAGGAAGATTTATCCTGAAGGCATGAACTTTATTCTAAAAGCAAGGGCATTTTAAGAGCTTTACATATGAAAATGGCATAATCAAATATGGATCCTCAAACACCACACTCAGGTTATAAAGTGAAGAAAATATAATAGTGCATAGGGAAACCAGTACAGTACAAAGAATAGGAGATAATTTGAAAGTCTGCATCAGTAATCTAGTCAAGTCATTATGGTATTCCGCATTAAAGTATTGGCAATGGGGTACATAAAGGTGAGTTGCTTGCTGTTTGAAATTATACAGCAAGTAGAGTTAAAGTATATGGTTAACAATTGGAAGTAGAAGTGACTATTTTAGAAATCAAGAATAATTCAGTAACTCTGACTTGAGAACTAGTTTATGATGCTGTTCTTTCCTGAGTTGATAACACAGGGGTTAAGTTTCAATTTGGAAATGATGGGTGTGAGGTGGATACATCCAAATGGGAAGATGTCTCATGGGCAGTTTAATGTACATGCCAGAGGTTCAGGAAACATAGACACTTAAGTGTCATGAGTATAAATGGAGCAGCTGCTGAATGAATACACAGATGCTTGAATGGAGCCTTGTTTAGGCAGGATGCTAAAAAGGGTGCCGTTTATCTCATTTGCCTTTTCTAGTTTGGGCACCAAGTTGGGATCAAATATATCAAGGAGTTCTCTATTTGGAACAGATATATTTAATTTTAGTAAAATACCAAAAAGGTGATATAAAATCTAAAAAAACCTAATATACACAGTCAAGTACTTAACTATCAACAAGGCATTATTTTAAATCATTTTCTTTTTATGTCATTTAATCTACCCTGAAACTCAATAGTAGTCCCACTTTACAGCAGCTCAAATACATAAAATAAAGGATCCTCATTTGATTAGAAATCCAAGGATGGAATCAAATTACATATAAAGTTTCCTGAGACTATGTGATTAATTTACATGTATTAATGATTACCATATGTCTAGTATCACACTAGATATTGGCCGCCAAAGTTCATATTTTAATTATTTTATGTTAAGCTAGCTACAACGGATGCCCAAAATGGTACTATTAAATATAAATATAGACACATATACAAGCAGTTAACCAAAGTAAGCTCCAACTCATAGACACCTAACCTCAATGTATTCTCTGCCCCTCTGTATACTGAGACCACACAGCAAGAAGAGCCGTCTTTTTTTTTAGACGGAGTCTCGCTGTCTCCCAGGCTGGAGTGCAGTGGCGCGATTTCGGCTCACTGCAAGCTCCGCCTCCCGGGTTCACGCCATTCTCCTGCCTCAGCCTCCTGAGTAGCTGGGACTACAGGCTCCTGCCACCACGCCCAGCTAATTTTTTTTTTTTTTTTTTTGTATTTTTAGTAGAGACGGGGTTTCACAGTGTTTGCCAGGATGTTCTCGATCTCCTGACCTCGTGATCCGCCCGCCTCGGCCTCCCAAAGTGCAGGGATTACAGGCGTGAGCCACCGCACCCGGCCGAAGGGCCATCTTCTTGCTCCCACTGCTGCTGAATCTTCATCCGTGAAATCCTGACACGGTGGTCTATGGAAAGTTAGTTCTCCAACAGTGAGCAAGGTTAACAAAGATCTTGTTGCTTTCATGCCCTATCTCCTGTTTGAAGAAATCTTCAGACTAACATTTCTGACTTCCTGTCTATATCCTATTTTTAAGGTAATGCTATTTGAATGGTCTCTTCACAATTTAAATTCTGTATTCCCATACTCTTGCTCATGGGGATTGTTTATTGGGCCCCCTGGTTCTCTTTCTAATTCTCCTTGATAAACTGAAGTTATCTTAGGTTAATTTCAGGTTACCTTGCCCTTACCCGAAGTAGGCTGGGATATTCTTTAAGTATCTGCTTTTTTGGACATATCTAGATTTTTGTACCCTGACTCGTCACTTTATTCTAAGAACTATCCATTTTGTACTCATCCTTTCTCCTTCGGATTGGTTTCCTCACAAAGGCCAGAGAGACTTGTTATTGGACTGCTGATCGTTGCTGAGTTTTGGTGTCTTTGGTCCTGTGGTGTTCCTCTTCTTCTCTGCTTTGACATCCATTTCCCACTCTTTCCTTGCTTTGCTCTGTGTCACGGAAGTCTGATCTCTGCAAACTATATTTCTCTGGCTCCTGAATAGTTTTAACTAGCAAATGGGAAGTGTTAGCCATAGGTTGGAGACAGGAAGGAAGGGACCGTCCAGGGAACTGCTTCCCCTAGGCTCCATGCAGCAGTTCCAACAGTGGCTGAGTCAGCTTCATGAGTCTGGCTTTTAGAGGGTGCTGGCTCATGGTCACTGTCACCTCCACCTCTTTTAACACTCCAGTGCTAGGAGTGTTACCAGCTCTCTTCTGTTGTTAATCTTTGGGTTGTTTCACTCTCCTCTGGCTTTTTGGCATTTCCAGTACTTGTATAGCTATTCTTGGTGTTAAATGTCTTCCACCACACTATGGCTATGAACTGTGTTTTCCTGACTGGTCCTAGGCCTGTATGTCTTCTACCTCTAGCTGCACTGGAAACTTCCAGCTGATCTGAACTGAATATGGATATCATAACGATGGTCTAAAGGCAAACGTATTTCCCTTATTCAGTCTTGATTCTTCTCTATCTCTCTGTCTTTTTTTTTTTTCCACACTCTCCTTGATTTTTCCTAAAGTTATTTTCTTTCGGGGGCCAGGCTCAGTGGCTCACGCCTGTAATCCCAGACCTTTGGGAGGCCAAGGTGGGCAGATCACCTGAGGTTAGGAGTTTGAGACCAGCCTGGCCAACATGGTAAAACCCCATCTCTACCAAAAATACAAAAAATTAGCCAGGTGTTTGTGGCGGGCGCTTGCAATTCCAGCTACTCAGGAGGCTAAGGCAGGAGAATTGCTTAAACCCAGGAGGTGGAGATTGGAGTGAGCTGGGATCACACTATTGTACTCCAGCCTGGGTGACAAAGTGAGACTCCGTCACACACACACACACACAGTTGTTTTCTTTATACTTGTTTTTTCCAGACTCCTTGGTTTGGTTTCACTTGCTTGTGTGTTACTATAGTTTGTTTGTTACCATATTCCATACCTTTCTGTATTGGAATTATTACTTGTTTATATCATAAATAATATAGTTGCCAAGATTTTTCAGCCTTTTTATACAGAAAGCTAAAATTTAGACTCTGTATATACATTTCCCCTCAATAGATGTCAATTTCATCTTAAGTTCAAATCTTTTCAATGTGAAAAAATATGATCCTTTATTTTCTACAAAATTGTTAGCTATAGCTCTTAGCAGATACCCAAAAATTCAGAAGCAGCTTTTGAATTTCTGCTAAAAGAGTGGACTTTATTACCTTCCTTGGCTTTTGTAAGGAAAAGAGGCATTTTCAGATATTAAGTCTTGATTTATTATACTTGCACTTAGTCACACACACACACGAAACAGAACAACAACAAAACAAAATTTTTCTCTGCCTACTTTTTCTTTTGCATCATTAATCATTCTATCTCTCCAGGGTTGGCATTTGAAACCATTTCAGGCACGTCTACATATATAGGTTTTAAGAATATTCATCACATTCTATATTTTAATAAAATTATATATTTTTATTTCCTCAAAAATAATAAACTTTGAATAACCTTTGTCTTAATCACATTTGAACATCTAACAGCCTATTCATCACACTTTGCATATAATAAATGCCAATAGTTGTTAGTTGAATTGAGCTAAATATAAAAACACTCAAATATGGAAATGTTTAAAAATCAATAGTAATTTCTTGTCACTTTAAAATATTGTTAGCCAAATTCTTTCTATCTTTTCTTAGTACATAATGCTATTTAAGGCTCTGAAAGTAAGTATGCTTCCATAGCATCCTGCTTGAAAAAAATTTGTGGCCCAGATTCCATAAGATTATGATGGAAATAACTTCTGGTAAAAAACCTGACACTTTGAAAGAGATCAACAAATGGATGCTGTTGAATGAATGAATTACCAGTTACTGAAGCTAATAATGAACTACATCATCCTGACTCGGCCCAGACCTGTACATTCTTTCTTCCACTTCTAATTGCATTGGAATCTTCCAGCTGTTTTAACTGAATATGGATATGACAATGATGGTCTAAAAATAAAAGCATTTTTATGACTCCTATTTTATTCATGTTTTCATGCTTATGATTCTTAGCCACAAATATTTTCTCAATATGCTTTTAAAAATTGAATAAGATAATTTTTAGAGCTTGATTTTCACTTGCTTTGATTCCTTTGTAGTCTAAATATGAGTTTTATTGGTAGAGGAATAGAAAATACTATATTGTGCTAGGAAGTATTTTGGGGATCCTACCTTTCAACAGTGTATTTTACAATGATATTCTTTTTATCATGTTGTTAATATTTAGCTCATGATAAAATCCTTATCCTTGGATCCCAGGTAAAATTAAACAGTATAACAACAGTTATCTTAACCTTCTACACATAGTTTTTTTTGGTGAATATTTGAAGGTAGGAGAGGCATCCTATTTGACTGTGTTTTTTTAGAGCTTCAAATGCCATCACACTGTACCCAGTACAGTGTTGTTGCAAATGACAGGATCTCGTACTTTTTATGGCTGAATAGTATTCCACTGTGTATATGTACCACATTTTCTTTATTCATCTGTTGATGGACACTTAGGTTGCTTAACAGTGGCTATTGTGAATAGTGTTGCAATAAACATGAGAGTGTAGATATCTCTTCAATATACTGATTTCCTTTTAGTTTTTCAAGGAAACTCCTTATTGTTTATACTGTTCTCCATAGTGCTTGTACTAATTGACATTCCCACCAACAGTGTATGAGGTTTCCCTTTTCACCACATCCTTACCAGCATTCATTATTGCCTGTCTTTTGGATGAAAGCCATTTTAACTGGGGTGAGATGACATCTCCTTGTAGTTTAAATTTGCATGTCTCTGATGATCAGTGATGTGGAGCACCTTTTCATATACTTGTTTGCCATTTTTGAGAAATGTCTATTTTAGATCTTTTGCTCATTTCTAAATCCAATTCACAGAGTTTTTCAAACTTAGTTGTTTGAGCTCCTTATATATTCTGGTTATCAATTTCTTGTTAGGCAGAGACGCTTATTCTGTCTCCTTACTTTCCTCCAAACAAATGGAGTCTTCTCTCTATGCTGAGCTGCCTGGGTCTGGGAAAAGGGTGACATAAGCTCTCCTGTGTCCACCACCACCACTGGGACTGTGCTGCATCAGACCTGAAGCCAGCACAGCACTGAGTCTTGCCCACAGCCCGCAGTGACCACTGCCTGTCTATCTTCACTCAAGGCCCAAGGGCTCTCCAGTTAGCAGGTGGTGAATCCAGACAGGCTTGGGTCCTTCCCTTCAGGGCAGTGAGTTCCTCTCAGCCCTGGGAAGGTCCAGAGATCCTGTCAAGGAGCCCAGGCCTGGAGTTGGAAACCTTAGGAATCTACCTGGTACTCTATTCGACTGCAGCTGAGCTGGCACCCAACGCACAAGACAAAGTCCCTCCTACTCTTCCTTCCCCTTTTCTCAATTGAAGAGTCTTGTTCCATGGCCACCACTGCCCCAGGCCCACAGTGAGCATTGCCTGGCTACTCCGATATTCACTTAAGGCCAGAGGGCTCTTTAATCAGCTTGTGGTAAATGCCTTCAGGCCTGGATCTCTTCCTTCAGAACAGTGGGCTTCCCTCCGGCCCAGGGCAGGTCTAGAAATGCCATCCAGGAGCCAAAGTCTGAAACTGGGAAACCAAAGGAGTCTGCTTTGTGCTGTACTCCACTGTGGCCAAGCTGGTACACAAGCTGCAAAAGTCTCCTTTACTCTTCCCTCTCCTTTCCTCAAGCAGGAGTCTCTCCCCATAACCACCACAGCTGGGAATGTGCTGGGTCACACCTGAAGCCAGCAAGGCTCTGGGTCTCTTTGAGTCTCTGAGCCAGGGCCCAAAGCAAGTACTGCCTGGCTACCACTGCTGATTATTCAGGGCCCAAGGGCTCTTTAATGTGCAGATGATGAATCTTGCCAGCACTGGGTCTTTTCCTTCAGGGAAGCCCAGGGTGTGTCTACACGTGCTCTTCTGGCCCAGGGTGTGTCTAGACGTGCTATCTGGGAGCTAGGGCCTGGAATGTGGGCCTTAGAACTCTGTCTGGTACCCTATTCTACTGTCAGTGAGCTGACCCAAGTTGCAAGACAAAGTCCCCTTTACTCCCACTTCTCCTCTCTTCAAGCAGAGGGATGGAGTCTCTCCCAGAGCTGTGAGTTGCACTGCCTGGGGTTGGGGGAGGGGTGATGCAGACACTCCCTTGGCTGCCCTAGCTGGTGCCTCACTAGGTCAAATGTACCCCAAGTGCACCGCCTTTGAGACCAGCACAGCACCAGGACTCGTCCAGGAATTGTAATCCATATGGCCTAGACTGCCATTTCAAGTTTATTTAGGACCCCAGAGCACTTTAGCCCATGATGGCAGGGCTTGCCCAAACTCAAGTTCCACTCACTGGCATGGATGATTTGCCTCCGACTAGGACTGGTCTAAATGTTCTGTCAGCCACCAACCGAGTTCTTCACTGTATTGCTTTCCACTGTTACACAATAGCTGAGCTCCGAGGCAACATGTCACAATCCCTGTGCTCTTCCTCCCCCAGGTGCACAGATTCTCACTCCATGCCACATATCTGCTGTGGGGTGGAGGGGAGGGTGATGTAGGCAATTCAAGACTGTCTTTCCTATCCTCTGCAGTGCCTCTTTCTTTAATATGATGCTAAAAATCAGATATTGCGATTGCTCATCTGGGTTTCTGTTCTTATGAGGATGCTTTTTTGTGTGGATAGTTGTTGGATTTGATGTTCCTGTGGGGGTGGGGGTGGCAATCATTGGAGGCTTCTATTTGGCCATCTTTCTCTGCCTCCCTCTCTGATTATTTTATTTTTGAGAGTTCTCAGGAGGCTATATGATGCAATTCATGATATCTCTTACTACACTTGTAAAATGCTTTGCACATAAGTAAACTATAGAGCAGTATACAAATGGATATTGGTGTTTAGTTATTTTTGACCAATTGTTCTCAATATTAGCTTAAAAATATGACATACTATCTTACGTAATGTTTTAAATAAAGATATATATGGAAAAAGATGACAAATTCAGATCAGTTCTACTTTTCCTATATAATGATTAAATTGTACCATGTTTTAAATGGTGCTTACGTATAATTAATTAATTATTATTTGATCTATGCCGTAGATCCTTGCCCAAGTTTTTGGAACATGGACTTTGGATGGAGATCTGGATGCAAGGACTTTAGAGTGGAATGAACCAGGGGATTCCACCTGAATTCATGTGAGAGAAGTGGGACTGGGAAGAAAGAGAAGGTGAACTGCAATGCAAGTTAAAAGGAAGCCTCAGAAATCCATGGGAAGCTCTGAAACTGGAGTGACTGTTCAGAGATAGTTTAAGTGGAAGTACAAGGCCCACTTATATTTCAGCATCAACCAGCCACTCTGTGAACACAGATGTGAGGGTGGGAATATACAATCCAGGAATGATCGCAGATGTGAGGGTGGGAATATACAATCCAGGAATGAACACAGATGTGAGGGTGGGAATATACAATCCAGGAATGAACACAGATGTGAGGGTGGGAATATACAATCCAGGAATGAACACAGATGTGAGGGTGGGAATATACAGTCCAGGAATGAACACAGATGTGAGGGTGGGAATATACAATCCAGGGAGGGGGCTCCCTTCAGGTAAAAGTATTATTAGATTGGTGCAAAAGTAATCGCAAAAGGTATTTTGCCACTTTTAATGGCAAAAACGCAGTTAATTTTGCACCAACCTAAATACCTGGGAGGGACTCGGCTTTTGCTTAACAGTAGCCTATATTTCTGGCAGAGAGAGAAAAATAGATCACAGTCCAGAGGAAGAATCTATATAGCATACCCAGCCAATCTCTGTTAAATCTAGAATAATTTTCACCAATTTTTTTCTATTCTGAGTAAAGTTGAAATCATAGAACAACATAGCATGACAGAACCTTGGAGATTATTTAATTCCACGTCCTCATTTGATTGATGCATTAACATTAAGTATATTTTTAAGGACATAAAATATATACAGGATTAAAATCAAAATGATGTAGACTTTTTCTTGACCTCTTGACTCTTATTTTCTACTTTATTAGCACAGATAATTTTTGAAGTTGTGGGTTTTAGTCAAAGATTTGAGTTTAAAATGGGCCTGTACTATTAACTGGATGCAGTATATAATTGATAATTTTAAAATGTTTCCTGAATAAGTAATTTAATAAAAGGAAAATTCATACAATAGCCCTGAAGAGCAGGAGGCATGAAATAGCCAGCAGTACTAGCTACATGATCCTCAGTTTCTTCCTAAGTGCACATAATATTAACCTTGTGTTATGATTGTGTGAATAAATTAAGATGTGCTAAGTGCTTTTCTTAATGTTTATCATGTGGTCACTGCTTGTTGAATTCAAGTTGCCTACTGCAAATTCCTCTATGTGAGCTTTAATGCCTGAATCCAGCTTGGAGACTGATATGAATAAGCCATGAATTAACTACAAAAATGATCATTATGGCCTCAACTTTGTACAATGAATGTCAATTGTTAGTTTAAATTGGCCACTCTGTAAGATCAGACATCCATAGCCACATAATGACCATATTCATGACCAATCTGGCCTTACTCTCCCTAACAAACTTTGAATTTATGACTTCCTAACCAACTTTGAATTAATGACTTTCTAACATATCCTCAATTGTAGTGGCCATGGTCTATTCACTTTCCTATGCTTGCCACATCAATTTCTCCTTCCAGCCACGAAGTATGACGGTCCACACTAGTCTACTCCAGGAAATGAATGGTCACCTCCTTCTTATAGAGCCACATCTGAATGTCTTTTATCCCTTTTGCACACAAGGGGTCTATGCATTATTTCATTTCCTGTATTTCTTTATATTCTCTGAAGTCTTTTAGCATTTACTAATACATTGTATCCTCTTTTTTAAATCAGATGTTTGGGAGTAATTTATATATAGTAAAATTCTACTTCTGATTGTACCATTTGATGAACTTTGACAAATTTACACTGTCCTTTAACTAACACTACCATCAAGTTATAGAACATTTCCCTCACCACAAAAGAAAGTTTCCTTATGACTCTTTGTAGTTACTCCTGTACTCTCCCACCCCAACACCTGACCTTGAACCTATTTTCTGTCTCCATAGTTTTTGCCTTGTTCAGATGTCATTTAAATGGAACTGTACAATATATGTGTCTTCTGGCATTATGCCTTTTGGATGTTTCCATATTGTTCTATGTATTGATAGTTTATTTTAATGGTTAAGTAGCATTTCATTATACAAAAATGCCACAATTTGTTTATATATTTACAAAACCGATGGCTATTCAGCTTTGCTCCAGATTTTGGCTCCTATGAATAAGGTTTATGTATTTACATTCAGATCATTTTATGGAGAAATTTTTCTTTGGAAATAATTCTGAATTAGAGTGCTGGGTTACAAAGTAGGTGTATGTGTAACAGGATATGGAAATGCCAATCATTTTTCCAAAATGCCTGTACCATTTTGCATTACCACAAGCAATGTATGAGTGTTGTAGTTGCACCACATATTCACCAAACTTGGTATTGTCAATGATATTTTTCAAACTTTAGATATCAAGTAGGTATGTAGTGACATGTCATTGTGGTTTTAATTTGCATTTTCCTAATGACTAATGATTTTGAGCATCTTTTCATGCCATTCATACTCTTTGGTGGAGTGTCTATTCAAATCTATTGCTTATTTTAAGAATTATCTTCATATTAATTCCTAAAAGTATGTATATATTCTAAAATGCCTTTATTAAATAGGTGTTTTGCCCATTTTTCTCTCCTAGTCTATAGCTTGTCTTTTCAATCTATTAACAGTATATTTTGGGAAGCAGAAATTTTTACTTTTGAAGAAGCACAATTTATTTTTTTCTAAGTTATTTATGTTCATATCCTGTTTAAGAAACCTCTGCCTAATCAGTAGCCATGAAAGTTTCCCCCATGTTTTGTTTTAGAACTATTGTAAATTCAGCTCTTATATATTCAAGTTAATCATCCATTTAGTTGTTCCCTGTCTAAGACATGAGTTAAGGGCTGAGGCTCATTTTTTTGTACATGATGTCCAGTTGTTTCAGTACTATTTGTTTCAGTACTATTTAGTGCTTAAAACCATTCTTCCCCCTTTGAATTACCTTGGTACCTATTTTTTGTAAAACAATAGAATATATATGTACAGGTTTTTACCTTTCATTTTGGATTAGTGGAGAGATCAAAATTTTGGAATTATATTAGAATTTAAACCCTGTCTCTATCATTTTCTAGCTGTTTTTCCAAGTCCGTTTATCATAAATCTGTGTCCTGATCTAGGAAAAGGTGAGTATAATATGTGACTTTTGAGGTTTTTTAAAAAAAGTCTGTGAAACAAGTAAGATACATCAATTCTTTTTGTGTCTAGCAGATACAAAATACTGGTATGTCTGTTTCTTTCTAACAATTTGTGAATCTTTCTTTCCTAATTAGATTGGTAGCCTCTTAAAGACAGGGGCTAATTTTGCTACCCTTACAACAGGAGCCACAAACTCCAGCATAGAAGTTGTGAAGACACTGAAGGAGGTTTGAGTCTTCCAAGAAGGTATTGAAGGGAATGATCAATGATGTGTAAGCAAATTATTAAACTAATCCAGGCTCAAGGGATGTCAAGAATGTTGGGATGTGACTACACTCTTGAATAAGACACAGTGCTTTGTGTCACCTCTTCTTTGTTCAACAGGACAAGAAATCAAACATGAATCCTAGTGGTTCAGACCAAGGGTTTGATGGCATTTTTTTCTTTAAAAGCCACTATATTATTTTACAAGGTTTTTTCTCTCCATTCTGAACGCTTGAAATTAAATGTTTATTTAAAATGCACAAAATTCCCATCCATAAATCAGGCAGTGTTGATGATTACTTCAGGAAGGTTTTATGTAAGAAGAGGCAAGAGTTCATTGCTCTCAAGGAATTTGTTATTTAAACTAGATGCAGCTATGTTTCAAGGACAGATTGTTGAACTGAAAGTCAAATAGTTCAGCTCAAATTCCACTTCTGGCTTTTAATAGAAAACAAGTTGTTGACCAGCCTTAATGTCAACTTTATTATTGGTAAATTGGCGCTAATTTCACCTTAAAAGCTCTTTGCAAGTCTGAATGAGATAATGTGAAAGCACTTTGTAATCATTAGTATCCTATACAAATATAACTCATTGTTATTAATAAGACTCAAAGCCAACTTTAGAAAAGACTATGTTACTTGTTGATCAATGAAAATGACCCCTGGAGACCTCCTTCCCCAAATCAACCCACATTCTACTAAGATGTAATACTAGTTGTCATTTAACCATATGTAACCCATTGCTTTATGTTAAGTAAGCCTTTTCAGGTTTTCATTTAAAATGGAAATGCCTCTCAGAAGAGGAGAGTAATAATTAAAGTCACAGCTTGCAGTGAATAGGTCTCAAGGACCTTTATTTTGATTATAGCAGTAATTTCATGAGAATATATATCAACAGTTAAGAATGTATGTGATATGCAATTCATTGTATGTCGATTGTATCTCAAGAAACCCGTTAAAGAAATGTCAGATTTCTTCCATTTAACCAATAAATATCTACTGAGCATCTAACATGAACTATCCAAGATACAGGTGATAGGTTAGTAAGACGGAATGGTCCTGATAGGTTCAGATCTTATGGAGAATATAGATTCTAAGAAGCCACTACTGTAAAATTTTATGTATGTTATACTATGATAAGTACAAGTTATTCCAAGAACATAGACATAACTTATTAAAGATTGTGTTGTCAATATTCAACACAACACCATGCAGTTCTAACCATGCAGGTCAGCAAATCCTCTAGGTCACTTACGAATTTGTTGCAGTTTCTATATATTCAAGTGGATTTGTACCTTATGCCCCTGCATTTTGCTGCCTTAGGGTTTTCCTTGGTTGCAGGGACATGATCAGTTATCACATGGGGCAGGCTTAAAAAGCCAGAGGTAAAGAGAGAATGCAGACAATAAACTATGAGAATTGCTGTATAAATCCCCAACTTTCTTGCCATCTTGTGGGACAATTCTAAGCTATTTTCCATATGATTTCTCAGACTAGCCCAGAGATGGAGACCTAGTCACCCACTCTGGTAAACTCTCCATTAATACACCATTTAGAGCTGTGGTGTATTGCACCTCCCTTCCTGCTTTTAGGTCCCTACTTCCTCATTATGCTTCCCAGGATCACCTTCGCTAAGATCTACATGTACACAAACTCTGGTCCTGGGGTCCGATTTTTAAAGACCCTAAATTAAAGCATTTCTTAAATTGGTATTATTTTAATGTATTTTATATTTTATATAATTTTTTGCTGTGCGGAAAATAGTTTGTAGGGAACGTGCCCAATTTCACGCAGATAGATAAGTAGTAGGTGGACACAAATCTCTTTTCTTTGTGCTGTAGAGCTTTCCTGAGAATATAGCATTAGACGTATGTTGAACAGATTCACAGATACAAGTGGGCTATGATGGAGGCAATGTTTAAGTGGCAGTAAATCCATGCTTTTTTCTTGCTTCTGCCTCTAACTGGCTGGGACATCCTAGGCAAGATAGTTGCTATCACTGGGCATTAGCTTTTCCATCTGTAAAATTAGGATATTGGTCCAGATATTCTCTCAGGATTCTTTCTGTTCTAGCATCTTATAATCCTACAATTATATTAACTCAGAATTAATTTTTTCAAAATACACATGTGGGAACTTTTCAGAGATACTTGTTGACCTCAGAAAATATATTAAACAAGGTTTGTTGGACAGTGGGTTTAAAACCAGTCATGTCTTACATAGCATTCCTCATTTTAGGTTGCTGTTTATCTGTAGTAATGAACAGTAATTTAGGTTACTGAAAGATAATCATATAATTTAAATGAGATATTTCCTTAGAAACAAAATACTGGTTCAAACTTCAGTTCTGTGACAGTGTGACTAGGATCTTGCATGTCTCCTGATATTTTTCACCATTTCCTAAAACTATTAATGGAAGTAATAATACTAATATCCATTTTCAATTGTTATGAGGATCAAAGAATGAATATAACTGATCATTACCTAAGAATTCCATATACATCAGCTTTTGTTAAAATGTGCATATAAATCTTTACTTTGATCCTTTATTAATTTTGTGTGTTAGGGAAAAAATTAGCAAAGAGGAAATATAACATGTACTGAAATGATAAATAAGCTTTGGTTTAGAAAACTAATATGATGGGAATGTGAATCTTTTGCTCTGGGAACTCTGTTCCCTCATATTGAAAACAATAGACAAAAATTCAAGCTGTTATATACATTTTGGTGAGAACAAAAACTTTCAATCTCTACCATTTCTTCCTCTATGGACCAATGCTAACTTCTGGGTTTTAGGCCTAAACCACTCACCTTTCTTTGTAAATATAAGGAAAGAATTAAATTAACAAATATTCTAAAAAGTCATGTGGTCAGTACATGACATAAATTGTACTTAATGCTCATAAAGACACTGTGAAGTGGCTATACTATGTATTTTTCAAATGAGGAGTCTGAGGTTGAGAGAGAAAATTTGTTTTGCTCAGGATCATATATCTGGCTGTTAGAGATAAAAATTCAAACTCAGATCCATCTGGCACTTGCTGATAATTTATCCAATCTCTGGTTACTGTAGGGCAACATTTAGATTAATGGAACTCTGTCTGGAAAATGTACAAACAGCATAATTATAGATGAAGAGAATCTCTGAAAAGATTTGTTTTTAAGGTCCCTATCAAAATAATATTAAACCTCAAACCCAGGTCCTCTCTGGTCCTACTCTGATTCAAATAGCAACAGGAGTTGGAGGTTATTAGAGATGAATTACTCTCTAGAGAAGGAAACAACTACTGGTGCCGTTCAAGATGCATTTATCTTGCCTTTCTACTAAACTGCCATCAGGCAGATATACTTATTTTCCACCCAAGGGGCAATGACTTCAAAAGAAAAACTAATTTTCTACACTACTGAATTGAAAAGATTGAATATTCAATATTTAGAAGCTTATGAAATCCAGTGTTAGTACTTGAATCTGTTATAGGCTGTAAAATATTACTTAGAGCCTTTGTGATTTTATAGTTATATAATTATTACAAAAAATTAATGCTAAATATAATCAAGATGTTAAGGAATTTGATTTTATAATGAGCTCTATAACTAAGAGTGGTGTAGAAACACAGCACCGTACATATTTTATTCTTGGTTTCTGTTGAAACATTTTGGGGAACAACTAACATTTTTTAAAGATTTAAGACTATAGCTTCCATCAATAGCACAGCTGGTAGAACAGAAGACTATAGTAGCCACCTTAAAGAAAGAAAATGCCAGCCAAGAATTTTATATCTTGCCAAACTAAGCTTCATAACTGAAGGAGAAAAGAGGTCTTTCCCAGACAAATAAATGCTAAGGGAACTCATCACCACTAGACCTGCACTACAAGAAATGCTCAAAGGAGTTCTAAACATAGAAAAGACAATACCTGCCGTCATAAAGTGACCCATAAATACAAAGCTCACAGATTTTATACAGCAATTATACAATTAAAAGTCTAAGGCAACTATCTAACAACTCAATGACAGAAATCAAACCTCATATATTGATATTAATTTTGAATGTAAGTGGCCTAAGTGCTCCACTTAAAAGATACAGAGTGGCAAATTGGATAGAAAAGTAAGACCCAATCATCTGCTACCTACAAGAGACCTACCTGTTGGCTAAAGCAGCTATAGACTAAAATAAAGGAGTGGAAAAAGATATATCACACAAATGGAAAACAAAAGCAAGCAGGAGTAGACATCCTCATCTCAGAGAAAACAGACTTAAAACAAACAACAGTTAAAAAAAAGATTAAAAAGGGTATCATATAATGAATGATGAAAGGTTCAATACAACAAGATTTAACTATTGTAAATATATATGTTCCCCAAATTGGAGCATCCTGACTCATAAAATAAATACTACTAAACCTAAGAAAAGAGACTGAAATCAATACTGTGAATAGTGGTGGACATCATTACCCCACTGAGGTAACTAGACTGAGCATCAAGGCAGAAAGTCAGTAAAGAAACTCTGAACTTAAACTGAGCTATAGACCAAATGGACCTAAAGGACATTTACAGAACATTCCATGCAAGAACTATAGAATATACATTCTTCTTATCTGCACACGTAATCTTCACAAAAATTGATCATATGTTTGGCCATTAAGCACATCTCAATAAATTTAAAAAATTGAAACCATATCAAGTATCTCCTCAGACAACAGCAAAATAAAATATAAAAGAACACCAAGAAGAACTCTCCAAACTACACAAGTACCTGGAAACTAAGCAATTTGCTCCTGAATGACTTTTAGGTAAACAATGAAATTCAGGGAGAAATAAAACTTTTTTGAAAACAGAAACACATGGAAACTTCTGGGATACAGCAAAAGCGGTGCTAAGAGGAAAGTTTATAACATTAAATGCCTACATCAAAAAGATAGGCATTTAACAACCTAATATTGCACCTCAAGGAACTAGAAAAATATCAAACCTGAAGCTAGCAAAATAAAAGAAATAACAAAGATCAGGGCAGAACTAAATGAGATTGAGGCCAAAAAAATATTTAAGGACCAACCAATCAAGAAGTTGGTTCTTTAAAAGGATAAGCAAAATTGACAGACCACTAGCTAGAGTAACCAAGAAAAGAAAGATAAAATTTAAATTAGTACAATCAGAAATTATAACAGTGATCTTACAACTGAAACTAAAGAAATATAAAAGATCATCAGAGACTACTATGGACACCTCTGTATACACAAACTAGAAAACTTAGAGGAAATGGATAAATTCCTGGCAATACACAACCTCCAAAGATTGAACCAGGAAGAAATAGAAACCCTGAACAGATCAATTATAAATAATGCAATTTAATCCATAATAAAAAATTGTCCAACAAAAAATAAGCCCAGAATCACATGAATTCACAGCCACATTTTACCAAGTGCACAAAGAAGAGCTGGTATCAATCTTACTGAAACTATTACAAAAAAATCAAAGAGGAGACATTCCTCCCTAACTCATTCTATAAAACCGGAATCATGCTGATACCAAAAGCAGACACAACTAAAAAACAAGACTGCACGCCAATAGCCATGATGAACATAGATGTAGAAATTCTCAATACTAGCAAACCAAAAAGATAATTATTCACAATGAAGTGGGTTTTATTCCAGGGATTCAAGGATAGTTTAACATTTGCAAATCAATAAATGTGATTCACCACATAAACAGAACTAAAAATAAAAACCATATGATCATCTCAATAGATGCAGAAAAGGCATTCTATGAAATCCAACATCCCTTCATGATAAAAATCCTCAAAAAATTAGGCATCAAAAAAACATACATCTGGCTTGGCGTGGTAGCTCACACCTGTAATCCCAGCACTTTGGGAGGCTGAGGAAGGTGGATCACTTGAGGTCAGGAGTTTAAGACCAGCCTGGCCAACATGGCAAAACCCCACCTCTACTAAAAACACAAAAATTAGCCAGGTGTGGTGGCGCACACCTGTAATCCCAGCTACTCGGGAGGCTGAGGCAGGAGAATCACTTGGACCTGGGAGGCAGAGTTTGCAGTGAGCCAAGTGAGCATAGTGAGTCACGCCACTGCACTATAGCCTGGGTGACAGAGTGAGACTCAATCTCAAAAAAAAAAAAAAAAAAAAAAAAAAAGACTCCATCTCAAAGAAAAACAAACAACAACAACAAAAAAACACACACACACACACACATCAAAATAAGAGCCATATAAGATAAACCCACGGCCAACATTGTGCTTACTAGAGAAAAGTTGATAACATTCTCCTGAAGAGTTGAAACAAGACAAGGATGTTCACTCTCACCACTCCTGTTCAATATAGTACTGACAGTCCTAGTCCGAACAATCACACAAGAGAAAGAAATAAAAGGCATCCAGATTGGAAAAGAGGAAGTCAAATTATCTCTGTTTGCTGATGACATAATTATATGCCTAGAAAACTCTAAAGCCTCTTCCAGAACACCCCTAGACTTGATAAACAACTTCAGTAAAGTTTCATTATACAAAATCAATCTACAAAAATCAGTAGCCTTTCTGATTTTTAATTTATGTATACTCATAATGTTCAAGCTGAGAACCAAATCAAAAATTCAACTGCATTTACAATAGCCACCAAAAAATATCCAGGAGTGCATTTAATTAAGGAGATGAAAGATCTCCATAATGAGAACTACAAACTACTGATGAAAGAACTCATAGGTGACACAAACAAATGGCAAAACATCCCGTGCTCATAGTCTGGAAGAATCAATATCATTAAAATGACCATACTTCCCAAAGCCATTTAGACAGGGACTGGTAATCCCTATTAAAATGCCCAATTCATTCATTTTTCACAGGATTAGAAAAAAGAAAAAAACAAGTATAAAGTCCCCTACAAAAAAAGAGGCTGATTAGCCAAAGCAATAAAAAAGAACAAAGCTGGAGGTAACATATTGCCTGACTTCAAATCATACTATGAGGCTGTAATAACTAAAACAGCAATGGTATTTGTACAAAAATAGACAAATAGATCAATGGAACAGAATAGAGAACGCAGAAATAAAACCACATGCGTACAACCAACTGATCTTCAACAAAGTTGGCAAAAATAAACAATGGAGAAAGGATACCCTATTCAATAATAAAAACGAACAAAATCATGTTCTTTGCAGCAACATGCATGGAACTGAAGGCTATTACCCTAAATGGACTGATTCAGAAACAGAACATAAAATACTAGTTGTTCTCACTTATAAGTGGGAGGCAAACAATGGATATGCATGAACATATAGATTGAAAGACACTGGGGATTACAAAAGGAAGGAGGGTGGGAAGGGGTGAGGGTTGAAAAATAACCTTTTGGGTACAAGGCTCACTATTTGGGTGACGGGTACCCTAGATGCCCAATTTCTACTAGTATGCAACATCTCACGTAACAAACATGTCCATGTATCCTAAAATAAAATAAAATTTTAAAAACTTAAGAGTACAAAAAAGTTACAGGGAAAAGCCTATATTTGGAGGAGGAATGTCAGATCATGTCATGACTAGTATTCTGTTCAATTTAATTGATTCCTTCCAAACATGCACATATTCTTTCACTTATTATGAATATTAATTCATCACTCCCTATGTTTTTGGCAAAGTTCTAGATCCTGGATTGCAAATTTAAATACGGTGATAAGGAAGAGTCTTAATCAGAAAGTATCATTTGAGCAAACACCTGAAATAAGAAAGTGAGTCATATAGATGTGTATGTGTTCCTTGGGCGGGGGAAGTGCGTAATTGAAGGCAAGGGAAGCTGCAAGTATAAAGACCCTGAGTTTGAAATGTAATAGCATGGGAAATGTAATAGTATACATTTGAAATGTAATAGTTGGGAAGAGTATGGGAATAGTTGAGAAGATGGGAAGAGTTGAAATGTAATAGCATGGGATGAAATAGCATGAAATGTAATAGTATGGGAATAGTTGGGAATATGGGAAGAGTTGGGAATAGTTGGGAAGAGTATTTCAAATATACATTTGAAATGTAATAGTTGGGAAGAGTATGCAGATCAAATGTGGTTAGAATGGATTGAGAAAGTAGGGAAGTATTAAGAAAGATGATCATTTGGCCATTAACAGGAGCCAGATCATATAGAGCTTGGAGTACATTGTAATGACTTTGGATTTTATTCTAAGCAACAGAAAGAAAGAAGCATTATAGAGTTTTAGATTAGAGATTTTAAAGAGATCAATTTAGCTCCTCTGTTGAAATTAGACTGTGGCAGAATAGGGAAAGGACAGAAGAAGGTGTTCTACATGGGCAATATTTGTAGTAATCTAGGTGAAACAGAATGATGATGTGGCCAAAGTGGAAGCATTGTAAGTAACAAAAAGTGATTGCATTATGCATTTCTTTTGAATGTAAACTTAAGCAATAATAAGGATAGATTGGATATGAGATATTGGACAAAGATAGAAGTCAAAGATGATGTGACTCCAAGTTTTGTGAAAGGATGGACTTGTTATAAATTTGATGAACACAGTAAGGATTTTTCTTTTTTGGTGTGGCATGGGTATGAGAAGGAATCAGGAGTTCAGTTTAGTATGAGATTCTATTAGACAAAAGAGTGGAGATATTGTTTATATATTGAATATATAAGTCTCAAGAATAACAGAGAGGTTCTCATTATAAACATGCATTTGGAAGCTTTCAGTAAATATATATTATCTAAAGACGTGAAATTTGATGAGATCATTAAGGAAGTATATGAAGAAAGACAAGTTAAGAAGCGTAAGGAAATGCTTCAGAGCACTTAGTTGTTAAAGTCTCACCTCATCTTTTAAGGCATGAAAAAGGAAAAGGAGAAGAGACTGAGAATTAAGAGCTAACACTGTAGGAAAAAAAATAAATAAATAAGGACAGTGTGATGTCCTGGACACCAAGGAAGGAGTGTTTCAGGGTGGAGTGTTAAATGATTTTGATAGATAAACATGTGAGGAGTGAGAATTACATCAGCAATATCGAAGTCATTGGTGACACTGACAAGGGTAATTTTTTTGTGATGCAGTAAGAAAGGCAAAATTCTGTTTGTAGTGGTGGATTTAGGAGAGAATAGGAAATGAGGAGCTGGAGACTGTCAATATGGATGATTCTTTAAAAGAACTTGGCTTTAAAGAGAGCAGAAGAATTGAGATGATGTCAGGAGGATGGAAGTGAAATCAAGAGAAGTTCCCTTGTAATAAAATGTGAGAAATAACAGTGTGTGTATGCTGATAGGATTAATTCAAGAGATAAAATTGAGATACAAGGTGGGGGGCAGTTGATAGGGCAGCATTCTTGCGTATGTAAAAAGTAATCGCTAAGAGAGGAAGAGGCAAAGCTTAACTAGGGGTATGAATGGCTTATCCACTCTAAAGTGGGAGAAAGCAGATTATGCAGACATTGATATTATAAACTAAACAGATACAGAAGTAGGAGTTTATGGAAATTCTGTTATGAATGACTGTATGAGAAACCGGTGTTTTATGGCTGTCTTTGCCCTACATGATAGAGATAATATGATCCTCAAAGCCTAAAATATCTACTGTTTGGACCTTTTTGGATAAATATTTGCTAATCTTTTAAAGAGACTGGAACTACAGAGTTCCAGCTTAGTCATTTATTCAAAAAATCTTTAATAAGCGTCTATTATATACCAGGTTCTTTGCAAGGTAGTAAAATAAAAAACACTATAGAAATTGAATTACCTCTGTTCTTCCATTCTTGTTCCCGCTTGTGATGTCTGATTGTTTTCCTCAACACACGATTAAAGCAAAGCAGCTCCTGCCAAGATCATTGCTGATAAATGCCCTGAACACTGTACTGTCTTGTATCTTATTTGTTCTTTTGGCAAATTTTGAGCATATTGACACATATATAGACTGGATGGACCCACATTCTAAAGACCTTAAAATCATCCTTCCATCCCTCTTTTCCTTTCTCTCTCTGTTTTACTAATATATAATAATTGTACCTATTTATGGAGTGCAAGTGATGTTTTGATGCATGCATACAATGTATAATGATTAAATTTGGGTAATTAGGATATCCATCACTGCAAACAGTTATCATTTCTTTGGGTTGGGGACATTTCAAATCTTTTCTTCTAGCTATTTTGAAATATACAATAAATTATTGTTAACTATAGTCACTGTATTGTGTTATAGAACTTTCATCTCTCTTTATATGGACAGTTTAAACTTAACTTTCAGGAAACCAAGGATAGTCAAGGTTTCCTTTACAAATTACTGAGAGTTTGGAAGTCATTTGCCTAGATGAAATAATGGAGGAGGTGTTGAGTTCACAGAAAGATGTTATAAATAGTGATTTATACCAGAAAGAAATGCAATTTTAAGAATCAATGGCAGATAAATGGTAATTTAACCTACAGGAGTAGAAAAAAGTGAAAAGCCTATGGATTATTTAAGAAAGTTACAAATAGCCAGAAGAAGACAGTGTGTGCAAGTCAATTCAATTCAACTAACTGATTTTTCCCTGAGTGCTTTGTATTTGCTAGGATGGGTGTAGAATTTGAGCAAAAGATTGAAAGTCGAAAATTAAAGAGGAAGAGGAGGAAAACCAACCTCAAACTTTTTACATTACTTTGCAAAAAGAAGTGTAATGTGAGACTTCTTTGGGTGAATTTACAAAATGCATTTAACCATATTTTCATCACATTTCTGTGAATATAAATTAATACATTGTCATTATTACATTTACACAGCCAAGCCACCCAAGCACTATTTTTAACACACAATTTATTCAGAATATCATATTCCTTATCTGTATCCATTATTACTGCAGGCTACCCAAAAGTGAAATCTTTGTTTTCATCAGGCCACTTTTTATCCTTTACATCTGACTCAGAACATGCCCAAACTGGCTATATTTGTTGAACGATGACCAAAATTTGTTTTAAGATTACAACATTCCCTTTTATTTTTTACGCTTAAAATATTGTTTTCCATGATAACAGAATCAAAAGGAATGTTGCCCCGTAGTAATCTTGCCTTCCTGTTGTTTCAATCTATAGTGAGCAATAAAACTGTCCACCTCTTAAATCTTACTCTTACTCATTTCTCTCTTTACAACCATAAATTTCACATATGATGGGGGAAGCTGTTAGTTGCCCGGTTGGTGAACTGGGTCCTCAGAAGCCTACAGTTTTATGGAGAAAGCCGACTTTGGGTTTTTCTCCCCAACATTTTTTAAAAATCCTACTCCTTTCAAATAAGAGCAAGAAAAGCAGCTAAACATGTGACCAATCTGATTAGAAAATTGAAAATCAAATGGCACTAGGACTTCAACAAATTATGAAAAATAATGTAAACTAAGAAATAAATTTTTGTTCTGACTAAATGTGTTTTTAGAAGCAAAACATTCTAATATATATGAATGCTTCTATAATTCATTATTTTGGCCTTAATTTCTTCAGTTGCAGCAGGTAAAGACGAATAACTGTTTTACAAAATGCCATCCCACTCTAATCTAAAATAATATTAATGTAAACCAGGGTTTTCCAACCTTGGCACTACTCGCATTTGGGGCCAGATCATTCTTTGTAAGAGGTTGTCCTGTGTATAATAGGATGTTTACCAACATCCCTGGCCACCAAATGTTATTAGTAGCCCCCAAGTTGTGATAATCAAAAATGTCCCCAGAGTATCAAATGTCCCCTGGTGGGAGTAATGAGAACAACTAATCTAAATGTAAAAATACAATTTTATGTAATTAAACTATTGAAGGAACAATCTAATGAAGAGATTTTAGAGTTTTGGCTCATTTTGCTCTTGTTCTTCTGTTCCCCTCCCTCCCTCCCTTCCTTCCTTCCTTCCTTGCTCTCTCCAACCCTCCCTCTTTTTATTTGTTTTTCCCTTCCTCCCTTTCTTTTTTTCTTCTTTGCTTCAATAGATGAACCTTCATTCAACACAAATTATACATGGCAGTCCACTATGTAAAATTTTGTGTGAAATTCCAATACGTATAATTCTAACAGATGGGCTGCACTCCTTGACATGGTGTGATCCTGAGACTTATTGTTTTTGCTTTCTGTATGTTATGAGGTCTTGACATTTTACAAAGCTTACTGACCAGAGATAGACTGCTGCTGTCAGAGATAGTCCTTTCTTAGAGACAAGAAAGGACTTGGCTAAGGGTACATCTCTCATATACAAACCTGTCAATCCCTAGCCGATAGCCCCAGTTGCCTCTTTATCTGACTCTCATGCACCAAGGCAATATTTCCTTTGCCCTAAATCATCTCAGGGTCAGGTACCAGGCAACTAGACTACCCCTATAGCCCAAATCATGCTGGAATTATTCAAACTAGCCAGCCCTAAGCTGTTTACTCTGCCCTACCTTGCTTTTCCTGCAGAAAACTCAATAAAGGCTCTGGCATAGACTTTCCCCTGGCTCTTGTCTTCTGCTTTGTTAAAGCAAACTAAATATGGCCTGAGAATGACTTCTTACTTCTATATTTGAGTTTTTGTGGACGAACTGCAGCCTAGCTTAATAGATAGACAAGATTGCAAACCTAACTTAGGAGTATGCACCTGTAACAATAGCTAAGTCTTGGTCAGTCCCTGTGGCCATACTTCAACCCTTCATACACTGCTGAGTGTTCAGACTGTGTTCAAATAAGGCGTACGCCGAGCTGTAACCCATCCAGTTATTCTGCACCTCACTTCCAATTTCTGCTTGTCATCTCCCTTTTTGTGTCTATAAACTTTCTTCCACCACATGGCTGCACTGGCGTCTCTGTGACTCTGCTGTGATTCTGAGGGCCGCCCAATTCACGAATCGTTCATTGCTCCATTAAACTCCTTTAAATTTAATTCAGCTGAAGTTTTTCTTTTAACAGCTCTCCGATCAAAACCTGGCACTTTCCCTGTAGCCCTGCATGGCATGTATGACTCCCATTCTGGGGTCTACGAATGTAATAAACTTCCTCCTTCTAAGTGTTGTTCTCATTTTCTCCTGTAGCCACACTGACTTTAGCTTATCATATCCAACATTTACATTCTGAGAACACTTACCCTCTTGACTCTGCTATGTCTTTTGATTATTCAGTCCAGTGACCACTGAACAGGAGCTGTCTATACATTGGTTTCTTAAACCTTCATAAATAAATTAAGGTAGGTATCATCCTCAAATTACATATAAGAAATTAGAAGCTTAGCTATTAAGTGATTACCCAAATTCAATTGTTGTTGTTTTCTTCCACTGTAATATATTTTCTTAAATTGAATCTCAAATAGAGATGAACCACTATACTAAGCTTGTGTTATAAGTATATGTACCAAACAATATTAAAGATTAAATGTTACCATCAATTCTTTTATAGATTGCCTTCAACCACCTTACCTTTAATTTGGTGCCCCACTGTGCTAATCTGTTTTGCTTTGCTATAAAAAAAATCTGAGACTGGGTAATTTATAAGAAAAGAGGTTTAGTTGGCTGACAGTTCCGCAGGTTGCACAAGCGTGGTACCAGCATCTGCTCAGCTTCTGGTGAGGCCTCAGGAAGCTTTTACTCATGGCAGAAGGTAAAGGGGGAGCAGACATGTCACATGGTGAGAGAGGGAGCAAGAGAGAGTGGAGGAGGTGCCAGGCTCTTCTTAACAATCGGTTCTCACATGAACTAATAGAGTGAGAATTCACCCATTACCATGGGGAGGGCACCAAGCCATTCATGAAGGATCCACCCCCATGACCAAAACACCTCCCATTAGGCCCTATCTCCAACACTGGGGATCACATTTCAACATGCAATTTTGAGGGGACAAACATCCAAACTATATCATCCACAATAAACTGCATTTAAATTAAAATGCAAATCAAAATGTGTCATTTTTCCTCAGAACCTCATGATGACTTCCCATCACCTGCCATAAACAAGTTAAGCCCCTTAAGGTAGCTTGTGGGGTTCTCCAAGATACAGCCTCTGCCTACCTTTCCAGGTTTATAGCTCACTCTTGAAGCATGCAACTGTTCCTCACTCACTCTGCGTCCACTCCCACCTCCACACGATTGCCAGTGCTTCTTGACATAGGTACTTATTCATCTCTGTTTGGAAGAGACTCTTCTTCTGAGCTATTTATTTTGCATGCTTTATAACTCAATTTATGCATTTTTAATCTTGGTGAAATCTTAATAACTCTTAATTCTCAGTTCTATATTCTTCTATTCTTAATATCTGTCAATAACTTGTATATCCCACTATCATTACTCTCACCACATAGTAACATATGTTTTGATGATTATCTCTTCTACTGTCTCACATTTTTTTGAGAACTGGTTGTATAATTAATTTTATAATCAATGCTTTGAATAGAGCTATGATATAGAAGTCATTGTATAAATCATTGTTGAATAAATGGATTAATTTTCTCTTGGAATCTTCAAGTTATGACTAGGTTAAATTTTATAATGATTCTTCAAAAAAACTAATTATCTTTTAAAAATAGGACAGTCTCCTTACCTTGCCTAGAAAGTTCTACTGAGTGCAAATCTCTAGGTAAGAAAGTGTAGAGAGCTCTATAGAATTGCTTCACCTTATTTTTGGAAAAACAGTTATAGGACACATGTTTTTCTTACTGCTTGCCCACAGGCACAATCATCTTTGAGAATAAAGGATGAGATATGATATTTCAGGGAATTTTAATAATGAGAAATAGAGTACAACTCATTGAGTCTTCAAGTAGAAGGAAAAATAGTTTAAAGTTTCCAAATTAAGGAAATAAGTAAGCCACCTGGAAAACACATGTGTTTTAAGCTCTGAAATTAAAGCAAATGAATTGGGAGAGGAAAATTATAAGTGAGGGTTTTTAGAAAACATAGATTTTAGGAGATCTTGTTGAAGTGAATCGTATTCTTATAAGAACTAAAAATGACTAAGGGCATAGTATATAAATGCTTAGGCATTTGTGAAGTCAACGATTACAAAAAGAAAGCTTTGCAGTCAGGTAGACAAAGGTTTCAAGGTGGTGTTTGTTTGGTAACTTGTGATTACCTTGTTCCGGCTGCTTTGTCCTTGGGCATCCTCAGTGATTCCTCTCACCCCCATTCTTATTCCCTGAAACTCGTATCATTTTACATATCCTTCCCAATATGGTCAGAGGACTGCACCGGAATCTGAAAGGGAAGCGGTGTCATGCCTTAGCCAGGTAAACTTCTTTCTTTGACTCTGGAAATGAAATCCATGCTCTCACTTGATTATTTCTGTAAATTAGGCTAAGTGTCATTCATCAGGGATAAATGCTCATCTATTCTCAGAAGCCATCTTTAACTAACATCACTAAAGCCCAGCATGCACACAGCACCCAACAGTGATGTAATGTGTGAACAATTATAAAATGAGTCACTCAAAGCCTCTGCCTTTGCAAAAAGCCTTTCCTTTTAAAAACAGCATTTTCCAAACTCATTCTTCCTTTCTCTGCTTCGTAGGCTCCAGTGCTCAACATTCTACTGCCAATCTTTCTTGAAGTAAAAGCAAATAAATGCCTAGACTCTCCCAGCTGATTATGTTTGAACTTCATGGAAGGACACCTCTGCTATAATTATGTGGGAAAGTTGCATTTCTTAAAACCAGAATTTCTGTAAAGACTACCAAAATGTTAGGCACTGTGTCATTTTTACAATACTATGAGGTAGAATTATTACATCCATTTGACAGATGATGGGAACAAGTAGTAATACAGTAGTAATACAGTACTAGTAGCCCACACAACTAGATAAAAGAAAAATTGGCACTTTTCTCTCCCAGTCTCTGTGTGTGATCCTACAGCACCTAAAGATTTCTAGTGTCCTTCTATTTCTTATTCTTATTCATCACCCATTCATACATCTCCTAATTCAAGTTACAATCATATCTTGCATGGAACACTGAAATCACCTTCTGATTGTGCCTCATATATTCACACTTGCCTTCCTCTAAAATGATAAATAGTGTGGCAACAGTTTGGGGTTTTTCACCTACTTTTCAGAATAGCCCACACAGCTAGATAAAATAACAATTTAAGGTCAGAGGACAGTTAGGCTTTGCAGTTTGGAATACTCAGCAAGGACTTACCAGTACATCCAGGGGCCAGGAAGAACTGCTGCTCCCAATAGACCCATAAAGTTGACTCACAAACCCAAGATAATGCAGATGATAGGGAATAGGAGCCCGGTTTAAATCTAGGCTGATTTGACCATATAGTCTGTGCTCCATCATACTGAATTCACTTCATTCTCTCCAAAGCACATCCCTACTAACTTTATTTGATATGGACTGTAGCCATTTATGGTCCACTGTTTATACTGTGTCTTCCTAAATCTGGCTCAACATTTACTATTTTCTTCTGATTCTGATCACACTTCACATACTGACTACATTTTATATTAAGTATTTCTTAATATCTGCATAGTCAATGCCTGCTGTGCTAGTGACATGAAACTAGAATCACCATCTCAGGCATCTGCTTTGAAACCACTTTTATGACAGATGCTGTAGAAGGAAAAGATGCAAGGTTGTTTTTTTTTTTTTTTCATTAGAGGTTTTAAAATCTCACTGGAGAGGCAGAAAATGATATCTAATAGAGTGTGGGGAAAATTATTTACACACACACACATACACACACATTGGTAGTATGGATTCTGGAACTTTTGATTATTGGAATTCACAGTAAATTTGATGGTGCTCTGAGACTGAGCTTAAACTGGAAAACTTAAAAAGAAATGATGCCTCACCAGATGACTTTGGAAGAATATAGATTTTTATTTAGCACACTGGATAGAAAGTATTGTGAGGGCTCTAGCAGTACTGGGGAGGGAAATGACTGGACACTTTTGCAGTTGGTGTAATTAATGAGGTATGATTAAGACAAAATTAGAGGTCCACATGGTTTCCAAATTGTGTAACTTCAGTTCTGATGTTCTCTTTTATTTTCATACATACATATCTGTTTACTACATGTGTATATTTTATTTTCTCAAAGGAAATTAAAACTCAGTGTACCCAGGACCAAACACTTCATTCTCCTTTCTGTATCACAGAACTCTGTCAGAGTTCCTTGTGTTTATAAAGGCACTGTCTTCACTTTAGTTGCACAAGCCAAAAAGCCAGTCATCAAAATTGGCACTTTTCTCTCTGTGTGTGATCCTACAGCACCTAAAGATTTCTAGTGTCCTTCTATTTCTTACTCTTATTCATCACCCATTCATAAATTTCCTAATTCAAGTTACAATCATATCTTGCATGGAACACCGAAATCACCTTCTGATTGTTCCTCATATATTCACACTTGCCTTCCTCTAAAATGTTAAATAGTGTGGCAACAGTTTGGGGTTTTTATTTAAATGAAAATTAGACACATTCAACCCTAAAAGCTCTCCTCATCACAATGCCTTTACACTTACATATATAGCTCTGCCAAAAATACTTAAGTGGCTTCTCAGAGGAAACCTTAACATTCTTCAGAAGTGACAAATTATCTGGTATGGCCTCCATTTCCAGAGTCGCCTGATGCCTCTGAACCCCTGCCTTGAGGTGTTTCAGCTTCTCTGGTCTTTTATTTTTCAAGGCGTTTCAGCTTCTCTGGTCTTTTCTTTTTTCTTTTCTTTTTAATTTTTTTTTTTTTTTTTTTTTTGAGACAGAGCCTTGCACTGTCGCACAAGCCTAAGTGCAATGGCACGATCTCGGCTCACTGCAACCTCCGCCTTCTGGGTTCACGCAATTCTCCTGCCTCAGCTTCCTCAGTAGCTGTGATTACAGGTGCACACAACCACACCTGGCTAATTTTTTGTATTTTTAGTAGAGATGGAGTTTCACTATGTTGGCCAGACTGGTCTTGAACTCCTGACCTCGTGATCTGCCCGTCTTGGCCTCCCAAAGTGCTGGGATTACAGGCATGAGCCAGCATGCCCCGCTATTTTTTCAAAAGAGATGAGTTGTGTTTCTTTCCACATAAAAAACATAATACTTCCTCTACTTGGGGAGACCTTCTCCTAGTTACCTCAGGTGACCCTGAATTGTTTTTATTGTTGTTGTTTTGAGATGGATTCTCACTCTGTCCCCAGGCTGGAGGGCAGTGGCACAATCTTGGCTCACTGCAACCTCCACCTCCTGAGTTCAAGTGATTCTCCTGCCTCAGCCTCTGGAGTAGCTGGGGTTACAGGTGTGTGCCACCACAACCGGCTAATTTTTATATTTTTAGTACAGATGGGGTTTCGTCACATTGGCCAAGCTGATCTTCAACTCCTGACCTCAGGTGATCCACCCACCTCGGCCTCCCAAAATGCTAGGATTACAGGCGTGAGCCACTGTGTCCGGCCTGAATTGTTTTTTTAAATCTTAAGACTGACCACTTCTTTAGGTCTACAATCACTTAAAAAAAAAAAAACCATTCTTGACTCCTTAGATTAAATCAGATTATTTTGAGACTGAATTAAAGTGAACAAGAAATAACAGAAGTAGATTGTTAGCGAAACTGTGAACTTAAGGTCAAAGGCTTAGATTTGTTTTCAATTTATTAATCTTTTGGTGCCACAGAACAGTTAGAAGAAACCTGAATAGATATTTCTCAAAAGAAGACATGCACATTACCAACAGGTAACTAAAAAATACTTAGCAAGTTTAATCATAAGGAAAATGCAAATTAAAACCACAATGAGATATCACCTCACACCTGTTAGAATAGCTTTGATCAAAAAGATGAAAAATAACAAGTGTTAGAGAGGATGCAGAGAAAAAGGAACTCATGTACATTGTTGGTAGGAATGTAAATGAGTATAGCTCTTATGGAAAAAAACATTATAGAATTTCCTCCAAAAACTAAGACTACAACTATCATATGATCCAGCAATCTTACTTCTGTTATACGTATCCAAAGGAATTAAAATCACTATGTCAAAAGACCACCTGGGCTCCTATGTTCATTGTAGCATTATGCACACTAGCTAAGATAAGGAAGTAACCTATATGTCAGTCAACAAATGAATGGATAAAGAAAATGTAGTATATACATAATGGAATACTATTCAGCCTTAAAATGAGAAGAAAGCCTGTTATTTGCAACAACATGGATGAACCTTGAGATTCATGTTAAGTGAAATATGCTAAGTGAAATAAGCCAGGCAAAGAAAGACAAATATTATATGATTTCAATACCATGTAAAATCTAAAAAAGTTAAATGCATAGAAGCAGAGAGTAGAATGATGGTTACCAGAGGATGTAGGGAGAGAAGAAACGGGAAATGTTGCTCAAAGGGTACAAAGTTTCAAATAGAACAGAGAAGTTGTAAGATCAATTACACAGCAGGATGACTACAGTGAATGTATTATATGTTTTAAAATAAGAGAATAAATTCCAAATGTCTCATCATAAAATATGATAGGTATGCTAGGTGACAGATATGTTAACTAGCTTGATTTAATCATTCCACAATGTACACGTATATTAAGACATCACATTGTACCCCATAAATGTATACAATTATGATTTGTCCATTAAAAATGTTATTAACTTTAAAAAAGATACAACTTAAAAAAGAGGGAATGTATAACTCTTTTTTTCTAAAAATTAGAAATATTCACAGACACAAAATTTGCATAAGGTTTTATAAAACCTTTCTTGATGACCATATATTTTATATGTCTAAGTTAAAAATTCCAATGATTCTTCAAATTTTCTGGTTAAAATGCAGTTTCTCAGGCCAGGCGTGGTGGCTCACGCCTGTAATCCCAGCACTTTGGGAGGCCGAAGTGGGCAGATCACGAGGTCAGGAGTTCAAGACCAGCCTGACCAACATGGTGAAACCCCGTCTCTACTAAAAAAATACAAAAATTAGCTGGGCATGGTGGCAGGAGCCTGTAATCCCAGCTACTCGGGAGGCTGAGGCAGGAGAATTGCTTGATCCCAGGAGGTGGAGGTTGCAGTGAACCGAGATGGCGCCACTGCACTCCAGCCTGGGTGACAGAGCAAGATTCCATCTCAAAAAAAAAAAAAAAAAAAAATGCAGGTTTTTTGTTTGTTTGTTTTTAAACACCTACATGTTTCCAGTGCTGGTGATTTTCAGACTGCACTCAGCAAATGCTGCTCTAGAAAAATTACCTACTGATGGAAATATAAATGACACATTCTTTGAAAATATTCTGGGTAGGGAAGAGAAGAGATCAACAAATTTAAGCAGTCATTAATTTGCCACCCTATATGAATCTGTGTTAAGACTGCATACCAGCCCATGTGCAGCATAAAATATTGCTATGCAATACCTGTGAGTATTATTGGTCTTTTCTCTTTTCTTATGCACATTTTCCCCTTAAACCATCATGGGTTTGCTTTGATTTGTTATCTTAAGTTGGTGCTCTGGATTCTATTGACCTTCAAACTCTTCTTTCTGCTCTGGTATGACTTGTCCCAAAAGGACACTGCAAATAATTTGAATCAGCTATTGGTACTCTCATGAAATATGAATTTAAAGGCAGTCCTACCTGCCAGACAATGTTAGGTCAGCTTCAAATTTCTGACTGGGATATTTAAATTGAAATGAGGAGGTAAATGTATAAGTCGTATAAAACTGTGTTGGCTGAATCTAATGCTTAAATTATTGATGTCTGGCATTACACAATCATTGCCTTTAAGTGTGACTACTGACATCATCACCACATCAGTGTTGGTAATTTTTCAAGACAAGCTTAGAATCCCCACTGCATTCCAACTGCCTAGAGCAGACCTAGCACATAGCAGGTATTCAATGTCATGAATAAAAAAATATGTACATACACTGACCATACAATGAAGAAATTTAGAAAATTATTATTTTTTGCCTTTCTACCAGTACTCTCTTGCTTAGGCATCTGAAAATAAATAGGGATATTCTATATGAATATCTAATCACAGTCTGGGTGATCTTGGCAAAGCATTTCAGTTGTCTGCAATTTTACTTCTAAAACCTTTATCAACAAAAGTTGAATTGGAAACTTCTATTAAGCAAATGTCTGGGAGAAAGTGGTTTCTCCTGTTATCCATTTACCCACCAAAGAAGAATGGCAATACAAAAAGCAGGCAAATGTACTTGAAAGTAAACCTCCTGGGCTACCCTGATTGCTGCACGCCTTTAATTCAATTTCCTAGGGCTTTAAATTCAGTGGCTGCAGAACTGTATGAAGAAATTTAAGTTCTTAACTGTGACCCTTCCTCCCACAAGTCACTGTAATATATCCACAATCATTCAACAAAGGATCACTGTTATTTCCTATACTCTGCCTATTGAGGCAAGAAAGTGACTGGGATATTTTGGATTTTCACAAGAGTAAGTAAGGTAAGTTTCAGCAGCCTCTTACTTGAGTCCATTATGTATGAATTATTTGTCTTTTGTCCTCAGTGTTTGATATATGTTTATCTTCCCATTAATCACTCATATTATTCATGTTTTTATCCACTCTGAGAGGAGTTACCATTTCTTTTCCATAACAATAAGCCCTGGTTCCCACAGGCTGCTCCCTTTTTGTTATGGATCCAGTATTTTTCTCTCTTCTCTTGCTTGGATCCTTCCCATTGCACTGCCTTGTCACACAATACCTTCAAATATGCTGAATAAATGACAATAACAATTTTTTTTTTTGAGACAGAGTCTCATTCTGTCACCAGGGTGGAGTACAATGGCACAATCTTGGCTCACTGCAACCTCCGCCTCCTGGGTTCAAGTGATTCTCCTGACTCAGCCTCCTGAGTAGCTGGGATTATAAGCGTGTGCCACCACACCCAGCTAATTTTTGTATTTTTAGTAGAGACAGCGTTTCCCCATGTTGGCCAGGATGGTCTCGATCTCTTGACCTCATGATCCGCCCGCTCCCGCCTCCCAAAGTCTTGGGATTTACAGGCGTGAGCCACCATGCCGGGCCAGTAACAATTAAATTTTTAAAAAGTTACTCTTCTACATCTCCTCTCACTATGGCTTACGTTTCTATTTCTTTTACTGTCATTATACAAACTCTTGTGTTTATTCTCATCTTTGCTTTCTCATGATTTATTTTATTCTTTTACATGCTGTGTAAAGGAATTTGGAGGCAGGATAGCATAGTGATTAAAAACACAAATTCTGGTGCCAGATTGCTGGATTTTCCATTACAGCCTCAGCTCTTCATACTTGTGTGAGATCAGGCACTGAATCATTGATGTTCAGTTTTTCCACCTGTGAAACAGGAATATAATGCATATATAGTGCACTTCCAGCACTTTGGGATGCCAAAGTAGGAGGATCACTTGTGTCCAGGAGTTCAAAACCAGCCTGGGCAACATAGTGAGACCCCAGCTCTACCAAAAATCCAAAATTAGCTAGGCGTGGTGGTACATGCCTGCAGTCCCGGCTACTTGGGAGGCTGAGGCAGGAGGATCCCTTGAGCCTGGGAGGTTGAGGCTGCATTGGGCCATTATAGCGCCACTGTACTCAGACGGAGTGAGATCCTGTCTCAAAAAAGTAAAATAAAATAAATAATAAAAGAGTGATTTTCTGCAGTAGATGCTCATTATCACCATCATTATTATATGCATTCTCACCATTCTACCAAAGCTATATTATCAATAACACTTAGGTAACTCATAATTTTTAGAATCAGTGGAAATTTGTTAACTTTTATTTTCTTAAATTCGCATTTTTAAAACGTGGTCCTGGTGACCACCGTGTCAGTAAAAGTCCAGTGCATAAACAGAAATCACCTACATAATTCAAGAAGAATGGGATTGAATACTGGGAATTAGTTTCTTACAAAAGTATCTGAGGGGTTAGAGGAGTGCAAGTCAGGAAGGACATCGCCTTACTATTGCATCCAGAGCACTTCCTCAATGATATGACTCAGAGGTCAGGATGTGGCTTCTGCCCTTGCAACTTTTCACCACTACAAATACCATTCGCATCCATTCCCACCTGTGGCCTAGCCATGAGAAAACCAAATCTGATGACTAAGCTGTTTCTAAACACTCATATTTCATGCTATTGCTTGTCAACAGAAACTGCAGCAGGAAGGAGTCTTACATTTCTCTACTTCCTTTCCAATCTCAGGCAAAGAAGTTTTGGATATATTATATGTTAATTAGCTTTTTGTTCTCTAGTTTTCCCTGAAAGCTCTACCTTGATAGCTTTATTTGTCACATCCATACAAATCCTATCAAATCCCAAACCTCAACTCTGAGCTGCTTACTCTAATTTCAAAACACATAACTCAAAGACCTCTTGGAAATTTTCACATGCATACTATACCCTAGCTTCAAATTCAGCGTATTTATAGCATAATCAAAACCAAAACTAAACATAAAAGACAACTCAACTGTCTCTCTTTATGTACGATTTTAATTAATGATAGATTTTCTCCAAAGTGTTTAGGTGCAAAACCTCTGTTTTATTGCAGTCTTATATTTCAGCTACTCTTGCTTAATACATAGTTAAATGGTAGAAAAGATAAAACAATGAGTAGACTGCATGCTTTTCAAATGATCCTCCAAAAAAATAGTCTTTTGTCCAGATGTGGTGACTCACACCTGTAATCCCAGCACTTAGGGAGGCCAAGGTGGGTGGATCACCTGAGTCAGGGGTTCAAGACCAGGCTGGCCAACATAGTGAAACCCCATCTCTACTAATAATACAAAAATTAGCCAGGTGTGGTGGCACCTGCCTGTAATCCCAGCTACTCTGGAGGCTGAGGCAGGAGAATCGCTTGAACCTGGGAAGCAGGGGTTGCAGTGAGCAGAGATATGCACCATTGCACTCCAGCCTAGGTGACAAGCGAAACTCTGTCTCCAAATAACAAATAAATAAATAAAAATAAAGTCTTTTATTTTGTCTTTTCTTAAAAAGGGTAATAGCTGAACTTTATATCCCTATCTCAGTTTGATGTTCTAGTGAATTTTTATCTTGGAATTACAGTACATTTTTATATTTGATCATACACATTTGGGAGTGCTGACATCCTTTTATGGAAATTGAAGAGTTTAACAAAGAGACTCACTGGATAGAGAAGTCAATACAACATACAATGTAAAACTATTGCTTCAGAGTTAGATGTAATCAGATAGATTCAAATTTCATCTTTGACACTAGATGTGTAACCATGGGGAAGTTACTCAAAATCTCCAATCCCCAATTTTCTTAACTTTAAAATAGTGATAATAACGATGCCTGCATAATACAGAGATTATGATGAAGATTGAATATAATGCTATAATAAAGTATTCAATGTAGTGTTAGTCTGAAAACAAACAACAATGATAAATTTGGTTAATGTTAATTTTATCACTGCTGATATTGGTGTAATTTCTCCCTTCCATTTAATATGTTTTAGAGTTATGCTGCAATTAGTACGATTTTATAGTCATTATTATGCTTCTTTGTAGACTCAAAGGTAGGAAACTGATGAGAAACCCTCAGGGAACTCTTGTACCACTTAGTGAAGAATCCAGGGTAATATAGGTAATAGATGGATGATGTTGCATGAATTGGAAGATGATCAGAAATAAATGAACCTGGCTTTAGTCCCCAGAATCAATGTATAAATAATGGTATTTAACGTGATATCAACTTTGTGGGGAGGGAGACTTAGATATTAAACAATTTTAAAGTAGTTGGCCTGAGTAACATGTAAAAATTGCTCTGATCTCCTAGACATCATGGTAGACTATGTTAATATTTATTGAGAAAATGTGTGTATGGTTTTTTTAGTTCAATGACACACTACAAATATGTTAAACTGAACAACATAAGGAAAGTCTCACAACACCAGAGAAAATGTTAAGCCTCACTTATGACCCTATTTCTCAGTTTAAATGGTGGCATTGGTTGTATATTGACATAAGACAGAAAAAGCCAGCTATAATAATGAATTATATATCACCAGGGCTCAGACATTGTCTTACAAAATATTGCAACAGATAAGATAAGGAGGTCTCTGTAACCCTATACATGGAGTCGGCTCAAAAAATATTTCTTAACTAAATGAACAAAGGAATTAATGTATTAGTTGACTAACTCATTTGAACTTAATTTGCCATTATACTTTTCTGTTTCAACTTCAATTCTAACAAACTCACAAAATTTAATTTTTACATTCAATTTTGAATATGTGAACTTTTAAAAATGTAGCTAAGTTTCCTTCCTGGTGAAATCAGCAGATTTTAGGATAATTTTCCTGTCTATACCAGTAGCTCCTAGATGCATTCACTTGTGAGTAATTGCCCAGCAAACGCGGGAGGCCACAGAAGAATGGAGTTGATGAAATGAGAACATCACAGGGAGGAGGAAGTCATCACCAAGGCCTGGGCACATGTTGTTCCTCACCACACTGAGTGCACACCAGCCCACTGAGCACCCCCGGGACATCTCACTCTACACACATTTCTGGCATCATCTGGGAGAAGCAACAAGTTGCCAGTCTCTGCTTCCTCATGGCAGTAGGAGACTTGCTGGAAATTGATATTATTTGGGCTTGTCTCCCTGCGAGACACAAAGCATAACATCCAAGATTTGTACATGCCTGTCCCACCGTGACCAGCGGGTGGGGTAGGGGAAGCTCTGCCTGCTTGGAACACCCAGCTCTTTAACGGGATAGAGCAGAGTTGCGAGGCAGGGGAGCTGGGGGAATGTTCTAAAACCACACCTCTGCCTTTCGGCATTTTAAGTAAACTGAAAAGCATTCTGTGGGGACGGGCTTTTGGAAGACTTCTATGCTCTTGATGAAAGCACAAGTTCTAACAGGAGGTCTCTTGCAGAGCTGGACTTCAGGAAGCGAACTGCAGAAGGACAATCTTCAAGAAAAGCAAATGCCAGGAGACGGGAGTGCACTTGGAACAGATGAGAACAGATGATAAAAGCTTCATTAGAATCTCTCTCAGCCAGAGAGAGACATTGACATTATAGACTTTTTAGTAGAGTTGGAAAGTAAAATGCACAGAAATATCACCTTGATAGGAAGAAGTGCATGCAGAAAGAAAGGCACAGATAAATTTCCCAAGAGGTCAAAAAATAGAAGAACAATTACTTCCATTTGGGAGAAACTACCTGAAGCTTTACAGAAAAAAATACAACCTGTGAACAGTACTCAGTAAATCATAAAGATGGTGTACTTAAAAAAAAAAAGAAAGCTGGTAGTGTACATTTGAAGCCTTATCTCAGGGAAAATAACATGATACACAATTGTATCGTGTTATTTTACCTTCCCTTACCTTTTACCTGTATCATGTTATTTTACCTTTATTGAATTAAAAGTAATTAGAATACCATTCAGCAACATTTCGCTCAAATACCCCATTGGAAATTTAAATAGGATTATATTACATTTATAAATTAACTTGGAGTGAATGGATATCTTGCAAATATTTAGTCTCAGTCTACAGGCTTATCCCACTGAATGAACCCACTTTTCTCTAATTTGACCAAGAAAAGTGTGTTGTGTTTGTGCTTTCTCACATATATTCATTTTCCATGTTTCCATCATGCAATTTATTTTGTCTTGATAATTGTTTGGATTTCTTGTCCTTAAAATATTATTGGGGTTGGAGTATAGGGATAAGATCATAGAGTGACCCTGTACAAACATAATGCCTGCTTCTGTAGTTATTGTAATAAAGACTGTGTAGCCTCAAGACAGAAAATGTATTTTCCAGTGATATTCACTGTTATTGTGTGTTTTCCTAACCCTTGTCACACTCATCTTTCTACATACCTTATGCCTTCTAAAGTCTAAAAACAAAAAGTTAAGACTCCCTGATTTAGAGTGCATTAAAGGGATAAATTAGTGTTGAAAAACGTATTCCCTGTTGAGAGACCATGTTTCTACCCACCTCACAGGGGCATGACCTTTGAAATCAGCCATTTCTGCGGGAAATAGTGATTATAATCAATTTTAAAATTTTGAGTAAAATATGATTAAGAGAGAAAAACACACGTATTATTTTTCTCTGAACCAATAAACTATGTCTGAGTTTCAACATCAACACCAAAGCATTATGGTCTCTGGAAAGAGTTAATGAGTTATCTCCATATTGCTTGAGAATTGAATTAATATTTTCATAGATTTTTTTTAATAGATTATTAACTGGTTCACAGACACTTAAGGATAATGCATAGATATAGATGGTTTCGGATTTAATTTGAACCGTTTCACTGAGACCTTGATGTCTGTTCTTGGACTAAGGGTTGGTGGATGCCAGATTAGGAAACCATGATATATTTTGTCTAAGATTAGATTTATAACTATTAGCTGCAGGTAAAAATGGTGGAGACAGGCCCGACCCCAGTGCGAAATGATTATAGCATCTTGTGAAAACTGGAAGGGGGTCTGGTGATGAGCAGGACCTGTCATTGAGAACTCAGACCATAGTGTTCCCCCAAATTTCTCCCCCTAAAAAAGAACATTAGTTTTAAAACAAGTTGTTTTAACCATATTCATTTGCTTTGAAAATGAACACTTTGAAAACGATGAGAAAATGTCAGTCCAGCTATTGTACATCATGTTTCAAAACCTAATCAAAAACTTTCTTTTTAAGGAAAAATGTTATTTTTATCTTAGAAATTCAACAATAGTCTTCATTATACTCATCATCATATCTTGTACCATACCAGGAAGCCTGTTCCAAATGTATAACTGCTTTAAAAGAATGCGATGTGAATTACTATTTTTTTAAATTTTGGTAACATAAAAATCTATGTATCTTAATTAGAGACTTCAAAACAGCTTTTATTATATTGCCATTACAATCAAAGCTGCACTTTTAAGTATAAATGACTGCATATCCCAGTGGCAAGGAACAGGGGAAATTGCTGGACCAGAAAGTAAAGCTTCCAAGAACAAACAGCATTGGAAGAAAAATTTGCCTTAAAGCTATGGTTTCTCATGTGGAGTATGACCAATACTCAGAGAGAATCACTTCAAACGCTTGCTCCCACACCCCTCAGGTCAGTGGGAAGTTATTGGCAACATTCCTTTGGTGTGCCGGCCAATTTTTTCTACATCCTGTCAAACCTGCTTCCAGCATGGTGATGAGGCTACAAAATGTTGAGGCTGAAAACCTGGAAATGCTGATAACAAGAAGGCCCAGTATTTCTGTTCTGAGAAATAATGAAAGTCTTAGAGGAACAGCCATCCAAGCCCAATGAAAGAAACTCAGCTTTCACTCAAGACTTTGATCGAATTACGGGAAAAATAAACGGAGTAAAATTAATGCTGGCTCTCACTAAAGCCCATGCCGAATTTGGACTGAACATAGGACCAATACGAGGAAACCCAAAGCAACAAACAGTACCAGAGGCAGATCCAGGTTTTGCGAAGTCTGAAGCTTATTTAATTTGTAAGTCTCTCCTTTAGGAAATTAATTTTTAAAAACTTTACTTTTGTAAAATGTACATGTCCAATCAGCCACACACAGTGCTATGGTCCCTCAAAGGATCTTGGAAAGAGTGCATATAATTTACAGATCTGAAGATTAACCTTTTTTCACTTCACAGTGTAGCCACTTCTGAGAGACACATACATAAAGAAGGAAGAAATATATGGGTTGAATGTCCATCTAGCGCACCTGTGAGGAAAATTAAATGTGATAATATATCACCTAGAGCACAGTTAGCATTCATTTAAATAAATTTTTATTTCATCTCCCACCCTTCTTTTTCTGTTTTATGTAGATATCAACAATTGATTTTAAAAGATGAAAAAATGTTAAGAGGAGTCTTTGAAGTAGTTCCATAAAGAAAAATCTGTAACATTTTTATGGAGATTTTTTGAAATAGGGGATCTTTTGATATGGTTATTTCAAAGCTGGCATTTCCCAGTAGGATGGGGATTTTGATATGTTTTTAAAATAACATTTGAACATTGATCGATTGAGTGATTGATTTAGAATTAGCTAATATGGAAGATTTTGTTCCTGGGGAAGCAGACTCTGAGATGGATATTAGCATGCAGGAAGCTTACTGAGAGTACTGTTGGGATTAAACCGGGAGAAGGGAAGCATATCTGGGATGAGAGGGAAGTTGGGCAATGATACAGTCACTCTGAAGGCCTCAGCCAAACCCAGAGAGAACTGTGAAGATGGAATTGCTATTGTTAATCCTCCTGAGATGGGGTCTGGAGTGGTGTTTTACATCCCTACATCAAGCCACCATGAGATGCAGGCTGCCCGTGGAGGTGCATGTGATCTTTATAAGGTAGCTCTTTTTAAGCCAGGGCAACTTTCAGAGAGAGAGCTAACATATGAGGGCTATCATTCAGCTGCACTCCCAGCAACTGGGGGAATGGATCCTTTAATCTTGCAGGCTGAACCTGCGAAATGAAGCACAGGGTCCACTATAGTCTACCCCTTGCACCATCCAGATCGACTTCTTTGAGTAACTTCTGGAGCAGCTCCTCCAGTATTCTGGTGGGCATCTTGATGGGGAAAAATAAATAAAACCAAGTTAGTAGGGCAACCTGGAGCTCTTTTTTTCTACTTAAATTTCCTTGTCCCACTGAAGCTGGCTTCATGATGTTCATTATCTCCTTCCTTTTTCATCAATTTCAGGTTAATCTCCCCCTTAGTTAGCACCTTTACAGGTCTAGGTGGCTTGTGGTGTGACACAGATGCTCATCCCTGAGGTGTATGAGCCTCTGGTCACAACGCCATTCTCAGACTGTAATTACTGCATTCATTCATTCATTTGCCATAAAAACTGGCCAAGAGTGTAACAAGAGACGCTGAAATGGATTACCTCTGTGTCAAATGTATCCTTTCTGTTCCCTTTTTGTGTGAGCAGCCTCCAGATCATGGTCAATTATCCTTGCTAATAGGGTGACTTCTCTTCTTGGGCTCTATTCTCTTAGGGTGAGGAGGAGGACCCAGGCAGAAACAATAATTTTAAATAGGATTTTTGTTGTTTTGCCTAGTAGAAGCATTCCTCCTTTGGGAACCAGGGCCTTTAAACTGAAAGAGCCATTTGTGAAAATGAGAAGCACAGATTTCCTACCTAAGTCATTGGAATGATGATAAAGGTGACTATTCTTGCTTTCACACCTTGGTTTCTGGTTGTATATTTTGTATATGTTGGGTCTGACAGAACCCAGCTTTTCATGGGCAGTTCTAGTAATTGCTCAGGCATTAATGTTAATGTCAGGGGACCTTAACATCCTGGGGGATATTTTTCAAAAAAGGTTTATAATCTTTGACTACAGATGGCACAGCATTGCCCAAGAAAAATAGGCGTTTGCATTGTGATTTTCCTATTAGGGTGCTTTTTACTGCTACAGATGTATTCAATCCTGTAGCTTCTGCCAGATTGACGGTGCAAGCGCAGAGATACTTGTATTGTGGCCTAGACATGATGCTGAGCACTTCTCCTGCTCAGTACTTTTTTATTTATCCCATCATCTGTCATGGCCATTCTGACATTTCTACCTAATGCACTGTGAGCTGTGCATTGTCTCCAAACTTTTAAGAGCCATCCTAACAATGTGAAACTCCCATCTCAAAAGACTTTTGCCAAGAATTAAATCTGATTGATCTCATATCAATAAAAACTTCCATATTAAGTTTTATGTTCTACTCCTCTTGATCCTGTACCCCCAAAGTCCAGGCCCACCTGTACTCCCCAAGGTCCAACTATATGGTACACATAGATCCTGAAGATTCTTTGGATGTGTGCCTTTTGGTGCTTTACCAGACCCAGCAATTTCCTAGACAAATTATGTTGTGACAGTCTTAGTTTCTGCTGTAGTGGCAAGATGGGAAAGTGGAGGCAGATTCTGGAGGTGGCTCACAGTCTTTTGTAAGAAATAGGTTTCTGCATCATCTTCATGCAGGAAGTATGGAGGGATAGTTTCTAAGAGTGTAGTAACAGTACACAACACTTAAATAAGAACTAGTACCAAATCCTACTAAACTTCTTTTTCAGAAAACAAAGGAGTAAAGAACACCTCTTAATTCATTGTACAAAACCAGAAAAAGATATCACAAGAAAAGGAAACTACAGTCCAGTTTCTCGTGAACATAGACACACACACAAGTTCATTAATCTGTAAGTATAATGGACCATTCCTGAGGGAAAGTGTGCCTTCTATAAGGAAACTGAGCCTAAAGCCTGCATATGTGTTTATAATGTGGTGAGTTAAATTAACGTTAATACTTATACAAATCTAAAAGAAAATGTGCCATGACTGCCTTATGTTTTACCATTATTTAAAAAAAATTAATTTCCTCAATAATTATATATAGAGACTTCTGTTGGTGGAACAGCAAAATAATTGTCCCTCTTTGTTAAAGGGAATGTGCAGTATGGTCTATTAAATACAAAAAAAAATTGCTAATATTGCCAATGACCTACCTTGGGAAGAGATGGACTTCATGTTGGAAGGCTTCAGTTCAAATTTCAGCCTTTTTGAATGGAATGTTGGGAAAAGTAAGCAAGTTATCTATTTATGAATAGTTTACAAAGTTACCTATTTATGAACTCCAGGTAAATTTCCCACAGATGTATCTGTCTTACCAATTGTCACATAATATTTGTATTAATAGCTTATTTTTAGAAACACATTCACAAAAAGATCTGTGATATTTTGGAAGAGCACAAATCAATAAAAGTTGAGTTTTATGACATCATGGAATGATCTTTGCATCATTTAAATTTCAAAATAGTTTCGGTTCAGTGGCACCCACCACCGGCATATCTGAGCAGATATCAGAGTGATAGCTTTTAAGATTGTTGTTATCATTGCATTTTCTGACTTACAGGCTTTCTCTGGGTATACAGTAGCTGTGACTTTTAGAAACAGACAAGAAGTGAACCCAAACTAGAATTTCTAATTGGTTGGGCATTCCAGTGAATTCTAAAGAATATGCTTCTGTTGGTTCATTCAGGGCTAGCATAGCCAGTTGTCTAGGCTCTATTTTTCCTTCATGATACTGAGTTCTTTATGTAATATATTCATTGCTCATAACTAAAGCTTCATTTAGATGCAGGGAAGAACAAACTTCGGAATTTGACAATCAAATTGTTTGTTAGTTGATATATTTCTCACTTAAATCCCAACTAGAACTTTTAATCTGGCTAACAGATTTATGTCATTTATCACACGTAACACTCATTATTCCTTTGTATGTTCCTGGAATCACATTTTCCTGTGGGCCTGTCTATCTTTCCTTCTTGCTTCTAGCATCAAATTTGCAAATAAGATTAACTGGGCTCGAGAACCCATTCTGACACTTAGTTTCAGTGTGACTTTGGCATTTCTCTTGCCTTCTCTGAGTCTTACGCTCCTCTGGAATTTACACATTCCTGAGCCAACCTCAGTCTAAGAGATAATGAATTTCTTTAGACAGCATTGAAGTTTGGTATCCTAGGCAGATATTTCTCTTCAGTTCTCCTAAAGAATGCTACAGCTCCCATAGAGGAGTGCTCAGATAGGAAACATATACTTTATGACAAAATTCTTAACCATTTTGTTCTAATGCAGTTTAATTTTCTTTGTGTATCTTTCTAAAAATCAATACATAATTATTAGTGATTTTTTCTACTTTGTATACTTACACATTCTGGTAACTATCATTCGTATTGTTTTTTGAATCAACTGATACACATAATTATTTAATTTCCAAATTATCTTTTTTTCTGTATGTCTGCTTTTATTTTCTTCTGCCAATCTATTCCATTATATTGCTGAATATTCTATCATTTTCTTTACTTTTTTTGACGCTTATACTCCCTTGCCATTTTCTTAATAAGTTTGTTCCAGCTCACCATTTACCTTTCTCAAGAAGTCACCATTAATTAACTCTTGCTTTTTGGTTTGAAAAAAATCTTTTTGGAATATATTTGGTATGCAAAAAAGATGTCAGTATCTTCAGGGTTTGTAAATATGTGAATTACATATCTGATTACAAATAACTAAATTTAATAAAATCTCATATGACAGTCAAAGAAACTTTGTTAGAAATTTGTATTGCTTACAAAAAACTTCCAAAACTATAGCAACCCATATTTCTCAAATTCACAAAATTGATTGTGCAATGATAGCTGTGTGTACACATACATGTATACGTACACACATAGAGTGAATCAGGATGTCTTAGAAATAAGGGATATAACTTAGGTTGCTGTGTGATCTGTTCTATCCTTTTTTTATTACATTAACTGAGCAATCAATTTGTACACATGATTGTAAGAAAATGATCTTGGTTAATTTTTTTTGGGGTGGGTTGCAAATAACAAAAATTCTCACAAAGTAGTGTAGTAAAATAAACATGTACATGTTAGTGTTTGTGTATCTGCCTCCACATGTATAAAGAACAGATGCAGATTCTAAGGCAGTGGCTGTGTCTTTCTGTTGTTTTTTCTCCCCCGTCTCCATATGCTTTCTGGTATAACTTCTCTTTTTATATTTACCTCCTTTGGCTCCCTTTTTATAAAACTAGCTTTCTTCCATATCTTCTGCTGAACTTGGATGCCCTATAGCTCCTGAATTCATGTGTCTTCCACCAAAGTCACACTCTTTATAGAGACTGGCTAAAACTGGGATGTCTAGATTCTATACAGCTAGAGAAGAATGCAATTAATTAAATTCATCCTGAGGAAGCTGTGAGATGAAGTGCTTTCAGCCCAGCTTTTCCAAATTTACATGCTACCATTAATGGCTCTCTTTGTGGGTGATTCTCTGACTACCAGGTAAATTAGTAGAAGGTGATCAGCATACTCTTGAACAATGTTGTAGATTGGCTGATGTTGTAAGAGTAAATTTTTAATATTTAGTATGAACAGGATGGTAAAACTTACAGTCTATCCAGTGGCAATTAAAAAAAAATACAGTAATGCTAAGTTAGCCTCGTAAGAAATAAGCACTGCATTTACTCTTCGGGAAAGCTCTGTGCAACAGAAACAGTTGCTCTCACCAAATGGTTTCAGCTGCACATGCTCAGAAGCGTTTTCTCTCTTCTAACTAGAAGAAGATTGAAATAGTTCCCCACAAGACTCACATGCTACTAAGATAGACTTTAACACTTTCTCCTCCATTAGTCTGTGTCAGCTACTAAAAGATGAGGGAATTTCTGGGGCTTCCCTCTGGCTGGCAAGACCCCTCCCATCCCCTTAATATTCAAAGTGTGAAATCTGAGTACTGTATAGACTTTTGGCCATCACTGAAACACTTTGATTAAATTATGTGTCTATACTTGGTTTAAGTAGCAGTGGACAGATGGACAATATCACTTGCTGCAGATGAAAACCCTCTGGATAGCTATGCTTCTGAGAACATGAAAAGCCACTTCTCAGAAAGGTGGGGCATAGGTTAGCAAGACAGCCAAAAAAGGTCTACTACACACACAAATAAATCTAATATTAAATCACAGCTATTTCGAGTATTGAAAATAAACCTTTAGCAGAAACGTTAAGATGTTAAGAAAGTCAAAAGTGTATAAAATGTTGGATTCAAATGGCAATTGACCTCTCTTCAACTTGACCTTTCTGCCAGGAAGCTCCAAAGAGCTGGCCCAGAAAGATGTAACTTTCCAGAATATTGAAGTCCTTCAACACACCAAATTTAATAATTTAATCACACTAAGCTCATATCCCAAATATAAGTATTTATTTCAGATTGAAGGGCTTTACCTTTTAGTAACATGTATTTGTTTAATATACATGTATAAGTATCTGCTAAATTCTAGGCTCTGTCCGGAGTAAAAGATGATGCAGCAATGAAAAAAAAAAAAGAGGGTTAAATATTATTTTTCTTCATCCAAAAGGAAAAAAATTAAGATGCTGGTTACCACCATGTATTGCCAGGGATCTGGGAAGACAAGTATTCTCTTACACTTTGGTATGTATTAGTTCATTCTCACATTGCTGTAAGAACCACCTGAGACTGGGTAATTCATGAATAAAAGAAGTTTAATTGACTCACAGTTCCACAGGCTGTACAGGAAGCATGACTGGGGAGGTCTCAGGAAACTTAAAATCATGGCAGAAGGTGAAGGGGAAGCAGGCGCATCTTCACATGGCGGAGCAGGAGAGAGAGAGTGAATGGGGAGGTGCTACACACCTTTAAACAACTGGATCTTGTGAAAACTATCATGAGACAGCACTATGGTTTCTAATGGTGCTAAACCATTAGAAACTACCTGCATGATCCAATCACTTCCCACCAGGCCCCACCTCCAATACTGAGGATTATAATTCAACGTGAGATTGGGTGGAGACACAGATCCAAACTATATCATGGTGGCAGTGTAAATTTTAGCAATCAAACTGATAAGTGATCTGGCAAAATTTAGTATAAATAACACGCATAAACCCTGAAGCCCAGTGCTACCACTCTTAAAGACATAAGTCATTTAAGGGAAACAGACACATACATTCACCATGACTTTGCTTACGTAGCGGGGACTTAGAGGCAAACTACTAGTAGGCAAATGTGGGGGGTTTTTAAGCAGAATATCATGTGGAGGTTGGAGATACCAGATGTTCATACAGTAATAAAACTAAAAAATACAGTGCTGAGTCAAAAACCAGCGAGAAATATATAACAAAATACTTTCTGTGCATATTAAAAGCTATATACATATACCAACATTATATATGTATACGTACATATAGATAAACACGCACACATGTGCATACACACACACTTATAACATTTGAGTAGTTGTCTCTTAAGAGGAAATGGGACTAATGAGAAGGAACAAAGTAGGGAAACTAAAGCAAATCAACACATAAACAAAGGAGAGTCCTTGTGCAGACCCAAAATACCAGAAACATAGTTGACCTGTTGGATTTAAGCCCTGAACTCTACCTTTCCCCATCCTCCACACACACACACACACACACACACACACACACACACACACACACACCGAAAGAAATTTCTTAGGTGAGAAAAATGGCATCATGGTGACCTTCCTGGGATTCTCACTTTAGCACAGTAAATTCGTCGACTCTGGGGATTGGAAGAACAATGTTACACTGCCAGGATACTGGTTGCCCATTCTGCCATGACTCCCCTTGAAACAGATTTGTAGAAAATCCAAAACTAGAACAATTAGGTATATCAGCCTATTCTGCATTTTAATCTTTTTTTGGGGAGGGGAAGGGAGTATTTTCTTTTTTAAAGTTCTCATCAGCATTTCTCTTGGCCTCCTTTCCTTTTTCCTTTTTGTCCCCTTCCTTCACTCCTTGGGGTGGTGTTCTTGCACAAGAACAGATAAGGGTCTGAGATAAAAGCATTACTCATGGCCCCTGAAGCACTTAGATAAACATACTTAGAAGCAACTTGGTTTATTTGGCTTTTGAAAATATATTGCAGTTTTTATTGAGAAATAAATCTAAGCCAGAACTGTTTTATAGACCATTAATATACATAAGCTAGACAGATAAGATGTGCCTCGGAAGGAGAGTGACAACGTTGTCTCAGGCACTCTCTTCTTATGTTTTGTACTCTCCATGTCCCCCATCACAAGGTACTCCAATGATTGACTGAGAGTGTCTTTAATGCTTGAAGGTTTGGTAAAATTGACCCAAACTTCAATTCCAGGTTCTGAGGCAGCCGAAAGCCCTCCTTATGGATTCCAGATTTCTTCATGCTTCTTTCAGCTTCATTGTTCTAATGTTCTGGCTTCCCATATTGGTTGAGTCTCAAGTCAGTATAAATGCAGATCTGGCCCTCTCTCTGTCTTTCATCAGAATCCTGCTTAACATTTCACTAGTTCAGTAATTTTACTGAGAAGCTGAAGAGAAATAGGGCAGCATCACACTAACAGCCCTTGAATATTTTGTCCCTCATTTTTTTCCTCTTCCAAAATCCAAACTCCCGAAATATAACTTTCACATTCTATATTCAATCACCTAGAAACCTTATCCTTTTGTTCAAACTGCTTCTTACATATCACTGACAATATGAGCATCAAAATTGTTTTTATCTTACAATAACTGTAATTGTTTATTGACATGTTGATTCTGTACATTATACTGGGCAGAGGTCTTCACATATTTATCTTTGTAACTCCAATCCCAGAATAACAGGTACCCATAAATCATTTGTTGGTTAATAAATTAATTAATGAACAAAAGATGCCAAAATAAAAGGGAAACTAAGAGCAATGATATATCTCCAATATGAGGTATTATAGCCATAGACATTTGAAAAGCTACTGAATTCAATGGAAACCAATGTTATAAGTAAAACGAAAGGAGACGTGTTTCAGTAATCTGTAAAAAGCAGTTTAATACAATAAAGTATGATGGGCAGTGAGGCAGCTGTCTCTGAAGATGTTCACCCAATGAACCATCCATGCTATATTTATATCCTTGTATAGTCTCCCTCGCTTGAATCTTGACTGGTCTTCTGATTTTAACAATGGAGTGTGGTGGAATAGATAAGGCATGATTTCTGAAACTAGGTCTTAGGTTGCCTTGCAACTTATACCTGGATCTCTTGGAACACTTGCTGTCAGGGAAGTCTAACTCCTCTAAGACTGTAATGCTCTGCAGAAACCCAAGGTAGCCATAGACATAGGCTATGCAGAGATAGAGATAGAGATAGAGATAGACATAGAGAGAGAGAGAGAGCATGGTCAGGCCCCAGCCAGCTGTTCCATTTGAGATGCCAAGCTACAGAGAGCATTGAGTCTGGACTTGATGGACGAGATGACTCTTGGGCCAGTCACTGATGCTGGCAAGTTCTCTTGGATGACTGGGATTCTAAGTGAATTAAAATGTCACTCATCTTAAAACAAAATCATACTTGGGCAATGAAACTCCTATTAGATAAATGTCCTGATTCTTAATTTGCCTTGCACATGGTAGAACTTGTTCCTTTGCTATACATATTCTTGTAATCAGTTTTTCTCATTTTTAATCTCTGTTATTTCTTAGACTTTCACCTCTAAGATTGTATGGGTTTTTTTTCTATCGTATGTAAACTTATAATATCATGCCATCTTCCTCTCCTAAATTAAAATGTAGGGTTCTATTTCAGTTGAATTTATTTTCAAATTAAGATTTATTCTCACCAAATTCACCTAATTAACTAGGCATTTTAAAACAAATAAGTCTTTTTTCACTAAAATCACCTTTACCACACTTCTAAAGCCTGAGAAAAAAATCACATACTTTGTTAGGAAAAACTTCTTTTAACATTAAATACTTGTAAAAATCAACTAATAAACATGAAAAATAAAATAGTTGAAATAATGATTATTATGGGAAGTTACTGATTAACTTAAAATTTTAATTTAGTGTTTTTCCAAATCTACTTTTTGTTTCAGCTCATCACTATTTTTTTCTGCCTAAGAGAATACTCAACAATTTTAGCCATTAGCTGGTTTAGAATCTTGAGGTGATCATGGTTCAGCTTCTGATTAGTAACTTCAATGTGTAAGACCCTGGCTTCAGGTAAAAGTTGCATCTGGATTTGCTGGGCAAATTTTATTATAATTAAATAATTTTCTGACAGCCTGTTTTATAGTACACATACTTTTTTTTCCTTCTAAAATTTAAGTACATGAGAAAAAAATGTTTGCTGATACAGAAGTTTGGTTTTTTGAGCAAAAGTTACTGCAATATGATAAGACTTTTTGGCTAGGTTTACTGCAATCACATCCAAGTATCAGAGCAAACAATACGCAGCCCTTTTGTATAGTTCCTGCTTATGATGCAGTGGGAATTTAACCCGCATTGTCTGTTTCCATTTCGTAATAGTTTCCAAAGCAACGGGTTCATGAATTCATACTGTTGACTAATTTTGCTGGATATATGTGGCCTCAGTATTCTAATTCTGGCTGGAGCCCCTAATATTTGATATAATCTGACTGATTTTTGTGAGGCACCTTCTCATAAGTGCAATATTAAAAATAATGTTCTATCCACTTATATCCACCCTATATTATACTTCCTTTATATAGCACTCAGTTTGAAAAGAAATATTCTATTGATTTTTGATGTGCTTTTAAAAACATAACATTAATTTCTGTTACTTCATTTTAATTTTTCTCACAGGCCTTCAGGCTGAGATTTAGTCTAAGCTCCCAAGGCCCGTCAAAAGCATAATGGGAAATTTTCTTCTAAGTACCATGCCTTATCCAGTATCACGCTCTTCGAAGCCAATTTTTACCAAAGTTGAGATTCCCTAACCTATCTTCAGTGAGAAAATTACATTTCACAGGCCTTTTAAAATTAAATGTTCAAGATAATGTTCTTTTTTTTGACCACGTTGGTGTGTGTGTGTGTGTGTTTGCATGCACATAATTTACCACTTTCATTCTAATAACAACAAAACATATGCCCTTCACTACTATCTTTTCTACTCTTCCTTTTGCTTTTTAGCTTGTGTTACTTTTAGCTCCATTCACAGGCTTCTTACCCTCTCCTTATCTAGTATCACAGCACCTCTCTTATTATTGAGGCAGCTTTTCCAATCAGAAGGTGAGCTAATACAGCTTCCTGAATACTGAAAATAGCCCAGTGTGACAATAGGACCACATATACTCCGGATGCTTTACCGATCCCTCCACCTGGCACATTTCTTCTTATCAGTCTTTAGGAAAGGAGAGCACTTTCTTTGCAATCACAGGGTGATAGAGTCCTAGAACAAAATAACCCAAAATAATATGCAGGAATACTCTGATTCTCATATGCTGAGTTAATTCTTCCTCCCTTGGGTTCCTGGAGCACTTTCTGCTTACATCTATTACAGTGCAGTCATCACATTGAATCTAAATGCATCTTTTCATCTACTTATTAAACATATTTACTGTGTGTCTACTATGTGCCAGAATTAAAACAGACACATATCCTCAAAGAGCTTCTAATCTAACAGTAAGGAAGACAGTAAACAAGATAAAGCATGGACGTGGTCACAGATACCACAAGGCATGTGTTTCTCCTAAAAGATCATTAAGAGTCATGGTCCTTTAAAAAAGACCAAACTTCAGGCCAATCTGGGGATCAGGAGAAAATTCCCAAGGAACAAACCATGAGAAGTCTATTGAAGCGACTATGGTGAGCTTCTATATTGCAGTTAACAAAGATTCTTTCATCTATTCCTTAAAACAATCCAGGCAAGTAGAAGTTTTTTAAATATAGTCAATTAGTAGAAAAGAAATAAAAGGCTCAGAAAGGAAAAGACACACACGGCAAACTTGAAAGTAATTTTGAAAAGCAAACATCCAAAACTTGAACAATAGAATTACCAAGTGTCCATTCCAAAAAACTATTAGAAAAATCAGTTCTGTTGATCTGTGCCATGTTACTTTGGATATAAGCAATCCAGTAGGATGTGTGATTTCCATTTTACATGGTATGTATAGTCATATTCATGTCACCCCCTTCCCAAGGAAAAGGAAAATCAACTCAAGCATTGTCTCTTCTCCTTATGCAAGGAACCCACCTCAGTCCAACCACTCACAACTACACAAAGGCTGGGAGAAGAAAAGCAGAGACCACCTAAATGTTAGCATCTTCACCCGGAGCAGTCCTCTTATGTGAAAATAAATAGAGGAAAAGGTTGTGACTGGGCCTGAACTGAGCATTTCCAAGTACCCTCCCTCTCCACCCCCCACCATACACACACCCCATCTTTCCCACATGGGAATAAAGGGGCGGGGTTAATTCAGACAGAAGCCACGTGCTCATGGTAAATGAAGTGGGAACCTTTCCCTGGGAGGCAATCTAGGTAAATCTGCCAGTTTTTCAGACCTCCTGCCAGGGTATCCTTGAGGTACAAAGTAGGTTGTGAAGTTTGGACAAAGTGAAGTATATGGGGAGCACAAAATATTTCTTCTCAGGCCTCCCAGATTTCTGCTACAAAACTCACACGGGAAGGAGAGTCCTGGCTGTTTCTCGCAGTGCCAGTGGTTGGCAGAAACCTCCACTACACAGGCTCTAAATGCTTCTTTGCCAGATAGTGTATGAGAGACCAAATATAAGGAAGGGCAATATCCTGGGGTAAATTTCAGATTTTATTAAAAGTATAAGTTTTAAAGTTGAGGAATGTAAGTTCCATTCTAACTCACATATCCTGTTGACACAATCATTTTAAACATGCTGTCACCACTGATATCATTGGTCATCTATAAGGCACCCCCCCATTCTTCCATGTGCCCTGCCTCAATCTTGGCTATAACTGAGTATTGTGACTTCCCCTTCTACATTTTCTCTCTAACCTACAACCTTAATTGGGAACATAACCCTAGAGTAAAACTGACCATGTTTTTTTCTTAATACAATGTTGTACATGGTCATTAAAAAAAATACAGGCAAAAATGGTAAGAAATGGAAATGAGAGCACATAATAATAAAATCACTCATGTTATTAATTAGAAATACCAGTTATATATATATTTAGGTTGACAATGGCACTGCTACTGACATCCGGAAGTCCTAGTTACCACTTACTACTTTTTTTTCTCTTTTTCTACTTTTGTTTGTTTGTTTGTTTGTTTTTTTGAGACAGGGTCTCACTCTGAAACCTAGGTTAGAGTATAGTGGCATACTCACAGCTTACTGCAGCCTCCAACTCCTGGCTTCAAGTGATCCCACCATCTTGGCCTCCCAAAGTGCTGAGATTATAGGTATGAGTCACCACACCCAGCCAATTATTACTTTTTAATACTATTTTCTTCTCCTTCCCGGAAAGATAAATAGGATTCTGATGATGGTTAAAGCAGTCTTTTATTGAAAGTTCAGGCTGAGCGCAGTGGCTCACGCCTGTAATCCCAGCACTTTGGGAAGCCGAGGTAAGTGGATCACTTGAGGTCAGGAGTTCAAGACCAGCCTATCCAACATGGTGAAAACCTGTCTCTGCTAAAAATCCAAAAAAAAAAAAAAAAAAAAAAAAGATAGCTGGGCGTGGTGGCGGGTGCCTGTTAAGTCCAGCTACTCAGTAGGCTGAGGCAGGAGAATCCGGGAGGCGGAGGTTGCAGTCAGCCAAGATCATGCCACTGTACTCCAGCCTAGGCAACACAGCAAGACTCTGTCTCAAAAAAAGAAAAAAAGAAAAAAAGGAAAGAAAGTTCAAATAGTACTACCAGCAGGATAGGGGAAGGAAATAAGATATTAACTCTCTGGTCTAATTATCTTATTAGTTGTTACCCCACAAAGTGAGAATGTCTATTGCTTAAATCCTTGGAGGAGGTCCACACGGGGGATCTCCTGGTCCCTAACTCTCTCCCTTCATTCATCATGACCTGCAGTCTTCTGATATTTTCTTTCCTATTTGGTGTCTTGTATTAGAGTCTCTTTTGAGATGTGCCACATCTTCGGTCAGAAAAAAATACTATTCCAGTTGCCACTTACTATTCATTTTTCAAAATTTTAATCTTCAGAGCTGCTGGAATTCTCTGAAAATCAATGACTTCTTCTGCCCAGTTTCTGCTGGTTTTGTGCAGGGAATGAGGTAAAGTTAGGTGCAGTGTTTCATCAATGTGGGACGAATCTGTGGGGGAGTTTCCACTCTGGGAAGTGTTGTACATTTTCCTAAAGTTACTGAAACCATGTATCTTACAGCCTTACATGTCTTCTAAAATGTACCTAACTGACATGATACAATAAATTGTGTCTAATTAACACAATTTCACCCTAATTTTTTTGCAAAGTAATAACTCTGACCCAAGGAGACATTTTCATCATATTTCCCATCTACACACACACTCTGTCTCTCAGTGCTCAAGGTGAATTCATAATACTTTCTGATTTCAATTAGAATGATTTCAAATAACTTTTTTTTCATACTTCCTAGGTTTTTCCTTGACTACCTGAGAAGTTTCCTGTTCACCTGCTATTTTCTCCCTCATACATAATTGTCTCAACAAAATTTTTGGTTAACTTGTATGCTACTGCTTTGCTTAACCAATATTAAATTCCCAACATTTTGGTTCTCTCTCTCCCCACCCCATCCCGCCCTCCCGCCCATTCCCTTACCACCCTATTCTATTCTATATGATGTTGTGATCACTCTCCTGCTAGCTGAATCTTTTTAAACTAACCCCTATTCTGGCCTTTGAATAATGTTCTAGAAGTGCCACATCAAAGAGTATAAAATTTACAGGTCCATAGAGTCGAATTCGATTGCTGGCAAGTTGCATTAATTTTCACTCCTAACAGCCATGTTTCAGAATGCATGTTTTTTGCACAACACTGGCCATTTTGGCTTGTTAACTTCTCATCCATTTGATAAGCAAAAATAGCACCAAATTGTTATTATATTTCATGCATGGATATGTAAAAGAAAACATAAGGATGGGTTTGGATAGAAGATAATTAAGATAGAAATCGGCCGGGCACGGTGGATCACACCTGTTATCCCAGCACTTTGGGAGGCCAAGGCAGGTGGATCACAAGATCAGGAGTTAGAGACCAGCCTGGCCAATATGGTGAAACCCCGTCTCTACTAAAAATACAAAAATATTGGCCGGGCGTAGTGGCGTGTGCCTGTAATCCCAGCTACTCGGGAGGCTGAGGCAGGAGAACTGCTTGAATCCAGGAGGCGGAGGTTGCAGTGAGCCAAGATCACACCACTGCACCCCAGCCTGGGTGACAGAGTGAGACTCCATCTCAAAAAAAAAAAAAAAAGAAACAACAAAAAAAGAAAAATCAAGTAATGAATGCAACACATATTGTGTGCCTAATTTGGGGTAGAAGCATACATTTTAAAATTTATAATATTTTTTAAAAGTCAGAGTTCAGAGCTTAATTCTTCCTCAGACACCTTGCTTTTTCTCATATCTGCTGTTTTAGTCTATAGAAACATATTATTTTTACTTTAGAGATTTTGGTAAGCCAAAATACATTTCACATTTCTAGACTTTTAGTAAATTACAAAGCATGTTTCCAACTATGCCACATTCCTTTGATGGGTGATTTTGTTCTTACTTAAAAATGATGAGGACATCGGGGCCCAAAGAGTTCAGAGATTTCCCCACAGTCACAGATCTAGTTAGTGCCAGATCCAAGGCTGTACAGGGAAAGAAAAGAATTGATGCTTCTTTTTGCTCTACTTCCTGGGAAATTCTCACATTAACACTGGCTCAGTGAGTAATGAATAGATTCTTTCAGAAATAGAGTTGTCACAGTCTGACCTAAGTTAGCAAGCTTTTCATTTTGCTTAGACAAAGAAAACAAAATGTTAGGCTGGCTTCTCAGCCTGAGGGCCTTGGAGTGAAGGAAGCTTTCTATAGCGGGGATCCTTTCAGCTACACTGGGCATGAATTAGCCTTCTAGAGAGCACACATTCTGCATGGATGTGGGCATATCCGGATTGTTATTTACCTTCACTAGAGGGCAGGTAACCCAATGCGACCACAGACCCTCCAGACTTCAGCAGGCAGAGCTGAAGAATGTAGATTTGGATCTTATATTTGTATAGCATCGTTCAGACGAGACTTTGGGAGCCAATTGTCAAAACTACCATGAAGCTGTGAAACACTAGCTGTCCATCAGTAAGCACGCAGGAGGCCCTGGACAACAGAGGATTCCTCTATCTTTTACATATGGAGAGGAAATATCATGAAGCAGGCTCATAAATAATTGCCCATACTTGATTTGGGAGTGAAAAGCTCCTGAAAATGATGCTTTAGACTCGAGGGCTGTAATCTAAAATTCCCTGAACTCTATGTGAGGGGAAAATCTTCAAGGTGATTCGGTCATAGCCAGGATCCTCTTAGTTTTTGAGGGTTTTGTCTATCTCCTCCCCTGCAATGTTTTAGGCAAACATGATCATATCTGATTTATGCCAGAACACAGACAGGTAAGTATTATTGTCTCCAATTCAAAGATGAGTAACAGCAGCTTAGTGCAACTGAAAAGGCATATATTGCTGGATACCATTACTTTCTAAAACAGGCAGATCGTGGAAAAAGGAAGGCTGTTTGTTTTAGTGTACACTTTGACAGATTTGGATATAAGAAAGTATTCTGAAGTGAAGCATGTCAGGCAATACTAAAGAGAACTGAAAGGTTTTAAATAAAAGTGAGAATTTGGGAGTTTCTGGGGTGAAAATGGGGATACAGAAGAAGAAATGAGAATTATTAACAAGAAAGAAGATTCTGGAAACCACCTGTGAAAATTTCCGTTAAAGGACTAACTGAAGGTACTTTTAAGTATGATTTGCCAGTAACATTTATTTGTGTTTTGGGGATCCTATTATGTAAAACCCCCTTAATCTTTAGAAAACTCAGAAGTTTCTTGAAGAGATTGTTTTAACATGGGTAAATAGAAAGTAGGGGATAATGATGTGAAATAAATCATTTTTTCCTTCACAAAATATATAGCTATATTTGGGTAAGGTTTACACTTCAGAATGTTAGGACTGGTTCTTCAGAACACTCCTAGGTCTCTAAAGACAAGAAATCCCCAGAAAACAATTCAGCTACATTCAGAAAATCAGTGTGCATCTAAGACGTCTGAAGAAAAAGCAAGAGAGAGCTGTTTTTCATGTTTCCATGCCTCTGCATCCAAGCCTCTCATGTGGAGAGCAGTTAAAGATTAGGTAAAAAATATATATACATGTATAATAAATGTCTACTTACGTAAGTCCTAATTAGTCTGATAAATACAACCATATGCCCTATAATGACATTTCAGTCAATGACAGATCACATATATGATCTCCAACAAGATAATACATGGATCTGACAATTTTTTATTATCAATGTCGTAGCCTTCATAACGTCTTAATGCAATGTATTATTCATGTGTTTGTGGTGATGCTGGTGTAAACAAACCTACTGTGCTACCAGTTATATAAAAGTATAGCACATGCAATTAGGTACATGTAATTAGGTACAGTATAGCACATGCAATTAGGTACAGTACATAATAGGCACAGTACATAATGATAATAAATGGCTATGTTACTGGTTAATGTGTTTACTGTACTATACCTTCTATTGTTATTTTAGAGTGTACTCCTTCTACTCATAAAAAAAAAAAAAGAGGTTAAATGTGAAACATCCTCATTAAGGTCCTTCAGAAGGTGTTCCAGAGGAAGGCATTGCTATATCATAGGAGAAGACAACTTCATGGCATGTTACGGCCCCTGAAGGCCTTCCAGTGGGACAATATGTGGAGATGGAAGCCAGTGTGATATTGATGATGCTGACTCTGTGTAGTCTTAGGCTAACAGGTAAGTGTGCCTTAGTTTTTAGCCAAAAGGTTTTTAAAAAATTAATAGGAAGGCCAGGTGTGGTGGCTCACACCTGTAATCCCAGCACTTTGGGAGGTGGAGGCAGATGGATCACCTGAGGTCATGAGTTAGAGACCAGCCTGGTGAAACACGTCTGTACTAAAAATACAAAAATTAGCCAGGCATGGCGGCATGCGCCTGTAGTCCCAGCTACTCTGAAGGTTGAGGCAGGAGAATTGCTTGAACATGGGGGGCGGAGGTTGCAGTGAGCCAAGATCGCACCACTGCACTCCAGCCTGGGCGACCCAGCGAGACTCCATCTCAAAAAAAAAAAAAAAATTAATAGGAAAAATGTTAATAGAATAACAATATAAAGAAAGGAAATATTTTGTACAACTGTATGTGTTAGTTAGGTGTTATTAAAAAAGAGTCAAAAAGTTTAAAAGAAAATTTATTTCCAATTGATACCCATTTTCATGTCTACAAAGATTAATTAAATACAATTATATTTAGAGCATAGTCTGTGTGATCATCTGGGTATGTGAACTGGTGGTTTTCACTTGTAAAACATTTGCCCATTTAGATATTTATTGAGAAACTACTTTGTGCTTGAAATTGTATTAGGGTGATGTGGTGGTGATTATGACAGGTAAAAAAACAGGATCTTCACCTTTTCAAGAGAGGTCCCTAAGGAACATGTAACAAGAGAGGTACTGGGGGCATTCTAAAAGGCTTTTGGTAGAGGGAATTACATCTGACCTGGAATATGAATGGCAATTAAATGAAATTGTTAGAAGTCATTTCTTGGTAAATCAGTCACGTATTTCTTGAATCTCAGTGAAGGCAGACCTAGATCTACCTACATATATTAAAGACAATAAATGTGTCCTCCATTTTGTTTTAGCTTATGCATATTTAAGGGATATGAATTAGCTCTAGAGTTTTATCTATGCAATGGAACATTTATGGATAGAATTGTGTAATTCGTGATGGTGACGATGACAATAAGGGGAAAAGAGGAAAAAGAAGATAAATAATGTGGAGGAGGAAGAACAGGAAGACAAAGAGGAAAAGAAGGAGGAGAAGGAAGTAATCAGTGCATTTTGGCTTTTGCTACTATCACTTAAGATTCCCACTCTTATGTGAACTCCCCCAACAATGATAAGATATCATCAAAGAGAATTGACTGTCAAATTACTTCCCAAATTAAACTGCAGCAGAACGTATCTCTCTGGGAACTGACGAAATGAGAGACCTAATTTTTTTATGACATTAGAGATCATTTCATCCAACTGTCTCATTTTACACATAATGAATCTAGGGCTGAGAGAGTTGAAATATCAGCTGTCAAATTCCACAGTGGATTTGTAGCAGAGTCTTATTGAAACATAATAATGGTATTCTATAAAGGTATTATGTTAAAGTACAAAAAGAAATGAACTCTGAAAAATAAAACAATTTTCATGTCTGCTTCCATTCTTTAATATTGTTTTCCCAAACCACAATGTCCTTGAAAATTATAAATGGTCATATATTTGCATGGTGATTTTTTCTCTCTTTTTTCTATTTATTGTCTGAAGTAATTTAAAATATAGCTTTCATTCTATACCCTTTTATACATTTCCTATCTTTGATCAATACACCTCAGTCACCCACAAAATTTAGGTTACTTATTTTATAAACAATGTGGAACTTATTGGATCTTACAAATCACTGAACATTAGTGGAGATAAATGACATGAAAAATTTAGGTTCTTTTTTTTTGTATGTGGCTCTACAGCAACTTAAAAAGAGAAGTTAAAACACAATAATATTTTAGTGTTAAAATATTCATAAGGACTTTGTTCTCCTATATTTGTTATAAGCTGAGATATTACCTGACAACGAAAGTTAATGCTTTTTAACCATAGTTTTTTTTTTAAAAGCCCTAAGATTTTCCCACACAAACTAGATCAACTTTCTCTTTTAAGCTACCCTAGAATTATAAAAGGGTAATATTTACTAAGGAAAACAACGAGGTTCTAGTATGAGTTTTGCTTTTAAATGGTCAAGCACTGTGTTACAATTTTTACATTGTAACATATTTATTTAATTTTTATATTGATTATACAGAGGCATTTTCATTTATTTAATTTTTATATTGATTATACAGAGGTATTTTCATTTAATTTTTATACTGATTATACAGAGGTGTTTTCATTTGATTTTTACATTGATTTTACAGAGGTATTTCTATATTAAATATGCGAAAACTGAGTTTCAGAGACTGAATCTCCTTATATTAGTCGCAAGGATTCCTTTTGCCTTTAAAAATAAATGTCTTTACCTTGACTTGTGTGACCTACATGATTCTAAATAAATTTGGCCACTGCCTATGTCTCCCGTCCTATTATACCAGTGTTTACCTTTCTTACTACATTACACCAGCTTTCCACATTAGACTTTTCCTGCTTTACAGCCTTTACATCTTCTCTTCTCTTCTCTTGCCTCTTCATACAGCCAACTTCTTCCCCCTACTCAAAATTTAAGTTTCATGCCAACATTTCAGAGGGCCTTCTTTGAACTATCTATCAAAAAGTGGTTAAAAGAGTTTTCACCCTCTCAGCAACCTGTTACTTAATACTTATCACAATATGTGATACATTTATTATTTTATTCCACAGTCTCTATGGGGATGGGGTCTTAATTTGGAATAACTAGAGTAAGTTAGGTGCACAGAAAATGCGAAGAAATGAACGCTTAAAAATGGAAGAAGTCAATAAAATGAATTGGAACTAGGTGTGCTTCACAGTGATCATATTTTCTGTTCTCTCCTCCACTGCCCCCATTTTATTTGTGATATTCCATTACACAGGTAAGCCGCACCTATACTTTGACTGGGATATCTCCCTTCTCTGAACTCTGCTGCCCTCTAGGAGTTATTATAAGTTAATTAGACTTATTGGTCAATAGTTTATGGTTGTATAGCTTATCTTCCCATCTTGACTGCAACCTATGTAAGTCATAGTTTGTACCTGTGATAATGCTAAAGGATTTCTCATCAGTGACACCATCGTATTTCACTGGCCAGAACTGGACCCAGGATCCAGTGTAACCATCAGAAGGACAAGAAGCGAAACTCATCACATGTCCAAAGAGGGGAACAAGAGTATTTGTGAATATAAGTAATGACTTCAATGGGAAGAATAAAGGAAGAGAGAAGAAATGAGAGAGAGGAAAGGAAAACAGAAGACAGAAAAGAGCTAGAAGAGTAGAGTGAAAATAGTAATTGAGGATTATAATTGTGACAGCTTTTTGGATGTATCAACTCGGTTAGGCTAAAGTCTCCAGTTACTCAACCAAACACTAATATAGGTGTTGCTGAGAAGAGATTTTGCAGATGTAACTAAAGCCCTTAATCAGTTGACTTTAAGTAAAGGAGATTATCCTGGATAATCTGGATGGAGCTGACTTAATCAATTGGAAAGCTTAAATGCAGAGCTTGGGCTTTCTCTGACTAAAGACATAAGAAAATGGCTTCAGTTACAACCTGTTGAATAAAATAAACTGTCTTTTCTGAGGAAGGCACTTTGAACAACATTTAAAATTCATATACTCAGTTCAAATCATGAAATGATTCTTAACTGCAAAAAGTTGACATGAATTGAATACCTAAACAAATGCAGTTCTATAAGAATAAGCAAAGCTAAATATTAGAAAAGAAAGCGTGAGAACCAATCAAGGAAGTGAGAAAATGTTTATTTTCATTCTCCCAAAAAACAAAAACAAAAGCAAAACAAACAAACAAAAAAAAAACTACAACTTTTTCTCAGGGTTTTTCAGTAAAGGACTGTGGATAAACTACCAAGTTTCCACTTCCCACTGTGTCCCTTGTAGAGATTTGGCTTTGGGGGACTTTAGATCTAGTAGCTGCCAAATTTTGACTCATTCATCTGGGCAAGTGCCATGGAGACAGACTTCTGAGGATAGCAAACCCTAGTGTTTTAATTCAAAACGAGATTGTATTGAAAGGAGACACCTGAGCTGATTGGGGCCTCTTTCCCAAAGATGCTATTATGGCAGGGTCTTAAATATTCCACGTATCCTGAAATGCCACTGCATTTCTTAATGCCATAGAAGGACAAAACAAGGACGTGCTTGGGGGAGAGAGAGGATGAAGGGCCATGTCAGAAAGAACTAGAAATAAAAATATATCAGAATGTGGGAACTTCTCCTTTTTGTGGTCACCTCATTTGGGAAACTGGGCCAAATGCTCCCTTCTTCTGAACAGAGTTATGTAACTTACTCAAGAACAGCAGTTAAACATGCATTCAGAGGTCTTGGTGACCATCATCATTTAGCACCTGTCCCCAAATTGCATACTCTCTGGGCCCTGAGTTGTAGGCAAAAGAAAGTTGGATGTATATGGGTCAAGAAAGTATGGAAGTGGAGAAAGGAAATAGGCATGGCTTCAAGAGAAAACCAGCTTTTCACAGGCCATGTTCACATTGCATTGTCACCACCCTGATGGTCCTCAGGACACTGGTGATCTCATTAGAAGAAATGTGCGGGGACAATACACTCTCCTCTTGTTAGGATGAGAGTACGTATGTTTCATGGTGATGGGGAGAAAAGAAGCAGAAGGGATTTGAAAGCAGATCGTTTCTTCACAAACTAAAACCAGTTTTATTCTAACTTGTGTACAGTGAGGGAGCTGTAAGGATGTGAATAGTTGGCAGAATGTTGGGGGTTAGATGCCCTGATTCACCGTCTACATTTTGCTAGACATTCACATAGGCCAGGAGGAGGCAAGTTATAGTCCACAGGCCAAACCTTGCCCACAGCCTATTTTTCTAAGTAAAGTTTTATTGGAACACAGCCATACTTGCTTATTTATATATTGTATTTGGTCGCTTTCTTACTACAACAGCAGAGTTGAGAATGGCCTGCAAAATTTAAAATATTACCATATGATCATTTACAGGGAAATGTTTCTTGACTCCCAGCCTAAATATTAAGGATATTTGGAAAAATAAAACATTACCCTTTCTTTGTCCACAAAAACCCAATGAACTTGAAATAGATTATTTTAAAGTAACCTGATACATGCTAAGAAATAAAGTATACACACTATGCTATGGAATCAAACAAGATGAATGCTTAAGTCAGCCAGAGTAATCAAGTAACCTTTCCTGGAGAAGCTGATCCCTAAGTTTGGTTAAGTCACTTTTTATATGCCTATTATATGCCTGTTTTAATTATTTATCATATTTTCTTTCCAACCTTCTCCAACTCTTTCTAGCTTCTATCTACCATGTTGCCAGCTCTCATAATTTTTTCTCTTCTGGTCTTTTAATCACCGTGTTGTATATATAAATGAAATTTATTAACATTTTTGTCTTTGAAGTCTGGGTTTTAAGATATGCTAGAAAAATCTCCTATTCTATGGCAAAATATTAATTAAATATTAATATTTATCTTAATCATTGTATGCATATGGATTTTTTGGCTTATGTAGATTCAGCTGTATTTATTTATATGGCCAGACAACATTTATAATATTAATTATTGTGTAATTCACTTTTTCTACATTATATTGGAATTTTGCTTTTCACATCCATATATTTTGGTCTAATGCTTAACTACACTTTGTTTTAATGATCTTGCATGTTTCTTCCTGTGCCAGTACCTTACATTTCACAATTATGGAAGTTCTGAAATATGTCAATATTTGGCAGGGCTCTTCTACTTTTATTACTAGTTTTTTCAAGTCTTCATTTTTTTAAATTTCATACTTATTTTTACAAGTATATTTTAGAATAATAATGTTATCAAATAGCTCTCCAAATTTCTTGCTGTAGTGAGTTTACTTTTAATTTATGCATAAAGACAGAGTAAACTGACATTTTTAGAAACTTGCATTTTCCAAATCAGAAACAAATACATCAGGGGTTATATTTTCTAGTAATACAGACTAGATATTCAGAGAAACTTTCTAGCTATAGAATACCTGAAATGTTTAAAATATACATTTTGAAATATATGGCTGACCTAGCAGAAAAAATGCTTCGAGAGGGAAAAAATTATGAAATGGACTAATTGAGACAGGTGAACAGACGTTAAACCTTACATTTCTCTTGAGGATGTGAGATTGTCCTTTGTGGTTTAGAACTGTGGTTTATACGGACTATCAATCTAGAATAAGAAATAAAGAAATAAGAAAAATAAATAAGGAAATAGAAATAAGAAATAAAGCCTAAGGCCCATGCAAAATAAGATGTCTCTCCGGTCAGAGACCCCTGCAAGAAACCCGAACCCTCAGAGAGACAGCCCATAGAGAATAAACCAGAAAGCACAAAAACAAAAGTAAAGGGCTTATTCTCAGAGGAGGATGTAACTATGTTTAGGCATGTGGATAGTAGTAGAAATAAAGAATAAAAATTTCCACCCCCCCTAAGATTTTTCTAACTATAAACCTGATTTCATGCCTGTTTTGAGAGAGAATTCACAATCTCGTCACTAGTTGAAAATACAGAAAGTAGATCTTTTAGATTAAAGGGACCCTAGAGATATGCCTATATGAACCTAGAGAGGCAAACACAAATCGCTGGTGGGGAAATAAAATTCAAAGTCAGAATATAAAGATAAAATCTCAGAGACTATTAACTCACAATAGATACATAAGACACATGCCAACAGAACCAAGATTAAGTTTTAATATTGAACGACAGAATCAGAGATAAAAGCGCACTGATGTTGGAAGTATCAGATACAGGATATACAATAATTGATTTTAATATTTTAAAAGTTTGTACAGGGGACCTAGCTAAACCAGAGGCTATCAACTCTAACCTTTTGAAAAACTAAACAGAAAAGTCAAGAAAGTTTAAAAGTACAGAAGAATTTAAATTAGAGGCCAGGTGCAGTGGCGCACACATGTAATTCCAGCACTTTGAGAGGCCAAGGCAGGAGGATTCCTTGAGCCTAGGAGTTCCAGACCAGCTTGGGCAATATAGTGGGACCCTGTCTCTACAAAAAATAAGATGTAAAAAAATTAACCAGGCTTGATGGCATGCATCTATAGTCCCAGCTACTTGGGAGGCTGAGGCAGGAGTCACTTGAACTAGAGTGGTCGCCACAGTACTCCAGGCTGAGCAATAGATTAAGACCCCGTCTCAAAAAAAAAAAAAAAAAAAAAAAATCAACACATTGGTTATGCATCAGTTTAAACACAATTGAATAAAGAGTAATTTGAAGATAGGTTTTTACAAAACAATGCAGCACAGAAAGACTAAGTGATAGACACTATGGAATAAATATTAAACTAGATAATAATAGAATATGCATTTTTAAAACATCTCTCTAATTGAAATCCCAGAAGTCAGAATAATGAAGTAAAGGACGTATTTGATATAGGGTTGTACATTGTCCTCTCTTTAAGATAGACAGGATTACATATATGTTCATTGTATTCAGAAACCACAGATATTATAAATTTGATGCGTCAAAATATTAGAATAAACCAAAGAATTATGACATTAAAGAGATGAACAAAAAAGTAGTCAAAAATTAAAAACAAATAGTTTACTTGCCACGAATGAGACATAATTTTGCAACAGTAAATAAAAAGCCTTAAAAAAGTCTAATACTGTCTACAATATGAGACACAAAAACAACTCTCAGTTAAGATACATTTCAAGAGTGAATTAAGAATTCAGACATACAGGCCGGCGCGGTGGCTCACGCCTGTAATCCCAGCACTCTGGGAGGCCGAGGCGGGCAGATCACGAGGTCAGGAGATCGAGACCATCCTGGCTAACACGGTGAAACCCCGTCTCTACTAAAAATACAAAAAATTAGCCAAGCGTGGTGGCGGGCGCCTGTAGTCTCAGCTACTAGGGAGGCTGAGACAGGAGAATGGCGTGAACCTGGGAGGCGGAGCTTGCAATGAGCCGAGATCACGCCACTGCACTCCAGCCTGGGCAAAAGAGCAAGACTCCGTCTCAAAAAAAAAAAAAAAAAAAGAATTCAGACATACAAAACGTGGAAAGGTTTGCTAATACCGGGCACCACTATAAAAATTTAAAAATATGCTTGGGGAAAAAGAAAAATAATGTCAGAGTAAAGGTAAGAGATAAAAAAAGAAAGGACGATGAGGGCAAAAAGAGTATACCTGAGTAATTCAAGAAAAATCAAGATATTAAAACAAGAGTCATAAATATGATAATGATATCTAATTTTTGGATTCACATATCATAAGATGGAACTTAATGTCTCAATTCCAGTAACATTTAAGTCAGGAGAAAATACAACCCACATTATTCTAATATCCTTGTATGATTTGAAATAATACTAAAACTGTTTTTTAAAGTTATATATAAATTTGATTAAGTTAAATATAAATTTAAGTACAGCTAGTACCAGTGCTGAAAGTGTGTGTTAACTTTTAAGTTGATAAAGAGAAAAAATAATAAAATGAAAATCCTAATACCAAGATTAGTATTAGGGGACATTAATTAGAGGACAATGAGGTATCTTTTTCACAAGTGTTTCATTTGGGCTTCCTCTCTGACAGGCAAACTGCCTCTTTCCTTGCTAGAATTTCCGATTGCTTTTTCATTTCAAATAGGGACTCTGGGTGTAGCCTGCTAGACCCTAACCATAGAGCTGGTTTACTCAGGAATTTGGGTTTCCTTTCAACTCTTCGTCCAGCTCTTGTGTGAAGCTTTTTAAAGGTTAAATTGTTTGGCTTGGATGTCACCAAATGTAAGGTATGGACAAACCTAGAAATGTAAAACCCTTTTATCTTTCTCTTTAAAACATGCAGAGCCAACCACAGAATATGAATCCTACTGTAAAATCTTTTAAAAAATTGCCCAGAAGGAAATGATATGTGGATTTATTAGGTGAGTAACATACTAAGGAAGTGACAGCAGAACCACAAGGAGAAGAGCAAATCTTCAGACAGGACCATTTGGCAAGAATCAACTGTGCCTGAATGTGATGCGGAACCACATCCTTCTAACCCAACCCTGCTGGGTTGCATGGAGTTAAGTGTCTTCCATAAGCAAGAAGTAAAACAAACTCCATGGGAACTCGCTAAAACTCAAGCCTCATTTCCCAAGTTTATTTATTTTCTTGTTCCTGTTGACTTTTAATATAACACAGTCACCCAGGAATTTTTGCACCAATTAGTCTCTGATTTCACCATTTCCTATCTAGATTTCTGACCAAACGGCTTCTCCCAGAACAAGTTCTGAAACCTAATCTTTATTTCTATGACTGTCTAACTTGTTCTTTTATCTCCACTTGTCAGCTTTGCCCTTTCCAGCCCCGGAGGTTGCTGATATCACTGCAGAGTGGTAACGGGTTCTGAAGATGGGCCAGACTGCTTGGGCTTAGATCTTACCTTTGCAATATACTAGCTATGTGTATAATATTGGAGGAAGCAATGAATCTCTTAAATATCCCTTTTCTCATCAGAATGGTAGAGAAAAATAATCAGATTCAGAAAAACAATCACAAAAAGGAAAAAGTGTAAAAACATACGGTTCTCAGAGGAAAGATGGCAAATAATCAAATACATAAATTACAAGAGATGAATTTTTTGGATGCAATTTTCTTTTATCAAATTGTTAGAATTCTAGGAAAAATTTTGGTGATATCTAGTATAAGGGTCTGAGAGAATAAGAACTTTAACAAATTCTTGTTAAAAAAATAATTCTGACTTTTTGAAAATAATGGTCTCTCTCTAAAGGGATATTTTTAATGTACTTCATATGAATACTTGTGTATGTGCAACAACATATATGTAATTGGATGTTGACTGAAAATGTTATATTGGCACAAAATGCAAACATGTGAAATATATTAATAATAGAATATTATCATGCTATATAATTATATGTATTATATATTATAAAAATATTATTCTAATTATTGTGAAGTGAAAAAACAGGAATAACAAATAAGTACCATACTTAAGAACAATAGATAAATAAGAACAGTTTATATTTTAGTCCCAGCTTTCTAATCACTGCAGGTCAAACTAGGATTGGGTGCTGGTTCAGTTATTTAAGTCAATGCTTCTCAAATCTTTGGGTTTCATTGATCAGAAAATTTCACAAGCAGGCCGGGTACAGTGGCTCACACCTGTAATCCCAGCACTTTGGGAGGATGAGGCAGGTGGATCACCTGAAGTCAGGAGTTTGAGATTTGCCTGGCCAACATGGTGAAACCTATCTCTACTAAAAATACGAAAATTAGCTGGGTGTGGTGGTGCGTGCCTATAATCCCAGCTACTTGGGAGGCTGAGGCAGGAGAATCACTTGAACTTGGGAGGCGGATCCAGGAGGCAGAGGTTGCAGTGAGCAGAGATCCCACCACTGTACTCTAGCCTGGGTGACAGAGTGAGACTGTCTCAAAAAAAAAAAAAAAAAAAAAAAAGAAAAAGAAAATTTCACAAACAAAATAGTAACCTACATAGAGTTGCCAAAGTGTATTTTGCTAAATTAAGCAATTAAGATACCAATCATCCACTTTCACCATCAATTCCTTAAGAAAACATTTTAACATCAAAATAGTAAAAACAAATGCTTATCTCAAAATAACAGAAAGTTGGCCAGGCATTGTGGCTCACATCTGTAATCCCAGCACTTTGGGAGTCCAAGGAGGGTGGACAACTTGAGGTCAGGAGTTCGACCTCAACCTGGCCAATATGGTGAAACCCTGTCTCTACTAAAAGTACAAAAAAATTAGCTGGGTGTGGTGGTGGGCACCTGTAATCCCAGACTCGGAAGTCTGTGGCAGGAGAATTCCTTGAACCCGGGAGGTGGAGGTTGCAGTGAGCCAAGATGATTGTGCCACTGCACTCCAACCTTTGGGACAGAGCAAGACTCTGTCTCAAAAACAAAACAAACAACAAAAAAAACCAGAAAGTTATTTCAGACAAAAAAAAAATGGATTTCAGGAAAAATCAACTGTTTCACTCTAGTTTTTTCTGTTCTCATAGTAGGCTTCTAAATATTTTGTCATATAACTGCAGCTTGTCACTTATGAAATACTGATTTAGATATTTCTCTTTCATTAGTGTCTATTTCCAGCAAATAGAGAAAAAAGAACCATTTTATACAACTAAAGAAAAGATGAGCTGAAAATCAAGCTTTAGCTGGGATAGAAATGTAAACAATGCTCAATGCAGAAGGTAAATTTTAATCTTAGAACCAAAAGTTGTCTTGCCAATAAACCATGCCAGCAATTCTCAATGCAGGTCATTCACTGGAATCATCTAGAGACTTACAAAAGAAGTATGATACACTGATCCCATCTCTAGAGATTCTGATTCAACTAGTCTGGTGTGAGGCCCAAACTCAGATATTATTTTAACAGTTCCCCACATGATTATAATAAGTGGCAAGAGTTGATTGCCACTGATCGAATCTGTTTTGTTTTTCAGTAATGAGAAACAGTTTATAAAGTGAATTCTAACATGTTTTCCTTTTAAGATAATTTGAAAAGCAAACAAAATAAATTAAAAAACAAGAAAGTTTGGGTTTTCAGCAATAATGTTCAAATATCTCATTTTGCCCTAAAATACTAAGGATCAAATAATTTAAATAACTTACCTAGAGTTGCAGGCCTACATCAAAATATTGATATCAATGTAAAATATATACATAAACTGTTTCTTTGTGTGAAGATGATTAATATTTATTCAAAATATCATGACTTAAAGGAATTAATAATGCATTCTCACATATTGATTTTAAGGTGAAAACTGAGTTGCCTTTTAAAAAGAAACTTCCTCTTCATGAAAGACTTGACTTGCATTAGTATAAGTTATGGGTGTATTTCCTAAGTTGTTAAATTTTGAGGACAAGCTTAAGATCTGATGAATCAGAAAGTGTTGATTCTCTTTGAACAAAGTACCCCAATTAACTGTAGGCCAGTATTTCTCAAAGTGTGATACTATAAATCACACTTGTATTAATATCATACAATAGTCCAAAATGTAGATTATTTTTCTGAGGATGGGATCCCGAAAAGGGTGGATGTTACAACTCTCTTCATGTTTTGGATCTAAACAAAAATTTAAGAACCATTGCTCTAGGTCTAAATCAGGTGGTCCCCAGACCAGACTTTGAAAAACATAGCTCTACTTTCAGGATACATTTTAATCTTTTTTGTTTGTTTGTGAACACTAGCTGACTTTGCTCTCCTGGGAGCTAGTTGAAACATTTTGCACAGGCACCATTTCTGAGCAGGGTGTCACTAACCCACTGCAGTGTGATTCCTACTTAGAAGCAGTGCCTTAGAAATCTCAGTTCCATTACATAAGGTACCTGGTACTTGCTGATTAGGAAGATTAACAGAGGTAAACAGCGGCTTTTAATCTTTTCTAGACTTTCAGGCTCCTATAAACCCAGAACAACTCTCCTGTCAAAATAGAGATAAAGAAGCTTAACTGATGCACAATTCTATTTCTAATATTTCTGTGGCTTTTACAACTCACTGTAGGATCTGGTTTTTGAGTACCTGTTCTGTAAGATTTGTAGCTACTGTATTTCCATGTGGAGAGTAAGAAATTTCTAACATTGCCAGCCTATGATACATATAGCCATATGAAAAGTGGGAGGGCATCATTGCAATGGAAAAACCAATACCAAACTGATTGTAATCCCTGTTTAGGATTTGTGGAATACCTTTATATCTGTAATTACTGTTATGCTTTTTTTGGGTAGAAAATAAATCACACAAGTATGCAGGAGAAATGTATTTAATTGCTTTTTTCACAGTCAATGCAACTATGTCTCACACTATTTCCCCAGTTAATTTTCTACTCTAATCAAATGATTGTCTACTGGGTCCCCAAATACTTAATTTTTATCTATACTTTACATTTTTTCTCTGCCTTCTTAAATTTGACTTGTTCAAAGTGCAGCTCATTCTACAACCAGGACATAACTTCCACTGCATTTTTCCATTAAAATTTAGAAAGTGGTGTTTGTCTTTTTTTTTTTTTTTTTTTGAAGAAGTATTCTACAGGAAGAATTTTGATAGCAGGATATCATACACACTTCTGTTTAGAATTAAAAATAGTTATGTGGTAGGTATAGAAGATTCTGCCATAGATATGCAGAACTGAATGCAAACTGTCTTTTTAATCCGCAAATGAATTTAGTAATATATATTACAAGCCCTAAAATATCTATGACCTTTATGTAAATAATTCTGCCTCTAAAAGTTTGTATTAAAAATGGTCATGGGGCCATCAACATTTTAATTGTAAGGCTCTTCACATAAAGTGGTATTTTAATAGAAAGCAATTGAAAGCATCTAAATATTCAACATGAGAAAATATTTAATGATTATATGACTTGTACAATTATAAATTGAATATCTGACTGCTTGACAAATACTTTCCCTATAATGTTAAAAAATCTGAGATAGAAAGTTGTAAATATAACTTAGCCTAATTCTGTAAAAAGTACATACATGCTGGGCTGGGTGTGGTGGCTCACACCTGTAATTCCGGCACTGTGGGAGGCCAAGGCAGGCAGATAATCTGAGGTCAGGAGTTCAAGACCAGCCTGACCAAAATGGTGAAACCCCATGTCTACTAAAAATACAAAAATTAGCCCGGTGTGGTGGTGCAGTGAGCTGAGATCGTGCCATTTTACTCCAGCTTGGGCAACAGGAATGAAACTCCATCTCAAAAAAAAAAAAAAAAAAAAAAAGGTACCTACATGCCTGACACTGTGTTTGGAGTAATTTTGATGAACAACAGATAAAATTATCATGAAGAAAAATCTTATGGAGAAAGGGTTGTTGTATACTTTAGAAATGGATTTCAAGTCTATGCTATCTGATGCAGTGATTTTTAAAATCAATTTCATTGAAATATAGTTTGCATATAATAAACCATATTCATTTAAAGCATACAATTTTATGAGTTACATCTGGGAAATTACCACCACAGTCATGCTACAGATTATGTGTATCACCCCTTAAATTTTCCTTGTGCCTCTTTGAAATCAATCTCTCTTCCCCAAGATTGACTGATTTTTTTCTGGGCATAGATATAATAGTATTACATTTTTTTAGACACTTATATAAATAGAATCACATAGAATGTATATTTATCATGTTGTAGTATGTGTCAGTAGCTTTTTTGCACTTTTATTGCCAAGTGGTATTCTACTGTATGGATATACCATAATATATTTATTCACTGTTGATAGAATTTTAGGTCTTCCCCAGTTTAGCAGCAGTATGAATAAGCTGCTCTATGTAAATACTTATGTACATAGGTTTTCCTTTCTCTTAGGGAAATGCCTGTAGGAGAAATGGTTGGGTTGTAATGTAGTTGTAGGTTTAATTTTTAAAAAATCAACTTCTAAACTGTTATTCAAAGTGGCTGTGTAATTTAACATTTTACATTTTTACTGGCAATGTTTGAGAGTCCCAGTTTCTCCATATCCTGTCAACACTTACAATTATCAGCCTTGGCTGGGTGCAGCGGCTCACGCCTGTAATCCCAGCACTTTGGGAGGCTGAGGCAGGAGGATCACCTGAGGTTGGGAGTTTGAGACCAGCCTGACCAACGTGGAGAAACCCTGTCTCTACTAAAAATACAAAATTAGCTGGGCGTGGTGGTGCATGCCTGTAATCCCAGCTACTCGAGAGGCCAAGGCAGGAGAATAGCTTGAACCTGGGAGGCGGAGGTTGCGGTGAGCCGAGATCACGCCATTGCCCTCCAGTCTGGGCAACAAGGGCTAAACTCTGTCACACACGCAAACAAAAAAATAAGCCTTTTTTCATTTTGGCCATTTTTGTCACTTGTTATTTGTGAAATACTGATTTAGGTATGTCTCTCCTGTGTGTGTGGTAGTGCAGCATTGTCATTTGGACTTTGTGTATTTTTTGATGAATGATATTAAGTATAATTGTATGTACTTATGATTATTTGCCTCTGTTTTTTCATGAAATCACCATTCAAATCTTTTTTCCTTTTAATTGGGTGGTTTACCTTCTAGTATTTGAGTTGTAAAAGTTCTCCATATATTCTAGCTACAAAATCTTTGTAGATGTGTGTATCGCAAATGCATCTTCTCTGAGACAGTGGCTTGTCTTTAAGTTTTCTTAACAAGTCTTTGAAAGAATAGCCACTTTTAATATTGAGAAATTTCATTTTTCCATGTTTATTTTCTTTTACGGCTTGTGCTTTTTGCTTCCTATCTATGAAAACTCTGCAAAGTTTTTCCTTTATAATTTATTCTAGAAGTTTTACAGTTCTGCCTTCCATAGTCAGGTCCATGGTCTATTTTAAGTGAATTTTTGTGTGTGGTGTTAGGTAGTGGTTGATCAACGTTTTTCATACAAATATCCAAATTTATAGCACCATTTGTTGAAAAAAGTGATTTTATCTCTCCCCTTTTGATGGTCTTAACACCTTTGTTGAAAATCAATTGACTTCATATGTGTGGCTTTATTTCTAGACCTTTTTCTCTTCCATTTACACCCACCTCCCAACACACGTACACACACACATATAAGCATACTTATATGTCTATTACTTCATATTAATTCCTATACATGTATAGTAAGCCTTGAAATCTCATAGTATCTGTTAATTTTTAAAATTATTTTGGTTATTTTAGATCATCTACATTTCCAGATAAATTTTAGAATAAGCTTCAATTTCTACAAATACGAAACCTGCAAATTTTGTGGGGGTTATACCAAAGCTATAGATCAATTTGTGGAAGATTGGCTCTTCAACAATACTGAGTCTTCCAATATAATATATATTTTTCTAATTATTTAGGTCTTCTTTAATTTTTCCCAGCAATATTTTATAGTTTTCTGAGCAAAAGTTACATTTTTTGTTGTATTTGTTTCTAAGTATGTTTTTATTTTGATGCTATTGAAATAGAACACATTTTATATCACTTTTCAATTTTTTTGTTATTACAATATGTATATATAAATACAGCTATTTAAAAAATAAACTTACAGGTTGACCCTGCTAAATATACTTATTAATTCTTCATGATTCCTGGGATTTTTTTATATACACAGTTGTGTCAAGTGCAAACATACATTTTTGTTTATTTCGTTTCAAACTCTATAATCTTATCTTACCTTAAATACTTACTTAAAAAAAATTTGCCTATTGCACTAATTAAGATTTCCAGTAAATGTTGCATAATAGTAGTATGATAGAGCATTTTTATCTTTTCCACAATTTTAGGGAGAAAGTACTTAATATTTTTTCATTAAGTGTAACATTTGCTTTGGGTTTATTATAGATGCCCTTTATCAGACTGAGAAAACTCCCCCCATACTTAATTTCCAGAGTTTTTAATCAATAAATATGGTTGATTTTGTAAATGCTTTATCCAGATCTATTAAATTTATCATAAGCTGCTGTAGACTTAATGTTTATTGTCCCACAAAATTGTAAAGATAACTTTATATGTTGTGAGGAACCCTTAATTGGTCATGGTATATTGTTCTTTTTATATGTTGTTGAATTTGAGTCACTGATACTTTGTTAAGGATTTTTACATGTATTTTTATCAAGAATATTGGGCTGTCCTTTTCTTTTGCCATGCCTTTACATGTTCTTGTATTACTATTTGGTATCTGGCCTCACAGTGTTTCTTTTTCCTGTATTTTTTGAAGAAAATTGTGGAAGATCAGCATTGTGCATTTCTTAAATTCACCAGTGAAACAATTTGACCCTAGTATTTTCCTTTGGGAAAAGTATTTTATATAGAATACAATTCTTAAATAGAGATAAAGCTCTTCATATTTTTATTAAATATCAATTTTGGTAAATTGTGTACATTAAAGAATTTACTAATTTCCTCTAGATTGCTAACATTGTTGGTAAAAAGTTCTTCATAATGATTTGTTAGCTTTCTAATATTTGTAATACGTGTAGTAATAAATTCTCTTTCATTGTTAATATAGGTGCTTTGTTTTTTCTCTTTTTTCTTGGTAGTCTAGATAAGGTTTTTAATTTTTTTTTTTTTTTTTGTGAGACCGAGTCTTGCTCTGTCACCCAGGCTGGAGTGCAGTGGCACGATCTCCGCTCATTGCAAGCTCCGCCTCCCGGGTTAACACCATTCTCCTGCCTCAGCCTCCCGAGTAGCTGGGACCACAGGTGCCTACCACCACACCGGGCTTATTTTTTGTATTTTTAGTAGAGACGGGGTTTCACCACGTTAGCCAAGATGGTCTCGATCTCCTGACCTTGTGATTCGCCCGCCTCGGCCTCCCAAAGTGCTGGGATTACAGTTTTTTGTTTTGTTTTGTTTTGTTTTGTTTTTGTTTTTGTTTTTTTGAGACAGAGTTTTGCTTTTGTCTCCCAGGCCGGAGTGCAATGGCATGACCCCTGCTCACTGCAACCTCCGCTTCCTGGGTTCAAGCGATTCTTCTGCTTCAGCCTCCTGAATAGCTGGATTACAGGTGCCCGCCACCAAGCCCGGCTAATTTTTGTATTTTAGTAGAGACAGGGTTTCACCATGTTGGCCAGGCTGTGCTTGAACTCCTGACCTCAGGTGACCCGCCCACCTCAGCCTCCCAAAGTGCTGGGATTACAGGTGTGAGCCACTGAGTCCAGCCTAAGGTTTTTAAATTTTATCATTCTTTTCAAAAAGCCAGCTTTTGACTTTTATTAATTTTGTATATTTTATTTTATTATTATTATTTTTGAGATGGCGTCTCGCACTGTTGCCCAGGCTGGAGAGCAGTGGCACAATCTCAGCTCACTGCAACTTCCGCCTCCTGGGTTCAAGTGAGTCTCCTTCCTCAGCCTCCCGAGTAGCTGGGATTACAGTTGCCTGCCTCCACACACTAATTTTTTGTATTTTTAGTAGAGACAGGGTGTCATCATGTTGGCCAGGCTGGTCTTGAACTCCTGACCTCATGATCCTCCTGTCTCGGCCTCCCAAAGTGCTGGGATTACAGGTGTGAGCCACCACACTTGGCCAATTTTGTATATTTTATATCTGCTTTTTATTTTGTTGTTTTCTGCTCTTTTCTTTATCATTGCTTTCCTCTACTTTGAATTTATTTTGCTCTTCTTTGCTAGCTTCAAAACTTCTTCTAACCTAAAGTCTCTGACTTAAAATCGCCTTACTTCCTATATAAGAATTTATAACTACTATCTCTAAGCACTGTTTTAGCTGCATTCCACAAATTTTGATATTTGTATTTGGATTCTTATCCTGTTTTTAATATCATATTGTAGTTTGTTTTCTGACCCAGGAAATCTTTGAAATTATTTGCTCAATTTGAAAAAAAAAGAGTTTTCTCAAATATCTAATATCTACTAATGTTTAACTTATTTCTGTTATTGATTGAACATCTTTTACATTTATTTGAACTGGTTTTGTGTCCAGGATATGGTCCATTTTAGTGAACTTATCCTATACAATTGAAAAGAATTTCTAATTTGAAATTGTAGGGTACAGGGCATCATTAATTAGGTGGTTGAGAAGGTTGTTGAGATTATGTGTTTCTTTACTAATTTTTTGTTGATTTTTTGCAAAGACATAAGTGTTAAAATGTACTATATTTTGATTTAAATTTTTTTTGGATAACTGCCACATTTTGCTTGATTTTTTTGAGCTCTATTATTTCATACATACATACTTATAACTCTCAAGTCTGCCAAGTGAATTGACCCTTTAATCATTATGAAATATCTCTCTTCATCTCTGGTAATACTTCTTGCCTGGAGATGCCACTCCAGTTTTCTTAGGATAAGTACTTGCATCGTATGTCTTTATCCATCCATTTAGCACAGCCATGTCTATATTTAAAATATGTCTCTTGTTAACAGCATATCGATATGTCTTTATTATCCATTTTGGAAATATCTGACTTTTAATCATAATGTTCATTCCAATAATATTTAATATAATTATTTGTATGAGTATATTTAGGCCTTTCAATTTAACATTTGTTTTCTCTTTGCTCATCTACTGTTTTGCTTTGATTTGATGTTGCTGTTCTTCTGGTCCCCTTTCTTGACTTCTTTTGAATTATTTGAAAGATTTTTAAAAGCCTAGATTAATTTACCTTTTGGATTATTAATAATATTGATAGATATATTAATATATTAATAAAATGTATTCCTTATTTTTAGAAGTCAACCTTCCCCTGTGTAATTCCAGTCAATATTGTACCACTTCACAAAAAATCATGCGATCTTCCAATCAAATATGTCCATTTACCTATACCCACTTTACTTTGTGCTGTAGTGTGCATTTCTTTTGCTTTTAGTTGAAGTTGTTAGTGTCTGTTCCTCGAAAACATGTTGTAGAGATCAACCAGGGACTGGGGCAGAATTTACATGCGAAACATGGGACTCCCTTTCTCTAGTCCTTCATTTTATAGGATTATCCCCTCACTTCCTGGCATGTTTTGCTGTGCCAGGAGGTATATATTCTACTGACTAAGAACTTCAGCCTTTTTGTGCCATATTTCTACCGTGGTTCATTGATGTTGTAACTTTGAGCTAATAACTAAATAAGAATGACACTGTCATATGAAGGCCCAGGGAAGAGCAAACAACAAATGAAAGAACACGTGAAAAAGGCCTAATTGAAAACTGAGTTAAGAAACCCCTGTCCCTTTGGGAGGCCGAGGCGGGCGGATCACGAGGTCAGGAGATCGAGACCATCCCGGCTAAAACGGTGAAACCCCGTCTCTACTAAAAATACAAAAAATTAGCCGGGCGTAGTGGCGGGCGCCTGTAGTCCCAGCTACTTGGGAGGCTGAGGCAGGAGAATGGCATGAACCCAGGAGGCGGAGCTTGCAGTGAGCCGAGATCCCACCACTGCACTCCAGCCTGGGCGACAGAGCGAGACTCCGTCTCAAAAAAAAAAAAAAAAAAAAAAAAAGAAACCCCTGTCCCCCCACAAAAACAAACAAATTCAATCTATCTGAATCATAAGTAAGCAAAAGCATCTGTGAAATAAATTATACACAGACACACATTTCCCTTATCATTAAAGATGATAAGGGAAACACAACAAAGTATCTCTTAGTGGTAATTACAGGTCATTTTAATTTCAATTTTTTTTTTTTTTTTTTGAGATGGAGTCTTGCACTGTTGCCCTGGCTGGAGTACAATGGCACAATGCAACCTCCACCTCCCGGGTTCAAACCATTCTCCTGGCTCAGCCTCCTGAGTAGCTGGGATTTCAGGCTCCCACCACCACACCCAGCAATTTTTTTTTGTATTTTTAGTAGAGATGGGGTTTCACTATTTTGGCCAGGCTGGCCTCAAACTCCTGACCTCATGATCCACCTGCCTTGGCCTCTCAGAGTGCTAGGATTACAGGTGAGCCACCACACCCGGCCTTAATTTCTATTTTATATGCACTTTAATGTTTAAGCATTTTATTTCAAGTCCAAAAAGAATTAAAAATGAAAAAGCAATTCGACTTTATACGATGGTGTAGGAAATATTCCTTAAATATTCCTATCCTCAGACCAAACGCATCTCAAGATATCAGACACTCCTTTATAAAATAGTGTTTCAGGTGGTGAATGTGTTCAAAGTACAGATAGGTTAAGAATAGAAGAAATTTTAGGCTGAAGAAGAGAAGATGAAACAAGAATCAGTCTTCAAACTCCTGTAGCCTATCATTTTGAAGAGGGGGTGGCCTTATGTTACTTGCTTCACAGAGCCAGTAAGTTTAACATTAAAAACAGATTTGAAGCTCCTTAAGTTCCAATCTCATTCTGAGATTCAATGGTTTTAATCAGCTGAAGATGCCAGAAGAATATACACAATACAGATGGGGAAAAGAGTTTAGCCTACACAAATGTTAGTATTACACCAACTCATTCTCATCTACCTTTGCCTCCCTTCTCATGTCACTGTCATCATTGTATCATGTAAGTTCAAGTACTATTTACATCTATCCATGGCTTCATTTGCCATCTCTACCATAATGATTGAATCACAAAATCTCTCAAACATTCTCATTCCAGTCCTCCCATATCTAACTCTGCTGTTGGTCTCACAAATTAAGCTTTCGAATCCTCGTGCTTAGATTTAGATATTGTCCTTACATACTTTTCCTACTGCCAACTTTTACATAAATTATCTTTCTAAAGCACAAACCTCATTACTTAATTATATTTCTTCATATTATTAGGTAGTTTACCAATATCCAGAACTGCTATTTGCAAACTTATTGATTTTAGGTTAATAGGTGACAAATGTTTAGCACAAATAGCACTTACTTTAAGTAGTTAACAGATGTCAACTATCATATACATCAATAATTTCCAGACCTCCCTCATTTTACTGACCAGTCATTGTTTCTATTCATTGAGAAAATAAGTATTGATAAAATAAAAATGAAAGCAACGATGGATTATTTAATAAATCTGCACTAAACCCAGAGGCATCTACACATATTTGAGAAATAGTGAAACAGATATGTGTGTGTGTTATGGTCTATATACTTGTGTTCCCTCAAAATTCATATGTTGAAACCTAATCACCAACATGTTCTGGTATTAGGAAGTGGGATCTTCTGATGGGTGATTATGTCAAATGGTGGATCCCCCTTGGAGCCCTTTGATAAGGGATAAGTTCCCTTATGAAAGAGGGCCAAGAGAGCTTGCTCACCCCTTTCCCCATATACAGCAAGAAGGCACCATCTATGGGAAGTGAACCCTCACAAGACACTGAATCTTCTGGAGCCTTGATCTTGGACTTCCCAGCCTCTAGAACAGTGAGGAATAAATTTCAGTTGCTGAGAAACTACCCAGTCTATGGCATTTTTTTGTAACAGCCCAAATGGGTTATAACATTATGCAACAGTTTATGGACAATTCTTAGTGCACCTATGTAGTAAGTTTGTGTTCACCCCCTACCCTTACACTACCCTACAGTCAAATAAAAGACTCATTAGAGATTAGAGCCACAATTTCTTAATATGTTTTCATAATCTCTACCCAATGAAGCCATCATCTTTCACTTTATCTCTAACCCTATTCACTTCCCCTAATATAGAATCTGAAGTTGCTTATATATCACTGACTTTTCTTTTTCCCCTTTCATCTAAGATCTCACTGAATTTATGCTTTATGAAACATATCATATTATAGATTTATATGTATTGATTTATTTTCCTTTCTCGCTGTGCTGTGAAATACACTAGGGCAAGATTATGGCTTTTATAATGCCAAATCTTAACCCATTATTTCCTGACACATTTATCACTTTGTCCACATGGCTGTTTTCCAAACAGGAATTGTCACAGTCAAACATACATGCTGTGAAAAAATTATTTAAGCAAGTATTAGAGTAATTAAAATAGTCTCAATTTTATTTTTTTAGTTGAACAATCTCTAATGCTCATGTGAAACCCTCATTTCTTTTAGGTGCTGAAGAAAAAACTAACGTTTAATTTCATAACTACAGTACATGTTTGGTGACATGTTCACATGTCACTAAGTAAATTTTTGGGATCTTCTTGCCAATATCTGTGTCCAATATGACTTGTTATGGGACTGATTACAATTTTGCTTTTTGCTAAAAATGGGCACTTGCCTTGATTCTACTTTCAGCTGAAAGCAAACCATTGCTGGCGAAAAAAAAAAAATGCCTCTGGTGACTCTCAGAGATAAAATGTATTGAATAATTTATGGTTTTAGTTAAATCCCTATCATTTATTTTTCATTACAAAATGACCACATATAATTTGACATGTTTGTGCAACATAATTAATAGCACCTGCTCTAGAAAGTTCGGCAAAGCAGAGTATACATGGATCTCAGTGTCAGCCATGCAGAGCATAAACTCAAAACATTGAATGTCTCCATGGAAAAAGCAGATGAAGACTGATATTATATTGGAAGCATAATTTCACCCTGGAGTTTTACAGTGAGTCACCAAAATCTCATCACAGGAATGACTGTACTTTGAAATCACTGGTGGAGATGCCTTTAATCATTGACTGAGCTGTTACCTTAAGGAAACAACATACAGCTGATATACTTTGAACATCTTCTTTGAGTAAAGCACTGAGAGCAATCTATAGAAAAGAGGATAATACAAGTGTTCAAAACCAGTGCAAGAAATAGGCTCTGACCCCATGGGACTTTCAATCAAGTAATCTCTGTACCCACTAGCTTTACTCCCTCACTTGTCATTTGCTCTTCAGTATTTACTCTCCAGTTTTGGCCCCTGCGTGATGGTGGACTCCACTACTTGCCAATCTTCATATAAATTCTGCCCTTTTCCCAGAACTTTAGTTTTTAATCTGGCTTACCACCCAGGAAAAAGTTGCGTTCCCAAGAATGTTTGAGGACAGGAATCGTTAAGAGAGTCCTTACAATTTTATATGCATTTTCTTTCTCAAGAGTGGCTGGTGATTTAGGTAGGTATATTGGGGAGGATTGTAGCTTTTATAAGGTAAGATGGGTGATGGACCTGGTGATTTGATATAAAAAACACCTCTGAAATGGCACCCTTACCTAAAATTCACTTTGTGCCTTCCAGCCATTTTGTCACAGTGCCTGTCAATGTTACAGCTATTGATCCATTCCATTGAATATGTTAATAAAAAGTATGTACTTGTCTAAATTCAAATAAATATGGGTTTACTATTTTTAACTTTTATCAGAATAATGTACAATCTTCTATTAACAGAATGAAATAAACAAAGGAAAATTAGAGATATTTTGAGCATTAACCCCACAGAGCCGACGAAGAAAATAAGATCAAAATATTCTATAATTCTCATCCTGACTTGGAAATGTAAGGTCTCAGGTTGGTCATGCACTGAGGAAAAACAAATCTAAAATTAAAATCAAATTATATTTATTTCCAAACATAAAAATAGCTTTCTATACATATGTTTTGGGAAATAGAGGTATTAATAGCAATCATACAGAAGAATCAATAGAGTTCTCAAAGGAATAATATTTTAGCCTGAGAATCCAGAGTCCAAGGAAGGAATGGCTACTGAGGAATCTACTTTCACTGCAATCCTTTAGTAGGGTAAGCCTTCTATCAGGGTACCAGAGAAAGCCTTTCCTATTTTTGAAGTTGGATTCCTTTTTATCATTTATTTATTTAAAAAAGGAAATAGCGAAGATGTGTTATGCTAATAATATTAGGGGCTAAAGATTATATTCTTGAGTTTAATAAGACTATGTTTATTGACCCACTACTATGAGGATAAGGCTTACACTTGAAACAATGTGTGATTAGCAAAAGATGATTCATAATTATCAGCCAAATGGGCTGCTTTCAGGCAAATATAGGATTGGCTCAAACCAGGCTACCGTCTGCAAATATTTTAGACTTGTTTAATTCAGGGTATATATATTTTTCCTTCATCTAATCCATCTCTTTCATGTTCTTCTAAAGGTTTAACAGGCATCTCTAACCCTTTGTGGTTTTCACTAAAATATACTTTACTCTCAATAATATCAACATTCATATTTTTATTCTGGAAAAATTAAAAAAAAGGTCATCTGCAAGTTACAGAATTCAGTCTGAGAAGAGGACTTAGAGCACATTGGTGTTCTGAATTAAAAATCTATAAAAACAATTACCATGAATTCCTTTGGAAGTCTGAATAAAACCATGAGCTCTCTTGTTCTGAAAAATATATGTATCCTTGTATATAGGTATAAGCATGCACACACATATCCATCTGATACAAATACTTTGTTCACAAATTCCCTGAAGCCTATCTATGAATCCCCTGGGTTGCTAGACTCTGAGGGAACAATACTAGTTCTAGGGACTTTATAGCATCTCTGTCTTTCACTACTGTCTTTATGTCTGGATAGTGTGTCCGAATCAACCTGTTCTCTTTTATTTCTGCAACTTAAAATCTAAAATCTAAAGAACTTTAAAGTTCTTAGAAATTAAACTTGATTTTCCCTGTTGTTAGAAAACCTAGTTTTCCTTTGTTGACATTGTTGCTGTAATGTTGTGGGGATTTTTTTTCTTTAATTTTTAGATTTTCTTTTAGTTTTTACAGCTATGGCATAGTAATTGCTGTAACTGGTAATTTGTTTTGAATAAACTTATTTTGGAGAAAAAAGCATCGAGTATATTAAATTAGAAAAATAAATTCTAAAATGAGAATCAATTTCTAACTTCTGGAATTTGGTAATTGAGGGAAGTAATATGTTACAAAGGAATGATCACAGGAAAGAAAATCAGGAAATCAAATTTTTATTCTTAGTTATACTTCCACCCACTAGCCAAGTCTGTCTAGAATCGTGAGGGGTATGAAACATTTTTTCATTTTCTTTATTCCTCTTTTTCATTCTTTCTTCCTTTCAAATTGTTTTTTCTTTTTTGGTTCAGACGACAGTAGTAGTCCTTCAATATAATATGATGCAGAAGCCCAGCATCTCAGGTAAAAGTGGAATTTTATTATTATGACCTTACTTTGCATGTGCTGCCTCAATCACGATCTCAGAACATTGATTTCACTAACAGAAATATTTGGAATAGAGAATTATGGAAGGCTTTGTAGCTTTATTTACTCTTAGGAGCAACGCCCTTTGAATAAAATGTTAGCAGATTTCCTGAAGCACTTGGTACACCCATTATAAAGGAATGTTCAATTTGTCAAGCTTTTTGTACAATAGTAAGAAAATAACTACTAAATAAAATAGATCTGACTTCCAGACATGGCCCTGACATTTGTAAGCCATGTGACGCTGGACAAGTTATTTAAACTTCCAAATTCTTCCTTTTGTACCCTTAAAATGAAGAAAATAATACTACTTTCTAAAATAAGTTAAACAAATGTTCAAAATGGTCAGATTAGTATTTAACACACAATAGACAAGCAAAAATTAACACTTCTATTTCTCCCTGAGGTAGTCATTTATACTCTGTACCTTTAAATTTTACAATATGTAAAATCAATGTCATAGACTAAGTCATCTAAACAAGCTCAAAATTCTGCAACAAATAAACTCAACAGCTAATTTGGGCTTCTGTACCTAGCTTGCATTGTTCATGGTAGGCTACTTCCTTTAACACGCTGATATCACTAGAGACACAGAACAGATCAAGTTCCCATGCATTTTATCAGAGTCTGTAGTGGCAGGAAGAACTGGAGAAACTGATACTAAAAAGGGGACAAGCTTCAGGTCCTTTAAATATCTACATAAAGGTCCTTTAAATATCTACATAAAGGAAGAAGCCCTTGCGGAATCAGCACACAGCACTTGCCATGCATGTTTAACTCTCCATCATTATTTCAGCAACATTCCAATAACAGAGTTTTCTTTGAAATCACATGATTTTAATAGTATTGTATAAAGTCAAATCGACATAGCAAGACTTGAACATGACCATGACTTACTACCGGGCCTCAGGCCCCCTTGGTTGTAATGTGTTCCCTGGGCTAATTTTTCTTATGTTGAAAATAAGTTTTGAGTTTCAACATTTTTCAACCATGATTCAGATATCATCCTTAACTTTAGTGATTATCCTAAGGCTCTTAAAAAACCCAATACTGAAAACTAGAGACTGTATCATACAGCTCTGCCTAAAGTGTGGTGGAAATTCCCATGGTGTAGGTAGCTTTTTGGTCTGAAAACTGAGGCTTTTTGTGGGCTTAGGATGTCCTTTGCCTGCTGATTCTTTTGGGGACTCCATATGACTTACCGCCTTGCTAGGACATTTCAAGCACTTACCACATAGTTGTTACATAACAATAAAATGAATATAAATATCATTATTGTTGCTTACCTTTCCCTGATTTTGAAGTGAGGAAGATAATGAGGAAATATGAGGCAATGGAAAAAGGGCAGCTTTATATGGCAACATCCTAAACTTCATTGGCATAGAACACATCTGGCGCCCAAAACCAGCTTGCTATTGGCAGCATTAACTTAGATGTTAGGCAAATTATGGAAGATAAGTAGATATTCACCACTCAGGTCAGGTCTAAGAGAACCTTGACATCCTAGATGGAGTAGAGGCAGAGGATGAGAGAGAGAGAGATAAACGGAGAGAAACTAACTGTAGAAATTTAGTATTTGGCCTTGGAAAAGTCACTCTTTTGACATTCAAATTAATATGTATTAATTTATTTCTAATCTATAAAGTAAGTAAATCTGACAGATGACCCATGAGTTCTGTTTCTGTTCTCTCATTTATCTCAACTTTGCTTTATTTTAAGGCTTCATCCACTGTGCTGCCAATTTAGAAATTATTCATTTCTGGTTATCTAAAAATTGTCTTCTCTTATATTTTGCAGCTGTAAGAAGCAACATGGACAACGCATTACACTAGAAAAGTAAGTAGATTTGTAATCAGTTGTTCTTCCCCAGCTCTACCATCAGCATACATGTTGTCTGCCCTGGTGGGCTCTGGTTTTCCCACGCAAAGAAGAAAGTCAACAGTTTAGCATTTTTATTTTAGGATTGTCTCCAAATTTTGCTGATTAAAAATTTTGCCATATTTCCATATTTTTACAAATAAAAAGTTGTTCATTTTAATTATTTAGACAATTTATAATGTTTTTTTAATCTAGATGGTTTTAACTGTGTATAAAGATTTCTGCAAAAGGTCAGTTGGCCAGCTTTTCTTTTGCTATTGTAACAGCTAATTAGGAAACATTCACTAGTTTCTGCCCAGCTCCCTGAGGCTGGATCTTGAAACCCTTGAAACACACAGAGTGAGGAGCCCCTCTGCTGGCAGAAAGACAGACCAGAGATTCAGTGCAAAGCACTACGTCTGGCCCTGCCAAGAACAGAGAAGCTTTGATGCAGAGAGATCTCAGAGACAGAACTGGGGAAAGCCAGGGGAAGAAGAAAGATGTGAAAGTGCTGATGTCCTCAAATCAAAGTTCCACACCCTTCACTTTAGCCTTGCCAATCCAACTCACATGAATTGCTGCAGACCCCATAAGTAGACTGAGATACAGACTTGGGTAAACTTGATGAATTTAGATGAGCTGGTTGTTTGGGTATAGAGAGGAAAAGTATTGCATTGGTTAGTTTGCATTGTACCAGTAGAAATAGGAATTAAAGGAGGTAGGATGGTGTTCAGAAAGTTTTACAGAATAGGCAATTTTTGACCCGATTTTTGCCACATGAAGTTGGAAAAGTGGATTCAAAAGGAAAGTAATAAATAATTTTGATTGTGGGAATAGAATATATTCCAGATTGCGGTAGATGATTGGAGTGAGATGGAGTAAGATTTTACATAGACCATCCAGTAAAAACATTATTGCAATATGTCATCAGGGATAAACTGACACAGGAGGCTTCATGTTGCCTTGTGCAGGCTAATAAGAGATTTATTTAGAAGACAGTCAAAGGTGACACGGCTTATAACGTAGTCCCACATCACAAAGAAAGGAATATTAAAAACAGGAACAAATATGGGAAAGAAATTATTTCTAGTTTGAATTTGTTAATTATGAAGTTATGGGATACACTGAAAAAGTTGATGAACTATCAATCAGTTAGTGACCCGGCTATAGAACTATCTCAAACTTTTCCAGCATTCAGGTATAATTATTGGAAATGATTATATTCTTTGAAAAGACAGGCTTTTAGATAAAGGTGTGCATTATCTGCTTACTTTTTTTCTCTTTGAGACAGAGTTTTGCTCTTGTTGTCCACTCTGGAGTGCAATGGCGTGATCTCGGCTCACTGCAACCTCCGCCTCCTGGGTTCAAGCGATTATCCTGTCTCAGCCTCCCAAGTAGCTGGGATTACAGGCGCATGCCACCAAGCCTGGGTAATTTTTGCATTTTTAGTAGAGATGGGGTTTCATCATATTGGTCAGGCTGGTATCCAACTCCTGACCTCAGGGGATCCACCCGCCTTGGCCTCCTGAAGTGCTGGGATTACAGGTGTGAGCCACCGCGCCCGGCCTATCTACTTACTTTTATTGCTTATTTTTATCCCTGCCTTTTGGTAAAAAGGAAAAGGGAGACAGTCTCCAGCTGGAAGATTAATCCTCCTAATATTATAATAGAATTTTGGAAAAGGTAGCCTTGTATTATACCAACAAAGGGGCTTAAGATTAGAAAGGAGCTCAATTCAATGGTCTGTGAACACCCTGGGTTAATAAGATGACTTTTTTCTGGCTAAAATAGAATTTTCACTTCCATAGCAGGTCTCAAGATATTCCAACAGATTCCAATAGATAAAACCAGTGAGTTGGGCAAGAAAATTCTTCATGTTCAGTTTTCTCAATTACCACCAGGTGTGTCAAGCTGGTTCTCTTTCCACCGCATTCTGAAAACCTTTAGTTTTATATGCATTTCTATGAATATATCATCTAAAGCAATCATTTTGCTGTTGAAAGTCTACTAGTTTTTCTAAGATCTGAAAACTAAAATATATGTGTAAAATATATGTGTAAAAACTTAAGCCCTATTGTGGTGGTATTAAGAGGTGAGGCATTTGGGGAAGTGATTAAGTCATCAATTCTGATATGAATTTCATGCCAGAAAAGCCCACCATTCATTTCAACTTTTTCTTTCACAGGTGAGAACACTCATATACCCTGATAGGTTCAGTCATACTACCAGCAGATATCTAAGATAGATCCTTTTAGGCTGTTTTCAATGTTTTAAATCATCTTTGTCCTGTTTCTTGCAGTTCTTTCCACATCCCCTCTGCCCTACTTAAATTGTTGTGTGCTGAGTCAGTCATGAATGTCTAACAGAACTAATTGAATGGAATGCTATGGGACTATGGGATTATGTTCAACATTTCTCTCTGTCACTTTCTGTTTTTGTTTTGTAAATGATGCTGTCTCATAATTTATTACATTTGTAAATCAGGTATGACCTATCTTTGAACACCTAAATCTCTCCCTGTTATCAAATAATATTTAGGCAATGCTCAGGCTGGGAAGCTCTGTGTGATGCTCACTACAGCCCAGAAGCTAAACACACCAGGTATTATCATTCTAATCAAAATAGTGAAAAAACAGGCAATGTTCTTTGCCTGTCTAAATAAAATCTTTACTTTTAAGTCCAATGAAAGATTATTTTCTTCTTTTCCCAGAAAAGAAATTTTAGCCTTATTTTATTGAATCTCATCCCAGTGGCTGAGGTTTTTTTTACAAGCTTGCTCATAAGTTTTCTGTTGTTTCCCATTCACTAACATCCGAAACACTCACTCATTACTCCACCCCAAGGGACTTCTCGGGAAATATCAGACTGCAGCATATGGCAGCCACTGGGGCCCAACCCAGACTCTGCTTTTCCATATTACTGCCTATACATTGTGAGTGTCACGAAGAGAGCAGAGCTCTGCCACACTTTTCTTAATGGATAAAGGTAAAACAATCATAAAAAGGAAAGATATTGACCACAAAATATACTGTTCTAGACAGGATTGTTAACACTGTTCAAAACCACTGAAGTGAGACAATCTACAAGTACTCTCCACCTCTATCTTGCAAGCTTACAGTGCATGGCTCTCATCTCTCAGCCATGGGGTGGGGTTGGCTGCATGTGCCATCAGTTGGATTGTTATTCCTGGGAATCCAGACCTTACTTCTACAACATGTAGTTTTGAGCTAAAGGAGGTCCCTATAAGACTGTCCAAGAATGGCCCAGAGGCGTGCACAATCTTTCCTACCATTTCTCAGCACACTGGAGGCATGTCCATTCAGCACATCTGCTGTGCCCGCCTGCCAGAGAAGGGCCCAGCTAACCTACTTCTCTGAGCCTTTGGAATTTTTTTTAGTTTATTTACTTCTGTTGATTATAAAATAGAATTGAAAATTTAAAAAGAAAAGGGTAAAAAAAGTAATTGTAATTACCCAAAGCCCAAACTACTCAGAATTAACTGTTATAAAAATTTTAATGCATATGGCTTCTCTCCCTCTTTTTTCTCTTTTACTGGAAGTGACAGAGAATATGTATGGTACATTATAAATATTACATATAGGTCAGGGTGATGGAAGGAGAATTTGGGGATGTGGGTAGAAATTACACATTTTTAAATATTTTATTTTCCCAAGACATAAAAAAATGTACAAAAAGGGTTAGTATATTTTACTTATTGATAAAATGTACATATCAGGATATTGACCTCAAAATTTTTAATTTTCTTTTTTTCTTTTTTGAGACAAAGTCTCACTCTGTCACCCAGGCTGGAGGTGCAGTAAAGCCAAATTAAAAATGATAACATTTTAAAACTCTTGACCCAGACTGACAAAATGCTTTCAACAATATTGAAAATGTATTTTATGTAATTTGTTTTATAATTTTAAAACCTATACCAAACACAAATAAAATTCATATATAAGCATATTATACAGATATCCACTCACCCCAAGCAAAGAAATTCAAATAAAACCCAATACATATGTATTAATGCAATACTACATATAATGTTATATATGTAGTATATGTATATCATATGCATAATATGTATGCATGCACTATGTAAGTGTGTGTGTATTGACTATGCTCTTTATCAGTTTTATTATTTTGATGTTAAAATATTTATGTGCTTTTATCTAGCAAATCCATGCTTTGAAATCTGTTCTGGGGGGGTACTTAAAGATGTGGCTTGAGACATATATTTATATATGCATATTCAAGCATATACATGAAGGCATTATTTATAATGGTGAAAAATGCAAAATACCCCAATAAATAAATAATAAGAGAATGTGTATATATTTTTTTTCAAAATTCATCCAATGTTGTATGTCACAACACTGGAGCACCACTTCATTCCAGCCCGGGCCACGCAGTGAGACTTTGTCTCAAAAAAAAAGGAAAAGAGAAGAAACTTTCATTGAGTAAAGGAGAAGGCCTGCCTCCAAGTTTTAATCATTATTAATGTCCCATATTAATCAGAGAAAGGTTCAGTCTCTTTAGGTTTCCCTTATACAGCACCACTAAGAGAGATAGAAGTAGCTAATATTTTGTATCCACAATAACAGAATCAGCTTCAGTTTTAGCTGTTAAACATGTCAATTTTTTTCCCTCTCCCTATTCTTTATTTATGCCACCCACCTGTCACACTCTCCTAATCTACATTCCCCCACCCCTTCTGCAAAAGAATTTACTGCCTGTATGTTGACTCCTTGACTTGACTCACAAAGTCCCCTCTAAAACATATCATGATTCATATAACTTTTTCTTCAAATGTGTGATAGAGGCTATATGCATGGGAATCAGCTACTGTGAGCTAGAACAAGGCCAGTATTTAGAAGGAAGCAGAGTTTATTGGTCCATGTTCATACTGCTAGGAAGAATTATCCGAGACTGGGATATAAGGAAAAGAGGTTTCTTGGACTCACAGTTCCACATGGCTGGGAGGCCTCACAATCATGGCAGAAGGTGAAGGAGGATCAAAGGAATGTCTTACATGGCGGCAGGCAAAAGAGCATGTGCAGGTGAACTGCCCTTTATAAAACCATCAGATCTCATGACACTTATTCACTATCATGAGAACAGCATGGGAAAAATCCACCCCCATGATTCAGTTACCTCCTACTGGGTCCCTCCCATGACAGTTGGGGATTATGGAAGCTACAATTCAAGATGTGATTTGGGTGAGGACACAGCCAGACCATATCACAGAGGAAGAGAAAGTTCACAGCATCAGTTACATCTCTGGATCCAACCAGCCTGAAAGTTTATCTATTCTTAACCTTCCAGGATAAAAGAGTTACTGAATGCTCTTCATATCAGCTAGTTTTAGTTGAAATTCTGTTGGCTTTAAAATCAAATAATTACCAAAAAATACAGAAATTTAAACCAGGATTGCAGTGTTAAAAGTAACATACCGTGAAACAAGGAACTGATTGAAATAAAATGAACTGTAGATCATTTGGGAGGAGAGGTGACAGGAAGCTCTGTCTCTGGTTAGAAATTTCATAAAACTTGTTTAACACTAAAAGAAAAGATGGCTAAATTAAAACCAACTGTTAGTTGAGTTTAGACCAGGTACATACCAAACCTAGAAGGGTAGAAAACTTAAATAAAAAAATCACATGATGGTGGAATATGTTAATTGTTTCTTACAGACGTTAGAAGAATTCTGATAGAAAAGAACCCATTTCAATCTCAGGCATCATACCTGAATTTGAAAAGAGATGACATGTAGTTCTTTTCTTAAGATAGGAGCTTTTCTACCTGAAGGCAGCAATCCTAGAGTACAGAGGATCAGATAAGCCTTTGGCCTCCAAGAACTAAACACAACAAAATAAAACATTTTGCTCAAAGGTGAAGGGCAAATAGACAGGCAACAAATGCAATGGGGATTAGTTTTTGGATTCAGGGGTATTTAGAAAATGAGTAATGCTGATTCTTTTTACCCCACCCTTCCATCATCTCCTTCTCTTGACTTCATAAGGCAAAGGTAATAATTGTTTCCATTTTACAGGACACATCCTTGTTAAGAGGCAACTGTTGAGCTATGCTTCATCACTCATGCCTGTTATTTTACATTGCCCTTTGGTTTTCATTTGGTTGCCCTAATGGATGTCATTACTCTGAGGCCTGTGGGAAAGGATAGAAAGGACAGAAGACTATTGCCTAGAAAAAGAAACAAAAGTATGATCCGGATTCAACAATTATGGAGTTACATTTCTATAATTAGTTTCTAATCTGTGGTGTTTCTTATAATCAAATTGACTAGCTGCCTAATAGGGTGTTATATTTATTCAGAGAAACTCCCAACAATTTTTTACAAAAGTCTGTGAAATTCTTTGAACCGCAAGATAGTTCCTAGGCCTGCATAATTTAGCCCATTGAAATGGATTGCTGTCTGTCCCTTATTATGTTCACTTAAAATGCTCTGGGTTGCGTCAATGACGAATAAAATTATCCCAGAGAGAACTGTGTGCTACCAGATTGCCAAACTAAAGAACTCACACTATTATCAGAAGAGGGATTATTTTTCCCTACCCTAGCCAAATAGCATGTGACATCTTCCATATACAGATATTTACTGTATTTGCTTTGCCTGTCCTTGTTTTTTAAATTGGAGTTTTAATGGTGTTCTCCCTGTACCTCTATATTTTGGAAGATTTTTTCAGTGACTATATTTACTTCATCATATGTCTCAGGATAATCAGGGAGCCACATCTGACCTAGATGAGAGGCATGAAAATCATCTCAAAATTCCTTACTTAGAGCTAAAAGCATTTATATATGTGATTCTAGGTTATATCCTTATGGAGGAGACAAGTGTATGTGTGTGTATGTGTGTGAATGATTGTATTATATGGTGTATAATGCATATAGTACTGCAAGGTAGTTCCTAGGCAGGAACTAGTATTTGACTAGTGTTTGGTTAAATAATAGTCTAGATATTGCTGTGCAGATATTGTTTCGATGTGACTAACATTTAGAGTCAGTCGACTTTACATAAAGTACATTTACTTCTGTCTTGGTCTGTTCAGGCTGGTACAACAAAATACCATAAAGTGGGTAGCATGTTAACATCAGCAATTTATTTCTTACACTTCTGGAGGCTGGAAAGTCCAAGACCAGGGTGCTGACAGATTCAGTCTCTGGTAAGGAACCACTTTCCGGCTCACAGTTAGCATTTTCTCAGATGTTCTCACATGATAGAAGGGTGAGGGTTTCTCCGGGGCCACATTTATAAGGCCACTGATCTCATTCATAAAACTCTGACCTGACAACCTAATCATTTCTCAAAGGGTCCAACCTCTAAGACCATCACTTTAGGGACTAGGATTTCAACAAATGAATTTGAGGGAAACAGAAACATTCAGATCATAGCACTTTCCACAATATAGGTGGGCTGCAAGCAACCCTTAAGAACAAACACTGAGGTTTCCCAAAGAAGGAATTCTGCCTCAAAACTGCAACAGCAAAATCCTGAGTTTTCAGCCTGCTGGCTTGCCTTACAGATTCAGACTTGCCAGCTCCACAGTAGCATGAGCTAGTGCGTTAAAACCTCTCTCCATTTCTCCATCTCTCTCTCTCTCTTTTTCTGTGTGTGTGTGTGTGTGTGTGTGTGTGTGTGTGTGTGTGTGTATGTATTTCTGTTTCTCTGATGAACTCTAACACATATTATGAAAATATTTTGTTTTGCTTTTTATAAAACCATTTTATTGAGATACAATTGGCATATATTAAACACATTTAAAGTGAAAAATTTGGTAAGTTTTGACTTATATATTGTGCTATGAAATGAGCAGCACAATCAAGGTAATCAACACACCTGTCGTCCCTGTAAATTTCCTTTTGCCTTTTTGTAATCTCTTGCTTCAAATCCTCTCCTGACTATTTCCATGTCTCCAGAAAACCACTGATATGATTTTGTCATTCCACATGAGCTTGAATTTCCTAGATTTGTCTATAAGTGGTATCATGATCATGTGGTCTGCAAATCAAGACAATTTTGTGTCCTTTTTAGCAATCTGGAAATGTGTTATTTCTTTTTTTCTTGCATTATTGCACTGACAAGAACTTTAGGTATAATGTTGAATAGAAGTAGTTAAAGAGTCCATCTCTGTTTCGTTCCTGATCTTAGGAGGAATGTTTTTATTCTTACACTACTAAGATGTTAACTGTTTTTGTGTGTGTTTGGATTCTGGCTTTTTAAAAACATTCTTATTGGGTTAAAATTGTTCCCCCAGGCCGGGTGCGGTGGCTCAGGCCTATAATCCCAGCACTTTGGGAGGCCGAGGCGGGCAGATCACGAGGTCAGGAGATAGAGACCATCCTGGTTAACACAGTGAAACCCCATCTCTACTAAAAATACAAAAAATTAGCCGGGCCTGTTGGCCGGTGCCTGTAGTCCCAGCTACTCAGGAGGCTGAGGCTACAGAACGCGTGAACCCGGGAGGCGGAGCTTGCAGTGAGCTGAGATGGCACCACTGCAGTCCGGCCTGGGCGACAGAACGAGACTCCATCTCAAAAAAAAAAAAAAAACAAAAAAACATTGTTCCCCCATTCCTTCATATTACTCCATCTTGGTTGGAAGCAGAAGTTCACCTTTGTGATCTTTTTTTTGGGATTGCGCCCTTGAAATAAGAAATGATGGGGATTCTGGGTATTCAAAAAGTGAAATATGGTAGATACATATTGTCTGTGCCCTTGTAGCAGTGAGATACCCCTTCTTGTTCCACATGATGTGAGTTCCAATTATAGTATCTAATATTGCTGGACCCAAGTATTTGTTCAAGTATAGGCATATGACACGAGGGGAAAATCAGGCTGATTCCATAGAATTAACGACAGTGGCCAAACTGATCTCTTCCCACTGTGTTTTCTAAAATAGAAGAATATACATTTAGGACTCCTAATATTTATCTTATGTAGCCCTTTAAAATGCTTGCAATAAAGTCAAATGAGACTAATCCACAATGGGATGTAATTATTTGTTTATTCATTTATTTTTCTTTAACACTTACAGAATGGCTACTATGTCTCAGGCATATCTTTAAGCACTTTCTACAGTGGAATTGAATTATGGGAAGATAAATAGTTTAGTTAACCTCCTTTGAGATTCTTGAGTCAGTTTTGTCTGATTATGATATGGCATGTGCCAATAAATTAAATGGCTTTCATCGATGAATTTATTTTTTCTTGGGCGAGTTTGAATAGAGATACTGTCTTTTCACCTGAAAGAGACATGTAACATTGTTTTTAGTAACATTGAGTAACTTAAGCAACTTAAAGGTAGTGAAAAAGAAATCCACATTTCTATTCCCTATCCTTAGCACTCTGATGTAAAATGAGAGTTTGTTTTTACTTTCATGAAAACACAATAAAATTATATAAAGTGTGATAGCTGTTATATTTGTCAGTTGATACTCTCTTCCACATAAAAGAGGGAAAATAAGATTGAAAAAGATTGCTGATAGGCTAATAATAATTTTTTAGCAACATTATTACTGTTTAAGAAAGCATTTTCTTATCTACTTGCATATTTTTAAAAATTGAAAGTATGTAGTACTATTATTCTATTTATATATAACAAAAATGTGTCCAACAAGCTGTCATATAATGAATTAATGGGACTTTACAAGTATGTTCTAATTTTCCTCTCCAGTTGGCATAGCCCTCTTTAAAACGTATTAACCTGACAATTTTAGATATTTTTTCTGGGAAGAATTAAATACCAAGTTCTTTATCATCATAAAACATCCAGATCTGGATCTTAGTGCTTTTCTTTTCTTTTCTTTTTTTTTTGTTTTTGTTTTTGAGACAGAGTTTCGCTCCTGTTGCCCAAGCTGGAGTGCAATGGCTTGATCTCGACTCACTGCAACCTCCGCTTCCTGGGTTCAAGTGATTCTCCTGCCTCAGCCTCCCGAGTAGCTGAGATTATAGGCATGCGCCACTATGCCCAGCTAATTTTGTATTTTTAGTAGAAATGGGGTTTCTCCATGTTGGTCAGGCTGGTCTCGAACTCCCAACCTCAGGTGATCCGCCTGCCTTGGCCTCCCAAAGTGCTGGGATTTCAGGTGTGAGCCACCATGCCCGGCCTGTTAGTGCTTTTCAAATTGTAATTGTTTGTTAAAAATGTTGGTTGCTCTTGATGTTTTTCTTTGCCTAACGTTGAGTAACTTAAGGGTAGCAAAAAAGAAATCCACATTTGTATTCTCCATCCTTAGCACTTAACCAGATATATAGAGGCTTTTGATAAATATTGGCTATATGACTGAATTCCTGGATGGTAGGATCTTCAAAATTTTCATGCATAAAATATTTACTTATTGCCTTTTAAAAAAGAATCCGAACTATACTTCATTAAGCTTTAACTGTTGTTTTAATTAAGGCTTAACTTCAAAAACATAATAGAAATTGTTACTAGGAAATGAGAAGCCCTTATGGGCACATGAGGGATGGGAGTTGATCTCTGTGGGACATTTTTTATTCATTCAATTATTTGTTCAAAGGTTGAATTCAAAACTTGTGGTTTCCCCTCCCTCTCATAGGAACAACCAGATAACAATGCTGGCTGTCTTTATGGGTGCCCATAGAGACCTTCCAGGATTCCCTGACATGATGCAATCCTCAACTCATGCAGGCTGCTGATGAAAATGCCAAGTATTGTTTGTGAGACAGGGGCAGGATTGTGGATGCCACATACCCATCTGCGGCTTTACAAGTCTGTTGTTTTAAGAAATAGCTTTCTTTGTAACTTGCCTGCAATTTCAAAGAGACACTATGTCAGTCACCATCAAGTAGACTTGGCATTAGCAAAGATGCAACAGCTGAGGCTGTGAGCTCATTACTGGAAACTAGGAACCACTGTGGTCAAGTGTTTCCCTTTTAAGTAAAAAGGAGCCTTTGAAGGAGAGTCTGCAATTTGCAAATCTTTGCTGAGAATGTGTCCTTTGAGGTTCTTTTTTGGAGCTGGATTTTATGAATTGCTGAAAATAGAACTTTAAATAATAATTGTAGTGGTCATAAGAATTTTCATGTTCCTAAGTGTCCTCATATCAAGTTCTAAATGCCAACAAATCCACTCATCTCTTAAAATGCCTTGGGTTTACCATTTCTGAATGTAGTTATACAGGGTTATATTCTTTTGTATTTGTGTTGGTGTTTGGGACATTTAAAAATATTTTAAAGTTAATCAAGATAATAGCAAGACTGAGTTGGAAGCACTATATTGATAAAGACAATTTTGTATTTCTATACTGTCCTTTATTTAAGGAACCAAAACCTCAAATAGAGGCCTCCATTAATCTTGAAGATGAATATCTTAAAAAGGAAAGAAGGAAGTACTTTTGTAAGCCATCTTTCTGGAAAACATTCCAACCCTCACATATTCCATTACTAACAATTTATAATCAACTGTGTACCAGGCACTGAGATAAAACATGTATAATGCAGGAAGCTTTTAGCTAGCAAAGAAAGTCATGTAAATATATAATTTCTTTACAGTGTCCATTGTATGGTAGATTTCTACACAATCTACCATAATTGTGTAGAAATCCATATGCAGAGATTCTCAGCGATTCTCTTTGCCTAACATACATGAAGGATCAGACATAATTCCATCAGTAATAGTTACTTCTGAGGGTAAAGATAACGCGGGGTGGGAGTAGAGAGAGCAGCATTCACAAACATAACAAGATACCTAGGAACAAACAAAACTCACTCATATGGCTGTAATCCAAAAGGCAGAGAGGAAACAGGGGCTGCTAATGTGTGGAGACCCAGTGGGATACATATTCTGAAGCATCTCATAAGTCACAGTACAGTCCAGTCTGTGCTTAACCAAAGTAGGTAAGACTCATGGAAGAGTTTTACATCAAGATCATACAATATTTCTATTTAGAAATTTTTATCAGGTGTCAGTATAGATAATATTTTTGAGAGAAACATATACAGCTGGGACATGGATATAGCTGCATTGCAATTTCAAAGGCACATTGCAATTTAAACTTAGTGCTGCTTTTACTTCCTGAAGGCAACAACCCTGAGACCAAGCCCAGCTGTGCTCTGTCATGTCCCATGCCTTCTTTGGAGCTAGGAATATTTGGGGATTTACCTACTAATTAGTTTAAAAGAGAAAACCCTGACAATTTCCTTCTTGTATGTCCCGGGATACCTGAAAGTCATATTGTGGGATTCTTAGTCCCCTCTATATGTGACAAGGATGAAACATTCAGTTAATCTTATATTTCCAAGAGGTGAAGAGAAGGAGGATACACCATCCTTCACCTCTAGGATATCTCAGGGAAGACACTTTGTCCCACAGAATCTATGGGATGTGAACTCTCTCAAAAGGAATTGATAGTGTCTCACTGTTCCTTATCTGGAAAATGGGATAGTTCCTACCTTGCAAGACTCTTGTAAGAATTATAGGTAATATATACAAAGTGCATAGAGTAGTGCCTATTTTATAATGGGTCTTCAATAATGTATAAAGTAATTATTTGTATATATTATTCTTTAAATTATTTAAATTATTCTTATAAAAAGAGGCCATGAACAAGAGAATTACCTGGGATAAAGATGCATGGAACTCTGTAGAGGAAAGAGATGTGAGCAAGGAGAATTTGATTATGTTGTTCATTTTTCATAAAATTTGAACATTCTGAAACTCTTGAACATATGATTTCTGAAAACATTCAGTGGCAAAATATATGAGGTGGGAAAAGCTGGGGCAGATAAGACTCAGTGGATAGCTGTGGCTCCTGTCAGGATGGTAATTATCAGAAGAGATTAGCAAGCATCTAAGAAAGATAGCAGGGGTGAAAGCCCCAGCAGAGAGAAGACAAATGTCAAGAAACTTAGAAACAAAGGGTAAAATCTAATGTTATCTTATCACTAGAGTTGATAAAAGACAGCCATAGTGTACCTATAAAGAAGCTTCCGGAACTGGAGTACTTCAAAGAGGTACATGAGGAAGCCTGCAAAATCGTGTGCTTTCACAGAAGTTGAAGAAATCCACTTTAGGAATCCCCTGGGGCAGATGAACTAAAGGGCAGTCTCTGCAAGGCAGACCATGAGCTCACAAATTATCGCCAAACAGGTCATCTCCAAATCTCCAAGTTTGGCACAAGAAGCTTGAAGCTTATCAGTGCTTACGTTCAGATGTACTCCCTTTCACACCTTGACAATTTCTACACAAAGTCAATCTCTTCCACCACCTTTTAGTCTTTATATAGAGAATACATTTCTACTACTTTCCTGGAAACTCCCAATTAAATTCAAAAGAATAATTCATTCATTTATGTAGCCAGTGGGCTAGGCTCTTTGCGGGTTTCTAGAGAGAATACAGAGTAAAAGACATAATTGTCTCTATTCTTATGTGACACTGTATTCTAGTACTGGAGATTCATATTAAACAACCAATCATACAATTAATTATTTAATGCTCACTGAGGTGAAATGTGGGGATACTATGAGAATATGTATAATTGTGATCACTATTGCTTTTTATTTATTTATTTTTATTTTTTTTGAGACGGACTTTCTGTTGCCCAGGCTGGAGTGCAGTGGCATGGCTCACTGCAGCCTCTGTGTGCTCCCCCCCTCCCCCCCGCCCCCACTTCAAGTGATTAGCCCACCTCAGCCTCCTGAGTAACTGAGATTACAGGCATGCACCACCACACCCGGCTAGTTTTTGTATTTTTAGTAGAAACAGGGTTTCACCATGATGGCCAGGCTGGTCTCGAACTCATGACCTCAGGTGATCCGCCCACCTTAACCTCCCAAAGTGCTGGGATTACTCGCATGAGCCACCGTGCCTGGCCATTGCTTTTTATTTTATGAACAACAGGAGGCCTTTGAATGATTAAAGTCAGAGTCTGCCATGACCATATTTGCTTTAGTAAAGGATCACCTAGATTGTCTGCTTAGAAGTGTTTCCTTTCCATGTATTTGCTGATTGAACACTGTTCACCTGGGAGCCATACAATTTTCTGCTACTGCAAAGGAAACAACAGTTCTCAGCAACTGCCACTGCCTCTCCAGTCTTTATCTTCTGTGTTCCACAGATGCATGTGAGGTCATGGTGGGATGGAGAATGGTCTTCTTACCAATTCTGTGACTCACTTCTGCCTGTGCTTTGAATCTCATAAACCCTTCTTTTCCTTTAGAAACTCAAAATCTGTCCAGAAGACAAGAAAAGGAGAGATGGCACATCATGCCTGCATGGATTTTACAGAATACTTTTCATGTATGTCAATTCATATAAATAAGATTTTGTGTATTTGACTCCATTACTTGTAAAAACAAACAAACAAAACAACAACAAAAAAACTACCACCAGAGAATACTATAAACACCTCTACACAAATAAACTAGAAAATCTAGAAGACACGAATAAACTCCTGGACACATACACCCTCCCAAGGCTAAACCAGGAAGAAGTACAATCCCTGAATAGACCAATAACAAGTTCTGAAATTTAGGCAGTAATAGCCTACCAACCAAAAATGTACCAGAGGTACAAAGAGGAACTGGTACCGTTCCTTCTGAAACTATTCCAAACAATAAAAAAAGAGGGACTCCTCCCTAACTCATTTTATGAGGCCATCATCATCCTGATACCAAAACCTAGCAGAGACACAACAAATAAAATTTCAGGCCAATATCCCTGATGAACGTCGATGCGAAAATCCTCAATAAAATACTGGCAAACCAAATCCAGCAGCACATCAAAAAGGTTATCCACCACCATCTACCAGAGGTACAAATAGGAGCTGGTACCATTCCTTCTGAAACTGTTCCAAACAATAGAAAAAGAGGGAATCCTCCCTAACTCATTTTATCAGGCCAGCATCATCCTGATGCCAAAACCTGGCAGGGACACAACAAAGAAAGAAAATGTTAGGCCAATATCCCTGATGAACATTGATGCGAAAATCCTCAATGAAACACTAGCGAACTGAATCCAGCAGCACATCAAAAAGCTTATCCACCATGATCAAGCCAGCTTCATCACTGGGATGCAAGGATAGTTCAACATACACAAATCAATAAATGTAATCCATCACATAAACAGAACCAATGACAGAAACCCACATGATTATCTCAATAGATGCAGAAAAGGCCTTTGACAAAATTCAACAGCCCTTCATGCTAGAAACTCATGATAAAATAGGTATTAATGGAACATATCTCAAAGTAATAAGAGCCATTTATGACAAACCCACAGCCAGTATAATACTGAATGGGCAAAAACTGGAAGCATTCTCTTTGAAAACTGGCAGAAGACAAGGACGCCCTCTCTCACCACTCCTATTCAACATAATATTGGAAGTTCTGGCCAGGGCAATCAGGCAAGAGAAAGAAATAAAGGGTATTCACTTAGGAAAAGAGGAAGTCAAATTGTCTCTGTTTACAGATGACATGATTGTATATTTAGAAAACCCCATCATCTCAGCCCAAAATCTCCTTAAGCTGATAAGCAACTTCAGCAAAGTCTCAGGATACAAAATCAATGTGCAAAAATAACAAGCATTCTATACACCAATAACAGACAAACAGAGAGCCAAATCATAAGTGAACTCCCATTCCCAATTGCTACAAAGGGAATAAAACACCTAGGAATCCAACTTACAAGGGATGTGAAGGACCTTTTCAAGGAGAACTACAAACCACTGCTCAAGGAAATAAGAGAGGACACAAACAAATGGAAAAACATTCCATGCTGATGGATAGAAAGAAACAATATCAGGAAAATGGCCATACTGCCTAAAGTAGTTTATAGATTCAATCCTATCCCCATCAAGCTACCATTGACTTTCTTCACAAAGTTGGAAAAAAACTACTTTAAATTTCATATGGAACCAAAAAAGAGCTTGCATAGCCAAGACTATCCTAAGCAGAAAGAACAAAGTTGGAGGCATCACGCTACCTGACTTCAAGCTATATTACAAGGCTACAGTAACCAAAACAGCATGGTACTGGTACCAAAACAGAGATATAGACCAATGGAACAGAACAGAGGCTTCAGAAATAACACCATACATCTACAACCATCTGATCTTTGACAAACCTGACAAAAACAAGCAATAGGGAAAGGATTCCCTATTTAGTAAACAGTGTTGGGAAAACTGGCGAGCCATATGCAGAAAGCTGAAACTGGATACGTTCCTTATACAAAAATTAACCCAAGATAGATTAAAGACTTAAATGTAAGACTTAAAACCATAAAAACCCTAGAAGAAAACCTAGGCCATACCATTCAGGACATAGGCATGGGCAAGGACTTCATGTCTAAAACACCAAAAGCAATGGCAACAAAAGTAAAAATAGACAAATGGGATCTAATTAAACTAAAGAGCTTCTGCACAGCAAAAGAAACTATCATCAGATTGAACAAGAAACCTACAGAATGGGAGAAAATTTTTGCAATGTATCCATCTGACAAAGGCTAATATCCAGAATCTACAAAGAACTTAAACAAATTTATAAGAAAAAAACAACTCCATCAAAAAGTGGGTGAAAGATATGAACAGACATGTCTCAAAAGAAGACATGCAGCCAACAAACATGAAGAAAAGCTTATTATCACTGGTCATTAGAGAAATGCAAATCAAAACCACAGTGAGATTCCATCTCACACCAGTTACAATGGCAATCATTAAAAAGTCAGGAAACAACAGGTGCTGGAGAGGATGTGGAGAAATAGGAATATTTTTACACTGTTGGTGGGAGTGTAAATTACTTCAACCATTGTGGAAGACAGTGTGGCGGTTCCTCGAGGATCTAGAACTAGAAATACCATTTGACCCAGCAATCCCATTACTGGGTATATACCCAAAGGATTATAAATCATTCTACTATAAAGACACATGCACACGTATGTTTACTGCAGCACTGTTCACAATAGCAAAGATTTGGAACCAATCCAAATGCCCAGCAATGATAGACTGGATTAAGAAAATGTGGCACATATATACCATGGAATACTATGCAGCCATAAAAAATGATGAGTTCATGTCCTTTGTAGGGACATGGATGAAATTGGAAATCATCATTCTCAGTAAACTATCGCAAGAACAAAAAACCAAACACCGCATATTCTCACTCATAGGTGGAAATTGAACAATGAGAACACATGGACACAGGAAGGGGAACATCACACTCTGGGGACTGTTGTGGGGTGGGGGGAGCGGGGAGGGATAGCATTAGGAGATATACCTAATGCTAAATGACGAGTTAATGGGTGCAGCACACCAGCATGGCACATGTATACATATGCAACTAACCTGCACATTGTGCACATGTACCCTAAAACTTCAAGTATAATAATAATAAAAAAAATGTAGAAAAGCAAAAAAAAAAAAAATGTGGCACATATACACCATGGAATACTACACAGCCATAAAAAAGGATGAGTTCATGTCCTCTGCAGGGACGTGGATGAAGCTGGAAACCATCATTCTCAGCAAACTAACACGAGAACAGAAAACCAAACACCGCATGTTCTCACTCATAATTGGGAGTTGAACAATGAGAACACATGGACCCAGGGAGGGGAACATCATGCATTGGGGCCTGTTGGGAGATGGGGGGCTAGGGGAGGGAGAGAATTAGGAGAAATACCTAATGTAGATGACGGGTTGATGGGTGCAGCAAACCACCATGGCACATGTATACCTATGTAACAAACCTGCATGTTCTGCACATGTATCCCAGAATGTAAAGTACAATAAAAAAATGTCAAATGTGGTGGCATGTGCCTGTGGTCTTAGGTACTCAGGAGGCTAAGGCAGGTGTATTGCTTGAGCACAGGAGTTCAAGATTACAGTGACATATCATCACGTGATTGTCCTCCAACCTGGGGAACAGAAGAAGAAAACATCTCTTAAAAAAGAAAAAAAGAAAGAAAAGCTGATCCACAAATTCATATAGAATTGCAGTGGGCCCTGGTTAGCCAAAGCAACCTTGAAAAAGAAAAATGAAGATGATAGACTCACACTTCCCAATTTCAAAACTTACAACAAAGTTACAGAAGCAACTTTGTAGTTACAAAGTACTCCAAACAATCTAGTACTCTTATAAGTATGAACACAGACTAATTGAAGATAATCCAAAGTTGAGAAATAAACAACACATCTATGGCTAAATGATTATCAACAATGGTGCCTGAACCATTCAATAGGGAAAGAATAGTGTCTTTTCAAGGGATGACTTATTTCCACATGCAGAAGAATGAAGTTGGGCCCTTACCTCACTCCAAATATAAAAATTCATTCAATGTGAATCAACAACCTAAATATAAGAGCATAAACTATAAAACTATTAGAAGAAAACATCAAGGTAAATCTTCATGACCTAAGATTTGGCAAGAAATTCTTAGATTTCACAGAAAATCGTAAGTGGGAACAAAAAGATAAATTTGGACATTATAAAAATTAGAACTTTAGGGCATCAAGATACATTATTTAAAAGGAGAAAAAAAAACTTACATTATGGGAGAAGATACTTTGCAAGTTGTGTATCTAATAAGGATTTAGTATCCAGAATATAAAAACTTCTGAAAACTTAACAAAAAGACAAAGACCCCAACTTAAGAAAACAAGTAAAGGGCTGGGGCATGGTGGCTCACGCCTGTAATCCCAGCACTTTGGGAGGCCAAGATGGGCGGATCACCTGAGGTCAGGAGTTCGAGACCAGTCTTGCCAACATGATGAAACCCCATCTCTACTAAAAAATAACAAAAAAATTAGCTGGGCATGGTGGCGGGTGCCTGTAATCCCAGCTACTTGGGAGGCTGAGGCAGGAGAATAGATTGAGCCTGGGAGGCAGAGGTTGCAGTGAGTGGAGATTGTGCCACTGCACTTCAGCCTGGGCAACAAGAGTGAAACTCCCTCTCAAAACAAAAAACAAAACAAAAACAAGTAAAGGACTTGAATAGACATTTCTCCAGAGACAATATACAAATGGTCAATATACACATGAAAAGATTGTTGGCATCATTAAGAAAATGCAAATCAAACCAAAATGAAATACCATTTCACATTCCAATTAAAAATTGGAAAATAACAAGTGCTGACAAGGATGTGGAGAAATTAGAGCCCTCCTACATAGCTGGTGGGAATGTGAAATGGTACAGCTTCCACAGAAAATAGTTTTGCTGTTCCTCAGACAGTTAAACATAGATTTACCATATGATCCAGTAATTCCACTCCTAGATATATATTTTAAGATATCGAAAATAAGTACTCATATACTTTTCACAAATACTTATAGCAGCACTATTAACAATAGCCAAAAGGTATAAACAACCCAAATTTCCATCAACAGATGAATATATAAACAAAATGTGATGTATATATACAACAGAATTTTATTCAGCCATAAAAGGGAATGAAGTACTGACACAATGCTGCAACTTAGACGAACCTTAAAATTGTTATGCTAAGTGAAAGTGGCCACATACTGAAAGTCACATATTTTATAATTAATTTCTTATGAAATATTCAGAATAGGCAAATCCCTAGAGATGGAAAGTAGATTAGGGGGTTGCCAAGGGATCAGGAATGGGGGTAATCGGGAGTGATTACTTAATGCCTATGAGGTGTTCTTCAATGAACAAAACATTTTGAAACTAGAAAGAGATGATGGTTGCACAACATTGAGGATGTACAAAATGTCACTAAATATACATGTTAAAATGGCTAATTGTATGTTTTGTGACCTTCACCTAAATTAAAAAAAAAGGAAGAAAAACATGCTTTTGAATATTACTTTGTGAACTTTTACACGCATATATAACCCATCCATTTTTCATTATAGGAAATGGATCTAGCTCTGGAAGTGTTGTATACATATCTCATGTTTCCCAAGGATTATAGTTAAACAATTATATTCAATAAAGAGAATATTGATTCTCTTTGTATGTATACATAAATTACATATATACCTTATATATAACATATATACGCATTTAAAGGAAAAGAAGATGCATAGTACCATGTATGTATGGCTGCATTTGTTTTTGTAAAATGACACATATATGAAATTATAATCCATAGAAAACCATAATCCATAGAAAACCTCTGTAAAATACATAATACACTAAGGGATAAAAATGGTTTCTTTTGGAAAGAAAAATATTCTTCAGAACGAGACTAATTTCTAAGTTTATGTTATATTGTATTATTCATGTTTTTAAACAATATACCTAAAAACTTTTTATAGAAGCATATTTAGAAACTATTTTACATAGATACAGAAAATGTTATGGCAAAATATTCCAGTATTTATATTTCAATGATTAAAATATACACAATAATAATGGGTACATGTACTCAACAATCAAAATATTCTAGACCCCACTGTGCATGCTATGTTGTCTTTAATTCTCAGAAGAACACCAGGAGATTCGTGACATGATTACGTCCATTATATAAATCAGGAAATGTGGAAGGTAAATATGCAGCAAAGCCAATGACTTAAAAGATTTTATGAATTAAACATCAAACAAAATATATAATTTTTCAAAGAACACATATATTCAGAGAATGCCAGTGAACTCCAAACAAATTAACAGATAATCTTCCTATCCTTCCAGATTTAATATGCTGTGCTTATCTGTAGCAGCTTCCCAAACCCAGATATTTTGGTATATATATTTCTGTGTGCCCCATTTCATATTTTGGGATTTTTATTTTTTCCTTTCTTCATGAATTATTACGTCTTTGCCTTATGTTTGGATACCTATAACTAGATAATATAATAAATATAAAAATGTGAAGATAAAGCACAATATATAGATACTATATTTAGTATATCCCCATTCTTTAATCTATCATTACAGGTTTGCATCATGTTTCTTCCTTTATGGTCTAGTGTTGGATATATACAACTTAAGCAGTCATTTATTTGTGTCTCAAGAATTATTCAGAGCTGCGGACATCCCCAGTAAGTCTCTTTCTTTTTTTGTAATGAAGTGCTTCAGTGGCAGGATTTCAACAGCCTTTGTCTTCTTCTTGGCTGTATATTCCAATGTGAGATTTGATTGTTCTTTAACAGGACTAGAAGTTTTTCAAACTAATGACAAATTTTCTAATATTTTCTTGTACTGATATTATCAATTGCCATTGAAACTTGATCTTTTGATATACTTTTATATTATATAACTCAGAGATTAAAATATCTTACTTCCTCTAATGACAGAAAATAATATGGAAAATATGGCAGTCTTTGAGTATCACAAAGGTATATCAATCATCTGTTCCATGCCAGGCTTTGTGTTAGTAGCTGAAGTTAAAGGAAAATATGTGTATGTATTATTGAAAACCCTACTGAAGAAGAGGCTTACATTTGTACTTTAAAACTAGTAAATGCTAAGCTAGAAGTGAAGTGTGCAAATATTTTTGGGAATTATTAAAAATATTTACTAAATGCAACTTGGGAGATAATTTGTAGCTTCCTGGGTAAGACAAAAAGGCAGCAGAACTACAAAATTGTGGGAGTGAATATGAAGTAAGCATCAAGGATGACATCTATTGTTCATCCTGGATTTTTCTGATGGATGGTGATGATTTTAACTTTGATCATGTGGAATTTGAAGTATGCTCTGGGCCCTTCAGAAGGAAATGTGTAACCCTCAGATGCATATCAGAATCTTGGGGAAAATAAAAAAAATTTAAATCAGGGATTGACAAAAAGAGTTAATTTTAGTGCCCAGCAGGACATCTATACTTGAAAAGAAAAATTAACAAAAACTCTAGAATCAAAGCCAAGGAGTAGGTTACATGTCTCTGCGGTTGTTTATGTGTTTCTGTCCTTAAAGACTTCAGATTTAAATTCTGCAGGCTTGTAATTGCTGGGATAATACATTTAACTGTGAAAGTTCATCTTGTAAAACAAGTTTAAAATCTTTAATACATTAATGTTTGCCTATAGTCTCAGAGCCACATGCTGCTCTGTTGCAGAAAAAAAAATTATTCTCCATTACCACTGGATTCTGGACAACCGCAATAAATATGACATTGGCAGAAAACTGTAGGGCAAAAAGAAGAGAACCCTTGAAAACCATGAAAACATTGTTTTCTTGATACCTGTGGCAGTGGCTGGGTCTCCTTCATGGTTTCAGTTCCTGTCCTCAACATAACATCTATCCCTATTACAATGACCTCAATTAGCTTACAACAGAGAACCATTACCACCTCATTTTCCATCATCTTGTTTCTGTATTCTACATTTTATTCAGTTTTACAGATGTCTAATGAATACTCTCTCCAGTTCTAAAATCCTCTTGGTTTTCAAATTTCAACTAATCATTGACTTCCTGTTCTGTATTTTAATAGTGAATATTAAGTTGACTTAAGACAGGTATTATTTCTCATTTACAGTTTAATCAGTAGTACCTATTTATGTTTAGCACCTAGTAGATATCTAATATAGTAGTTATTGAATATATTGATGAATAACTTTTAGTGAGGGAAATTAAATTGAATTAAGATATGTATTCCACTGGTTCTATGAACATTAACAAAGCTATCTGATAATCTTTTTGTGTTGTTTGGTTTTTTAAAAAGTGTTTAAGTTTATAGGGTACAAGTATAATTTTATTGCATGGATAGATGGTGCAGTGATTAAGTAGGTGCTTTTAGGGTACCCATCACCCAAATAACTTACATTGTACCCATTAAGTAATTTCTCACCATGCACCCCTCCCATCCTGCTGAGTCTCCATTGTCTCTCATTTCACACTCTAAGTCCACTGTACCCATTGCTTAGCTCCCACTTACAAGTGAGAATATGAGATATTTGTCTTTCTGTGCCTGAGTTGTCTTATTTAAGATAATGGCCTCCAGTTTTATCCATATTGCTGCAAAAGACATTATTTCATTATTTTTTATGGCTGAAGAGTATTTCATTCTGTACATATGCCACATTTTCTTTATCCAGTTGTCCATTGATGAACACTTAGGGTGATTCCATATCTTTGCTATCGCGAACACTGTTGCAATAAACATATGAGTGCAGGTATATTTTGGTAACAATTTATTTTCCTCTGGACAGATTCCCAATAGTGAAATTTATGGATTAAATAATGCTTTTATTTTTAGTTCTTTGACAAATCTTTGCACAGTTTTCCATAGTAGTTGTACTAATTTACATTCCCACCAACAATGTATAAGCGTTCTCCTTTCTCATCCTCACCAATATCTGGTTTCTTAAAACTCTTTTTAATAACAGCCATTCTGACTTGTGTAAGGTGATATCTCACTGTGGTTTTACTTTGCATTTCTCTGATGATTAGTGATATTCAGCATATTTCTATATGCTTATTGGCCATTTGCATGTTTTATTTGGAAACATGTCTATTTCTATCTTTTGCCCATTTTTAAATTAGATTATTTCATTGTTTTTGAGTTTGGTGCAGATATTGTAGAGCTTGACAAAGAACTTTAGGGTGCAGTCCTGAGAGTTACACAAATTTGAATTTAAACAAAAATATGCTGTTTTCTAGGTGCATGATTGGAGGAAAAAACTTTTTACAATGGTGGAAATAATAACAAACACTTATTATTTTAACTGTCAATTATTTTAACATAATTTGTCAACACTGGGTGACACCAAATTTGTATAGGGACCAACTGTAATCTCAGCACTTTGGGAGGCCGAGGTGGGCGGATCATGAAGTCAGGAGATTGAGTCCATCCTGGCCAACATGGTGAAACCCCGTCTCTACTAAAATACAAAATATTAGCTGGTCATGATGGTACACGCCTGTAGTCCCAGCTACTTGGGAGGCTGAGGTAGGAGAATCGCATGAACCTGGGAGGCAGAGGTTGCAGTGAGCCGAGATCGTGCCACTGCACTCCAACCTGGCAACAGAGCGAGACTGCCTCAAGAGAAAAAAAAAAGTATGAAGCAAGTAAAAAATGGGGGAGATAGAGCTAAGGTGGAATGTACACACTCTAATCAATGCAACAAATCAAACAAATTTATTTAACTTATTAATGATGGGTTTTAAAATTTTAATTATAAAATTACTTAAGTTATCTAGCTGAAAGTAAATGCTAGTTAATGGCAGTTCTTTTAATAATTGTATGTTCTTGGAAAAAACCTGCTCTGAAAAATAATCATCTAAATTACTGAAAGAAATTGAACCTAAGTACTTTAAATGCAAGAGATTTCACAACATGTAACATGAAGAATACTGTATTAGAAATTTTATTGTATTCTCTTAGCCTTCTGTTTGCAGATATGCCACATCTTCACCTTGGAATAGTTATGATTGGAAAAGGATCCATGGGAATGTGCTTCAGCATTGGAAGACTCCATAGTTGTGAACTCATACCTACTGCAATCAGGTAAGGCTGAAGATTCCACTGAGAAATGCAACTGGTGTCTGCCTGGAACTTCCCGATGTACATAAGATTAAATGAAATATCTATTTAAAGAAATTTCAACAACCTCCCTCCCCACATCTGAATTTGTATATTTAGTGTAACATTCTTACAGACCCTATAATTCTCTTGGGTTGTTTTAAAATAACAACCAATAGCTAATTTACAATAAATAATTATTAGGGTATTGCCACCTAATATCTTTTTATAATCAAGACCTCCACATTTGAGACTTATTTAGTTATTTTTTGAGACGGAGTCTCACTCTGTCACCCAGGCTGGAGTGCAGTGGCATGATCTCGGCTCACTGCAACCTCTGCCTCCCAGGTTCAAGCGATTCTCCCGTCTCAGCCTCTTGAGTAGCTGGGATCACAGGCGTGCATCACCACACCCAGCTACTTTTTGTATTTTTAGTAGAGACGGGGTTTTGCCATGTTGGCCAGGCTGGCTTCAAACTCCTGATCCCAGGTGATCTGCCCACCTCGGCCTCCCAAAGTGCTGGGATTACAGACGTGAGCCACCGTGCCTGGCTGACCAAATTTGAGACTTATAACTTTCATAGTTGAAAGTGATAAAATCCAATGGTGGAATTAGAATTGCAGGCTCCAAGGCAGGGCAATACGCCATGATCTCACGCACACACACATACACATACACATACACATACACACACACACACACACAAACACACACACACACACAGAGCATTCCTCTGCTTTGTTGACAGATAATAATCTGTGCTGTTAGCCTTAAATTAAATCTTAAATTAATATATATGTATATAACACATCTTGATTTTCTGGATCAAAACTCTCAAGTCTCACTCCTAAAATATGTTCTTTAACATAGAGAAGAGAAAGTAGTGTTTTTTTATTGCTTGATTTTTATTTCTTTCCTTCCTCTTTGTAACCTCTCAAGAGACAAAAGTTTAAAAGAGAGCAGAAACAATGTGTGACATCATAGCACAGTGACTAAGAATATGTTGTCAAAAAAATGAAAAATAAAAGGATGTAAACCAGAGACTTTGGAGTCAGGAATATTTTACTTTAGACATTGATTTATTGCCTTACAACTTTGTTAACCAAACTGATGTAGTCTTTGCATGTAAAAAATATGGATGAAAACTAAAGTTAGTAGAGGAAAATACTATATTAATTGAAAATGCCACTTGTAAAGAAAAAAATAAATTATGTAGATCTTATAGAATACCAATAGTAAGAGAGTAGATATAAAAAAATACATCAGTAAATATATTAAATATAAGTTGATTATTCCAAGTAAAAATCCAGAACAGCTAGTTTGTATAAAAATGACAAATCCAACTCTATACCACTTACAACATAAACATAAAACATAATGTGTCAAATACAAAGTTTGAAAGTAAAATAATCAAAACTACAAGGTATTCAAAAACCAAAAGAAAAATATTGATATCATATAAAATTGATATTGATATCATATAAAATTGGATTTGATGGAAGACATTTTGCTGGAAATACAGTGCATTATTCCATAATAATAAGAGGCAATAAAGTAGGAAGACATAAAGACTTAAAATCATGTACACCTGACATCATAGTTCAAAAATATATTAACCAAACACTGAGAAAACTAAATGGACAAATAAACAAACTCAAAATCATATTTTGAAGTTTTAACATATCACCCTTAGGCAAAAAGTTTACTCCAAGTAATCACTTGTGACCATCATAATTTACTAAATTGACCAGATTACATATAAAACTGTTATGCCAAAAAGCTCTACATAATTTATTTATAAAGATAGTCCATAAAACAAGATTTGACAAATCTTAAATGGCTAGAATAATTTAGAACCTAAATGATATTAACCTATAAATCAGTAACAGAAACTAGAAAATTATTTTATATTAAGAAATTAGCAACCAACAATACATTTCTTTAAAGGAAGTATTTTTAAACAATACAGTATAAAAATAGAAAATGATTTTGAATGAAATAACAAAATATGAAACATCAAAACTTGTAAAATAACCTAAAGTAGTAATTACAGTAAAACGTATAGCTTTATAAGCATGTGTTAGAAAACATGAAAGGTAGACTATATGTTATTCTTCCCCCAAAGCTAGGAAAACCACATAATATATCCAAAGAAAGTAGAAGAAATGCCAGCAAATTTGTTTGTAAAAATTGTAAAATGATTCTAAAATATAGTATGTAAATGCAAACTGACAAGAATAGTCACGATCCTGAAAAACACATCTAGAAAATTCCCCTTTCACACACTAAGATAAATTAAAAGCAATGTCATTTAGCACAGTAAAATATTGATTTAAGGATAGACAAATATGTCAATGAAACACAATAGCAAATCCAGAAATAAACACACACATAGGTGTGAGTCTGATTTAATGACAAAGACAATATTGCAATGCAGTGAGAAAATGATGGTCTTTTGAAAAAAAAATCTGTGCTAATTAGATATTCCTATAGAGAAACATGAAACTTGGCTCATATGTTGCACAAAAAAATCAATTTCAAATGGATTACATATCTAAATGTGACAGGTAAAATTAGAAAGATAAGGGAATTATAACTAATCATAAAAGATGATTTTCATAGCTTTATAATAGAGAAAAATGTTGAGTAGAACAAAAAAATCACTAAATATAATTTAAAAACTAATAAAAGGAACTAAAGTATAAATATGAACTTCTGGTTGTCAAAGTGGAATTAAGATAAGGCAGGCCACAGAGAGATGAATTATATCTGACTAAGGATTAATCAGCATATATAAAACAAATCAAAAAGTAAAAGGCCAATAGAAAAATGGACAAAATCTTGATGTGTCTTCACAAAATTGGATATCCAATTTAACCATTGTGTTGATAATGGTTAAAACAAACTCATTACCCTCAATAAATGCAAATTATATTTAGAACATGATCCCAGCTTACCCCCACTAGAACAGGTAAAAAGTAAAAGAAATTTTAGAAAATCGAAACTTAGGAAAAACAATGGGACATCTTAACAATATTGACTTTCAACTGAAGAACATGGACCCCTTAAAAGGGATGACGAACAACTCTCATACACTGGGGAGAAGCGAAAATTGGCAGAACCCCTTTGCAAAACTCATTGTTATCATCTATTTTAGATTAACCTCTTTATACGCTGTGTTCCAGAGGTTTCACTGTTAAGTTTATTATCCACTGAGAAGTCTAACACATGTTATCCAAAAAACGTATATTCAAATGCCCATAGCATCACTATTTAACTCCCAAAATAAACTGACCCAAATTTCCATCAATATAATTTTGATATATTCAAACAACAGAATATGCATAGCATTGAGAACTAATGAACTAAACTCTAAGTGGAAAAATAGATAATCTCACAAGAAAAATGGTGAAAGACGACAGATACAAAATGGTATATAGTATGAATCCATATATATAGAGACCAAAAGCAGACAAATTTCTGTATTTAATATTGGACATCAGGAAAGCATTTACCACTCAAAGGTGGGTAGTGACTAGAAGGGAGTAAAAGACCCCCTGGAGTGTTGGTACTGTTCCCATTATTGAGTTTCCATATTTAAAAAACTCATCATGTATTTTTCTATATGCATTTTAAACTAAAATAAATTTTATGAAATGTATAAATGATCACAAACCTCCTGATAAAACTATAGGGAGTTATTTTGAAACCTAATGTCAGTATTTTGACAATGTTTTATTTACATAACCTGGGGGAATGTTGGCTAGTATAACATCTGTACTAGAGAAGAGCTATCTAAATATGAAATATTAGTTAAGTTTTATTACTTGATATAATGCCAGAATCTCTTATTAAATTTTACCAGTTACTAATAAGATATTTGTAATTGAAAAGCAATTTTATTAAAATTCTTACTTAAAAAGTACTTGGCCAAAATTCTTACATAATGCATGTTAGTAAAATGGCACAGAGCCTGATCATTCATTTAATCTGTTAAAAGTGGGGGAAAATGATAATATTTTAACCTCCTTTGTTTGAATCACAGAGTTAGGCACTGGGAACATATCAGTGAATAAGACAGACAGATTCTTGACCTAATAAATTTGAATTTTAATGAGATTAATTGACAAGGATTAAGTAAAGGTAAACTTAAAAAAAATCAAGCTCATAATAATCACTCAGAAGACAATAGACAGGTAGCCATAATGGAGCCAGGTAGTGGGTGCTATGGACTAAATTTTGTTCCCCAAAATTCATATAGTGCAGCCTAAGCCTCAGTGTGACTATATTTGGAGTATGGAAGTAATCAAGGTTACATGTGGTGCTAAGTGTGAAGCCAAAATTCAACAGAATTAGTGTCCTAAAAAACAGACATCAGAATGCCTCCTCTTCCTCCCTGCCCTGTGAGGACACAAGAACGCAACTGTCTGAAAGCCAAGAAGAGAGCCCTCAACTGAAATCAAACTGACTGGTACCTTTAATCTTGGACTTCCAACCCTCCAGAACTTTAAAAAACATAAATTTCTGTTATCTAACACACCCAGCCTATGGTGTGTTGCTATGACAGCCTAAGCAGACTAAGACATAGGGGGTGGAAGATATTAACAATGGATGTAGGTTACTTAGATAAGCTTATTTACAGTAGATTAATTGGCAGTTGTTCCAATTTATTTCCATTTGTTCCAATTTTTTTTAACATTTTTTAAGTATAAATTAAAGACCTGAGCTAGAGAAAAGTTTGGCATAAGAAAGTTAGTATCATTGGTATATAGTTATCAAGGAGAGAGAAAAGGAAAGTTAACATGACTAGAGTTTAACAGACTAGACACTCAATCATACAGAGAGCTTAGTTAGCCATGGCAACACAACTGAATTTTATTTTAAGGGCAGAGTGAAATCACTAAAGCGTTTCAAAAGCAGTAAGAACGAATTCAAATTCCATTTATCACTATATGTGCTATTTTGCTATTGGTGAGTAAGTCTTCAATACATACATTTAGTAATGACACAATTCAAATGATACACCGATCATATCGGGTTGGGAAAAGATGTCAAGAATAACTCTAAAAAGCAATTGCTAAGAGAATGTATTACCGTTCGACCAGCCTTACAAAAGATCCTTAAGGGAGTTCTAAACAGAGAAATGAAAGAATGATACATGCTACCACAAAAACACACTTATGTACATAGCCTACAGCCCCTATAAAGCAACTACATAATAGAAACTGTGAACCTCACACATCAATAATAACTTTGAATGTACATGGTATAAATGCCCCACTTAAAAGGCACAGAGTGGCAAGTTGGATTAAAAACAACATCACCAATTCATCTACTGTCTTCAGAAGACCCAGCATACAGTAACAGCACCAACAGGCTCAAAGTAAAGGGTTGGAGAATGATCTATTAGGCAAACAGAAAACAAGAAAGAGCAATGGTTGCTATTCTTATATCAGATAAAACAGACTTTAAACCAACAACAGTAAAAAGAGGCAAATAAGGGTATTACATAAAGATAAAAGGATCAATCCAACAAGAAAAATTAACTATCATAAATATATGTGCACCCAATATCAAAGCACCAAGATTCATAAAACGACTATTTCTAGACCTACAAAGACTTAGCCACAAAGTAATAGAGGGGGATTGCAATACCCCACTGACAGCATTAGACAGACCATCAAGGCAGAAAACTAACAAATATAAATTCTGAACTTAAATTTGACATTTGACAAATTGGATCTAACAGACATCTACAAAATACACTATTCATCAACCACAGAATATACATTCTTCTCATCTGCACACAGAAGATACTCTAAGATTGAACATATGCTCAGCCATAAAGCTAGTCTCAACAAATTCAATAAAGTTCAAATCAGCTGGGCACGGTGGTTCACGTCTTCAATCCCAGCACTTTGAGAGGCTGAGACAGGCGGATCACACGATCAGGAGTTCAAGATCACCCTGGCCTATGTGGTGAAACCCCATCTCTATTTAAAATACAAAAATTAGCTGGGTGGGGTGGTGTGTGCTTGTAGTGCCAGCTGCTTGGGAGGCTAAGGCAGGAGAATCACTTGAACCTGGGAGGTGGAGGTTGTAGTGAGTCAAGATCACACCAACCACTGCACTCCAACCTGGGCCAGAGCAAGACTCCATCTCAAAAAAAAGAAAAAAAACTTAAAATCATACCAACCATACTCTCAGACCTCAATAGAATGAAAATGAAAATAGAAATCAATACCAAGAAGATCTCTCAAAACCACAAAATTACATGAAAATTAAACAACTTGCTACTGAATGACTTTGGGATAAACAATGAAAGCAAAGCAGCAACAAAAAATTCTGTGAAATAAATGAAAACAGAGATATCACATACCAAAATCTCTGGGAAGCAGCAAAAGCAGTGTTAAGAGGAAAGTTTATAGTGCTAACTGCCTACCTCAAGAAGTCAGCCACATCTGGAATTGATGATCTAACATCACACCTAGCAGAATTAGAAAAACAAGAACAAAATAACCTTCAAGCTAGCAGAAAAAAAGAAATAATTAAAATCAGATCCAAACAGAATGAAATTGAGACCCAAAAATTCATACAAATAATCAATGAACCCAAAATTGTTTATTTGAAAGGATAAACAACAGTGGGCTACCATAGATTAACAAAGGGAAAAAAGAAGATCCAAATAAGTACCATCAGAAATGACAAAGGTAATATTACAACCAATATCACAGAAATACAAAAGATCCTCTCAGACTATTATGGACACCTCTGTGCATACAAACTACAAAATCTAGAGGGAATGGATAAATTCCTGGAAATACACAGCCTCTCAGATTGAATCAGGAATAAACTGAAACTCTGAACAGATCAATTTTGAGTTCCAAAATTGAATCAATAGTAAAAAACCTACCAAACAACAACAACAAAAAGCACTGTACTAGATGAATGCACAGCCAAATTTTGTCAGACATACAAAGAGGAGCTGGTAAAAGTTCTACTGAAACTTCCAAAAAATAGAGGAGCAGAGACTCCTCCCTAACACATTCTACAATGCTAATATCACCCTGATACCAAAACCTGGCAAAGACAAAAAAGAAAAAGACATCTACATACCAGTATTCCTGATGAACATCGATGAAAAATTCTCAACAAAATACTAGCAAACCAAATCCAGCAGCACATCAAAAAGGCAATTCACCATGATCAAGCAGGCCTGATTCCTGGGATGCCAGGTTTGTTAAACATACACAAATCAATGAATGTGATTCACCACATAAGCAAAAGTAAGAACAAAAACCATATGATCATCTCAATAGATGAAGAAAAGGTTTTTAGTAAAATCCAATATTCCTTATTGATAAAAACTCTCCAGAAACTTGGTGTCAAAGGAACATACCTCAAAATATTAAGAGGCTCCTATAACAAACCCACAGCCAACATCATACTGAATGGGCAAAGCTGGAAGCATTTCTTTTGAAAACTGGCACAAGGCAAGGATGACTTCTCTCACAACTCCTATTCAGCATAGTACTGGAAGTTCTATCCAGAACAAGCAAGCAAAAGAAAGAAAGAAAAGGCACCCATATAGAGGAAAAATAAAAAAGAAGCTAAATTATCTGTCTTCACTGACAATATGATTCTATACCTAGAAGACCCTAGAGTCTCTGCCAAAAGGTTTTTGGAACTGATAAACAATTTCAGTAAAGTTTCATGACACAAAACCAATGTACAAAAAATCAGTAGCATTTCTATACACCAATAGCATTCAAGCTGAAAGCCAAATCAAGAACATTATCCCATTTACAATAGCAACACACACACACACACACACACACACACACACACACACACAAATACCTAGGAATACATCTAACCAAGGAGGTGAAATATCTCTACAAGGAAAACTACAAAACATTGCTGAAATAAATCATAGCTGACACAAACAAATAGAAAAACATTCCATGTTCATGGATAGGAAGAATCAATATTGTTAAAACGGTCATAGTGCCAAAGGCAGTCTAGAGATTCAACACCATTCCTATCATTTTGTCCAAAATCAATGTCATTTTTTACAGAATTGGTACAAAAAAAACTATTCTAAAGTTCATTTGGAACCCATAAAAGAGCCCAAATAGCCAAAGCAATCCTAAGCAAAAAGAACAAAGCTGGAGGCGTTAATACTACCTGACTTGAAACTATGCTATAAGGCTACAGTAACCAAATCAGCATGTTACTGTACAAAAACAGACATAAAGACAAATGGAACAGAATAGAGAACCCAGAAGTAAAGCCAGACACATACAGCCATCTGATCTTCAACAAAGTCAACAAAAATAAACAATGAGGAAACGACTCCCTATTCAACAAATGGTGCTGGGAATGCCTGGCTAACCATGTGCAAAAGAATGAAACTGGACCCTTACCTTTAACCATATACAAAAATTAACTCAAGATACAGTAAAAATTTAAATGTAAGAACTGAAACTACAAACATCCTAGAAAACAAACCTAGGAAATTATCAGCATCAGCCTTGGCAAAGAATTTATGGCTGAGTCCTCATGTTATTTGAGTTATTTTCTCTAAAATCCACATGAATAAAATTGAAACCATTAACATTATGAAAATATACAACAAAGTTGAAGCGGGTGGGCAACTGAGAGCTAAGATTGACAGAATGGTACCATGATAAATTATTATTACACATACGCTATACTCTCAAAATATGGTATCGGCATAGCAATGTGACAAACTCAATATCACAAAATAGAAAAACCAAAGGCAGTCTCATGCCTATAATCTATAAAATAAAGATGACTTTAAAGGCCAGGCGTGGTGGCTCATGCCTGTAATCCCAGCACTTTGGGAGGTGGGTGGATCACCTGAGGTCAGGAGTTCAAGACAAGCCTGGCCAACATGGTGAAACCCCATCTCTACTAAAAATACAAAAAAAAAATTTAGCCAGGCGTGGTGGCACAAGCCTTTAATCCCAGGTAAGGAGGCTGAGGCTGGAGAATCACTTGAACCTGGGAGGCAGAGGTTGCAGTGAGCCGAGATCACACCACTGCACTCCAGCCTAAGCAACACAGTGAGACTCTGTCTCTTAAAAAAAAAAAAAAAAAAAAAAGACATTAAAATAGTCAAGAAAAGCATGAGATACTAAATAAGTTTCTAAAAATTGTGTTAAATAGATTAAAAACAAAATTATATTCCTAATTTTCAACTTAGAGAAAAATAGTTAATGAATTCAACTAAAAAGCCTTAAAATACGAGAAAAATTATAAGATATTTACTGACCTCAAGATGGATAAGGTAGAAAACGAAAAATAAAAAATATTGCCTATCATTCAAAAAATAACTTAAAAACAAAAGTAATCATATACAAAATGTTAAAAAAAGCGAATTGAAATTTTGCAAAAGTAGACAAAAATTAATATCCAGATATTAAGAATGTATAAGTAGTAAGATAAAAATAATAAATGTTGCCTAAAGGCAGAGGATATGAGAAGTAATATGTGGAAGATATAGTAATACCCAATAAATATTATAAAATATTCTTATCTTCGCTAGTAAAGAAGTAAATGCAAATTTAAACAATTAAATATTGGTCAATATTTTAAATTTCATACTACGCTACTAATGATGATATAAAAATGAAAGCCATTAAAAATGCTGATGAGAATATGAATTGGTGTACCAACTTTAGAGACTAATCTCACAATATATAATACAATTTAAAATATGTGTATTATGTGATCCAGCAATTTTTTCTAAGCATATGGCCTACAGAATGTCTTAAATATAAACTAACCCATGTAAAAAACATATTCGTTAGTTTACCGTTCTTAGTCTAATGAAATTATACAAAAACACAAATGGACTTTAATAAGAAAATAGATAAATATGAAATTATCGACTCATAATATCACTTATCACCTATAAGACAATGAACTAGAGCTACATATACCAACAGTGTATTATATATACTATGCATAATATTAAATTACAGAAAAGTATAACATGCTATCTAGACATAACACTTAAAAACACAATATGTCTATATTCTATATTGTTCTTGAATACAAATTATAAATAATTTAGATGTAGAAAAAATAAACTAGAAGACAAACTCAGAGACAGAAAGTGGCCAAGGGCTGGGGGAGACGAACTGGGGAGTGACTGCTTAAATATTAAAAGGTTTTATTTTGAGGTGATAAAAATGTTTTGGAACAAGGTAGAGACAATGCCTGCACAATCTTGTGAATGTACTAAATGCCACTAAACTTTTTATTTTAAAATGGTTCATTTTTTATTATGTGAATTTCACCTCAATAACAGAAACAATTAGCTGGAACAGCAGTACATCCAAATTCATCCTAGTGTCTACCTCAAGTGAAGAAGAATTAAGACAAAGAATGGGTATGGTGTCAACAGAAACTATCAACTGTGTTTATAATTTTGTGAAAACAAACACCTGAATACACATCACTTCCTCTCCTTTAATACACGTTCTTCAGTTGGTTTCCAGAATATCAAACTCTCCTGGTTTTCTTCCCTACTCATCGATCACTCCTTCTAGGCCCCCTTTACTGATTTTTTTTTCTTATTCTTCCAATATCTTAATATTGGGGTGTCCTAAGACTCCATCATTGCTTCTTTCTTCTCTCTAGATTCACTATCTTGGTGACCTTATCCAATCTCCTTCTATAAAAACTATAAATTCATACAGTGACAATTCCTGAATTTTTGTCTCTAGTCTAAACTTCTCTTCAGGACCCAAGATTTGCATATCCAACTGCCTAATCAGCATATCTACTGAATGTGTTAAACATCTAAAATGTAGCCTGTTGAAAACCAAGTTTCTAATCTTCCCTATCCACCCGGTTATGCCCATTCACAGGCCTCCTCATTTTATTTGATGACAACTCTATTCTCCTTTTATCTGATGACAACTTCACTGTTTTATTTTTCTTAACCCCCGACCTGAATTCCAAAGTAATATTTATTGACTCAATAGTCAAACTATGTTTAAAAACCAGTTTTCACTATTTTTCTGCAATTATTCCAGTACAAGACATCATGATCTCTTGCCTACATTACTACAATAGCTTCCTAAAAGCTCCCTCTACTTCCATCCCCGTCTGAATTCAGTCTGCTTCCAGCACAATCCCTCGTACAATATGGTTATTGCAGAAACAGTACAGAATGCCATTAAAATATGATGATGACACAACAATAAAGATAATTTTGGAAACTATGAATTTAATAGATGAATATTTAAAATAAATGGAAAGGTTGGAAGTTGGTGTAGAAGAATTTTCCACAAGTTCAATAACAAGATAAATGATCAAATAGGAAACGAAATATATTTGAAGATTAATATAAGAGATTCAAACCAACAAGGGATGCAGACTATGAAGAAATAGAAACAGTGGGAAGAAAATTATGAAATTTTTCAGCAGTATAACTCCTAGTTTCCCAACACGGTAAGGAGGCAGTATAGGTATACCTTGAATACATGGTGGTTTCAGTTCTAGACCACTGCAATAAATTGAATATCACAATAAAGGGGGTCACAAATATTTTGGTTTCCCAGTGTATATAAAAGTTACATTTATACTGTACTCTCACCAATTAAGGGTGCATTATCTCTATAAAAACAAAGTACATAATTTAATTTAAAATATTTTATTGCTAAAAAATGTGAACAGTCATCTGAGCCTTCAGTGAGTTATAATCTTTTTGCTGATGAAGACTGCTGCCTTAATGTTGATGGCTGCTGCATGATCCGCAGTGGTGGTAACTGGAGGTTGAGGTAGTTGTAACAATTTCTTAAAACAAGATAACACATCTGTTCCATCAATTGGCTCTTCCTTTCACAAAAGTTCTCTGTAGGATGTGATGCTATTTGATAGTATTTTGCCCCCAGCAGAACTCTTTCAAAATTGAGTCAATACTCTCAACTACTTTATCAATTAGATTTATGTAATATTATAAATCCTTTGTCGTCATTTCAACAGTGTTCATGGTATCTTTACTAGGAGTAGCTTTCATCTGAAGAAACTATTGTCTTTGCTCATTCTTAAGAAGCAACTCCTCATATGTTCAAGTTGTATCATGAGATTGTAGCAATTAAGTCACATCTTCAGGCTCCACTTCTAATTCAAGTTCTATTGCTCTTTTCACCAAATTTGGTGTTACTTCCTTCACTGAAGTTTTGAACCTTTTAAAGTCATCCATGAGGGCTGGAACCAACTTTTTCCAAGTTCCTGTTAATATTTTGATGTCCTCCCATGAGTCACAAATGTTCTTAATGAAATCTGAAATGAATCCTTTCCAGAAGGTTTTCCATTGCCTTTGTCATCAGAGGAATCACTATCTATGGCAGCAACAGCTTTATGAAATGTATTTCTTAAATAATAAGACTTAAAAATCAAAATTAGACCTTGAACCATAAGCTACAGAATGGAGGTTGTGTTAGCAGGCATGAAACCAACAATTAACCTCCTTGTACATCTTCATCAGAGCTCTTGGGTATACAGGTATATTGTCAATGAGTGATAATATCTTCAATGGAATTTTTTTCTCTAAGCAGTAGGTCTCAACAATGGGCTTAAAATGCTAAGTAAACCACGCTGTAAACAGATGTGTTGTCTGCTAGGCATTGTTATTCCATTTCTAGAGCACAGGCAGAGTAGATTTAGCAAATTCTTAAGGACGCTAGGATTTTTGAAACAATAAATGAGCACTGGTTTTATCTGAAAGTCACCAGATGCATTAGCACCTAATAAGAGGTTCAGCCTGTCCTTTGAAACTTAAAAGCCAGGCATCAACTTCACTCTAGCTCTGAAAGTGCTAGATGGCATCTTCTTTTAATAGAAGGCTGTTTCATCTACATTGAAAATCTGTTGCTTAATGTAGACATGTTCATCAGCTATCTTACCTGGATCATGTGGATAACTTGCTGCAGCTTCTTCATCAGCATTTGCTACTTCACTTGCACTTTCATGTATGGAGGGGGCTTCTTTCCTTAAACCTCATAAATCAACCTCTGCTAGCTTACAAACTTTTTTTCTGCAGCTTCTTCACCTCTCTCAGCCTTCACAGAATTAAAGAGAGTTAGGGCCTTGCTCTGGATTAGGCTTTAGCTCGAGGGATGTTGTGGCTGGTTTGATCTTCTATCCAGACCACACAAACTTTGTGCATATCAGCAATAAGGCTGTGCCACTTTCTTATCATTCATATGTTAATGGGAGTAGCACTTTAAATGTTCTTCAGGAACTTTTCCTCTGTATTTTCAATTTAAATATTTGGTGCAAGAGACCTAGTTTTTGGCTGATTTGGGCTTTCAATATGCCCTCACTAAGCTTAATTATTTCTAGGTTTTGATCTAGAGAGACCCATGACTCTTTTCTTTGCTTGAACACTTAGAGGTTATTAATTGTAAGGTTGTTAATTTGGCATAATTTCAATATAGCTGTGTGTCTCAGGAAATAGGGAGGCCCAAAGAGAGAAGAGAGAAGGGTGAATGGCCAGTGAGTGGAGCAGTCAGAACACACGGAAAATTTACCAATTAAATTTACAATCTTCTATGGGTGTGGTTTGTGGTGCCCCAAGCCAGTTATAGCAGTAACATCAAAGATCCCTGATGGCAGATCACCATAACAGATATAATAATAATGAAAAAGTTTCAAATGTTGCAAGAATTACGAAAATATGACTGGAAAATTGGCACTAATACATTTTCTAGATGCAGGGTTGCCACAAACCTTCAATTTGTGAAACAACAACAAGGCGAGGTATCTGCAAAGCACAATAAAATGAAGTGTGCTTGTAACAGCTTTAGGTGTGAGGACATGTGAGTCTTCCAACTTATTATCTAGTATTTTTGCCCCAAACACTTTTACACTTCGGGTAGGCGAGGCTTCTTGGGGCTGGCTGCTTAGGCCTCCGTGATTCCTGATTAAGGAATCCCCATCTTCAGACACATAGGTTTTACCTATCCCCACATGGCAAATTAGTAACCATTCATCCATCCACAATCTACTGTTTCTCATTGTTGTAGTTATAAAATGAGTAAAAATTATGCATTGCATTTGATAACTATTTTAATTCTCTTTTAGACAAAAATAATGCTCTGATTCCTATGAACTTCTGATTCCTCCTTTGTTGCTGGGTTTTGCTTTGTTTTGTTTTTCACTCGACTCATTTTATACTAGCTAAAATGGAAATGGAAAAGGGCATGTAATCTTGTATAAGGAGATATGGGGTCTGCCTCCTGATAAATTGTCAGTCTGGCCTTGGCCAAGTTACTTAATATTTTTGAGACATAGTTTTCTCACACATAGTATGGGAATAACTTACAGCAAGGTCAGCTAGTTGTGATGAGGAGACGACACCTCTGAATGAAGTTAGCCAACTGTCATGTGAAATACAAATAACATTGCTTTTCTGGTACCATTGCATTCCTTACTGACATTTAACTCTATCTCTTAATTTCTTTCATTTCAGAGACAGATTTTGTATGAGGGAAGCAACAAGAAATGTCCTCTTGGAAAACACTGAGTGCTAAGAAGGCCCCATGAATGATTTTACTGATAAAAAGAAAGAAGAGGTTTTTAAAACACCAGCCAAGCCAATTTCTCTCCCTCACTATAATACAGAGCTGAACTTTAAAACTTGAATAGAATCATTGTTATCTTTTTATTTTAACATTTGGTAGGACAATTTCTGAAACCAGGAAAGCTAGTTTCCAAATTATACACAGGCCTGCATTAATTGCTATATCACAAGAAACTCCAAAAATCCTTCAGGAATGTCATTTACACATATGTCCAATAATAATGTGTATTTCCTGATGGCTTTCAGAATGAATATTAGGATTCTATGGAAAATAGTTAACATAAAATTGATTAGTGAACTAGAACTTTCAAATAAATTTTAATATAAATATAACAAGAAAAGTGAACAAACTATAAGTACACATCTTCATAATTTTCATAAAATAAACACACCCATGTAACCAATGCCCAAATTAAGAGCTATTACCAGAACTCTTCAGTCTCACCTCATTTTTCACCCAGTCACACTCCTCATTCAAAGAAACCACTACTGGATTGCTAAAGCTATCACTTAGTTTTGCTTGCTGCTTTTTCTTGATTTTTTAAATATTGAGGTGTAATTTACATATAATAAAATTCACAAATCTTAAGTGTTCAGTTATACGTTTTGAAAATTATATGTACTCATTTAATCACCACCCAACACAAGAAGAGAGCATTTAAATCTCTTCAGAAGTATCTATCATGTTACTTTACAATCACTTCTCCCTCCTTCTCCTCACTCACAACATCCATTGTGAGGCACAATCATTTTCTTATTTTCATCATCACAGGTTAGCTTTCCCAATTTGGGGGGACTTAATAGAAATATAATCACACATATCAAATTCCATTGCACCTATTTTCTTTCAGTCAAAATAATATGCTTGAAATTCACCTATGTTGTGTGTATTGACATTTGGTTTTTTACCACTGCTAGGTAGGATTCAATTTATGAATATAACACAGTATGATTATCTATCTTCCTGCTGATAGACATTTGGGTTATATGCCCAGGCTTGGACTATTAATCAACAAAACTCCTACAACTGACAACAAGGCAAAGATTTCCTCTGTAACCATTTTATTTAACAGTCTTGAGAGTTTTAGCTAGTGAATAGGCAAAAAAGAAACAAAGTGCTTACACAGTAGAAAGTATGAAATAAAACTGTCCCTTTTTTTAGATAACATGATTGTCTACCTAGAAAATCCAAGAAATCTACACAAAAAATTATTGAACAAATATGTGGATTCAGCAGGAATGCAGGATATAAAGTAAACATATAAAAATTAGCTGCATTTTTATACATAGGCAATGAATATGTGGAAACAAATTAAAAACATAATGGCACTTGCAATCATTTAAGAAATGAAAGGCTTAAGTGCAGATATAATAAAATACATACAGGATTTGTATGCTTATAACAACAAAATGCTGATGGAGAAAATCAAAGAAGACCTAAATAGAGATGAACTATGTTCATGGATTGGAAGACTGAATGTAGTAAATATTCCAATTCTATGCAAATTAATATTTTTATCAAAATCCTGGTTTTTTTTTGGACAAATTATTTTAGCATTTTTATGGAAAAGCAAAGAAACAAATAGCTAAAGCAAATATAAAAAATATAAATGAAATGGGAAGAATCACTTTACCTGATTTTCAGTCTTATATAGCTATGTTAAGAAAACTTGTGGGGTATTTGTGTAGTTAAAGACAGATGTAGCAGAATAGAGAACCCACGAATAGGCCAACACAAAAACGCTCAACTGAGTTTTGACAAATGTGCAAAAGCAATTTAATGGAGGAAAGATACCCTTTTTAAGACATGATGCTGGCATAATTGGGTATTTATAGCCCCAAGGGTTATGGGCAAAGAGCATAGAACAATATTTGGTTCTTTAACTACTAGCTACTTTTAGTTAGCAAAATATTTTCAAGTTTCATTTTAAGCCCTTCAAAAAAGAATTTCCCCTCCCCCCTCTACTTTTTTTTCCTCTTTTTTATTTTATTTTATTTTTCCAAGATTGCAGATTGGAGGCAGTGTTAGTGTGCCTCTCCCACTTGGAAGGACAGAATAATCTGTAGAGATACACACTGTAAATCATTTTCCCAAGAATCAACACAGGAACTTAAAGGGAAATCAAAAGAATCCACAAACTCTTTGAAAGAAGTGGCAGGCTGCAGCCTATTCTATGAGTAAGGTGAAAAACTAAGTCCCCAGAGCGTAAGATGGGGAGACACTGTCTCTAGGATACACATCCCCACTGGGAAATTTGAAAATCCAGGCCATAGGAGAAGGCCTTACCCTTACCCAGAGTTGGAACTAATTTGGGGAGCAGTTAGAAATCATAATAAATTAACCCAATCAAAGATAAAGAAAAAAGAATAAAAAATAGCAAAGCCTCCAAGAAATATGGGGTTATGTAAAACAGTCAAACCTAAGAATAATTGGTGTTCTTGAGGGAGAAGAGAAGCCTAAAAGTTTGGAAAACTTATTTAAGGAAATGATTGAGGAAATCTTCCCCAGCCTTGTTAGAGATTTAGATATCCAAATACAAGAAGTGCAAAGAACTCCTAGGAAATTCACTGCAAAAAGATCTTTACCAATGTACACAGTCATCAGGCTATCTAAAGTCAACACAAAGGAAAGAATTCTAAGAGCTGTGAGACAAAAGCATCAGGTAATCTATAAAGGAAAACCTATCATACTAACAGCAGACTTCTCAGCAGAAATCTTACAAGCTAGAAGGGATTGGGGTCTTATCTTTAGCCTCCTTAACCAGAATGAGTGTCAGAAAAGAATGTTATATCTAGCAAAACTAAGCTTCATATGAAGGAGAGATAAAGTCTTTTTTGGACAAACAAATGCTGAAGGGATTTGCTACTACCAAACCAGCACTACAAGAAATGCTATAAGGAGTTCTAAATCTTAACACAAAAGCTCAATATGCACCAAAATAGAACTCCCTGTAAGCATAAAACTCACAGGGCCTATAAAACAATAACACAACGAAAAATACAAAGTATCTAGATAACAACTAACATGATAAATAGAATAGTATCTCACATCTCAATATTAACATTGAATGTAAATGGCCTAAAGGTTCCACTTAAAATATACACAATAGCAGAATGGATAAACATCCACCAACTAAGTATTTGCTGTCTTCAAAAGACTCACCTAACACATACAAATTCATATAAACTCAAGGTAAAAAGGTGGAAAAAGATATTCCACACAAATGGAAGCCAAAAGTAGGTAGGAGTAGTTATTCTTACATCAGACAAAATTGATTTTAAAGCAACACAGGAAAAAAGACAAAGAAGAACATTATATAATGATAAAAGGATCATTCCAACAAGAAGATATTGCAATTCTAAATTTCTATATACCTACATGGAGCTCCCAAATTTATAAAACAATTACTACTAGACTTAAGAAATGAAATAGACAGCAACACACTGTTAGTGGGGAACTTCCATAGCCCACTCACAGCACTAGACAGATCACCAAGACAGAAAGTCAACAAATAAACAATGGACTATACCCTAGAACAAATGGACTCAGCAGATATTTATAGAACATTCTTCCCAACAACTGTAGAATATACATTCTTCTCATCAGCACATGGATAGACCCATATGATAGGCCACAAAACAAGTCTCAATAATTTTAAGAAAATTGAAATCATACCAGTATCTTCTCAGACCACAGTGAAATAAAACTGGAAATCAACTCAAAAAGAACTTTCAAACCTATACAAATTCATGGAAATTAAATAATCTGCTGTTGAATGATTTTGGGGTTAACAATAAAATCAAAGGTAAAATTTAAAAATTCCTTGAAATGAATAATAGTGACACAAGTTATCAAAACCTTTGGGATATGGCAAAGACAATGCTAAGAGGAAAGTTCATAGTATTAAATGCCTACATCAAAAAATCTGAAAGAGCACAAATTGACTATGTAAAGTCACACCCCAAGTAATTAGAGAAACAGGAACAAATAAAACCCAAAGCCAGTAGAAGAAAAGAAATAACAAAGATCAGACCAAAACTAAATAAATAAAATTGACACAAAAATTACAGAAGATAGATGAAACAAAAAGCGGGTTCTTTGAAAAGATAAACAAAATTGATAGACCATTAGTGAGATTAACCAAGAAAATAAGAGAGATGATCCAAATAAGCTCAGCTAGTAAATGAAACTGGAGACACAAAAGTTTATTCAAGGCTACTATGAACACCTTTACATGCACAAACTGGAAAATCTAGAGGAAATGGATAAATTACTAGAAACATACAACCCTCCTGGATTAAATCGGGAAGAAATAGAAACCCTGAGCAGAACAATAACAAGCAGTGAAATTGAATCAGTAACGAAAAAATTGCCAACAAAAGAAATCCAGGACCAGATGAATTCATAGCTGAATGCTACCAGACATTCAAAGAACTGGGGCCAATCCTACTGAAACTATTCCAAAATATAAAGAGGTGATGTTCCCTAAATTGTTCTATGAATCCAGTATCATCCTGATACCCAAACCAGGAAAGGATTTAACAAAAAAAGAAAACTGAAGACCATATCCCTGAGCAACACTGATGCAAAAATCCTCAACAAAATACTAGCCAACTGAATCCAACAGCACATCAGCAAGATAATACATCATCATCAAGTGGGTTTCATCTCAGGGATGCAGAGATGGTTTAATGTATGCAAGTCAGTAAATAAATCAAATAAACAATTAAAAACAAAAACCACAGGATTATCTCAATAAAAGCAGAAAAAGCATTTGATAAAATCCAGCATACCTTTGTGACAAAAACCCTCAACAAACTAGGCATAGAAGGGACTTACCTCAAAGTAACGAAAGTCATGTGTGACAAGCCCACAGCAAACATACTGAATGGGGACAGGTTTAAAGCATTGCCACTGAGAATTGGAACAAGATAAGGACACCCACTTTCATCACTTCTATTCAACATAGTACTGGCAGTCCTAGCCAGAGCAATCAGGCAAGAGAAAGAAAGAAAGAGCATCCAAATGGGAAATGAGGAAGTCAAACTGTTGCTGTTCACCAATGATATGATTGTATACCTAGAAAACCTTAAAGACTTATCCAAAAGGCTTTTAGGTCTGATAAATGTATTCAGTAAAGTTTCATATTACAAAATCAATGTACAAAAATCAGTATCACTACTGTATACCAACAATGAACAAGCTAAGAATCAAATCAAGAACCCAATCCCTTTTACAACAGCAGCAAAAACAAACAAACAAACAAAACTCTAAGGATATACTTAAGCAAGGAGGTGAAAGACCTCTACAAAAGAAAACTACAAAACACTGCTGAAAGAAATTATGTATGACAGTGGTCGGCAACATTTTTGGCACCAGGGAGCAGTATTGTGGAAGACAATTTTTCCATGGACTGGAGTGAGAGCAGGTGGATGGGGAGGGGGTTGGTTTCGGGATGAAATTGTTCCACCTCAGATCATCAGGTGTTAGATTCTCATTAGGAGCGAGCAACCTAGATCCTTCACAAGTGCATTTCACAACAGAGTTTGCACTCACTTCTAGGAACAGTATTCCAATCTGCTGTTTTACGTATTTATTCCCACAGGAATCTATGGAATACAAGGGCAGGAGCAGTGTCTTTCTTTCTTTTCCTTTTTTTTTTTTTTTTTGAGACAGAGTCTTACTCTTTTGCCCAGGCTGAAGTGCAATGGCACCATCTGGGCTCATTGCAACCTCCACCTCCTGTATTCGAGCCATTCTGCTGCCTCAGCCTCCCTAGTACCTGGGACTACAGGCATGCACCACCAAACCTGGCTAATCTTTATGTTTTTAGTAGAGATGGGGTTTCACCATGTTGGCCAGGCTGGTCTCGAACTCCTGACCTCAAGTGATCCACTCACTTTGGCATCCCAAAGTGCTGGGATTACAGGCATGAGCCACCATGCCCCACCATCTTTTTAAATCTCTGCTATACTTCCAGTGTCTGGAAAGCTATCTGGAACTTAGTGGTCTCCCAGAATTTAAAGCATTAAAATGAATCAAATTTCTTACTAAATACATAGTTGCGTTTATCCCAGCAACAGATCTTCTGACACTATTTCCTGCTTTCAGTTGTGTGTGAACTTAATGTTTTTATTTACATTTTTCAATGGGATTTAGTGTGTGATGAACAGCCACTCAAAAATCATTGTCACAATCCTGTGAGAATCTTATGTCATCACTGATCTGACAGGAGGCAGAGCTCAGGCAGTAATACTCACCTCCTGCTGTGTGGCAGGTTTCTAACAAGCCACTGACTGGCGCCAATCTGCCACCTGGGGGTTGTGATCCCCTGATATGTGACATAAACAAATAGAAACTCATCCCAAGCTCATGGATAGGAGAATCAATACTGTGAAAATGACCATACTGCCCAAAGAAATCTACAGATTTCAATACAATTCCCATCAAAATACCATCATCATTTTTCACAGAATTAGAAAAAAAATCCTAAAATTTATATGAAAACAAAAAAGAGCCCACATAGCCAAAGCAATACTAAGCAAAAAGAACAACTCTGGGGCATCACATTACCAGACTTTAAATTTGGTAACTGCAAGGCTGCAGCTACCAAAACAGGATGGTACTGGTATAAAAAGAGGCACTTAGACAAACGGAACAGAATAAAGAACCCAGAAATGAAGCAAAATACTTATAGCCAACTGATATTTGACAAAGCATACAAAAACATTAATTGGGGAAAAAGGCCTTATTCAATAAATGGTGCTGGGAAAACTGGCACGCCGCATGTAGAAAAATGAAACCGGAGCCCCATCTCTCATCTTATACAAAAATCAACTCAAGATGGATCAAAGACTTAAGTCTAACGCCTGAAACCATGAAAATGCTAGAAGATAACATTAGCAACACCCTTCTGAACATTGGCCTAGGCAAAAAATTCATGACTAAGACCCCAAAACCAAACCCAACAAAAACAAAAATAAATAAATGGGACCTAACTAAACTAAAAGCTTCTGCACAGTAAAACAAGTAATCAACAGAGTAAACAGACAACCCACAGAGTAGGAGAAAATATTTGCAAACTATGCATTCAACAAAGGACTAATATCCGGAATCTACGAGGAACTTAAGTCAGCAGAATAAAACAATCTTATCAAAAAGTGGGCAAAAAACATGAATAGACTATTCTCAAAAGAAGATATACAAATGGCCAAGAAACATATAAGTGCTCAACGTCTCTAATTATTAGGGAAATGCAAATTGAAACCACAGTGCAATACCACCTTATTCCTGCAAGAATGGCCATAATTTAAAAATTAAAAAATAATAGATGTTGGCATAAATGTGGTGAAAAGTTTAAGGAGATAATATAGCATATATATATATATATATATATATATATATATATATAACAAATATATAAATATACATATCTTTAAAAAATATAAGGTGGGTAAGTAGCAAGAAATATTAATAAATTGTGAGGGGAGGGTGTTAGAACGCTTTGGTTCCATGTAGAACAAACTCTGAAGGGTAATTAATGTTCCAGAGTCTGAATGCTAGTATCCTTTGAACTTTCATGTGTCCTGTGGTGTCAGGGTGAGGACTGGATTTCTCTTCTATCACAGATACTGTTAAATATAGTGACCCCCAAGTTTCTCTTCAAAGAATCAGTATGTCAGTATGTTCAGCTCTCTTATTCTTTGACTCTCCATTTTAAAGTTTAACTTCTTGGTTCTCTTTGCTCCCTTCCTTCTAGTTTCAGTAAACAACTTTCCCGCCAGTCCTAATCAGTAGTTCACGTCTGTTTCCCTTGTCACCTGCTTTGACCTGAGTCACCCTAGTCACCTGTTTTGACCTGAGTCACCCCTGGTCACCCGCTCCATCCTGACTCATCCTGAGCCACCAGTTCTGTAACCGCCCTTCCTGCCAAACTACTCACCCCACTACTCTGGCTCGTAGTCCTGCTCTTTTTAAAATAGCCAATCAGAATTAGCTTAGACTGTGAGGTCCAACCCTAGCCAATAGGGGAATGACACAGCAGTAGGGCCCTGTGTCAGGAATAAGCACTCCTTCCCCTCCCCTGTCCAGGTGTGCTGTTGCCATTGTTCCATCCGTGAGGAGCACCCTTTCTGCAGAAAGCAAAAATTGCCTTGTTGAGAAAATTAAATTTATGTTCGAGTGCTATTTCTTTGCAGCACCAGGGAGCAAGCATTTTACATTTCTAACAGATACCACCAGCCAGATTTATACCTGCTCTAGTCAAGGCAGACTTTACCCTTTCCTCTCAAATTTCTCTTGTCCCTGGTTCCCCAAATTCAGAGGAACTAGAAGAAGAGTAAATATGGTAAGTAGTCAAGCACAGGGAATTAAACATGCCCCACCCACCCACACACACTTTCATGCTAGTTCATGAAAATATGGAATACAGTCAGTACCAAATTGGCTGCTGGTTGCAAGAAAATCTAAATTGAACCTGAATTTTGATATTAGATTTTACTGAACTATTTAATACCTGCAAATTTGACTATTCTAACACCAAAATCTAACAAAGAAAGTGATGGAATATTCCAGATATATTATTTGGGGCAGAGAAGGAAGATCAGATAAAAGTATTGAGATTTACAGTTTTTTTTTTAAAAAAACTGTTTCCTGAATGGTTTACATTAAATTTAATCTGTTCATTGAACTGGTTAAAGTAGTTTTCCCAAAGCTAGTAGTTAATTCTTATTTATTGCTTGTCTCCTTACTCTCCTTGCTGGTTTCTGTCTGAATAGATACTTGCCCACTTCAAGGATCCTGCTGGGAAGGATAAAGACCCTAAACTTGACCCTTTTGACTTAGACATTTTTCATGGTTTACAAAATACGTTGTATGTAGTCAACCTTCAATACTTAATATAAACTGACACTATGACTATTTGTTTCAGAGGTTTCCTGAGAATAGAAAGAAATGTATAACATGTCTTTTTTTTTTTCTAGCATGAGCATGTTTTCTTCTTGTGTTGTGATTCCTTTCTTCTTGACTGGCCAAACCTTACCTCTCTGGACTCTATATCCACTCTTTTGTCTGTTTCCCACTCACTCTTATAAAGCTGTTGCTGTTTTGTTAAGAACACAACTAAATGTGACACTTCATGATAGGTTTTCCAAGCATGTGACACTCCTATTCTGCACTCACTTCTAAGAATAGCACTCCAATCTGCTGTTGTATGTCTTTATTCCCACCAGAATCTATGGAATATAAGTGTAGGAGCAGTCTCTCTCTTAATCTCTGCTATAATTCCAGTGTCTGGAAAACTACCTGGAACTTAGTGGTCTCCCAGGGTTTAAAGCATTAAAACAAATCAAATTTCTTACCAAATACTTAGTTTTTCCTCCCAGCAACACATCTTCTAACACTATTTTCTGCCTTCAATTGTGTGTGAACTTAATATTTTTATTTACATTTTTCACTGGGATTTAGTGTGTAATAAAAAGCCACTGAAATCATTGTCACAATCTATATTTATGGCAAGGTAAATGACTGGAACACCAGTAAGTGGCTACTTTGCCAACAGGTGAGTTTCATCCTTTAATCTTCAAGTAATTCAAAGATAATAACTAAGCAATCTATTTGTTAAAAACAATGACATGCTGAAGGCCAGAAGTATATTTTCAACAAGTGAAAAGTGATTTGGAAAGTGCCAAATAAATAACACAGACTGGGTAAAGATGTATAGTTCCAAAGAAGGAATAATGCCTAAAGTGAGCAACGATAGACTTTCAGAAGTTAAGAAGGTAAATTAGAGGCTTTATGTAAAAGTTTAAGAAAGCAGAGGAAATTACAGTAACATCCTGGTAATAGGATCGAAATTGATAAATATGCAAAGGTAGGTGTCATCAAGGTAAGAGACGAAGAACAGAGGCATAATTTGGTTGCATAACATTCATATGGGGGTATAATGTAAAGAAAGGTAAAAATGCTCAGATTCTGAAAGACAGGCTAATGAGATTTTATTTTCTCCTTGGGTCATAAGATATTAAAAGTGTTATTGATATTTTCTGTGATATGATGGAACTGGGTTTACAAAGAAAGACTTGTCAGATGCAAGAAAGGAAATTGGAGGACTATGAAATAATAAATACACAAAAACTACAGCAATAACAAACAAGAGAGGAAACTGCAATGTAGGTATTTGGATATAGAGTTATAATAAATGATAATAAAACATTCAAAAACATTTATAAAGGGAGTCTGCATATCTCAATTCTATAAGTTAAGAAAGGAATTAACATGGTAGAACCTTGAAAAATTATGGAGCAACCCTGCTTCTCCTTTTTAAATATAAGCACAAAGACTGTTTTGTAAACATTTCAAACCAACAGATCATTATTCGAGGCTTACAATTTACCAGGTGTTGACTGGCTGTTATTATTCTAAGACAACACCTGTTGACAAGTAGCTTAAATATTCTTAGGAAATATGAGCATTTTTTAAGAGTAATTTTACCTAGTCTGATAAATGCTGCAATTGACGTAAGCACCAGATGCCGTAGGGTCATATGTGGGAGGTCTAGAGAAGACTTCGTGTCTAATGGTGTACTGCACTGTGTTTTGTTTCTTTACTATTTTACTAACTCAATTTGTTATTCCTTAGATTGGACCAGAAATCACTGTTGCTATGTTTCCTCCAATTATTGGATTTCTGAGAACTTGTTCATTTGCCCCAATCTTCTAAGTTAACTGCACATTAAGATTCATTATGTCAATATCCGTGGGCACAATAACTGTCAATAACATTATACTTCCTAAGTAGTTACTTACAGTCCTCTTTGCCTCTAGTTGAGTAAATGAAGCATTCTTCATTTGATTGCCTATTGAAATTCTTATTCTCTCTTTCAGTTGTAGAATGGATTCCAAGAAAATATCTGCCCACAGTTACAACAGTTCTTTCACTGTTGATGAGTAGCGGCCAGATTTCACTGGCTGAGTTGGTTTTTGTCTTTCGAGAATAGCACATCATCCTTCAGTTCATAATCTCTATGCCACATTTTGCCTTTTTTCCCTGTGGTATGTTTAATTTTACTTTACAGTTGTGTTAGTTTATGGGACCCTAGGAACTGAAGATTTGTCATGTTGTTCTGGTTATCTGTTACTCTGTAACAAACTTAGTGAGTAAAAGAATAATGATTTTTTTTCTCCCTCATTTCTGTAGTTTGACTCTGCTGGGCAATTCTTCCTTGTGATGCAGTTAGATGATGGCTGGGCTGCACCTGGCCCAATGTACTGAAAGATAAACCATCACATGTGCTACCACGAAAACATAATCTTTAAGCATAGAAGACCTTCCTTTGGTTGACATAATAGAAGACCCTCCTGTGATAGGTAATAAAGCTAATTTTTTAAATTAATCTTGTTTAGACTACATTTAATAACATGCCATATATATCAAAATGAAATTGATAAGAGAGTCAAATGAGATGATCAAATGGAAGTATTTTGAAATAAACAAAGATTAGGAGAAGAAATCCTATTAGAATTTCTATGTGAGTAGGAAAGTGAGGAGACTTAAGAGAGATTTCCAGTAAAACACTTTTGCATTCTTGGGATGCATCTACATTGCCCGAATTATGTAACACTGGATTTGTTTTATATCATTTAATTATCTAGTGGGTTCTCCAACTTTTCATTTATTTGTTTCTTCCTGTTATTTTTTATTTTCTGTTTATTATGTATCAAATTTCTCATAGTAAATTTTAAGTCCTGGTGAGCTAACTCCAACATCTGTATCAAACATGATGCTGTGTATGGCGTTTGGATTTCTTTTCATTTTGAGTCATGTGGGCCTGTTTCTTCAACATGCCTAGTACATTTTAAAAATCAAATTATCAACACTGTGCATAAAAATTGAACAGGCTCTGTGCTATGTCACCTACCTCTCAAGAGGGTTTACACTTCCCTCTGCTGGCCAGGTAGAGTGGCAACTGTTTATTGTAATCCAAGTATGTGGCAAGGCTCAGTCTACCTCTGATATATGCCTGAGAATTTATTGTTTTGTTTTGTTTTTTAATGAGGGCCTTATGTAATCTCTATAATCTCTCTCCTTGTTGTGTCTAATTTCTAATTTAGTTTCCCAAGACTACTCTGCTCTGCTTTTCAGATACTGTTTTGTGTTTAGCTTCCTATACCACTTGGTATGCAGCAATCACTATGAGGAGAAAAAATGTCACATGCTTGAAACTCCCTTGCTATGGTAAAAATTCTAGTACTTTTACTCCAGGTTCCTGCATATGCTCAGAATTGGAAGGTCTTATATTTTGATTTATAAATGAACAGAATATACAATACATATGTTCTTTCAGAGCATAGCATTTATTGCCAAAGAACTTGAGAGAGGCAAACACCTAGAAAAGCCTTATTGAGGAAGTAGATATTCTGCGTAGTTGCAACCTGGATAGAGAATACATGCCAACTTGTGCAGATTGAGAAGAGCTGCACCATTTAAAGGGAGTTTTCTGACTTAGTCTGTGTTCCTCTTGAAATAGATTCTAGGACAATGATCTATGGTGAAAGATTTTCTTTTCTTTTTTTTAAATTTAGGATGTGACCCAAGGGATCATGAATAGGAAAGTGGATGGGGGAAAAAAACCCAATATAGGGTGTATAAATCAGCAGGGTACTAATGTAGAACCTGAGGTTCAATTTCCTTGGGGGTATTCTGGGAGACTGTAGCATGCCTCAGAGTTGTGCCCCTTAAGTAGTAAAAACATGGAGGATGTTTTTCCTAAGGCGGTTAACCTCCTGGCACTTCCAATCTGCTCCGTGCAAACACTGACTTTACTATTGTGGTCAGAGAAAACCCTTTGGCGGTGGACACAGATACTTGTATTTAGAAACCACTAGAATTTATGAGAACATTGGGTAACAAAGGAATAGGCAAGGCACTTACATCATCTGCTACAATATTCCAGATGACATGAAGGCTACCTTGAGGGTTTTATACTGGCTAACACTACAAGAAGTGAAATGAATGGTATAGCAGGTTTCCAGTAGTAGCAGAAATAAAAATGAATGTTCAGAGATAGATACACTAAAAGTAATGTAGGAAAAGAGTAAATTGGATGATGTACAGAGACCAAAATTTTATGTAAAATCACAGGGTATTGAAAAGATTTAAATTACAGGTTAAAAAATTTGGGTAGTAACCTGTGTACAGCAGGTCATAACTGAGTTATTGATATTTTATGAGGCATGATAAAAATATTTATTTAGAAAAATAATATGTCAAGAGTAAGAAAAAGAGAATGGAGAGATGTGCATTCACATGGTACAAATACATTAACTGCTATCTTAGTTCATTGAGGCTGCTAAAATAAAATATCACAAGCTGAGTGGCTTAGAAACAACAGGAATTTATTTCTCACAGTACTGGATACTGGAAAGTCTAAAATCAAGAGGCCTTCAGAGTCAGTGTCTGGTGAGGGCTCACTTACTGGTACACAGAAGGCCTCTTTTCCTCTGTCTTCATATGGCAGAAGGAACGAGCTAGCTCTCTGGGGTCTCTATCATAAAGGTTCCAATCCCATTCATGATCTCTGCTCTCATGACCTGATCACCTTCCAAAGCCTCCACTTCCTAATACTGTCACCTTGGGATTTAGGATTTCAACATAGGAATCTGGGAGACGACACAAACATTCAGACCACAGCAACTGGTTAGTCAAATATTTTAAAAGTAAAAAGACTGAAATGCTGTAAAAATAAAATGAACAGATAAAGAAAATACAACTGAAGAAAAAGGAATGGAAGGTCTCATTATGGAGGATAGTGAAAGAGATTATGGTACCTGATAAAAGTTAGAGTGAAGCCAGCAACAAAGTTGGAGAGATTTTATGGATAAAGATTTGTTTGAATCAGTCTGATGAATCATCATTGAAAGCTTATTATTGTCCAGACATAGCTAGCTACAGTAGTTTTCCCTTATCAGGGGATACATTTGAAGATCAACAGTGGATGCCTGAAACCATGGATAGTGACAAACTTTAACTATACTGAGTTTTTTTCCTATACAAAAATACATACCTATGACAAAGTTTAATTTATAAGTTAGGCATAGTAAGAAATTAGCAAAAATAATATGAAAGAACAATTATAACAATATACCAGCATCACGACTCTTGCACTTTGGGGGCATTATTAAGAACAATAAGGGTTACTTGAACACAAGCACTGTGCTGTCTCTACAGTGGATCCAGTAACCCACGTGGCCACTAAATGACTAATAGGCAGGCAGAGTATAAGTGCAAAGACACTGGACAAAGGGACCATTCACATCACAGCTGGATGGAAGAGGATGGCATGAGATTTCATCATGCTAATTAGAATGGCACACAATTTAGAACTTATGAATTATTTCTGGAATTTTCTATATAATATTTTCAGACCATGATTGACCTCGGATGACTGAAAACATGGAAAGTAAAACTGTATGTAAGGGGCCAACACTATACTGATATTTGTATGACATATAAAAACTGTCTTGATTATACAAAACTCGATCTTTTTGGAGAAATGACATTTATTAGAATTTTTCCATATGTTGGTGTAATTACAAAGAGAAAGAGAACAGAAAGTAAGGCAGACATCTCCCAAGCTAGAAGTTATCAGGATAATTTATATAATTGTACGTTGTTACAATGGCATATAAACTATTTTTTTAGATCATTTACTTACTCAACTGGTTTTCTCCCACATTTGGCTGGAAACCCAAGTTGTTGGATTTTTCCCTGTTCTTGGGACTTAGGCACTTGTTCAGTTTTGCTCTAACCTTCAGTTTACTGTGTAATAAATTTTCTTATGTCAACGTTATTGGGGACAATATATAGCACTTATCTTGTACTCTGTAAGATTGACTTAGTCCTTATCCTTTCTCACATAATCTGGTCAAAGTTTTTAGTACACCTTTTATGTGATTATCTGTTGCTACTTTTCTTAAGTTACAGAATACATTCCAATCAATGCCGGACCCATGATGCTGACAGTAAAATCTCTGCCTATGGGCTCTGGCTAGGTGTTGCTGGCTGGACTGGCTTATGTTTTCTGACACTGGCACATGCAACAATTTCTTATTTCTGTGCCCAACTTTGTCTTCTTTCTGTTTCTCTATGAAGACTTTTTTGTTTTCTTTGTGAAGATTAGGTGCTGAAACTTTAATAAACAGAGATGGCTGGTCACTCTTCATCTCCTTATTAGAACTTTTTAAAAGCACAGGAAAGAACTCAATGTATGAATCTAAAAAATTTAAGCAATGCTATAAATTAAACATTAAGTCAATTAAGTCAGTTTAATTTAGCTTGAGTTCCTCACTCATACACTACCCCACAACACACACACACACACACACACACACACACACACTCTCTCTCTCTCTCTCTCTCTCTCTCTCAGAGAAATAATAGGCAGCATGTTTCTTACAGAAAAAGAAAAGTGGGATTAAATGAGCAATGACTATAATTTGGAGGAACTGAAGCTTGCAAGAAATATGCTGAAACTTCATTAAGGACAAGGTAGGAAGATCTTTACAATATAAAGGTGGCAGTAGTTTCTGAAATGTGGGGAGAAATTGAGGCAATAGTTTATTTAACATTAGTAACTTCTTTCTCACTCATATGGTTTGGCTCTGTGTCCTCTCCCAAATCTCATCTTGTAGCTCCCCTAATTCCCATGTGTTATGGGAGATACCTGGTGGGAAATGACTGAATTACGGAGGTGGGTTTTTCCTGTGCTGTTCTCATGATAGTGAATGGGTCTCATGAGATCTTATGGTTTTAAAAATGAGAGTTGCCCTGCACAAGCTCTCTTTTTGCCTCCTGCCATCCACATAAGATGTAACTTGCTCCTCTGTGCCTTCTGCCATGATTGCAAGGCCTCTCCAGTCATGTGGGACTGTAAGTTCAATAAATCTCTTTCTTTTGTAAATTGCCCAGTCTCGGGTATGTCTTTATCAGTGGCATGAAAACAGACTAATACAGTACATTGGTACCAGGAGTGGGGCGCTGCTGAAAAGGTACCAGAAAATGTGGAAGCCACTTTGGAACTGGGTAACAGGCAGGGGTTGAAACAGTTTGGAGGGCTCAGAAGAAGACAGGAAAATGTGGGAAAGTTTGGAACTCCCTAGACATTTGTTGAATGGCTTTGACCAAAATGCTAATAATGATATGGACAATGAAATCCAGGCTGAGGTGGTCTCAGATGGAGATAAGAAACTTGTTGGGAACTGGAGCAAAGGCGACTCATGTTTTAGCAAAGAGACTGGCAGCATTTTGCCCTTGCCTTAGAGATTTGTGAAACTTTAAGAGAGATGATTTAGGGTATCTGGTGGAAGAAATTTCTAAGCAGCAAAGCATTCAAGAGGTGATTGGATGCTGTTAAAGTCATTCAGTTTCAAAAGGGAAATAGAGCATAAAACCTTGGAAAATTTGCAGCCTGACAATGCAATAGAAAAGAAAATCTCATTTTCTGAGGAAAAATTCAAGCCAGCTACAGATATTTGCATAAGTAATGAGGAGCCAAATGTTAACCACCAAGACAATGAGGAAAATGTCTCCAGAGTATCTCAGAGACCTTTGCAGCAGCCATTCCCATCACAGGCCCAAAGGCCTAGGAGGAAAAAATGGTTTTGTGGGCCGGGCCCAGGGTCCCAGTGCTGTATGCAGCCTAGGGACTTGGTGCCTTGCTTCCCAGCCACTCCAGCCATTTCCGAAAGGGGCCAGTATAGAGCTTGGGCCATGGCTTCAGAGGGTGCCAAGCCTTGGCAGCTTCCACATGGTGTTGAGTGTGTGAGTGCACAGAAATCAAGCATTGAGGTTGGAACCTCCACCTAGATTTCAGAAGATGTGTGAAAACACCTGGATGCCCAGGCAGAAGTTTGCTGTAGGGGCAGGGTCCTCATGGAGAACCTCTACTAGAGCAGTGCAGAAGAGAAATGTGAAGTGGGAGCCCCCACACAGAGTCCCCACTGGGGCACTGCCCAGTGGAGCTGTGAGAGGAAGGCCACCATCCTCCAGACCCCATAATGGTAGATCCACTGACAGCTTGTACCATGTGCTAGGAAAAGCCACAGACACTCAATGACAGCCTGTGAAGGCAGCTGGGAGGGAGACTGTACCCTGCAAAGCCAGAGGGGCGGAGCTGCCCAAGACTATGGGAAGCTACCTCTTACATCAGCGTGACCTGGATATGAGACCTGGAGTCAAAGGAGATCATTTTGGAGCTTTAAGATTTGACTGTCCCAATGGATTTTGGACTTGCATGGGGCCTGTAGCCACTTCATTTTAGTCAATTTCTCCCATTTGGAATGGCTGTACTTACCAATGCCTGTACCCTGATTGTATCTAGGAAGTAACTAACTTGCTTTTGATATTAGAGGCTCACAGACAGAAAGGACTTGCTTTGTCTTAGATGACACTTTGGACTGTGGACTTTTGAGTAAATGCTGAAATGAGTTGAGACTTTGGGGGACTATTGGGAAGGCATGATTAATTTTGAAATGTAAAGATATGAGATTTGGGAGGGGCCGTGGGTGGAATGATATGGTTTAGCTCTGTGTCCCCAGTGAAATCTCATCTTGTAGCTCCCATAATTCCCATGTGTTATGGGAGGGACCTAGTGGGAGATGAATGAATTATGTGGGCAGGTTTTTCCCATGCTGTTCTTGTCATAGTGAATGGGTCTCATGAGATCTGATGGTTTTAAAAACAGGAGTTGCCCTGCACACGCTCTTTTTGCCTGCTGCCATCCAGGTGAGATGTGACTTTCTCCTCCTTCCCTTCTGCCATGATTGTAAGGCCTCCCCAGCCACGTGGAACTATAATTCCAATAATCCTCTCTCTTTTGTAAATTGTCCAGTCTTGGGTATGTCTTTATCAACAGCATGAAAATGGACTAATACACTTACTCTCTTAAAAATTAAAAATCCAAATATCAGAAATGCTGCTTTCAAATATAAGAATAAGAGGAACAAACAATAAACTATCAATAAAATAAAATAAAATGTAGGTAAGTTAACTGTTGAGGGAGAAAAAAATGACCTTAGTTCTCTCCAGAGTCATTCCTGCTAAGTTGGAAAGCTCAGGGTGTTCTGCAGAAGTCTCACCACTAAGGGAATCAAGGTGTCTGTAACTTCTTATCCTGCTTTGGATTGGCCTCCTACTCCATTTCACTGTCTTTGCCTCTCCTCAGAAAAGAGGTCATCAGAGTCTGTCCTTTGACTGTATCTGGCAAGTTGGGTAAAACATTAAAGAAAATGAAGAAGATGGCTCATTTAAGAGGAAATGAAGATGTTAGAGAGAATCTGCATATTGAAGTAAGAAAAAAATAGTGATGCTTTAGAGTTTCTTCATTATCAAGAAGAAAATCAATAAAAATAAATTGTGTGACCAACAATCAAAGGATAAAAGCCACAAAAACCAAAAATATCAAGCCAAAATACAGACAGTGATATTGAGCTTTTTTGGCCATGTGATTAATCCTATTAGGAAACAGGGAAAAATGCTATGCTATCAGTACACTACTAAAGATAACCTGGCTGAGATGGTATTGTATGTGACAAGAAAATTACACAATGTAGATTTATTAAAAATGAAATTGTAGGAGTCACTTATCAGTTCAGGAAAGCTCCCTTGGAAGTTAGGTGATGGCACTGGTTTTATTAACACCAATACCTGTCATTTTTTCTTCCAATATTTCATATGGTCTTTCCTCTGAAATGTCTTTTATTTCATAATTTTAAGGGGACACATTAGTAAAAGCCTGCCTATGCTGCTGAATGGCAAAGATACTAAGAGAGGAATCACAACTGATAGAAAAGATTTTGTAATCATTTTTAACTCAGGAGCTGGTAACTGAATAACTGTGATGACAAAAGCTAAGGTGATGATAATTGAAGAACATGATTCAATGAAATTACAGCCTATATTTCAATCCGATCCTTAGTGAATACATTAAATATACAGGATAACTCCAGTGTGAAGTCATAGGCAATCTCCATAATGTTTCTACCATTGCTTGCACATCTCAATTGGGCTTGGTTCCACCACATAAAATTATTGCAGCTAAACATTAAAAAGGTAAAACATTTGAAGAAGGCCAGTTTTCTTCCTTCTACTCCCAGTAGAACGGATGTATGGCACTTTCTGAATATTTTGGGGGAAAATGAATGGATGAGAATGGAATCAGTGAGCTAAGACTTGGAAGTATTCTTAACTCATAAAGAAATCACGCTAGAGTATAATAAACATTGTGCCAGGTACCAAGTAGACAGCTATGACTAATTGTGCTCAGAAACTCACATATACATGAAACAATATATAACACAGTGATATGAGGAAGGTATAAACAAGGAGCCATAGGAAGACCCAGAAAATAATTCCTTTGAAGAAGTTAATTTGTGGAAGAAACTTTGTATTATATAAGATTTGATTTGTATTTGCCATTTAACCTCATTTAGCCTTAAATTTCTCTCCCATAAAGTGGGAATAATATTAGTAATTGCCTTTCACACAGGATTTGCAAATAACTCAGGATGAAAACTGAAAATTCTTTATAATGTGGAAAGAACTACGCACATTTCCAATTGTATTCACATGTTGTTCTAGCAAAGAAATTATATTTATTTTGTTCCCAAGTAGGATTATGAAATGATATGAGAATATGAAATAATTTTGGGGTAATGTGGGTCAATGAATGCTTGTTACAGTTTTTTTCTCATTAGTGTCTTCAATGTGTGTTTCAAATTACTTTCACTTTGAAGGTTTTGCAATCTATAATGAAAAAAGAACTTGCTTCTTTCAAACAGTTTCAAGGAAAAAAAACCATTGTCAATTTCTTGTGTGCCACATAATCTTTCTCCTGTGTTTCTTGAAGTTTGTCTTCTCTCTTTATTCTGCAACTTTTAGATAATATTATCAGAACCGGGGGGGAGGAGCCAAGATGGCCAAATAGGAACAGCTCCGGTCTACAGCTCCCAGCATGAGCGACGCAGAAGACGGGTGATTTCTGCATTTCCATCTGAGGTACCGGGTTCATCTCACTAGGGAGTGCCAGACAGTGGGCGCAGGTCAGTGGGTGCAGACACCGTGCGCAAGCCAAAGCAGGGCGAGGCATTGCCTCACCTGGGAAGCGCAAGGGGTCAGGGAGTTCCCTTTCTGAGTCAAAGAAAGGGGTGACGGACGCACCTGGAAAATCGGGTCACTCCTACCCGAATACTGCGCTTTTCTGACGGGCTGAAAAAACGGCGCACCGCGAGATTATATCCTGCACCTGGCTCGGAGGGTCCTACGCCCACGGAGTCTCGCTGATTGCTAGCACAGCAGTCTGAGATCAAAGTGCAAGGCGGCAGCGAGGCTGGGGGAGGGGCGCCCGCCATTGCCCAGGCTTGCTTAGGTAAACAAAGCAGCCGGGAAGCTCAAACTGGGTGGAGCCCACCACAGCTCAAGGAGGCCTGCCTGCCTCTGTAGGCTCCACCTCTGGGGGCAGGGCACAAACAAAAAGACAGCAGTAACCTCTGCAGACTTAAATGTCCCTGTCTGACAGCTTTGAAGAGAGCAGTGGTTCTCCCAGCAGGCAGCTGGAGATCTGAGAACGGGCAGACTACCTCCTCAAGTGGGTCCCTGACCCCTGACCCCCAAGCAGCCTAACTGGGAGGCACCCCCCAGCAGGGGCACACTGACACCTCACATGGCAGGGTACTCCAACAGACCTGCAGCTGAGGGTCCTGTCTGTTAGAAGGAAAACTAACAAACAGAAAGGACATCCACACCAAAAACCCATCTGTACATCACCATCATCAAAGACCAAAAGTAGATAAAACCACAAAGATGGGGAAAAAACAGAACAGAAAAACTGGAAACTCTAAAAAGCAGAGCGCCTCTCCTCCTCCAAAGGAACGCAGTTCCTCACCAGCAATGGAACAAAGCTGGATGGAGAATGACTTTGACGAGCTGAGAGAAGAAGGCTTCAGACAATCAACTTACTCTGAGCTACGGGAGGACATTCAAACCAAAGGCAAAGAAGTTGAAAACTTTGAAAAAAATTTAGAAGAATGTATAACTAGAATAACCAATACAGAGAAGTGCTTAAAGGAGCTGATGGAGCTGAAAACCAAGGCTCGAGAATGACGTGAACAATGCAGAAGCCTCAGGAGCCGATGCGATCAACTGGAAGAAAGGGTATCAGCGATGGAAGATGAAATGAATGAAATGAAGTGAGAAGGGAAGTCTAGAGAAAAAAGAATAAAAAGAAATGAGCAAAGCCTCCAAGAAATATGGGACTATGTGAAAAGACCAAATCCACATCTGATTGGTGTACCTGAAAGTGATGGGGAGAATGGAACCAAGTTGGAAAACACTCTGCAGGATATTATCCAGGAGAACTTCCCCAATCTAGCAAGGCAGGCCAACGTTCAGATTCAGGAAATACAGAGAACGCCACAAAGATACTCCTCGAGAAGAGCAACTCCAAGACACATAATTGTCAGATTCACCAAAGTTGAAATGAAGGAAAAAATGTTAAGGGCAGCCAGAGAGAAAGGTCGGGTTACCCTCAAAGGGAAGCCCATCAGACTAACAGCGGATCTCTCAGCAGAAACTCTACAAGCCAGAAGAGAGTGGGGGCCAATATTCAACATTCTTAAAGAAAAGAATTTTCAACCCAGAATTTCATATCCAGCCAAACTAAGCTTCACAAGTGAAGGAGAAAGAAAATACTTTACAGACAAGCAAATGCTGAGAGATTTTGTCACCACCAGGCCTGCCTTACAAGAGCTCCTGAAGGAAGTGCTAAACATGGAAAGGAATAACCGGTACCAGCTGCTGCAAAATCATGCCAAAATGTAAAGACCATCAAGACTAGGAGGAAACTGCGTCAACTAACGAGCAAAATAACCAGCTAACATCATAATGACAGGATCAAATTCACACATAACAATATTAACTTTAAATGTAAATGGACTAAATGCTCCAATTAAAAGACACAGACTGGCAAATTGGATAAAGAGTCCAGACCCATCAGTGTGCTGTATTCAGGAAACCCATCTCATGTGCAGAGACACACATAGGCTCAAAATGAAAGGATAGAGGAAGATCTACCAAGCAAATGGAAAACAAAAAAAGGCAGGGGTTGCAATCCTAGTCTCTGATGAAACAGACTTTAAACCAACAAAGATCAAAAGAGACAAAGAAGGCCATTACATCATGGTAAAGGGATCAATTCAACAAGAAGAGCTAACTATCCTAAATATATATGCACCCAATACAGGAGCACCAAGATTCATAAAGCAAGTCCTGAGTGACCTACAAAGACACTTAGACTCCCACACATTAATAATGGGAGACTTTAACACCCCACTGTCAACATTAGACAGATCAATGAGACAGAAAGTCAACAAGGATACCCAGGAATTGAACTCAGCTCTGCACCAAGTGGACCTAATAGACATCTACAGAACTCTCCACCCCAAATCAACAGAATATACATTTTTTTCAGCACCACACCACACCTATTCCAAAATTGACCACATACTTGGAAGTAAAGCTCTCCTCAGCAAATGTAAAAGAACAGAAATTATAACAAACTATCTCTCAGACCACAGTGCAATCAAATTAGAACTCAGGATTAAGAATCTCACTCAAAACTGCTCAACTACATGGAAACTGAACAACCTGCTCCTGAATGACTACTGGGTACATAACGAAATGAAGGCAGAAATAAAGATGTTCTTTGAAACCAACGAGAACAAAGACACAACATACCAGAATCCCTGGGACACATTCAAAGCAGTGTGTAGAGGGAAATTTGTAGCACTAAATGCCCACAAGAGAAAGCAGGAAAGATCCAAAATTGACACCCTAACATCACAATTGAAAGAACTAGAAAAGCAAGAGCAAACACATTCAAAAGCTAGCAGAAGGCAAGAAATAACTAAAATCAGAGCAGAACTCAAGGAAATAGAGACACAAAAAACCCTTCAAAAAATTAATGAATCCAGGAGCTGGTTTTTTGAAAGGATCAACAAAATTGATAGACTGCTAGCAAGACTAATAAAGAAAAAAAGAGAGAAGAATCAAATAGACGCAATAAAAAATGATAAAGGGGATATCACCACCGATCCCACAGAAATACAAACTACCATCAGGGAATACTACAAACACCTCTATGCAAATAAACTAGAAAATCTAGAAGAAATGGATAAATTCCTGGACACATACACTCTCCCAAGACTAAACCAGGAAGAAGTTGAATCTCTGAATAGACCAATAACAGGATCTGAAATTGTGGCAATAATCAATAGCTTACCAATCAAAAAGAGTCCAGGACCAGATGGATTCACAGCCGAATTCTACCAGAGGTACAAGGAGGAACTGGTACCATTCCTTCTGAAACTATTCCAATCAATAGAAAAAGACGGAATCCTCCCTAACTCATTTTATGAGGCCAGCATCATTCTGATACCAAAGCCAGGCAGAGACACAACCAAAAAAGAGAATTTTAGACCAATATCCTTGATGAACATTGATGCAAAAATCCTCAATAAAATACTGGCAAAACGAATCCAGCAGCACATCAAAAAGCTTATCCACCATGATCAAGTGGGCTTCATCCCTGGGATGCAAGGCTGGTTCAATATACACAAATCAATAAATGTAATCCAGCATTTAAACAGAGCCAAAGACAAAAACCACATGATTATCTCAATAGATGCAGAAAAAGCCTTTGACAAAATTCAACAACTCTTCATGCTAAAAACTCTCAATAAATTAGGTATTGATGGGACGTATTTCAAAATAATAAGAGCTATCTATGACAAACCCACAGCCAATATCATACTGAATGGGCAAAAACTGGAAGCATTCCCTTTGAAAACTGGCACAAGACAGGGATGCCCTCTCTCACCACTCCTATTCAACATAGTGTTGGAAGTTCTGGCCAGGGCAATGAGGCAGGAGAAGGAAATAAAGGGTATTCAATTAGGAAAAGAGGAAGTCGAATTGTCCCTGTTTGCAGATGACATGATTGTATATCTAGAAAACCCCATTGTCTCAGCCCAAAATCTCCTTAAGCTGATAAGCAACTTCAGCAAAGTCTCAGGATACAAAATCAATGTACAAAAATCACAAGCATTCCTATACACCAACAACAGACAAACAGAGAGCCAAATCATGAGTGAACTCCCATTCACAATTGCTTCAAAGAGAATACCTAGGAATCCAACTTACAAGGGATGTGAAGGACCTCTTCAAGGAGAACTACAAACCACTGCTCAAGGAAATAAAAGAGGATACAAACAAATGGAAGAACATTCCATGCTCATGGGTAGGAAGAATCAATATCGTGAAAATGGCCATACTGCCCAAGGTAATTTACAGATTCAATGCCATCCCCATCAAGCTACCAATGCCTTTCTTCACAGAATTGGAAAAAACTACTTTAAAGTTCATATGGAACCAAAAAAGAGCCCACATCGCCAAGTCAATCCTAAGCCAAAAGAACAAAGCTGGAGGCATCACACTACCTGACTTCAAACTCTACTACAAGGCTACAGTAACCAAAACAGCATGGTACTGGTACCAAAACAGAGATATAGATCAATGGAACAGAACAGAGACCTCAGAAATAACGCCACATATCTACAACTATTTGATCTTTGACAAACCTGAGAAAAACAAGCAATGGGGAAAGGATTCCCTATTTAATAAATGATGCTGGGAAAACTGGCTAGCCATATGTAGAAAGCTGAAACTGGATCCCTTCCTTACACCTTATACAAAAATCAATTCAAGATGGATTAAAAACTTAAACGTTAGACCTAAAACCATAAAAACCCTAGAAGAAAACCTAGGCATTACCATTCAGGACATAGGCATGGGCAAGGACTTCATGTCTAAAACACCAAAAGCAATGGCAACAAAAGCCAAAATTGACAAATGGGATCTAATTAAACTAAAGAGCTTCTGCACAGCAAAAGAAACTACCATCAGAGTGAACAGGCAACCTAAAAAATAGGAGAAAATTTTTGCAACCTACTCATCTGACAAAGGGCTAATATCCAGAATCTACAATGAACTCAAACAAATTTACAAGAAAAAAACAAGCCCATCAAAAAGTGGGCAAAGGACATGAACAGACACTTCTCAAAAGAAGACATTTATGCAGCCAAAAAACACATGAAAAAATGCTCATCATCACTGGCCATCAGAGAAATGCAAATCAAAACCACACTGAGATACCATCTCACACCAGTTAGAATGGCAATCATTAAAAAGTCAGGAAACAACAGGTGCTGGAGAGGATGTGGAGAAATAGGAACACTTTTACACTGTTGGTGGGACTGTAAACTAGTTCAACCATTGTGGAAGTCAGTGTGGCGATTCCTCAGGGATCTAGAACTGGAAATACCATTTGACCCAGCCATCCCATTACTGGGTATATACCCAAAGGACTATAAATCATGCTGCTATAAAGACACATGCACACGTATGTTTATTGCGGCATTATTCACAATAGCAAAGACTTGGAACCAACCCAAATGTCCAACAATGATAGACTGGATTAAGAAAATGTGGCACATATGCACCATGGAATACTATGCAGCCATAAAAAATGATGAGTTCATGTCCTTTGTAGGGACATGGATGAAATTGGAAATCATCATTCTCAGTAAACTATTGCAAGAACAAAAAACCAAACACCGCATATTCTCACTCATAGGTGGGAATTGAACAATGAGATCACATGGACACAGGAAGGGGAATATCACACTCTGGGGACTGTTGTGGGGTGGTGGGAGGGGGCAGGGATAGCATTGGGAGATATACCTAATGCTAGATGACGAGTTAGTGGGTGCAGCGCACCAGCATGGCACATGTATACATATGTAACTAACCTGCACAATGTGCACATGTACCCTAAAACCTAAAAATATAATAAAAAAAAAAATAAAAAAATATTATCAGAACCACACTAACTACATAGGTTCAATAAACTCAGTTTTATTGAGAAGAAGTAGAAATGTATGCAATTTTAAAAATAAAAATAAACTCTCGACCTAGTTTTTTTTTTTTTTTCTTTTTTTTTTTTTTTTTTTGAGACGGAGTCTTGCACTGTCACCCAGGCTGGAGAGTGGTGGCGCGATCTCAGCCCACTGCAAGCTCCGCCTCCAGGGTTCACGCCATTCTCCTGCCTCAGCCTCCCGAGTAGCTGGGACCACAGGCGCCAGCCATCACGACCGGCTAATTTTTTTTTTTTTTTTTTTTTTTTTTAGTAGAGACGGGGTTTCACCATGTTAGCCAGGATGGTCTCGATCTCCTGACCTCGTGATCCGCCCGCCTTGGCCTCCCAAAGTGCTGGGATTACAGGCGTGAGCCACTGTGAGTACATGTGTTTTACAGAGATATGTGGAAAGATGAATTAGCAGAAACCTGTTTCACTGAAGACTATAATAAAGACCAACTCTATTTACATTAGGAAGCAATATTCCATAATGAATAATAGTATCATGTTTTGCGTCATAGGATGATGCTAAACTTCTTGCTACAGCACTTAGTAACTATGTGATATTGGGTAATTTGTTTATTCTCTTTAATTATACAATTGTGATAATACTTCAAAATGTTGCTTTACAGTTTACATTTATAACCTTCAACAAATACTTATTTGGCACCTATTTGTTCATTATTCTTCTAGGCACAGTACATCCAGCAATGCACAACATAGATAAAGCCTCTGCTGTGATTAGACATTCTTTCTAGAAGAAGGGGAAAGTAAAAAGCAAATAAATACTTATATCATAAGATGTTGCAAACGTCACAATGTAAAATAAGTCCTGGTGAAATTATAGAGATGAAAAACAGATCAGTGGTTGTCAGGGATTTGAAGAGAAGGGAGGGTTAATCAGGTGAAGCAACATTTTAATTTTGGAACTGAAAATCCCAGAGATAATACTTGTCTTCACTAAAAAACTTGCCTTCAACAAAAAACATTTGTTTGGCACAAATGTCTTTGTCTTTCTCGTATCATTTGAACTTTGTATTTGTAAAGGAGAAGATAATATCATGTTTTTGACTTTGGTATTATGTATTTGTATTATAATTATGGTGTATCCATAATGGAACAATATAATAAATATTTAAAGTGTAGAAAATAACAATAATAATGTATTTTAAAATGTCCTTTCATTCTCTATTCTCTTTCACAGATTTTATGCAATTTTTTTTCCCTTTTTGGTCTGATGTTTGACTCACAAAATTTAGGGAGTGATATGTTTTCCTCTCAGGCTCTACTCTGAGTTGTGGACTTCCCAACCAAATGTCTTTTATTTTCTGCAATGAGAGTCCTCAAATGTGTTAACAGCTTTTGTCCCTTTTTTAGCTGGATGTTCTACCTTAGCTACACGTTCATTCCCCAAGCTAAGAATGGCAGTTTGGGGAGGATGTTTATCATGGTATGTAAAAATTTGTTAAATGGTGTTTGATGTACTGATCATACTAATGTGAGGACAATAACTTCACTGTAGCTTGGTGGTATGCTCTAGTATTTTAACATCAAGTGCTAATAAAACAGTAGGGTTTAATGTACATTATATTTAATTGAACTGGTTATCAATAAATATATTATAAAATAATGTATTAATATATCAGTTATATCATATAATGTAATAAATTGTAAGATATAGTTGATGTTATATTATGTAATATAGTTGACATATAAAAATAATTTTTTTTACATATAAATTGATGAATATAATACATTGGTTTATATATAAAAATTGATATATAACACACATTAATTTAATTACTATGTATGTAATACATAGATGGTATTGAAACAGGAAAAACTAATGTTTATTTCCCTTCAAGAAATATTTATTCATTATTCGCAACACCACAAATATCAGGATGGAGCTGAGCTTTAGATAAAATTGATAAATTTTATAGTTTTTGTGCCATGCAGAGGCTTACTTTGTGGAAGGGAAGTGCATAAAACATCATTAAATGTAAATTGGCTAATATTAACAGATTTGATCTGGGTTCTTTGAGAATACATAGAGTGATCTTTTCCTATCAGTGGTGTAATAGAGTTCCTAGATGAAAAAGAGAAGAGAAAACAGCAAAAGACACTGAGCAGTGAGCTCTGCATAGGAGAGTGAGCAAGAAGTCACGGATAAGCTCTAGGTCTCCCATTGCCAGGTGATGGAGGGTGGCACCATTCACTGAAGGGGAAAAGACAAAAGAAGAAGGTTTGGAAGATGGATGACAAATTCACTCGGGGGCATGCTGAATTCAGGATGACTTTTGGTTAGGTTGCCTATTTAATTTGTCATCCAGACTGAAAGCAAAAGTGAAATGTAGTTGATAATTACACCACTTTAAAAGGTGGAATTTGGAACTGTCATGGACAAACTGATCTATGTGAGCCTCAGAGGAGACTCTTCAGCAAGAGTCACAAGGACCAGTGAAATAGGCATTTAAGTTAATGGATTATTTGGAGTATAAATTTGGTGTTCCTGATAGTATTAGAAAAGATCGATGAAAATTGTTAGAAAATTAAAAGCAGAATCCAAGCTGGGAAAGCCATATGTAGACGACGAAGAATGTACCAGTTGAGACAAAGAAACACAGTAGACAATATCAAAATCTTTAACACTTCAAAATAGTAAAAATCAAGAGCACAAATGGAGAGGTTGATGTTGAAGATTAAAGATAATAACAGAAGAAAGTATTTCCTCAATTTTGTCTGATAGGCATAAAGTTGAAATGTGTACATCTGATATAAGGAAAGTTGGTATATCTTTTGGAGCTTAAAGGGTATGGTAAATATCTGAATTTTGACTGAGACAAACAGCAACTGGGAGCTTAGGCTATTGAGGGGAAACTGTTAAATAATTTAGCTGTAACACAAGGATTCATTCGAAGAGAATATCTTTGAATTTCTCTAAGTCCCAGCTACTATTATGCCATATTTCAGGAAAAAACACAGTCAGTGGACTTTTTAAAATCTAGCATGGGTATCTAATCTTCTCAATGGTTTGCGAACATAAATCCATTATCAGTAGGTACAGGAATTGCTTACCCCTTCACCCTTTCTCTTTGCAAAAACAAGTGGAATTGGAGGATATTTCTAATGTATGGTACTTTTAGAAGCATTAACATCCAACTGAAGTTCTCTAAGCGAACATTCTAGATGCCTTGAGGCACACTGCAAAAATCATTGTACCCCTAATGCCAATCCACAGTCAGAGGGAATTTTCATTTCCTAGAGGACAAAGGCCTTTAATTACATTCAAATTACATAAAAATTTTATTAGCTATTCCTAGTAGCAGTTTATCTGGAGTTTGGTAGAGAATTTCTAAGTGGCTTTTATTTCAGACTCCCAGGAGCATAATATTGGGAAGCTAACCTTTTTATTAAAAACCTCAGAATAAGAGAATAACTTCATAGTTGCAAGAAATGTTAAATGGAAACATATAACCCACAAAGAAGTAGCAAGTCAGATAGTTATTGGACAAATAATCTTCCCTCAACACTTTTCCATCTCTTGATTCCTTAGATAAAAAATTAATCAGTTGGAAGAATTTTTTTTTCAAAAGTTTCTTTGCCCATGTTCTTCTAAAATATTAAACATGGTTTATTACATATTTAAATTTATGGCACAATCACCAAGCTAAATTTTAAAGCCAATACGATATCATAGACAAATTCAAAGTTAATATAGAATATGTTGAGAGGTGAATCCAAAACCTTCAGTTGTTTTATACATATGATAAATATATCTATAATAATATAGACAGGTATCTTAAATGTTCTGCAAATTTGTGGCAAAATTGTTTTCAAAAAAACAAGTTAGCATAAAGAAAAAATATTTTATTCTAAAACTCTACTTGAAAATCTAATAGAAGTAGGTATATTAATACAATATAGCAAATCTATGACTCCTATTAATTGTAAGTGCATAAAGACTATAAAAGCTACAAGATTATTTAAGCCAAGGCTTGGGATTTATCCTTAACTAGATATAATATCTTATGGCTCTCAGTTTGATCATCATAACAAAAATGATTTGAAAGGATCTTTAGGTATAGCCAAAAAGAAAAGTCAGAGCCAGGCACTGTGGCTCACGCCTGTAATCCTAGCATGTTGGGAGGCTGAGGCAGGTGGATTACCTGAGGTCAGGAGTTGGAGACCAGCCTGGCCAACATGGCAAAACCCCATCTTTATTAAAAATACAAAAATTAGCCAAGCATGGTGGCAGGTGCCTGTAATCCCAGCTACTTGGGAGGCTGAGGCAGGAGAATCGCTTGAACCTGGGAGGCAGAGCTTGCAGTGAACCGAGATCACACCACTGCACTCCAACCTGGGCGACAAAGCGAGACTCCGTCTCAAAAAATAAAATAAAATAAAAATAAAAAAAAGTCAGAACTAGAATAGTAGATGATAATGAAAACCATATCAATAGACACAAGCTTCCAAAGTTCATCTTCATAATTTTTACTAAAATCCCTCATTTATGGAGAATGCTATAGAATATCTTCCAGTAAGGAGCATGTAAGTTCAGTAACTTTTTTTAATTGTAAAATACTAAGAGCTCTGAAATCAGGTAAATTTTACCTACATTATTTATCAATAAAACCTGACCTGTCTATAACTCCTTTGAGGCAAATCCCTACCTAAACTACTTAACACATTTTAAAATGTTAGCCTCTCAGAACATGAAGAGTAAAACATTATTCTGATTAAATATTAAAGTGAGATTGTAAGAGAATTCTAGACCCTACTGGAGTATATAGTATATGCATTATATTACCTTTGATACTATAAAAATTATTGAATTCTAAAACCAATGTAGTACTGAGAACTTAAGCTATGGAATTATGGAACTCTATTATCAACTTCTCACGGCTATACTGGGATTCAGGGAGGTACCTGTTTTTAAGGTGTCTGTCTGAGGTGTCTTTGAAAGAAAATTTCTGCTTTCTTACTCCCTTTCTTTTTTATATAAAATTTTCTGTCCAACTAATTAAGAACTTCTCATTATTTCTTGAATTAACATTTTATAATCATTAAATTGCATGCTGGAAAAACTTTGGTATATTTTTAGAATAACCCAAGGCTTCAAATGTTACAGAAATGAATGTACTTCTTCTGTAATACTTACTAGGCGTATGATTATAGGGGAGGGACTTAATATCTTTTAATCTCAGTTTTCTTCTAGTTCTACTTTCACTAAGGAAGGACGTAGTTATATTTTGCATAATGTGTAATACTTATCTTCCAGGCACATGACCAAAACCAGAACACTAATAGCAAACTTTGGTTGAACACTTCTATGTGCCAGCCAACTTTCAAATATTTTACACTTATTGTTCATTTAATCCTTACAATAACTCTTAATTAGTACTGAAATAGTTCTTGTCATATTATGTAAAAAATTGGTATTTTTAATAATTATTCTAGGATAACAATAATAAACTGACAGTACCTGAAAAACCAAAGTATAAAATCATCCTACCATATATATTACAAACTGAAGCAGAAAGCTACTAAACTGTGAGTGACAGACCTAAGATTTCAACCCAGACAGTCTGAGTTTTGAGACTTCACTTTTCATCATAGTACTAAAATATTGCCAACACATTTAGTTAAAAGTCTTGTAAAAGGTGGTTTTCATTCTTTTTTTGAATATATAAAAACAGTGATCCATATTCTTTTTATAAATATATAAAAATGGAGAACCATAAAGTATAAGTCAAAGACATAAGGCTATACTTCTTGGCTTTGAAACCGTATCCATCTGGGAAAAATACATACACACACATACCATAATGAAGCTCTAAAGCACTTCACATGAGACTTGAACATTTTATATCTTTAAAAATTGTTAGTTCTGTTCTCCTTTCCTAAGCTTGAATATTTTGTACAAGCTGGAAACTGTCTTATACCTCATAAGATTATGTCATAGATTTGCACTCAATTCACTCCTAGTTGCCTCCTATGAATCTGTTAGCTCAGTTGTGATGGTCGAAGTAAAAACACTGTGGTCCTGTGTCCACTCATCCAGGCATGACTGTCTTGCAGTCAGCGTTATCCATGGCTGACACATTAAAATCTAAGAATTGTCACTGGGTCTGGCAGAATCAACTGTGTTACTCTGGCTGAGGTTTGGATCCATTGGGATGAAGACCCTCAGCAGGGTTTCAGCTGTCACGTTTACAGTGTTGTTGACTTCAGACTTGGAATGATCAAGCATTTACACATACCAACGGTGAGCAGAGATAGTCTCTGAAAAGTTATCCACAAGATCACAAGGGGATGACAGGATATTTAAAAATATACAAAGGATAATATTCAAAATCTAAAAGCTCCCACTGTCAACTACATGTCATAGAACTTCACCAAAGGCCATGATTTAACACTAAAAAAATCATCTGTAGAGTAATAGATTTTCCAGGATTGAAATGACAATCATAAAAATATATATTTAATTAAGAAAATGTTTTTCTAAACTAGAAAGTTTAAAAATTAAAGCATTCAGGTATTATTTTTAATCAGCAAAGTTTACTTTTCCTACATTCTTAATAACATCCTATACACTAGTTGCATTATTTTTACTTTACTGAGGTTAACATGTTCTATTTCATAATGACAGGGATTCCGAAGGAGAAATGTCCCTGAGCAGGCAATTGTGTTGAATTTATACCATTGTTAGCAATTATAGTGCATGTACATTGTAATATATTACACTCAGCTCTCAGGAAATGCTGGTTTTAAAAAATACTAATTGGGCCGGGCGCGGTGGCTCATGCCTGTAATCCCAGCACTTTGGGAGGCCGAGGCGGGTGGATCATGAGGTCAGGAGATCGAGACCATCCTGGCTAACAAGGTGAAACCCCGTCTCTACTAAAAATACAAAAAATTAGCCGGGCGCGGTGGCGGGCGCCTGTAGTCCCAGCTACTCGGGAGGCTGAGGCAGGAGAATGGCGTGAACCCGGGAAGCGGAGCTTGCAGTGAGCCGAGATTGCGCCACTGCAGTCCGCAGTCCGGCCTGGGCGACAGAGCGAGACTCCGTCTCAAAAAAAAAAAAAAAATACTAATTGACAAAAAATATTGTATGTATGTAAGGTATACCATGTGATGGTTGTATAATGATGATCATGATCAGATTATTTAACATATTTATTACCACATATGCCATAAGTTAGTTCCCCAGAACTTCTTCATCTTTTAACTGAAAGTTTTCACCCTTTGACCAATATCTCCCCATTTCTCTCTTCCCCTAACCCTTGGTAAACACTGTTTTATTCTTTGCTTCTGTAAGTTCACAATTTTTAGAATCACATATAAGTGAGATGATACAGTATCTGTCTTTCTGTGTCCGGCATATTTCACATAGCACAATGTCCTCCAGGTTCATTCATGTTATTGCATGTGCTAGGATTTCTGTCTTTTCCAGGTGTATGAAAAAGTGCTCGACAACACTAATCATCAGAGGAATGCAAATCAAAACCCTTAGACAACATCAAATGAAAGTGCCAATTTCAGTAACTATATGCCAGACCTCTTAGTATTGCTTGGCCAGTACTCAAAGATAATCCAAATAGTATTGAGATTAAATATTGCAATTTTGGTGAGCTCCATTCTAAAATTTAAAGACTATTTAAGAGGATCAACAGCCAGTTATACAGAGGCAGTTTAGTAATTGAATACAGTGGATGAGTGCACATAAAATGAATTTATGAAATGATATGCTTTTGTTATAAACTACCCAGGGGTGCTGACAACAGGAATCTCAATAGACAGTAAATAGGGAAGGTGGAACAGAAACATAACAGGTGCCCAGAGTGGCAATCTGTAGGGAACAGCAGAGCAACAACGGCTCCCATCCTAGTCTACAGTAAAACTCAGTAAACCATTAAAACCTATAATAAGCAGGTGTAAAACATTAGAACTTTCCTATAAGTACTGCTAACAATTCAAGTCATTTGTATCCTGAACACACAACAGAATATTCCATATATGATCACATGAACAATGTTTATTGAGCTAGATTTGAGCTACTTCTACTGTAAAGTCACAAAAATGCATGTTTCTCACCTACTAGAATTCATATAAGTATGCTTGAACAAAAATAATCAAAGAGTTAATAATTCAGTGAATTAAATTTTAAAAATAAAAAACAAATTAAAGGAGGAAAAGAACATAGAAGGTGCTTCCATGTGTTATTCTACTTGAAGTGTTTGTGCTTGGGGTATTCAAAATACCTCTCAGTAAGAGAAGAATACTAGTGAGATTAGTATAATTTCAGTTTTAAAATATGTGTGTTTCTGTGCAATTTGGACTCTCAACTCCAGACAGCTACTCCATCTAGCACTCTACACAAAAGCAAAAATTTCTTACTACAATTTTGCAGAAATTATATAGGACTTACTGGGAGGCAAGTTGTTAATATCCAATATCACGACTCTTTATATATTTTAAGGACTATTTTAACTACATAAGCTTTTGTACTAATGAGCTGACTGTAGAAATGTTTATCTGAATTGATGCTACCAGACTCTACTTTTATGTGTTACTAACCATTTACAATGCTAATAGATCTTCCCTTAATACAGCAAACATACCTGCATTGAAGTTTAACATTGCCATTTTATTTTCTAATTACTGTATATCACTCACTATTTTTTAACATTCTTTAGGGACTGGTGACTCCTCACCTTTATTTATAAAATTAACTGGAATTTGTCAAATTATTCCTAACCTTTGTGGTTAAGTTAAATGTTCACTCTTCCAGGAAGCCAGCACTATTAACTCCAATCTTTCACATTCTTTCATTGTATTCAATGACTTTGCAGTAACATGTCTGAAATTCTCATTTGGCTTCTATTCTCTACTGCCATGCATTGCATTTAATGTCTGTATCTCTTGAACTCTCGCCAGGGCAATTTTAAAGGCTTTCATACGAGAGGTACTTAGAAGGTTATGGCTGGTTTCTCATTTACCTGGTAAGACTTACTTGTCAGAAATGAGATCACATACACAAGTAACTAGAATAAAGCATGCTATACAGATGCCCTGTGCAAATGATTTCAGGAAATGATAATCAGATATTAAGTCCCACTGAAAAAGAATGAATGTAAAGCAGTAGATAATTAACAACTAAATATGTCAACCACTAGATCATAAATTAATTAATGACTAATTAATGATCTTATTTGGATATTGACTGACAATTTACAAATAATTGTATATTATTGACCACTTGCTATATTCTAGGCACCATATCAGAAGTGGTCAAGGCAGATACTGCCTCTACCCTAAAAGCTTAAACTCTTTATGAGATTATAGGCATTCCATAAGTACTTAGAATGTAAGTAGCTGGAAAACAGGTTGATATATAATAGAAGTTTATTTTTCCTGCCTTTCATTGTATCCAGAATTTTTTCTTCACAATCCTGGCAGCAGCATTAGGTTTCCAAAGAACCATCTTCTAAACGGGTCATATTTCTAGTTTTGAGACTGAAATATACCTTGGTTTTAAAAATAAGTGATCTTCTGATATTCAAGAATCATGGTTTTAGTGCAAAACATATTATTAATATTATCATCATTTTTGTTAAAAAGGCTGAGAGCTTAAAATGATTCCACGCACAGAGGTAATGAAAAGAAATCCATAACTCAGACAAATGATACATGATGAGATGAAATAAATGCAAATATCTATTGAAATGGAAAATTGAAAAAAAATCTTACTAAGTGGAGAAATAGAAGCTGGGGGAAAAAAAGACAAATGAAAAGATAGCTTAGATAGCACTGTGGACCACCTACACCTTATTACCACTTCCAGGATATACACCAAAAGCTGAGAAACTGTACTGCTGATAGGGCTAGGATAGAGTTTGAATAGTGGTGTAGAACAACTCTAGAGTGACAGCCTGAGACAGCCCAAAAGATTTGGTGGTTCTGAAGTGGCAGGAGAAAATATCTAAAATACCTAATTTTTTTTCGTGCTTTCAGAAGTGATAACTTGACCAAGAAAGTCAGAGTATTCTCCATAATTAGAAAGACAAAGTGGCAGAGTGCTAGAATCTTACAACTAGAATCTGTGATTTAAAAACTGGGACATGAATCATTTCCGATGCAACAAAGATTAGACCTGGAAGCATATGTAGCATCTCAATTTAAAGGAAGTAAGTACCAAGGCAATAATTGCCTAGAATAGGAATCAGCAAACTGCAGTCTCTGGGTCAAATTTGGCCCATGTCCTCTTTTTGCAAATAAAGGTTTATTGTCATACAGCAATGCCTACTCATTTACGTATTGTCTATGACTGCTTTCTGGCTGCAGTGGCAGAGCTGAGTAGTTGTGGCAGAGACCCACAAAGCCAAATATTTACTGTATTAGGCAATTCTTGCGTTGCTATAAAGAAATACCTGAGACTGGGTAATTTATAAAGAAAAGAGGTTTAATTGGTTCATGGTTCTGCAGGCTTTACAGGAAGCATGATGCTGGCATCTGCTCAGCTTCTAGGGAGGCCTCAGGAAGCTTATAATTCTGATGGAAGGTAAAGGGGAAGCAGCCACATCACATTGTGAAATCAGAAGCAAGGGAGAGAGTTAGCAGGGAGGGGCCACATACGTTTAAAGGATCAGATCTCCTGTGAACTCAGAGTACGAGCTCACTTATTGCCAGGGGGATGATCTGAGTCATTAATGAGGAATCCACCCCCAGGATCAAACACCTCCCACCAGGCCCCACCTCCAACACTGGAGATTACATCTCAACATGAGATTTGGAGGGGACATCCAAACTATATCATTTACTATCCTATCTGACCCTTTAGAGAAAACTTTTACACCTCCTGGTTTAGACACATACCACTACTCTTCCCCCACAAATCTAGATGTCTCTTGAGGGAAAAGGAAAGAAAAATATTAAAGACTGAGAATTTAACCATAAGAAGAAAGAGTAACCTATATATACTTGAATTTAAACCAAAGGTTGCCTTGATTTAATAAGGTTAATGGTTTAATTTCTATGAAATGAAGACTTTAAAACTAGTTCACTTTAGGTGCAAAAAGTTGAAGAATGTTCCATATTGACATACCTCAATCGTATGGATTATGAAAGTCCTACTTGGCAAAAGAGTGATGTTACTGGAAGAAGATATACAATACAAAGAAAACATAAAATATAGGAATCAGAATGATTGGAGGGACAGGAAACAATTGAAGAAATGCTATAAGAGCCAAGACCTGAATTATAAATAGAAGGTAAAAGATGCATTTGGAAGTGAAGAGAATATTCCAAGCAGAGAGAAAGAAATGGAAAATACTATAATTAGAAAAAAAGGCAGTATCATTAGAGAAAGTTAAGATGGTAAACCAGGAGAAGAGAGTTATTAAAATAAATTGAAAAGGTAGGAATAACCAGATGTAGGCAAGGTTAAGAATTTTGTTTAAATTTGTTTTTTATTATATTTTAAGTTCTGGAATACATTTGTGGAACGTGTAGGTTTGTTACATAGGTATACACGTGCCATGGTGGTTTGTTACACTCATTAACCTGTCATCTACATTAGGTATTTCTCCTAATACTATCCCTCCCCTAGCCCCCAACCCCTGCAACAGGTCCCAGTATGTGATGTTCCCCTCCCTGTGTCCATGTGTCTCATTGTTCAACTCCCACTTATGAGTGAAAACATGAGGTGTTTGGTTTTCTGTTCTTGTGTTAGTTTGCTGAGAAGGTTAAGAATTTTAAGAGGTTTTTCTAAAAGGCCTACAGAAGTGATTAAGGAGTACTAATTATTTAACCAAAACACCTTATTTTGCCTTTCTGATTGAACTTCAGCAGTAAATTGAGGACAGGATTAAAGGAATACAGAAATAGGAGAAGGAGACATAATAAGCCGATTGTTACATTATCCTGATTACAAATGATGGGTGACAGATTTGGGTGGTAACAAGAGTGATAGAGAAACTTGGACCTATTTAAGAGAGGTTTACGAGATGAATTCAATAAATTTCCATGAATTAATTATTGATTATGGAAGTTGTGGAAGAAGCAGTGTCAAGATGACTCTCAGCTTTTGGCTTAAATAAGTGGGTAGATAGAAGTAACATTATCCGAGAAAGAGACTCAAAGAAAGCAGGGATTATGGCAGAAATGCTTAAGTTCAGTTGTGAACAGGTTGTCACCAGGATGCCTCTGAGACACCCTAGTAGGGAGGCTGTGTGGTTATTTGGATAGAAGCAAGTATTGCTTTTGGTGACCTCTTAGCACATGGTAGGTGTATGATTAAAGTGCTTTGAATGAAGTTTCTCCAGTTGTGTCATGTGTCCTACCTGAACTTACATGGAGACTTGGTTCTCTTAAGGGGTGAATAAACCTAAGGGAAGAGTTAGAGGAGGAGGCAGGTCATGGACCCAAGTTTCTTACCTCCCTATATAGCATTGGTCAAAACGCTTTCTCTCAACACTTTTCCATGTGTATTATCCTCACCTGCAGAATAAGCCTCTTGATAGATCTGCTAGGTCAGCTTTTCTTTCTAAAATGTTGATTTACTTTATTACACATTTGAATGTATGGCACATGATAGCATGCTAAATCTTAGAAATTAATGCAATGTTATCAACCAAAAAAAAAAAAAAACAAAGTAATGAGTATGTTGAAGGGTGGATCACAAACAGATGAGCATCTTGTATAATAACTTTTTTTTCCTTAAAATTTTTAATGTGTTCATGGTAGAAAAATGTGAGATCAGAAATGAATATAAAGAAGAAAATTGATGTTTCAAATGCTACTTAAAATATATAGTGAGAAGGTTTCTGATGGAAAGTATCAGATATTGCTCTTGCCTCTTAATTGTGAATGCATGAATGAGCTTGAGGTTAACATACACAAGGCTGAATCCTGAGCCTTAACTACATAATTTGCTTTGTAATGTCAGTTTCATGGGCATAACAAAGATTATACTATTGTTGCTCCAGTTGTTCTACAGAAAAAAATGAAGTTAATATTTTGTCCATGACAAACTCAAATTCTCCCAAATACATTTATCACTTTTTCTTACTTGTGGCCACTTATTGAGTGTGTTGTAAAATGTGGTATTCTTACACTTAAATGATAGATCCACAATTCAAAATAAAAAAAGTAGAAAAACCATAGCAGTTTTTCCTGATTTATTTGAAAGCAAACATGTCCTGACATTAGAACTTAAAGAAAAAAGACTTTAAACTATTTATAACTTTTGGAAAAGGCAGACTCACTTGCACAGTCTATCAACCTCTGCTGATTGCTGCTCAGTTACATAAGAATGGGCTTTGAGCCTGGAACATTTCCTTACCAAGAGAGAAAGAGCCCACACTGCCTATGCCAAGCTTATCACTTTGTGCGGAAATATCTTTCCCTGTTTCAGACTCAATGAGTGTTCCCTTGTTTTGCTTAAGCTTGTGAGTCTGTGGTCTCCAAACAGTCCCCCAGACATCAGTGTTTCAGACCCCACAGGGGAGGGATTGAGGTCCTACTGAGGCGTATGAGGGGTACAGGCACTGCATCTTCTGCCGGGAGAGATACCCTAGTCATGGGAGACCAACACACATCATTGAAGCCGATCTTGCTCTGTCTGTCCTCTACACAGTAAGTACTCACTGAACATTCTCAATACGTTCTTGGAAACTATGAATAAGCAGAATGACATCTAAGGATACCAACGTTACCATAGACTAATTTATATAAACAAGATAAGTTCCTATGGCATATTTCTGGTTACAAAACATCACCAAACTTCTAAAGAAACATGAAAACACTTCTGATATCAAACATTGAAATAAATGTGAGTTATGCATACAATTAAGAAAGAATAACAAAAAAACAAGTAAGATAATTACCCAATTATTCCAGTTCATGATTGTGGGCAGGCGAAGCCAGTCCTAAAAGCTCAGGGCACAAGGTGGAAACCCATCTTGGCCAGGACACCATGCCCTCACAGGGAACACACACATACACACCTACACTCACTCACACTGGGACCATGTAGACACACCAGTAAACTTAATTTGCACATCTTTGGGACAGGAAAAGAAACAAGAGGACCCAGAGAAAACCCACACAGACAGGGAAAGAGCATGCAGACTCCACACAGACAGTGACCCCAGTCGGGAATCAATGTTATCTCAAGGTTAAAATGAAGTAACACTGAACAAAATGAGGTTAAGGACCTGCTGTATAAGCAAAGTGTTCCATCCAGTACCTGACTGTGTTGTGTTTTCTTTGGTGGTTTGGACACAACATGCAATGGTTAGAAGTGTTTGGAGTTCTCCCCTGGGATTGATAACTAGTTCACACTGTTGTGCTCAACAATAAACTTATACTTACTTAGTATGACTATTCATACTTTTTACCTGCATAAATATTAATGTATTTAATGGGTAAGGCCTGATATGCTGATTGATGCACACACAGTGATAAATGCATTCTATTACCTTTCTAAAGGTAACATTCCACATTTCATAATGTATCTGTATTAGTCCATTCTCACACTGCTAATAAAGACATAACTGCAACTGGGTAATTTATAAAGGAAAGAGGTTTAATGGACACAGTTCCACATAGCTGTGGAGGCCTCACAATCATGGCAGATGGCAAAGGAGGACCAAACTTACATCTTACATGGCAGCAGGCAAGAGAGAGCATGTGCAGGGGAATTCCCCTTTATAAAACCATCTGATCGCATGAGATTTACCCACTGTCACAAGAACAGCACGGGAAATACCCACCCTCATGATTCAATTACCTCCCACCAGCTCCCTCCCAAGACACGTGGGGATTACAGGAGCTACTATTTGAGATTTGGGTGGGACACAGCCCAATCATATCAATGTCTGTCCCCAGGGATTTCTGGTTTGGGATTATGTAAAGATATTACCCTTCTCACAGGGGCATGTTGAGAATTCAATGAGATTTTGTCTGAGAATGTGTTTATCACAAATGTCTCTCATTAAGTGCTCTGTTTAGGTTAGCTTACTTAACCTTTCCTTTTATTTCATGTAAACTTTTCTGTCCCACTCAGTTGTCCATTCCATGTTTATTTAACATTTGACAATACTTGTATGCATACTTTATCTAGTCTACTGAAATAAATATAGTATATTTTTAGAAAAATATGATCTTTAAAGTGATATGCAAGGAGAAAATACTCCTAGCTGTACCATTTATTAGCTGTTTGAAATGAGCTCTCTTTTCTTTGTTCTTTTGTGACTTGGAAGTATATTTATCCCACACAGGTAGAGAGAGAATTAACCATTATTGGCCATTTACCAAGTTCTAGCAATATGCCAGGAAAATAGTTAAATCATTAGTATAACAAGAATAGAAATAAACAAGAATATTAATGCCTATTATTTATTGAACACTTAGTAATGCCAGGCACTTTTCAAAAACACATTACATGTATGAACTCAGAAAATGTGAACATCAAGGAAAAGCTTTAAGTAGCCCTCTGGTCAAAGGCTTCATCCCTTAAAGAATTCTAGCAGAGACTTAGGGAAGATGATAAAAATATTGAATCAAAATTTACAAAAATTAGACTTCCCAAAGATTATTTATATGACATATCAGCGGAAGGCAGTGTGGCAAAGTAAAGGCACTGATTTGCACGTAAAGAAGGCTAGTCAGTAGTTATTTTTTCTGATATTTGCTTTAATATATTTGAGCTGTTTAAACTCTACAGCCTCAGATATGAAGGGATTGAACCAAATGATCCCCAAGGCCCCTCCTAGCTTTCTAATTCTAGAAGTAGAAAAAGCCACGTTAATTTCAAGTTGTGCAGTCCATTCAACATGAAGTAAAGCAGTTCTATTGTTTCCATCAACAAATACTTTTTTGAAGACCTGCTATGGGCCAGAAACTCTTCTAGGTAATAAAATACAGAAATAAGCAAGGAATTTTGCTGGCCTCCAAGGATCTTACAGTCTCTGGAGAGACAGAGCTAAGTAAACAGGCAATTATAATAAAGTGTAGTGCATGCTTGATAGGTGAAGAAGCAAATACTCATTTAAAATAAGAGGTCTAATTCTTCCTGTTGAAAACAAAGAGATTTCCTTCAATTCTCTTTTCTTAGAGCATTTACTTTAGAAAATTTGTATGTTCTTTCTCTATGTTTTTGAAATGTATGTAAATATTTCTAAAAGCCAAATAAGTTTCTTTAAGATCCAAGAATGTCCTTCTCAAGGATTTGGGAACCACCTCTTTGAAATGTAATCATCAAGGATGATAAAAACCCTACCTCCCAGTTTCTGTGGGAGAGTAAGAAGCTCACTTCAGTAGGAATCCCTTTCCAAAATTACCTTCTGTGATAAAGGCTAACACACAGAATCACCCCAAATACAAGGTGAATTTAGGATGAACATGTATGACAAATGGTCACATATCATCTGTCTTGAGAACATGTATGTAATGAGTTGTAATTGCTCAGCTATATAATATTGTCTTTCTATCTTTGTAATCTCTTAGTGAAGTGTCTGTGATTCACATCATATTCTGGTTTAACACTCATTCAATCATAAAATTGTTCTTTTTTCTCCTCTATCTCTGGGCAACAGAGCTCACAAGACAGAGAGGAGAGGAGAATGGGAACAAACTCATCATTAATCATGAACCCACTCCCTAGATAACTGCATTAGTCTGTTTTCACACTGCTATAAATAACTGCCTGAGACTGGGTAATTTATAAAGGAAAGAGGTTTAATTGACTCACAGTTCAGCATGGCTGTGGAGGCCTCAGGAAACATAATCATGGCGGAAGGCGAAGGGGAAGCAAGGCACCTTTTTCACAAGGTGGCAGGAAGGAGAAGTGCTGAGAGAAGGGGAAAGAGCCCCTTATAAAACCATCAGATCTCGTGAGAATTCACTATCATAAGAACAGCAAGAAGGAAACTGCCCCTATGATTCAATTACCTCCACCTGGTCGCTCCCTTGACACGTGGGGATTATGGGGGCTATTATTCAAGATTGGATTTGGGTGGGGACACAAAGCTTAGCCATATCAATAACTAACCCACGCCTGCAATTAATCCATTCATGAGGATGGAGACCTCCTGACCTAATCACCTCTTAAAGGTTCCACCTGTCAACAACATTGCACTGAAGATTGAATTTCCAACAGATGAACTTTGGGGAACACATTCAAACCATAGCTCTGTTCAACCACTCTACTGGCTCCTCACTTTCAATCCACCAATCAACTAACTGATCAATCAGTAGCCATTTACAGAGTATCACCTGTCAGCAAGGCATTGAATTTGGTGCTATGAAGAACATAGCATATAATAACATGTAATCCCTGCTTGCAAGGATTATCTGACACTCTTAAGAATTGTAACTAGAACTCTTGTGACTATTGTGACTAGAATGTAGCACAATAATCTGTTGGGACTGGCCTGGTGAATACAGCTCATTTGCAACCTAGATTTCATAAAGCCCATAACAGCTGGAACCAGAAGAGAAGTTTAAGCCTAACTAGTTCCAGAACCGCAGAAATGCCACTACTGCATACTCAAAATTATCTTAATTTCTTGACATTTTAGTTATTGACTGATTTATTTAATTGTATTTTCCCATGGATGCATGCATGCATCCGTGCTCAATTTACTGACTTACTGATTACATGTTATTTGCAAGAGTAATAGTACTTTGTCATTACCTACTTTAAAGGGATTGTGACTACTTCCCCAGACCCATTATTTAAAGTTTAATCACATTCTCAAAGGAGGCTTCCTTGACTGCCAAAACATTCAATAAGTTCTTCCTACCTCTAAAAATTTCAGAATGCATGCTGTTTCACTTGTTTAGCTTGGCACGTTTTTTGGTACATGGTTTATTTCAGTAATGCCAAATGTGAAAAGAACATGGAGAGAGATAACTGAATAGTAAATACTAAACAAATGTATCTATGGATAAATTTATTCTGGGGATGCAGATAAAGTGCCCCAGCACACAATGAAATTTCTGTAAAGACAGCACATGTTCCATTAATTATCATATACCCAGGTTCTAATATTACTTAAAAATATTTGTTGGCTTGAATTGAATTAAATTAAATTGAACTGATGGAGCAGAGTGCAGGGGGTAAGATTTGTACACATTGTAAAGCCAGGAGAAATCATCACTGTTTGTCTGAATCCAGATGCCTTTCTCTTTGCCAGCCATCATGAAAGAGAAGCTGAGAATTCTTGAGAATTTGTTTTCTTTCATAATGGGGTCTTTTCCTAAAATAGGGTAGGAACAATTGAAAAACAAAATGTGCAAGTAAACAAATCTCATTTTAATTGGAAGGGCAATTATACCAAATGTGCTTTCTAAGCTAGATTTATGTTAATTAACAAAGTGCTTTGTATCTTTTGAAGGTCAACACTCTCAGGAGTCTATTAGCATTTTGGCCACGTGGGTTTTTTGGTAAACTCACGCAAATGGCAGGCCAGTACTTTGCACTTCTGCCTTGATTACTTCTGGAGCAACCTCAATTACAGCTATTGTCAGTGTCTTTCTCCTAGAGACCCACAGCCAGCTTCTAATACTTTAAACGTGGTGGAAAGGCTGTGAGTTAGCTTAACAGCTGATTTTCCTCAGAGCATTGGCTGGAATTATGGGTTTTAAGAGGCAGAAGCAATAACCTACACCTTTCTTAGAGTGAGTAGACTATAAAATGCTAGCTGGGGCCTTTGAGTAGTTTACAATGTAACAAGTCACTTGCTTAATAACTGTTAAGTCAAATAAATATATCCTCAAAGAAAGCAGTTTATATGTAACAAGTAAAAGAGAAAAGGGAAGTGATGCATTGATGCCATGTAAAAGTTCTAAAGCAAAAATAAAATAACTATCAAATCATAATTAATAATTACAGAAAATAGAGTGTTCATTGTCATAGAGTTGTTCTCTTGTTATTTATGTGTTTTATTTCCTTATATATTTTTGATATGAGTCCCTTACCTAGTAAATAATTTGCAAATATTTTCTCTTAGTATGTGGGTTGTCTCTTTACTCTGTTAATTGTTTTGTTTACTATGAGAAGCTTTTTCATTAGACCAATCCCATTGGTCTATTTTTGTTTCTGTTGCCTGTGCTTTGGGGGTTAAATGCAAGAAATCATCGTCCAGACCAATGTCATGCAGGTTTTCCTCTATGTTATCTTCTAGTAGTTCTACAGCTTTAGGTCTTACATTTAAGTCTCTAATCCTTTCTTAGTTGACGCTTGTACAAGGGGTGAGATGACGCTCCAGTTTCATTCTTCCGCATGTGAATAACCAATTTTCCCAACACCACGAATTGAAGAGGCTGCCCTTTCAGTGTAGTATATTTACAATACCCACAATATGAAAACAACTTAAGTGCCTATCAACAGATGAATGGATAACAAAAATTGATGTATATACACAATGGTATACTATTTAGCCTTTTGAAAGAATGCAATTCTGTCATTTGCAAAAACATGGATGAATCTAGAGGACATTATGCTAACAGAAATAAACCAAGCACAGAAAGACAAATATTGCAACATCCCACTTATCTATACAATGTAAATATTTGAACTCATAGAAGTAGAGAGTAAATAGTGGTTACTAGGGGCTGGATGGCAATGTTGGTCAAAGGCTACAAAATTTCAATTATACTGGAAGAATAACTTGTGGTGATACATTGAATAGCAAGTGACTATAGATAATAATAATGTATTATATATTTCAAAAATTGCCAAAAGAGTGGATTTTAAATGTTCTCACTATAAAGAAACGATGACCCTGTGAGGTAATAGATATATTAATTAATCTGATTTGCTCATTCCACAATGTATACATGTATCAAAACATTACATTGTATTCAGTAAATAAATATAATTGTTATTTGTCAATTAAAAATAAATACAAAATTTAAAAGAAGAAAAGCTTTTTCTTTTTTGAACATTCTAATTTTAAAATTCCTGTTAATACAGACGTTAATATATCTGTCTACTAGATATCTAATTTAATCTAGGAAATAGGGTAGGGAAATCTTAAAATTAGGATTCAGCAGTCTAAAGGTGGTAACTGAGGCTATACTAGTGGAAGAGATTCTAATAAAACAACATAGAATAAAAATGTGACCTTGTGGAAACCTTGAGAACACTAAAGCAATCCAAATTATTGTTTTGGATAGGGGTAAAACATTACATTTATTCAGGAGGAGTGATTTCCTGTAGGAAGTGGTTGTTGAATCTCCCACAATCCCACCCAGCATCAACTCTTCCTCCTACTGACTTGCCAAAAGCTGTAACATTAAAAAAATTAGAAGTCCTCCAGTTTCTATGAATCTTTTCCTAAATTCAAAACATTCCAAAAACAACTCTGCATTAGCCATTAACATACTGCACGGGTAAGCACACCAAATTGCCATCTTTATGTCTGAAGAGAGCTTGGCTTTGTATGGTTCTATTACCAACAAGGTGGAAGTCCATCAAGCTGGTACTGAATTATCAAATTTGCACCTCTGAGATTCAACCTGGAGTATTAGTAATTGGGCAACTCCATGCCTACCTGATTTGTGCTTGACTCTTATTAATTTTCATATCCTAACATTGTATTACCTGGTCCCTATCCACCTTTGTTGCTTCAGTTGTACTATTTCCCTTGTTCTGATCAATAACTTTACCTTTATGCTCAAGTTCGCTACTTCCCTCATCAAATTGCTCTCTCAGACACCTGCTAATCTTACCTCTATTGTTTAAATGAGACTCTTTTTTCCCTTCCTCCTCCTTCCCCTCTTCCTGTTTCTGCTCCTCCTTCTTCCTGAACTTTACTCACAGACAGTTCTTTTTAGCATAGACTGACACTCCCAGCCTCTGATTTTTTGCTGCCTCAGAACTTGGAGCATGAGTGATGGAACACAAAGCCAGGGCAGAGTGGAATGGATTGCAATGCAGGACCCTGTGTACCTGTGCATCCAGGAGTGGAGGAGCGGGAGGCGATGGCTGTTTGTAGGCAGAAAGTAGTGAAAGGGCTATGAGTTCTTTTGTGGGAGAAAAAGCATTCAAGAGAAGCAGAAGGATTTTGAAGGGCAATAAGGTGATTTTGTTCTACACGTTCTGTAGTGAGAGTAGTCTCAAAAAATGATCTTTTCCACCTATACATTGAGGAAAAGCAAAGGAGGTATGATTATGTTTAGTGGAGTAGGGATAAAAGAGCTCAAGTCCAGTGGAGCTGCTGTATCATTCTCACCTTTCCTCCACTGCCCTGAACCTCACTACATCTGGTAAACTTGCCTGGTGCCCATTTGATCACTCCCACCTGATCATAGTCTACAAGGCTTCACTTGTATCATGACACCACTGATGTTCTTGAACCACTTTTTATGTGCCAGGCAGTCTTCTAAGTCATGTTCATGCAAGATATCATTTAACATCTCAGTAACCTTGTAAGGCAAGTCGTTCTTATTTCCACTTTACAGTTGATGTAACCCATGCACATAGAGGAAAAAAAAAAAAAACTTCTTCCAGATCACAGCAGTTAGTGATAGACATCCTCCTTAATGCCCTCAGGTTTTCAAGCTATCTCTTGCCTTTCCCTTCTTCCTTCTTTCTTCCCTTCAAACTTCTGTCCTGTCATCCTTTATTTCACCTTATTTCCTTCAGCAAGATTTTTTTGACTGATCAAAAGCCCCATCCCTTACCCCTTTAAGCTCTGATTCACAAACATCTCTTTACTTTTAACATAATTTATGTATTTGTAGTAGATAAGTTGGTGTCTAAACATCATTAGTAAGATGTTTTAACTGGTTATGTGTACTTAGACAGGATTGATGGTCATTAAAATTCTCAATATATTCTATTACTGAGTAAAAAAAGGCAATCTGTTTTATGCTATCATACGATTTTTACCTGTGGCTATGGGAGGCAGTACGGTGCACAGATCAAGAAAAGATACGACCAGGCACGGTGGCTCACGCCTGTAATCCCAGCACTTTGGGAGGCCGAGGCAGGCAGATCACGAGGTCAGGAGGTCGAGACCATCCTGGGTAACATGGTGAAACGCTGTCTCTATTAAAACTACAAAAAATTAGCCAGGCGTGGTGGCTGGCACCTGTAGTTCCATCTACTCGGGAGGCTGAGGCAGGAGAATGGCGTGAACCCGGGAGGCAAAGCTTGCGGTGAGCCAAGATCGCACCACTGCACTCCAGCCTGGGCAACAGAGCAAGACTCCATCTCAAAAAAAAAAAAAAAAAAAAAAGAGTAAAGACACTGGAGGGCTGTTATAAGGACATAATGAGTTAAAACGTGTGCATATAAGAAATAGATTTTATTACTATAAAGAAAATACCTTTTACTAATATCGCATTATACACACCAGATGACAAAATCTCTCTATCCCTCAAAGCAAATTCAGGTAGTACTTAATAACATTGTTCAATATTTGTTCACTTAGGCACACAACCTATTTATTCATTTTTGTTAGTGCCAGTGATTTTTTCTTGTTTATGAAAAGTATATATGCTGATCTGCAGTTTTTAGTAGAACAGTCAAATCATCAGTAGACGCAGTTTAAAATATTCAAACCATTATTTATAAACAATTGGCTGACTGCTTTTTACTTTAACATTTAAGCTCCTAAAAAGAGAGAGAAAAATCATACCTTGAGTCGCTGATTTTATACAATTGAACTCTACAGATAAGCTAGGTTTTTAATTTATTCTCTATGAGGCCTAAAGAGACCCAATGAGATACTTCAGGGAATGTCCCTAAAGTAGACAGTGGCACATGAAGGAGGGGATAAGCAGGCATGATTTTAACTCGTACTACCATTTTGAGCAAAAAGTTCCACTTTTATCTGTTTTACCAATTTTCCCTTAAAATTTTTAGAGAAGCATAGAATAGACAAAAAGTTAAAAATGATTGTCATTCTCCTTCAGTTTATAAATGGTAAAGCAGACAAAGAGAGATGTACTATCTTTCCCCGTGACACATAGAAAATTATAATTAGTAGCAAATTCTAATTCTAACACCCTGGTGGAGAATCTTCCCAGTATTCCATACCACCAGCTTCATCAGTGTAGTTCAAGGCTCTCAATATGGGTAGCTGCTGGTGCAGATGGGTACACCACCTGAGCGATGCAGGGCAATAATGGAAGAATCCTTAAATTGAGTCCTTGGGCATATATGGCATCCAGGACATTTAACTGAGAAGTTAAAATCTATGATCAGAAAGCAAACAGAGGATGAGAAAGTTTCCTGAACAACAGAGATCAGATAGTAGCTTAAAAATTTTTATCTGCCTGACCCATCCCTCCTCACTGGGCAGGGCCTCCCTTTCAGGAACTTCAGCAACTCAAGCCAGGGGCTTAGGAACAGAACTCTAATCTCCCAGGGCCTTAGCCCCTAAGGGGAAGGATGGCCATGGTTTCCACAGACCAACAGACTTAGTCTTTCCCCCTGCTAGCTCTGAGGAAACTGAGTAGCCCAGACGAGTGGGTTTCCCCCCAGCGCAGCACACCCCTCCACCAAGGGACAGACAAGGTGCTTTCTTAAGCAGGTCCTGGATCCTGTGGTCCCTGACTGGGTGAGACCCCCCAACAGGGTTCACCAGACACCATACACAGGAGCGTTCCTACTAGCATCCGGTCCGTGTCCCTCAAGGACAGAGATCCCAGAGGAAGGTGCAGGCACCCATGTTTGATGTTCTCCAGCCTCCTCGGGTGACATCTGCAGGTACCCAGGTTAATAGGGCCTGAAGTGAGCCCCCAGCAAACTTCAGCAGCCCTACAGAAGAGGGGCCTGACTGTTAAAAACAAACAAACAGAAAGCAACAACAACAGCATCAGCAAAAAAGTCCCCACAAAACCCCATCCAAAGGTCAGTAGCCTCAGAGATTGAAACTAGACAAACTCACAAAGATGAGAAAGAATTAATGAAAAAATGCTGAAGACTCAAAAGGCCAGAGTGCCTCTTCTCCTCCAAATGATCGCAGCACCTCTCCAGCAAGGGTACAGAACTGGGCGTAGGCTGAGATGGATGAATTGACAGAACTAAGGTTCAGAAGGTGGGTAATAACAAACTTCACTGAGCTAAACGAACATGTTCTAACCTAATGCAAAGAAACTAAGAGCCATGATAAAAGGTTACAGGAACTGCTAACTAGAACAACCAGTTTAGAGAGGAACATAAATGACCTGCTGAAAAACACAGCACGAGAAGTTCGTGATGCAAACACAAGTATCAATCACCAAATTGATTAAGTGGAAGAAAGAATATCAGAGCTCAAACACTATCTTGCTGAAATAAGGCAGGCAGATGAGATTAGAGAAAAAAGTATGAAAAGGAATGAACAAAAACTCTGAGAACTATGGGACTATGTAAAAAAGACCAAATCTATGACTGATTGGAATACCTGAATGAGACAGGGAGAATGGAACCAAGTTGAAAAACACACTTCAGGATATCATCCAGAACTCCTCCAACCTAGCAAGACAGGCCAACATTCAAATTTAGGAAATCCAGAGAACCCCAGTAAGATGCACCACAAGAATATCAACCCCAAGATACGTAATCATCAGATTCTCCAAGGTCAAAACAAAGGAAAAAATGTCAAGGGCAGCCAGAGAGAAAGGCTTGGTCATCTACAAAGGGAAGCCCATCAGATTAACAGCAGACCTCTCAGCAGAAACCCTAAAAGCTAAAAGAGAGTGGGGGCCAATATTCAACACTATTAAAGAGTTTCCAACCCAGAATTTCATATCCAGTTGAACTAAGCTTCATAAGTAAAGGAGAGAAATAAAATCCTTTTCGGACAAGCAACTGCTGGGAGAATTTGTCACCACCAGGCCTGCCTTGCAAGAGCTCCTGAAGGCAGCACTAAATATGGAAAGGAAAAACTGGTACCAGCCACTGCAAAAACACACTGACGTACAAAGACCAATGACACTATGAAGAAACTACATCAGCTAGTCTACAAAATAACCAGCTAGCATCATGGTGACAAGATCACATTCACGCATAACAATATTAACCTTAAATGTAAATGGGCTAAATGTGCCAGTTAAAAGACACAGACTGGCAAATTGAATAGAGTCAAGACCCATCAATGTGCTGTATTCAAGAGATCCACCTCATGTGCAAAGACACACATAGGCTCAAAATAAAGGGATGAAGGAAAATTTACCAAGCAAATGAAAGGCAGAAGAGAGCAGGGGTTGCAATCCTAGTTTCTGACAAAACAGACTTTATACCAACAAACATCAAAAAAGACAAAGAAGGGCATTACATAATGGTAAAGGGATCAATTCAACAAGAAGAGCTAACAATCCTAAATATACATGCACCCAATACAGGAGCATCCAGATTCATAAAACAAGTTCTTAGAGACCAGCAAGAGACTTAGACTCCCACACAATAATCATGGGAGACTTTAACACCCCACTGTCAATATTAGACAGATCACCGAGACGGAAAATTAACAAGGATATTCAGGACTTGAACTCAGTTCTGGATCAGTTGGATCTGATAGATATCTGCAGAACTCACCACCCAGAAACAACAGAATATACATTCTTCTCAGTGCCACATGGCACTTACTCTAAAATTGATCACATAATTGGAAGTAATACACTCCTCATCAAATGCAAAAGAACTAAAATCATAACAAACGGTCCCTCAGACCACAGTGCAATCAAATTAAAACTCAAGATTAAGGAACTCACTCAAAACCACACAAATACAAGGAAATTGAACAATCTGCTCCTGAATGACTCCTGGGCAAATAATGAAATGAAGGCAGAAATCAAGAAGTTCTTTGAAACCAATGTGAGCAAAGAGACAGTGTACCAGAATCTCTGGGATACAGCTAAAGCAGTTTTAAGACGGAAATTTGTAGCACCAAATGCCCACATCTGAAAGCTAGAAAGATCTCTAAAATAACTAGAGAAAAAAGAGAAAACAAATCAAAAACCTAGCAGAAGACAAGAAATAATATCAGAGTGGAATTGAAGGAGATAGAGACAAGAAAAACCATTCAAAAAATCAATGAATTCAGGAGCCGATTTTTTGAAAAAAAAATTAATAAAATAGATAGACTGCTAGCTAAATTAATGAGAGGAGAATCAAAAAGACACAACAAAAAATAATAAAGAGGATATCACCACTGACCCCAGAGAAATACAAACAACCACCAGAAAATGCTATAAACACCTCTGCTCAAGTAAACTAGAAAATCTAGGAGAAACGGATAAATTCCTGGACACATACAACCTCCCAAGACTAAACCAGGAAGAAGTTGAATCCCTGAATAGACCAATAACAAGTTGTGAAATCGAGGCAGTTATAAATAGCCTACCAACCAAAAAAAAAAAAAAAGTCCCAGGACCAGATGGATTTGCAGCTGAATTCTACCAGAACTACAGAGAGGAGCTGGTACCATTCCTTCTGAAATGGTTCCAAATAATTAAAAAGGACCGACTTCTCCTTAACCCATTTTATGAGACCCGCATCATCCTGATAGCAAAACCTGGCAGAGATACAACAAAAATTAAAAACTTCAGGCCAATATCCTTGATGAACATTGATGAAAAAATCCTCAATAAAATACTGGCAACTGAATCCAGCAGCATATCAGACAGTTTATCCATAATGATCAAGTGGGCTTCATCCCCAGGATGCAAGGTTGGTTCAACATATGCAAATCAATAAATGTAATTCATCACATAAACAGAACTAATAAGAAAAGCCACATAATTATCTCCATAGTCGCAGAAAAGGCCTTTGATAAAATTCAACCGCTCTTCATGTGAAAAACTCTCAGTAAACAAGGTGTTGATGGAATATATCTCAAAACAATAAGAGCCATTTATGACAAACTACAGCCAATATCATACTGAATGGACAAAAGCTGGAAGCATTCCCTTTGAAAACTGGCACAAGACAAGGATGCCATCTCTCACCACTCCTATTCAACATAGTATTGGAAGTTTTGGCCAGGGCAATCAGGAAATAGACAGAAATGAAGCGCATTCAAACAGGAAGAGAGGAAGCCAAATTGTCTCTGTTTGCAGATGACATGATCCTATATCTAGAAAATCCCATCATCTCAGCCCAAAAGCTCCTTAAGCTGATAAGCAACTTCAGCAAAGTCTCAGCATACAAAAACAATTTGCAAAAATCACAAGCATTCCTATACACCAAAAATAGACAAGTGGAGGGCCAAATCATGAATGAACTCCCATTCACAATTGCTACAAAGAGAATAAAACACCTAACAAGGGATGTAAAGGATCTCTTCAAGAGGAATTGCAAACCACTTCTCAAGGAAATATGAGAGGACACAAACAAATGGGAAAACCTTTCATGTTTGTGGATACGAAAAATCAATATCATGAAAATGGCCATACTGCCCAAAGTAATTTATAGATTCAATGTTATTCCCATTAAACTAGCATTGACATTGTACACAGAATTACAAAAAACTACTTTAAAATTCATATGGAAACAAAAAAGAGCTCATATAGCCAAGACAATTTTAAGCAAAAGAACAAAGCTGGGGGCATCACACTACCTGACTTCCAACTATACTACAAGGCTACAGTAACCAAAACAGCATGGCACTGGTACCAAAATAGACACATAGACCAATGGAATAGAATAGAGATCTCAGAAATAAGACCACACATCTACAACCATCTGATCTTTGACAAACCTGACAAAAACAAGAGGAACTTTAAAATGATTCCCTATTTAATACATGGTACTGTGAAAACTGGCTAGCCATATGTGGAAAATTGAAACTGGACCCCTTCCTTATACCTTATACAAAAATTAACTCAAGATGGATTAAAGACTTAAATGTAAAACTGAAAACTGTAAAAACCCTAGAAGAAAATCTAGGCAATACCATTTAGGACATAGGCATGAGAAAAGATTTCATGACAAAGACATCAAAAGCAATTGCAACAAAAGCAAAAATTGACAAATGGAATCTAATTAAACTAAGGAGCTTCTGCACAGCAAAAGAAACTATCATCAGAGTGAACAGACAACCTACAGAATGGGAGAAAAATTTTGTAATCTATCCACCTGACAAAGGTTTAATAAATCAACAAGGAACTTAAACAAATTTACAAGAAAAAACAAACAACCCCATTAAAAAGTGGACACAGGACATAAACAGACACCTCTCAAAAGGAGACATTTATGTGACCAACAAATATATGAAAAAAAGTTTAACATCGCTGATCGTTAGAGAAATGCAAATCAAAACCACAATGAGACACATTCTCATGCCAGTCAGAATGGCGATTATTGAAAAATCAAGAAACAACAGATGCTGGCAAGGCTGTGGAGAAATAGGCATGCTTTTACACTGTTGGTGGGAGTGTAAATTAGTTCAACCATTGTAGAAGACAGTGTAGCAATTCCTCAAGTATCTAGAACCAGAAATATCATTTGACCCAGCAATCCCATTACTGGGTATACACCCAAAGGAATATAAATCATTCTATTACAAGATACATGCACACATATGTTTATTGCAGCACTATTCACAATAGCAAAGACATGGAGTCAACCCAAATGCCCATGAATGACAGATTGGATAAAGAAAATGTGGTACATATACACCATGGAATACTATGCAGCTATAAAAAAGAATGAGATCATGTCCTTTGCAGGGAAATAGATGAAGGTGGAAGACTTTATCCTCAGCAAACTAACACAGGAACAGAAAACCAAACACCATATGTTCTCACACATAAGTGGGAGCTGAACTATGAGAGTACATGGACACAGGGAGGGGAACACCACACACTGGGGCCTGTTGTGGGGTGGGGGGAGGGAAAGCATCAGGATAAATAGCTAATGCATACAGGACTTTATACCTAGATTATGGGTTGATAGATGCAGCAAACCACCATGGCACAAGTTTATCTATGTAACAAACCTGCATGTCCTGCACATGTATCCCAAGCTTAAAATTAAATTAAATATTTTTTAAAAATTTTGTCTGAACAACAAAAGGGCATAAGGAAACTTTTCAAGAAGCTGGAAATGTTCTATATCTTGATTGTAGTAGTCGTTATATGATTGTATATATATTTGTCAAAACCCATTGAACTAACTCTTAAAACGGATGCAACATACTCTTTGTAAATTATACCTCAATAAGGTTTAACCCCACAAAAGACTAATTTTAAAATGTAGATGATGTAATACAAAAAAAATTTGGTATATGTACACCATGAAATACCATTCAGCCATAAAAAAGAATGAAGTTCTGTCATTCATGGCAACATGGATAGAACCAGAGGACATTATGTTAAGTGAAATAAGCTTGGAAGAGAAAGTTAAGCACAGCATGTTCTCACTCATATGTGGAAAGTAAAGAAATTGATCTCACAGAAGTAAAAAGTAGAGCAGAGGATACTAGAGGCTGGGAAGGATGGGGGAAGAAGGTGATAGGGAGAGACTTATTAAAAGATACAAAATTACAGATAGATAGGAGGAATAAGTTCTAGTGTTCTATACCACAGTACGATGACTATAGTTAACAATAATACATAACGTAGTGTCAAGTAGCTAGAAGAAGAGTATTGAATGTTCCCAACATAAAGAAGTGATAGATGATTGAGATGATAGCTATGCTAATTACCCAGATCTGATCACTGCACATGAGATGTATCAAAACATCACTATGTACTCCATAAATATGTAAAATTATTATGTCAATAAAAAACCTTAATGGCAGGAAAAAAAGTTTTTGTCTGAACAGAGTTCAGTGAATGTCAGCTTAAGGTGGAAAATAAAAAGAGAAAGTGATTCCAGGCACAAAGTCAAGATTAATTTCATGAGAGCCATATGCTATCATGAAAGGGATAGGATGCAAAATCCAATGAGAAACCTGGAATTGGTATCCAGAATCCAACCAGGCAAAAGTGGGAAGCATGCTAAAAAGGAAATCCAAAATAATGAATGGTTCTACATCAACAACACAGCAATGTTCTGTCTGTGAGCCCAGGATCAAGGTGAGCCCCTCTCTGCTCTGTGTTTATTCAGAGTCCCATAGGTACATCTTAGACTTCTGCTAGATATAAAGCCAGAGAGGGACATGATTTACCTCTGGACTTCCAGGTGGGCTGAACAGCTGTTTAAGGTAGGGACTGAGCTTGTGCTGGATGCAATAATTAGTCATGATAGCAGGGAACGTCTTGTTTCCAAAAAGAGCCCACAGAATCCCTGGAGGATAATGAGTGCCTTCATTAAATCAAAACATAATAGTTTTGCTTTCCACATGTTGGCTCCAATCAATGATCTTCTTACTTATGCTGAAACAAGCCAACTCTCTCTCAATATAAGTTTAAAAAGGCCAAGAAGCTGCTAACAATATCTAACATGCTCATAGCACAGAGCTACTTCAGGCAATGCCAGCCTATTTTTGACACAGGACAGTGAATAGCAGAGAATGTGTGCCCACTATGGACAAGAAACAGTTTACCCATAGATGAATATTATTCTGGAACAATTTGGCAAGATTATTTTCTTAAGGTGAATTAATTTCCTCAATGTCGTTTGGCTTTTATTGCTTTCTCAAAATTCAGACACATAATATCAAACAGATGGCTTGAACCAGTGAATAAATAGGTCATAAAAGAATTTTGTATACTTCATTGTTCTGGTTTATGGCTAAACACAGCAATCAGATTTTGTTGAAACCTGGATAAAATTGCTAGTTTCACTTTGTTTCAGTTCCAGGTGATCTGGAAGAAATAAAACTTCTCCAGGAGCATGTGTTCTTGGAATCCCTTCTTCATGTAATTTGCCCAAGAAAGTCATTCAACCCTTTGAGGTTTTCCAAGCTGCAACTTAAAAAAACAAAAAAAACAAAAAGACTGAGGAGAATCATGTCTTTATCATTGCTCATGCAGAGCAAACTTATTAACTAATTAGTTATACAGCTATCACAAGTAATAAATGGAGAGAATGCCAATGATAAAGTGAGAAGTAAAGGTAAGAAAACCATGGAGAGGTGGTGTGGATACTAGAAATGCAGAGCTTAAGTCTGCATTGAACAAATACAGATATTGAGCACCTTTCAGTACAAGAGCTGTTCTAGAAGGCAACAGACCACATTCAAACAAACCTTCCGTAAAGGATTATATTTTCTTCCCTCTCCATTCTGAGAACCAAATTCTGCATTAAAATTGTCAACCATGGTCCTTTCTATATATAACTACCTGAAGAAGTTTTTTACTGGGATTTTAAGAAAACCGCAGAAATTCATTGACACTTAGACCCATCCGATGTATTAAGCTATATGAAGCATACCAGTCAGGTAATATGCTGAATTATAAGATATTAGGGAAATATGATGACAGTGGTAACCAGGAGAGTTTATGTCCATCTAAAGTGGCAGATGCTGCTCACTTCCAGCCAAAGCAGCCATGCATATTTTGCCAAGGCTTATACTTTTTTCAAGAGAAACTAGAAATCTTCTTTCCCAAATGAAGATCGACAAAACCTGATTGACCACCCCCTACTTTTGTGTTAAACTGCCTAATTTGCAAACAGATTGTCTGAAACCTATGATGTGTAGGCCCCACATCACTGAGTGAGCTAAGAAGAAGGAGTATCTAAATCTGAAGGGACCTGAGTGGCTACTTGGTCTAACAGTTTCACCTATGTAAAGCCCAGATGGAATGCAATATCCCTAACAGATAGACTGCTCAGCCACTACTTATATATCTTCAAGGAAATTAACTGACAAATTTATGAAATGTTGGCATTTATATCAAGATATAACCTCAAAAACAAAGTGGATCACTATCATGGCCTCTGTTCTATTTAGACCTGGTAAGATAGAACTAGAAAATTGATGGATTCAGTATTTGTGTGCCCCCGGAAGCATTTTGGTTGCTACATGCTACTTGAAAAGAGGTCATTAAAAGAAGTTTCTACCAAAAACTGGTAATTATACTATTATTTATATAGTTATTATATCATGTACATTATATATAATATAAAAAATATGTAAGTATTTATTTAATGCAATGCTACAACCTGGATTGGATCTTGGAACCTAAAAAAGGCATCAATGGAAAAACCAGTAAAATCCAAAAAAAGTCTATAGTTAGTAGTAAGATGCTACTATTAGTTACTTCTCTATTTGGACAAATGTGCCATGGTTATATAAGATGTTAACATTAGAGGAAGCTAGGTGAAGAGTATATGAAATTTGTGTAATACCTTTGCGTCTTTTCTGGAATCTGGAATTGTTACACAATAAAAATTAAAATAGATATATTTGCATGTAGTTTAACAGTTTCGGATACCACATGAATTGCATTGAATGGCACCAATTAAGAGAAACATAACAAAACTTAGATTAATACGGAAGTAAAAGAGGCTGCTCCAATAAAAGAACCCGAGGTAAGTAATTACCAGCCAGACACTGGAAGCTGTAAACCAACCAGGTAGGTAAATTAAACGGGCCACATTACAAATTTGCAGCTTTGTCAGTCACTAACTGAAACATTCGCCAGGTTATTCAATTTCTTTCTATTATTAATTCAGTGATTAATGGCAGAATGCCTGCAATTTACCAGCATTTATTCTGGGTCCTGGGAGACTCAGGGGTAAACTAAACAGTTTTAATTCAATGTGTGTATCCCCACCCCGTTCCTGTCCCCGTGGAGCTTATGGCTCCTACTGGGGATACAAACACTGAATTAGCACACAAAGCAATTTCTGTTGATTTCAGCCCTAAAGTCAACAGTATAACCCATGCCTCCAAATAGTCAATGTTCATACAGATTCTGAAAGAAATTTTAAAATAGTCTCTTATTTGTGTTCTAATCGTACCTACCAAATCTATACACAGTCCATAAAGGAATTAGAAAATTTTGAATTGGATTTTCCACTTTATCCCATTAGCTCTTTCCCTCAACATTTTTTTCACTATTATATAGTCTCAATTCTTCAGAACACTCATGTAACTCTCTGTTCTCAGAGTAGTCACGGAGTATTTTTCCTTTTGCACCTTCTGCTGTGGGTTTCTCACTTGGGGCAAAAAGAGACAAATGATAATATCCTGCCTATATCTAGAGTAGTATTTCTGTCTTTCGACAGTTTTTTCCTTTGTTTTGTTAGGTGCAAATTTTGTTTTTATTTATATATTTTTTAGACAGGGTCTTACACCCAAGCTGGAGTGCAGTGGCACAAACATGACTCACAGCAGCCTCGACCTCCTGGGCTCAAGCAATCCTCCCATGTCAGCCTCCCAAGTAACTGGAACTACAGGTGTGTGCCACGACGCCCGGCTTTTATATTTTTTTGTGGAGCTGGGGCTTCACCACGTTGCCCAGGCTGATCTTGAACTCCTGGGCTCAAGTGATTCTCCTACCTTGGCCTCTCAAAGTGCTGGGGTTACAAGCATGACCAACTGCGTCCAGCCTGTGTGTCATTCTTACGACCTACTTTAAATTCGCTTATCCTTTAGGAATGTATGCATCATTATAAGCTTCTTTAAGTTATTTTCAGAAAATAATGAAAAGATATCATCTTCTTTATTGTATTGGTTTCTTAGGGCTGCTGTAACAAAATAGGACAAACACAGTAGCTTAAAACAACAGAAATTGATGCTCTTATGGTTCTGGAAAATAAAAGTCTGAAATTGAGGTGTTGGCAGGGCCACCCTGTTTCTGGAAGCTCTAAAGAAGAATCCTTCCTTGCATTTACCTAGCTGCTGATGGTTTCCCACAATCCTTTGGCTTCCTGGCCTGTAGCTCTATTATTCCAATTTCTGTCTCTTTCTTCACATGAGCTTTTTCCTTCTGTGTGTGTCTGAGAGCATCAAGATTAGGGTCCATCCTAATCCTGTCTAACCTCATCTCAAGTGGATTATATCTGCAAAGACCCTATTTCCAAATAATGTCAAATTCACAGGTACTGGGGGTTAGAACTTCAACCCACAATATTTAACTACCCATATGGGTGCATGAAAACCATCAGTCTTTCAGCTTAGATAGCTTTATATCCAAGAAGAAAATACTCATTTCAGTATTGTTACAGTGGGTAGCTAGTCGGGTATGCACAGGGCAGGAGAGGGCTCCCCCCACACACAGCAGAAGTGTTGGGCGACCATCAGGTGATGGTCTCGAGGTTGTTAACTGTCTCTCTCAAGTAATATTAGTCACAGCTGGCACCAGGGAAAGGCGGTCTCCTAATAGATAGAAAACACCTGAAATGTGACCAGCAGCTTCCTGAAAAGATCCCAGGAGTTGGACAAGTGGGCTCAAGCATGCACATGCAGACAGCCCACCCCAAGGGAAGAATCAGGGGAGAAGTAACACAAGACCCCGGAATTATGCCAATGTATAAAACCCCAAGTTAAAAGGTCAAACTGTGCACTTGCCTTTCAGGTCGCCTGCTTAGCCCTCTTCCAAGGTGTACTTTCCTTCTTTTCATTCCTGTTCGAAAGTTTTTAAAATAAACTTTCACTCCTGCTCTAAAACTTGCCTTGGTCTCTCTTTCTGCCTTATGCCCCTCCGTCAAATTCTTTCTTCTGAGGAGGCAAGAATCGAGGTTGCTGCAGACCCAAATGGATTTGCCACCATTAACATATTCCAGTGCTGTATGGCTTGGATACCTTCTACCAGTAACAGTATTATTCAACAGTTATTCAGTCTCACTAAAAAGGAAGCTCTTATTTATAATATTTTGATATGGTAGAATGAAGTAAAAATGGAAGTGGGCTTGGAGGGATAAAGAATGGGTTTCCAGCCCAAAGTTCTACTTACCATTCTAAGGACCACAAAATGCAAAGCATATGTCAATTTTGTTAAACTTGTCTGGAACTCCAAACCCACCCCCTTGCCAAAGCCCAAAGCCCTCCCATGACATGTATGGATTCTCAGCTACTTACTTCCCCAGGTTTCTCTCTGACTCAGCCTTCCTCCTTCAAGTTTGTTGCTTTAGTACTACCTTGAGTCTGTCAGAAAAAAATTGTGAAATACTTTGAAATGGACAAAATTATCACTGGATGTTTTGTCGAATACACCCTTCCGGATTATCTGTGTCCTTTTTGTCTTTGAGCTATTTTAAAATGCTATAAGTAGTAGAAAATGATAATAATACTAAGGATTCCTCTTCATTGAAGAGCAAATGCATTTCTTTTTGAAACAGGGTCTTGCTCTGTCTCCCCATCCGGAGTGCAGTGGTATAATCATAGCTCACTGCAGCCTCAAGTTCCAGGCTCAAGGAATCTTTCCACCTCAGCCTCCTGAACAGCTGGAATACAAGTGCATGCCACCACATCTGGCTAATTTTCTTTTATTTATTTCTTTTTTTTTTAATAGATGAGTTCTCACTATGTTGCCCAGACTGCTCTTCAACTCCTGGCCTCAAGGGGTCCTCTCTCTTCAGCCTCCCAACGTGCTAGGATTACAGGTATAAGCCACCACACCCTGCCTACAAATGCAATTTTTTTTTTTTTTTGATCTGTGGAAATGCAATTGGTTCCCCTCTTCCCACTGGAAGAAGCCAGTTTTGCACATGTTCATAAAAAAAATGCTGCATTCTTGTCTGTCTTTATAATTTGACTGAATATCCTTGGAATTTTCTTTTGAACTCCTCTTAACATCTTATTTGTTCTGTCCTTAATTAGTGAATTGTGAAATCTTTGTTACAAGTTTGTTTTATTTTTGCACAAGCCATTATTTTACTTTACTGATTAAATTATCATTTAACAAGGCACCCACTACCTCCAATTCAAAATAAAACATATTCACCTCAAGCATTTCAAGTAAGTTTTCCAAAGCCTGGGTGGGGAGGGGAACATGGCAAAGAACCTGCTGTGAAGTCTGTCTTTATGCCTCCAGATCTTGCTTACATTTTCTCTCTCCAGCATCTTTAACTTGAAAATATTCATCCACAGTCTCTCTAGGATTCCACAATATTCATGTTTTAGAGACCCAGTAACCACTCCAAGGATCTTACCAGATAATATTCTCAATAAAAATAGACCTCTTTTTGAAACAATTTCTAGTTCATTTAAAGAAATAAACTGTCTTCAAGAAGAAAGTTTCCAAGCTTTAGTCATCTCATTAGCCAAACAGGACTTATGATAATTATCTCACAGGAGTGCCTAAGATTTAAACATGATAGTATGTAGAAAGGCACTTAGAATAAAAGCAAAGAGAGGAGTTGCAATAAATTTTAATTCAACCTGAAACCATTTAGATAAGATGTGATAGGAATATATATATTTCATCTAGAGTTTAAAGTCATGGTCTGTTCAAAGACCTTGGATGCTGACTCTTCATTATTTGTTGTCATTTTTCTAAGTCAAGAGGAGGTTATGTTTCACATCCATTTTCATCCACCAATCAAGAATTGTTCCCAAAAGGAACTTCTCTTCTCCTGCTGTCATATACACAAATCATGTGTGTCACTCGTCTGCCAACCAAGGCTGCACAATTTCTGTTTAGTCTGAGAGATGCCTTGCCTGACCATCCTCTTTTGGTTATGCCATTAGGAAAGAAAATAATGCCCTTCTTCTATGTCCCCGTGTGAACTCAAGGCTTGCTTTTTTCCCCCATTAAACTAGAGAAATGTTTTTTAGAAAGTTGGGAGTTACAGGAGGAAGAAGAACCAGGAATGTCATACGTGACATTAAGTTATATTTTTAATCTGTGTCTGTATTAGTTTGTTCTCATGCTGCTAATAAAGACATACCTGAGACTGGATAATTTATAAAGGAAAGAGGTTTAGTTGTTCCACATGGCTGGGGAGGCCTCACAATCATGGCGGAAGATGAAGGAAGAGCAAAGGGACATCTTACATGGTGGCAGGCAAGACAGCCTGTGCAGGGGAACTCCCCTATATAAAACCATCAGATTTCATGAGACTTATTCACTATCATGAGAACAGCATGGGAGAGACCCACCCCTATGATTCAAATTACCTCCCACTGGGTCCCTCCCACAACATGTGAGAATTAGGAGAGCTACAATTCAAGATGAGATTTGGGTGGGGACACAGCCAAACCATATCAGTGTCGAATATCTAATTCTCGACAGAAATCTACTCCTCAGGTGAGTCTATATTTTTAAGCCCTGCTATTTCCTAACAATTCATTCTGGGCAGTCTCTTTGAATCTTAATATCCTCATCTTTAAAATACATACCATTGTTTTTCATTCTCCTTGTAATTGCTGGGTCTCCAGTGTCATTCTTACCTAAATTTTTCATATTTCAAGAAGGCCCCAAATCTGAAGGTCAAGAGAAGTGGCAGAAGACAAGTAATTGTGGTGAAAAAAACTGCAGAGGCAGAGGAAGAACAAAAAAAGGGAAGATTTTCCAAAACCCAGAAAGAAACTTGCCATTATGGTGAGGTTTACAGCATTTAATGCAACTTAGGAATGTTATCAACAGAACATCCTTTTTCTAGGATCCCCGTTTGTGGTAATGTTTTGGTACAGATTAACACCCAGCAATAACTACTAATTAGCAGCTTTGGCTTGAACAACTTACTCTAACAAAGTATTAGTCCTTTGGTTATACATATACATCATAACCAAAATTAGCTTGTACTGTCAGTAAGTAAGAAATTTTTCTAAAATAATAAAACTTCAACTTTGAGCTTGAATTTTCTCTGTGTGTGTGTCATGGGTTGAATTTTGCCCATCAATCCAAATTCACATGTTAAAGTTCTAACTCCCAGTACCTTAGAATGTGACCTTATTTGAAAAACGGGTCATTGCAAATGTAATTAATTAAGATGAGATCATTAGGTTGGCTCATACTCCAATATGACTTGTATATTTATTAAAAGGGGAAATTTGGACACAGACACACATACAGAAAGAATGCCATATGAAGAAGAATGCAAAGGTACTTCTACAAGTCAAGTATCGCCAAAGATTGCCAGCAAACCACTGGAAACTAGGTGAACAGCAGGGAACAGACTCTTCCTCTCAGTTCTCAGAAGATGCCAATGCTGCTAATACCTTGATCTCAAACTTTAGCCTCCAAAACAGTGAATACATAAATTTCTATTGTTAAAGCCCTTCAGTTTGTGGAACTTTGTTACAGCAGCCTTAGCAAATGAATACAGTGTGTTATAAAAGTAAGCAAAGACATTATTGTATACATCAACATATCACAACGGTAAACAGCCAAATCTGTGCTAATGATTTTTTTCCAGCTTATCTGTGGACTAGGACAACAGGATGTATTCAGCATTAGTACTACATTGTTATTCAATTACATTGTTCCATACAATCAGGCCACATAAGAAGATGGAAACCCGTCTCTACTAAAAATACAAAAAGCTAGCTGGGCATGGCAGCAGGCGCCTGTAGTCCCAGTTACTTAGGAGGCTGGGGCACAAAAATTGCTTGAACCCAGGAGGCGGAGACTGCAGTGACCCGAGATTATACCACTGCACTCCAGCCTGAGCAACAGAGCGAGACTGTCCTCCCAAAAAATAAACAAATAAAAGACCAATGTTAAAGGCTGAATGGTCACAATGTTATAATGTTATCTTGATCACAATACAAACATAATTTGATGTGAGATTATAACATGATAATTTGATATGAGACCATTGAATGTTTAGCAGCTTTTAAGTTCTCTCTATATTAAAAAAGAGGCAGCTAAGGAATCACCATCACTATATTTTTTCTTTGGTTCATCTGCATTTTATTTTAAATAACAACTCCGTGGTCCTTGCATGGACATTCTTAATGAGAATGTCCAGTAGATTATCATCATCAAATTATCATTACTGTCATTCACTGTGTACTGACTGGGTAGAATGATGAATATTCATATATTCAAATATAATTGCCTAATATATATTGAAATATTTCTATATTTATAATTTCATCTTATCAATCTACTATGTTCTGTTTGAATGACCTATAAAAAATCTATAAACCATGCTTTGTACATCACACAGAAAACCATAAATTTCCAATGGTAAATTGATTGTGTTAGTAGCCCCAATTAATGACTTCTCTCTATATTCATGATCTTTATCTGTACCTTCATAGTCCCCTTCCTCTCTGATTTCAGTCTTGGCTATAGGACTTGCTTTGGGCAATGGAACAGCAATAAACACAAACAGATTTGAAAAGCATGTTCACATTTCCACTTCCTTACATCCTTACATGGACACTGTGACTTCCATGAGAATAAGCCTGAGCTGGCTGTCTAGAGGGATGTGGCATGTGAAAGAGAATTGAGTCACCAAGAAACAAATAAGAAATAATAAATTATCTTTGTTTTAAGTCTTTACATTTTGGTATGCCTTGTTACATAAAATTATAGTGACAATTGATAACTGATACACTTTGTCTCTAGATTGTATTTTTAATAAAGACAAAGATCATGTTTATTTTGTTCACCACTGCACACCCTGGCATGCAGGAATAACTCAAAATATCAATTTTTAATAACTTGGAAGAGAGTTGCTATTACTAATTTGGAGAGCAAGGACAAAAAGAAGCAATGTTTTCCAAATATTTGAGATTAAATATGGACTGATTTGTTCCAAAGTGTATAAGAAAAGAGCAGTAGATTAAGGTTCAGGAAAGTACATATAAGTTTATCTTGGAAAAAAACTAAACAGTATTAAGAAATCACGAACACTGTGGCCAAGCTAGTATTTGGAATTAATCCCAGATCTATCACTTAATAACGTGAACCATGGCAATTTATATAATCTCTCTAAGCCTTAATTTATTCATTTTTAAAATGGTGCCATTAATTCCTATCCATAAGCTTTTGTAAGAAGGGAATGCTATTTCAATGTCACCTTCACAGAAATTTCTTTCTTGACTATACCAACCACATATCTTATTATCATTTATGTAGTACTGCAATGTTTGGGTTCATAATTTTATATATGTATGCATATGTGTGTATTCATATATACAGGTGTGTATAGTCATGTATGTGTATACATGGTTATATTTTAATAAATTTGTAAAATTTGATTGTTTACCTGATTATTACCTGTCTTACACCTATGTTGATTTTACACATCATTCTACTCCTAGTATGCATAATACCTAGCACATAGTAGCTGTTCTACAAATCTTTCTGTACTTAGTAAGTTAATTAACAACATATTTATACAAAGAATGAAGGACTATTACCATAATGCAAGTACAAAGTGCTTAATAAATAGTAATTATAATCATGATACCTCTAACAAAGGGTGAGCTATTTTGTGAGGGCGAAAATACTGAAACTAATTTAATGATTATGTTTCAGAGTTGCTGTAGTAAAATATCCTGCGCTTATTCAGAATTTGGACTCATTTAATAAAATTCTGAGAGCTTCTGACCATGAGTTAGTAACCATCAATGAGCAAATACAGAGCAAGGCAAACTCCCAAAGACAAGCACATACCTACAGAGAAGAGGAAATATGAAGACAAAAATAACCATGAAGATAGTCCCCGACTCAGCTTCTGATTGGCACATTTGACCTCTTTTGATTTGAGCATGGCTTCCTAGTGTCCCCAAGTTGAAAATTCAAGCCGTGTGAGCATCACACAAGGTCTTAGATAATATAGTGACAATTTTCAGTCTCTCGTCTTACCTTGATCTGAATTACTGACATACTAAATAATGTTTAAAATGTTTAAATATCATCAACTATTTTATCCTTAAGCCTTGGCCCTTAGAGTTCCTTATTACTAACATGATCTTTTCTCTTATTTGTCTGCCCAAATCCTACTCACAACTCAAGACTCTACAATGGTGTCACTTCCTATGGGAAGCCTGAACCTGACGGCCTCTTTCCAATCTAGGCGGAACAGTTTAGGTGCCCTGGATAGGTAAAATTTTATAATATAATGACTAATAATTGTGTATTTGTTTTCCTGGATATTTCAGTAGATTGTGAATTCCTTAAGGACAAGACTTATAGTTTTTTTCTATCTATATCATCATCAGTTAGAATATTCAGAAAGTGAGCTCTCAAGAGCTATGTATCAAGTGGAAATTTATCAAGAATATTTAAAATGGTCCAATTGCATAATATGTTAAGAATCCTACCAATTACAATCGCTATGTGACATAGCACATCTGTCAGTAATTTTGAGTTGGGGTGTGCTTCTGTGTAAGATTGAAATCATCTGTACTTTTAAGTTTTGTTAGGACTCACCTGTAGAAACCTCTGGGCCTTGTGGTTTTCTTGGTATGAAAAATTTTGACTAGGTACTCAATTTATTTAAATGCAATTAGACAATTCGGGCTTTTAAACTTCTGCTTGAGCCAATTTTGATCATTTCATTTTTTTTCCTAGGAATTTAACCATTTTATCTAACTATAAATAAACTGACATAAATCTGCTTTTTTATTTTATTATTATTATACTTTAAGTTTTAGGGTACCTGTGCACAACATGCAGGTTTGTTACATATGTATACATGTGCCATGTTGGTGTGCTGCACCCATTAACTCGTCATTTAGCATTAGGTATATCTCCTAATGCTATCCCTCCCCCTTCCCCCATCTGGTTTTGAGTTATGTCACTTACTTAATTTCTAATATTACTTATTTGCATTTTCTCTTTTCTTATTCAATCTCAGTCAAGTCAGAGGCTTAACAGTTTCATTAGCCTTGACAAAGAGCCAACCCTGGCCTTGTTATCTATTTTATGAATTTATGCTCATATTTGTTATTCTAGTACAGCATCTGGGTGAGTCTGAGAGTCCTTCTTCAAAAACGATGTAGCAAGAATTACTAAGCATGTGGTGGTACCCTTGATAGTCCGAGTATAGAAAACCTATTGGCTAAGAATAAGTTTAAGGGAGGCTATTGAAGGTATTTCTCAAAGGATAACTGTGGCCGCAGAAGGATCAAAACAGTGGAGCATCTCTGCCATCACGAAAAAAATCAGACTATGTGAACTAGATGTGAATAATAACAACTTTTGGCAGCAGCGAAAGCAATGTTCACAAAATCAATGGAATAGAAAAAGGCTCTACAAGGTACTTAGTGAGAGTATCAGAACATTTAGGCTGGTTAAGTAAGGTGTTCTTTGGGAGGTCGAGGCAGGTGGATCACCTGAGGTCAGGAGTTCGAGACCATCCTGGCCAACATGGTGAAGCCCCATCTCTACCAAAAATTAAAAAAAATTAAAAAAATCAGATGGGCGTGGTGACATGCATCTGTAGTCCCAGCTACTTGGGAGGCTGAGGCAGGAGAATCACTTGAACCCAGGAGGCAGAGATTGCAGTGAGCTGAGATTATACCGCTGCACTCCAGCCTGGTGACAGAGCAAGAGTCCGTCTCAAAAAAAAAAAAAAAAAAAAAAAAAACGGGAGGAAAAATGAAGCCCTGAGGAAAAAAAATTAGGATTTCCTGATAATTGGAGCATGTATATATGGGCTCAGGCTTTTGACCAGGCTGCTGAGACAACTGATGCCCACACAAATGTGGAAATTGTGCTATTATCAGGAATAGAAAGAAAGATTATTAACTACCTACTCTTAAGGGGTTTCAGTCTAGTGTAGCGAAATCTCCAACAAAAATAATAATAATATCCTGTGGTCTGTTATAAAAGAGATCTCTAGCAGTTGCTAGGAAAACTTGAGTTTCTAAATCCTTTGTTTTCTAAAATATTAGATCTTAGAGAAATCAAAGCAGGCTTTCTTCAGGAGATAGTGCTTGAGATAAATTTAGAAAATGGTTCTTAATTTGGTGCTCCTAGAGTCTTAAAGTTTCTAATGTTATGCTTCAGAGAGTTTGATTTCTTTTTGTCAAATTTTTGTGCACATTTGCCCTTGTAGTTAATAAATTTTATTGGATACTCAAAAGCAGCCAGTGATTTTAAACATATAAATATATGATTATAATCATATGTTCATAAATACATATATATGTATATATAGTTATATATGTGTGTGTGTGGCTGTGCGTGATTATTGTTGACAGTTACAGCAGCCTGAATAAAGCTTCATTCATATGTAGTGAAAATGAGTGACAATGTGATTGGAAAGTTAGGCCATGACTTGACCTGTGTATTAGTTCATTCTTACACTGCTAGTAAAGACATACCTGAGACCTGGTAATTTATAAAGGAGAAGGTTTAATGGAATCACAGTTCCACATGGCTAGGGAGGCCCCACAATCATGGCGGAAAGTGAATGAGGAGCAAAGTCACATCTTACATGGCAGCAGGCAAGAGAGCTTGTGTAGAGAAACTCCCCTTTATAAAACCACCAGATATCATGAGACTTATTCACTATCATGAAAATAGCACAGGAAAGACCTGCCCCCATGATTCAGTTACCTCCCAGCTGGGTCCCTCCCATGACATATGGGAATTATGGGAGCTATAATTCAAGATGAGATTTGGGTGAGGACACAGCCAAAACATATTATTCTGCCCCCATCCCTCCCAAATCTCATGTCCTCACATTTCAAAACCAATCAGGCCTTCCCCACAGTCCCCCAAAGTCTCAACTCATTTCAGCATTAACTGAAAAGTCCATAGTCCGAAGTCTCATCTAAGACCAGGCAAGTCCCTTCTGCCTATGAGCCTGTAAAATAAAAAACAAATTAGTTCCTTCCTAGATACAATGAGGGTACAGGCATTGGGTAAATATACCTGTTCCAAATGAGAGAAATTAGCCAAAACAAAGGGCTACAGGCCCCATGCAAGTCTGAAATCCAATAGGGCAGTCATTAAACCTTAAAGTTCTAAGAACATCTCCTTTGACTCCATGTCTCACAGCCAGGTCATGCTGATTGAAGAGATAGGCTCTCATGGCCTCTGGCAGCTCTGTTCCTCTGGCTTTGCAGAGTACAGCCCCCCTCCTGGCTGCTTTCACAGACTGTCATTGAGTGTGTGTGGCTTTTCTAGGTGCATGGTGCAAGCTGTCAGTGGATCTACCATTCTGGGGTCTGGAGGACAGTGGCCCTCACAGCTCCACTAGGCAGTGCCCCAGTGGGGACTCTGTGTGGGGGCTCTGACCCCACATTTCCCTTTTGCACTGCCCTAGCAGAGGTTCTCCATGAGGGCCCTGCCCTTGCAGCACACCTCTGCCTCGACATCCAGGCATTTACATACATACTCTGAAATCTAGGCAGAGGTTCCCAAACCTCTACGTTTGACTTCAGTGCACCCACAGGCCCAATACCATGTGGAAGGTGCCAAAGCTTGGGGCTTGCACCCTCTGAAGCCAGGACCTAAGATGTACCTTGGACCCTTTTAGCCATGGCTGGAGTGGCTGGGATGCAGGGCACGAAGTTCCTAGGCTGCACACAGCAGCAGAGCCTTTGGCCCAGCCCACAAAACCATTTTTCCCTCCTAGGTCTCTGGACCTCTGATGGGAGGGTCTGCCCCCAAAGTCTCTTAGATGCCCTGGAGATGTTTTCCCCATTGCCTTGGTGATTAGCATTTAGCTCCTCATTACTTATGCAAATTTCTAAGCAGGCTTGAATTTCTCCCCAGAAAATGGATTTTGCTTTTCTACTGCATTATCAGGCTGCAGATTTTTCAAACTTTTATGCTCTGCTTCCTCTTGAATTATTTTGTTGCTTAGAAATTTCTTCTAAATTTATTCTGCTAGATACCTGAAATCATCTCTCTCAAGTTCAAAGATTCACAGATCTCTAGGGCAGGGGCAAAATGTCTCTTTGCATAGCAAGAGTGACTTTTACTCCAGTTCCCAACAAGTTCCTCATCTCCATCTGAGATCACCTCAGCTGGCACTTTATTGTTCATATCACTATCAGCATTTTGGTCAAAGCCATTCAATAAGTCTCTAGGAAGTTCCAAACTTTCCCATATCTTCTCTCTTCTGAGTCCTCCAAACCATTCCAATCTCTGCCTGTTACCCAGTTCCAAAGTCGCTTCCACATTTTTGGGTATCTTTACAACAGCACCCTACTCTACTGGTAACAATTTACTGTATTAGTCTGTTCTCATGCTGCCAATAAAGACATACCAAAGACTAGGTAATTTATAAAGGAAAGAGGTTTAATTGACACACAGTTCTACATGGCTGGGGAGGTCTCAGAGTCATGGCTGATGGTGAATGAGGAGCAAAGTCACATCTTACATGGTGGCAAGCAAGAGAACTTGTGTAAGGGAACTCTCCTTTATAAAACCATCAGATCTCATGAGACTTATTCACTATCATAAGAATAGTATGGGAAAGACCCACCCCATGATTCAATCACCTCCCACCAGGGCCCTCCCATGACACATGGGAATTATAGGAGCTACAATTCAAGATGAGATTGGGTGGGGATACAGTCAAACCATATCAACCTGTAAAGGCACCTGATTAACAAGTTAAGAACTACAAAGAGCTTGTATAGAAAAGATTATTATCCATGGAGCACCAACTTCAGATGGCTGTCCATATTGAATGTACAAATATTTAATTTTTTTCTCACAACAAACACAAAATAAAGCATGCATTTAAATTCTACAAAAGCATTGAGTGCTTATTGCCTATACTGTGCTGAGCATACACAGATGAACACACTCAGTTTACTGGAACAGGAGGAATCCTAGTGCACTGAAAGAAACACAGATAGTGACAAAGTGCATAGGGTGCTAAGATGCAGGTGAGCCCTGTGTGATGTGACATCCAAAAGAAAGGGGCTTAGAAGGGTTCACGATCTTTTGTGTGCTCATGGAGATTTGAGCAACTCCCAAATTTCTCCAGAGGCACAAATTCTAAGCTCTAGATATGTGATCACTCTAGTGACATCAACAAGCCATTTCAGGAAGGAAGGAGAAAAGAAAAGAAGAAAGGGAAGAATGGAGGAAAGAAGGAAGGAAAGGAAAGGCAAGGAAAAGGAAGGTAAGAAGTGAAGGGAAGAAGGGAAGGGGATAAAGAAAGGGAAGGGAAAAAGGGAAGGGGATAAAGGAAGGGAATGGAAGACAGGGGAAAGAGAAAAGAAAAGAAAAGAGAAGAAGGAAGAAAGGAAGGAAGGAGAAAGAAAGAAAAAGAAAGAAAGAAGGAAGGAAGGAAGGAAGGAAAGAAAGAAAGAATTGGTGTGGTGTGGTGCTGAAAAAAATGTATATTCTGTTGATTTGGGGTGGAGAGTTCTGTAGATGTCTATTAGGTCCACTTGATGCAGAGCTGAGTTCAATTCCTGGGTATCCTTGTTAACTTTCTGTCTCGTTGATCTGTCTAATGTTGACAGTGGGGTGTTAAAATCTCCCATTATTATTGTGTGGGAGTCTAAGTCTCTTTGTAGGTCACTCAGGACTTGCTTTATGAATCTGGGTGCTCCTGTATTGGGTGCATATATATTTAGGATAGTTAGCTCTTCTTGTTGAATTGATCCCTTTACCATGATGTAATGGCCTTGTCTCTTTTGATCTTTGTTGGTTTAAAGTCTGTTTCATCAGAGACTAGGATTGCAACCCCTGCCTTTTCTTGTTTTCCATTTGCTTGGTAGATCTTCCTCCATCCTTTTATTTTGAGCCTATGTGTGTCTCTGCACGTGAGATGGATTTCCTGAATAAAGCACACTAATGGGTCTTGACTCTTTATCCAATTTGCCAGTCTGTGTCTTTTAATTGGAGCATTTAGTCCATTTACATTTAAAGTTAATATTGTTATGTGTGAATTTGATCCTGTCATTATGATGTAGCTGGTTATTTTGCTCATTAGTTGATGCAGTTTCCTCCTAGCCTCGATGGTCTTTACAATTTGGCATGATTTTGCAGTGGCTGGTGCCAGTTGTTACTTTCCATGTTTACTGCTTCCTTCAGGAGCTCTTTTAGGGCAGGCCTGGTGGTGACAAAATCTCTCAGCATTTGCTTGTCTGTAAAGTATTTTCTTTCTCCTTCACTTATGAAGCTTAGTTTGGCTGGATATGAAATTCTGGGTTGAAAATTCTTTTCTTTAAGAATGTTGAATATTGGCCCCCACTCTCTTCTGGCTTGTAGAGTTTCTGCCGAGAGATCCACTGTTAGTCTGATGGGCTTCCCTTTGTGGGTAACCCGACCTTTCTCTCTGGCTGCCCTTAACATTTTTTCCTTCATTTCAACTTTGGTGAATCTGACAATTATGTGTATTGGAGTTGCTCTTCTCGAGGAGTATCTTTGTGGCATTATCTGTATTTCCTGAATCTGAATGTTGGCCTGCCTTGCTAGATTGGGGAAGTTATCCTGGATAATATCCTGCAGAGTGTTTTCCAACTTGATTCCATTCTCCCTGTCACTTTCAGGTATAAAATCAGACGTAGATTTGGTCTTTTCACATAGTCCCATATTTCTTGGAGGCTTTGTTCATTTCTTTTTATTCTTTTTTCTCTAAACTTCCCTTCTCGCTTCATTTCATTCATTTCATCTTCCATCGCTGATACCCTTTCTTCCAGTTGATCGCATCGGCTCCTGAGGCTTCTGCATTCTTCACATAGTTCTCAAGCCTTGGCTTTCAGCTTCATCAGCTCCTTTAAGCACTTCTCTGTATTGGTTATTCTAGTTATACATTCGTCTAAATTTTTTTCAAAGTTTTCAACTTCTTTGCCTTTGGTTTGAATTTCCTCCTGTAGCTCGGGGTAGTTTGATCATCTGAAGCCTTCTTCTCTCAACTCGTCAAAGTCATTCTCCATCCAGCTTTGTCCCGTTGCTGGTGAGGAACTGCGTTCCTTTGGAGGAGGAGAGGCGCTCTGCTTTTTAGGGTTTCCAGTTTTTCTGCTCTGTTTTTTCCCCATCTTTGTGGTTTTATCTACTTTTGGTTTTTGATGATGGTGATGTACAGATGGGTTTCTGGTGTGGATGTCTTTTCTTTTTGTTAGTTTTCCTTCTAATAGACAGGACCCTCCATTCACAATTGCTTCCAAGAGAATAAAATACCTAGGAATCCAACTTACAAGGGATGTGAAGGACCTCTTCAAAGAGAACTGTAAACCACTGCTCAATGAAATAAAAGAGGATACAAAAAAATGGAAGAACATTCCATGCTCATGGGTAGGAAGAATCAATATCATGAAAATGGCCATACTGCCCAAGGTAATTTATAGATTCAATGCCATCCCCATCAAGCTACCAATGACTTTCTTCACAGAATTGGAAAAAACTACTTTAAAGTTCATATGGAACCAAAAAAGAGCCTGCATCGCCAAGTCAATCCTAAGCCAAAAGAACAAAGCTGGAGGCATCACGCTACCTGACTTCAAACTATACTACAAGGCTACAGTAACCAAAACAGCATGGTACTGATACCAAAACAGAGATATAGATCAATGGAACAGAACAGAGCCCTCAGAAATAACGCCGCATATCTACAACTATCTGATCTTTGACAAACCTGACCAAAACAAGCAATGGGGAAAGGATTCCCTATTTAATAAATGGTGCTGGGAAAACTGGCTAGCCACATGTAGAAAGTGAAACTGGATCCCTTCCTTACACCTTATACAAAAATTAATTCAAGATGGATTAAAGACTTAAACGTTAGACCTAAAACCATAAAAGCCCTAGAAGAAAACCTAGGCATTACCATTCAGGACATAGGCATGGGCAAGGACTTCCTGTCTAAAACACCAAAAGCAATGGCAACAAAAGCCAAAATTGACAAATGGGATCTAATTAAACTAAAGAGCTTCTGCACAGCAAAAGAAACTACCATCAGAGTGAACAGGAAACCTACAAAATGGGAGAAAATTTTCGCAACCTACTCATCTGACAAAGGGCTAATATCCAGAATCTACAATGAACTCAAGCAAATTTACAAGAAAACAACAAACAACCCCATCAAAAAGTGGGCAAAGGACACGAACAGACACTTCTCAAAAGGAGACATTTATGCAGCCAAAAAACACAGAAAAAATGCTCACCATCACTGGCCATGAGAGAAATGCAAATCAAAACCACACTGAGATACCATCTCACACCAGTTAGAATGGCAATCATTAAAAAGTCAGGAAACAACAGGTGCTGGAGAGGATGTGGAGAAATAGGAACACTTTTACACTGTTGGTGGGACTGTAAACTAGTTCAACCCTTGTGGAAGTCAGTGTGGCGATTCCTCAGGGATCTAGAACTAGAAATACCATTTGACCCAGCCATCCCATTACTGGGTATATACCCAAAGGACTGTAAATCATGCTGCTATAAAGACACATGCACACGTATGTTTATTGCAGCACTATTCACAACAGCAAAGACTTGGAACCAACCCAAATGTCCAACAATGATAGACTGGATTAAGAAAATGTGGCACATATGCACCATGGAATACTATGCAGCCATAAAAAATGATGAGTTCATGTCCTTTGTAGGGACATGGATGAAATTGGAAATCATCATTCTCAGTAAACTATCGCAAGAACAAAAAACCAAACACCGCATATTCTCACTCATAGGTGGGAATTGAACAATGAGATCACATGGACACAGGAAGGGGAATATCACACTCTGGGGACTGTTGTGGAGTGGCGGGAGGGGGGAGGGATAGCTTTAGGAGACATACCTAATGCTAAATGATGAGTTAATGGGTGCATCACACCAGCATGGCACATGTATACATATGTAAGTAACCTGCACATTGTGCACATGTACCCTAAAACTTAAAGTATAATAATAATAAAATTAAATTAAAAGAAAGAAAGAAAGAAAGAAAGAAAGAAAGAAAGAAAGAAAGAAAGAAAGAAAGAAAGAAAAGAAAGAAAGAATTTTTTTCCTAGAACAGAATGTGTCCACCAGGAAGAAAATTTTAGGAAGCCTTGAGCCTTCTACTTAAATGTATTTGAGTTTGCCTACGTTTTATGCTGCTTTGCCCAATATTAGTGTCCAAATGAAAGGACTCTTGTTGCTGATTGCTGTTTGCTTTTGCCTTGGCCGCTGAAGTTTTACTTGGCCTTGTCAGATATTGACTTTGCCCTTGGCTGTTTCACTTGCAGCATTTTTTTTTTTCAAATTCTGTCAACAGACTGAACCAATATTTCTTTGCAGGAATTAAACATTAATGGATTGACAGAAGTTTCTGGAAAAATCTTTCACAGCCAATGGACAGCATCTGTTGTAGATGAGCATAAAACCAAAGTGGACAAAAATTCATCTTGATTTTGTCATTGTTGTTGCCATTTGTTTGTCCTTTAGAGAAACACTCTATGCTTCAAGAATGCATGAAGTTTTTGCCAGGTAGGTTGAGTGTAGAGGAAGTGGTGGTCAAATCTGGAAAGGAAGATTATAAATATCTCAAAACTCTATTTTCCCATTACAAGAGTGTGAAGAGAGGAGGATTAAGTCATTGACTAATAATAAACATGCAATTAAGAAGAAAAATAAACACCATGTTAGAAGAAACAAAGAGTAGAAACAGAACATGAAAGGCTCCAAGAAGGACTAGAAATAAACTATCTTCACTTATTTCTTAATATATTGAGGAGAGGAATCTCTGGACATTGATTAAGAGCCAAGTAAATACACAACTGTCACTAATGTGAATCTAATAATGAGTGAAGGATCTAATAATGAGTGGAGGAGTGAGCTGCCTATAGGCTATTTCACATGAGATGCAGGGAATGTAATCAACTGAGTATGTACGGCCTTGGGAGCTGGACAGACTTGGGTTCTAATTCCAGCTCTGCCTCTAGCTGGCTTAGTTACCTTGTGGGACTGACTTGATCCCACTGGGGTCAAAACATCTACCACAAATTGTTATATGAGTTAAATAAAAAATGTCTCAAAAACACTCAATGCAGCATCTGACAAATACTCCCTGGTAATCACAGTTATTTGAGAAGATCTTCATATGACCTCTCCCTCTCTCTTCCCCAAATCTCCCATTGCCAATAGAATCAATATTCTATTACGGGCCACTCAATTTGCCTCCACTGAAAGATGACCCTTGTAAATCTCAAAGATTTCTAGCAAAACTTGGTAGGAAGTTTAAAGGGGCCATCAGTGAAATATCAAAAAAACAATGGGAATTCAGAGACCCACCCCCAACCCCCCTCCCTGACAGATCCATTCTCACAGTACCAATAGAGAGGAAAGTTTTGGAGACAGGAAAGTTTGGGAGTAAGTCAAACAATAGCTCAGCCTTGGGCACAGAGGGTCCCTGCTACATACCAATTTCAAATAACATTTCCTGGTCACTTGGCGTTGTCAACTAATGGAATATATTTATTTTATACTCTCTCATTTAATCCTCACAACAACCATTGTAGAATGAGAAAAAAGGCTCAGAAAGGCAAAGAAGTTTGACTTGGGCAATAAAGCTATTAAGTATCAAATCTAGAATTAAAATGTAAGAATTCAGTCCTTATACTTGTTCATCTACACAACAGCTGGCTCACACAGGAACTCTGGCCTCTATCTTGCCCCTTAGCCCACTAAGTGCAGAGTTCTAGAGATTTGTGTGGGGAAGTTCTTGCCAAGGGGCATGAAAGGCTCATCAATTAAGAAAGCTGGAGAAGGAAAGGAGCTTTTGTCTCATCCCTTCTCCAAATAACTTTGCCTAGGAGAAGAACAGTGATGTGGGATTTAGAAAGCCCCTTTCTTTTCTGAAAGTAAAACAGACACAGAGGTATCCAGAGGAGACAAAAAAGAATCAGAGATCTCTGACTTTACGGCCTGTCCCATATTTTTGTTTTCTAATTCTAATAACCTCTCTTCTTGTTGAATGATGCTTGGTAATTCCTATCTTCCAAGATGCTTTTTAGAAGAGCTGGGTCATTTTGAAATCAACAAGATAAGTGAAACAAGGAAACTAATTTTGTCTACACAGCTTTGGTCCTTTTCTTAAATTGAGTAGGTTCCCATGGTGATGGTTTAGCCATTTTATCACATCTTCAGAGGTTAGACGAGGGGAACAGAAAGATTATGCTTTGACTCCTGGGTTTCAGTCTGTTCAAGGCAGCACTGAAAGTAATTTACCTGCATGATTTCTCTCTCCCAGGTCAGCAAGAACTTCTTCTTCCTCACCTGCCACACCCAGTCAGTCATGAAGCCCTATTGATACCACTTCTTTTCTGTTTCCTGAATCTGTCAGCTTGCCTTTTGCAATCCTTACCCACACTTCAGACCACTATTATTCCTTCCAGGGACTATTATGGTATTTTACTATTGTAGAATTTCCCTGCCTTAAATCTCACTAACCTTTCCCAATCCGTCTAATCTTCATAAAGCAGCCAGAATATACATTGGATCCAACATGCCTCATCATGTCCTTCCTTAAAGCCCCTCGGTAGTTTACATTTATGCTGAAATAAAATGATATGGTGGGTGGGGGAGGAATTCTTCAAGTATTTGTGATAAGAAATAAAGAACATATTTAAATTAAATTATTAGTGTTTGCAATTTTCCCAACCCCACACTTCCACTATCATTAAGATGAGGGAGGCTGTGTCTATCTTGAAAGCTGTTTTGTGAAAGTGGTAGAAATAGGGATGACAGAAAAGTTTATGGGTTTTTCTATAATAGAAAAAACAAAACAGAGAGTAACTTCCTGGAGTGGGATTTCAGTGGGGAGGCGTGAAAGGAGAGAAAAAAGGAATATATTGGTAAGTTGAAAGAATGTATGGGGAAGTTTGAGATCAGAGACTAGAGGACTCTGGTGACAGCTGCTATGTGAATAAGAGATGGTGAAGGAGGAGGTAAGGAATTTTGCTGTGGGTGATGAATGCAACCTCCACTATTGGTGTTTTGTGTTGTGTGAAGTGTAGTGAATATTTAACTATCATTTCTTTCTTTCATTCTTTAGTGTAGAACTGATGTGTCTTTGAATACCACACCAAGAAAAATCTAGCTGGCTTGACTTTACAAGACGATTCCATCCAAAAGTCATTATTTTTCCTGAATTTCCCAGAAACACAAGGAAAAAAAAGTTTGGATTAAGCTTCAGCAGAACCGGCTGTGGTTATAACTACAATCCATTAGGTTGTCACCCACTCGTGGTACAATCATTTGCTACACCAGAATTTGTTTGTTGAGTCTCATCAACAGGGGCAAAAGACACTCTGCCCCAAATTGCTCGTCTATTCTCTCAGCAGCCTGATCACCACAGTATTTGCTGGAGAGAAACTGGAGCCAAGACTAATGTGGAAAAGCACATTTCTGTAACCACTTCCATATGAGGGTCATTATCATTCCAAACCACCTCTGTTGTCAGAGATTTAGAATAAAAATACACATACCATGTTTGTTATGATCTTCTTTTTTTTTTTTTTTTTTGAGACAGAGTCTCACTCTGTCGCCCAGGCTGGAGTGCAGTGGCACGATCTCCGCTCATTGCAAGCTCTGCCTCGCGCGTTCAGGCCATTCTCCTGCCTCAGCCTCCCAAGTAGCTGGGACTACAAGTGCCCACCACCGCGCCCAGCTAATTTTTTGTATTTTTAGTAGAGACGGGGTTTCACCATGTTAGCCAAGATGGTCCCGATCTCCTGACCTCAAGATTCGCCAGCCTCGGCCTCCCAAAGTGCTGGGATTACAGGAGTGAGCCACCGTGCCTGGCCTGTTATGATCTTCTTACTCATTTGATAGCACCAGTGTCCTGAGAAAAATAACATATACTCCATTACCCATCCATACACTTACCCAGGCACTCATTCACCATATTAACTAGATAGACACATGATGTTGCTGCTCCTGTTGATGATAACAATGTTGAGGTGGATGGATGGATGGATGGATGGATGGATGGATGGATAGATAAATGGCTGGACAGACAGATAGCTAGGTGACAGATAGAATATGTACACAGAAAGCATTCAGATTTTTCTGCCATGGACCTGATTTTATGTGACTGTATCAGTTTTAATAACTGTATTATTAGATAATAGTAAGTGTTAATGAGAGTTAAATGTTCTTTAAATTTTATAACATTGTAATCATTTTAATACAAATAAATACACAAATCAGAAGATAGCCATTGTCAAACCATGTGCCCTGGGGCTGTTTTCAAACCACCGTGGCCATAAGCAGTAGCAATAAGACTATGAAATTCCAATTTGAAAATTAAGTCACCGTAGATCACCAGTAAGGCCCAGGGTCCTATCCCCTCAGGAACCTGGGCTGGTGAAAGTCAAGCACTGGGCTCTCTCTAGATCAACACTGCTCCTTTCCTGTTTACCAGCAGAGAACAAAGTGGTGGAGAGCACTGGCATTGAGGTCAGAACTGGGCTGACTCCCAACTTGGCACTTACTAGCTCTGACCTTGGGCCTTTTAATTCCCCCCTCAGAGCCTCATTGAACCAGCCTGCAATAATAGAGATAATAAACCCACCTCCTAAGGTCTTTGTGAGAATTAAATAATAAAACCCAAGCTACAGGACTTGCAGAATACTGAGTGCAGAGCAAGTTTTTAAATGAATATTAGTTATGATTAAAATTATTAATATCCTCAAAGGCAATGCATGAGATAAGGGGTCAAAGGAAAGGAGATCTTTGACTCTTGCCAAAGATATGATATGAAGTGTAATTGCTCAGGGCAAGACAGCCCCTTCATAAGCAAATACACTACTGTTGCCTTGAAATACTTTTCTTTCCTCTAATTTTCTCATATATCCCAGTACAGAGTTTTTCCCCTATTCCTGCATTGTCTTCAGTTTTCATCACATATGTAAACAATTGTAGAACTTAACATCTCACATTGCTTCAGGTTTATCAGTGGTAAAGCTTTTTCTGGTTCTTTCTCATACATTTCTTTATTAAACCATCCATTTTGTTTATCTTCATACTCTCTCAATCACTCTCATTTCTTATATTTTCTTATGTTAGATTCTCATTATTAGTCCTTTGAAAGAAGAAATTTGTTGGGGGAATACAATGCCTATCTATTCAATGTGAATAACTCTTAAGGAAAAATAATACATTCTCACGGTCCAAAACTCAGAAAACTCACATGTGTGATGCTTAGAATAACTTTTGCTAATTTTTCATCATTTAAAGTTATTACATTTCTTTTTTCATCTATAAGTTATTTACCAATTTTTACTTTTAAATTTTTGGTCTTACTACTCATTTTTAAAATTTTATCTCTTTATTCTATACATATTTGATACTAAACTCCACTTATTGCAAAATAAATTCCAATAGCCAGATGTCTTAGCAACCCATACATCTAAAAAAAAAAAAAAAGAAAAAGAAAAACCTTTGATGCAGTTTCTTTCCATGTTCTTATAGGGAGTTAGAATGGAGGAGCTTTCTATTGATGACATGTAAGTGTGAAATATAAATAGACCTGCACTCCTACTATGTATATTAGACCCCTCTTATACCCCACCTCACAATCTCTTTTCCCATTTCTTACTTTAGTGTTACTGTGGCAACAAACCCCAGGCAAATATGACCTGGCAGCACCTTACCACCACCAGACTGAGTATTTCTTGCATTCCATTAGGACATTACTGCTGCTGTGAGTGATGCCTGCAAGAAGCCACACAACCATTCAAGCACATTGGCAAACCTGCATGAGTGAGCAAGTTACTCCGTGGAATCACCCTTGAGCAATGAGGGACAGGCACAGGTAAGAAAGTCCTTTCCTTTGCTGTATCTCAGGCAGACAATTCTGAAGCACACTTCACACAGTTCTTCAGAGGATTCCTGATGGGGTGGAGCTCCAGTTGCCCACTGCAGTAACCAATTCAATAGCAGACAGTTGGAGTGGCTTTCCTTCCTGATCTGTTGCATTCTTCGCAGTTCCTTGAGAACACTTAGGAAAATAAACTGGTGAATGCTTGTCTTAGATTCTGCTCTTTCTTTTCCAAAACTTGGGCCAACATGCTACATCTGCTTGAAAATAGGAAGAAAGATGTTTTCTCCCACCTTCTACTCTTCAACTCCTGGTTCGAAATTCAGAGTTTTTACTATCCAGAGAACTAGGCAACCACTTCTCCACTGTGTGGGGGATGCTTTCTAAGGGATCCAAATATTGTGTATCTCCTACCTCTTCTTCCACACATCAATATCTCTATACATGGGTTCCAGACTGTGACTCCTAAAATAATAGGAGGAATCATCGGGGGAGAACAATGGAGGGAGAAAATAGTGAGAGGAGAGGCTGGCCTGTTGAGTCCCAGAAGTCTCTATAAATTTGACACTTAAGGTCAGGGGAGAAATAGAAAGAGCCTTATGTGCAAGGCATAATGGGGATTATAGGTTTTCCTGCCCAATTTCAATTCATCAGAGGCTGGCCAGGAAGACCTCAGCTGATCTAGCATGGCTGCAGTCGCTGAATGAATTCAAAACACCAGAATTTTAAGTGGGTGCTCTGCACATCAGTTCCACAGCTGAGATTCTTTCACACCCAGGTGGACACAGAATGAGAACATGTAAAGTCCAAGGACCTGGGCATCAGCAGATATGTCTAGAGAGTGGTACCTCTCCATAGTCAGCAGTGGCAGTTTTAAAACTGCAGTTTTCACTCATTATTATTTTCCTTGGTGAAAGGACTTCTAGAAGCTGTTAATTCTGTAGCCAACATTTAGCGAGCACAGTAAAACACTTTACAGCATGAATTCTGCATAAGCTCCTCCTCACTAGCTTCTGCCTACCCTCTTGCATTTTACTGGATACTCAAAAGTAGCCAGTGATTTTAAATATGTAATTATAGTCATATGTTCATAAATACATATATATGTATATAGCATTATATATATGAGTGTGTGTGTGTACATGTGTGGCTGTGTGTGCGATTATTGTTGAAAGTTACAGCAGCCTGAATAAAGCTTCATTCATATGTAGTGAAAATGAGTGACAATGTGATTGGAAAGTTAGGCCATGACGTGACCTGTGTATTAGTTTGTTCTTACACTGCTAATAAAGACATACCTGAGACTGGGTAATTTATAAAAGAGGAGGTTTAATGGACTCACAGTTCCACATGGCTAGGGAGGCCCCACAGTAATGACAGATCTGTCATATCTTGAAGCTAATATTTGCAAATACTTTTACATGCTTTCTCACAAAATTACAAAGCCCATCAGGATGGGGTCCTTCACCAATACCCACACTCTTCAAAACTCATATCTCATGAGGTTTTTAAAAATCCACTTACATACACCTTGATGAAGTGTGTATGTGTGTGTGTGCATGTGTGTTGTGTGTTGTGTGTATGCATCTTTCAAAAGGAGATATATGTCCAAGTATCCAAGCTGCTACCTTGAAGAACTGTATGGTTTTTTGGAATGTGAAAATCTCCTGGCCAGGTGTGGTGGCTCACGCCTGTAATTCCAGCACTCTGGAGGCTGAGGTGGGTGGAATGCAGGGGTTCAAGACTAGGCTGGCAACATGGCAAAGCCCCATCACTGCAAAAAAAATGCAAAAAGTAGCCAAACATGGTGGCACACACGTGTGGTCTCAGCTACTCAGGAGGCTGAGATGGGAGAATCACTTGAGCCCAGGAGGTCAAGGTTGCAGTGAGCTGAGATCACACAACTACACTCCAGCCTGGGTGACAGAGCTTTTGCGACAGTCTCACTCTGTCACACACACACACACACACACACACACACACACACACACACACAGAAAAAAGGACCTGGTCAACATAGTGAAACCGCTTCTCTACTAAAAATACAAAAATTAGCCTGGTGTGGTGGCGGGATGCTGTATTCCCAGCTACTCGGGAGGGTGAGGCAAGAGAATCGCTTGAACCTGGGAGGTGGAGGTTGCAGTGGGCCGAGATTGCACCACTACACTCCAGCCTAGGCAACGGCGCGAGACTCCATCTCAAAAAAAAAAAAAAAAGAAGAAGAAAAAAAAGGATATCTCCTGACCATGATGTTTTTCGTGGAGTCTTTCCCTCTCGATGCATCCTCTGTGTCCCTCTCAGTACCTACATAATTATCTCTTAGTCTGTCTCTACGTCTGTTTATCTGTGACCACCTCTCTCTATGTCTGTTTCTACATCTCAGTCTATCTTTATCTTTATCTCTTTCCCCAACCTTGGCTCTTTCTTTTTGTTATATAGTTTCCCTGACTGTAATATACCCACACACTGTCTCAAAATCTAACCCCAAATATAGTGACCTGATGTTGAATTAGCTATAGACAACTTCTCTGTCTTCTGTCAACTCAATGTGAAGTTTCCCTTTTTTCTATATAAGGAAGTACATTCTCGTCTTAATTTTTATTTTTCAAATGCCACTATGATCATCACAAATTCCCTTTTAGCCAAATTGGTAGTATATTTAAACTGCTTTTCAATTTACAGTACAAGTTTCCCACAGAACTAGCATGAACTACACGGTGAACTCTAGTCCCCAAGTGACACTAATATTTTTCACTTCCAAAAAACCAGAAGCTTCTGTGTGATATGTCTTTACTTTTGGAAACTGAGAATAGTTAAGATGGAATCCAAAAAAGTGATTTATGTTCTTTGATGCCCAAGTAAAATGGCAAAATCTTATTTCATTGTACAATCTATATAAAGATTTAAGGATACATTATTTCATTAACATAAGTTCCTTAGGAGGTAGAAATCTGGAATTGGTTTAGAAATCAAAGTAGATATGCTCACTCAAGTCCTAAGCAGGGTAATAGCAGGAGAGCTAATGGGTCATTTTTGGCAAAATTCTCAGAAGAGTTGAGGTTTTCCAAAGAGTGGATCCCATTCATACTGTATCCACATGCAAAATAGTTTCAATCAATTTAACTGATTCCCCTCAAAGTTAAATTTATTTTCTTTTTATATTGTCTTTTTATTATTAATGGATGATCTAACTCACTCTTAACTCCTTGCGAGCTGGAAGACATAAGACCCACACTCCCTGGTGACCAATGCAGTCAAGAAGTGAGAGATCAGAGATGAAAGCGCCTGAATAAATATATTGATTTCCTTTTCCTGGAGTGCTAACCCTTAATATGCAATAGAAAACCAGCTACTGTCGTTTACATGTTGCAAAATGCAAGCAGTTAAAATGATAAATTGGCATCAAATAGACAGCACTTTCACTTTTTAAGTTAATGTTTGGACAGTTTGTATGTGGCAACAACTATTTACTATATAGATCAATTTTGATATGGATAACACACTTATATGCCCTAACATCCAGAAGTTCTTCATCTTCTTTATTAATGTCCCATTCAAAAAGTGGAGATGATACTAGCAGCTATGGTGGGACAGAAGGAAAAATATGAGGGGCATACTGATATCATCATCAATCAATGAAGAATTTTTGATATCTACCCTATGCCTAAGACTGTTAAGCGCCTTAGAGAACAGCAAGAACACATATGGTGAGTTCCTTTAAAACTCGTTATTTTAAGCTGCTTGTGCAGGCAAGACCTACATCCAGCAAATTACTAAGAAATAAAATATAGTACAGGGGGAAAGATGGACAAATGTCCAGTGGTCACCCTCTATATGTACATAGCTGTTCTTTAACTTGTCATTTTTCTCAGTTCACAGATAAGATAGTTAGAGAGTTCAGATGGCAAGAGCTTAAGAAAACTATACAAGTAATTTTTAAAAAGCCAACCTATATTGAGTATTACTATATGACAGGTACCATACTATACCATTTGCACCCATTGTTGAATTTCATTTTTACAATAATTCATTTAGAAGGTTATTCTTATTCCCATTTTGCAAGTGAGGAAGCCTGCCCAAGTTCCACTAGTATGTGGCAGAGCCAAACTACACACCAGTCTATCTGCTTCAAAAGACAGTATCTTCAAGTATTCTAATATGTTTTAGACTTAGATAGTACATTTTAAAGAGTTATAAAATAAAGAAATGAATGTAAAATTTAATTTCTGACAATGCGTATGTTGGATGTGTATATCTGTGTGCATGTGGATGCATGTATACAAGTATTATGGTTAGATGGCAAGATCAGTGATTTCATGGAGTTATATTATCTCCGAAGCACCAAGAAGCTCCTTTATCAGAAATGCTGGGGACACTAGTCCCAAGGAATTTTAAAAATGTATGTCTTCAGTGTTCCCAACATTGAGCATCTCAATGCACAAATTCATTATAATCCCTGTAGTTCTGTTCCAGGCCCCAAGGGATAACAAAACTTCAAAGAATTTCTGGGTCATTCCCACTGCCAAGTTATATTTACTTGATTCAATACAGATGAATGTTTACTGGTCTTTATTTTCTGCCTTAAACATCTTGTTCTACAGAAACAACAACAAAAACAACAACAACAAGCAAAAGAAATCTCCTTGCTATTCTGCAGTATTCTACTAATCCACTACACAGTATCTCTGTCCTGGAAAGTTACACATGATTTACATATTCTTTCACCCAAGCCCCAAACTCCCATTGTTCTGCAGAGAGGACTTCAATCTTGTTCTGATGAATGATCCCCATCTAGATACAGAAACAATGGTTCAAGATACTCTCATACCTATCACAAGTAGGTGGGTTGATCTTAGCCCTAACCAACTCACTAAGTAATCAAGATTCCCCTGCCACTTTCACAAACTAGTTACTGTCTAAAGATAAAATGCTTTCATTTGAAGATTATAGAAAACAGAAGAGATGGAGTGGAGGGTGCTGAAAAAAAGTCATATATTAGAGTAAAACTGTCAAATGTGTGCTAATGACAATAGAAAGTATCTTGGGGAATTTATTTCCCTTATGTCAGGAATAAAACCTTAAAATCCCAGTGCCCAATCACTTGGCAACTCAGGCACTTACATAGATTTACGATAGGATTTTTTTTTCTAATTCAATATCAAGAGCTGTTTAGCCAGAAATGACTCTTGCACTTGATATGGGGAAGCAAAGCAGGAGTCTACTCTAATGCACACTTGATAAAACAAAGAAAATGTAGTGGACTTCCAGCCACAAAGAGCCCTGGGGAGCTTATCAGATAATGGAATCCTCTGCCTCTAGGCAGGGCTGCAGCAAAAGCCGCTTGAACCCAACCTACTTAGGGATAGATTAAAAATGCCATCCAGGGACATTGTCTACTTGACATCAATCACTGATGTGTTTAAAAAATTCACTCTTCCATGTTTTTTTCATCTCACATAGACTTCTTTTTTCTATGCAGCACCTTTGCCCAATTATTCCAGTGGCTTAAATGTCAAGACATTTAGATTCATTGCAACTCTGACATAAAAATTCTGCTAAAGAGAAATTCTTGTTAAAGTTATTAAGGTAAAGTTCATTTTCCCAGCTCTTCAAATATCCAGATGTTTGGCATCATGTAAGAGAGAAACATCAAAATAATTGCCTACATTTTCCCTAAATAACACATCCCTTATCTAACCCACTTAAAGAAAGATCATCTATCAAAATCTGAGATCAAACATTTCAAGCTATCTCAGAATCTGGGGTCAGAATGACTCCTTCCATAGGGAGAAGGAACATGTATTTATTGACAGCAGGTGCTGGCCAAGTAATTCCTCCCATTCAAAATTTTATAAAACATTAAGCAGCTATTTTTTAACAAATGGAGAGTACAACAAAAGAGAAGAAATGATAGACTATGTTTTTACATTAAACAATTTGATATTGTCTCAAAATTATCAATCAGCATGAATTATTTTTATAATTTAATTTTTAAAGTAAAAATATAATCACAAAAAACAGCCTTCTTTAGGCATATGCATTAGCTATGACTGTCATCAAAGACAACCATTGGCTTTGTCATCCTTTCAGATCACGGGCAGTGGGTGTCCCTTGGGACTTTTTGAGGTGCTAACACTGGAGAAGAAAAGCACACAGCTGGGAGGCTCTGGGAAGCAGTGAGTTCAGAAGTCAAATCAGAAAACTCAAGTCCAGAGATTAAAGATTGTATGTATCAGACTACCTCTCCAATTCACTGGAAAGAAAATAACCAGGAGTAGGACATCGGACCTGCTCTGCCTTCTCATGTCCTTAGCACTATCATTCAGTCCCATTCTGTTCTTGAACTCATCTCACTCAGGACAAGACAATTTTAGGAGTATCCGCTTGTGGGTCTGAAATGTCTGATGCTGCCATTAGCTTATGTGAATTGAGCTTGGAGCCATTAGCTTATGTGAATTGAGCTTGGAGAAGTCTTGTATTCCCATCCACTCACGGCGCCACAATCTTCTCCTCACATCCGTTCCTTCATTAACTTATCTTCTTCCTTACTTCCTGTTTGTTTAGCATATTCTTATTCTGAAAGTCCATTGACTTAACCCAGATCTTGATAACATACTCACACATTGAATGTGAAATCTCATTCAACCCTTTTATGGAAGATGAATTTCCCTGTGAGATGGTTTTGGTGCTAGATTGAGCTAAGGAGAGCTTTTCAACTATCACTAGCACAGCTTAATTTTGTCTGTGTTTTCAGAGACTTCTACATCTTTATAATCAGTTTTAGGCAAGTGGAAATTTTAAATAGAAACAAATGATTTTATACAACTCACCACTTGATACTTAACCATGACTCACTCAAGGTCAGCCATGGCTTCAGGTTCTACCTCCAGGTCTCTGCCTATAACTGAGAAAGATTTTTTGGTTGGTAGAAGCTGGAAGGAGTCATTCTTTCCTCCCAACCACCAATTCACTCAAGTGTGACTTTCAGCAATTAATTATCCCCAGCTTTACTTCCTATCTAGGATGACCAACAGTCCTGATGTATCCATAGCTGGCAGGTTTCCTGGAATATAGAACTCATAACTAAAACAGGGATAGGCCCTTTTCTGTGTCATCTCAGCTGTGGTTCTGAAAATTACCTCTGACACATTCTTACTACAAAATTGGCCAGATATATTCCAATAATTAACTTTGCCAGGTGAATGTAGCCAGACTCTGAAATATCAGGCGCCATTTCTGAATTGGTCCCTGCAGATTTCATAGTTAGTTCGAATTAAATAGAAAGCAAAATTTCTTTTGTTTTGATTTGTTTTCTCATGTTTTTAGCATTTAAAAAGTTATCTGTAATAGTAAGCCAATGTTTTAATTGCTTTTCTTAATTACCAATGAGGATAAGGTGTTTCTGTGTTTGAATAGAAGCCTTCTAAACAGAAGTTGAGTTTCAGTAGTAGATACTGGGGTGCACATCCCAGAAACCCCCTTTAGGATGAAGGCACTCATTCCCCCACCCTCTGGGAGTATTGGCTATTGATGGTTTACAGCTAAGTCCACCCCCAGGAATTGACCTAGACCACAGAAATATGTCTCACTCATCATTACACCTCCTCCGCAGAGGCAACACACATTTAAGAACTGTTTAATGCAGAAATACAAAGGCCTAGCCTCCTTGCTTCAGTTGAGGTCAACTCTGAAGGGCCATTTATGGTCCAGAGCTCCCAGTAGTATCAGCTGATGCCACTGTTGTAACCGCATCATAATTCAACCTATTTACTTTGTCCTTTTCTCTAGTTTTTTTTTTTAATAGGTGTTGAGCTCCAGAGCATCCTGTAATAAAATTTCTGATAATTCTCCATCTCAGACTCTTCCAGTGAATCTCAATTGAAGACAGTTTCCTAACACATCTTCAGATTCTATTTATGTAGTTGTAAGTGGTGGTCAGCTGCCTAGGGGGCATTTTAAAGATTATAAACACTTCTATCAACTTTACTTGATTGACTTCCCATGGACATCATGAGAAGTAGATATAGCAAGTCCACGACATTTGCAAAACCTAACACAAATTACACATTTGCAGATTGGTATATTAGAATTAAGAAAAAATTGATGTACTTTGGTGAGAAGATAAAAGTCCATCACCAGAATTATAAATAATTGTATAGGCCACACGCGGTGGCTCACACCTGTAATCCCAGCACTTTGGGAGGCCAAGGTGGACAGATTACCCGAGGTCAGGAGTTTGAGAACAGCCTGGCCAACATAGTGAAACCCCGTCTCTACTAAAAATACAAATGTTAGCCAGGCGTGGTAGCACACACCTGTAATCCCAGCTACTCAGGAGGCTGAGGCAAGAGAATTGCTTGAGCCTGGGTAACGGAGGTTGCAGTAAGCTGAGATCATGCCATTGCACTCCCGCCTGGCTGACAGAGTGAGACTCTGTCTCAAAAAAAAAAAAAAAAAAAAAGAATTGTATATCAGTAGGGTAATCACTGTCATGCTTTGCCCACATAATCATAATTTACACCTGTTGTTTATAAATAATTATTAATAGTGTCCCTTTTAACTCTCAAAAAGTTCCCAATTTGGACAAAAAAATAAAATGTATGCTTACCTTGTTATAAGAGGTTCTCCTCATTTTACAGATTAGTAAGTATGAGTATCCTATTTACTATGAGGAGATGGATAAATATGGAAAAAAGTACATACCAACAGCCAAATCACAATATATTGCTAAGGAACACTGTTTTCCTTTCTATGAACATCAGCAAATGGAGAAGGCAGAGTAGAATAAACTCAAAATCTATTTAAAGTGAAGATTTCCAGATACACATTGAGTCTTGGTTTTGGAGTCCCTTGCATGCCACTGATATTTCTTATTATTAACTCATGTTTTACCATTGCTTCTCTGGCAGAGAATCCTATCAATTGCCTGTGACTTTAATAACAGTACTGGAAACTGGAAAGCTTTTGTTTCTAGAGCAAGTACACAATTTGAAAGCTATTAGTGTGTCATCAATATACTACAACTTGTGAAGCTGTTCTTAGAAGTTCTCGCAGACACTAAATTCTTCCATGGAATTAGCTGTTGATTCTCTTGACTTTACAATGATTGAGCCCTTCATGAAGTTATATATAGAAATCAAAGAGAGGAAAATTTTATATCACTGAGGGGAAAAAGGGGATCACGTAAAACAATGTCACTCTGCAAAAGTGAGTACAGATGACTGTGCAATATATGAGACCAGATAGACGAAAAGATGGCAGCTGTAAAATAAAAATCCAGCCTAGCTCTAATGTCTTACAGAGCTTATTTTGGCAAGTTGTAATAAAAATCTTCCATTCACCCAGCCCTTACAAGGCTTTAAAGAGAAAGTAAAAAATAAAATAAAATAAAATAAAATAAAATAAAATAAAAGGATCATTTCCTGCACATTGACTCAATTAATTCCCCTCATTTGACTACCTGATTGTTTCTTAAAAGTTGTAAAAATAAATTTATCATAAGATTCTGAGCTTTTCTGGCAAGGTCACCAGCTGAACTGGAAGAGGAAAAACAGTGCTGAAGAAGAGATAAATCAGCCCACAAAAATGTCTTCAGTTGCCTCTACCTGTCAACTCAATGCCCACAGAGAGTGATGAGACAGAGTTATGTTCACCACAGTAAAGCATCAAGAAGCATTGGACACATGAATTCCATTGAAAGAGCATTGAGAGAGAGAGAAAAAAGGAAGCTAATTTTTTGGACTCTTAAAGGGACTCCAATAAAATAAATGGTATGGGATGGGGAGATGTATAAAGAGTTTGGAGAATGCAATTTACTCAAGGAGGTCAAACTCAAAAATGTTTGTCAGCTGTGACAGAAGGAAGCTGTGAGGTTCTAGCTGAAGCCGACCCCAGTCGTGCCCAGAATACAATATTATATTATAATTTCAAAAAGGCCACTATCCCTTTTTCCTAGAAAATTGAACCCAAATAATGGTACTACACATAGTGGGGCAACATCCTATAAGAGAAACACCCTAAAGGATGCAGATACCTGACTTTGTAATAATTACTGTGAGAGAGGAAGAAGACACAACCTGGAGGTGTTTGAGTCTCCTGGAGGAAGGAGCCCTTGGTTTCAGTGAGCAATGAAGTATAGGAGGAAGCTTTTGCAAAACTTAATCTGGAATTCTTACATCTAAATGTACATTTTCCACTAAATAGCAATGTAGGAATTTGGGGAACCATAGAAAGAAAGAAACTGGGCATATAATGGTGCACCCTTTAGGAAATTGGAGAAAGTGTTAGTAAGCGCTGCTATCCAGCGAGACTCATGTGTCCATTCAAGTTCACGCAGCGACAGCTTAAAGGATAAGTTCCTCTGAGCCTGTCCACAGCCACAGAACCCACACACTCTGCAGCAGGAGGAAAAGAAGCTTAAAGTTTGGCAATCATTAAGGCTAGTTCCTGGTGCAGAGTTTAGTAGTCTTTTCAGAAGACTCACAAGAATCTAAAATGGCTTTTGTTTTCTGAATAGGGTTTAATTTTATTCTAGATAAAATGCACAATTCAACGGAAATAGCACTTGACTTTGGGTTAGGAAACTGAGGTATGAGTCTAATCCCACCATTCACTTGTTGAACTAAGTGCTTTATGCACGTGATCTCATTTAATTCTATAAAGTAGCATTATCTTCGTTATTTGACACATGAGGAAGCTGAGGCACAGAAAGTTTATACAATCTGCCAAAAGCCCCATCAATAATAAGGGGAGTGCCAGGATTGAACCCAGGTGTGTCTGACCTCCAAGCCATCTTCTTATCATACAGGTGTAAGGAGCAGCAGACATGAAAGAGTAGTCAGCCATCATCCAATTGTTAGATAGGATCATTAATATCAACAATTGCAGTAAATAAAAATAATATTCCATTCAAAATAAGTATAGAAGAATAAAATGCCTAACATTTAGTAGTACATTGGATAGGCTCTAGGCTTGATACATGTATGCATTATTTATAATACTCGTGATCTGCCTGATTCTTTATTACAGCTTATTAATACTGAATCTCTGTGATACTCTGGAGTATAAAGAAAGAGAAAGGTCATGGCACCTACCCGTTTTGACCATGGCTCATTTTTTAGTGGCAACAAAGGAATCCAGTCATCATACTTGAGAAATGATGCTATACGAAGTGGCAAACTGTTGTCACACTCTAGGAAAAAAGGCTTTATTCCGTTAAAGCCCTGTGTTCTCCAGATTGAGAACTTTCTATTTTCATAATCCAGAAAATAGAAAGTCTTGAATTCCAAAAGATGAGACCAAGTGCTATGCTAACATTTTCATTTGAATAAATAATAACCAAAATGCTTTTTTAAGATTTTTTTTATTTAAAAAATAAAAGATTTCTAAAGAAAGGACATAGGAGATTAACTCTGCAACCCTGAGGTAAAACATTTCATGGAAAAGACCCCAAAAGCACTAACCATAATATGTATATGTATACACACACACATACACATATTGTACATCATAAAAATTAAAAATTATTTTTAAAAAAGACACAATAAAGAAAATGAATAAGCAAGCCATAGACTAGGAGAAAATATGAGGAATACATATATGTCACAAAAGGCTTGTAACTAAAATATATACAGGACTTCTACAACTCAATAATAAAAAAGAAAAACAATCCAATAAAAATAAACAAAATATTTAATAGACACTGCATAAAGAAATACAAATGGCCAAAACATTATATGAAAAAGTGATCAATATCAGTCATGAGGAAACTACAAATAAAAAGCAAAATGCGTTACTACTACAGATTCACTAGAATTGTGAAAAAAAATTTTAAATACCCTGACAATAGTAAGTGTTGGCAGGGGTATGACAAAACCAGAATTCTCATACGCTTTTGGTGGAGTGCAATTGGTATAACCAGTTTGCAAAATGGTTTGGTAGCTTCTTATGAACCTATGTATTTACCCAACACAAATAAAAATATATTTTGACATTATTTTGAAATGTTTGTAGCAACTTTATTATTAGTAGACAGAACTGGAAACAACCATAATGATTATGTATCAGAGAATGGGTAAAAAAAAAAAAACAGAACTAGTACATTGATATAATAGAATATTATGCAGCAATTAAAGGGAATAAACTACTGATACATGAGACAACATGAATGAATATGAATGAATCTTAAAAACACTATGCTAAGTAAAATCCCCAGACACGCAGTGTACATACTGTATGTTTCCATATATAGAGATATCTAAAAGAAAAATATGAATTTATGGTAATAGAAATTAGAGCAATGCTTATCTCTGGTGGGAAGGCAACTGACAAAAGTGGAACCTGAGAAAGTTTCTACAGTGATATAGATGTTTTTTCATCTTGATAGGTGTGTTGGTTACATGCATTCATTTGTCAAAACTGAACAGACAGTTCTATTAAGATCTGTGCATTTCACTGTATGCAATGTAAGAGAGTAATGATAAGGTACATGGACATAGTGATATAAATTAAGTGGATTTTGAAGAAGTAGAATTTTTGATCACTTCTGAGGAGTTAGTACTTTTATGATGAATTCTCATGTCCCAATTTGACAGAGGAAATGAGTCTAACACCAAACTGATTATGTTGGAGGATGAGACATGCCTTTGAAGTAATTATGAATTTCCCAGACAGATGAGGGGAAGGGTTTAAAAGGAAATGAAGTACCAGTTTTGGAATCCTCATCTGCTCCCCACTTGGTGTCCCCCAGAAGCATAACAGGGGACTTGGCAACAGACTCGCACACAAATGGGAGGAAACCCCTGCAAATGCTCTCAGCTCTACACACATGACTCCTACGATAACCCACAACCTCATCAGCCAAGTTTCACCCTTAAAAGCCTTCTTTTTTGCAATCTCTCCTATACGGTATGATTCATGATGTCCTCAGTCTATGACTCTAGTCTTCATAATGACTGTATCAACTCCATGACTGTGGGTTATTGCCTAATGGGCCAGATTCTCATGCTGTATCATAACTCTTGGGGAATCCAAGATGGAACAGAGCCCATGTTAGCAGGCTGATCACTGCAAATCTTCATCCAAATGCGTATGTAAATTTCAGAGCCCCCACAGAATGTGGGTGGCCAGAAATACATTTCTCTGTGGCTACTACGCCTACTGACTGCATAATTTCCTATTAAAAGTTATTTCCCTATTGACCCTGAATTGGACAGACCTACAATAAACTAAACTACTGTAAATAAGTGTAGTTGAAAAAAAAAATAAGTGTAGTTGGTCTTGCCTACTGAAGACATGTTGTTGGTGGTTTCTATAGAAATTCTATAACATAGGATAGGGGCTACTTGCCAACTCTAATCCATTGGCTATAGCTTTCTGGGTTGCATTACGCCCAGGTTTAGAATAAAGGAGATTAGTTCACAGTGATTTCCATGAGGTGAAGTGCTGAAGAGAATAACAGTACATCATGCTACCAATTTGCCATCTCTGGTACTGTTAAGAGAGATAGGAACTGGCTATGAAAAGACTTGAGCTCTGGTCCGTATGTGAAAATACTGCATCATTGTGGTTCTGACTTATTCTCAGAAATAACAGAGGTAAACTCATTAAGAGTTGATCTCTAAACACCACTCCACTTATATTATTCTTTGAATCATCAAATCTGCACCACTTTCCTCCTAGGTAGGCTCATGTCTTCCTGCTTTTTCACCCATCCCATAATACTCTTTAAAAAAGTACAGAAGAATATACACAAAGAATCAAAACAAAAACAAACTGTTTTTTCTTATCAATTGCCACCTTTTAAAATTCTCTCCATTTAAAAGCAATATATTTGGGTGAAAAATTTGGCTATTTTTTAAATCAATTATTTCTCTGACCCACCAGGGATTGTAGGCTGTAAACTAATACTATCATGCAGAATTTTTGGCCAGGTGCAGTGACTCGCGCCTGTAACCCCAGCACCTTGGGAGGCCGAAGCAGGAGGATTGCTTGAGCCCAGGAATTCAAGACCAGTCTGGACAACATAGCAAGACCCCACCTCAACAAAAATAAAAAAATTAACTGGGAATGGTGGTGCACATCTATAATCCCAGCTACTTGGGAGGCTGAAGGAGGAGGATCGCTTGACCCTAGGAGGTAGAGGTTTCATGTCGCTGCACTCCAGCCTGGGTAACAGAGTGAGACTTTGTATCAAAAAAATATTTTCACTATTCTATTGTGTTTCCTGAAGGAGCATACTATGAATATTTTCTCCATGATAATATTGTCATATGCTTTCCAGTTTGCAAACGATTTTATTTTCATTCTTTTATTTGAATCACACAAATCTATAAAGTTGGTGGTAGGTTATTATTACCTCATTCTACGGGTGAATAAAGATTGGGAAAATGAAGCAACTTGCACTGAACCAGCAAATGGAAGTACTGGAATTGAAATACACATATCCTGGCTAATCTAATATTCTCTGATGTTGGAGAATAGGATTTCAGTTCTACTTTCAAAGCCAATGGTCTTTCTACCTCTTGAACTGTACTAATTGGTTTACAGCCTAAAACCACTGGCCATATATCTGGAGTGATCAGAGGCTAAGGAACCATTTCCCTGGGTAGGGATATGATTGAGGAAATTCAAGCACTGAAAGCTCTTTTTTTTTTTTTTTTTTTTGAGACAGGGTCTCACTGTGCCACCCCCAGGCTGAAGTACAGTGGCACAATCTTGGCTTACCGCAGCCTCGACCTCCTGCGCTCAAGAGATCCTTCCACCTCAGCTTCCCAAGTAGCTGAGACTACAGGTGTGTGTCACCACACCTGGCTAATTTTCTGTTTATCTTTTATAGGGATGAAGTCTCACTATGTTGCCCAGGCTGGTCTGGAATTCCCAGGCTCAAGAAATCCTCTTACTTTGGCCTCCCAAAGTGCTGGGATTTATAGGTGTGAGCCACTGCACTTAGCCAGAAAAGATCACTTTTAAGGTTTATTCAAGGCCTAAAGCATTAGGATCAGCTGAATGACAAAAATAAATATGTTTTCTTTCCATTGTGTCCAAGTGATTTTTTAAAAAGTTTTTGCAGCCCTTCATTTTTGTTCTTTCTTTCACAGCATTTGTTTGATTTTCATACAAGGCAGGTAAAGAAAAGATTAGGGATTCACATATGAAAAAGCTTGGATTGCCACAGCAAAGTGCTTGCATTGACCATTCATGGGAAACAGTTCCCCAAACAAATAAGGAAGATTTTGAAAACTTGGTTTCACCAGCTATTGTTCGCTGCCACCATCTGCATTGGGGCCCTACTCTCCTGGGTGCAGAAGCAATAGATTCATAGAAGAAATATTTTTGTTTATATAACTAAAGGATAGAGGGACATCATTTAAAATTAGTTATCAGCACAAGAATACACAGGAGAAAAAAAGAGTCAATATTAGAACAATATCCAATCTTTTATTAGTATTTTCTAAATACTAGGCCATGACATTTCCCTGGACAAAGGTTCCATCACTATTAAGAGGATGGCTGGGACATAAAAACATATTTAATGACTATTGCAAATCTGTGTTTGTGTGTATGTTCACAGGTATGGATATGTCTATGCATGTGTGTATTTTGATACTTTTTAAATTTTCTGCCCACACAAATAAGTTATCAAATGGAAGCATTAATTATTTTGAAGAGATACAAATCAACTCTAAATAAGCTGCCATTCTTCAAATGTTGGCTATGATGACAAAAATAACAGTTAAGACTGGAAATATTAAATCTGAAAAAAATTATAAACCTAGGTATGTGCTTTCAAAGAGAGGAGTCACTCTGGCTGGAAAGAGAAGAAACAATCTCTTCCAGAAAAATATAAGAATGAAAAGACAGGAAGTCCACAAAGACTATTTTATAAGACCAATGGAATAAGACCAAATGTGTTAAGATCAATTACCATTCAGCTATATTGTAGGAGGAGGTAAGCAGACATTCAGGTGCAAAAATCATCAATTCTTCATTATTTTTATTTCCCCCAAGTATAAATGAAGTCAATGTCTACACAACCTCTGAACTTAAACTGACTTCAGTTTTGTCATGGTAATAGGTATTGTCATCATACATGCCAGCTTTCATAGACAAACCCAAGCTTAAATATTATGTCGCACTGAAGGAACTAACATAGAAATATCAGTATCTCAGCAAAATGTAGCTGATCAAGTTAATGCAGCAAACCTTTAAATGAAAATAAACTTAAATCAGAAAAAAATGAGAGCTACAAAAAATGGAGATGCAAAAAATTAATTTCCATTATTCATGGAAATGTTTTCACAATGCACACACAAACACACATACACAAAATAGCTATATTCTACATGTCTCTACTTATAAGTATGTGTAGGTAGGCTGGGCGCAGTGGCTCACGCCTGTAATCCCAGCACTTTGGGAGTTCGAGACCAGCCTGGCCAACATGGTGAAACCCGGTCTCTACTAAAAATACAAAAATTAGCCAAGCGAGGTGGCATGTGCCTGTAATCCCAGCTACTCGGGAGGCTGAGACAGGAGAATTGCTTGAGCCTGGGAGGTGGAGGTTGCAGTGAGGCAAGATCACACCACTGCACTCCAGCCTGGGTGACAGAGAGAGACTCCATCTCAAAAAAAAAAAAATAGTATGTGTAAGTAGTGCTTTTCTAATGATAAAATCTAAGTTCTGTTAAGTATAAACATCCTCACAATTCTAACTTCAATTAAGGTCTTAAAATGACATTATAATACTAGTGAATTTTTAATGGTGCTATTGTATTCAGCTCCAATTTGAAATTATTTTAAATACAGTTTAGATTATTTTACTAGAAACTTCCATTTTATACTCTGGATGAGTATAAAAACCAAGAAAAGGAGTGTGTTGTCAGTAAGGCTTTTCAAATGCACTATCCTTCTTCAAAGAAACATGGAAATCCTTAGGGAACATTTTTGTACTTAATGTTGCAGTGGAATGAACATTGCTCAGTGTGGGAAAAATGTTATAGCTCGTAATCACAGACACGTAGTTATCTGACAGCTCTATAGCATCCAGAAGTCCCAGAAAAAAAATCATTTCTAAAAGACTTTTTAATAGAGTCTAAAGTAAATAAGACATTATTTGAATATATTATTTTAAAACTTAGTAAGTTTGATATTTTTTATTGCATCTTGATAGAAAAAGTGACTGAGAGGAGATGAGCCTAGAAAGGTAGTTAGAGCCATAGAATAGAAGATTATAAATACCATATAAGGAAATATGTACAAAATTCTTTCATTTATGTATCAGCAAAGATTTATTGAGAACGTACTACATGGGAGGCACTATGCTAGGGTGCTGGGAATATAGTGATAGACATGTTCTATCACTATATGAACAGGAAATGTTCATTTCCTGCCCTCATGAAACTTACATTCCAGTAATGACATTCTCAATGGGTTGAAAAGAAAATATTAACTTTCAAAGTAAAACGTAAATAGAGGTAATTCCTGCAGGCAAACAGAAACCATAAACATGTATTTAGCATAGGAATAGAAGAGGAACATTTAAGATTTGGGGAATAATAACCACACCATCCTCTCCACCACCAAGTTTAGAAAGAGTTGACAGGCAGACACAAGAGTCAGACAAATGGAAATGAAAATTTCAGTTCTATTGCTGACAAATATTCACTGGAGAAATAGTTCAACATGGCCCTGCCACTGGATTTTCTAAGATCTCTGCAGCCATCAAGTCTAGCTTGGGATAACCCACTCATGAAGAAACATGAGTTTACCAAGCTAGCTCTCCCCAGATTACTGCCTCATATTCAGTTGCCCCAAATACGTCAGGCTCCAGAGACGAAGAGAAAGAGAAATCATCTCCAGCCCTATCTGCAGAAGGCAGATCACTCTTCTACTCCAGTAAGGTGTATCTGGGTAAGGCAGGAGAAAGATATACTACAGCTAAAAGTAGGCAGATCAAAAGAGAGAACCTTAAAAAGCTAAGCCTTTTCTCAACATCACAGATCAAACATCCTTTCTCTTCCCTTGATAAGGACAAAGTACTGGATAGGGGGGCAGAGTAAAAGGATTCCATCACGAGAGGCCCCCTCATAGAAAAGAAGACATAGAAACAGCCCCTCCCCACAACTATGCATTAGGCTGACAATAGAATGAGTGATCTAGTTTAATGTAAAAAAAAAATAAAAAGCTCTATGAAAATAGACATTTTTAAAAACCATCCCAAAGATGAAAACCCTGAGACCCAGAGAAATGCAAAAGTTCACTCAAGTTCATCAGCATGAAACTGGTCTCCAAACTTAAGGCATAGCTTAGGTCTTGCTACTTCTACTTCCAAGCATCCATGGACTTATTCTGCAAGTCCATGCCTTCTCCAAAAGACAAAATCATGACATTGATGGTTAAATTTTGATTGGCTTTATGATTTTGATAATTGATTCACAAATTTGCTTTTGATTCTATAGTTATATACGAGCTGTGAGCACAAGGACTTTATAGCTATCTTTATATTGCTCATATTCACATAATATTAAAGTAAAAAAATCTCAACAATGAAAATCTATGAGATATTTTTGTCTTTTAAAATGGCAATATACGTGATTAATATTTAAGAATTATTACTCGACTCCATAATGCATCTCAAGAAAATGATATTTGTCTCAGAAAATTCTGAAAGGAGTATGTGGTGTGGCTTTTGGGAAGAGATTAAAAAATAAGAGATTTGTTTGGGGCTTATTTTAATAAGAATGTAAGAAATGTGAAACTACAGTATTAAAGAGTATTAGTAACCAGGGGCCAGATGTCCAGGTTATAAGCTAATATAAAAATCTACCCTGAGAAAGACATTAAATGCAATGCATTTTCACAGTTCTCCTACACACTTTTAAGCAAGGCTATCGAGATAAAAAGCAATTATCAATCATTTTCAGTTTGATGGCAGATTAAAATAGGGAATAAGGAAGCCTCGTTGTTCAGCAGACTAGGAACACATTATTTAATCAGAACTTTTTACGGGACTGACTGGGCAGTTTTCCCCAGGGAAACTACTGTCAGCAAAGCCTTTGGCTGACTAATGGGCTGACAGGTTTTACTCCCTGTGGAGAGCTGTTTCTATCTGTGGTCCTGAAGCTCATTAACCAAACCGACTGATATATTTGCTCAAAAATGGGTAACCCCAGGTTCTGATCATTGCACTTTAAAAGGGAGTGTGGGTAACGAATATTTTTTAAAATCCCAGAATCTCCAGTTACCTATCAAACTATTTCTGGGGGATTTTCAAACTTTGGAGCTCCACCAGGAAACCCTCATGAGCAAGGCTCCAGGCACACTGGGGAATCAGCAAAGTCTGTCTTTGTGTACTGTCATGATGGAGAGCTTAGTCTTCATGATCACACAGGCTGGAGGCTGGTATGCAACTCACGTATCTGTATGAGCTTAGATAAATCACCTTAAATTTCTCACCTTTCGTGTCCTCATCTTTAAAATGAGGATGGAAGAATTTAAATTGCATAATGTATGGAAAGCACTTAGCACAAATCCTGGTATATTGTCCTATTCCACGTGGCCTTTCCTATGAACCTGCACACAGTACCAGGGCTGGCCTCCAACAGCCTCAACCCTAAAATGCCCAACAGTGGATACTTCCGCAGCCAAGATTCACCACTTACATCCAACACCAAAATAAAATCCAGATAAAGAAGTTAATATAAAACTTCCAATTAAAAAAATAGAAAAAAATGTAGATAAATAGTTATGTGATCTCTAGATGGTGGTGACATTTTGGAATGGGATTCTTTTATATAATTTACAATATTTTAAAGTTTTCTGTAGTACATATTTTTATTTTCCAATTTAAAAATATAATTTAAAAATCAAGACCACTACCAAGAACACACTACCTAAACTATGGAGGGATAATAAAATTTATATAGTAATCTTCTGGCTCTCTTTTTCTATTTTTCTCACATGATAAAAATCTACTGCATATTTTCCTGTTTTTTGATAGAGGAGCTAGGCATATTTTGCTACCTAGTTCTATTCTTTCTCTGTTCCTCTGCCCAGCTATGATCACCTTCCTGTATTCATTTCCTAAGTACATGGCAGAGAATTCTCATTTTACTCGAAACAGGCGTATTTAATTGGGCCACGTGCATCAGATTGACCATTAAAAAACAACAATGGTTGCTCTTTTCTTCCAGTGTCCTATGTGTATACACAATCCTGCCCTAACATTCAAACGTCATACTTGTAAATTCTGCTTTTAACTCAAATAATCCTATACTTGGATATATCCTCAAGCTTTCTACTAAACTGACAGGAATCTAGAAATTTTTCTATTGATGGTAGTGGCAAAAAAATTTCAGGTTTATATTTATAAATAGGCAAAGGAGGCTGTAATATATCCACCCCTAATATCAGAATACCGGCCAGAGAGGTGAGGGGGTTGAGCATTTTCCTATTCAGAAATCCTCTAGGACAAACATGTTAAGAATTAAAACTTTCTGGTAAATGGATTTGTTGGGTCACTTTCCTGCTTGAATGAAGTACCTTCAGTGAGATGACAAATCCTAGCGCAATAAGGTGAAGGGCACAGGAAAGAGATTGTTAATGAGACTGAAAAAAAGAAATACCAGATGCCAAATCTTCCTTCACATTATTTCTAGATATGTGCAAGATATATGCAAATTGTCTTCCTTCCTTTCTCTCTCTTTCTTTTTTTTTAATTTTTTATTTTTTTATTATACTTTAAGTTTTAGGGTACATTTGCACATTGTGCAGGTCAGTTACATATGTATACATGTGCCATGCTGGTGCGCTGCACCCACTAAATCGTCATCTAGCATTAGGTATATCTCCCAATGCTATCCCTCCCCCCTCCCCCCACCCCACCACAGTCCCCAGAGTGTGATATTCCCCTTCCTATGTCCATGTGATCTCATTGTTCAATTCCCACCTATGAGTGAGAATATGCGGTGTTTGGTTTTTTGTTCTTGCGATAGTTTACTGAGAATGATGATTTCCAATTTCATCCATATCCCTACAAAGGACATGAACTCATTATTGTTATGGCTGCATAGTATTCCATGGTGTATATGTGCCACATTTTCTTAATCCAGTCTATCATTATTGGACATTTGGGTTGGTTCCAAGTCTTTGCTATTGTGAATAATGCCGCAATAAACATACGTGTGCATGTGTCTTTATAGCAGCATGATTTACAGTCCTTTGGGTATATACCCAGTAATGGGATGGCTGGGTCAAATGGTATTTCCAGTTCTAGATCCCTGAGGAATCGCCACACTGACTTCCACAATGGTTGAACTAGTTTACAGTCCCACCAACAGTGTAAAAGTGTTCCTATTTCTCCACATCCTCTCCAGCACCTGTTGTTTCCTGACTTTTTAATGATTGCCATTCTAACTGGTGTGAGATGGTATCTCAGTGTGGTTTTGATTTGCATTTCTCTGATGGCCAGTGATGATGAGCATTTTTTCATGTGTTTTTTGGCTGCATAAATGTCTTCTTTTGAGAAGTGTCTGTTCATGTCCTTCACCCACTTTGTGATGGGGTTGTTTGTTTTTTTCTTGTAAATTTGTTTGAGTTCATTGTAGATTCTGGATATTAGCCCTTTGTCAGATGAGTAGGTTGCGAAAATTTTCTCCCATTTTGTAGGTTTCCTGTTCACTCTGATGGTAGTTTCTTTTGCTGTGCAGAAGCTCTTTAGTTTAATAAGATCCCATTTGTCAATTTTGTCTTTTGTTGCCATTACTTTTGGTGTTTTGGACATGAAGTCCTTGCCCATGCCTATGTCCTGAATGGTAATGCCTAGGTTTTCTTCTAGGGTTTTTATGGTTTTAGGTCTAACGTTTAAGTCTTTAATCCATCTTGAATTGATTTTTGTATAAGGTGTAAGGAAGGGATCCAGTTTCAGCTTTCTACATATGACTAGCCAGTTTTCCCAGCACCATTTATTAAATAGGGAATCCTTTTCCCATTGCTTGTTTTTCTCAGGTTTGTCAAAGATCAGATAGTTGTAGATATGTGGCGTTATTTCTGATGGCTCTGTTCTGTTCCATTGATCTATATCTCTGTTTTGGTACCAGTACCATGCTGTTTTGGTTACTGTAGGCTTGTAGTAGAGTTTGAAGTCAGGTAGTGTGATGCCTCCAGCTTTGTTCTTTTGGCTTAGGATTGCCTTGGCGATGCGGGCTCTTTTTTGGTTCCATATGAACTTTAAAGTAGTTATTTTCCAATTCTGTGAAGAAAGTCATTGGTAGCTTGATGGGGATGGCATTGAATCTATAAATTACCTTGGGCAGTATGGCCATTTTCATGATATTGATTCTTCCTACCCATGAGCATGGAATGTTCTTCCATTTGTTTGTATCCTCTTTTATTTCCTTGAGCAGTGGTTTGTAGTTCTCCTTGAAGAGGTCCTTCACATCCCTTGTAAGTTGGATTCCTAGGTATTTTATTCTCTTTGAAGCAATTGTGAATGGGAGTTCACTCATGATTTGGCTCTCTGTTTGTCTGTTGTTGGTGTATAAGAATGCTTGTGATTTTTTACATTGATTTTGTATCCTGAGACTTTGCTGAAGTTGCTTATCAGCTTAAGGAGATTTTGGGCTGAGACAATGGGGTTTTCTAAATATACAATCATGTCGTCTGCAAACAGGGACAATCTGACTTCCTCTTTTCCTAATTGAATACACTTTATTTCCTTTTCCTGCCTAATTGCCCTGGCCAGAACTTCCAACACTATGTTGAATAAGAGTGGTGAGAGAGGGCATCCCTGTGTTGTGCCAGTTTTCAAAGGGAATGCTTCCAGTTTTTGCCCATTCAGTACGATATTGGCTGTGGATTTGTCATAGATAGCTCTTATTATTTTGAAATACGTCCCATCAATACCTAATTTATTGAGAGTTTTTAGCATGAAGGGTTGTTGAATTTTGTCAAAGGCTTTTTCTGCATCTATTGAGATAATCATGTGGTTTTTGTCTTTGGCTCTGTTTATATGCTGGATTACATTTATTGATTGCGTATATTGAACCAGCCTTGCATCCCAGGGATGAAGCCCACTTGATCATGGTGGATAAGCTTTTTGATGTGCTGCTGGATTCGTTTTGCCAGTATTTTACTGAGGATTTTTGCATCAATGTTCATCAAGGATATTGGTCTAAAATTCTCTTTTTTGGTTGTGTCTCTGCCCGGCTTTGGTATCAGAATGATGCTGGCCTCATAAAATGAGTTAGGGAGGATTCCCTCTTTTTCTATTGATTGGAATAGTTTCAGAAGGAATGGTACCAGTTCCTCCTTGTACCTCTGATAGAATTCGGCTGTGAATCCATCTGGTCCTGGACTCTTTTTGGTTGGTAAACTATTGATTATTGCCACAATTTCAGCTCCTGTTATTGGTCTATTCAGAGATCAACTTCCTCCTGGTTTAGTCTTGGGAGAGTGTATGTGTCGAGGAATTTATCCATTTATTCTAGATTTTCTAGTTTACTTGCGTAGAGGTGTTTGTAGTATTCTCTGATGGTAGTTTGTATTTCTGTGGGATCAGTGGTGATATCCCCTTTATCATTTTTTATTGTGTCTATTTGATTCTTCTCTTTTTCTTTATTAGTCTTGCTAGCGGTCTATCAATTTTGTTGATCCTTTCAAAAAACCAGCTCCTGGATTCATTAATTTTTTGAAGGGTTTTTTGTGTCTCTATTTCCTTCAGTTCTGCTCTGATTTTAGTTATTTCTTGCCTTCTGCTAGCTTTTGAATGTGTTTGCTCTTGCTTTTCTAGTTCTTTTAATTGTGATGTTAGGGTGTCAATTTTGGATCTTTCCTGCTTTCTCTTGTGGGCATTTAGTGCTATAAATTTCCCTCTACACACTGCTTTGAATGCGTCCCAGAGATTCTGGTATGTTGTGTCTTTGTTCTCGTTGGTTTCAAAGAACATCTTTATTTCTGCCTTCATTTCGTTATGTATCCAGTAGTCATTCAGGAGCAGGTTGTTCAGTTTCCATGTAATTGAGTGGTTTTGAGTGAGATTCTTAATCCTCAGTTCTAGTTTGATTACACTGTGGTCTGAGAGATAGTTTGTTATAATCTCTGTTCTTTTACATTTGCTGAGGAGAGCTTTACTTCCAAGTATGTGGTCAATTTTGGAATAGGTGTGGTGTGGTGCTGAAAAAAATGTATATTCTGTTGATTTGGGGTGGAGAGTTCTGTAGATGTCTATTAGGTCTGCTTGGTGCAGAGCTGAGTTCAATTCCTGGGTATCCTTGTTGACTTTCTGTGTCATTGATCTGTCTAATGTTGACAGTGGGGTGTTAAAGTCTCCCATTATTAATGTGTGGGAGTCTAAGTGTCTTTGTAGGTCACTCAGGACTTGCTTTATGAATCTTGGTGCTCCTGTATTGGGTGCATATATATTTAGGATAGTTAGCTCTTCTTGTTGAATTGATCCCTTTACCATGATGTAATGGCCTTCTTTGTCTCTTTTGATCTTTGTTGGTTTAAAGTCTGTTTTATCAGAGACTAGGATTGCAACCCCTGCCTTTTTTTGTTTTCCATTTGCTTGGTAGATCTTCCTCTCTCCTTTCATTTTGAGCCTATGTGTGTCTCTGCACATGAGGTGGGTTTCCTGAATACAGCACACTGATGGGTCTTGACTCTTTATCCAATTTGCCAGTCTGTGTCTTTTAATTGGAGCATTTAGTCCATTTACATTTAAAGTTAATAGTGTTATGTGTGAATTTGATCCTGTCATTATGATGTTAGCTGGTTATTTTGCTCGTTAGTTGATGCAGTTTCTTCCTAGTCTCGATGGTCTTTACATTTTGGCATGATTTTGCAGTGGCTGGCACCGGTTGTTCCTTTCCATGTTTAGCACTTCCTTCAGGAGCTCTTGTAAGGCAGGCCTAGTGGTGACAAAATCTCTCAGCATTTGCTTGTCTGTAAAGTATTTTATTTCTCCTTCACTTATGAAGCTTAGTTTGGCTGGATATGAAATTCTGGGTTGAAAATTCTTTTCTTTAAGAATGTTGAATATTGGCCCCCACTCTCTTCTGGCTTGTAGGGTTTCTGCCGAGAGATCTGCTGTTAGTCTGATGGGCTTCCCTTTGAGGGTAACCCGACCTTTCTCTCTGGCTGCCCTTAACATTTTTTCCTTCATTTCAACTTTGGTGAATCTGACAATTATGTGTCTTGGAGTTGCTCTTCTCGAGGAGTATCTTTGTGGCATTCTCTGTATTTCCTGAATCTGAACGTTGGCCTGCCTTGCTAGATTGGGGAAGTTCTCCTGGATAATATCCTGCAGAGTGTTTTCCAACTTGGTTCCATTCTCCCCATCACTTTCAGGTACACCAATCAGACGTGGATTTGGCCTTTTCACATAGTCCCATATTTCTTGGAGGCTTTGCTCATTTCTTTTTATTCTTTTTTCTCTAGACTTCCCTTCTCGCTTCATTTCATTCATTTCATCTTCCATTGCTGATACCCTTTCTTCCAGTTGATCGCATCGGCTCCTGAGGCTTCTGCATTCTTCACGTAGTTCTCAAGCCTTGGTTTTCAGCTCCATCAGCTCCTTTAAGCACTTCTCTGTATTGGTTATTCTAGTTATACATTCTTCTAAATTTTTTTCAAAGTTTTCAACTTCTTTGCCTTTGGTTTGAATGTCCTCCCGTAGCTCAGAGTAATTTGATCGTCTGAAGCCTTCTTCTCTCAGCTCGTCAAAGTCATTCTCCATCCAGCTTTGTTCCATTGCTGGTGAGGAACTGCGTTCCTTTGGAGTAGGAGAGGCACTCTGCGTTTTAGAGTTTCCAGTTTTTCTGTTCTGTTTTTTCCCCATCTTTGTGGTTTTATCTACTTTTGGTCTTTGATGATGGTGATGTACAGATGGGTTTTTGGTGTGGATGTCCTTTCTGTTTGTTAGTTTTCCTTCTAACAGACAGGACCCTCAGCTGCAGGTCTGTTGGAATACCCTGCCGTGTGAGGTGTCAGTGTGCCCCTGCTGGGGGGTGCCTCCCAGTTAGGCTGCTCGGGGGTCAGGGGTCAGGGACCCACTTGAGGAGGCAGTCTGCCCATTCTCAGGTCTCCAGCTGCGTGCTGGGAGAACCACTGCTCTCTTCAAAGCTGTCAGACAGGGACATTTCCTCTCTCTTTCTTTCTTTTTCTTTCTTTCTTTCTCTCTCTCCCTCCCTCTTTCTCTCTCTTTCTTTTCTTTCTCTCTTTCTCCCTTTTTCTTTCTTTCTTTCTTTCCTTCCTTCTTTCTTTCTCTTTCTTTCTTTCTTTCTTTCTTTCTTTCTTTCTTTCTTTCTTTCTTTCTTTCTTTCCTCCCTCCCCACCCCCACTCTCCTTCTCTTTCTTTTTGCCCTTCTTTCTCACAGGGTTTTGCTCCATGACCTGGGTTGGAGTGCAGTGGTGCAATCATGGCTCACTGCAGCCTTTACCTTCCAGTCTCAAGAAATCCTCCCACCTCAGCCTCCCAAGTAGCTAGGACTACAGGAACATGTCACCACACCCTGCTATTATTTTTGATTTTTTTTTTGTAGATATTGGGTCTTACCATGTTGCTTACACTGGTCCTGAATTCCTGGCCTCAAGCAATCCTCCTGCCTCAGCCTCCCAAAGTACTGAGATTACAGTTATGAGCCAAGGCACCTGGCCTGTCAATTTTTAATAATAGTCTCATAACCAATCTTCTGAATCTAGAAATGTTTTATATAAAGAAATTCTAATTTTTCAAAAGCTATCTGGTCTCATCATCAGGAAATAGAGGCAAAAAAACCCAAAACAAAACCCAAAAAAACCAAAATGCTATCTGGACCTAGAACTCAGAAAAAATGAAGAAAGGCTGGGTTTTAGTAATTTAGGTCTGGGTGTCACCACTAACCAATATCTGCCTTGCATAAGCCCATTTATCTCCTTAAGCATTGGGATTACTCTTGTGTAAAATGAGAAGTTAAAGAAATTCAGAAAGGCGTCTTACAGTTCTAATATGCCATAATTCAGTGGTAAACTTAGTTTGAATGACACATGAGCAAAGGTTAAAATTAAAATGGCCTGTTCGATTTATAGACTCATGGAATGAGATTTGGAAGAGACCTCAAAGATTACCTCGGGATCACAAAATCTAACCTTGGCATTGGGAGATGACAGATTTATTTCAAAAGAGAATGTTATGCAATAAGTAATTGTAGCCAAAGATTTTTAAAATAAAAAGCATATGAGAAGAATATTATTTCTGTTTCACTATTTTGCTTGTGGAAATGTCAGACTGGGAGAAAAATATGTTTTCTCATTATTTCAGAAAGAGAACTACCATTCATTTTATGCTTATTATTTTGTGGGTATTTTGAAAGGTCTTTCACACATTTTTAAGTTTGATAAATCACAACAAACAGTGGTTCATGCCTGTAATCCCAGCACTTTGGGAGACCGAGGTGGGTGGATTACCTGAGGTCAGGAGTTTGAGACCAGCCTGGACAACATAGTGAAACCCCATCTCTACTAAAAAAACGAAAATTAGCTGGGCATGATGGCGGGTGCCTGTAATCCCAGCTACTTGGGAAGCTGAGGCAGGCAAATCACTTGATCTCAGAAGGGGGAGATTGTGGTGAGCTGAAATTGTGCCATTGCACTCCAGCCTGGGCAACAAGAGCAAGACTCTGACTTAAAAAATAAAAAAAAATAAAATAAAAAAGCTTATAAGATGTATTAATATCCCTATATAAGTTATCAGGAAAATGGAATTCAGAGATGTAAGATACTATGTATAGGTTACTTAATTGATTCAAGTTGACTATCTAGCAAGTGCAAATTCACACATATTCAAACCAAGGTTGATTTGGCTTTAAAATCCATGCTCATTTTACTCTATGACATAACTTGTCTGATTTTGATTGTCTTGACAGGTAAGTTTTATACAGTGTGTACTCGACATGGCTTACATTTGATTAGGATGTTCATCTTGGATAAGGCACATGCCATTGCATTTCATTCTATCTGATTGTTCATTTCTTCCTTAAAAATATAAATTAATCCACAGAAAAAAATGATCTACTTCACTAATATTCAGCCTTACTAACTTCAAGGGTATGATATTGTCTATAAAAGATACTCTGGAGTTATGCTGAAATTGTTTGAAATTTTCCAGTCATTTTTATCCTTCATTGGTTATCACCTTAATAGTCTTCAATTTCATAGTTATTTCAGATTCATGGTAGAAAACCATAAAGGTGCATAAAGCCAAATATTTTAAATCTAGGGGATTTATAACTACATTTTTCTTCAGTTCAATATTTATTGTTTTTATTCTGCATATCCTAATACCACAGGTTAGATACTTCTCAAAACATATCTGTGGTCATACATGGACTGGAATTTTTGTATTTTTTTACAATCCTTTTAAGTGTATGTTTGAATGTTCTTTTGTCTTAAGTATGTAGTTATTGAGAGAATTGGGAATATAAGTAAAGTTTAACTTAAACTTGGAATTATAAAACATAACAGATATTAGAGTAGAGAATATATAATATTTAATCTCACGTCTCCAAAACAATAAATTATCATATTAAGATAGTTCTAATTGAAAATTGGGATGAATATCTTCTGGCAATATGGCTACTCTTAGACACTTAAATATGCATCATTAAAATGGCCAAAAAATGAAGGAAATATATACATATGTATATGTATACATTTGTACACTTATCATTAGGATAAGATTAAATAAACAAGATTAAATAAAACACACCCACCTCCATATACATCATAGTAAAACTGGAGAACAATAAAGAAAGGAGATAATAAAATAGCCAGAGTAAAATCAAATCACCTAAAAATCTATTGATTATCATATTTACAGCTGATTTCTCCTGAGCAACAATGGAATTCAGAAGACAATGGAATACTATCTTTAATGAGATGAAGGAAAAACATCCAGACCAAGAAGTTTATACTTGGCAAAACTTATTTTTAAGAACAATCTCAAAATAAAGATATATCTAAGAAAGATAGAAATATCAAAATTATGTGCATAAAATAATAACAGTGATTATTTTGGGGCATTGTGATTGTCACAATATTATATTTATACATAAGTGCTTATGGTAAGACATAGGTGGCTGTGGCTTTGCATGATAATGTAGGATCATAAAACTGCCATGCAAGCTGAAATCTTACAAAGTGACCTTAATAATCAATGGAGAAAATTAAATTTGTTCCATGACCTTTAAAAGTTTTTGTCAAAACATTAAATAATTTCTTTCTGTCAGTTATAAATATATAGCAAAATGAAGAAAATAATAAAACTAACATTTATTAAATACCACTGTTATTGAAAACATTAGAAACTTTGTGACTAAAAGTGTCTTATTCTTTGTAAAAACTCATCAAGAGTGGTCTGAACAGTGCTTGCCTTCTTCTCATTGTATAAATTAGAACACAGAGCAAACATCTTTCTCATGCCTTGACAAATTTTAATGCTCAATTCTAAGTTTGTATCAGCTTCCAGCATTGTATCTTTTGTGCTTTCAATGTGACCAAGAATTGGTTTAATATATTTTTTTGCCAGCATCACCTACTCTGGGGTATCTTTTGTCACTACCACTTTCCTCATTTATGTTGACAAGTTCATTTTCACTAAGTTTCTCTAGCTGTGTATCTGTAGTCTCTTAAACAATAGTAATGTCAAAATTCTCACAGGCAACTATTTCTTCTATAACTCCATTTACATGTGATTCAAATTTCACTGGCATCTTTGTTATTTTTTGGGTTTTTTTTGCTGCACTTTCACCTTTGGCCAATTCTCTTATGATTTCCATTTTTTAAAAATGCTGCGCTAGTTTATTACTGGAAGACTAGGGTGAATACTACATGCTTTGCCATTTATAAATAAACTGAGCAACAGGTATCCAGTGACCAATCACTGTCAGACTTTGAAAAAATGATGTGATTGGTAACTGATCAGATTAGCATTGATTATTTTCACATTCATTTGTAGAATGAAGAATTAGGAGCAAAGTTTGTATTTATGCAATTACAGTTAATATAGCATGGTTAGTAAAATGTGCGCTGTGCTGATGTAAGGTTTGTGTGTGTGTGTATGTATATATATATTTTTTTCTTTTTTTTTTTTTTTTTGAGATGGAGTCTCTCTCTGTTGCCCAGGCTGGAGTGCCGTGGTGCGAACTCGGCTCGCTGCAAGCTCCGCTTCCCCAGGTTCACGCCATTCTCCTGCCTCAGCCTTGTGAGTAGCTGGGACTACAGGCACCCGCCACCACATCTGGCTAATTTTTGTATTTTCAGTAGAGATGGGGTTTCACTGTGTTAGCCAGGATGATCTCGATCTCCTGACCTCGTGATCCAACCACCTCAGTCTCCCAGAGTGCTGGGATTACAGGCGTGAGCCACCACGCCTGGCCTAAGGTTTGTATATTTAAGTAAACCATGGTAACTGAAATTTGTGCATATCAGAAACATGCAAAGTGAGGATGCTTACATGTGATAAGCTGTATGATTCAACTATATTTCCTACAATTAACATGTATCACTTTTGAAATAAATATGACAATTTTCAGACCAACAAAATTTGAGAGTGTTTACCACCAACAGTCATTAAGAAAAGTAATTCTAAAGGACTGTGCTTCTAGTAGAAAGAAAATAATAGCAAATAGGAGATCTGAGATGCAAGAAGGAAAGAGGAGAAAAAATATTGTAAATATGTGGGTATATCTTTTTAAATGACCTTATTAAAATGTAAAATGCGAACGAACAAGATAGAATTTAAACACTGGGGAAAAATTCATTAATTTGGAAGAGTTGTAATCAGAAATGAATTATTCTAATATATTTTACTGTGCAGAATAAAAATAAAGATATCAATTACTTTAAGTATGTATGTATGTTAAAACAGCTAGAGTAAGCAATAAAAGAATATAGAGAGAGCATATACATTCCCAAAACTGGAAGAAAGAAAATAGAAAAGAAATAAATTAGAAATTTAAACAACAGAGACAGAAAGAAGGGGAGAGATAGATATAAAATAAACAGAAAAAGTAGAAAATAAATAGTAAATTGGAACTAATAATATCTATTTCACACATTGCATGAAGATTAAATAATATAATGCATGTAAACATTGTGTTTACTAGTGACAATTGCATTTCAGGCATATATCAGGTGTTTAATACGTTAGTTGAATCTGAATCAGAGGTTCATTATGCATGTGGGATGAAAGAGGAATTTTCCCTCTTCCGAATTTCTGAAATAGATCTTAGAGCCAGATCAGATTTGAAAATAAGTGAATGCAACATTAGCTCTACAACATTAAAATGTGCAATTGCTTGTCTACCAAGTAGTATATTTGTGACATGTAGAATTTGCACACACAGTATAATTATAATACACTTATGCAATTTTGGGTTGGGTCTACTGATAGAACCTCTGGGTGCTCCAAATGGCTGGCCATGAGTTTAGTACTAAAGTCTTAAGATACACAGGGCCTTAACTCTAATAGCCACCACTGGAGTTCTTCACTAGGTTGATGTCCATGTCCAGTGAAAAAATGCACACCCAGTGCCTGTCCTCTCTTTCTTAGAGATCTTCAGATCTGGAGCAAATAAAACTTGGTTCTCCTTTGATCATGGCTGGCGGTGGGTGGTGGGGGAAGATGGGGGGTGTGGCAGGGGTTCCTACCTTAGAGTACAGAATTTAATTTTGGATCTGGTAACTGGACTGAGTCCAAGTGAGCTAGTAATCACTCGAGACAGTGAACTAGGTTGAAACAGAAAACTAGGATAAAGCCCAGAGAAAATTAAAATTATTAAAATTAGGAAAAATTACTGCCATGAGAAACATCAAAGAAGTTTGTTGCTTATCCTAGGAAAAGAAAAAGGTTCATCATGGAATATGATATATTTAATAAAAAGTATCCACCCCATAGAAAACTGGTGGTTGATATAAAACAGGTTTTGGGTTTCATTTAAGAATGCACATGGCAGGGATTTTCATAAGGCACTAAGCATAGATTCTCCAATGTAAAAGTGAGTGAAAGCAATGTTACCAACAAAGGTCATGAAGGTTCTTTCTCTGAAGACTTTGGGGAATAAGAGAAGAAAAAGGAGAACTACTTTTCCTTGAGCACCTATTCATAATGTGGCAAGACAAGATAAGGGTATAGATATAGGTTTGCTATGTAAGATGCGGGCATGGATAGATAGATGATAAATATACAGTTAGAGAAGAAGACACAATGATTTCTGAACAATCATTTGAGAATGAAGAATTATCCATCCCATTTTATTTACAATCATTTGAGAATGAAGAATTATCCATCCCATTTTACACTAGAGAAAACTAAGAATCAGAGATATTTAGAATTTTGCCTAAAGTCATACTACTATACAATGAAGGAACTAAGACTCCAGTTTAGGGCTCTCTGATGGCAGTTTCTCTGCTCTTTACTCTATCCCTACTTGCAGGTCTGTTTGAGCTGATTTCACTGAATGCAGTCCTGCCTCCAAGTGAGTGGTAGCATGGTAGACAACCCAAGCTTTTCTAAACTCATACTTAAGATTTTTTCAGTACAGAAGTGGCAAATATTCTCTGTAAGGATCAGAGAGTAAGTGTTTTATGCTTTGCATGCCATATGGTCTCTGTCACAACTGTGCTGCCATTGTTGCATGTAAACAGTCATATATACCATAAATGAATGAGCATGGCTGTGTTCCAATAAAACTTTACTTATGGACACTGAAATGTGAATTTTATTTCATTCTCAGGCATAACAAAATAGTAATCTTCTTTTGATTTTTCCCCAACCATCTAAAAATGTACAAAATATTCTTAGCTCATGGGCTTTACAAAACAGGAAAGCAGGTCAGATGTGGCTGATGGGCCATAGTTTGCCAACTCCTAGAAAAATCTACAGGAGGCCATTGGCCTCTGTGGCTTTTACTGCCTAGTTTGCAGAAAGTGAAAGCAGTCTTCCTTGATTAGGCAGCTGAATAAAATCTGGGCTGGAATCTGCTCGAAAACAAGTAGTTTTAATGAATGGTCTTCCTTTGTCTATGCTTGGCAAGATTGTTTGCAATCAGGCATGTTCTTTGGATTACATTTAGCAGTTGGAGGTAATCACACTAGGCATTGGTTCATTAGCTTCACAATCAGAAGCTTTTGGCATCAAGGATTTAACAGTCCAAAAAAGGCCACTGGTTAGAAAGAATGTGAATTCAGTCTTTAATCCCAAATTCTCCTGGAAAAAAAACAAAATATCTGAATAAATATTATTGACAAGTCACTTTTCAAAAATAAATATATCTGGAGAAAATATGAAGTTCATAAAAATGAAAGTTTGACAAGTATGGGCATGTCTTGAGCTCCTGGGAATTTAAAAGGAGATAGACCATTTTCTTAAAAGGTTTAGGGATTAGGAAAGAGCACATATCAGATCTGAGGTCTTCAGTGGTTTTCAGTTCTTTCAGTTCTAATTCAAACAAAACTTGAGACTAATTATTCTGGCCCTATGGGGTTTACAGCAGGAAAATACTCAGTTTTAGGTTTACCAGTTTGCTTATATTGCAAGTATTTTAGGAGATAATTATTGCACAAATCCTCAACTCCTATTTATATCTCTACCTGTTGTATAAAAGCAACCACCAAGGACAGCTTGAGATTTGCTTCTTCCTCTAAAATCAGAGTCCTGGACTCAAATTAAAGTTTCTATTCAATAGCTGTTGACAGGAGCAGGGGCTACCTACTTTTTATTCCTTCTGGAAAGAGATACCAGGCCATTATTGGCCTTAAATATTCTTGCCATTCATCCAACAAACACTTGTTGAATGTCTATTTTGCTAGTATACACATAAAAATGGATAATACATTTTATTACTAATGTACACATAGCTCATTCTCTTGCATTCAGCAGGTGTCTAATAAATGTCTAAATGAATGATTTAATTTAATCAGTGAATAAGTGACTTTTCAACAAAAGGGATTTTGTCGTCCAAGCTGAGTATTCAGAAGGGGTAGTATCCATATTCTTATGGATCTTTATTTTATAGAAATTCTTATTCTTATACATTTCCAGGAACTATTGGACACTTCCTTTGTGCCAGTAGCTCATTTTCCCTATGAAAGAAGTGCTAATATGATTCTTGTTTTACAGACAGGCAACTGAGACTAAAAAGATAAGTAAATTGGCCAAGGTCATGCAGGAGGGACCAAACTAAGACCAAACCCCATTTCTGTTTGACTCATAACTCTAAGCACTAACTACTACTCAATGCAGCCTCTTAATCCACAAGCTTCCCATTTTTTCCCATTGGAAAGCTGACAAGAGAATGATCACTTATACCCACTCTACTGCACAAAGTACCTTCACTTCCATTCTGCTTCAGAACATTTCTGAGGAAAATGGGAGATTCTCAGAGGCATATACAAATTCAAAATCCAGGAGAATAAAAGCAGTTGGACTGGGCTTCAGGTAAACAAGTCTCAGGAATGCTTCCCTTCACTTTTATTTTTTCCAACCCTGGTATTAACCTATACATGGATTCTATTTGCCAATTTTCAATCCTGTCTTGTCCTTACAGAATGCCTTTCACTGAGTTTTTAGATTTTAAGTCTTTCTTTTGGGTGGCAGAGAATAAGGAGGATGAGCAGTGATTTATTATGCACTTAGACAAGAACCTGCCAAGCCTAGGATCGAAGATGCAAACTGTGAATTAGCCAAATACACAATACATTTTGAATGTAAGAACAATTTTTTATGTTGGGGGTGGAGTATGTAAAAGACAGTAAATGTCTCCTCTTTTCTTAAATATTTTTCAGGAAATAAGCTCACTTTTCCACAGAGGATGGTTTGATTAATGGTGTAGGGTGAACATACTCAAATACAGGTAAGCTAGTCACAAAAGATCATATAGGTTCAGCCAAATAAGAAATCAATAGAGCTTCAGTGAAAAATAAATTTAAAAATATGGTTCCCTACTTCAATTTGTATAAACTCTGAATATCTTTTCTTTGAAATATCTGTTGTATAGAATCTGATTGTGCCTGTATATTCTGAGTATGGATCAAGTATTAAAGGAAAAAGAAAAAAAACCTTCCCCAACAAAGTCAATAATAGTATAACAATTCACCATGCATTAATTATGTAAAACAGAGACCACAAATGTTCAACTTACAGGCTTGTTTAATCTACAGACACATTTTAGCAGGAACAATATTATTTTCAAATATCTGATTTTCTAATGTTTAAACATTCATGTAAAAATGCAATTTGGAGTTTTTAAAACAACTTCTCAATGATAATTTATGTATAGTGACAGTCAGCTGCCGCTGAATAGAGGCTGGTCCCAGTAGACAGATTGTGCATACTCCAGTAAAATAATGTACATTATCTGCCAGGCCCTAAAGAACTTGAAATCTCAACCCACTGATGCCAAAAAGTTGACAACTTTTCATTAAATTATACTCTGTTTGAGGAGAAAAGATAAATCCTTAAAACTTTAAGTTGAGATTTTACACCATAAAATAGTTTCTTCCCATCTTTACCCTTGTCATATTAACTCCCTTCTATGTTAGAATACTTCCATAAAGAACAACTGCTTCATAGGCTGGGCACAGTGGCTCACCCCTGTAATCCCAACATTCTGGGAGGATAAGCAGGGAGGATCGATCACTTGAACCCGGGAGTTCAAGACCAACCTGCACAACATAGCGAAAACTCTGTCTCTACAAAAAAATATAAAAATGAGCCAGGCATGGTGCCATGCACCTGTAGTCCCAGCTACTCCAGAGGCTGAGGTGGGAGGATCAACTGAGCCCAGGAGGTCGAGGCTTCAGTGAGCCATGATTGTGCCTCCAGCCTGGGTGACAGACAGAACGAGATCCTGTCTCAAAAAAAAAAAAAAAAAAAAAAAAAAAGAACAACTGCTCTTAAAGCAAGTAGGTCATACCCTGTGGGTTTATGTGAAGAAGCTGAGAACATCTTTAGATACTCAAAGCAACTGAGAAATGGGAAAATGTGAATGCCTGTTCTATTACATATTTGATATTCGCCTCAGGGATTATTGAACAGAGTTCAGTTGGCACTATTGGTTTACACTGATCAAAGTTAGTTAAACTGATTATGAAGCACCTTTTGACCTAATTATAACAGAGCAAATAACTTCCATACAATAAGAGGGTGACTTTGGGTGGTTGTTTGAAAACTTTTCTAACATAGATGAAATCTTTTCTCCTACAGAATCTTACATAATCTAAAATGTAAAGCAGATAAACTCAATGCTGCTGCAGTGAGGAGGGATTTCACATTCTTTTGGAACAAGTGCACAGCACTTAGGACACAAGAAGTAATTTTTTGTGTTTGTTTGTTTAAGAGACTGAGTCTCAGTCTGTCTCCCAGGCTAGAGTGCAGTGGAAAAATCATAGTTAACTGCAGCCTCAAACCTCCTGGGCCCAAGTGATCCTCCCGCCTCAGTCTCCCAAGGAGCTGGGACTACAGGCACACACCACCATGCCCACCTATTTTTTTTTTGTTTTGTTCTAATTTTTTGTAGAGACTGGGTCTCACTATGTTGTTCAAACTGGTCTTGAACTCCTGGCCTCAAGTGATCCTCCCTCCTCCCAAAGTGCTAGGATTACAGGCATGAGCCACCATGCCCAACCCAAGTAAGATTTTGAAAACCATGGAAAAAGATTGTACATTATAGTTGTAAGTTACTTTCAATTCTAAATATCTATAATTCATTGACACTAGGGTAACTCCTGTTTCTCATAAAGTCCTCTTACTAGCCATATGACCTTGGCAGGTAACTTAATGTCTCTGAGTGCTTTTTTCATACAATAGGATAATAAACGTGACTGTAATATACAGAAGAAAAGAGACATATGTGTGTGTTTCTGTGTGCATCTTGGGTCCATTCCTTCTCCATCACCAACATAATAGGTTCAGATAAGGTTGATTCCATCCCCTGATTCCAAAAGTGACACAAGACACAGGCTGAAGCTAGAAAAATCATATCTAGGAGCTGTCAGCAAAGTGCTGCTTTTCCGGGGTTGCTGAATCAATAAAATGTAGATGATCTGAAGCTATTTGCAGGCATATTTACCACTGTGTGAATAAGAACCTACCTGAGAATGATGCCAACAGAAATAAACACAGAAACAAGGAAAAAAGAGGGAAACCTTGCTGACTGTATTGCTTAAGCATCTGGATCCGCCCATGCCCAGAACTATCGCAGATTTTGTTACATTACATGAGTGAATTTATTTTCTTAATTTGGAGAGCTAGTCCATGTTGATTTTTCTTTCATTTGCAATCAAAAAAGGCTAATAACAGGATCTTAACTATTAGGTAGCTCTCTTAAGAGTGAAGCAAGTAATGGAGATGGAAGCAATGTGTATTTTAAGTGCTAGCTTTGTTTTCCTCAGATTAGGTATTTTATGACCCATTATCCTAACTCAAAGCGAATTTGTATCTATTACCATCAAATTTTACAAATATTACTATTTCTGATTCAAGATGAGTAAAACAACTTGTGTCTACTTCTTAGTTATCTGTTTTTGTTCACAGGTCATACTTATTTCATCTTCTACTAAGCCTTTAATGTGTAACTATTTCCAAACAGCAGCAGTTCTCCCAATTATGCTGTGAAAATTCACTACCAATGTTTGCCATCAGCAAGTAAATCACAGATGACAGATCATTGGAATTTTTCAGATTACTTTTGATTTTCTGAATGCCACGGCCCTCTCCATTTCTAGACTGTGAATGGGTTTATGTTAGTATTCTAATGTATTGTAAAACATAGAAATGGACAAGATCAAGAAGAAAAGCTTGGGATGTAGGACTAGAAAAACACTAAGAAAAAGTTTGATTACCTCAAGGGTAGAGAGAGAACAGTGAAGAGTATTTGAAAAGTAGAAACCTAGTGTTATCATAGAAACTATGGGAGAAGACTTGCGAGTATTTCAAAAGTTACATAAAATAGAGAGAGATGAAGATGGGAAAATGTCCACTGAAATGGTGATCTAAGCTAGAGCATTTTCAGTACAGTTACGGAGGTGGAACTAGATTCAATGGAAAAAAGAATGAAGGAGAGAAGGAAGTGGAGGTAGTGATTACTGACTATTTGTTGAACGTCTGCAGATGGGAAAGAAGGCTAAGTTAAAAGGAATTTTTTAAAAAAATTAATGAACTGATGGAAATTGACCCACTACCATATATTAATCTACTTTCTTACACGTCGTGCAATTAAGTTAAAAACTGAAACATCGATACAGCCTCTGGATTGTTCTGATAATTCATGATTTCAAATAGACTATTCTTCTTGAAGATAGAGATAATTCCTTCTAATTATTCGAATTTTCCACATCACATAACTCTGAATGGAGCAGAGTGGCTGGCTATGGGATTGAAATAACCATGTGAATAAACCAATTAAAAATGCTAATTCTGTCACAATTAATTAAAACTGTTTCAGATTATCTTATGCCTACTATGTGAGAGTTCTTTTAAAGGAAGAAAATTCTGAGGTAATGGAACAAATTTGAAGGATTTTTCTTCTTTAAGCATCCAGGGAATAATAAATTTATAATCAGCAAGCATTAATTCACAAAATATGTTTGACTAGAGAAAACAATGTCCATTCTTTTAATTGAAACACTAACTTTATGCCTGAAGGAAAAGGTTATATGGATTGCATATTAACAGTTTTAATAAAGCAGTATGTGAGGAAACAGTTACAAATCTGAGCATAAATCTTTCTTAGCTACATCATACATGATGTCCATACTGTCTTAGGTCTAGTTTTTTGGAAGCAGAGCCTAAGGCAATAGTATTTGTGCCAAGTATTTAAGGACGTGCTCCTCAGGGAGCTGGTAATGGGAATAATGAAAGCAGAATAGGGAAAGGGGAAAAGCCAAGAAAAGACAGGATTTCAGGCTGACTTCCAGCCTCACCTGGCCTACTTTACTCTTATACCAGCCAATCATTGGTACAGGCCACTGCCCGATGGGCAGTCAGGCAGTCAGTAGGTAAATTCCCAGATGGAGGTTGCGGGGGAATTCCTGGTGGGAGGGAGTGGCTCCAATAGCTCAAGAGTAACCCTCTAATGAAAGCTGAAGCTAGTTTAGCAGCAAAGCACAGAATTAGGGTGATGGGTGCATAAAACCAGTATAAGGGATCAGAGAGGATCTAGAGAGAGCATCAGCACTGCTCATGCTCTGGAACAGCTACTTTGGAGTGGCTCACTCAGCCTCTCTTCTACTCTCATTCTATTAGCTCACTCAGCCTCTCTTCTACCCTCATTCTATTAGAGAAAGCGGAAAGTCAAAAACTTAATTTTGCTGATTTCCTTGCAGCTAAGTTTCTGTATCAGATATAGGTTCTATGAGATGTGGAAAGGGAAACAAGGTGGAGAAATCTTCCTGCAGATTTTGGCTATTGTTGCCATCTAGCAAGGTCATAAAAAATGTGAGTATTCCTGAGTAGTGTTATGATGTGCATTCCCCAGCATTGTGCAGGTCAAAAAGCAGTGATAGAGCACCAGAAAGAATAAAATACTTAGGAATAAACTTAACCAAGGAGGCAAAAGACTTTTACACTGATAATGATAAAATATTTTTAAAAGAAATTAAAGACACAAATAAGTCAAAAATCATTCCATATTTGTGGATTGGAAGACTTAATATTGTTAAAATGTTCATATCAACCAAAGTAATCTGAAGATTTGATGCAATCCCAATAGCAGTTTTTGCAGACTAGAAAAAAAAAAATCCTAAAATTTATATGGAATTTTAAAGGTCCCTAAATAGCCAAAACAATTTTAAAAGAACTAGCATAACTGAGGTATCAAATTTCCGGATTTCAAATCATATTACAAAGCTACAGTAATCAAACAGCCTGGTAGTGGCATAAAGACAGACATATAGACCAATGAAACAAAATGAAGATCCCAGAAACCAATTGTCACATATGTGGTCAAATGATCAATCATACCAAGACTACACAAGGGTGAAAGAATAGTCTCTTCAACAAATGGTGCTGGAAAAACTAGATCTCCACATGCAAAAGGATGAAGTTGAACTCTTACATTGCACAGTATGCGAAGATTAACTCAAAATGGATTAAAGACCTCAACGTAAGACCTGAAACTACAAAACTCCTAGAAGAAAACATAGAGGGGAAGTTCTGTGGCGTTGAATTTAGTAAAGATTTCTTGAATATGACACCAAAAGCACAGGCAACAAAGCAAAAATAGACAAATAGGACTACATCAAACTTAAAAACTTCTACACAGCAGAAGAAACAACAGAGATAAAAGGCAACTTACAAAATGGAAGAAAATATATGTGAGCCATATATCTCATAGGGAATTAATATCCAGAATATTAAATAACTCCTACCACCTAATAACAAAAAAGTTCAATTAAAAATGGGCAAAGGATTTGAATAGACATTTCTACAGAGAAATACACAAATGGGCAACAAGCATGTGGAAAGATGCTCAACATCACTAATCATCACAAATCAAATCTACAATGGGATGTTACCTCACATCTATTAACATGTTCACTAGCAAAAAATAAAAAAAAAATAACAAGTGTTGGTTAGGATGTGGAGAAATTGGAACCCTTGTGCACTGTTGATGGGAATGTAAAATGCTGCAGCCACTACGGAAAACAGCATGGAGATTTATCCAAAAATGAAAATGGAAGTACCATGTGATCCAGCATTCCCACTTTAGGGTATGGATCCAAAAGAATTGAATACAAGGTCTCAAACAGATATCTGTACTACCATGTTCGTGGTAGCATTATTCATAACAGCCAAGAGGTGGAGTAATCTAAATGTCTATCCACAGATCAATGGATAAATAAAATGTGGTTTATAATACAACAGAATATTACTTTGCCTTAAAAAAGAAAAATCCTTTCACCTGCTACAACATGGGTAAATCTTGATGACATTCTAAGTGAAATAAATAAGCCAGTTGCAAAAAGACAAATACTGCATTATTTCACTTATAAGAGGTATCTAAATAATCAAACTCTTAGAAATAGAAAGTAGGTTGGTTTTTGCCTGGGGCTGGGAGGAGAGGAAAGAGGGAGTTGTTGTTCAGTGGGTATAAAGTTTCAGTTTTGCAAGGTGAAAAAGAAATCTGATGTATAGCAGTATGCATATAGTTAACAGTACTCAACTGTACACTTTAAAATGATGGTAAATTTTATGTATGTGTTTTTTACATTTTTTTAAAAAGGCATTGACAATGGTAGAGGCTACTTGTGCTGACCGTCTATTACTAAATTGAATCTCTGAGTGTTCATTCTCCAGGTTCTGGTAGTGACAGGTTGGTGGTATAGCTCTAGCTGCACCTTAGAAGGGCTCCTCTAGAGCAGTGGCTCTCATATTTTAATGCAGCATGCACAAATCACTGGGGATTTTACTAAAATCAGATTCTGATTCAGTTAGTCTGGGGTAGTGCCTGAGATAAACAAGCTCCCAGGTGATGCAATGCTGCTGATGCTCAGGCCAGACTTTGAGTATCAAGGCTCTAAGATCAATTCTGTCATTCTATGCCAAGTTCTATTCTGGGTTAGTGCTAGAATGGTAAACTCAAGGCAAGGTGTGTGTTTTCACTAAGCTTACATAACGTCAGTGAGAGACAGTCAACAAATAAATAAATAATAAATAGGTAGTGAAAAGTGCTCTAAGGCAAGAGGTTGATAGGTTGATCAGGGATGCAGGTTTAAACAGTCACTAAATTTGATACATTTACTAAATTTGATACATGCAATGTATTTGATACATCATTGCATACATGCAATGATGCCTGGGTCTTAGAGAAGGAACAAAGTGAGCAAGGCAATTGTGGTTCTCATGATGGGAAGGCCAGTCTCGCACATGCGTGAAAAGCCCAGACAGGGAAGCAGTGGAGAAGGGTATCTTCTTCACCCTGAAGGTGCTAGTTAGGAGAAGCGAGTCTTAGGACATTTGCCTTAAAGAGCCAGCCAATCCGATAGACAGATGACAGGACTTTGATGTCTAAACGTTTACAGTTGTAGAATATAGGCAGTATGGCAATAAAGTCAATGTGAATCAAGAAAGAAGGGTGAAAGGACAGAAGAGAAAGAAGAAAGGAGGAAGAAGAGGATGAGTTTGAAAAAGAATGGATGAAGAGAAGATTCAGAAGTAATAGTAAAGAGAAGAAAGTGGCTGTCTGCAAGTCACAAAGCTCCACCTACTGATAGGAGAAGTTTCTGCGTTAAACATTAATAGAATCTCTTGCAGGAGATAGAAAAATGATCCAATAAAGTAAATTGAATGGGTGTTAGGATCCCTATATTTCACTCCTAAGTGTGTGACCTCAGGCAAGCCACAACATCAGGGAGCCTTGGCAGCACAACCTGTATAGCCATACTTCCTAGAGAGGGCTTCAGAAAGTATTAGCTGAAGTGGCAAGTGTGGAACCAACGACAAATAAGAGAACTCACTAGGATTTAGAGGCCATTCATTCTCCTCTTATTTACCATTCTGAGTTGACACACTTTTTGGGCCCTATTGGCCCCCAGACAAGCCTTTCCCTGAAGTGGGAGGGTTAATTTTATACTTTGATCAACTGTAATACTGCAACAATCCACATTGTTTTCATTCTCTCTCATCTGAAGTCCTACTTCAGCTATAGCTATGGCACCGTGTAGCACTTAAAACCTTTTTTTCTAGTTTCAAGTAGATGATGTATAGTTAACTTTTATTCATTGACTATATTCCATCTTGTTTCATAAGTATTTCAAGATTGCTTAAAAAGGCATATATAATAAATGAAAGTGTTAACTTAAAAGTAATGTTCTGAGAGTAGAAATTAAATCAAGAGTACGAACACATCAGATTCAGGAGTGAGATTAAAAGTTAATATCATCAGAGCCCTCAGGCTTTTGGCTCTGAGCTTTCTGACAGCCAAATGTATGGCTCACCATTTTCCAAAATGGGAAAGCTGTCTATAAAATGACAACTAAACAATTACTTACTAGAAGAATAGCAGCTCTTACTTCCATGAAAATCTTGCTAGAAAGGACTCTGTGAGAAATAATGATCTACATCCTTAAGAGACACATGATGGAAATTCTTTCTTATACTCTTCAGAGTAGCCTGATACATCATGTTAAAATTAATTCAATAAAATCAATTCTGGGATAACTGTGGATATAGGAACAATACTTCCATTTGTGTTGAGATTTTGTCACACTTGGCTAATTCTTTTAAAGACTGTATAATGGCATTTAATGGGGAAAAGAAGAGTCTAACAGTGAGGCATTTCTGGATTTAAATACCATCCCCACTGCTAAATAACTTTGCGGTCCTAAGCAATATTTTAATGCTGCTGAGTCTCAGCTTTCTCACTTTCGAGACTAAATGATGAACAGGAAAGCAGCTAGCATGGGGCCAGGCACATACTAAGTTCATTTTCTTGCTTCCTTCTGTAATCTTCGCAATGGCTAGCACAAGCCTCTAGAATTAGTAGGCACTCAATAAATATTTGCTCAACTGCATTCTGGCCTCTAGTATACCCTGGCCCTATTAAGTCCCTGAGGCCCAAAGGGACTCAAGGCTAAGTCCCTTGGGCCATCCTCAAAATGTAGATATCTCAGTGTGAGATTCTCTGATTTTTCTTAAAATCTGATGCCATGTAGGCAATGCTGTAAGATTGTAGACGCCTTAGAGTGGGCAGTTTCTAAAAGGGTTTCCAATGACCCCTGCTTCTGGTATTCATGGCCCTTTGTGTAATCCCCTTACCATTGAGTGTGAGCTGTATCCAGTGATTCGTTTCTAATGAATAGAACGCTACAAGGTGACAGGATGTTACTGCTGAGATTAGCTTACAAATGGCTAACTTCCATCTTGCTAACATTGCCTGCCCCCCCACCCTTCTCTCTCTCTCTCTCTTTCACCCCTCCCTACACACACACACACACACACACACACACACACACACACACACACACTCACACAGTTCTTCTTGCCTGCTTGCTCTTACAAAGTTGCCATGTTGTAAACTGCACTATAGGGAATCTCATGTGGGAAAGGAGAGCTACCTCCAACCAACAGCCAGTGGTACTGAAGCCTTAAATCTAACAACTCTTGAGGAACTGAATCCTGCTAACAACGATGTGAGTGAGTTTGGAAATGGATCTTTCCCCCATCAAATCTTTATATGATTGCAGCCACAGTTAACAACACCTTGATTATACCCTATGGGAAAAGCAGATGGCCCAGTTAAACTGTGTCCAGATCCCTGGCTCACAAAAACTATGACATAATAAATGTGTATTGTTTTAAGCTGCTTAATTTTGGAGTATTTTTATGCAGTAATAGATAACTAATATATATATTCCTTTAGCCTAGTGGGCACAAAGCCCCATCTCTGCTCTGACCTAGATTTCATTGTTTCCTAATGAGTACAAGATAATCACAGACAAAATAGTAACAATGGGAAAACAATATTGTACGCAAAGCTAATCTGAAATTTGCAATCCTCTTGATTTTAGCTGGTGTTTTAGGCAGTAAGGGAAACTCTGTGGTTAAGTTTTGAAACCCTGACCTTGCATTTGTAAGTGACTCCCAACTGGATTAATGAAATTTGAGCCTTCATTCCATTTCTGAGTGGTCTTCCAGCTATTCTCCTCCATAGAGCTTCCTGGAAAAGTCCTTAAAATGCAGCTTTAGTGCCACAGGCATTAAGAAAATAGTATTACTATTAGCCTGTCAAATGCATAGAATTACAGATATTAATAAATCAATCCTCAGGACCAATCTATAGAATAATGCTGGAAATAAAAATGCTTCCCATTGAGAAGTGTTGTGCATTCATTAATAAGCAGATTTTCCCTACCACTCTTTCTCTCTCTCTTTCCCTCTGTGAGCCCTAGAAAGATTCACAAACTTGGTTCTCTGGTGACTCTTTCCTACCCTATCCCAGCTACATTCCCCCCAACACACACACACACACACACACACACACACACAACTGAGATTTTACATGTGGGCAAATAACCCTTAGGAAAATGGTGGCATTTTTGACACATTGACAAATGTTTAAAGAATGCGCATTCTTATAGGACGTCCCGGTGATTTCTATGCACATCATACTTGCGAAGCATAGCCCTTACTTCAGTCTCACAGTTCGTCATTCTTTCCTAGTAGACTTCCATGAATTGTCCAGACAATATAGACTCACGAGATTGATTTCTGAATCTTCCTCCATGTTCTTCTTTCCCTATCCCCAAATTGAGAAGGGTTTGAGTAAACACTGTTCCCCTTGGGTGCAGGGGTAGTCAACAATCATCTAAGTTAGGTTAATCTTATGTTCTTAATACGTACCATATATTTTGAATTATAACTAGTGCATGTGGAAAATCTTTAAAAATTGAGAAAGTATTTGGAAAAAAACCTTGTAACTTCCCAGCTAAGCAGTTACCGTTTAGCTATACTGTCTTTGTCTTTCCTTCATGCATATGCATAATATATATTGAAATAATAAACAGTAAATATACAAATTCAGTCCTTAAGGTAGAATTCAATTTATACTATTTACACTTTTGTTTCAACTAATAATAAACAATAAACATTTCCACCTGCATTAAATCATCAAAATGTGACTTTATTGTCACATGGTACTACATCATAAGTTATGTCAGGTACATACTTTTGATTTAAGAGAAACATGCATGTATCCTCCACAAAACTGAGACATTATTTAAGCATTGTCATATTTTTCTTAAGGATAGAACAGTGCTGAGCACGTAGTAGATGCCTTCAGTAATATACCTTGTACTGAAGACAGGATGTCTGGGCACCTTATAAATATTTAATTGAATTTTCCCTCATAAAGAGTTATGTTAACAAAGGTCTTCAATCTACATATAATAAGTAATTTCAAAAAGGTTCAATGACAGATTGTATTCTTCTTTGATATAGGTGTATTTTTCTTTCATATAGGTTTCATGTTTCAAGAAGGTTTGGGACTATTGTGGTAATTCCCAGGGAACTTCTGATTTGGTATAAGTTCAGTACAAAGAGATGCTTTGAGGTAATATCACAAGTGGCAGTGGTATCACTACAATTTGGGTGATTTCTAAATAAAGTTACATATGGTTTGGCTGTGTGCCCCACCCAAATCTCATCTTGAATTGTACTCCCATAATTCTCACATATTGTGAGAGGGATCCAGTGGAGGATAATTGAATAATGGGGGCAGTTTCCCCCATACTTTTCTCATGGTAGTGAATAAGTCTCATGAGAGCTGATGGTTTTATCAGGGGTTTCCTCTTTTGCCTCTTCCTCATTCTCTCTTTGCCTGCTGCCATCTATGTAAAATGTGACTTGCTCCTCCTTGCCTTATGCCATGATTGTGAGGCTTCCCCAGCCATGTGGAACTGTGAGTCCAGTTAAAACTCTTTCTTTTGTAAATTGCCCAGTCTCGGGTATGTCTTTATCAGCAGCATGAAAACAGACTAATACAGAGTTCATCAGATAAGCCTGCTAATTGCTCTGTACAAATTTCAAAGTAAAGTCTTGTCTCTCCCAGTGTCCTACATTTCATCATTTCACAAAAACTCATCTCTGTGCCATCTAGTGTTAAGGAATCTGTTTCATATCATAATGCCCTTTCAATGGCAAACATTTAAAAAAGAATGAGTATCAGAAACCTAGCTCCAACTACTGGACTTGTATCTAGAGAAAGGTATCTCAACCTCAGCACTATTGGTACTGTGGGCCAGACAATTCTTTGTAGTCAGAGAATGGGGTGTCTTGTGCGTTGTAGGATAATTAGCAGCATCTCTGGGGTTTATCCACCAGAGGCCAGTAGCAAAATCCCTTCTCCCCCCAAATTGTAACCAGAAATGTCTCCAGATATTGTCAAACTTCCTCTGGGTGGACAAAATCATTCTCCTGTTTAAGAACGATTGATCTCATCACACCTACCAGGAATGCTAGCATTTTTTTTTTTTTTTTTTTTTGAGACGGAGTCTCGCTCTGTCCCCCAGGCTGGTGTGCAGTGGCATGATCTCAGCTCACTGCAAGCTCCGCCTCCCAGGTTCACGCCATTCTCCTGCCTCAGCCTCCTGAGTAGCTGGGACCACAGGCGCCAGCCACCACGCCTGGCTAATTTTTTGTATTTTTAGTAGAGATGGGGTTTCACCGTGTTAGCCAGGATGGTCTCCATCTCCTGACCTTGTGATCGCACGTCTTGGCCTCCCAAAGTGCTGGGATTACAGGCGTGAGCCACCGCGCCTGGCCTAGCATTTTTTTAAAAAAGGAAAATAACAAGTGTCAACAAGGATGTAGAGAGATTTGAACCTTCATGCATTGCTGGTGGAAATGCAAAATTGTGCCGCCATTGTGGAAAATAGTCTGGTAGTTTCTCAAAAAGTTAAACATAGAACTACCATATGACCCAGCAATCCACTTATGGGCCTATATATAAAATAATTGAAAGAAGGGACTCAAACTAATATCTATAGACCAACGTTCAAAGCAACTTTATTCACAACAGTAAAAGGGTGGAAATACCCAATTGTCTATCAACAGAAGAATGAATAAACAAAATGTGGTATGTACATACAATGGAATATAATTCAATCATAAAAAGAAATGTAATTTTGATATATGCTATAACATGGGTGGACCTTGAAAACATTATGTTTAGTTACATAAGCCAGAAGGATGATATTGTGTGATCTCACCTATATGAAATATCTAGAATAGCCAAATTCATAGAGGCAGAAGGTGGAATAGAGGTCAATAGAGGCTTCAGGGAGAGAGGAGGGGGAATTATCATTTAGTAGGTACGTGTTATGGTTGGGATGAAAAAAATTGGGAGGTATAATAATGGTGATGAATACATAGCATTGGGAATGTATTTAATGCCACTGAATTACAAACTTACAAATGTTTAAAATTATAAACATTGTTATATACCTTTCACAATAAAAAAAACCAAACGAAAAAAGAATTACCGATCTAGAGTAATCATTTACATTTAGGAAAATAGAAAATAAGCCAAACATATACATAACTTTTCATTCTTAAATGTGCACAGCTTTTAAAATTTATTTATTTATGTATTTATTTATTTTAGATAGAAGGTAAATGGGGAGAAAAAAGAAAACGCTAGCCTAGGAAGTTAATACACCTATATTTTTGCCCTAATTCACTGTATAAAGGAAAGCATGTTATTTCACCTCCTTTATCCTCCTTCTCATCTATAAATTATAAGATTTACATTAATAGCACAATGATCATTTGTAGTTGTACATTTCCAGATTTAATAATTCTATGTATGAGCCTGTGAAAATCAGCATTGAATAAATTATGAGAAATCCTGATAAGAAGTATCATAACCTCAAGATACAATTTTAAAGCACTTCTTTACGCAGAAGTATCAGAAAATGGTTAGGCATTTCTGCCTAACTCTATTGAAGTTTACAAAGTGTAATGATCCGAAACCTACAATCTTAAAACAATATTTCCAATGCACAAAGATTTCAGTGTTTCCTGGGGGGAAGTTTATTAATTCTGCTTTCCAACTTAAAGGTATAAGATTATTTAAAACAGCACCCCTGTTTTCTTCCTTTCCCCATTTTCTTTGTCATACACCTTCTTTATTACCCACTTCTCTCTCATGTAACAGAAAGTTTAAATTCCAAAAGTTATATGAGAATATCATTAGAAGTATATTTATTTAGGGTATGTTTAGCTACAGTACTCACAAATAATAATAATGGTGATAATTACTATAAATAATAGCTAACATTCTTGAGTGCTTCCCTGTGTGCCATCTGCATTATTATCTTTAATGCAATATCCTAAGTCTTGCAGCCATCATATTAGTAGATACCATTATGCCTTCCATTTCATAGATGCAGAAACTGGTCTCATAGCTATTGCACAATGAAGCTGGGATCTAAAAACTAGGTATTTCTGAAGATAGAGTCTGAACTCTGAGCTGAGTCTAATGGTTGCCTTGTCTCAAGCCCACGGCCATCATAAGCAAGGAATCAAGAGCACTTATCATAAGTGGAGAGGAAGTGGTATGTTACCCTGTCTGTTTGCAGGGAATGAGTAAATTCATTGATAAATTGATAAATTAATGAATAATGGCTGACCAAATCCCAACACAGGTAATATCTTTCTCAGCTTGAAAAGATCTGTTATGAGAAGGGGCCACACTGAACACCCACTCCCAAGCTTCTTTCTATAACAGAACATACTAAGAGCAATTGCTTTTTAAACTATGTTTAATTGCTCTTAATACTTTAAAAGTATTAAAAATAATACTTTTAATATTTTTGCTTTAATACTTTAAAAGTATCAAAAATAACTTCAGACAGAATAAATTATTTTTAGATCCTTGGCAAAGAAAGGATAGAGTCATTTCATCTACTACACACAAAGCTGGGTGGTTTTTGTTTGCTTTTTTGGTGACTTACAGAAACCACTGCCTTGAAAAAGAATAGAGACCATCACCTTATCATACCACATTTCTTCCTCCTCCCAACTCCACTGGCTAGTTCTGCCCCAGCCTGTAAAACCAACAGACAGAATGCTTCTTAGATACATCTTTTGGTCTCTTCATGGCCTCAAGGTTGGATGTCTTAGGGTCTCTCTTTCCTAATGTCCCCTTGAGCCCTTGTGTAAAGATGGTTTCTCACATCTGAGCAGATATTCTAGTCGCTTACCTTTCTCATCAGTACTCCATCAAATCCTTCCATACTACCTTTTGAATATCAGGAGGATAAGGTTTTTAAATGAATCAGAAAAGCCTGATGACTTAAAGTCTTTTTGAAATATTTTATATCACCAAGTTGCCTGACGACTTACCAACTTACCAGGTTAATTCATGTGTATTTCTGAATCTTTCCATTTCCCCCTAACAGGGAGATAGATATTCCCATGAACACAATTGTATGCCTAGATTGAGATTGGATTACTTTTCAGGCACTTATCCACAGCCTGCAGATGTAAGTAAAAAATATAGACACAGAAAATCATATTGTGTCAGTGGGGTACTTATAGCCTTGGCAGCCTTGATCTTTTAGCACACCTCTAAAAGACTGTTTTTCTCATTTAGGAAGGTTGAAAAAATAGATGCCTTTGAAGCTAGAGACAGATGTAAAACTCCTCTACATCTAACAAAGTTGGCTCAGACCTAAAAGCAATCAAAATAAAATAGAATGAAAGGCTTTAAATTCCTCACCATTTTAGCTCTTTGTTGATAAATCTCTTGGAATGGATTATTTTCCAAGCATAGATATTTCTTCCTATTTTGCTAGAGTGCTTTTTGTCTGTGATTTCAGAAAAGAAGAAAGAAACCCAAAATTAGAAGGAAAAGAATAATTTTCCATTGTATCCAAGATTTAGGCATTTTCTTATTTTTATTAATTTTTATTTTAGGTTCGGGGGTACACGTGCAGGTTTGTTATATAGGGAAATTGCATGCCACAGGGGTTTGGTGTACATATTCTTTCATCACCCTAGTATCATAAGCATAGTACCTGATAGGTAGTTTTTTTAATAAAAACTCACCCTCCTTGCACCCTCCACCCTCAAGTAGGCCCCAGCGTCTCTTGTTCCCTTCTTTGCATCCACGTGTACTCAATGTTTAGCTCTCACTTATAAGTGAGGACATGTAGCATTTGGTTTTCCACTCCCAGGTTAACATGCTTAGGATAATGGCCTCCAGCTTCATCCACATTGCTGGAAAAGACATGATCTCATTCGTTTTATGGCTGTGTAGTATTCCATGGTGTATATGTACCACATATTCTTTATCCAGTCCAATATTAATGGGCACTTAAGTTCATTCCATGTCTTTGCTATTGTGAATAGCACTGCAATGAGCATACACTTGCATGTGTCTTTATGGTAAAATGATTTACACTCATTTGGGTATATAACCAGTAATGGGATTACTGGGTTGAACGATAGATCTTTTTAAAATTATTTGAGAAATCTCCAAACAGCTTTCCACAATGGCTGAACTAATTTACACTCCCACAAGCAATACATAAGCCTTCTCTTTTCTTCACAACTTCTCCAGCATCTGTTATTTTTTGACTTTCTAATAATAGCCACTCTCACTGGTATGAGATGGTATCTCATTGTGGTTTTGATCTGCATTTCTCTAATGATTAATGATGTTGACCATTTCTTCATATGTCTGTTGGCCGTGTGTGCATCTTCTTTTGAAAAGTGTCTGTTCATGTCTTTTGCCCACTTTTCAATGGGGATGTTTATTTTTTGCCCGATTTGAGTTACTTATAAATTCTGGATATTAGACCTTTGTCACATGTATAGATTACAAAGATTTTCTCCCAGTCTAGGTTGTCTGTTTACTCTGTTGATAGTTTCTTTTGCTGTGCAGAAGCTCTTTAGTTTAATTAGATCGCATTTGTCAATTTTGGGTTTTGTTACAATTGCTTTTGGCATCTTCATTGTGAAATCTTTGCCAGGGTCGATGTCCAAAATGGCATTTCCTAGGTTATCTTCCAGAGTTTTTATAGTTTTAGATTTTACATATAAGTCCTTAATTCATCTTGAGTTGATTTTTGTATATGGTGTAAGGAAGAGGTCCAGTTTCAATCTTTTGCATATGGCTACCCAGTTACCCTGGCACCATTTGTTGAATAGGGAGTCTTTCCCTATTGCTTGTTTTTATCAACTTTGTGAAAGATCAGATGGTTGCATGTTTGCAGCATTATTTCTGGGCTCTCTATTCTGTTCCATTTGTCTATTGTTATACCAGTACCATACCGGTTTTGTTACACTAGCCTTGTAATATAGTTTGAGGTCAGGTAATGTGATGCTTCATGCTTTGTCCATTTTCCTTGGGATTGACTTAGCTATTTGTACTCTTTTTTAGTTCCATATGAATTTTAGAATAGACTCTTCTAATTCTGTGAAGAATGTCATTGATAATTTGATAGGAATAGCATTGAATCTATAAATTGCTTTGACAAGTATGGCCATTATAGCAATATTAATTCTTCGTTTACAAAGCATAGCATGTGTTTCCATTTGCTTGTGTATCTCAATTTCTTTTGGCAATGTTTTGTAATTCTTATGGTACAGATCTTTAACCTATCTCATCAGCTGTATTTCTAGTCTTTTTACTCTTTTGTGGCTATTGTGAATGAGATTGCATTCTTGATTTGGCTCTCAGCTTGGATGTTCTTGGTTTATAGAACCAAGATTTTTGCACATTGACTTTGTATCCTGAAACTTTGCTGAAGCTGTTTATCAGCTCTAGGGGTTTTAGGGCAGAGACTTTTGAGTTTTCTAAGTACAGAATCATATCATCTACAAACAAAGATAGTTTGGCTTCCTCTCTTCCTATTTGGATGCCTTTCCTTTCTCTTGCCTGATTGCTCTGGCTAGGACTTCCAGTACTATGTTGAATAGGAGGAGTGAGAGTGGGCATCCTTGTCTTGTTCCTGTTCTGAAGGGGAATGCTTACAGGTTTTGCCCGTTCAGTATGATGTTTGCTGTGGGTTTCTCATAGATGGACTCTTTATTATTTTGAGATATGTTGCCTCATTGCCTAGTTTGTTCAGGGTTTTTAACATGAAGTGATGTCAAATTTTATCAAAAGTCTTTTCTGCATCTATTGAGATGATCATGTGGTTTTTGGTTTTGCTTTTGTTAATGTGATGAATCACATTTACTGATTTGCATACATTGAACCAACCTTGCATCCCAGGGCTAAAGCCTACTTGATGGTTGTGGATTAGCATTTTGACAAAGTTGCTGGATTCCGTTTGCTAGTATTTTGTTGAGGATTTTTGCATCAACGTTTATCAAGCATATTGGCCTGAAGTTTTCTTTTTTTGTTGTGTCTCTGCCAAGTTTTGGTATCAGAATGATGCTGGCCTCATAGAATGAGTTAGGAAGGAGTCCCTCCTCCTCATGACCTTCGGAATAGCTTTACCAGTTCATTGTTTTGCCAGCTCTTGTATCTGATAAAATTCAGCTGTTAATCCATCTGGTCCTGGATTTTTTTTTTTTTTGGCTAATAGGCCCTTTATTACAGACTCAATCACAGAACTCATTATTGGTCTCTTCAGGGACTCAATTTCTTTCTGGTTCAATCTCTGGAGGTTGTACGTTTCCAGGAATGTATTTATTTATTCTAGGTTTTCTAGTCTCTGTGCATGCATAGAGGTGTTCATAGTACTCTGAGAGTTTTTTGATGTTTCTTTTGGGTTGATGGTAATGACCCTTTTGTCATTTCTGATCATGTTTATTGGGATCTTCTCTCTTTTTTTCTTTATTAGTCCAGTTAGCAGTCTATCAGTCTTATTTATTTTTCAAAGAAAAAACTGGACTCAGATCTTTTTTATGGTTTTTCACATCTTAATTTCCTTCAGCTCAGCTCTAATTTTGATTATTTGTTTTCTGCTAGCTTTGGGGTTGTTTGCTCTAGTCTTTCTAGTTTTTTTTTTTTTTTAATTGCAATGCTAGGTTGTTCAACTGAGACATTTCTAACTTTTTTATGTGGGTGTTTAGTCCTGTAAACTTTCCTCTTAACACTGCTTTAGCTGTATCCCAGAGATTCTGGTATGTTGTATCTTTGTTCTCATTAGTTTCAAAGAATTTCTTAATTTCTGCCTTAATTTCGTTGTTTACCCAAAAGTCATTCAGGAGGAGGCTGTTTAATTTCCATGTAATTGTATGGTTTTGAACAATTTTCTTAGTATTGATTTCCATTTTTATTGCACTGTGGTTCAAGAGTGTGGTTGCTATAATTTCTATTTTGGGTTTTTTAATTTGCTGAGAATTGTTTTATGGCTGATCATGTGGTCAATTTTAGAGTATGTCTCATATACAGATGAGAAGAGTGCACATTCTGTTGTTTCTTGGTTAAAAATTCTGTAGATATCTGTTTGGTCCATTTGGTCAAATATCGAGTGCAGGTCCTAAATATCTTTGTTAGTTTTCTGCCTTGATGTAAAGGGGGTGTTGAAGTTTCCCACTATTATTGTGTGACTAAGTTTCTTCATAGGCCTCTAAGAACTAGCTTTATGAACCTGGGTGCTCCAGTGTTGGGTGCATAGATATTTAGGATAGTTGTGTCTTCTTGTTGAATTGAGCTCTTTACCATTAGGTACTTCCCTTCTTTGTCATTTTTTATCATTTTTGGCTTAAAGTCTTTTTTCTTTGAAATTAGAATAGCAACCCATGCTTTTTTTTCAGATTGCTTGGTAGATATTTCTTCATTTCCTTACTTTGAGCCTATGGCTTTTATTCCATGTGTGATGGGTCTCTTGTAAACAGCATACAGTTGTTTCTTGCTTCTCTATCCAACTTGCCACTCTGTGCCTTTTAATTGGCCCATTTACATTCAAGGTTAATATTGATATATGCATATTTTATCCTGCCATCATGTTCTTAGCTGGTTACTTTGCAGACTTGATTGTGTGGCTGCTGTACAATGTTGATGGTCTATGTACTTAAGTGTGTTTTTGTGGTGGCTGGTAATGGTCTTTCCTTTCCATACTCAGCACTCACTTAATATCTCTTAAGACAGGCCTGGTGGTAATGAATTCTCTTAGCATTCATTTGTCTGAAAAGGATCTTATTTCTCCTTTGCTTATGAAGCTTAGTTTGGCTGGATATGAAATTCTTGGTTGGAATGTATTTTCTTTATAATTACTGAATACAGGCCTCCAATCTCTTCTGGCTTGTAGGTTTTCTGCTGAAAGGTCTGTTGTTAGCCTGATGGGGGTCCCTTTATAAGCGACCTACCTCTTCTCTCTAGCTGCTTTTAACAATTTTTCTTTCATTTTGTCCTTAGAGAATCTGATGACTATGTGTCTTAAGGATGGTTGTCTTGCATAGTATTTCACAGGGGTTCTCTGCATTTCCTGAATTTTAATGTTAGCCTCCCCAGTGAGATTGGGGAAATTTTCATGAATGGTATCCTTAGATATGTTTTCCAAGTTGTTGCTTTCTCTCCCTCTCATTCAGGGATGCCAATGAGTAACAGATTTTGTCTCTTCATATAATCCCATATTTCTCAGAGGTTTCTCACATTCTTTATTGTTTTTTCTTTATTTTTATGTGACTGAGTTATTTTGGAGAACTAGTCCTCAAACTCTGAAATTCTTTCCTCAGCTTGGTCTATTCTGCTTCTGAAATTCTTGAAGTGAATTTTTCATCTCTCTCAGATCAGTTTGGTTCTTTCTTAAAATGGCGATTTTATCTTTCATCTCCTGTATCATTTTATTGTATTCCTTAGATTCCTCAGATTGAGTATTTGATTTTCACCTGAATCTCTATCTTCATTCCTATCCATATTCTGAATTCTATTTCTGTCATTTCAGCCATTTTACCCTAGTTAAGAACCATTGCAGGGAAACTAGTGCAATTGTTTGGAGGTAAGAAGACACTCTGGCTTTTTGAGTTGCCAGAGTTCAAGCTCATGAAAACAGCTAAAATTCAAACAGACGAGAATGTAGACCTACTCATACATTGCTAATGGTAATATACATTGTTAAAAATTATTGTATGGTTTTTATTTCTCCTTCACAACTAATAAGCAGTTGGGAGAAACACTTTATAAGAATGTAAACATGCTGCTTCTTATAAAAATTTCTGCCTCGATTAAACATTTAACTGATAAGTTTTGCCTGAAACACTCTTCATTATAATGATTGTAAAATGATTTTCCATACCCCACATTCTCTCTACATTTACCAGTTAGCAAGAACTGTGAGCAGTAACTCCTTTCACCCCCATCTTCCACCTATCTACCTATTTATTATTAAGATAAATTAGTAGATTACTGATTTTTTGATGGTTGACCATTTACTACTGTTGATTATTTTGCACTCAAATTGTCCCAGATTTTGCCAGTAGGAATCCCTTTAAGTTAGCACCTGTGTCCTTGGGATATGCCTCAACATTATTAATTTTTTCAATTTCTTCACCTTTTGACTCTCTTTAAAATGTTTAGCAGCAAATCCAGCAGGAACGCATTTCTTCTTTTTATGAACTCTTTAATATCTAAATCTCCCCAAGCTCTCTTTCATACCTGTCGTAGCCCTCCTACTATACCAACACATTCCCACAAAGGAGAAAATTATTATTGCAGCTTTATCACCAGTACCTATGGCATAATATGCACCAGGTGCCCAAATACACACACACACACACACACACACACACAACACACATTTCCTTCTCTCCCTGCATCATTATCAGTCCCATAAAGGTAGCCATTAACTGTCACATTTCTATTTCATTGGTTCCCAGGACAGTGCTTTTTCATACAGCAGGTACTCAATAAGCATTTGTTGAATAAACTGAGAACATCGAGAGAGAGAGAGAGAATCTTCAAGGATAAATTCAAAAATGTTGGCAATGTTGGGCAATGAGGTGTAGAGTATGATGTGAAAAGACCAAAGCTCAACATGTTGTTTTTCCAATCAACTGTCCATTTTCTATGTGGTAGTGACACTGATTTCTGTGACCAATGCCCAAGTTTCTTGAGTGACTCAGGCTTGTGGCCTGAATATGCTGCCAAGAGCTAATTGCCTTTCATGCTGCTCTAACAGTAATGACAACCACCATTTATTGAGTGCATGGCATGCTCCAGGCAGTGAGATGGGTGGTGACCTTCCTTCAGTCAGTTCCCTGGACAATCATAGGAGCCAAGGAGTACACCATTTATGACTTCAAATTATTAACATTAAAATCAAATTTTACCAGAAAGTAATTTTCTTATATGGAGTCAGTTGTCTTCCCTAGTTATAAAGTTAAAGTCAATGTGGTAATTTGCTGGATGTTGTGTACTAATATTCAGTGTCTTCACCACCCTTCTATGGTTGCCCTTACACCATGGGATCTGAAAGCATTGAAAATGCGTAACTCAGTCTTCCCTTCCAACAGGGAGCTAGATTCAGACAATGACAGAGAATCTCTGGCATGAGTCCATTTTCATGCTGTCGATAAATACATACCCGAGACTGGGAAATTTACAAAATAAAAAGATTTAGTGGACGTATAGTTCCACATGGCTGGGGAGGTCTCACAATCGTGGCAGAAGGTGAAAGGCACATCTCACATGGTGGCAGACAAGTGAAGAGTGAGAGCAAAGTGAAAGGGGTTTCCCCTTATAAAACCAACAGATCTCATGAGGCTTGTTCACTACCATGACTACAGTAGGAGGGAAACCACCACCATGATCCAATTATCTCCCACTGAGTCCCACAACAATGGGAATTATGGGAGATACAATTCAAGATGAGATTTGGGTGGGGACACAGCCAAACTATATCAGTGGCACAGAAGAAAACTTCATCCCTATCACCCAGCACTACTATCACACAAGCACATACACAAGCACACACACCAGCACACACAAACATGCACACAAAACAGAAACAAATGCATACGCATCATCCCATTACTTAAGGGCAAGGCTTTCATTGGCTTGACTTCTCCTAACAGGGCCAGGCAGCAAAGTAGGGTCCTAATTATTACTGAATCAATTGATCTACTTTACTTATCAGAGCAAATTTACTAAATCAAACCATTATGCCAGCTGGGACAAAGTGACCTCTAGAAAGTCATTTTTTTTTATTCAGGACATGTTTTAAGCATACCCAGTCTCACTATTTGATTCTAAATGTTAGTGTAAATTTTATATTTTTAAGGGGGAAAAATCATCACCAAGGTAATTTTTAACACAAATGCTATTACCTGCCTTACTTTTTTCTTCCACAATTAGATAATCACCCAAATCCCAAAAACCTTAAAAGTTGGGTAGATAAAGATGGAGAAGAAAGACTTTTCAGGTTGAGAAACTATCCTAAATAAAAACATGGAAAACAAGGAAAAGAATATAGAAAGGGTTTTTTAGAGGCAGAGAGAAGACAGTGAAACATTTAAATACATTCAATTCAATTCAGATAGGAGTTCTGTTCTTTTAACTTATAGCTCCATTGAATATCCCAGCATTGTGAGAAATAGAAAAGAGATAATACATTCTTCTTGAACTCTGTAAATCTGAAATCTCACTTGTGCAATAACAGCTGCAGTTAGGATGACAAACTCTCAAATTTTGCCTGGGACAGAGGGATTTCCCAAGACATGGGATTTTTAGTATTAAAACCAAGAAAGTTCTGGGCAAACTGAGACAGCTTGGTTCTTCTACCTACAGGCATGAAAGAAAGATTTTAGAATGTCTTCTCAGTTTTACTTTAATAAAAACTCTAGAAGTAAATTATATTCATATAATCCTTTTCAGTTTATCAGAGTGTTTCTATACACATTAACTTAATTATCACAATAGCTCTTGGGTTAGTAATCCTCAACCTCAACTGTGCATTAAAATCACTTGGGGAGCTTTAAAAAATCTAGATGCTTGAGAATTACTTCATACAAATTAAATCAGGCGTCATATTTTGTGAAACTCCCTGATGAGTCCAATGTGCAACTGAGATTGAAAACCGCTGACTGGTTTAATTCTAAAGAGCTCGATTTTACAGAAGAACATAGAGTTTTAGAGTGATTGAGGTCACACAGTTATTTTGTAACAGAGTTGGAACATAATCCCTAATCTTCTACAGTAATAAAGAAGTTCTATTAACAACTAAAATTACTGTAATTCAGATAAATAATTAAGAATCAGAATCCCTTCCATGCCAAACTACAATTTGTCCCAGAGGTAGATTAAGAAGCCAAAGAAAGAAAATGAAAATAATTGGAGGAATATTATGGTTGAACCTCATTGTTCCAGCAGTAGAATTTCTCCTTTGGAAGAGAATTTACTGGGCATATATAAATTGTATGCTTGAAGTGAAAATGTTACCCACACAATGGGTGAGCTTTATTGCTTGTGGGTGACAGTCCAATGACCACAACCAAGGAGGACTTAACAAGGGGATTTTATTACTTTCAAAAGTAAGGACATCACGATAGTCCCCTCAAAGCAGTGCCCTCCTGAATAATGGTGAAAACAGGGCTTTTATTGGGCTGGTTGGCTGCATCATTGCATGAAGAGGTGCAGTAAAGTCGGTATAGGCACAGTCGCAGATCATGCTTCTACATATATTGCATATACAAAGAATGAAGAATAAGCTCCTCCCTGGGCAGGGTTTTTAGTATGGTAATGAGGGGAGTTCCCCAAAATTAATTTCCTACTCAGGTATTTTTGGATCCAAATGAGATGTTTTTGTATTTCCAGGGCTGAGCTTCTTCCTGGAACTTTTTGAAACAACTGGAACTCAAGGTGCAACAGTTACAAATAGGTACTTTTTCACAGTGTATACCCCAAACTGGGGACTATGGGTTACAAAAAGATGAGTTTCCCACCTCTTGCCCTGCTACCAAAGAGCATACTTAAGAAAAAACAAGGAGTCACAGTTTGGCTAATGACTACATTTATGTTTTACTGAGTGAAGTTCATAAGTTGAATTCAAAGCTGACTCACCTACAACAAAACTGGAATTTCTAGAAAGAGAGGCATCAAGTAAAAGCAAGATAAGAGCTATGAGAAAGAATGAAGATGAGTAACAGTCATGGGAAAGGAACCTTGTGAAGGAAAATCGGATATATTTATTGTAAAATCTGATTCTGCTTGCTCATTCCCCCAGAACACTTCAGTAAAATCTTCTTTCCTTTTTATTGAGTGTGGCATTAAACCAGGTTTGGAAGATGCAATTGTGTAGATGGGAGAATTGTCCCACCTGAGCTATATTAGGAATATTCGAACATTTCTATATTCACATAGTATATATTCATTAACCAACTACTATGTACTAGGTACCAGGATAGCCTCCAGAATAAAAAGATGAAAAAAGTGCCTCTTGCCCAGGGGAAGGTTACTTGCAATTCAGAGTTTGATAAGTCAGTCTTTACTTCTTAGTATTCCAATAGAACAAAGGTAGTGCTTCATAATTCCTTGTGAAATTAGAGACTTTTAGGGACTGTGCCACAGTTTCTGATAAATTAAAACTCATACCTCAAACAAAACATTCTAGGTGATACTATGCTTACACAGTGCTGCACTACTTTTATGTGCTTACAGTGGAACATTGGAGAAAACTGAGACCTCAGAAAAACTATCCGCTGAGATGAATATTGACCCATTGAACCTGAAGCTTACATTAAAGATGGGAAACATGTGAGTTACACTCAGCAGGTGGGCAATATTCATGTCCTACATGGTAGGATAGCCAAGGAAAGCTTTGCTGTCTGTGTACTGTGCAAATGCTTAAATGCAGCCAGTCCTCTGCAAGTCTCTGTTTGTTCTCAATAGTTCCTATACCCTGGCTTGATATGCTATGGCAAAAATCATCTAAGCATCTTTCTTCAAAACATGGAGCAGCACAGAAGAGGCACTGTTATGGTTAATGCTGTGTGTCAACTTGATTGGATTGAAGGATGCAAAGTATTGTTCCTGGGTGTGTCTGTGAGGGTATTGCCAAAGGAGATTAACATCTGAGTCAGTGGACTGGGAAAGGCAGACCCACCCTCAATGAAGGTGGGCACCATCGAATCAGCTGCCAGCATGGCCAGAATAAAAGCAGGCAGAAGAACATAGAGAAATTAGGCTGGCCTAGCCTCCAAGCCTACATCTATCTCCTGTGCTGGGTGCTTCCTGTCCTCAAACATTGGACTCCAACTTCTTCAGCTTTGGGACTCAGACTAGCTTTCTTGCTTGTCAGCTTGCAGATGGCCTATTGTGGGACCTTACGTTGTGATTGTGTGAGTTAATATTCCTGAATAAACTCCCCTTTATATACATACATATGTATATGTATGTATATATCCTATTAATTCTGTACATCTAGAGAACCCTGACTAATATAGACACTTAAGGAGCATACTTTCCTGTGTTAGAAACACATTTTAACTCTACAGATCATATCCAGGAGTTTGAATTAAAGGTTATATGGAAAAAACTAAGAGGGAGAATAATTCTTTTCTAATACTTGCAAACATCATTACCACAAAGGAAAATCTTTAAAAAGAAAAAATCATTAAGAGCATTTAAAATAGGGCAACAATAACTGTCAAAACTGTGAAATTAAGAGCAAGTTTAAGAGTTATGGTCCTCAGGAGTCGCCCAAGAGACACAAACCTACTATTTTTGAAGATGAATTTACAAGCCTTTAGTACTTAGAAATGGAACCTGGAACTGCATGCATGAACTTCAAATTTGCCCAGGAGTCACCAAAGGGATCATTCACTTATACACCCCTTTAATTCAGAATTCAGCCAAGATCCTGAACCACGATGATCACGTATGTTTTATAGTCCAACCACAAAGCAAGAAATCCTGGAATTTATCAATTTTAACAAGATGTATTAGTTCATTTTCACACTGTTGATAAAGACATACCCAAAACTGGGAACAGAAAGAGATTTAATAGGACTTATAGTTCCACATGGCTGCGGAGGCCTCAGAATCATGGCGAGAAGCAAAAGGCACTTCTTACATGGCAGCAGCAAGAGAAAGATGAGAGAGAAGAAAAAGTGGAAACCCCTGATAAACCCATCAGATCTCATGAGACTTATTCACTATCACGAGAATAGCATGGGTAAGATCTCATGAGACTTATTCACTATCACGAGAATAGCATGGGTAAGACCAGCCCCCATGATTCAATTACCTCCCCCTGGGTCATTCCCACAACATGTAGGAATTCTGGGAGATACAATTCAAGTTGAGATTTGGGTGGGGACACAGCCAAATCATATCACAAGAATATATTCATGATTAAAAATAAGTCATCACAAAAAACTAGATACCAGAGAGGAGAATTTGGTAGTCAAACTTTCTTTGTGCTTTGTTTAGAATAAATTGTTAAAGAAAGTGAGGGGAAGAGAAAGAGAGCCCATAAAGGATAAGAAACATTAGGGGATTACTTGAAAAGTACTGGAAGAAAACTTATTAAGTCAGAAAATTCTTCTACATATTAAGAAAAGTAGAGCATCCTCAGCAACATACAAAAAAAAAAAAAAGAGTGGGGTGGTTAAGACAATGCATCTTATGGGAATGAGCTTGAGCTTCAAGTTACTTTTCTTGCTGGGAGTGTTGTGAGACAGTTTTATAATCACTGGGTCTCAGTTTCCCTATTGTAAGTGTAGAATAAAATATATAATCAGTCTCACATTCTTTAACTCAGCTCTGGATGAATTTATAAATGAAACTAGAAGCCCTAAGCCACTGAAACAACTGTCACATCCAGTACCTAATAGTTAGCTTAGGTACTGGAGGGGACAAAACCCTGAGCTGGTTGTTAAAATTTGTCAGTAGTTAAGGAATGGGTGAGAAAATATTTACATACAAAACAAATAAATTCTATCTATAGTTATTCTATACAATGTCATCAGAGAGGTGAACAAATCTAAAACTTACAGAGATTTGGTTTAATAATTACAAGGACTTGTAACCTTGGAGAGTTTTTTAAAAAAATTATAGGAAACCACATTTATTAAATTATTTGTTGTAGAAAATCATGTTTGTCCACTTCAAGATGAAAGTACTATCATAGCAAGTTGACTTCACACTCAAGCCACTAACCATAACCTTATTTCAATTAGTGTGCATACATTCCTAAAATTAGGAAGAGAATTAAAGACATAACTTTTTGCAAAAATTTTGTTTACAAGTAAAATTAAGTGACTGTAAAAGACAAGCTTTAAAACACAACACAAAGTCTCGGTTTGCCACTATAAACAGGACTCTCCTTATAGGCCATTAAAAGGATTAAATGAGAAAAATGTGTAAAGTGCTCTGTGTCAGTGTGATACACACCAAGGACTTAGTGTTCTATTACTATGTTAGCTCAGCAACTAGGGTGTGTTCCTAGTATGGACTGAATTGCCCCGCCCCCTGCTCAAATTCATATGTTGAAGCCTTAACACCCATGTGACTGTATTTGGAGACAGGTCTTTCAGAGATAACTAAGGTTAAACGAAATCTTAAAGGTGAGGCCCTGATCCTATAGGACTGTGGCAAGAGAGAGATCTCTCTCTTTCTATCTTCCAGATGAGGACACAGCAAGAAGGCCCCTTTCTATAAGCCAGGAGAAGAGCCCTCACTAGAAACCGAATCAGTAGGCACTTTGACCTTGGACTTCCCAGCCCCTAACATTGTGAAAAATAAATTTCTGTTGTGTAAGCCACCGAGTCTATGGTATTTTTTAATGGGAGCCCAAGCAGACTGATACAGTTTCCATACTACGATACTCCATATCACCAAATTCTCTTTCCTTACACCTATCACCCTTCACTATCATGTGTTTAATCAAACGGTGGAATGAAATAATCTCTTCACAGTAGGAGAGATGCATGGTTTATAATTAGTCCAATGCTTCAGGTCTGTACAACTCCAAGTCTCTCTATCTGAAATGGGCTGGTTTCAAACTGCCTTTCTTTCTTAAGAATCAGTTTCTCAGGTGCTGCTTTCATATTTGAATTCAAGAGCATCCTTCCATATGTGTCTATAGCCCAAGTCTATGCATTGCGCCTCTTCAGGTTGTAGTGAAAAAAAAGTTATTGCTCACTTGGGGTATTAATCAGGGTTCTCCAGGGAGACAGAACTAATAGGATATATGTATATATGAAAGGGGAGAATTGGCTCACACAATCACAGGGTGAAGTCCCACAATAGGCCATCTGCAAGCTAGGAACGAAAGAAGCCAGGAGTGGCTCAGTCTGAGTCCAAAAGCCTCAAAAGCAGGGAATAGGGAGGCTGACAGTGTAGCCTTCAGTCTGTGGCCTTAGGCCCAAGGGCCCCAGGCAAACAAACCACGGGTGTAAGTTCAAGAGTCCAAAGGCCGAAGAACCTGGAGTCTGATGTCCAAGGGCAGGAGGGTGGGAGGAACAGAAGGAAACATCCAGCATGGGAATAAGATGAAAGCCAGAAGACTCAGCAAGCCAGCTCATTCCACCTTCTTTCACCTGCTTTGTTCTAGTCACACTGGCAGCTGATTGGATGCTGCCCACCCACATTGAGGTTGGGTCTTCCTCTCTCAGTCCACTAACTCAAATGTCAATCTCCTCTGGCAACACCCTCACAGACACACCCAGAAACAACATTTTACCAGCTATCTAGGCATCCTTCAATCCAATCTAGTTGACACCTAATATTAACCATGAGATTTGGTAACCTATCAAGAGTTTCATTTGGGCTATCTAAGCAGTTACCACCATCCCTACAAGAAGTGGATCTATCCTGCCTTAAATAATACATCTATTCCACAACAGGCCCCGGTGTGTGATGTTTCCCTTCCTGTGTCCAAGTGTTCTCTAGGAGATATACCTAATGTAAATGATGAGTTAATGGGTGCAGCACACCAACATGGCACATGTATACATATGTAACAAACCTGCACATTGTGCACATGTACCCTAGAACTTAAAGTATAATAAAATATATATATGTATGTATATGTATATATATATATAAAATACATCTATTCATTCAGAGCTTGTCCCTCAGATGCCTCATGATTAAGATGAGAAAGTTCTTGGGAAGAATCTCTAGCTTCTTTTTGCCACTTTGTAGAAACCTATGCTATTTAATTCTGCTCATGTGCTGAAGTTATTTGTTCATCCACTCATTTAGTTATTCTCATTGTTTATTGAATATGTTTTAGGTATAAAATCCATGACAGAGGAAATATTTTTTAATTTAGTCTTGGGAACAAACAAAAAAGTTAAAAGGCAAATATATAATTTAGAATTGTAATAAATATTATAAAGAATAAAGGGCATACTATGTGTGATGGTTAATATTGAGTGTCAACCTCATTGGACGGAAGGGTGCAGTGTTGTTCCTGGGTGTGTCTGTGAGGGTGTTGCCAAGGAGATTAACATATGAGTCAGTGGACTGGGAGAGGCAGACCCACCCTCAGTCTGGGCACCATCTAATTAGCTGCTACCATGAAAGCAGGAACGGAAAGGACAGATTTGCTGAGTCTTCCAGCCTTCATCTTTCTCTCGTGTTGGATGCTTCCTGCTCTCGAACATCAGACTCCAAGTTCTTCAGCTTTTGGACTCTTGGACTTACACCGGTGATTTGCCAGGGGCTTTCAGGCCTTCAGCCACAGACTGAAGGGTACACTATCAGCTTCCCTACTTTTGAGGTTTTAGGACTCAGACTGGCTTCCTGGATCCTCAGTTTGCCGATGGCCTATTATGGGATCACCCTATGATCCTGTGGGTCAATTTTCCTAATAAACTCCCCTTCATATATTCATCTATCCTATTGTGTCCCTTTAGAGACCCCTGATTAATGCGCTATGAGAAATGATGGAAGTTTCTTAGTGGGTCAATCGGAATGACCTCAGAAGAAAAGAGAACACGTGGACACATAGAGGGGAACAACACACACTGGGGCCTCTTGGAGAAAGGAGGGTGGGAGGAGGGAGATGATCAGGAAAAATAACTAACGGGTATTAGGTATAACACCTGGGTGATGAAATAATCTGTATAACAAACAGGTACATGTACCCTTGGTCTTAAAAACGAAAGTTTTAAAAAGATGTAAAAAAAAAATAATAAAGGAGGAAACAAAAATTTTCATGCAAAGACCTAGGCTGAGATGAGAATATGGGGCAGTGTTCAGGCAGACAAACAGCCTATCCAAGTTTCTGCATCAGGAAGAAGCCTGGGGCGTTTGAGGAGCTGATTGGAGCTGAGTGGTCTGGGAAGGAATTAGCATAAAACGATGTTTGATAGATCATCTCGGATTTTGTAGAACAAGATGAGGAGGGTTTTTTTTTTTTTTTTTAATTCTAAGTGCAATTGATAACATTTTGAGACTGTAACCAGGAACATTTTGTAACTACATTTATGTTTTTGAAAATCACTCTCACTCCTCTGCAGAGAGTGAGTTGTTGGAATAAGAAAATAATTCTGTTACCAGACAGCAAATTTGACTGAAATTCAGTAGAAACAGCAAGCTGAACATGTGTTCCCATCATTAACTAAAAAACAGTCAGGCCTGAGTTCCAAATGAAAAAGGAATTGACAGAAACATAAACCCATGGGTAGCTAATGTCTACATCAATGTGTGTATTCAAAAACTGTTGAATAAAGGACCAAATTCCTTTGGTTCTGTGGGGCAAAAAGACACCATTTCCTCTCTATGTTCAGTTACCCCATGAGAATTGGGGAGGGGTGGACTGTTGCCATATTCTTTCCTTTGAATTCCAGAATAAGAATAAATGCGGATTTACAACAGTCACACGTGCCCTTATTAGCAGATGTTTCGTGTATGTTCCAGGGCAACAATGAGTAGTTACATTGGATACAACTGAATAGCTTATTCATTATAATCACCAGAGATTCAGACATGTATGTCTCAGGATTAACATCTTTAGTCTCCAGTTTTCCAGCACATCATAATAACTGTGTTTCACAACTGAGTCAACTGAATAGTTACAGAAACTGTTTTACACACACACACACACACACACACACACACACACAACCATGCAAGTTTAGGCAAACATAACTAAAATATGCATTCAAGGGCAAAATAAACTAAAATATTCTCCTCAATAAGTCTTGAGTAGTTCTTTAAAGTTTGCACTTTCATCCTCTGGGTCATAATTTTAATAACATTCTTGAGAATCTTCACTTTTGAATTTGTATTTATGTTTATCCTTAAAAAATCAAGAATTCTTTTGTGTTGGGGTTTATTTTGATAAATGTATATAACACTGATTATTATGCAAGCAACACTAGACAATGTTTGAACATTAAACTCATTATAAATTCTTTCTTCTAGACCTAAATATCTGTTTGAATACCATAACAACTTTCAAAATATCTCTTCTTAGTGGGCAAATAGCAAGCCATATTTTTAAATATTTTATTAGTAGAAGATTTGAGGTTGACAGAAGCCAGCATAAACAAATTTACACTTACAGTTATGCCAAAAAGAAAATCAACCTCTAAATTCTTGTAACTGTTTTGGCAATTTATTCCCATGATTAACTATGGAGAAGCATCATAAATAGTGTTTTTTCTACAAAATTCCAAATCTTATCAATAGTGTTTAGAAACCACAAAATTTTTAATTAGTACTTAAACAGGTCTTTGAACTCTTCAACTATTTCTGTGTATAAAGCATGAAACCTAACAAAAAGAGACCAGCATAAAAGGTTCAAAAGAATCAGAATCTCCATCAGTTTGACTGCCTGTTTTCTTTCTTTTTAATTAATTTTTTTAAGCTAATATATTAAGATTATATTTCTCTTCAGAGTCATTTTTACCTTTTCTCTGTTAATTCCATCAACAAAATGTGGGAAAAAATGATGACAATTGACAGTACACACCCTCTGGGTATTATTGTCAAGTCATTTTAAATTTAGGTTTATTACAAAAGTTAACTTGAGGGTCTAAATTGTTTAAAAAATATCTAAGAAGTAGCTCTGATTTATCAGTTTCCTTTTATTTAGTGGCTTGGGTCACATATGAAAGCATAGGGTATAAAAGGAGAGACAAAAAATGGGAAGATGATAGAATATGGAGGTGAAAGAAAAATTAACAAAACTATATAGAAACTTTGTGGGGGGCAGAGACAAAAAGAAAGAAAAGAAGAAAGGACAAAGTATTTGAGGGATGTGGTTGTCTAGGACTACCCCATAAATATTTGACAAAAAAGAACAGTGGCTTCGATACCAATTACGCCTAAGAATAAATAAAACATTTAAAAAGAAAAACTCAGGCACAATGTGCATTTAAAGACATCAGTGAAATTATCATTGGTGCTAAAAAACAAACTTGCCAAATTATTAGGTTTCTAAACTACTAACATTCTGCACATTCTAACTTGGCCTTACTCCTTTGGAGACAAAAATTAAAAACCCAACTTAATGAGTTAGAAATAACCAATTCTAAGTAAGAACATTTCACATCTACATTCTTACAGCATAGCTCATCATGGGAGAGGAAAATAAGATCAATGCAAATTATTTCCAATTAAGTTCACCTTGAAGACTTGTCACCAGGGGCTATTTTACTGTCTATCATTGGCAGTTATCATTGGCAAGTGGTCAGTACTTCCTTCCCAAACAATCTTGAACCTATTCAAGAGCTCTCTTGCTTAGAAGGATTAAATCAATGTTATAACAAATGTTATATTTTAATTTTGTAACTAAGTTACTCAAATTAGCCAAAAAAATCTAATTTTTGAGACCCTCATCTGATGGTTACTTAAAAAAAAGTGAGAACTCAGAAAGAAATTCAATATTGAAATGAGAAAATCATTTATTTTCATAAAAATTTTGGAATGACCATGTTTTCATTACGTCTTGCCAAGCTTTATTCTCAAGATAAACATGGCTGAGATTAGAAGGGCAGTGTGATGTATAAGGCAATTGCCTAAGAGCCGGAGGACTGGAGTTCGGTCCATGGTTCCTATGATGACTTGGTTTGTGGCCAGAGCAAATTTCCTCATGGCAGCTTGGACATCACCAATAGAGTGGAGGTCCAAGAGAAATGCCTCTTAGACTTATTCAGTGTTAGTCATAATCATATCAATCATGAGTGGGTTCATTTTCTATCAGATGTGACATGATAGGTTTTTAACGAATTTTATTGTATCAAAATGAGAATTTTTCCCATTGAAATAAAAGTTTACTCCTCATATTGCAATATATTTATTCTTTCTACAAGATAATTGTCCCTCCACAAGTAGAAGGGCATGGTTAAAATTAGTCGCAGGACAAAGCAGTTTGACTTTGACCTTTTCAAACTACTTCAGTGACTAGCATTTCAAAATATGTGCCACTTGGACAATTTCTCTATATTCAAAGATAAGATGTGGAAATTGGACTTGTCAGCCTCCCTTTTAAGCTTCTTACACAGCTATTATTTTATGGGTGTGTTGGGTAAAAGAAGAAATATCTTCTAATTAAAGTTAATACAAGAACCCTTTGAAATAATGACTCCACTTATATCTGTTAAAGGCTTTCCTGATATAAGAAAACAATGGAGGAAACACCCAGAGCCTCAAAGTTGCTTCATTATCATTGCCTTTCACAAGAACTGTAGGAAAGTTGATCAAAACGTCCTCAAAGCACTTGCCCATTTGTCTTTGTTGGTAAGTTTCTAACCAAAGACTTGCTAGCCCCCAGTACTAAGGTGGTTGTATAAGCACAGCAGTGTGAAACCCATATAGCATGAGTAGTACAATCTTGGTGGTGTAATAGAGGGGTACCACTTCCTACCACTTGTTTATATTATGCTTTGTAGTGTTTTCATTAGATTGCATAGTCAACAAGCACTTTTTGGATTTCTGTTATATGTCAAGTGCTGGGACAGGACCTGGAGAACAAGAAGAATAATAGAGGAAACTCCCTATTCTCGTATATTATATACTGTCACAGGGTAGGAGGATAATGAAATAGGCAATTCCAATACTGTATGATAAAGGTTATAATACAGGAAGTTCAAGAGCAACCAGCAGGAATATGTAACCCATTCTAAGAGTAGCAATTGAGGCTTGCACAGTCAATTCCGACTATTAGCAGATTCTGTATTTGCAAAATAATCTATCACTAAAATGTGCTTGGAACCCCAGAATCAATACTTACAGCACTTTCCCATCATTTACAGACATGCTCAAAATGGCGTGCATTTTGACTGCCTCAACTCACATGTTTGCAGGTGAGCATGAACCAGGTGGAACCCTTCCTCTTTGTTTCGGCTCTTATATATACATGAGTAGAAGATGGAGATGTAAGGAATGCACCACCTGGTGCAAAGAGCTCCAACACTGCTCCAGCTGAATCGGGTTTCAATCTCAACTCCGGCCCCTGTTAGTAGGGCAGCTTCAGGCAAGTCACTTAACATTTCTGGACCTTGTTTACTCTTTCGTAGAATAAAGAAAACAGAATCCACCAGGATGAGTTATTTTTAGGATTTAAGATTATAATCTTTACATACATATCCTCTAGGAGCAATGGTTTAATATCTGCTAATGCAGTGTTGCAGCAACTTTATAAAACATAAATACCTTAAATAACAAGAATCAGCTTTAAATAAATAGCTATTAAAAGCCTGCAAAAGACATTAAAATAGGGGCAAAAGATTTCAAAGGCCAGTGGTAGCTTCTGCCTTTGAAGAAATGAAGATTCAGAATGAAAATTAAGCTTCATGCTCAAGGGAGAAAGTGGTAAAATATAAAATCCCAGCAAGCAGGGACAAATTATAAAGAGCTTATTGTGATCTTGAAATGAAGAGCTTGGAATTTATCCTAATGGGCATTGAGAAGCTCAGTTGAAAGATTTTTATTAGGGGAGTTCCACAGTTAGATGTAACCCAAGAAAATTGTACCAAGAGATATAGGTCTGCCATTGAGGAGTTTTGAGGTCTGTTGCTACTGATGGCACCCTTTCAGGAAGAAAGGGGGACTTTTTTGTCTTAAACATTATTGAAGAGAGAAAAAGAAGAAAAAGTAGAACAATAACTCTGAAGAGAACATAATGGAAACTACCAGAGAATGGAAAAGTAGTCTTTCTTCTAAGAAATCATTCCAGGTTCCACATGGTAAAATACAAGGTGAACATAAACAATATGGTATTACACAAAGCTGAAAAATCAACTTCTGGAGAAGCAGAAAATATTTTAGAAGGGCAGGAGAAAGGAAAAACCTGAATAATAGCCCAATTATGTCAACCAGGGTAGGCAAGTGTCTTATTTATTAAAGCACAGTGCCTGACTCTTAATATCTTCTATATATGCTAATGGTTTGCTCAAAAGGGGAGCTGTAGATGAAGTCTAAGTAGCAAAGGTCTTCACATTTTACGTATCCCAACCTCACCAAAAGGCACACATAGGGTCCAAAATTTGTGTGCATTTTGGAGAAAGAAAAGGAGAAATGAAAATACTTTTAGCTTCAGAGACAAAAAGAAAATTAATGTTGCTAATAATTTCTCAATATTAACTTTATACAATGGAGCTATAGTTTTATTATAGTTATTTCTCTGTTTTATTTCTCTATTTTATTTTCTCTGTTTTATTTTAGTTACTACAGGATTGAAAAAAGAGATATGTCAACCTATCTAGATTAGTTGAAGCTTAGATTAGAGAAAATTCGTTAAAGTTTATAATCTGTTAAAAACAGTAAAAATTTGAAGAATACTCTTTGGTCTTCCCCTATAAAACTATGAATTTCTTGAAGGTGAATACTATGTATTGTTAATGTATTCTAATTTTTGCCACCTAACAGTCCTGGCAACGTTGAGAACGTTGTCTAATTTCTCTGAGCCTGAGTTTCCTCATTCTAAAACGGAAATATTACTTAAATTATATGACTGTTGTAAAGATTAAGTGAAATAATGAACTAATGTAATCACTGCATAGTTAATGGTCAGTCAACTTAGATATTGTATAATGATGATGTACCTTTAACACTTGATATAATGTTTAATCCACAAAGGAAACACATGGTAGGTGGAAGAATGGAAGGTTGGATGACTGATATATTATGTTTACTCAACTAAGAAGATCCTTAAGGAATGCCTTAATGTACATTTTGTGAGTGTTTTGAATGAGTTAACTGGTTAATGTCAGCAGAAAATCAACATATTTTAGCTACCATCAAATTTGTCTGATAAGCAGATCCAAGCAATATATTTATTCTATACCAGCAGTAAAAATAAAACCTGGATATGAAATGTGTAAATAACATGGACCATTAATACCATTAATAAAATTCCATTTATTCTCCTAAATTTCCTACAAAGTATTATTCCTCCTCCTCTTAGTAGACCTACTCCACTTAATAAATGAAGAAATTGAGTCCTGGAAAGAGGAAGAAATTGGGCTGACCGTGCACCAGGCAGGTGATATATATGAATGGAGTAGGCTGAGTGTGGAGGAATGACGAGAACTATTGTTGCATGAAATGACAGTCTTCCAACAGAACAGGGCTTCAAACTTTCCAAGAGATTCTGGAAACTGCAGTTTTAATGTGAAATAGCCTAATGTGTACTCTTTGTCCATAAGCCAATGCGGCCACTCAGTGTAGAATATTTGCCTTCAAAAAGTAAGTTGGAGGCTGAGCACAGTAGCTCATGCCTGTATAATCTCAGCACATTAAGAGGCCCGGGTGGGAGGATTACTTGAGCCCAGGAATTCAAGACCAGCCTGGGCAACATAGTTTGACCCTGTCTTTACAAAAAAAAAAAAAGAAGGAAAATTAAAAATTAGTTGGGCATGGTGGCATGTGCCTGTGGTCCCAGCTACTCAGGAAGCTGAGGCAGGACGATCGCCTGAGCCCAGGAGGTCAATGCTGCAGTGAGCTATGATCACACCACTGCACTCCAGCTTGGCAACAGAGTGAGACCCTGTCTCAAACAACAAGAACTAAGTTGGAACAGACCCAGGCACCTCAGACCCAAGCCTTCTGCCTCTTTATTTGGTGTGCTCTTCTTACAACACTCTCCTGGATAAAGACTATATCACAAGTGTATATAGGATACATATAGGATACAGATAGGGCAGCCAGATGGCAAAGGGACCTAACAAGAGAGCTCTATCAACAAGCAGAGAGAAAATAGGTGCTTATAGAAGAAGACATTTTAGACATAACTGTCATCCGCAATAAGATTAACTCCTAACATTTGCTCTCAGGAAGACTCTTTCAATTCGATTTACTTGAAAGGAAAAATTACACAAGAGAAAGCTCTCCTTTCAGTTTCACATCTGTTAAAGTCTACAGCAAAAGGCATTTCAGGATAGAAATAGAAGTAAACAGCCAGGTACCCCAGGGCTTTTTATTATGTGTGTTTGGAGTCTTTATATATTCATTTAATAAACAGTTACTGGGTATTTCAATGAGCGTGGCACTGAGCTTGATGCAGTCAGGCCATGACTTACTGTTTAAGAGGCTTGTGTTTTATGAGGCAAAAGACTTGGTTATAATACAATGAAAGCCAGTATAAAAGAGGTTTGTGCTATGACCAAAACACCACTAAAGTTCTCCCCAGCTTGATTCAACTTTAGAAAGATTTCTTCCTGACTAGAGGCCCCTGACCTCCTTTTCTTAGACCATTTATGGTAGGAAACTTTTAATTGTAAATTCTTTCTTGACTCTTTGAGATGCAAATCTTCTCCCAATCTCCTGCCAGTTTTACAACCCAAGAATGTCTTTCTCAAGGACCTGGGAGCTGTCCCTTTGAAATGTAATTATCAAGAAAGAGAGAGACCCCATCTCCCAGTTTCTATGAGAGAATAGGAGCTTAACTTAGACAAGCAACAGTTAGCAAACACAGATGACCTAATCAAATTGACTAACCACCCTGCTAAAGTCTTCCAGGACTTTTCCACTAGCTCACCCAGTGCTCAAAAATCAGCCTGCTTTTGTTTGAGCAGAATTGAGTTCAATCTTCATCCTCTATTGCAAAAGTCTTAAATGAAGTCTTCCTTACCTGGTGTAGTTTTCTTGTCAGCTTGGAGAGGGAGAACGGAGTCCTTGATAACTGAAGAGGAAGTATACAAACTTCATATCAGAGGCTATTAAGCAGGAACTTTTGAAAGATAAACGTGAATTGCACTCATCGAATAATATAAGATACTTCAAGCACTAAATGTCCCTAGAAACATCACAGAGGCATGAGAGAGGCATGCTTGGAAAATGGCTTGAAATGACTTGTGGGCTGTGAAAAAGCTGACGCTCTTATTGTGAAAGTTTCTGCGGCTCTTATTTCTGCTCTACTTCCCAATTCTGGCTTGAACTTTTCATTTTAATGTAATAGTTATCCCAATTTTTTAAAAAGATGGGATCTGTAATGGCAAGCATTCCCAACAAGAATTCATGTAATTCCATAAATAAACTAATGTTTATTGAGTGCCTACAATATGCCAGGCAAACAGATACAGGTACTCTTGTTATAGAAAGGGTTAAGAGAATGGGCTCTGCAGTCGGTCAATTTGGCTTCAAAGCAGTACTTTGTGCCAGTTGTGTGACTGTGTGAACTTGGGCAAGTGACCTGGCCTCTCACGACTCTTCTGTTTTCTCATCTGTAAAATAGTTGTATATAATTTTCTTAGTTGTTAAAAAGACCAAATGGATTAATACAGTAAAATAATATATAACAATGCCTGGTACACACTAATTGCTTTAAATATTAGCTATCATCTAAAATTTATTAAAACCAAGCTTAAAACTATATTTATGACTAGCTAATGCTCATATCATGAAAACACTATTGCCAAAAGTGAAAACTTAGGAGAAGTCATTGCTTTAAAAAACTGCCTTTTGTATACCTTCTTTCTGAATATTCTCACATTAGAAAGAGAGAGAGAGTTTTCTGCCAATGGATATCCCCAACTTCTACTCTCTCACTATAAACATGCATGGTCCAGGATCTTGTGCTTAGTATAACAATTTCACCTCAACTCTGCTCAGGGTTTTTCTCAGCTTCCACTAAACTGGTTTGCACTTGCTGCTTGGCCCATCAGAGTTAGTTAAGGAAAGACCTGAGTTCACTTTGTCTTCTCATGATCTATGAAATGTGACGTCTTTATCTCCTTTATATTCTATTCCATTCTACAATGGAAAGAGAAGGGAGAGGTAGAATGGGAGAGCATGAGCAGGAGAGGGAATGGTGTGCAGAGAATAAGCATGAGCAAGCAAAGTCAATCCTGTGACTAACCTGGAAGCCAGTTTTGCAACATGGCTAACCTCATAGGTTCCAGAGGTAGGCTACCTGGGTTAAAACCCAGCCCCACAAGCCATGTGACCCTGGGAAAATGACTTACCTCTCTGTTCCTTAGATTACTAACCTGTACATCATGGGTAATAACAGCACTCGTGTCATGTAGTTGTTGCAAAAATTAAATGAGTTACAGTATAATATAAGGCACCTGGAGCTGAACCTGGCACCTTCAGCTCTAATCATTAATCTAATTAGAGTTCCCTGCTGACATTCTTCTCTTCTTCATAAGTTTCCTAATTTTTTTCTGACAATTTTTTTATTTGAAATTAATACGCTGAGTACTGTGCACTGAATGGAAATCTTTGATCATCTTACAAATCATCACACAGACCAAAATGAGTGTTCCGTTATAGTTGTTGTTTATCTCACTAAACCTTAAGTTCTTCATTAAACCTTGCAGTCCCATATCCAGCACAAAGTTGGTGGCCAGTAAATGTTTGTTGATTTAATGATACATACTAAACATACTATGAAAATTTAATTATACATAATACATACTATACTTATTTATAATAAAAATATTAGTTCACAAATACTTTAAAACATCACATTTATTTTAAAAATAGACAAAGTGCATAATAAAGCAAAATAATTCATTCCAAAAAGTATTTTAAACAGAAACAGTATACCTGAATGTCATTTGCATATGAAATTAATTAAAGGATACTATACACTATAAAATGCATAATAATGCTTATTAGTTTATAACATAATATGGGAAGAGAAAGTTTATATCTTATTGTCCTGCCTTTGTTTTGTCAATTCCAGAATTATTCACTGTATCTAGATATTAATGAAGGCTTTCTTGCCAAAGCTTTGGAAAGAAGAAGGGTGAGTTATCCCCTCATGAACTGGTTAAATAACAAGTACTGCTCACAGAGCTGTTCTGATTCCTGTGGAGCCCAAGAGGTAAGCTTGTTACAACACTAAAGCAAGAATGTCCAGTCTTATATGAGAGCCACTATCTTGGCTATGAGGAGTCCTATCTAGATAAGTACTCCTTGAAATTAGATAGCGGCATCTCTAGGTAAGTACTCCTTGAAATTAACAGAAGGTCAGAAATGTGTGCTATTATTAGAATTGATCAAATAGGCTCAGTTGGCAAAGATGAAAAAAAGATTTACAAAATCAATTGCTTCCTCCTAACTCTCTATTGAGTTGGGACTTTGGGAGGGATCAGACAGATAATGGGAACTGGAGAAGTTTTGAAGTGTAACAATAAATAGGTAACTGGAAAGATGTGCCTATGAAGAAAACTTCAAAAGGGTGACATAGAGATAGCACAAACAACCAGCAAAAGTTGTTGAGTCCAAACACGTGGATGAAAAGTAAAAACTAGAGCCTGGCAACTGAAAATTATTAAAGATGAAGATTATATTCAAGGAGACAGAAGTTGCCTGTTTGCGAGAGACACACAGGGAAAATAAATAGATATAAAGTTTACTGGGACTCTGGACCATTGGATCATGCAATTATTTTCTATAAGACTCATGAAAAGAGTAGATGCTCTTTTTCACCAACTTACCTTAACATAAATAGTCTTTCTGAAAATAAAAAATTAAAGAGTCAACATAGGGCATCTATTATTTGCTGTTTACTCATTCTCTTAAAAAATACAATGAGAGATATAAAGAGATAAAACTACTATATTTAGGTCATAAAAGTCATTAAAGAAAAACCTCAAATTCAGAATTCAAATCTTCTAACTATTAATCTATGCCTTTTAAGACCACAATCAATGACTAAATTTTTGTTTTTCACTTAATTTTTTGTCTTCCTTTTCTTTTTTTTTTTTTTTTTGAGACAGAGTTTCGCCCTGTCACCCAGGCTGGAGCGCCGTGACGCAATCTCGGCTCTCTGCAAGCTCCGCTTCCCGGATTCACACCATTCTCCTGCCTCAGCCTCCCGAGTAGCTGGGACTACAGGCACCCACCACCATGCCATGCCTGGCTAATTTTTTGTGTGTGTTTTTAGTAGAGACGGGTTTCATCATGTTAGCCAGGATGGTCTCGAACTCCTGACCTCCTGATCTGCCCGCCTCGGCCTCCAAAAGTGCAGGGATTACAGGCGTGAGCCACCACGCCTGGTCGTTTTTCACTTAATTTTTAACAGCAGTTTTAAGTTCACAGAAAAACTGAGCAGCAAGTACAGAGATACTGCCTCTATCCCTTGCCCCTCCATCAGCATAGCCCCCTTCATATCAACATCCCCAACCAGAGAGGCACATTTGTTGCAATTTAGAACCTACATTGACCATCATTATCACTAAGTCTACAATTTACATTGGGGTCACTCTTGGTATTGTATATTCCATAGGCTTGGAAAAAATACATAATGACATATATCTACCATTATACTATCCTATTATACTATTCCACTGCCCTAAAAATCCTCTGTCCTTCACCTATACAGCCGTCTCATCCCCCTAAACCCTGGAAACCACCGATCTTTTTACTGTCCCCATAGTTTCACCTTTTCCTGAATGTCATATAGTTGGGATCATACAGTATGTGGCCCTTTCAGATTAGCTTCTTTCACTTAGGAAAATGCAGTTACATTTCTTCCATGTGTTATTGTGGCTTGATAGCTTATTTCTTTTTAGCACTTAATAATATTTCATGGCCTGGATAGACCACATTCTATTTATCCATTCACCTCTGAAGGACATTTTTGTTGCTTTCAAGTTTTGACAATTATGAATAAAGTTGCTGTAAACACTCATGTGCAGGTTTTTATGTGGACGTAAGTTTTCAACTCCTCTGGGTAAATCTCAAGGAGTATAATTGCTATGTCATTTGGTAAGAGTATTTTTAGTTTTGTAAGAAACTGCCACAGTCTTCCAAAATGGCTGTACCATTTTGCATTTCCACCAGCAATCAGTGAGAGCTCCTGTTGCTCCACATCATCATCGGCATTTGGTGTTGTCAGTGTTCTGGATTTTGGCCATTCAAATAGGTGTACAGTGGTATCTTATGGTTTTAATTTGCACTTTCCTTGATGACAGATGATGTGGAGCATCTTTTCATATGCTTATTTGCCATCTATCATTTTTGGTGAGGTGTCCATTAAAGTCTTTGGCTCATTTTTAATCAGGTTGCCTATTTCCATATTGTTGAGCTTTAAGTGTTCTCTATATACTTTGGATAACAGTCCTTTATCAGGCACATGTTTCCAAGTTTTAAAATGTCATGTTTTGTATACTTATTGAATTCCTATGACAAGCCCTGTGCTTGTCATAGAAATTGAGCATCATTTATGAACAGAAAGGATAGTCCCTCATAGAGCTTAAAGCATAATGAGAAGACAGATAATACAAAGTAAATCAAGAAAAACCCCCATAATTCAAACTGTGTAAGTGCTATTTATATAACACAGTTCTGAAATAGAGAACACTGAGGTAGATATCTATTTAGATAGAATAGATAGAATAGTCTGGAAAAGTCATTACAACTTAAGCTCTACCCCCTAAAATAAGGAGAATGTAGGCATATGAAGGTGAGAGGCAAGAAAATTCTAGGCAGACAAAAAGCTTTGTAAAAATATTCAAAGACAAGAAGGAACTTGGCCTTAGCTTGTTGGAAAACTAACAAAAAGTATATGTGGTTAGAACCTACTGAGCTAGAGCCAGCCCATGCAGTCCTGTAGGCCAAGTTAAGGGACGGGGATTTTATTCTATGATTTGGGTGTCAAATGATTTGAAGCTTGGAAGTTGCCTGGTCCAATTTTCTTCTGTAAAATAACATTCTGGAGCTATATGGAAAGTAGATTAAAGAGAGCTAAGAGTGGAATTGGGGAAACTTATCAAGAGGCTATTGCAAGAGTTTGGGCAAGAGAATAAGGTAGCCTGAAGTGAGGGTGGCTGTGGTAGAAATGGGAAAAATAAATATACAGATTCAATAAAGATTAAGTAGATAGAATCAAAGGAATTGATGATTGAACAAATAACGGGTGTAGAAGAGGGAAAGTTCAAGGATGTTATCTAGATTTCTGTCTTGTGTCTATGAGCCTATGATGCCATTGACCAGAGATAGAGACTGAGGAGCAAAAGATTCCAAAGAGAAATCAAAGGTTCCAATTCAGAGGAATTAAGTTTGAGGTGCCTGCTATTCACTCAAGAGGAAATGAGAACACATGAGGGCTGGAGCTCTGAAGAAAGGTCCAGGCTGAAGACTGATAATGAGACCTATGTAATGTAAAAAGGCTTGCAATGGACGGAATCTCCTCGGGAGACAGAGTTCAGAGAGGAGAGATCTGCTTTGAGCTTAAATGACCAACAACATTAATGGCTTGTTTTCACTTTTTTCAGATATGACTTCTATTGCCTCTATCCCTAATTGTTTATGTAACCATATCTTTCACTATGAATTTTGCTTTAAAACCAAATTCCCTTTTTAATTTGGATTCTATTAATTCAGAACTCATGATAACTAGGAAATCTGTGGTAAAGAAGTTTACTTTTGCATTATATAATGCAAATAAGAAATGTTTCTCCTATTTAAGTATTTCAATCCTCTTTTATAATTATCTCTAGGCATATAAATTGCAATTAGCCTTTATTGAGGACTTATTTTTGCACCAGATGCTATGGTAAATGTTTTCCATGTATTGGTTTATTTTCTTATCATATTAATAATTTTGTTAATAACACAATGCTATTATCTGGAGTTTTATATGCACAGAGATTAAGAAATCTTACTTACAGTTGCAAAGTTAATATGAAAGCAACTGAAATCAAATGTATAAACTGTAATTCCAGGATCCCGTTTCACCACTGCGATAAGCCGCTTTTATTTAACTCTTATGTCTCAAAATATTTTCAATGAACACTTACAGCTTCCCAGAGAAGTTGGAAATACAGGATATAGATTTTAACATTTTGAGGCTCACAGACATATGTGACTTGCCAAATGCATGATGTTAGAACTGGAGAGGATATTTGCCATAGTGATGCTGTTCATTTATACTTGATTGGGAAAGACTTTGGAGACATCGAAAAGTGATCGGAGGCACGTTGAGGACAATGAATTACAATTGAATACATGAAGCTTCATCTAACCCCCTTTTTATTACTAAAAACTCAAAGCCTAGCCAAGTGTCTTAGTGGTATAAACAAAAATTTTCTTATAAACCTAAATATTCACCTCTCTCCCTAGATTACAAAGCACTATTGTATTCAAATGACTTGTAAATAGCCTCCCTCTCCACAATGGAAGGAATGAAGGAAGAGATGGAGGAAAGGAGGAAAAAAGAAAAGCTCTATTTGCTTCATTAAAAGATTCCTTTCTCATAATAATAATTCACTCTCACTTTTCATTTAATACAACAGAATGTTTCTCAAGGAAATATAAAAAGTTGGCATTGTTCAGTTTTTAAAAAGCTCACCAAAAGGGCTATGTGGTCTGTTGAAGTCCAAATAACCAGTGGATTAATGAATTCTTTCGATCCCCATTGTTTACATGGGCCTTGCATAGATGGGTGATCCTTACTCCTTTTGAAGTTTTCATTTCAAACAGCATCTTTTCTTTTTCTGTTCTTTATAAAATATATTTACCTTAATTTGTAAAAAAAAAAAAAAAAAAACAAACCAGTGGGTGAAATTTTGTAACACGCCTTGAAACTACTGGAAGCAACAACACATTGGGAACTCCCTGGTGTAGCTGCAGCCTGAATCACTCAATTGTTTTGCTGTTGTGTAGACATCGCTTCCAGGGCCAGTGATGGATGAGCGATGGGGTCAGCCTGATTCTTCACAAAATCCATTTTTGACGTGGCAGCCAAGGTCAAAAGACAAAGCTGGCTGGATCTCTGCACCTAATGTACTATTCCTGTTCTTTCAAGGGCTCTGGGGAGGGCCTTCAATGTAGGGGGGCCAGGCCTAATATCAATTCACTCTTTTTCTACTTCCCCACCCAAGGTATGTTGTCACCTCATTTCCATGACAAACTCATATGTTCTGGCCATCGTGTCAAAATGCCACCCATGTTTAGTGCCAAAATAGAAAAGAGGGATTTTGTTTGGCTGAGTTAATATGAATGTATTAAAAATTCCCACATAACAAATGTCTGATTCAACCATTCCATTTCTTCCCAATCCTATTTACTGAGAAGTATACTTTGGCTCAAATGAGTATTAACAAGGAAATCTATGTTTGTGGTGACTGCTCTGAATGGGCCCCATTCTTACAGAAAGTCTTCTATTATACCAAAAGAAGAAAAAAAGCCTGATAGGTTGGGGAGAGTAATTCATAGAGAAAGATGTGCTGACAGCTCTGAATTGAACAGCTTTCCTCCTCTAGAGCTTCAACTCCAGTTGGCCCCCAGGCTCGGGGAACTTACTCACTCACCAGAATCCCAGAACAGCAGTTACATCCAACTAAGTCCTGGAAGTGATTAGAGAAGAGACCTCCTTCCTGAAAATGCAGCTTTCAACTAGCTACATGTGGTCTTTTTTTTTTTTTTTTTTTTTTTTTTTTTAACTAGTGGGTAGAATAAGATGAGGTTTTCAGACTCCAGGTTTTAATAAGTCCCTGATTTCTCTATCTACAATGGCCTCTTGTGTTTGGTGCATGATATGTCCAATGGAGCCACCATGTTGAAATAGTTGTGGACTATTCAAGAGCAGACTAAAAGCATGAAGCCTATGATGAACTGGGATTAAATATTATCAAGTTGTTGTTTATCATGACGACAAAGCAGAGGGATGGAAGATGAGAGCATAATGAGGGTTATTTCCTTGATGTGCAGCATGATGAAAAGCAAAGAGCCATGGTTGAGAGAAATAACCATGTTGAATACAGAGGACTGTATTCAAGTCCTAGGTTGTTGATAAATCTGGATGTCACTTGAAAATGTATTAAGATTAGCTAAGTCTTAGTTCAAGGGAGAAAAACAGGTGCTCCTTGCTGAATTTAGGCACCTGAATTTTTATTTAATTTCATTTAATAATTTCATTCGTTTATTAATTTTTGCCTTAGATATTCTTTACAACATATGTTTGAATGCTTTAGGCACTGGGCATTCAGCCATCCAAAAACAGACAAAATCACTTCTGTCATAAAGCTCAAATTCCATTGCAGGGGATGATGGTTGCAGACAACAATTAAATTAAGCAAGTAATGTGTCAGGAATATAACAGTTATGGCAGAAAGAGCAGTAGATGAATGCTAAATACCAGGATTGTAATTTAAGATCAAGTTATTAAGGAAGGCCTTACTGATCTGGTGGTATCTGAGCAAGACCTGAGAGAAAAGAGGCATGTCATGGGCATATCTAGGGAGAATATGTTGTCAGAAGAGGGGATGCTGAGAGCCAAGGCCTGAGTGAATAATGCATTTGGAGTGCCCTAGAGCAGACTGGAGCTTGGGGAAAGTGGTGGGGATGATACTGGAGAGTTAGAGGAGGGAGGCCAGATGACACAGGGCCTTGTGGCCCATGGCATGGACACTGGCATTTACTCTGAGTGCAATGAGGAACATTTAAAAGGTTTTCTTCAGAAAAGTACAAGACTTCCCCCTTTTTATTATGATAAATACACACAAGATTTAGCATTTTTATCATTTTAAGTGTAAAGTTCTGTTGCATTAAGTATAATCACATTGTTGTACAACCATCACCATCGTCCATCTCTAGAACTGTTTCATCTTCCTAAACTGAAATTCCAATCCCATTAAACACTAACTCCCTGTTACTCCCTCTCCCAGTCCCTGGCAACCACTGTTCTCTATGAGTTGGATTACTCTAGGTACTCCACAGATATGGAATCATACAATATTTGTACTTTTGTGAGTGACTTTTTCCACTTACCATAATGTCTTCAAGGTCCATCTATGTGGCAGCATGTATCAAAATTTCCTTCCTATTTAAGGTGAGTAATATTCCATTGTATACATATATTGCATTTTGTTTGTCCATTTACCCATCAGTAAATTCTTGGGTTGCTTCCACCTTTTAGCTATTGTAAATAACCCTGCTATGAACATGGGTGTGCTACAGTGACTTGGTGTTACAATTTATAATCATTCCATATATTTTGACAATCCTGACTTGTGTCTGACAATCTAATCCCATTCTTCCCATCCTGACATGTAGACGCTATATTAATATCCTTTTCCTACCAATCCCCTCTTTCCCCTTTACCCCTTAAGTAACTCTTTAGGAGATACTTAACCTGAAGTATCCCTGAGCAGACATTTCTCCTGGCTCACCACGGTGCTACAGATGTACTGTTGTCAACAATTAACACTGAGACTCTTATTTATAATCTTTTGGAATCTGGGAAATTTTTTAGCAAAGAATTATTTCCATCACTATGACTACTACTACTACCATTCATGGGAACTGACACATATTTGTGAAATACTCAGTAAATAGATAAATGGTAACCTGGATCTATTCCCTCAATTATATACATGGAACAATTAAGCAAAATTTGTCTTAATTTGCTCCTTGTAATTATTGTCATTAGTAACAAGAATCTCTTTTTATTATTTTTCTTTTTAACTGACACATAGTATTTGTACATACTTATGGAGTAAGTAAAATATGATATTTCCATACATGTGAATAGAATAGCAGTTACCAGTAACTGGGAAGGGGAGGGGGAAGAGGGGCATGGTAAGAGTTTGGTCAGCAGATGCAAAGTTACAATTAGAAAGAAAGAATATGTTCTGGTGTCCTATTGCACAGTGACATGATTATAGTCAACAAGAACCTCTTAATTTTACAGAATCACTTTGACTACTGTGTTGAAAATACACTGGAGGTTGATAAGTGTAGATGCAAGAAAGTTAGAAAGGCATGGCTAAATCCCAATGAGCAATAATGGTAGCTTGGATCAGGGTGGCAACCATGGAGGTGGTGAGAAGGGAGCAGATTATAAAGATACTGTGATGGTAGAGCCAACAGGTTGCTAAATAATCATGTGGGATGTGGGAGACATTTCCAAACTTTTTAGCCTGAGCAACTGGAGACATGGAGTTGTTATTTACTGAGAACAGAAAAACTGAGAAGTTGGTATGTTTGGAGAGAGGAAATCTGGAGTTTCTGACACATCAATTTTGAAGTAATTATTAGACATACAAATGGAAGAGTCAAGTAGGCAATTGGGTATTGAAGTCTGGAATCCAGAAGAGAGGTTTAGGCTGGAGACTAAGTTTAGAAGTTAGTATTTTTAAAGTATTTGAAACTGCCAGACCAAAATAAGATCAGCTAGAAAATGAGTGTAGATAAATAAGAAAAGAGGTCTAAGGACTTTCCTAGGGAGATACGAAGACAACAACAAAGAACTCCCTGTTATCTACCCAAAGACATGAAAATCTATGCCTGTGTCCACACAGAAGCCGACATGCAGACAGTCGTCACAAATTTACTCATAATTGCCAAAAATTGGAAGGAACCAAAATGTCATTCAATAGGTGAAGAAGTAAATAAACTGTAGTACATCCAGATAATGGAATATTATTCAGTGCTAAAAAGAAATGAACTATCAAGCCAGGATAACACATGGATGAAACTTAAATCCAACTTAAATTACCAAGCGAAGGAAGCCAATCTGAAAATGCTACGTACTGTGTGATTCCAACTCTATCACATTCAGGAAAAGGCAAAACTATGGAGACAATAAAAAGATCAGTGGTTGCCAGGAATTGAGGGGAAGGAGGAGTGAAAACAGAGAACAAAGGATTTTTAGGGAAGTGAAACTACTCTGTATGATGCCATAATGATAGGCACATGCATTATGTTCAAATCCATAGAATGTACAATGCCAAGAATGAACCATAATGTAGACTATGGGACTCTGAGTGATATCAGTGTAAGTTCATTGATAACAAGTGTATCACTCTGGTGGGGAATGTTGACCATAGGGGAGGCTATGCATGTGTGGGGCAAGTGGTTTATGGAAAATCCTTGTACTTTCTACTCAGTTTTAGCTGTGAACCTAAAACTGCTGTAAAAAATAAAGTCTACTTCAAAAAAGAGTATTGAGAAGTGATCTGTGAGTTAGACCCAGGTGAAAGTGACATCCCAGAAGTGCAGTCATGGAAGTGACTAAGATATCCAGCTTCAGTGTAACTTGCCTGACTCCCACTCTATTCATCTAAATCAGAGTTTATCAAACCTTTTCTGTGAAGGTCCAGAGAGTGAATATTTTCAGCTTTGTGGGTTATATGGTCTGTTACAACTGCTCAACATTGCCATTACAGTGCAAAAGCAGCCACAGACAATACGTAAATGAATGAGTGATATGGTTGATATGGTTTGGCTTTGTGTCCCCACCCAAATCTCATCTTGAATGAGATATCTCCACATATCCTCTATAGTTGATAATCCTCATGTGTCACGAGAGGGACCCAGTGGGAAGTAATTAAGTCATGGGGGCATTTACCTCCATGCTGCTGTTCTTTTGATAGCGAGTGAGTTTTCACAAGATCCGGTGGTTTTATAAGGGGCTTTTCCCCCTTTGCTCAGCACTTCTCCTTGCTGCCATCATGTGAAGAAGGACGTGTTTGCTCCCCCTTCTGCCATGATTGTTAGTTTCCTGAGGCCTCCTAGCCATGCTGAACTGTGAGTCAATTAAACCTCTTTCCTTTATAAATTACCCAGTCTCAGGTATGTTTTTATTAGCAGCGTGAGAACAGACTAATACAATGAGCATGGTTGTGTTTCAATAAAACTTATTTAAAAAAACAGGTAGGATGCTGGGTTTGGTCACAGGGCTTTAATTTGCCAACCCGGATTTAAAATGGTGGATTTAGGCCAACTGATTCATAAAGCATTAAATTATACCCTAAAAGTGTGCAGGGTCTCTGTTTCTATCTAAGACAGCCTAAGAGTAGTTCTAAGCAATTTACATTTGGATTTAGAATGTTGTGAGAAACAGACATACACATCCAAACACACATTTGCTCTTCCTATAACAAACCTCAAACTCCTCTTCTATCAGTCCTAGCATCAGAAAATATATAAAAAAGATCCTTTTCCTATGGGTGACAGTTACAGAATTTTCATTTTACAGCTCTATTCATTTGGCAAATAATCCAGCTGATGTCCCACACTTCCCAAGAATTTATCATGGAAGACACATTTGTACTATCAGAGGAAGAAAGGTGAGAGGTAGAAAGGTGAGAGCCAGTGCCATATACAGATCTCTGCTTTGTTATTTATCCTTAGGCCTTAACTTATCTGAAAGGAGACCTCTCTATTGAAATGACACATTTTCTTGTGAAAAACTCGGATATAAAAATGATATGTTCTTACTTACTCCAATCTCTCATCTAAATGATATCCATTTTCAGGAGACTCTTTAAGGAGTCTCAAAATTTCCCCAAGCTTCTACTTAGGGTTTGGATAAAGAATCTTTATAACTACAGCAATGCTTCAAGTTCTGCTCCTACCTGTCTGTCATCAGTCCACTACACTTTTTGTCTTGGGTTTTACTTGGGCTTCCTCTCTTTGTTCCCTTGAACAAGTAGCAATTTCACCAGGTCCACCTGGCTCTGATTTAGTTCTTCCTGCTGGAGATGCTCTGTGTGGTAACATTACCTTGGCTCCAAATGAGACCATGGCAACATATCCCTACACTGTCCCAGGTCCCCCAGACATGCTTCCAGGACTTATCTGAAGAGGATATGGGGCAAAGTGCCAAACACAGTTCAACTCTTCCTGGTACTCAAAACACAGTGACGCATTGCAGCATTTCAGTAGGCTTCTACACATTGAAATGTCCTTCAAATCATCTTACAGTGTTATTCAACCTCACCATCCATCCTCCTCCCTACATGATAAATAATGGAATTTCAAATTCTCCTTTCTGGGCATATGTCTCTCTCATTAACCATGCTGTATAGACCATACCCAAGGACAGGGCCAGGGATGGCCATGTGAGTAGCAGTAGTAAAATGACCCCTGGTGGACACAAGAACTGAGGAAGTGAAAGAAATCCAGAGAAGGTAGATCTTGGAAATAAGAACTCACGTGGAGAAAAATCAAGGCTCTTAATACTGTTTCAGTTTCAGTTTGTATCAGCTGCACAAAAAGCAGACAGATGGCTTTTGGCAGTTGGGTGTCCCAACTGAGTTTAGGCCAGCACTTAGAGTGTGATGTACTGGAAAGGATGGTCTCCTATTTCTTTAAGATGGAGATGATAAATGGGTCACATTGAGGGGAGATGCTCTCCAGGTACTTCTCCAAATAATTTAAAGACCACTACAAAACAGCCCTAGATGCCTGTGGTGTCTCTCATGTTTAGGTTTGTGTTTGCGAGGCTAGTGCTCAAAACCAGCTTCCTCTTATTTGAGCTTCGGTTGGGAGTAAGCATCCCCAAAGTGGTATCTTGGTTGGGGCAACAAGGTGCATGGCTAGGAAGCCAGACCTGGATTCAAATCTCTGCTCTGCCACTTTCCATATCTGTGGTTCTGAACAAGTTGCCTAACTTTTCTGAGCCTCAGTTTCAACCTTCCCAGGAAGGGGATAATGTTGTCCACTTTGCAGCAGTTTTGAAAGACCTGCAGGCAATATGGATGAGATTCCTGTCCCATTAAAGGGGGCTATGTATTACATAAAAGTAGTACTATTTACAAGGACAAAATTGTATGTAAATATTTATATCTCGATCTTAAAACGTACATTTGAGAAATGCACATTTTAGAACAAAATATAAATAAATGTCACTATGTTGGCATTCATTAATAGACACAATATTTGCTAGATCCAAACAGTTTCATTCTCTGTTTAATGAAACATGGCTATCTCCCCAGCTTAGACAAGAATTACCTTACCAGGGATTCTCTGACTTAGAGTTGAAAAGTCCCCAAAGTATGTTCACACCTCTGGCATGCTTCTAAGTATCAAAAAAACCCAGGCTTCCAGCACACAAAGAAAGGGCCTTCAATCAAGGTTAGAAGCTTATGAGTTATATTTTCACCTTTTTTTTTTACCTTTTCCTTAGTAATGTATCCTTCCCCTCCTTACATATTTAGAAAACCATAACATCTCATTCCTATTTTCATTACTATTCTCTTATAATTTTCCTTCCCTTGACTTACTACTTGCATAATGCATTCTTGTAAGGATGTGTTACCTAAGGACTTATATTATGCAAAGCTCACATCGCTCAAAGCATGCTGAGTATTTCTGTTTACCAGCTAAGTGGGAGCAAGGAAGTAAATACATTTTACTGTCTACTGAGTCCTTTAACCTTGGAATTCTCCTCTTCTCAGTGAATTTTTAATTTGAAAGGTTTCACATTATTTCTAGTTGTATACATAAAACAAGGCTTCCCTAGGGCTTTTGTAATCTCACCATTTCAAATAACATGATTCAAATTAGCATAAACTTGATTGTGTTGATACTATTTGGAGAAATTTCTTTCCAATGACCATCCCCTAACTATGTCAGAGAAGATAAGGGTAAAAATTGCTGGACTTACAGAGACAAAAGGAGCTATAGTCATGACTCAAGTTGTCACCTTTGAGCAGACACAAGGCAAGAGGGAAGAGAACCCTTTGAGGTGTCCGTAGTTTGTTCCCAAATCTTGCCCAGTCGTGCTCTTATTTTTTATTTAACTGAGTTCGGGTTCAACAAACATTTATTACGTGTTTACTATATGCCAAGTACCCACCAATTACTTTCACATGCATTAGCTCAGACTCTATTATTCTCATTACACAAATTGAAGAAAGAGAAAACAAGGCAAGTTGAGCTTCATAACCAAGATCACACACGTTATAAAAAAGCAGAAAGATATTTAAAACCCATGTTTTCTAAACCCAGATCTTTTCAATATTCTACATACTCCAGCAGCATTTTTTAAAATCTACACAGGAATGAGATGTCGGAGGAGGGAATAGAAGGAGAACAGGGGAAATTATAACAGAATGCAGTTTTGAAATCAGAATAATTTATAGTTTTGAATAAAGTATTAGTTGAGAGGAGAAAAAAATCAAGTTGGTTTTAGTTGTTCAGTAGTTGTGATGAACTATGTAGCTCATGTTCCAGCATGAATGTTTTCAGTGTTCATCTGGTGGAAAAACACTATCATTCAGTATTTAAGTCAGATATTTATTGTTTTTTATTCATTGCTCATTGGGTCAGTTGGATGATCAGCTAGCTGGCTGGCTGCCAGGTGACTTGGTGTAAGTCATTCAATTAAAAATAGCTATCCTTAATGCCCAGGGCTATCTCAAGATCTTAAGGATTATTACAATAAGAGACCCAGTCCTGGATAGCACACTATGCCCACATCAAATAGGTAGATGATAGAGATAGACAGATGATAGATAGATAATAGATAGATAGATAGATAGATAGATAGATAGATAGATCAAATAAAACAGCCACAGGGCTCAATGAAGTGAAACATTCTGTGTTTCCTTCCTTCTTCACCTTTTGAATATAGTCCTGCTTAGTTAGGACAAAGTTTTAATAATGATACCATGCTCTTAAAACCCGCTCATTCCAAATAACTCTTCTAGCCTGGCCCCACACGTTTCACGAGTTTCACAGCCATATCCGCTCACCCAACAAAACCACTCCCCAAGAAACATATGCAGGAGGACAGTGAGGAAAGAGCGACCCTACCATATGCACAACTCCAGAGGGCAATGTTAACATTGCAGTCAGTGAATAGGCCCCTAGAGTAGTGAAGGACAGAGGCTGCATTACCATAGGCATCACTATAGCTTCCAACTGGTCCCCATGGCATGACTCCAAGAGAACATTACAAACTGGATAGAATCTGAAACCTAGAAAGGATCTAAGCAATCGGTCCAATTACCAGACTAAATAGGTGAGGAAATGGTGGCGCTCAGATAAGTTGGATGAGATTTCTAAACACCGTATACAATGGCAGTGCAAGGGCTAGAACCTATCCCTCTGTGTCATATTCTTCCCAATTCAGACAGTATCTAAAGGGGCAACAATTAACATGCAATTCCTGTGTGTATAGTTTATCGACTATTTCATTCATTTTATCATTCAGGATGCCTTGTTTATTAAGTACTAACATACTGGCAATTTAACTTGAGGAGCTGTGAGGATCTTCTATGCACCAAGGACTGTAGCATGGCGTGATGGTTAAGAGTGTGGGAAATGGAGTCATACAGACCCGTGTTTGAAACCCGCCTCGACATTTACTAGCTCTTTGACCTTTGGCAAGTTCAACGTCTGAGTCTTAGTTTCCTCATCTGAGGTCTTGATGAGCAAGCAGACATTCTGTCCATCCTGTCTGCATGTACATGTATATCCCATCTGCTTCATCATTCCAGCTCTACTTCCAACCAGTTCAAGCCACAATTAACTCTCATCTGGACTCTTCCACCGGCCTGCATTCTATACACAGAAGCCATGATGCCCACCAGATTATATAGTTTCATTCTAAAACCCTTCAATGAATACTGCACTCCGAAAAAAATACAAATTCTATATTGGCTTCTAAATCTTGCATGGCCGGAAAATTTGCTTCCATCTCTGTCTTCACCCACTGTTTCTGCTCACTACCTCTCATTTCACTGGTCTTTCTTTGTTTATTGATTTTACAACAGGCAGAGCACTTCTCTGTCTTAGGGGTTTTGCATATGTTGATTTTTCTTTCTAAAACTCTCCCTCCAATTTTAAAAAGCTAGTACGTTTTCATCCTTCAGCCTCAGCATCCTCTCCCACCACATTATCTAAAGTTGTGCTCTATCTTATCACCATGGTTGCCACATACATAGTGCAGGTTGTACCTACACAAAGGATATTGTACAAGTTTTACCTATACAAAGGACATTATGTAGGTCATACCTACACAAAGAACATTGTGCACGTTGTACCTACACAAAGGCATCCAACCAAGGGAGGTCAGCAGGAATTGAGCTCTAGCCCTCTGCTCCCCAAACTCTGCAGCATATGCTCAGAGAAAGTGTCATATTCTAATTTCATTGAAGAGGTATACCATGGACCAACAGTGGCACTGTCCATCACCTAATTTATTTCCTCCTTAGAATTGTCCATATTATTTCATTTATGACTTTATTAGTTATTAGATTGCTTTCTTATTTATTGGTCTGCCTATTTGAATCCACTGCAGGCAAATAATGATAGGTCCTATATGTTTGTTTCATTTACCATCACTGAGAATGAACACAAGGGAAATGGTGTTTGACAGAAAACACCAACAGACACAATGAAACTCCTCTGATGGAGGAAACAAATGGGACAATGATGGCTACACAGAGCAAGAGGCACAGACGCCTAGAGCTAGTGAGAAGAACAAGTTTCCCTGACTTCCATGTCTCACGGAAAACATGAAGCTGACAATGAAACTGCTTGAACAAAAACAAGATCTCATTAAAACAATTGCCAAATATAACAGTACATTGTGCTCTTATTTATTAAGTGCAGAAAACTGTGTTGTTTATCACCACCAACCCTTAACCAACCTCCTCGTAGAGCCACAGCTCCCCTACCATGGTGTTTGCAGGGTGTCCCAGCATCCCCACTCTGCTGTAAGGCCACCCAGTGGTTCCTCTTTTTTGTTGCTGTGGTTTGAGCCCTCCCACTTTGATATTAGCCTCATTAAAGCAAAGGAAAATAAACCCAAGGTCCTTTTAAGTCTTCGTTTGAGATCACCACTCTTAACTGCCTCCTGAGACTGTCTTCCCAGCTTTTCTAAATTAATCTCATTAAGATATACCATGTCTTCTTTGGAGAAACATCTGTTCAAGTTCTTTGCTCATTTAGGAAAAGCCAGTCACTGAAGGACAAATATTGCATGATTCCTCCACATGAGGTATCCGTAATAATCAAACTCATGAAAACAAAGAATACAATAGCGGTTGCCAGGGGTGGGGGGTGAGGATGGAAACAGAGAGTTGTTGTTCAGTGGATATAAAGTTTGTCATACTAGAAGAATAAGTTCTAGAGATCTGCTGTACAAGACGGTGCCTATAGTTAACAATAAAATATTGTATACTTCAAAATTTATTAAGAAGATAGCTCTCAAGTTAAGTGTCCTTACCACAAAAAAAGAGAAGGTGTTGGATATATCTATTACCTTCATTGTGGTAATGGTTATCACAAGGATTTGGAACTGTCCAAACTCATCAGATTGAACATATTAAACATGTGTACTTCTTTGCACATAAATTATACCTCAATAAAGCTGTTAAAAGTAAAGATGTACTATGAATTTGTCAAGCACCTAGAATTGGAGGTGAGGGGAGTTTTGCAGATAAGTTTTTATATTATTTGCCATTAAAGAAACTTTATATTCTTAAATCCTGCCTATTGACATCCTTTTGACAACAGCATCACTTTACCCACTTACAAGGGCCTGGAACATGGTGGACACTTAATAAATATTTGTGGAATGAATAGACCGTAAGGTGCTTTTAACGCCTAGGCCTGGAAGTGGTGCACATTACTCTACCGACACTCCATTGGTTAAAACTCAGTCATAGGGACACATTAACTGCAATGGGCATTGAAAAATGTGTCTGGCTTCATTCCCAAGAGAAAAAAGAAATTCATATGGTTACGAGCTAGCCAATCTTTGCCACATCCATGCCCCCTGGTTTCACCTTCAAAATCCCAATTGGCAAAAATATGTACAACTGTTAGATATCAGAGAAAAAAAACTCCCCTTGAATGTTATTTAACTCTATTTAATTCATCAGGTTTCATTCAAAAAGGTGTCCTATGCAACTTAAATGTCATCAAAGAAATTGAAATTCCCTATTCTATTAAAGGAAATCACATATAGGTCAACCATATTGGGAAAACAAGCCCCCGCCTTGTTTGAAGAAGTCAAGGAAGTCAAGGGCTGGTGCAAAATCAACTATTAACATCTTAAAGAGCTAGAGGAAAAAGAAAAGTAGATAAAAATAATCACCAAATATAGTTTTAGAATTTGAAAACAAAGAAATGGCATAAAAATCACTATAAATATTCTGTTGTCCCTCTGAAGAAGATGCACACAAATATATTTATGAGGAAGATCCATATGTTTTGCAAAAAACAATGAAACTAACAAGCAGTGTGGCGATTATGTTGTTTTCCTAGGCTGTTTCTTAGATTGTTTTCCAGTGTATGCATCTGAGCAAGGATTGGCACATTTAAGCACGGAAAATAAGACAAAATAAGGATCAACTCATAAAAAACAGTTATTGTGAAAAATACCAAATGAGTCAAGTGGAAAAGTTAAACTCAGAGTCCAATGATGGGATCATGAGGCAGCCTACGTGACTTCTGTATTCCCTAGGCTTTCCCAGCAGAAACTAAGGTGCAAAGGGGAAAGCATCACACTTCCCATGGGGTATTAAGTTAAAATTACCTCGTGGAATGGATCACACTGGAAGCCTTAAGGATGACAGAAATCATAAAGTAAGAAGTAGCAAAACGGTGACGAGAGAGAGCACTGGTCCAGGAGTGAGGAGACGCAGATCCTAGCCCTTATGCCTACCTGATGTATAATGTTGAACACATTACTCACCCTCTCCAGGTTTCACATGTGGATTTAAATAACTTGAAAGCATCCTTTCAGCTTGACCTTCCATGATTCCAAGAAAACTTTCAACCTTCTCAGGTTGCTCTGAATCTTGAAGCAACTATTTTAGATGAATAAACAAGTGAAGTCATTGTTGAGACAACTACTTTAAATAAACAAATGAATCAAGCCATCACCACTGTAAACATTGCTGCTTTAAAACGATGTTTTTGTTCAAATATATTATTAAATAGAATGCTTGAACAGAGGGAGCAGGACAGAGATCAGCTTGGAAATATTATAGCCTTATGAAAATAATCTGGAAGGATTTGCTATTTATCCAAATAGGAAAAAAAAAATAGAAGTTCAGGTAAGCAACACCAAAAAGAAACAAATGAAAAAAGATCCTGATTTTGCTCCAGATAGTGACCTATCATATGAACTAGTTTTGTAGACTAATGGCAGTCTCTTACCATCCCTCATGCTTAAATTGGTGAAAGGGAGGAAAAAGAGGAACACAACCATATCCAAATTAGCTGTGCATCAGAATCACCATGGTGTTGAGCATACAACCGTTTGTAATAGTACTTTTGTGTTTGAACACTTGAAAATCACTGAGCTAAAGTAGAAATGTTAAAAAGACTTGATAGGCAGATGTACTGTTGGGGAATTTTCTGTCTTTTAAGGTAATTATTAAATCTCTAAGGAAAGTTAAAAAGGGGTGGGTAGTTTTAAATTGTTCTTGCTCTCCTGAAAGGTTTACCCTGTTCTGCTTTTTTGGCAATAATAAAGCTTTGTAATACAAATAATTTAAAAGATATGTTGTTTTGTGAAGATGGAACAGCTCTAGAGACTACATGTGTTTCAAGTGTCTGTACATGTATAATTGTATATGTATAATTCTGGGGAAGAGGCCATTGGGAAGTCTAAAGTCTAATAGTGTAGGGCATAAATAACTATTTCATTTAAAATTTTCAGGAAACCTTTAAGGAAACAGAGCCTCAGAGATGTTAAACTAGCCCAAGAGCTAGTTTTAACATCTAAAAGGTTTTTGATACCAAGCAGGTGCGTCCTCAGCAGCATCTAAAGACATGGCTGCTGCTGAGGATGCACCTGCTTGGTATCAAGAACCTTATCAGCTGCAGGTAAAACCAATGAATGCCCCTTGGAGAAATGTTCCAATCTCTCTCTCTCTCTGAAACTCTGGTGCTAAAGCTTACCAAAAAAAAAAAAAAAAAAATTCCAGAAACTTTCCAAACACCCAATAGTCTGATTCTATCAAAAGGCCCTAAAATTACCTTACCATTCATTCTAGGGATTTCTTGATTCCTAAAATAATAAATAAAATCACTATTTGCAAATCTCATTTATAGAAGAGAAATGCCTCATCTACTACTTCAAAAAAGGTTTGGTTTAAACACCACATGTTCTCACTCATAGGTGGGAATTGAACAATGAGAACACTTGGACACAGGGCGGGTAACATCACACACTGGGGCCTGTTGTGGAGTTGGGGGCTTGGGGAGGGATAGCATTAGGAGAAATACCTAATGTAAATGACGAGTTGATGGGTGCAGCAAACCAACATAGCACATGTATACCTATGTAGCAAACCTGCATGTTGTACACATGTACCCTAGAACTTAAAGTATAATAATAAAAAAAGTTTGGTTTTAGTAAAATATAATTTTCTTATTAACTACTAAAGGAAAGCCTCTATTCTGTCTTAAGTGGTTCACGGTGAGGGTCTCGGAAGGCCTAGGCTATCAGAAATTACAGCAGTAAATCCCAGGAATTAAAGATAATTTGTAACTTAAAGTACAAAGTTTTTGTACGAATAGGTTTATCACAGTTGTTCTTTCTGAGATGTATTTCACAAAAACAAACTCATTTCTTTTTGGTAGTATGTTCATAATTTTGTTCAGAATGACTTCAGCAAAGAGACTTACAGCTGAAAATGTGCTGAAATTATTTATTACATGAAATGAAGAAAAAAACTAGATGGAGAATAAATAATTCCATTATGAAATTTTCTTTTTACTCCTCAAAGTCAAGTCAGTGAAGTACACCACATCAAAAGTGTTAAGGTTACTCTTTGAGTTTTGTTTGGGAGACAACCCAGATTACATAAAATGCAAAAGCAGAAGAACCAAACGAGCAAGAATGAAATTAAGTGGAAACTGTTACAACATAAATAATGACTGACTCTGCATCTGCACAAAGGTTCGATAAACATAGGAGAGTTTCGATTAAGCTGAGGTGTATAAACACTGGGTTTTAGTCCTACGTTCTTTTTTCATAATAGATATGTCACTTTGAGCTGGTCACATAATCACTGTATTCCTCAGTTTCTTTATTTGCAAAGGAAAAAAAAATCTTCCTATGTGATAGCCTGTTTGTTTGGACCAAATGTGGACTTAAGAGTGCTTTGTAAATTCTAACACAGCATAAAACTGTTCTCCTTGACCACACAGTGTTTCCAAAAATTAAAAAGTGAATGAATTGCTATCATTTAAAAATTGGTAGGATAAATCTAGAGATTTAATGTGCAGCATGAGGACTGTAGTTAATAATATTGTACTGTGTACTGAAAATTTGCTAAGAGTAGATTTTAGGTGATCTTAACACAAGGAAAAAGAGGTAATTATGGAAGATGATGAATATGTAATTTTGTTTGACTGTACTAAGCATTTGACTATATGTATATGTGTATATCAGAACATCATGTTGTAACACCTTAAATATAAGGCAATAAAAAAGCGAAAATAGAACAGTGGGATGATATCAAACTAAAAAGCTTCTGTACAGCAAAGGAAAACATTAAGAGAGTGAAGACAGAACCACCCCCCCCAATTGAGAGAAAATGTTTGCAAATCATATATGTGATTAGGAGCTAATGTCAAAAATATATAAGGAACTCAAACTACTCAATAACAAGAAAACAAATAGCCTCATTTAAAAATGGGCAAAATAAAAAAGAATGAGATCATATCTTTTATAGGAACTTGGATGGAGCTGGAGGCCATTATCCTTAGCAAACTAACGCAAGAACAGAAAATCAAACACCTCATGTTCTCACTTATAAGTGGAAGCTAAATGATGAGAGCTTATGAACACAAAGAAGGAAACAACACACACTGGGCTCTTCTTGAGGGTGGAGGGTGGGAGGAGGGAGGACAGCAGAAAAGAGAACTATTGGGGACTGGGCATATTACCTGGATGATTAAATAATCTGTACAACAACCCCGCGTGACACGTTTACCTGTGTAACAAACATTCACATGTACCACCAAACCTAAAAGTTAAAAAAAATAGAAATTAAAATTTAAAAAATAAAGTGGGCAAAGAAACTGAATAGATATTTCTCAAACGAAGATGTAAAAATTGCTAACAGGTAAATGAAAAATGTTCACCTTCACTAATTATTAAGGAAATGCAAATTAAAACCAAATGAGCTATCAATTTGCACTTGTTAAAATGGCTATTATCGAAAGCACAAAAGGTAAGCGTTGGAGAGAATGTGAAAAAGAGGGAACGCTTGCACGCTGTTGGCAGAAATGTAAATTAGTACAGCCATTTTGAAAAACAGTATGAAGGCTCCTCAAACAAACTAAAAACAGAACTACCATATGATCCAGCAATCCCACTTCTGGGTATATATCCAAAGGAATTGAAATCAGTTTGTCAAGGAAATAACTGCATTCCTATGTCCACTGCAGCATTATTCACAATAGTCAAAATATGGAAATAACCTAAGTGTCCATCAACGGATGAGTGGATAAAGAAAATGTTGTGTGCATACCTCATGGAATACTATTCTGCCTTAAAAAGAAGAAAACTTGCAATAACATGCATGAACCCAGAAGACATTATGCTAAATAAAATAAGCCAGGCACAGAAAGACAAATACCATATGGTCTCATTTACATGTAGAATCGAAAAAAGTCAAACTCATAGAATTGGAGAGTAGAATGGTGGTTACAGAAACTGCAGGAGGAGGGATAGGAAAACAGGAGATGTTGCTCAAAGGGTGCAGAGTTTCAGTTAGGCAGGAGGAATAAGTTTTAGTAATCTATAGCACAGCTTGCTGACTATTGTTCATAATAACATATTGTATATTTCAAAATTACTAAAAGATTTTAAATGTTATCACCACGAAGAAAACTATGTGAGGTAATGGATATGTTAGTTAGCCTAATTTAATCATTCTGCAACATATACATGTCCCACAACATCACATTGCACCCTATGAATATATGTAATTATTATCTCTCAGTTAAAAATAAAATATAATTTGTAAGTGAAAAAAAGAATATTTTAAAAATCAGAATATTTCATATAAAATGTGTATTTCAGCCTTCTATTAAAAAATCAGACATTCTAGCAACACTGGCACCATATTCCTGTATAGCACAGTTGTCTGGAAGTGAGTATTAGCTGCTCTCTGGGAACAAAATTCTCTTCAGTTTCCTTAATCCCTAAAGTTCCCTATAATCTTACTCAGAGGCCATCCACATAACCTGATGGGGCCTTCAGGTATTAAGTTTACCTGCCTCCCCAAACCAAATAAATAAATAAATAAATTGCAAAGGAAGATTAGATGTTAAGGCAAATAGTTAGTAGATTTCACTATCACTACTTATTTGGAATTCTATTGCCTGGATTAGAGTTTGAGTCTGGGCTCATTAAAAAAATATAGGAGATGATCCATATACCACCCCTATACAATGAAAGTGTGTGCCAGTAAAAACAAACAAACAAAAAACATGCTGTTTAGAATGTAGTTATTCAGGCTACCAATATTAGGAGACAGATGACTCCTAATGACTCCTAATTAGGAGATGGATGACCAATATTAGGAGACAGATTACAATATTAGGAGACAGATGACTTTGCCAACAAGCATTGCCACAACTTTCCCAAATTTAACTGCAATTGTCTTTAGAGAGAAAATGTTAAAATCTGAAAAACACACACTATGTAGTTGGGAAATTATTTAAAATCTCTATGCAAGAAGGCTTAAAGCAAGCATCAAATTTGAATCAATAAGACATTTTAACTTGAGAATCTTAAAAATCACTAGATATTGTTCTAAACAAGCTAACCCCCCAATTATAACTTTTTAAACTGCAAATAATATTTTTATCTTGGAGGTAGAAATTAATTATTCAAGGCCCAAGCCAAGCCCTTTTGACTACTTCAGTGACCAGAAGAGGTCAGGTTGCTTAGACACAGACAACAATATGCCATCCAAAAATGGGAATGCCATTAGGAAACATTTCAAATTCAAGAGCAGAAATTAGCCTACTTTCTTCTTTTCTAGTGGGGAGGACCCTAGTCATTGTGAGGCAACAGACTTTAAGTAGAGGACCTTAAGACTATGTATAAGATGAAGAAGGAAATAGAAGACTATAGGATGATGGATGCCCTGGATAAGAGAGTTACCAGTTTAAGAAGGCAGACAGGCAAGAGTTCCTAGGAGCACATTCATCCAAGTCTTATCTGACTTCAGATAAGACAGAGTGCTTCTGGCTTATGGGACCAAATGGAATCAATTAAAGGGAAACACACATATACGTGATACTAACTTATCTAATGGGATTGACTGATTGATTTTCTTTCTTTCTTTTTTCCCTCCCTGCCTCCCTCTCTCCCTTCCTTCCTTCTTTCTTTTGTTTTTTGCACTGCTCATTTTCAAATATTCTTGGTTCCAAATGTTAGTTTCCATTTGCATAGTCAGGCCATGGGACAACACAGATGATCTACCTTCTGTGTGAGCCTCTCTGTCTCTGACACCACTTAATGCCAGAGAAGCCACAGTGTGCAACTCAACCCTTTCCTGCAACTGGACAGTAGGCTTCACCTGGTCATTGCTTTTTTTTTTTCCAGTCTAAAATGGATGGACACAAGGCCTCAACCACTTTTCTGTTCTCAATTCTAAAGCTTGTTTGTCCAAAAAAATCAGCTCCTCTACATCTAGGTACAGCTCCTGGATCTAGTCAAACAAATCAGAAGAGACATTGCCACAGACCTCATGATTTCCACAGGCTTACTTCAGTAGAGTTTGATTGTCTGTCAACTGTCTTTCTAGCTGGTGGTTGGTTGCTTCACCAGTTGGTTGGTTCGGTTAACAAGAGATCTTTTCTGGTTATACATAACCTGAAAGTTATTTTCTAGAGAGAAAATCGAGAAGGGAATATAAAACTTTTCCTACCACTAATGTGTAGTCGGGAGAGTGCAAAATAGTGAGAAGTTCTGATTAGCAAGGGGGAAGAACAGAGACATCAGTTTCAAGAGATAGCAGCTTTGAGTTTATTTTGTAGAATACAAAGTAGTTCTTAAAATGTGGGGATCATGGACATCCTCTGAAGACACTAAGAAAACCATGAGCCTTCTCTCTCTAAAAATGCACAATATTAGGCAGTTAAGAACTCTCTAACCCAATCCATATACTTTAAGACATACATGGACCTCAAATGAAAATCCACAGTGAAGAATATAAATAAACATGCATCTGTTTTCAATCAAAATCTTGGTAGAAACATCAGTTATACTATCTAGTTAACAGAAAATCTGTAAGAGAGACGTTTGTCATATCAAAATATCATTTGGCATACTACAAATATATATAATTTTACTTATCAATTAAAATTAAATTAAGAAAAATCTTAAAAGAAAAATGCATCATGATCAACCAGGAGTGCAAGGAGAGCTTAATATTTTAAAATATATCCAAATTTATCACATCTGCAGACCAAAGGAAATAAACCATATGAGCACCTTGATTACTGACATTTGATAAAGTTAAACAATCAATTCTATACATATATACTTAAAAAAAGAAGTCTTAGAATCTAAGAATAAAAAAATCCTTCTTTATCATGCTGAAGAATGTCTATTTCAAATGAACAACCAACGTAATACTTACTAAGTGTTCCTATGCTTTCAAGAATTAGTCAAATTTTCCACTACAACCACTATCATTAACTATTATTTAAATTTTGGAGACAGTCACATCCAATACAGAAAGATAATATAAACAGAGAGAGAGAGAGACTTTTGGGTAATTACCAACTGAAAGATTAAAAATTTAGTGCAACTTGGATTCAAAATGCTCATGCACAGGAGGGATTATTATTTATTTTTCCTATTTTACAGATTAGAAACTGAGGCCTAGAAAAGGTAAGTTGCCCAAGTTTACTGGCTAATAAGTAATAAAGCTAGAATTCTAATGTACCAAAAATCTATGTTAATGGTGGCCTACTTGTGACTCACCTCAAAATACATTAATGTATACTCAGCAGGGTTCATAAGCAGTAAGATTTTTTTTCTCTTTACTTTGTAAAATCACTTAATCTACATAAATAATTCATATCTTGATTGACGTTCACATGACATCAAAAAAAGTGAAAAGTTCTATAAAAGGCAGAAGAAGAAGGAAGACTATTTTGTCTTCAATCAAGATAAGACTATTATTAATTTATTTTTAAGACACTGACTAAATATGTGATATAATAATAAAAAAAAGCATAAGGGTGTCTGGATCCTTGCATTCTTGCTAAATCTCTATCAGCTACTAGCCAAATAACTTGCCTGAGCCCTCATTTCCTTCATCTGTATACTGAAGGTGCTGACATAAATATTTTCTAAGATTCTATGAGCCTGTGACTCAAGTTAGTGATAGAGAACTTTGGAAGGCAACCTAAAGTTTAGGGTTCTGCTAACATATCATTCCAAGGACTTGTCCCTAATGGACCAAGACTGGGCTGGGTGTCCCCTCTGTGTTCCCTTGGAGTCCTCTACTTCTAATACAACACTTGTTACACTATTTATGTGATCATCTTTTTATCTTATTAAAATGTAAGTTCTTCATATGGACACAGGGAGGGGAACATTACACACCGGGGCCTGTTGTGGGGTGGGGGGCAAGGGGAGGGAGAGCATTTGGACAAATACGTAATGCATGCAGGGCTTAAAACCTAGATGATGGGTTGATAGGTATAGCAAACCACCATGGCACATGTATACCTATGTAACAAACCTGCATGTTCTGCACATGTATCCCGGAACTTAAATTTTTTTTTAAAAAAGTAAGTTCTTTGAACACAGAGGCCTGAGTCATTTTACCATTTGTTGGAGAAGCAGAATAGCATATGGGGCAAGAGCACATACTCTGAAACAACACTGCACTGCCTTTCACATCCAGATCCACTGTCTCTAGCTTTGTGTCCTTGGGAGAGTTAGCCAACCACTCTTTGCCTTGAAATCCTCATATGCAAAATGGAGATAATGATGACACCTAACACACAGAGTTGTTGTGAGGTTTATGTAAGCTACGGCATGCAAATCATTTACAAGAGGAATTGTCACGTAACAGGCAATAAAGTCAGGTATTATTATTATCACTGGTGTCTGACTTTTCTGGTATGTAGTAGATACCCAGATATTTCTTAAAAAAAAGTGAAAGATTAACTGTTTTCACAACATTTAAGATGTGAAACCAAAAGACTTCAAATTAATAACAAATGCCTATGACTTTGGTTTAATACAAAATGAGGTACCTCTATTACCTAGACTCATACTTTATGTTATTTTAGGATGTATTTAGGAGCACTGTTGAGTAGTAACTCAAAATGTTCTGTGGCTGCTTTAAGGTTTTAAGCTCTGGTAAAACCCTGCCCAAACTTCATAGATGAGAGGTTATGGCAAAGGGAATCATCCCACTTGCCAACCATCTACCTTGGGATATATACATGAACAAAGACTCCAGTGGGATTTGCTCAGATGAGAGACTTGGAAGCGCTATGAAAAATATCTATGGCATGACATTTTCTGACGGGAGCATGGCCTCAACTCTTCTTTCTAGTTAATGAGCCTTAATTTATGAAAGCTCCTGTCTTGGTAGGTTTTGCATCATTCTTCACTGCAAATCCCTTCATTCTGTTTCCACTCTGTGCCTGGGTATGTGATCATAATATTGCCAGTTTTCCTAATACAATGCTGCTAACTCACTTATCACAATAAGCCCCTTTAGAATAAATTAAGCTTGCAAAGCATGTTTTGGTGTACCACATCTTTAGCTAAATAGACATATATATATATACCCAAAATAACTTTTAGAAATCTGTTACCGTGTCACTGAGATAAATAGCCCCATATTTTAGCTTCTCTGTGCTCAGAAAAAAATAAAATCCTAATAGCAAGTTCTTATTAATTATTTCATGAACAGGACAAACATTTAAAAGGGAGCATTTTTTAAAGGTATCCAAGAGATATTAACTGCTGTTTCTCCAAGAAATAATTTCTATGCTTCATAAAGAAAATTCTGTTTCATACACATTTAAGCTCGATTTTCTTCAACAGATGCTGGAGTAGAAAGGTACCACCCTGCTCCATGTAAGCATAGATTCTTAACTGTGTACTCTCTAGAATTTTGACCTGAAGTTAGGGGAGATAATAAAAGTGGGGGGTTGGGACTCACCTCCTTGAGCAAGTGTCTTGACCTCTCTGAGCTTCAGTTTTCCTGTTAGGTAACCAGAGGACTGCCAACTTACCATTCCACTATAGTATCCCATAATCCTATAATCTCACCTCTGTTGACCATTAGACCAAGTAAAATGATTTGCCTTCTTTCACTCAGTAATAAGCAAACTATACTGACAAAATACATAGCATACATCTTAACTTTGAAATATTTGGCTTCCAATGTGGTTTCTTAAAACAATAATGATGCTATGGCAGTTTTATTTGTCAGTAGGTTGACATTAAATTGTTTTCTCAGCTGTGTTAAGCAACAAGAATCAGTTCCCACATGTTTATCACATGGACTATGATTTATAATTCCCAAAATAAACTTGATATTTTCTTTCACTTATATATTTTTAAATTTTAATTCGAATGCCATTTGAAGTCTTTTGGTTTCACATTTCGAATGCCAAGTATTACTCCTTTAAAAGCTTTCTTAATGACTATATCAAAGTACAAGAGGAATCTTCAAATATACTCTCTTATGCTGCTTCAAAATACATTCTTTCCAGTTGTAGAAAATGAAGCAAATAACAATGAACATATAATGCTGCATATGCACTACGATGAAAGAACTGGCAAAGTTGCTTCAAAAAAAGCTCTTAACAATTGGTCTGTACACTGTCACCAAGGCAACACCAAATGCTGACAGACAAAAATGCATTAACTTTCAGTGTGAACATATTTTAGGTAAGCTTAATTGTGAAAGAAATTAGATCAGAGTCTGATTTTATGAGAAAAGGCAGAACCTTACCCAAATTTCCTCCTGCAATGGGATGTGGTCTGTTTTCAGGGGTTGAACAATCCCTAGACTTCCGTTCAATAACTCACCATAATGTCCTGCAAGACATATTCATCCCAGCATCATTGCCACCACCAGCTACCACAATGCATGACTAGTCCATCAAGAAATAAGAGGCCTGGTGAAATCAGGTGGTTAGCTAAAAGAAGTAGAATATTCCCAGGCTCTTTTACACATATCTTTTAAACTAGATTTCTTGAGATTTTTCCCAAGGCTAAAATGGAAGACCGTATCATGTTTTCTAAGGAGAGTTTCTTTATTAATTTGATTACTAATAAATGTAGCAACTGAAAATAGATTATAGAGGACAGGGGTTGACACTTTTAATAAAATAGTACTTTAGAATAACCCATAAAAAATGACAGGGTCAGATAAGTTTGTTTGGGGAGAAAAGTATTGTTTGGGATGAAAAATACTGTTTTCGAAAATAATCTACACGTGTAGCGCTTTATAAAGATGTTCTGTGTCCTGTAGTGTAATGCTAGCATGAATTAATACAAGCAAATCAAAAGGTTGAAAGATGATTTTATCATTGGATTTGCTTCTAAATGTACAGCTAAAATTTGAGTCAGAGTTTCAGTTATTCTGTTAAAACTAAAAGCAGTGGTTCTAACCTCATATGTTGTGAACATGCATTAGATTATCCACAAGTGTTTCTTGAATGAATGATGAAAAACTGAACATTGTTTTTCTATTCAAGTTATGTCTAGATACCTCCTGCAGTCTGAGATTGCAGTCAAGGAGCAAGATGCTGATAAACATGCTGCTTACATAAACATAGCTGAGGCCCATGAGAAGATTTTTTTTAAAATTATACTTTAAGTTCTGGGGTACATGTGCAGAACGTGCAGGTTTGTTACATAGGTATACAAGTGCCGTGGTGGTTTGCTGCACCCGTTAACCTGTCATCTACATTAGGTATTTCTCCTAATGCTATCCCTCTCCTTGCTACCCACACACTGACAGACCCCGGTATATGATGTTCCCCTCCCTGTGCCCGTATGTTCTCACTGTTCAACTCCCACTTATGAGTGAGAACATGCAGTGTTTGGTCTTCTGTTCCTGTGTTAGTTTGCTGAGAATGATGGTTTCCAGCTTCATCCATGTCCCTGCAAAGGGCATGAACTCATTGTTTCTTATGGCTGCATAGTACTCCATGGTGTATATGTGCCATATTTTCTTCATCCAGTCTAACATTGATGGGCATTTTGGTTGGTTCTGAGTCTTTGCTATTGTGAATAGTGCTACAATAAACATACATATGCATGTGTCTTTCTAAATTCTACCACAGGTTCTGTAACCAATTAATTGCATAAGCTGAAATTTGTGACATAAAATCACAAATGCATGTTTTACCTCTCTCCGCAAGCCTTATCTCCATCTCTACACTTAGATAAAAATTCAGGAAGCTCCATAACTTAAACTTAAAAATCTGCATCTTTGCCTGGCATTTTACTTTGATATTTCATATCTATTGGATCCAGTTGCCACAGTTGAAATTTTGAATTCAATATCTCGTTACTTACCCAGAGCTTGTGTTTCACTTTGAAATTTTTGTTATGGAAAAAAAAAGTGATGCCTGCATTCTTTGGGGAAAATGCAAAACTTGAGTGAGGAGCACGGGGGAACAGAAGAAATGAGTGGAGAAAAATTTTTTAAAAATAGAACAGAGTACAGTGAGTTGTCATTTTTGGTGTCATACCACAATCACATGGATTACTTTGACTTTCGATAATTGTAAAAATAGACCAAATATATGTATGTGCTTGCACACCCACAACCATATACATACATTCTACTTACTCTTATAGAATTAAATAAGAAACTTGTCTTCCATAATTATTTATGTTTTCAATATGAACTAGATCAGTGATGTAAAAAAGTGAGCATCAACATACCAGATAAAACACAAACAAGTGATAGACTCAAATTTTTAAAAAATGAATGACGTAGCTATTTCTACTTTTATTCTATCTCCACAAAGCAAACTTAAGAATTCATTTAAAGTGTGTTCTACGGATTTTATACCAAAAATATGGGTATAGAAAATAGTGTGTGAGGGCCTACTATTCAATAATAATGCTGTCAGAGTACTGTTGCCTGGACGTTCTCCATGGTGGCTTATTTTCTTTATGTTAACATAGGATTATCTGACAGAAAGCAAAGCTTTTAAGGAAAGCAATGCATTTAGCTGTTAATCAGACAACCACATCTTAGTGTGCACCAGAGTACTGCCTGTGTACCACAATTGTTTTTAGTTTTTTTTTTTTTTTTTTTTTTTTTTGAGACAGAGTCTCACTCTGTCATCCAGGCTGGAGTGCAGTGGTGCCATCTCAGCTCACTGCAACCTCTGCCTCCCAAGTTCAAGCCATTCTCCTGTCTCAGCCTCTAAAGTAGCTGGGATTAAAGGCATGCACCACCACATCCTGCTAATTTTTGTATTTTTAGTAGAGTCAGGGTTTCACCATGTTGGCCAGGCTGGTCTCGAACTTCTGACCTCAGGTGATCTGCCCACCTCGGCCTCCCAAAGTGCTGGGATTACAGGCATGAGCCACTGCACCCGGCAAGAATTGTTATATTTTAGATAGCATCCTGTGTAGAGAGCTATAGCATTAAGTGCTGAGCACTGCTTAGAATGAAGGTCTAGGAAATTAGGAGTGGAAAAGTACAAGGGATGGATGAAGATGATGAAAGTGGATCCTAAATATTTCTGTATTTAGTAGGCATCTCAAAATGATTAAGATTAAGCTAAAATACTTAATTTCCCCTACAAAACTCTTCCTCCTTCATTCTTCCATCCTTCTTAAGTGGCACTATCAGTTACTCACCAAGTTACTCAAGCCAAAAAATCTGTGAGTCCGCCTAGATTCCTCTTTCCTTCAGCCTCCACATCAAATTCCATAGCACATCCCGTTGTTTGACACCATCTCCATATAATATCTGAGATCCATAAACATTTGTTGAGTCAATCAATGAATTCATTTTGGTCTGGCTTAGGCTATGCCTATATGATGCTAACATACTTAGGAGCAAAGTAAGAAACACAATCAATCGCCCAGATATTTTATGCATGGAAGATTTAACCTTGAGACACTTGAGGATGTGTAAATAACTTGGTTTTCTACTGAGTAACCTGAAAACACAACAGCAGAGATATGCAAACTTAGATTTTCAAGTTCTCAGAGACTGAGTCTGTGTAAGACTTATTCTTCTTAGTCAATTCTAAGTATAGATCAGTTCATACATTGAGTATTAATTGTAACTTATTGAGTGTCTGCCATGTGCCAGGCACTTTGCTCAAATGTTCTTGAGAGCAGTAAACAAGACACAGCTCTTGCCCTCATGCAGCTTACATTCAGGTGTTTACTTTGTATGATGAAGCAGTTGGAGAAAATAAACACAGTAATAAAAGTAAATAAGTTAACATACAATTATTTGGTTTACTAGAGCCTTTATAATTAACCGAGAATTTTTTTAAAATGAGATCCATTAAGAGTTGTTTTATTTGTTTTTAATATGTATCTTCTATGTGCCAGGTACTGTCCTTGGTGCTAAACATACAGAAAGAAATGAAGTACCATTCTGCCTTCTAGATGTTCACTAATAAGGGAAATTGTATGTATATAAATAAGCATTTTACACTCAATAAATTAAGAGAAATACACATCCAGGATTAACTAGATTGAGAAGTCATCTCTTCCTATTTGAATATGAAGAAAAGATTATGAATAACATTAACTATAAACTAATGGATATCTGCCAATAAAAATTGTGGATTAGCATGAGAACCTAATAATCATTTTGCTAATAATAATGATTTACATGTATTGAGTGTTCACACACAGTGTCAAGTGTTGTTCATATATTATATAACTTGATTCTCATTCATTTTCTATGAGGTAGGTATTATTATCCCCAGCTTACATATGAGGAAACTAAATCTAAAAGAACTTAAGTAATATGCTGACACTAAACTTACACAATCTTTAAGTGGCTGAGCTGGGATTACAAAGATAATTCAGGCATTTTCCCCACAGTAGGGTCACCTGAGGTGGTCTTCAAAGAAAAAGTAATTTTAGACATTCAGAGATTGAAAGGAAAGGCATTCCAGGTATAACAAATAGTTTTTACTTCTAACTATGGTTGTGTATGGGCCTGGCCCAGAAGAATGGAAGACAAATCTTCAGTAATCAGTGCTGAAATCAAAACCACGTGTATTTACCTACATGATTATAAGCCCCTGTTCAACAAAGAAGAGAAATATACACAGGATTTTACATAGATTTTGATAGATATTATAGTTTTTATATTGAAATTGGCTTTGGATATCCAATTCTTGTCCTAGGTTTACCCAAAGCCAAGACTGAAAAGTAATGACATTGAGGTAAGAAGGAGTAAACATTCTGAAAAAGAATTAATCAGAAAACAATGGGGAATACATTTGGTGAGGAAACACAAAGGAAGCTCCACTTGCCAAAGAGACTTAAAAGTAAAAATATGTTCCCACAAGGCATAGCATAAAATTGACAAGATTTTACTCAAGATTATGAAATACCTCAAACCACAATATCAACACTGAGAAATACACAGTTGAATCATCTGCTTTTCTCTTAGGAAAAAACAAACAGACTAGGCTTGGTACATCAGGAAGAAAATGCACAAATAATAGAGAAGATTTCAGACAGACCACTTATGGCTAAGGCAAAACTCATTGACCATATACAGAAAATTATGAGACATACACAAAATTTCAGTATCTTAAAAGATTAAAGATTTTCACATGGGGATGGAGTGTTGTATAGTTAATTACTCATATATTTAGAGTTTCTACATCATAACATTCTTGTAGTTGGGTGAGAGTCATTTTCATAGGTAATCCGATCAACTATTTTGGCCAAAACTCAGATGATTATTTTCTTTTCGAAGAGACCATTACCACATCTTCCAAGAAGGAGTTGCCCAACATCTCAGAAACGAACACAGATTAAGTTGCAGACACCTTCCAAACATCCATGTAAATTATGGAATTCAGTCTTGGTTCCCTAAAATGGGAGTTTTCATCTCTGAAAATGTAATAGACAAAAAGCTTCTGTTCACATATATAATACCTTGCTCTCTCCTACCCAAGGGAAGAGGGCCAACTTAAAACCTGATTGGTGAGCCTGGCAGACAAATATGAACATGTCTAGCTCAGCAGCCTTTTCCCTTCTGTTGTGAAATCTACCTATTCATGAAACTAATGAATTTGGTTCTGGACTTTACACTGGAATGTAAGAACTCATGGGTTAGGGCTCATCTGCTGAGCATTTTATTTCTGTGATTACAATATTGGAGTTTCTGTACTAAATTTAAGGTGCTGTTTCTGCTTGTCTTCTCTGCAGAACTCAACTCCTTCTACTGGGTTAACTCTATGTCTAGAATTAAGGAGGTAACAATGGAAGGCTCCATCTTCTTGGTGAATCCAAGGAGCATTCTACAATTCACTTTTACCAATTATAGAGCTAACATTTCTAAATCTCTATCTCTGTGACTCTTGTATCTTTTTATTAATTTGTTCCAAACACAAAAGGAACAGTCAGAACCATAAATAATTATCACTCCCCTAACCCCCAAAATAGTTATCCAATACAAAGATTCATAGTTAGACCCTAGCAACTTTAAAAATCAGGCAATAGGAAATAAGTGCCCCTTGGGTTTTGCCACTTGTTCTGGACTCTTATTTTGGTGCCATCTCTTAAAAATCACTATAATCTCAAGCAAAGACTCACTCCTCTATAGTTTTTTCCTCATCTCTACCAGTAGGATAATAATACATCAAAAGTTATCACGGGGCTTAGTTGAGCTAAGTACAGTGGCTGACACATAATACATACTGGAAATCTGTTATTAATATTAAGAAACTGTGTTTCTGTTACCTGAACAAACAAAAATTCATCATTAGTCTCGGGGATGAAAGAGGTAAAGAACAGGTACTAGAAGCATATTGAAGGAAAACAAGAGTCAATTTCTAAAATTGAACTCAATAATTCACATATAGACCATTAAGAGTACTACATTTACACCAGAAGAAATGTATTTATTTTCAAAGAAAATTTGAGTTATTTCAGACCCATAGATCTAAGTACAGCTGAATATTAAATCAAAAGACTTCGTTAAACAAAACAAATGGAATTTATTAATTCGTCGTATAATTATTGTGTCTCTCTAAAGTGCCAGTTACTGTTTTAGCTGCTGAGGATACAGCAGTGAACATGACAAATATGAGTGTAAACACGCACAAAGTTAACTGCTTGTTAATGAGCTATTCCCAGTACAATACAATATGCTTTATCTAATGTCATTCTTATCCATCAAACTCTAAAGTTGCCTCTAGCTTGTAACAAAAATGTGTTTATACAAATCTGTTCCTGCCCTTCCACTACTGCCAAGGAAACACTTTCCAAGGCCATGTATTTTTCCTAGCAGTTATTTAATGGTTACAACTAACTGGGGCAGATCACTACAACTACTGTGCATACATGGGTTTTTTTTTTTTTTTTTTTTTGCTTACTTCAGACACGCTGCCCTTTTTTTATTCCAGCAAAAATTTTATTACAATTAGCATGACTAATTAAAGTTCAAGAAACAGTATGCTTTCTTTTTCAAGTTCCTAAGATGACAGCATCCTGCATCCACTAAGGAAAGAATCATCAGAAGCCAAATGCTGCTACCCAAGTTGCCTTGCTCTGGCATAATTATTCCAGCTGTGAGTTTAAAAAAAAAAAAGGACTTTAAAGGGGAATAGACATAAGGAAGCTCCTGGGTCTATTATCTGGAGACATAAATATCTTAATCTTAATATCTGTTTTGTGTAACAAACTAATACTTAGTGATTAACACAAAATAGCATTATTGTCTCCCATAGTTGTGAGATTGATCTCATCTGGACCACTTGTGCAGTTGCAGTCAGGGGTAACCTGAGGCTGCAATAATCAGAAGTCTTAACTGAGTTAGACATCCAGCCATTCACTTAACTGGAAATTAAGGCTGGTTATTGGCTGGCAGCTCACCTGAAGATGCAGACTAGCTTGCCAAAACATGGTTTCTCCATGTGACTTGCACTTCTCATAGAACAGTGGCTTGGTTCCCGTAGTAAGCATTCCAAGTGATCCAGAAAGAAGATACAAGACTTCTTAAGATCTAACCTCACAAGTCGCAAAAGTCACTTCTGTGGCACATTATATTGGTTAACAAAGTTGCTAATTTCATCCCAGTTTCAAGAGTACAGGAGAAGTAGTATGTGCGGATAGAGGAAAAAAAAAATAATGGTGGCCATCTCTAGATGTTACCTACCACAGCCATGCTCTGGCCATTACAATTCATATCCATCATATGCAAATCACACTTGCTTTACTCCCAAGACCTCCAAGGTTTCATCAACTCAAAGTCCAGGATGATGTCATCTAAATCAGATTCGAGTTTAGGTGAGACTCGTGAGTGTAGCTTCTTGGTTTCAGCAACTTGAATACAGTTTCTCTCAAACTCTGTGAACTAAAGACACAAATTATTTCCTACATATCTATCTAATGGTGATAAGATAAATACAATAAACACATGCATTCAAATTCAGTGGTGGGAGGGGAGCTGAAAGCACATAGAAGTCACTGCTTCCTAGTAATTCTGAAGTCCAGCTAGGCATATATCACCATTTCTTTGATGATGATGCAGTCCTGCTGCCTGGGACTTTGTGATTCTTGACTTTTTACTCTGTCATCCTTCCTTTTTTTTAAACAAATAGCTTGTGTTTTCAGTTGAATAGGTTTTACAGCTTTCTTCTTATCCAAGAAAAGTTTGGAGTCCTGAGAGCTCTTTTCATTTTGAATTGTCATTGTCCTTTTAAGTTCAATCTGATAGAACTTCAACAATATGGTTCTCTTACAAAGTGCGTGGATCTCCTATGAATCCTGTAATTTATTTCAACAGACAAAAGTTATACCCACAAATCTCTTTGAAACTTTACCCTCTCTGACCTGGGTTGAGAACTAGGTTGTTGAGGGTCAATACCCTTTATGATGTATCTAATTGAAGAGGGTCTCTAAGGCATGTCCTTAAAACTTTCTGAAGTCTCAGTAAAAGATCTTGCAACTATGCCCTTAAGTTAATCTTTGCTTTCAAGTCATCTCTTATTTTAAGAACCTTTTACTCTGTGAAAAGGCTGGGAATAGAAATGGTTGTATTTTAAAAACCATAAAGCCATGGTTCATTTACACTTCCCCTAAATTCTACTTGAAAACTAAACAGTTCCTTTTGTTAGTCCATTTCTCTCTAGCTTTACCTTATCATAGGTGCCTGAAAGCAACCAGCAATGCCTTGAATAGTCTGCCTGAAAATCACCTTAACAAAATTCACCAGTTCATTAGGTATGTTTATATTTTCCATGTTACTTTCGAGGACAGTGTTGTGACACTTTCTGCCACACCATAACACAGTCCTTTCTTCTCAATTTTCTAATAACAAGTTCTTTGCTGTCTTAAAACCTTCACTTATGGGCTCCTCAAGGCTCTCCAAGCTTCTTCCAGCCACCTGGCTCCAAAGCTAATGCCAATATGACTTAGATTTCTGTTACAGCAGTATCCGGTTTTCAGTATAGCTTCTGTTGTGGCTAACAATTGATACATAATAAATGTCTCATAACTTAGTAACTTAAAAATATTTGACTATCTCTCATGGTTCTGTCAGTTGAATGGCCTCAGTTGGGCAGAAGCTGCAAGGATGCTTATGACTTTGGACCCTAGAAATCCAAGTATTAATTCCTTCTCACTTGATTGCTCAACAAAGTCACTAAAACCAGCACAGGCCTGGAACAGTGGCTCACACCTGTAATCCCAACACTAGGAGGCCAAGGTGGGAGGATTGCTTGAGTCCAGGATTTCCAGACAAGCCTGGGCAACATAGGAAGACCCTGTCCCTACAAAAAATAAATTTAAACAAAATAGCCAAGCATAGTGACACACACCTATAGTCCTAGCTACTCTGGAGGCTGAGGCAGGAGGATCATTTGACCCCAGGAGTTTGAGGTTGGAGCAAGACTTTGTCAGGTAAAAAGAAAAACAAGCCCAGATTCAAAGGGAGAAACTAGGTCCCACCTCTTAAGGTAAGAAGCAGAACATACACACAGATAGAGAAGAGACTGATGACAACCATATTTGTAGACCATCTACCACAAAATTCCTTTATTATAAACACATTTTATAGCATAACAAATAGAGCATAGAAACTAACTGTGGAATTTTTAAAACCACTACAATCAAATCATATTTATTATATTGTTTTAATCTGTTTCCCCAAGCTCTGTTATTTCCCTTCCCTTGCTTACTCATTATTTTACAAATGCTATTATGTAATACTCCTAACCAGATTATTAGACAGTAGAAGGTAGAAATTTGTCTTGTAGTGTTTTATATCTCTGGCACCTAGTAACCCTCTGGATGTAGTCATTCTTCAAAATGTACTCAGTAATTACATGTTCAAGCAATAATTAAAATTTCCTAGTTTTATATATAATGTTGCAAAACATTTTCAGGTACATTAGATTATATACATATATATCATGATTGATATCCATAGCAATAACCTGCAGCTACCAATTCTTTTGCCAAATAGAGATGAAAAATCTAGTACTGGAGGATATTGCAGCAGCAATGGAACTTAGGCTTATCCTGAGCTCTATTACTGCTCATAGCTGTTTTCTTCCCCAATTTCTTCTAGTTGATTTCAACCCCTAAAGTTGGTTACATACATTGCTTTGTGACATGATACTCTAAACTTGTGTAAGCTATAAAGCACAATCAGAAAAAGAAGATGAGGATTCCTTTACACAGTCGTTTTTCAAAGAGTGACCACTGCCCATTTTCCTCAGCAATATAAAAGCAGGAGTTATCATAGGGAAATTGCTTCTTAGGGATCCCTTCCACAATAAAAAATGAATATTAAGTTTCTCCTTTAAATTTTTATGTATACATGACTGTATCCACACAGTCCCCCACTGGTGTTTTTAAAAGAGCAGCTCTATATGAGTCAATACAACAGGGACAGAAGAAGCCGTGCCATTTTCAAAGCTGAACTATCAAAGTAATTGCACAATTGCTTTTGCACCAACCTAATATTAGAGTTCACCATCACCTCTCTGCCCAGTTTCCTGTCACTAGATGATCAGCACTGACTGTTATATGCCTTATCAACAGCAGCTTCTGTACAGCACCATGGTATTCTTAACCTTTGCTAATTATTTTCTGCAAGATATTGTCCCATTTTCAATTTTTTCCATGTCAGCCGCAGCCAGGGCAGGGGTTGAAATGATTGAAAGGCTTCCTTGGAAGCAGAACGAAGTAAGCAAAGCTGTAACTAGATGATCTTCCTAGTAGAAAAGATAGCTCCTCACCAGAACAAAGATGGTTTTTCAATGAAAATACTTTTTCTGCCATTTTTTATGACTTATTAAACATATAGTGATAGAATTCTGGAAATTCATTCATTATCATTTACCCAATCACTTGTTGGTGCTAAAGATAACAAATGTCCCTTCTTCTAAGTTCCAGGTATTTCTACATTTCCTTAGGCCCCAAGTTTGTACGCTTCTCCTTGATGCTCTTCCCAATCTTAGAATGTATCTAGATAGATAGACAGGGAGATGATAGATAGACGATAGATAGATAGGTAGGTAGGTAGATAGATAGATAGATAGATAGATAGATAGATAGATAGATAGATAGATGATAGAGATACATACATATATACACACACTTGTGTGTACGTGTGTGTGTGTATGTGTGTGTGTGTGCATGTGTGTGTGTGTGCTTGAGAGAGACAGTGGGATATACACATATTTTTTTCTAGGACTTCAAGGGACCACAGCCTTCTATTTGTGATTTAATAATATTAAGCTGTACATAAGTAAAAAGGTCTTTGACCTTTAAGTAACAGAAAATCCAATTCAAACTGGCATAAACATCCTGAAAAAGCATTAGCTCACAGAACTGGAAGTCCCAAAGTTAGATGACTTGTTTTGCAAACTTAACACAAAGGCCCTGCCAACTTCTGTGTGTAGTCTTTATTGTCAAGCTGATAAAATGTCCTCAGCTGTTCCAGACCTCACATTCTGACAACATCCATGTAAAGGAAGATCATTTCTTCCTTTAATTCCTCCTTTAAAAGCAAATAAACTTCTTGAAAGCTCCAGCTACCTTTCTTATAAGACTCACTGGCTTGAATGGGGTTATGGGTCCATCCTAAATGCATCCCAAGGAATGCATTCAGGCAACCCAAGGAATGTCATGTGATAATTGGCTTGGCCCTGTATTCCTGAACCAATCATTGGAAACAGAAGATGAGATTATCCTAAGATCACTCAGATTCACCTATAAAGCTGGGCAAGGGTTGGCTTCTCCTCAGGCATGAGACCTGAAATCAAACCAACATTTTATGATGGAGAAGAAAGGAGAATAAAGTCAACATAAAAAACAAAGTCTACCAGAGCTTGGTTGGGCTAAAAACTGATTTGCAATGGATTTCATAAAAACATCCATTCAATCACAGAAACAGTGGACATATGTCTATTTTCTCATTAAAAATGGTTGGACCCCAGCCAAGTAGGTCTGTACTGGAGACAGTTTCAGACTTGATCAGGAAGATAGTTACTTGAAGCTTTAAATAAAGGGTGGATTGGGGGCAGGGAGGACAGAGGGGGGAAGGAAAGGGAGGAGCCCCAAAGGCAAGACCAAAGAAGTCAATATCCAGGGAAAAAAGAGACACAAGTTTTTTAATTAGATATATCCAGAAATGGAATGGCAGAGTGAAACATAGCTGGGAGTGAAAACAAACTATCCAGGACTACATCCCCTTATAGGACTGGGATGTCTTCCTACAGCTTGTTCCTTCTTGGTCCTTGCTCTTAATATATGTGAACTTCAGGGTAGGTCAGACAGTTTCGTGGTGAGCAACTCCTCCTATTCCTCCTCACCCTGTTCATTTCAGGACCCAGGGTAGAACACAGAGCACCAGGCTTCCTTGGGGTCCACAATGTGCCTAACTGAATTCAGCTCCAGATAATGAGACTCATTATACAATAATTAAAATTCACTACTGAGCAGCTCTTTGGCTAAGACATTAAAACGCAAATACATTAATGCCTTCATTCATACCAAGCCTTTACTAGATATCTGCCATATGTAAGATGCTCTGCTGGGCACTAGAGATCATGTGACAGTCATAGGAGTGTGCTTTTCAGCTCCTCCTTCAAGAGAGAACCTGGTGTGAGGACTGGAGTGAGTGGACAGTGTCTAACTACTGTGCTCTGTGATCCACTGTGGTGTTCATGCTGAGGACATGCTGTCATTGAGCTGCTCCCAACCAGTGACCAAGTACAGCAGGGGTACCATAGCCAAGCCATTCCCACCCAATGTGGGACTCCTCTAGCAGGTGATCTTTTCTCTGGAGCTTGCAATCAGCCTGGCTGAGACTTTCTCAAAGGCACCTTGTAGCATGAGAATCTTTCTACTCAATCTCCCTTCCTTTCCTCTCTCCCCTCACAGGAGTCAGACCTGCCTAACAGTCAGAGGCTCTCTCCAACAACTCTGGCTGCTTCTCTCCTTTATCCTTCACAGGTGTTTCTAACTCTACATTGGTGTCTATTTCCCAGAGGATCTGAACTGACACAGATCATAACAGGTGTTAAGATGTGCTCTTCAGGCCCTTAACATCTATAGATGTTAAATCTTAAGAGCTTGAAGAACCTTGATGTTATTTAGCTCAATCTCCTTATTTATTCAGCATCTTTTCTATAGCATTGTCAAAAATTTAAGCAGCAACTGTTTGAGCACTTCTGAAGACTGGAAGTTCCACAATCAGTAGGACAGTCCACTCTGTGCCTGCACAACTTAGCTTCTCCCTTTGTTAAACTGCCTCCTTGTTACTTCTCCCCACTGTGATTAGTTTTGTCCCCTAGGACCACTCATAATGGGCTTATGTTTTCTTCACATAGTGACATTGAAGGGCAGATGCCTACTTAACCTTCAGATGCAATATACCTGGTTCTTCCCACTGTTATCCATTTGATATGATTGGCAGAGTCATAATCATTATGCTTGTTCCTCTTTTGACACACCCAATTTCTCTATGCCTCTCTGATAGTGTATCACCCACAGCTGCAAATAATCATTGTTTGTGTATTCTGCAAAATCCACTTACTCTAAGCACCACAGGGGCAGATAGCAAATCCCTGCTCTTTATCACATAGTTAATTCACGATAGAAACTCAATGTATGTTTATTGAATGAAGGAGCTTATTGAGCAGTTTATTGAGCAGAAGTAATTGAAAAGGATACAACGCAGGTCCTTTTGGTTTAGTCAAGATGAACCCTCCACATTCTGTCTGAACGTAAACTGTCTTCATGGTAGCAAACCTTCTATCTCCTACTTGGCTGAAGGGTACAATAATCTGAAGAAATTCCTATCCTTCTAATCAAAGAGACAGAAAGAATGAAGGCAAGATGTTAGAATCATTGAGGGCAAGCGAGCCTGATTACTAGTAAATATACCTCAGAAAATATTCTGAAATCCTACCAGTTTTGAGAATCATTATTCCCTCTGAGTGTAGACTGAGTAGAATATGCAATTAAAGAGGAAAAATATTTGATCTTAACTTTTCTGGATGTTTTCAGGATATTTCATTTCTATTTCTTTCTGGGAAGACAATAATTAGAACATCATTTATCTTGTTCACCATGACACTTTTATATTGTTAAGAGTGAATTATATGGGGGGATTTTTATGCCATCTTTTGCACATGCACGATATACTTGTACAGTATTTTATAGTAAGCTACACCAGACAACATGACTAGGTATATGTTAAATGGAAGAGTAAATAGGGAATTTTTTTTTCTATGAGGTACAGGGTGAGCCTAAAGTTAGTTTAATTAACATTCTTTTTGTTCTTTTATTTTAGATTTAGGGGTATATATGCAGGTTCATTGTATAGGTAAGTTGAATGTCACAGGGGTTTAGTGTTCAGATTATTTTGCCACCTATGTAATAAGCATGGTACCAAATAGGTAGTTTTTTGATCCTCACCCTACTCCCTCTCTCTGCTCTCAAGTAGGCTCCAGTGTCTGTTGTTCTCCTTTGTGTCTATGAGTTCTCATGATTTAGCTCCCACTTATAAGTGAGAATATGTGGTATTTGGTTTTCTTTTCCAGTGTTAGTTTGCTTAGGATAATGCCTCCAGCTCCATCCATGTTGCTGCAAATAATATGATCTCATTCGTTTTTATGACTGTATAGTATTCCATGGTGCATATGTACCATATTTTCTTTATGCGCTCTACCATTGATGTGCATTTAGGTTGATTCCATGTCTTTGCTATTGTGAATAGTGCTGCGGTGAACCTAGGCACTCATGAGTCTTTATGGTAGAACAACTTATATGCCTTTAGGTACATACCCAATAACAGGACTGCTAGGTCGAATGGTAATTCTGCTTTGAGTTCTCTGAGAAATCACCAAACTCTTTTCCACAGTGGCTGAACTAATTTTTACATTCCCACCAGCAGTGTGTAAGCATTCACCTTTCTCTGCAACCTCTCCAGCGTCTGTTATTTTTTGACTTTTTAATAATAGCCATTCTGACTGGTGTGAGATGATATGTTATTGTGGTTTTGATTTGCATTTCTCTAATAATTAGTCATGTTGAGCATTTTTGCATATGCTTGTTGTCTGCATGTATGTCTTCATTTGAAAAGTGCCTGTTCATGTCCTTTACCCACTTTTGAATGGGGTTGTTTGTTTCTTGCTTGTTAGTTTGCTTAAGTTTCTTATAGATTCTGGATATTTAACCTTTGTCAGATGCATAGTTTGCAAATATTTTCTCCCATTCTGTTACTTGTCTGTTTACTCTATATTTACTCTGTTGAGTAAACAGACAAGCTACAGAATGGGAGAAAATATCTAGTTTCTTTTGCTCTGCAGAAACTTTTCAGTTTAATTAGTTCCCATTTATCAATTTTTGTTTTTGTTGCAATTGCTTTTCACATCTTTGTCATAAAATCTTTGCCAAGTCCTGTGTCCAGAATGGTATTTCCTAGGTTATCTTCCAGGGTTTCTATAGTTCTAGGTTTTACATGTAAGTCTTTCATTCATCTTGGGTTTATTTTTGTATATAGTATAAGGAAGGGGTCCAGTTTCAATCGTCTGCATATGGCTAGCCACTTATCCCAGCACTATTTATTGAATATGGAGTCCTTTACCCAATGCTTGTTTTTGTCAAATTAGTTGAAGATTATATGATTGTAGATGTGCGATCTGAGCTTTCTATTCTGTTCCATTGGTCTATGTATCTGTTTTTGTACCAGTACCTTGCTGTTTGGGTTACTGAAGCCCTGTAGCATTGTGTGAAGTTGAGTAATGTGATGCCTCCAGCTTTGTTGTTTTTGCTTAGGGTTGCCTTGGCTATGTGAGCTTTTATTTGGTTCTACATAAATTTTTAAGTATTTTTTTTCTAATTCTGTGAAGAATGTCGTTGGTAGTTTGGTAGCAATAGCATTGAATCAGTAAATTGCTTTGGGCAGTATGGCCATTTTAACAACATTGATTCTTCCCATCCATGAGCATGAAATGTTTTTCCATTTGTTTGTGTCATCTCTGATTTCTTTCATCAGTGTTTTGTAATTGTTGTTGTAGTGCTGTTTCACCTCTCTGGTTAGATGTATTCTTAGGTTTTTTATTCTTTATGTGGCAGTTGTAAATGATATTGTATTCTTGATTTGGTTCTAAGCTTGGATGTCATTGGTGTATAGGAATTCTACTGATTTTTGTACCTTGATTTTGTCTCATGAGACTTTGCTGAAGTTATTTATCAGAACAAGGAGCTTTTGGGCCAATACTATGGGGGTGTTCTATATATAGGATCATGTAATCTGCAAACAGATAGTTTGACTTCCCTCTTCCTATTTTGATGGCTTTTCTTTCTTCATTTTTCTTGATTGCTCTGTCTAGAACTTCCAGTAGTTGTTGAATAGAAGTGGTAAGAGAGAACATCCTTGTCTTGCTCTGGTTTTCAAGAGGAATACTTCCAGCTGTTTCCCATTCAGTACAATGTTGGCTGTGGGTTTGTCATAGATGGCTCTTATTATTTTAAGGTATGATCCTTCATTGCCTAGTTTGTTCAGGGTTTTTAATACGAAGGAATGTTGAATTTTATCGAAAGCCTTTTCTGCATCCATTAAGATGATCATATGGTTTTTGTTTTTAGTACTGTCTATGTGATGAATCACATTTGTTGATTTGCATATGTCGAACCAATCTTGCATCCTGGAGATAAAGCCTACTTTATCATGGTGGATTAGCATTTTGATAATGCTGCTGGATTCAGTTTGCTAGTATTTTGTTGAGAATTTTATTAGTATTATTATTATACTTTAAGTTTTAGGGTACATGTGCACAATGTGCAGGTTACTTACATATGTATACATGTGCCATGCTGGTGTGCTGCACCCATTAACTCGTCATTTAGCATTAGGTATATCTCCTAATGCTACCCCTCCCCCCTCCCCCCACCCCACAACAGTCCCCAGAGTGTGATGTTCCCCTTCCTGTGTCCATGTGTTCTCATTGTTCATTTGTGTCTATGTTCATCGAGGATATTGGCTTGAAGGTACATTTTTTGTTGTGTTTATGCCAAGTTTTTGGTATCAGGATGATACCAGTCTCATAGAATGAGTTAGGAGGGAGTCTTTCCTCCCCATTTTTTTTTTTTTTTTTTTTTGGAATAGTTTCAGTAGGAGTGGTATCAGCTCTTCTCTATACGTCTGGCAGAATTTAGCTGAATTCATCAGGTTCCAGGCTTTTTCTTTTTGGTAGGCTTTTTATTACTGATTCAATTTGGGAGCTCATTATTGGTCTGTTCGGGGATTCAATTTCTTCCTGGTTCAATCTTCAGAGGTTATGGTAACTCCAAAGTACCTTCTTACCTGCAAACAACCACACTAGGTCCCCAGCAATGGTTCTTAATCAGGCTGAAATGATTGAAATAAAAGAAATAGAATTCAGAATGTGAAAGGAAGGAATATAACTGAGATTCAGGAGACAGTTGAAACCCAATCTAAAGATTCTAAGAAATACAATAAAATTATACAGTAGATGAAAGGCAAAGAGGCCATTTTAAGAAAGAACCAAACTGATCAAACAGAGCTGAAAAACTTACTTCAAGAATTTCAAAATACAATCACAAGTGTCAACTGCAGAATCAACCAAGCTAAGGAAAGGGTCTCAGAGCTTAAAGACTGACTCTCCAAAATAACTTAATCTGACAAAAATTTAAAAAAAAAACAGTAATAAATGAACAAAGCCTCCGAGAAATATGGGATTATGTAAAGAGGCCAAATCTAATTAATATTCTGTATAATGCATTTTAGTACCTTCTTGGGGGCAAAAGCTAAACTTTCCAATGGCCATAGAAGACCAAAGGTATATATGAGGTAAACAACCCCAATAAAAATAAGACTGCAATTGCAATGATTCAGTGCAGGCCCTTTCCCCAAGTGGACAGCTACTCAGCCCAAATGGCTAAAAATACAAATTGTTGGAAAGTATTGAAAGAAGGAAACCTTTACTTTCTTATGCTGTATTTTGTTACAAATGAAAGTATACTCAGATAAACTTTTTGGTTTCTCTATCTATTTTTCCATCTCTTCAGTGTAACAGGAGCAATCAATGTGATTTCTGAGAGTCTAACCACCTTGACACTGGTGAGCAAAGTTTCTCTAACTCAAGTGCAAAGCAACTCCCAACCCCTGTCTTTGGTTCTGCATGACTCCTTAGATCTTTAGGAAGTCCAGAGGTGATAATACTTCCAGAATCCAGGTAGTAAAAGCACAGGACTATGGTGTCTATATCTGTGACACTCATGGGCCTGGTTTTCTGCAATTCAGTAAGGAAAAAGAATAGGATATCCTATACTATCATCCACATTCTTCAACAGAGCTTAACACAGTCATAAATTTGGAAGTATTTTGGCACTGCCTAGCCATTAATTAAAATAACACTTTGACCACTATTGCTGCAAGTCCTTTGTATGCATACTTTATTAGCTAGAAACTGGAGGGCGAGAGCTAAAGAGAACCCTGAATTACTTAGTTTAATTAATAAGTGAATTGACTCAATAAGTGACAATATTCATTCCCTAGCTCTTTTGTAAATAAAAAATTTAGAATAACATTTCCTAAACTGTGGCACAGAAAATACTATTAATAATTCCAAAAGACAGCAATATATGCTGTTTTTAAAAATAAAATCTATAGTCAAATATGTTTGGGAAATAAGAGTTAACAAAGTTAAGCAGGTTTGTTTTCTATAGCTTTTGATATCTAAAGCCCACTACAAATATCCAAGATAGAAGTGCAGTTTGTAATAGTTCCCCTAATTATTTGCTCATGAAACTTGTTTGTTTTAAGCAGAGAATATTGGAGAAAGAACCTCACAGAATTTTCCTTACTTTGGAAAATTCTGATTTAGAGTACTTCTAAATCAGAGCAAGCACCATTTCTTAAATAAAAAATAAAATAAAATAAAAACTCAGTAAGAACCTACTATATGCTTGGCATTGTGTGTGACATTGAAAAAATTGAAATAAGAGAAAGTATCTGCTTTCTAAGAGCTTATGTCCTGATGGAAAGGTAAGACCCAGAGAAGGCAAGACAGAAAACCAATCAAGGGTTTAATGCAACAGACCTGATATGAAAAGCAGCTCTGACTTAAGGCTGTAGGAGAAAAAGAGAAGTAGCATGGGAGAAATTCATGAGAATTGAAAGATGTTTCTGGAATGTATATTCCATGCAAGACAATGTGTTAGATACACAACATATTACATTTCATATAAAAGTTCAAAAAGAACCTTACCAGAATGTGAATATCCTTTAAACAGACTTCTCTTGAAGTGATTGCAGATTAAATTGGTAGGAGAAAGGAAAAGAATGAAATCAGAAATATTATGTTATGGGATAGTCACGGCTGATCCCAATGTTTGCAGCAAGAGTGGCATTGCTGTGAATTTTAGTTTTAGCTAAAATCCACAGCAATGAGGAGCTCATCATACCTCACAGATGAACATGATTCATACCATGGAAGTATTGAAAGATAAAGTTGTAAAGCCACAAAGAGGGAGCTTTACTGCCAACTTGGAAGCTAGGCAGAAGGGATATTTAATTGGGAGAGATTTTTTAGAAATAAAGATGAAAGCATTTTGAACCAAGAAGTATTTGAGACATCTACAAAAATAAATTATTTCCACATTATAAAAAGTGATTTTTGGAACTCCTAGCCAGAGAAATCAGGCAAGAAAGAGAAATAAAAAATATCCAAATAGGAAAAGAAGAAGTAAAACAATGTCTCTTCACTGATTATATAATTCTATACCTAGAAAACCCTTAAGACTCAACCAAAAGGCTCCTGGAACTGATAAATGACTTCAGTAAAGTTCCAGGATACAAAATTAGTGTCTAAAAATTAGCAGCATTTCTATACACCAATAATGTTCAAGCTGAGAGCTAAATCAAGAATACAATCCCATTTACAATAGCAACACACACCAAAAAAAAAAATACCTAGAAGTATATGAAAGCAAGGAGGTGAAAGATCTCTACAAGCAGAACTACAAAACATTGCAGAAAGAAATCATAGATGACACAAATAAACAGAAAAACATTCCATGACATTTTTGGATTGGAAGGATCAATATTGTTAACATGGCCATGCTACCCAAAGTGATTTACAGATTCAATGGTATTACTATAGATCTACCAATGTCATTTTTTGCAGAACTAGAAAAAAATTATCCTGAAATTCATATGGAACCATAAAAGAGCCCAAATAGCCAAATCAAGTCTAAGCAAAAAGCAAAGCTAGCAGTATCACATTACCCAACTTCAAACTACACTACAAGGCTACGGTAATCAAAACAACATGGTACAAAATCAGACACATAGATCAATGTAACAGAATAGAATAAAGAAACTAGAAATAAAGCCACACACCTACTGCCATCTGATCTTCAACAAAATAAGCAATAGAGAAAGGACTTCCTATTCAATAAATTCTGCTGGGATAACTGGACAGCCACATGCAGAAGAATGAAACTGGACCCCTTCTTTTCACCATAAACAAAAATAAGCTCAAGATGGATTAAATATTTAAATGTAAGACCTCAAACTACAAGAATCCTGGAAGAAATCCTAGGAAACAACGTTCTGGACATCAGCCTTGGAAAAGAATGTATGACTAAGTCCTCAATATCAATTGAGACAAAAACAAAAATTGCCAAAGGGGCCTAATTAAACTATGGAGCTTCTGCATAGGAAAAGAAATTATCAACAGAGTAAACAGACAACCTACAGAAGGGAGAAAATGTTCACAAACTATGCATTTGACAAAGGTCTAATATCCAGAATTCATAAGGATATAGCCATTCTCACACCAGTCAGAATGGCTACTACTGTAAAGACAAAAAACAACAGATGCTGGTGAAATTGAAGAGAAAAGGGAATGCTTAACCACTGATGATGGGAATGTAAATTAGTTCAGCCACTGTAGAAAGCAGTTTGGAGATTTCTCAAAAACCTTAGGACTACCATTCGACCCAGCAATCCCATTACTAAGTATATATCCAAAAGAAAATAAATCATCCTATCAAAAAGACACATGCATGCATATGTTTATTTCCACACTACTCACAATAGCAAAGACATGGAATCAACATAAATGCCCATCAATGACAGATTGGATAAAGAAAATGCAGTACACATACACCATGGAATACTATGCAGCTGTAAAAAGGAATGAAATCATGTCCTCTGCAGGAACATGGATGCAGCTGGGGACTGTTATCCTAGGCAAACAGAAAACCAAATACCAAATATTCTCACTTATAAGTGAAAACATGGGAGCTAAACATTTGATACTCGTGGACATAAAAACAATATATACTAGGGACTACTAGAGGAAGGATGGAGAGAGGCAAGGGTAGAAAAACTAACTATTGGGTACTATGCTCAGTACCTCAGTGACTGGATCATTCATACCCCAAACCTCAGCATCACACAATATAACAGGTAACAAATCTGCCCATATACCCTTGAATCTAAAATAAAAGTTGAAAAGTGTCTTTTAAAACAAAAATTATCCCATAGAAGTAGCAAAAACTGTAGAAGGCATTCATGGGCACAGGGCATTTCACTGAGACCTCTGCAGCCCTGAGAGTTGTACACCCAAGGCATTCACTGTGCATGGGTTTGTGCAGTAGCAATTCAGATGCAAATAATTAGGCAAGTACAAGTATATGGCAGAACTTAGATAAGGTAGAAATTTGGAAAGATTGAGCTTTTAAGTGACTACAGTTGAAGAGAAAGAAAACTCTGTAATTAACGTATCGTCAGCTCCAAAACAAAAGTCTTGCATAAATCTCATTATGGACACGAATGGAGCAACCTAAGAAATGGAGTTATAGATATAGACTAAGGAAATGAAAAGGAAGGGGACCCAAACTAGACGTATGACCAATGCTCCCAGCAAAGGGCTTCAGCCGAAAATAAATACAGTTGGCCCTCCATATCCAAGCTTCTGCAATGGCAGTTTCAACCAACCGTGGATTGAAAATGTTTGGGGAAAAAAATAATAGAACAATAAAAAGTAATACTAATTTTTAAAAACACAGTATAATGACTATTTACATAGTATTGTATTAGATATTATAAGTAATCTCCAGATGATTTAAAGTATATGGGAGGATGCACATAGGTTTTATGCAAATACTATGCCATTTTATATAAGGGACTTAAGTACCCATAAAATTTGGCATGGGGGGCATCCTGGAATCAATCCCCTGTGGATACTGTGGGATGACCATAAGGACTTCCACAGGCCCTTACATGGCTATCTTTACCATAGCTATCTTTCATTCAAGGGTTACAATAAGACACACATACAGCCTATTGAAAGTAAATTCAAGATTTTACAAGAGATGCACTTCAGACTGATCCAAACCAGATTTACACAGTTGATTGCAACTGCCAAGGACAATCATTCTATCGAAATGACTGTGCCCATTCTGGAAGCGCTTCAAGTTTGTCCATCTTTCCTCTTCCCCAGTAAATGTTTTTATGTGGAGTGCTTAATTTTTCTTCTTTATTTTTCAGGCTACAAACCCCATCTTTGGTAAATTAACACATGACAATTTTCCAACATTGGTATTTCTTTATAGGGTCTATGCAGGAAGAGAAGCAGAATGAATTGATCTCCCTTCTTCTTACAGCCTTGTCTCATGGTTCTGATCCAAATTCGTTCCTCCCTTCCACAACTCCTTTTGCAATAAGTGTATATATACCACAAATTGTTACTCCTTTGTATGTGGTAAATCAGATTGTTCTTCTCCACTGCTCAAAACCTTCCCATGACTTCCTTCTCATGCTAAATAAAAACAAGACGAAAAACTATCTGAACTCCCTACAATAGCATTATAGACCCATAGGAATGACCTCTCTGACCTCAGTCTTCCCTGGCCTGCCCTGGCTTCCTCCACTCCAATCTCCCTGGCCTCCTCACCCTCCCTTCAGCCAGCTCGCTACCCTTAGCCTTTATACTTAATATTTCCTGCCTGGCACACTCTGCCTCATCTCCCAGATAGTTTTAAGCTCATTCTCACCTCATTTGGGCTCCTGTCAAAAGTCATCTTATCAGAGAGCCCTTCCTTGACTGCTCTATGTGAATAACATGCTATTTGAATCCCATCTTTACCACTTGATATAATGTATATTTATTTGTGTGTTTATTGTGTCTCTCTGCCCAGGGATCACAGTGTTTATGTATAATGCCATGACTGTTCAATTAAATGGGTTGTATTAATAGATTGAAAGGTCTCTAATTATTTCTTCTCTGTATATCTTACCTGACTCACTTATGCGATCCCCCTAAGACACACGCAAAGCAACCTGCCTGCGCCTTTCGTCTACCCCCACATGGGGACAGGCCACTGGAAGTTAGTCTGCCCCAGGCATTATTCAAAAATCCCATCAGAAGGCTCCTGTCCAGACCCTCTCTCTTATCCCAGACAGCAAAGTGCCTCATGCTGGCTGATCCCCTTGCCCAAGGACTCCCCTCATCTTACCTATGTTTGCATGAGTAATATACCTTTGAAATGCTTGAGGTTACTGACTCTGGTGTGGTGTGTACTGACATGCAATACCTGAAATGGGATGGAAGGGCAGCCCTGACGAGAGGCCAGGTGAGTCTGTAACACCTGCCACTATCACAGGGCACCTCCAGGTAGAGAGAGACAGAAGACTCCACCCTCATCACCCTGATTCAAAGTGCTTCTCTTGGAAACTTCCTGAATCTGAACTCAATCTGGCTTTCAACCCTCTCAACTGCTAACCTTATTACTCATCCTACTATTTTCCTCTTAGTGTCTCCCTGGGATGCCATGTTAGGGCTTATTGACTCCTCTCAGGGAAGGTCTCAGTTTCAGTCTGATTCTACTGCCAATGACCACATGTCAGTGGAGGTGACAAGTAAACTGACACCCAAGACTTGTCTCCAAATCTTGGGTGTCAATTTACCCAACACCCCAGGAACAGCTCTTTGCTCTGAAGGGAACTCTGCCATGGGGAGACAATGATAATCTATGGTTCCATAAACAATAAATATTTTCATCTTTAAAGCATGTTTAGTCATTTTCAGTTAATCTTGTTATTGTTTTCATATCGTTTTCAACTAAAGAACTCCTTCAGATATTTCAGGACTCACAAAATCAAATACCTGTAGGAGCCAGACAGGTATCCTCAATGTGAGAAGTGGCTGGATATAACACAACAGATTGTTGATACTGCCACTGTGCAGTGCAGAGCTTGTCTAGGGTCTTTCTAATTCAATCATATTTAACCTTTTCTGTGCTGGTCAAACAAAAGAGGATTCAGCTCATGGGCTACTAGATTAGAACCCCTGAGACAGAGTTAATGAAAGGTATTAGAATCAGATGGGACAAATGAACCATTTGGACCAAGGTAGTGTTTTTCAACTGTGTCCACACATAATCACCCAGACACTTTAAAAAGAGCTGATACCAGGATCCTGTCCCTAGAGATGCTGATAGAATTACTCAGGGTTACCCAGGGCATCAGATACTTTGAAAGATTTCTGAATGATTCTAATGTATAGCCAAGTAAGCACTACTTCTTTCAGGAGTCCATTTTAATACAACTGACTATGCTTCTGGTAACACAGGTAAAGTCTGTCCACCCAATCCTTCTTTCCAAAGTAGTCAATATTTTATTTAATAACAGATATCACAAACTTAGAAGAAAAGTCAGTTGCTTATAAAAGAAACATAAACAGTAAATATTTAGGGAACTAGAGATTTCAGAGAAATACAGGGCATTATTAAAGTTGGAACATAACAGCCAATTCCTAACCCAAAGTTTTCCCAACAGAACCTTAGTAGAACAAAATGCTTTAAGCACGTAGTGTACACCCTCATTGCATGTCAAAAAGAACTGGTATTATTTCAGGAAGAACAACTCATCTCTAAGGGCTTGAGCAACATTTCTGGAATATCTTAAGATTAAAAGAAACCATGTTTTCTTTGGAAGACTTGAGGGCATACATACCAGGAGGTTCATTTCATTTCAAACCCATGGATTTACCCACAGATGTTGTAAGCATCAACCCCCTTACCACCTTGTGGTGAGAGTGATGAAACTGAAATCCTGCCACATAAGGAAACTGTGCATCTTTACTAGAGTCATTGGATGGGATACTGGATGAAGTCAGTTTTGAATGGGTTCACTTCTTTTTTGTTTACCCATGAACCACATTCTTTGAAAAAAAAAAATGTCGTTTGTAGAAATGTCATCCATAAATAGTCGGGACTTTACATTTTTGAAAATTGCTACATGGAGATTCCTGGATGCCTTAACTGTGGATTGCAGTGCCTTCTCAAGCAAGCTAACCTCATCTAGAAGCATGGAGTTCATAAAGCTTGATGAGCCTGCAGCTCTCCTTGGAAAGAAATGCAGTCTAAGAGAGAGAACGGTATCTTGTGTTGCTTCTAATGATGGGAATCACCACCCTGCCTGTATTCACACAGTGCAATGATCATTAAAACTCTTGTTTCAAATAAAATGAAACAGAATGTCCCATTGTGCTCTGTGAGAAGTTCTCAAAATAAGGAATGTACAGTAAAATACATTGAAGAGAGGTGTGCAACGTATCTCCCTTGCATAGATTCACGAAGCTCATTAGTAGAGTAAAGCCTCAGGGTGGTGGGGGAGGGGAAACAGATTTCAAAAAAAGAATATCAGAATTCTTTTTTCTTTTTTCTAAAACATTTCATCAAGCATTATTCCATGGAATGAACATTTAGGGGTGTACTTTTTTAAAAAAAATTTGTGTTTAGTGCAGAACACTGTGCTCCACAGCAGAAAGCCAAGGATCTGGTCCCTTATTTGGCATGAGCACCTGTGTGACTGTGAGGAAACCACTTAAATTCTCTGTTTTCAGTTTGCAAAACTATAAAAGGAAGAATTTTGGCTCAAAATTCTAACCTGGAGCTTGGAAATTTCTGGATTCCAAATAATTTATCTACCACTCAATATTAATTCAGATCCACAATCCCTTATTCACAATTTCAAAATATGAAAAGCCTCTGGAAATTGAAAGGTTTTTGTAATTACTTAGTGACTAAATCTGGCCTGAATTTATGTAAGCCTATTTATATCTTCTTTTTTTTTTTCTCACTTACCACGATCATTCATCTATTGGGTTGCAAACTGCCAAAGTGTTTGATTATGGGGTGCCCCTGACCCTGCTGTAGCTGTTATGTAAAATAGTATTTGCTTCATATTACTTTTCTAAAATCTGAAAAATTCTGAATTCAAAAACATATCTGTCCCTTAGGGTTTCAGATAAGAGACCATGGATCTATTGGAATACTCTGATCATCCTTATGTATCAGGCATTGTTCTAAATGCTTGAAAAATATTAACTCATCATTCTCCATTACTATATGAAGTAGAAACTATTATTCCTATTTCCGTATATGAACACTGAGACACAAAACAGATAAGTAAGTTGCTTAGCGTAACACAGATAGTGATGGAGGCAGTTTTCTAATACAGGCAGTCTGTCCTACAGCCTGGCTTTTGACCACTGTGTTGGTACTTCCGAATTTATGAGTCTTATGTAAATGCCTTTGGTTTCCTCATGTGTAATATGGTATTAACAACCACCTTTCAGGGAAAACTTACAGCCAACTCTCAATGGCCTTTGCAAAGGAGAATCCACTTTGAACATTCGGTAACTTTGCTATAGTATTTTATCAGTTATGTACAGGAGTGCAAGGGGTGACACAGCTGTCTGAAAGAAGATCCTACGTGAAGCTGGTTACTCCTTTTCATCTAAAGCATTCCCACTCTCCTGTGTAATTTAGACACCAACATTAAAATAGTGTTACGCCCAAAGGCACATTACAAATTACCTAAAAGCACATTGCAACATGCCATTTAAAATTTAAATGAAACACTATAATCTCCAATCAAAGTAGTTTAATATTAGGAATTGTGAAGTTTGGGAGCTGATGCATAATGAAGGAATTGAGGGTCCTTTTACCAGCAGCTGTTCTAGCAAGGCACCCCATGATAAACACCTAAAAATCAGGCATATGAGCTGCCTGCTCAAACTGGGGTAACAGCTGGACAAGCCACCAGGGAAATGGAAAGGCAATAAACCAAATAAGCTTGATTTATTTTTATATCTCCCCAGGGCTCTGTATATTTTAGGGTTCATATTTTGCCTTCCAGGTGCATTTGGCTAACATCTTTGAGTCTAATCTTCGAATCCACTCTGGTCTTACCTTCTTCCTTATTTCCATGCTACCTTTACCTCCAGTCTGTTTAGCATTACCCTCCTGACCTTACGCTGATTGTCTTCGATTAAGCCTAAGGATTTCCTCTTCCTGGACCAAAGTCAGGTTACAGAGCAGGAATAATAAAAGACTGAATGGAACCGTAGTGTCATAGCCAGAACCCCAATGTCAACCTTTTGAAAACAACCTGACTGCAGATACCCCATCCCACTGGGAGATTCAACACAGCGGCATTGCAATCCACCAGTTTCAGAGAATTGGCATCTGTGCCAAGGAATGTTTTTTCTAGGAATCTGGTTTCTCATTAAAAGAATTGGGCGGAGGGAACCAAGAAGAAAAAAATGCTAAGTTAAATCAAAATATGATATGAGTTCTTAAAAAAATCAACTCTGATTAATCATACTACAAGGTGATTTAATATGTTTGGAAGAAATTCAGAGCAAGTGAATTCACCAGCACTTTCAACAAATATGTACTCTAAAAAATAATTAATGCACAGCACATAAGTTAGGAATGTTTAAGAGGCTCCATGATATTCACCTTAATAGGTATAAAATGCACATGTGTACAGAATAAAAGAAATAATTGTAATGAGAGTCACTTATTGTCATTGAAAGTAGAATCTTATCTATATTTTAATACAAAAACAAGCATGGTAAAACATCTGTGCTTTACCAAAGGCAATGAAAGGCTAAGAAGGCAATATTTTAAACAATGCACATTTGGATTTTTTGTATAACACTCTCAACTATCTCATCAGTAAAAATCCTCAGAACATGCCTGGGAAATAGGTAAACAATACAGAATAGTTTCTACTGCAAAATTAAATCCTATCCTTGTAATCATAACTCTCTCCCCTCCCCCACCTCCATAATCAAATAGCCATGGAAAGCCTGAGGATGAGGAGTTGAGAGCAGGAAGGAATGATGGCAGAACAGCAGCAACCTTTAGACCAGTAAATAAGTATGGGTGACTTTCGCTCATCAACATCTTATTTTTTTTTTTTTTTTTGAGACAAAGTCTTGCTCTGTCGCCCAGGCTGGAGTGCAATGGCGCAATCCCGGCTCACTGCAACCTCCACCTTCTGGGTTCAAGTGATTCTCCTGCCTCAGCCTCCCTAGTAGCTGAGATTACAGGTGCACACCACCACACGTGGCTAACTTTTATGTTTTTAGTAGAGACAGGGTTTCACCATAATGGCCAGACTGGTCTCAAACTCCTGATCTCAGGAGATCCGACTGCTTCAGCTTCCCAAAGTGCTGGGAATACAGGCATGAGCCACTACATCTGACCTGCTTATGAACATTTTATATGCAGATCTTTCCCCATTCTTTCATTCATTCCAACACATTAGGCCACCTACCACCTTCATGCCCTTACCCTTTGCTGCTCATCTCAGCATCATCCCAGTCCTAACACCACATATGTAAATAAACTGAAAATGTAACCAATTTCTTTGTTGCCAAATAAGTATATATTTAGCTTCAGCTATGACTTATTCTGCCCATCCTGTACAGTTCCTGTGATAAACCAGGCCTTCCCAAGCAATATGGCCCTAGACTGCAGTACCTCGCCACTACTAATGGTGTCAACACACTCATCTGTGGCATTCCTGCAGGTTGTGTCTGTTTGACTGCTTTGTGCCTACTTACCCGATGCATTGGCCTTCCCTGCTTTGGCCCTACTTTGTCAACCCTCTTTCTTAACTGCTGGACAGGCAGCCTGATTTTGAACGTATTATACTGACTTGGACCCTGGCACCTTTTCAGTAGACAACTTCCAATCTGCGCCTTTACAGGATGAGAGGCAGTCTATCCCCATGCCAGTCCTGCCCTGTGCACTACTATCAAGCAGGCTTTTCCTCACCAAGGCACTGTCCAACAAAGGAAAGAGATTGGGTACAAATGTTGAATCTTACGGCTATAAGAAATACTCTTTGCAATGGACTGAACTTTTCAGTTTCCGATAAAGCTGCTTGGTATCATATAGTTCATACCTAACCACTAGTCTAGAGTCAGGAAAACATATCTTTACCAATCCATTTGCCCTTACTTCTGTGGTAGGAATTCTGTATTTGCATTTGTATCCTCTTCCACTTTCTCCTGGCTTCTAGCCCACACATTCAGATGGTTTAATTGCAATATTGGTAGAGTTTGTTTAAATTTTACTCAAGAGTTGAAACATGTGCACTTGTCTAACTTCACGTGAAAGCAGAAATATGAACAAATATTAAAATTGATTTGCAGCCTAACAGAGCCAACCTGTCTCAATAAGTAGATTATTTTAAAACTTTCCAATGTTCAGTTTAAAAGACCCTTGTATTTTGAAGCCTTTTTAATCTTTCCATTTTGAATTCTTTCTTCATCTTTTTGTTTACCTCAAAGAGTCCAGGAGGTCAATTCATTTGGATGGATGGATAATGAAATTAATAGACAATTGCTAAAAACAAACTCTCAGGTACCTCTGCACAATTTCTTCATTATCACTAGGGTAACATGAAAACATGTACAGTGTACTCTATAATGTACAGCTTTGCCTTGTCAGGATAACTATACACCTTTACTCCACCATCTAGATGGTATAGTGTGAGCTTCCATAGTTAAAGGGTGGATGCCTAGCCACCTTGGGGGCAAGTCATAATTACCTGCCTCACCACTTCCATTCCCTCAATCACAGTTCACTGGTCAATGGGTGGACACCAATCCCAAGTTAGACCAATAATCTCAAGTCTTTTCTTGAGATTTCAACTGGAAGTGAAGGATTATTCCTTCTTTGTGGTGGTAACTCCAAGATGAAAATCTTAAAATCTATGAGGTGGAGGAAGATGATGAGAAAGAAAAACCACATGCAGAAAACAGCAGAGATGAGAGAAACAGTGTACCAATAGTGCTGAAGACCCCGGTTTCTGTTTTTCTCAAAGCAGATGTTCCCAGAGTCCTACTGATCCCACACTCTGGTTTTGAACACTACTTTGATGCTGTGAACCTATGACTTCTTCACTTTGTCCTAAGCAAGCCTACATTTGGCTTTGACTACTTATGCCCAGACAAAAACTTACTATATAGTTTATTGATTAGATACTGCTATATAACAAACCATTTCAAAACTCATTATTCATAAACTGGAAGGGTCTTCTGCTCTCAGTCGAGCATTTCAGGACATGTTGAGGCAATGGTTTTTTAACCCCAAAACTGAGAAATGGGTGAAACAGTAATAGACAGTAAAAGCTCAGTCTCCTAGAATGCACAAAAGTAAAAGTAAGGCCCCCACACTCACTGTCACAATATCTGACGGGATTAAGGCAGTGATGTCTGGAACCAGTTCACACCAGCTCAACAAGAGCCAATGGTTAAATTTTTAGAAATTTGTAAGACAACTGTTAAATACAAGTATCTATAGGGCTGAAATATAGGGCAATGAACATTTCAATGCAGATGTTGATGGGATAACTACCTCTAATGCATGCTGCTTAATTTTTAAAAAATAACTTATTTTTGAACAAAGGTAATAAATACTCAAAACTCATTGTTTTCTAATTATTTTATAAGCTCTTACTATCATCTATGCTATTGAAGTTATTCATGTCTATATTATCCCTATGGTGGGTATACTATATAATCAGTAATTATATCAATTACATTCACAGCTTAAAACGGGCTATGGTGGGAGTATTTATGCCCTAGAAATCATAAAATGCTAGGAATCAGGGTTTGTTTGTTTGTTTTCGGAGAGCTGGATTGTAAACATTTACCATCCCATCGCTGGAATAAGCCATTTCAGATTAAGAATGGCACAGCATAAGGCCGAGGCAGGCAGATCACGAGGTCAGGAGATTGAGACCATCCTGGCTAACACAGTGAAACCCCGTCTCTACTAAAAATACAAAAATTAGCCGGGCATGGTGGCACGCGCCTGTAGTCCCAGCTACTCGGGAGGCTGAGGCAGGAGAATGGTGTGAACCCAGGGGGGCGGAGCCTGCAGTGAGCAGAGATCGCGCCACTGCACTCCAGCCTGGGCGACAGCGAGACTCCGTCTCAAAAAAAAAAAAAAAAAAAAAAAAGAATGGCTCAGGATAAACTTTTTCTAGTAAACAAAATGTGTCAGGGAAAATAGACATCTTCACAATTAAGTGAAGACAGGAGAAATGAAGAAATCTAAGAAGTATGTCTGTAAGATAACTATAACCTCCCTTGACACATGAAACTGACCAAAATTAAACAGATAAAAAGCTACAATTTGGGGAAAATTACACTGTCTAAAGAACCACCAGCCTGGATTAAACATCAATGTACTATTTGAGACTTAAAACCAACATTGGATTCCCCAGTTATCTACATGTAGATAGTGAGCTACAATCTCCGTCAGCTCCTAAGTAAGGCATATTCGCCACTGCCCTCTTCAAGCATTGTGGCCAGAGAGAATAAAGGAGAGTAAACTCCCAAAGGGTGGACCTAAAGTTCACAGTGAACAACTGAGTAGGGAGATATACCCTCCCAGCAGACTTATCAAGGAAGATTCCTCACTCAAGATAGGAGACCTTGGTAATGCCTACCCAATGGAATTTCAAAATTGCTTCAGAAGACTGACTACTGTGTGTCTCCCATTCTTACGCTCTGTGAATGCAAGTGTTGGTAATGATAAAGTCCCTTTTCTACCTTTCATATTAATTGTGTGGCATAGGGAATTGGTGAGAAGAACACAGCAAATAGCCTTCTTAGTCCATAGGTCTCTGGATCAAGAGAAGCAACATTCAAACCCGATATAGAAGCCGCTGCTTACCACCTCCTAATGCAGAAATCATCTTACATCATCAGATATCCTGTTTTTAAGCTGGATGATAAAAATGGATTGAATTTGTGAACAGATTCCTTCGAGGAGGCGATAAGTATGTTCAGCGTATAGTAAAACAGTGTGAACAGGATATTGTGTGACCAGAAGTGTAAATGGTGGTAGCCACTATTACTGTCTACCAAATATTTCCACCTCTTCTCTCATGCATTTGGTGTGGCTACATTTCCCCAAATCACTAAAGATGGGTGTGGACCAAATAACATGCAAGAGAAACATGAACACCAGTAGCATGGGTACATTTAAGAGCAGTGAGAAATTTATTTCTTCTTTTTTCCCTCTGCCGCAATGACCAGCAATGTTCCAAACAGTGGCTACTTTCTATCAGCATGGGTCCTAGAGAAGAGAATATGGAGAACAGCTCCCAGCCAACCCAGAAAACTGTGTCGTATGAGCAAGAAATAAGCCCTGTGGTTTTAAGCCACAGATATTTTGATATAATCTAGTCCATCCTGACTAGCACAACCACAATTCCATATTTTCTGGCAAAGCATCCCCAGAAGTAGATAAAGCTGTGTTATAGTTGATTACTGAAATATATGCCAAGGTATATTGCACACCAAGAAATGCAACTGAAGGGAGGAAAAAGTTGACAAGTCCAACAAAAATAATTTAAAGACATTTCAAAGCAATGAAGTGCTGGTGTGACCGAGTTATGCATCATTCAGGACTGCCATTACATTGTCAAATATCAATTTGTCTAAAGTTCACTATGACTCTGAAGAAAAACTGCTTAACTTCTGAGGTCAACATGAGATTCAACTGAAAAAAATTACAAATAGGAATGTAGCAACATCAAAACTGAAGAGTGCATCAGCAGTTCGAAAGATAAAGAGGATAGTAGTGGTAAGAAAAAAAAAAAGAATTCTGAGTTTTAATGATTAAAGACATTTGAGTGTGGAATATGAAGAAGTTCCTTCTTATGTAATAAAAAGTGAATGTAATACAATTCATAAATCTAAATACGTCAAAAAGAGCTCTTTTAACAAGTATGACTCAAAATTCAAAATGTCAGGAAAATATCACTCACATTTCCATTTGTAAGATCGTTTCTTCATCCTTAGTGATACATAAAATAATAATGTCTTAAAATCAATGTTATCTTAGCATTAATAAAGTAATAGAAATGTAATAATAATCACTAATAATGATTACAGGATACAGCTGAATGGTAACATCATAATTTATATTCAAATGAGCCATTTACTACAAGAGAGTAAAACAATTAGACTTTCAATACGTTTTTCTTAATGAGAGAGAACAAGGCCCACCCAACAATAAAATACCTTTTCCCATATGACTGTGGTTCAAAAATATGTATACACACACACATACACATGTACATAATAGAATTCTTTTTTGGTTATTTTGTAAGTGAAGAAAGAAGAAAAATGTTTTGCTATAGAGATACTTCCTTGAAAGTTCCAAAGGAATGACATATTGGATGGATAAATATGGCACCTTGACTTTCCCAAAAACTAAACAGAGGCATACATAGAAAATAAATGACTGTAATTCTTCCCATGGAAATTTTTAAGTAAATGTGATGAAATGCCTATGAAAGAAAACAGACTGTGAGGAAATACCTATGACAAAGCATCACATGTATAGTAGGTAAAAGGCCCTTATAGATAATCCAGAATGTCCTGCATGAGCAGACACACAGTGTCTATATTTTTTCATGGGACATTTACTTTGAGAAGTGGCCCCAAGCTCTGGCAGTCCAATACATTGCATTCTCAATCTGCCATGAAAAGTGTGAGCTGATTTAGTTGTTCAGAAACAGGATGCCCAATTAGTTTTCAAAGACACATGCATCAAATCACAGTCACCGTAGAATTTTTTCTTACCACTGCAAGTTTCTCTGATTCCCTTCTCTGAAATTTTGAGTCCTTAAAGTTGTGCCTGGTCCTTTAGCACTTAATCGCATACTCTCTTGTGCTGGTCACAATCCTTGATTATTTTCTGCCATCCTCCAATCATATTATAAGTTCTTGAATGTTAAAAATACGGCTTATACTTTTGAAAACCTGGTAATAAGAGTAATAATAATAATAGCTAGCACTTATGAAATGTTTACTTTGTGAGATTCACAAGGCTAAGTGCTTTACATGTGTTCTCTTTATAATTTCCACAATAATCTGGTGACTTAGTCATGCAGCTAAGTTAGAGACTCCAACCTATGTCCCACCTCATTATACTGCCACCCATGCAGCTCCCTTGAGTGCATATTAGATCTTCATTAGGGCTATGAACATTCTGATTCAGACATTGATTAGCATGAATGTCTATCGAATAACCTTCCCTGACATATACTACTTATCTAATCCTCCACTCTGGACACTGGTCACCTGGTTTAGATAGCTCTTTTCCAATATTGGAGGTGTCTTTTAACTCAGAATTGCATAATCTTAGCAATTAAACCCACACATTTCAAATGGACTCAACTGTCATTACAGAGCTAGAATTATATCAAATATACAGTATACAGGTATATTTGACTACACTGCAGAATGTAAATACAATTAGAATGAGAAAGACAAACAGAAAGAGATTGATATTGAGATTAAGAAAACCCTGGGAAGCTGGGTGATAAAACAGAATTAAAACCTGAATTTACAGACCCAAAGAGTTAAACAGTTAGTGAGTGTGTGTGTGTGTGTGTGAGAGAGAGAGAGAGAGCATATGTGTGTGTGTACTCATTATGATGATTCAAGTGCAAACTTCCAATATATTCCTACTCTTTACAAGGAATTTATGAAAATCTGAGCTAGATGAGGCCCATGATTCATCAGCATCAGAATCATCCCAAGTTGCTTATTAAACTTCAGATTCCCAAGCATCATCCAGTCTTGAGTTGGAGAGTGAGATCTGGAGACTTAACTTGGATCCCTTAATAGCAGACGCTGAGACCAGAATGGGTAAGAGAAAATGAGGCAAGGATATAAAGGTACCAACACTGAATATGTTAATGAGCAGGTCACTACTTCACACACCTGGGGCTGAATCTCTGTGTGGGCCTGGGAGATGGCAGAGAACAGTCGTTCTCAAATGTTTTGGTTTTGGAATCCCTTTACGCTCTTAAAAATTGTTGAGGACTCCAAAGAGTTTTTGTGTGAATTACAGCTATTGATACCTACTATGTTAGAAATTAAAACTAATATTTTTTAAACACAAGAATTCATAGGGCTGACATTATCACCTGTCAGGTAGCCTCTGGGATACTTCATTGTACCCTTGTGATCGAATGGGAGTGAAAGAGGCAAGTGATATCTTGATAGTAGGTCAAAAATTGTTTTGATCTCAAAGACCTTCAAAGAATTTTAGGGACCCTCCAGAGGTCCCCGGAGCACACTTTGAGAACCACTAGTGTAGAACCTATATCAAAGTTGTGCAATTTGAAGAATAAGGACGCTGGGGTATTTGTGTCCCAACTCTCATTCCTGATTGTTTGAGGGTGTACTAGCTCCCTGGAACTTCCAGGCTGCCACGCACAGAGGTCGAGCATGTTTCTTTCTAGGTCTAGAGGGAAAGTCCCCAAGCAGAGAGTTAGAGATGCTTGTTGTATAGAGTCTTTGAGATATACAGGAAGATGAGATGCCCGGAATATGTGCAGTGCACTGACAGCAGCAAACCTCCATGATATTTAATTTAATGCACACTAAAGCTGAAGCACCATTGTTTTCGGGTCTAGAAGAATTATCTCTGACTCCATTCAACCAGTATTCCTTTTTGTTTTCATCTTTCTAGTCTGCACTGTGACGATTACACTTTTACATAAGAGCATTTGATATTGCTTTTAGAGAGGATGTGGAGAAATAGGAACACTTTTACACTGTTGGTGGGACTGTAAACTAGTTCAACCATTGTGGAAGTCAGTGTGGCGATTCCTCAGGGATATAGAACTGGAAATACCATTTGACCCAGCCATCCCATTACTGGGTATATACCCAAAGGACTATAAATCATGCTGCTATAAAGACACATGCACACGTATGTTTATTGCGGCATTATTCACAATAGCAAAGACTTGGAACCAACCCAAATGTCCAACAATGATAGACTGGATTAAGAAAATGTGGCACATATACACCATGGAATACTATGCAGCCATAAAACATGATGAGTTCATGTCCTTTGTAGGGACATGGATGAAATTGGAAATCATCATTCTCAGTAAACTATCGCAAGAACAAAAAACCAAACACCGCATATTCTCACTCATAGGTGGGAATTGAACAATGAGAACACATGGACACAGGAAGGGGAATATCACACTCTGGGGACTGTTGTGGGGCGGGGGGAGGGGGGAGGGATAGCATTGGGAGATATACCTAATGCTAGATGACGAGTTAGTGGGTGCAGCGCACCAGCATGGGACATGCATACATATGTAACTAACCTGCACAATGTGCACATGTACCCTAAAACTTAAAAGTATAATAATAATGAAAACAGAATTTAATAAAAAAAAAAAAGAAAACTATCAGTCTCTCAGTCTACAATGGTTCGAAGTTCAGACTTTACTAATTATGTAGTGGTTCTCAAGTGTATTTCTTATAAGGTTTCAATTTCTACCAATATACTTTACAAAAATTCCATCATCTGTAATTTATAATTTTAGAATTGACTGTTTTATTCATTTACTACTAAAACTCAACCCTGTCTCTCTGTCTCTTCAATATCCAGTAATCCATGTCTCTATATTTCTGCTACAGTAGTAGAGAAATTTATAGCCCCTCATATTTTGGTACAAATAATATCTTCCAGATTGGATCCAAAAGGAAAGCAGATCCTCGTTATAAAGAAATAGTTTTGTTGGTCACTAACATACCACTGCTTGTCCCAGAGAAAAGAAGGGAAGGTTTCTAAGATCTTTCAACTCCATTCTCAAAAATACTAAAGGAGACAAGATTCAGGTCAGGCTTCTTTGTCCAGACACAGGAGTGGTTATCTGGATTCCACTTGCCTTGTGCTGGCTGACCCATAGTCCCTGAGTACGGAGGAATGTGCAGGAGGGTTAGAACCGTGGTATGCTGGGGCCTCTTTGCAGCAGCTTGCAAGAGCGCAGTGCACATTTCTTTCCAACTCTGCATCAGCAATGTCTAATTTGTAGCTTGAAACCACTCATGGAGGAAGTACCAGGGATATTTACACCATGAAAATTGGCAAACACTAAAACTCAGACCCTTTTGTTTTCTATTGGCCAGTTGTTAAACTTTTACCTGCACACCACAGGTAAGGAGTTCCAGTAATACGAGGCTCTACTGGCATGAGCAGCTTTCTTCTCGTCTAGGTGTCTTCTCCAGGCTTATGCTCTCTACTGTCTATCCAGAACAAATAGAGCTCCTTCTGGGATTCTGAGATATTGGAATGGGCTGGTCACAAATCTTTCAGCAATGGCCACATAATACCCTATTCTTATGTCTAAGTGATCCCTAAATATACAGAGATGTAGTTGGAGTTACCTCCCAGAGTAGCACAAGTCTTTCTTTCAGGAGCTCTCCTCACTGCTACGGTACAGAAAGGTTAATGAAAAATGAAAACATTACCCTATTTACCATATTTTCATTCTGTTGGATGAAGGGGTGCCCCTTCCCTAAAGAACTCCATCCTATGGAGCATCTAAAGAGTCCCCCGTGTATTCTCACAGACACAGAGGAGAAGGAGTCAAACCACTGTGCTTATTCTGATTAATGAACTTACCACTCTCACCCCAGGTCAAGAGTCTACATCTTTGCAAATTCTATCACACAGCTCCTCACATTGCTGTGATTCTTTTTTAAGTAGTTAAAAAGAAAGGAAGACCATAACTTAGAAACCTGACTATTATCAGAAAGGTTTTATACTATATGCCTTTTTAGGTTCTCACCATGACTAAGAGATACTGAGTCCTGCAGACGTATCATTATCAGACAGGAAGGTGAAATATAAAGAAAGTAATTGACCAGGGAGGTGAGCAGCCATGGAATACAGTAGGACAGAACTAACTCCAGCCTCAAAATGAACCAGCTTTACCACTCTTTTTTTTTTCTTTCATGCAGGATTTCTCCTTTTAACAGGAAAACAGTTGGAGTTTAAGGATTGTTCTGCAACTTGCTTTCCTTTGGTTTGTATCTACTCACAGAATGGAAGTTTGAAAAGTTCTGAGAGACACCTTAATTTTTTCTTCAAATCATGATTTGTGGTATGCTTGCATGGTTGTGTGATTCAGGAATAGCTGTCCTCTGTTGATCTTGCTGTCGGATATATCAACCATGAAAAATAACTGCCTCGGCCAAGTAGCCAAAACAGTTTTTGAAATATTTCCATCGGCCTCAATCATTGAAACAGCCTCTGTCTCCCTCTATAGGCCATGTATCTCATACCCAGTTACTGATCAATAAATAGAAATCTATTATAAACAAAGATGGTTAAAATGTGACAAAATTAATGCCTGCCCCCAGGAAACCATGTAAATACAAACCTTGAGTGACAGAGGTCTCCAGTATCCCTTTCATACAAAGCTGTGATTTGGAGAAAAAAATACCTTTTCTATTGATGGGCAAGATCAGAATGATCAAAGAAAGTACTAAGTTTGACTCAAGAGGAAAAGGAAGGAAAAAAGTAATAAACGCCCAAGAGAGCATAGACCCAGGTGGGGTGGCTCACTGGGTATGACTGTTAAATATTCATTCCATCCTCTTACACACACGCGTGCACACACAAACACACACACACACACACGAAGAAATCCACAAGTTCTGGGTAAAAATGATGTTTCAATAAGACACTCTGTTCTCTGATCACACTCCTATTGGCTTGTTACATATTGGATGAGCTTATTTTGTTCCACACCATTCCTATCATGCAAAACATAATGCTACTTGCCTCCTCCCCACCTCAGCTATCATGGTACAAGCGGTCCCACATTACAGAGCCTTCTCTTGACAGCTGTAATTAGAAAGTACATAAATACAATTCTGTGGATACTTTTCACTTGGTATTGAAGGGAAAGTCTGCCTGGGCTTTTCAGCATCAGGACTGAGAGATGCACCCACCAAGTCTTCAGAACTCAGATCTCTTCCTTCTAATCAGCTCAGACAGAACAAAAGGAACCAAGCCCCTTGGAGAGTTGCTCTAATGTGCAAGTGTGTGTCTACACATTTAATGACTTGACGTTGAAGAATTAGAGAAACAAATTGTTCTGATATAGATAAACAGATTCTACCCTCCAATCTCTTCTGATGGCACCACTCTCTCCATCATTTCCACAAATAACCTCTTGACAGCACAGAATATATTTCCAAATATCTCACTCCTTTCAAATGTATTTAGGCAAACAAATTTCTCCCAAAGGGAGAATTTTGGCAGCTTCTTGGAGTTGACTAAAATTTTAGGGCAAAAGCAGTTAACAAGAATATATTGAGCCTCTGCTAACAGCACAGTAAGAGGCAGTGTCGTGACAGTTGAGAGCCCAAGTAGAAGTGGGTTTGAACATTAGCTCTGTCACTTACTAGCTGTGGACTTTAATCAAGGCATATAATATTTTTGTGCATTAATATCTCATATAGAAACTGGAAACATAATACTCACCCATTGGTCAGCTATATGAGGATTAAATATGATAATGCATGTGAAAGCTTAACACTGGACCTGAGAGCGTTTCATGAATTATCAATATTGCTGCATGCCATGCACTTAAGATCCAAAATGAATAGAAAAAGATCAGTGCTCTTAAGGATTGCAAGTCTCATAATGAGGGTCTATTTCATTATATGAGGTCGGGTGGGAACCATGAAAACCGAGAGACAGAGTGGAGGAGATTTGTGAACAACTTTTGGGGTACCTTCCCAGTCTCTAAGACCCCACCCCACTCACAGGAGTGGCTTCCAGCAGTCACATCTATGCCACACAACCCTTCCCTCTAACTTTGGCTTAGTCGATTCAATCAGGGAAGGACATTTGACTAAGGCCAGAACAATGAGATTCTAAATATTAAACTCCCAGGACTTTAGAATTTAGAATCTCAACCAAGAGAGTTGAGCGAGTCCTTGTGGGTGGCCTACAACAATAACACACAGGCCTAGGAACAAGCATGTGGAATGAAGGAGAGAAATTTGGTCTTCAGAGAAAGTGGGTCACTCAGCAGATTTAAAAAAAAAAAAAAAAGATGAGAATAGAGAAAAACTAGTCTTTTTCACTCCTGAGGCCTAACTACTTTCTGCTTTTAAATTATTTGAGACATTCCTATACACACATGATATTGTCCCCTTTCATGCTAATGCTAGAGGAGGTTGGTTTCTCTTATTCTCTAAAAAATAATGTCAGGTGGAAGGTTTGCTTTCCTTTTGGCCAAAAAATGACCGCTGAACAGAGGACTCCAGGAGACAGCATAAGGGCCACAGGTTTCAATGCTTCTGGTCTTAACCAAATAGCTTGTTCACTAAACTTCCCCCAGTAGATATATTAGGCCTTATTATGCTCACATCTCCCAAATCCAGCCCAGATTGCTCCTCTGAACTCCATACCTATAAATGTAATTGCATACTAAAACTAATCATCATCATCAGTGAAACACTGCTTTAGGCATTTTGCATACAATCGTTTTATATAATCTTTACAACAACATTACATTATTCCCATTTTACATATGAGGAAACTAAGGCTTGCAGAGTTTAAGTGACTCACGCAAAGACTTAGGGAAGTAAGGGAAAGGATTGAAGAGTGTTGGACTCCACCCCAAGCCTGAACTCTTTTCTCTCCACTGTGTTCTGTTTGTTTGTTGTCGGGTTTTTTTGTATTTTTTTGAGACGGAGTCTTCCTCTGTCGTCCAGGCTGGAGTGCAGTGGTGTGATCTCAGCTCACTGAAACCTCCACCTCCTGGGTTCAAGCAATTCTCGTGCCTCAGCCTCCCGAGTAGCTGGGATTACAGGCATGCACAATCATGCCTGGCTAATTTTTTTTTTTTTTTTTGTAGAGACGGGATTTCACCGTGTTGGCCAGGCTGGTCTCAAACTCCTGACCTCAGGTGATCCACCCGCCTCTACCTCCCCACTGTTTCGTAATAGCTTCTCAAGGATGTCCCATAGCTCCTCATGATCAATGAATTAAAAATGAATTCACTGGACTGGATGTGGCATGGAAAGAGTTTAAATCCTGGTTCCATTTCTTAACATTGCATGATCCATAGCAGTCATTTAAACACCCTCAGGTTCAATTTCTTCATCAGCAAACTCAGTCAATAGTAGCTGTCCTACCTACCTACTCAAGATTGTGGGGGAGATGAAGGAAGTTGATACACAGGAAAGCGCTATATAAATACGGAAAAAGTATGCCAATGATACACCATTATTATCATTTAGACTTCATGGTTTCAGCATTTGTACAATTCAGACAAAAACACCTAATCTACATCATTTTCAGAATCTTTGTGATACCTAAAGACTTAAAATAAAATGTGTGTGAAAACACTTTATAAACTCTGAAATGCTATGTAAACTTAAGAGATTAGCATATTAAGTTAACCTTGAATCATTGCATGATCGTATCAGATGGTCCCTGACCTCCAAAAGTTTGTGATTTCTTAGAGAAGGCAGAAAGTTTAAGAAAGTAAAGACATCAAGCTTTAAATATGATATGCAAATTCTCCAATGAAAATGTCTTTATCTGCCTCTCCTACTATGGTCTCTGACTTTACCTTTACCTGAAACCTTCTCTAAATCCCTTGTGCAACCACTTCCTGTTGTGCTATGTGACTGCCTACTTAGCCTTATGTATAATTGCCAGGCAAGTATTTGTTTACATGTCCCCAGTCTCCTCTAGACTATGCTCTGGTTGGCAGCAAGGTTTATGGCTTATTCTTCTTTATATTATCAGCACCTAGCCATGTTCACTGGACTCAAGGTTCAGTAAATTCATTCATTCATAACAAATACTTTCTGAGCACCTACTAGGTACAGATACTGAATATGCATTGTTGAATAAAATAGAAAACTCCTCCCTCCAGGAATTTGCATTCTAGTTGGGACGGAGCTGGAGAATAAACGAATAAGTAAAATATATGTTATGATAGATGGTAATAAGCATTGTGGAAAACAATAGATTAGAAAAGAGAAACATGGAGTATGAGATGGGGAAATGGTTTCAATTTTAAAGAGGGCTGACAGGGAAGGCCTTAGGTGGCTGTATTCATTCCTATTACTGTCATAATAAGTTACCACAAACTTAGTGACCTAAACAATATAGATCCATTGTCTTAGAGTTTGGCAGGTCATAAGTCTAATAGAGGTCTCACTGGGCTAAAATCAAGGTGTCATAAAAGTTTTATTCTTTTCTAGAGACTTGTATTAGTCCATTCTCACACTGCTATAAAGAAATACCCGAGACTGGGTAATTTATAAAGGAAAGAGGTTTAATTGACTCACAGTTCCACATGGCTGGGAGACCTCAGGAAGCGTACAATCATGGCAGAAGGGGAAGCAGTCACCTTCTTCACTAGGCAGCAGGAGAGCATGTGAGCAAGAACAAGGAAGTGCCACATTTTAAAACCATCAGCTCTCGCAAGAACTCACTATCACAAGAACAGCATAGGGGAAACTGCTCCCATGATCCAATCACCTCCCACCAGTTCCCCCCCTCAACACGTAGGGATTATGGGGATTACAGTTGGAGAAGAGATTTGGGTGGGGACACAGCTAAGCCATATCAAGGCTCTGAAGGAGTATCCATTTTTTCCCCTTTCCAGCTCCTAGAAGCCACTCACTTTTCCTTACTTCCTATTCCCCTTCTCTCATCTTCAGAACCAGCAATGTTGCAGCTTTCTGAATGTTATCCCGTATTTGTATCTCCTGGCGCAGCTTCTTCTACTTCCCTCTTCTTCTTTTAAGGGCTCATAATTACATTGAACACACCAGAATAAATCCAGGCTTCTTCCCCTATTAAAGCCAATGGATTAGCAATATTAATCCATCTCCAACCTTAATCACTCTTTGCCATGTAACATAACATCTTTACAGGTTGCAGAGCTTCTTTTGGGGGCCATAAGAAGGGGTCTTATGATGGGGTCACCTATCATAGTGACACTTGAGTAAAGATGTAAAGAAGGTAAGGAATGAAGCCTTGTGGATATTTAGGAGGCAGAGCTTTCCAGGAATAGGGAAAAGTGAAAACTGAGTCACTTATGGGCGTGTATTCTTGGGATGTTGGAGGAATAGCAAGGAGGGATATATAACTTGAACAGAGCGAGAGAGTGGAAGGAGATGAAGTCAGAAATGTAAAAAGGGAAGATACTACAGTGTCTTGTAGGCCTTGTAGATGACTGAAGGACCCTGAGTAAAATGGAAATAACGGAAGGAAGTTTACCAGGAGAATGGCATGACCTGACTGAAGCTTTAATAGAATCCTGCTTGCTACTCTGTTGAGAATTTACCATAGTAATCAATGTCAGAAGCAGGAGACCAGTTAGGAGACCAATAAAAAAATAAAATGGTGAGAGATAATAGTGACTTGAACCTGAATCCAGCAGTGGATATGGCGAAAAATGGTCAGATGCTATAAATATTTTCAAAGTAGTGCCAGCAGGGTTTTCTGACAGAATTAGTTGTTGGGTGAGAGAGAGAGGGCTTGATTGGCCTAAGCACTTGGAAGGATAAATTGCCTTTTACCTGGATGAGGATAACCACAGGAGGAACAGATCCTTGGAAAAAGATTAGGAGCTCAGCTTGGGACATAGTAGATTTTAAAAATTTATCAGGTAATCAAGTGGAGATGTCAAGTAGGCAGTTAGAAGAAGCAAATATATGTTATTTAAATCTATTTGATACCCAAGGAAATGAACGAAATACAAAAAAAAAAAGGTTTAAGGGTTGAATAAAAATTAAAGGAAGGAGAAAAGGAGGAGTCAGCTTTTTTACAAAATCTTTTTTATTTTTTATTATACATTAAGTTTTAGGGTACATGTGCACAACGTGCAGGTTTGTTACATATGTATACATGTGCCATGTTGGTGTGCTGCACCAATTAACTTGTCATTTAACATTAGATATATCTCCTAATGCTATTCCTCCCCCTCCCCCCATCCCACAACAGGCCCCAGTGTGTGATGTTCCCCTTCCTGTGTCCATGTATTCTCATTGTTCAATTCCCAAATTCCAGTGCCTAATGCAATTTGCTAGAGTATAAACAAGAATGGATTCCCAAACGTTAGCTGTAAGGCCCTGGAAACAAGTGACAGCATAACGTGGAGAAACCTTATCAGTAATAACATCCAATCTAATTTGTCATCCTGAAAGCCTTGCACATAGTTAGTGTTAGTGTCAGGGATACGTAAACCCCAAACGCTGGAGAAAAGCAGTTGGAAAAAAAACAAAGGCTCTACATAATAAATTGGAACTTAAAGCTTTGTTTTGTCCAAAGAGCTTAAACTACTTATTTCCACTATGGAGAAAGAGTAGTAAACCTGAAGATAATTATTTAAAATGTAAAGGTATTACAACAGTTGGCTGTCTTGTCATTCCATTGTTAAAATCTCATAGAATTGCGAACATCATTTTTGGAAGAGTCATTAGTAGACATCTTATACCTTAAGCACTCAGTACACAGTACATAGCAGATGCTCAGTAATTATTCTCTGAATGAACTACTGATTCTAGTCCAACACCCTCAGATTATATGTTAGAATAATAACACTAGCACCCTTTCACACACACTTCTGGGATCCACTCCCCCATTCCTCAGTTATTTCACAGAAGCTGCCGTATTCCTACATGACCTCATGCTTCTCTGGCCAGAGTTGATTTATTCCACCGTAAGTATCTAGCCCAAGCTGGGCCAACCAGACCGTTTTCCTAGGATTTTGTTTAATTTAATTTTTTAAAATTAGAGATGAGGTCTAATTATATTGCTCAGGCTGGTCTTGAACTCCTGGCCTCAAGTGATCCTCCTGCACATCTCCCTTGAGTCTCTGTGAGCAGGACTGCTCTCAAATCACAGCTGAGAGATGGGTGGTAATGGATGTGTTACCACTAATTTGTAGTAATCATTACACAATGTATATCAAATCATCATGTTGCACACCTTGAATATAGTCCATCTTTACTTTTCAATTAAATATTTTAAAATTTAAAAAGAGAAAAAAGTCAGTGAATCAGACCTAGTATCATTGATCACCTACTTCTACTTGTTTCTGAGGCTCAGATGGGTCCCCGTCCTTGAGTTTTGTTGTTTATTGGAATCTATGAGTCAGTTAATTCCCTTTAATTAGACTTCTCTCATTTACAGCCTAATGACTTGCAACCTAGAACTCATACAACGAAAACCTGAAAACCAGAGAAGTGAAGTCTTTTATTCACAGGTGATATCCATAATTAGTGAGAGAGTCAGGAATCAATAGAGGTTTTATTCCCCCACTGAGTTCCTTTTGGAATCTCCCCACTGAATAATATAATCCAATTGATGAATTCTACCTTAAACTATTTCCCATGTCTACTCACTCCATTTCCACTGCCACCTCCCTAGTCCAAGCAACCATCATTTCTCACCTGCACTACTGTTTTCATTGTACCAAGAATAAAACCAAAACGCTTTAAAATGTTATGCAGTGCTTTACAATGCTTTTCTGACCTCAGTTAGCTGTCTCTTCACCTCACTCAATGTGTTCCAGCCATGCAAGACTTCTTTCAGTTTCTAAAACTTGAGTTCTTTCTCCCTTGGAACACCTGTATAGCTATTTTATTTTTCTGCAATGTTTCTCCCTTGACTCTGCATGACTAGCTCCTCAACTTTCACTTCCCTGGCTGCTTGTGAGGACATCCTCCACCACCTATTAAGTAGGCTCCCATCCTTTATTCACTATCTCAGCACTTCATATTTTTTATAATGCTTTACTTGTTGTACACAATTTTGAATTTGAATTAACATTGTGTTTGCTTTAAAAAAAATCTCCCAGTAACCTATAAGCTCCACGTGGGCAGGGAATTTATTTATGTTCCTCACCACTACGTACCCATGTCTCAGCCAAAAACATAGCATTCAACTTGACTCCTTAATAATTCTCACACACTATATCCAATCCATTAACAAATGCTCTTGGCTCTAGTTTAAAAATGTATTTCAAATATGGCCACTTCTCTTCATCTCAGCCACTACCACTGTAGTCTACATCAATATAATCTCTCACATGGACTGAAATCATTGCCTCCTAGAAGGTCTTCCTACCTCCTCTATTGATCTCCTAAACCCTGCTACTCCCAAATAGCCTAGAGATTCTCTTAAAATATGAATATTGTATCATTCTCTTTAAAACATTCTGTTGTCTTTCTATTATTAAAAAAAGTATCCAAAACTTGGAAATAAGAGGGTGATTTTATGTTCTTTCAATATGAGGCATTACTGAGGCTTACCTAAGAATTGTTTAATTATCAAGGAGAATACAGCTTAATTTGTCCTTGATACTTACTTTTCACTTAAAGCCCAGATTTTAGGAAGTGGCATGTTAAATCATAGATTTCTGTCTGATATAAAAGATAAACCCGAAGGTTACAGTTATATTGTCCTCTATGATATTAACCAGTGCATATGTATTAGCAAATTTAAGTTCAACATTATTTTATATGAAAATTTAAATCACCATTCCTCCAATTCTCTTTTGAACCAGCTTTGCCATCTTACAGGTTACCTTATTAATTAATGAGAAGCCTAAACACATTTAATACATGCTTATTTTATATTTGCATAACAGTCATCATTCCAAGATTTTGAAAATTAAACTTGACAGTTTTGGGTTTCTCACCAAGATGTCCAAGTTGACTTAACTGTTGGAACCAATGAAACTATATTTTTCCAAAAAAGCATGTGATAGACATTTTAAGCTCAAACACATCTCTTTTTTCTCCTCAAATGATACTGAAAACACACTAGAAATTTATCTTTTTTAATTCTTCCTCTGACTCTTTGTTTTTGTTTCTGGTTCTGGTTCTTGGCCGGGTTTGATTCTGGTTTTATGATGCCCGACTCATTTTCAGACGGATTATTTTATACTGTAAAATATATAAGACTGGACCTCTCTGGACTATAAGTTTAATAAACTAATTATTAGACTAATAATAATATTATCTGACATTCATCAAATGTTTATTATGTTCCAGGTGCAAACACAAGCACTTTAAATCTATGAATTATTTAATCCTCATATCAACTTTATAAAGAGGTACTATTATTTCCATTTGACAGATGGAAAAAATGCATGCACACATATACTTTTCTATTTTTAGTTGGTTTATAAAGCAATTTCCACATACATTACTTCACCTTGATAAAGATTCTATATTCTATAAAATGGAAAGTGTCATAATTCTTATCCCATTTTACAGATGGGGAAATACAGATCCAGATATTAGATGGCTTGTCTGAGGTCCCAAGTTTTCTGCTTTCAAATATAGTATTTTTGCTTCCATACTATACTCTCTTAATATAAATGAGCAAAAATAGAAACAAAGACATCACAACAAAACCTCAAAAAAGTAAATACAAAGAAGTTGATGACTATACTCAGGAAAGAAATTACCTTAGATAAATTTTAGATAATTACCTTAGATAAATCACCAAGAGCCAACTGAAGTTTTTTTTTAAATGCTAAGTCTTTATTATAAAAATGTCTGCTACATTTAAAATAAATAAACACAACATACACATTAAAGCCAGAATATTAAACAGAATCTTTTTATTTTACTTTGGACAGCACAAAGTTTTCTAAACTGTTATATGTTGAACATATCAGCAGTTGTTTTTGGTAACTTCTGAAGTGAACCAAGAAAAGTCAATTTTAAAAATATAAATATTTTGACAAGCTACCACTAGTGTTCTTTTTTTTATTTTATTATTATTATACTTTAAGTTTTAGGCATGTGCACAATGTGCCGGTTAGTTACATATGTATACATGTGCCATGCTGGTGTGCTGCACCCATTAACTCGTCATTTAGCATTAGGTATATCTCCTAATGCTATCCCTCCCCCCTCCCCCCACCCCACAACAGTCCCCAGAGTGTGATGTTCCCCTTCCTGTGTCCATGTGTTCTCACTGTTCAATTCCCATCTATGAGTGAGAACATGCGGTGTTTGGTTTTTTGTCCTTGCGATAGTTTACTGAGAATGATGATTTCCAACTTCATCCATGTCCCTACAAAGAAATTATGGCTCTAACTTGATCGAGCTCCAAAGGGGCTTCAGTTAAAGTTAATCTCTCTTTGCAGGATTTAAAAATTAATGTTCACCAGACTTCTTGCCAACTCCACAGGAAGGAGTAACTTAAAGTCCAAAAATATTCTTAACATTAGATTCAAGTTACATGTCAATCTGAATGGAGTGAATATAATAAACCAGCAAAATTGAACCTGAATTGCCTAAGAGAATCTGTAGATTCACTAAGGAATTCTACTCCACATTGTCATCATAATTGAGATTTAGAGATTCCTATTAAGGGCAAAACAAGACAAGATTTCAGAATCATGACACTGAAAAGTGCTTCTATTGATCAAGAATGGGATTGAAGATTACTAAAATTGAAATAATATCAAATGGTTATGAACTTCTGAATCTACCCAACTAAACCCTCCTACTCTCTTAAAGAAAATAGTGGATGGCTACATATTTGGATGGTGATTAACCTTTTATTTCTTCCTTCTTTCAAATTATATCCTAAAATACTTCTGCTACTTCTACAATATTTTTTTGCTTGTGATACTAAAAGTTCCTATTTCAGTTTCTTCTTCAAATTACAAACCTCCTCATTCTGCTTTAGTCATCCAGAAAAAAGTATTGATGTATTGGGCACTCACTCTATGCCAGACTTTTCTCTTTTTTCTTTTTTTGCTAGATTCAATATATTTCAAAAGACAACCTATTTCTGCTGCCAGTGTTTATTGGTATATTGTAAAGAAAACATGCATTTACACAAATACACTCTCACACATATACAGTAATATGTGACAAATGCTAACTTGTATTCCTCATAGAGGTTTTCTCTGACCTTTTTATAAGGCAACCACCACCCCTCTGCCCTTCTTGAAAAACACCATTAGCCACACTTCTACGAGATTAATACTAATCAGACCTGTAGCCATTTTTAGGGCTTAAAGTTTACATCAACCCCAGGGAGGACACAGTGGAAACAGTGGGTGGAGGGGAGTGATATAAAAGAAATCAAGGCATCACCGAGACCAACATCAAGAATTTTATTTTTATTTTTATTGAGGATGGGGGAAAACTGGAGATAGGTTGATAAATCTGTTTCATGTGGCTTTACCTTCCAAACTTCAGAGACTGAGATTTGTATTCAAACAAGCCTCAGTTCAAATTCTGTCCTTATGAGTACTACAATCTTTAAAAAAAATTTTATTCTCTTAAGCTTCAATTTTTCTCACTTGTCAAGCTGAGATAATAGTACTTGCCACGCAATGCCAAAACCCCCAAAATTGAGATAATACATGTAACAGACTTAGTGAGATTCCTGGCATGTAATAACTATGTTGGAAATGGTAGATAACGGTTATGATTATTCATGGCGGTTACCAAGTATTTATTCATCCATTCAACAAAGAATAATTAAGCTTATACTAATGTATTTTCTCAATTCTGAGACCAATCTTTTTTCACATTTCAGCAATCAAAGCGCATTTAATATACATAATGGCTTTTTTCTTCTGCAAAGATGTCTATTAATTTGCTAATGTATCATAAAGTGACAATGTCCTAGGTCTAGCCACCATGCTAGAAAGTGGAGGGTGACAAAAATAAGTAAGAAAGCCCCTGCCCTTTTTACAGACCGTGATACCCGGCAGAGAAGCCACATGACTTCAGCCTTCAGCTTCAAAATTCTGAGCTACCACTACATACTTCCATATGCTGTCCCAATTGTTCCAAAAACTGGGGGTATCACAGACCGCTTTGAGAATGTCATGAAAGTTGTGGGCTTTCTCTACAGGACAAAAGTACACATACATATGAGTTTTACAGAGAATCTTAGGAGTTTTGTAGACTCTCCAAAGACAATCCATGGTGTTCCCTAAAAGAATTTATAAAATGTATGTAAGAATCCCTGCTTGCCCTCTTAGGAAAATTCCCCAGTTATTCTGCAGGTCACTTCTATGATACTCCAACCCCTGGAGTTTAAGCATAAGTATGCCCTGAAGATGAGGAGTGGAGTGCAAAGCTAAGAATCACTGGCTCAGAGAGTCCTTGACAACAGTTTATGTTGGGCTGGTAGCCAAAAGAATTCAATATAACAAGAGAGAAAAGGGGGTTTACATCAGCCTTAGGAAAAACAATGTACAACTCATTACTTTCTTTATTCATTTAGCACAAGTCAACCAACCACAGTATCAATGTTTGATTTACTCTCCCACTATGATCACCCATCTTCATAGCCTCATGGTCACTGCTCCAAATCTAGACTTGTGGTTTGGCTGCATCTCAAGACTTGAACCATAAATGTCAATATAAATGCACATTTTCTAGAAGGATGACAAAATTCAAAACATTCTATTTTCAGGAAAATAATGTGCAAACATATCATTATAATATCCTTTTATCTACAATTTATAAAACTCTGGTCAAAATGTTTGTCTAAAAAAATTCCTGGCAGGATGCTGATATGAGCCTCCAGGCTCTCTCTTCTTTAACATAGGCAATTCATCAGGCTACACACAAAAGCACCCAAAAGTCTGCAATGGTTCTCTTTAAATAAAGGCTTGAAGCACGCAGGGGCCTTTTGTAGAAAGAGAAATAGAGGAGATCCCCAAGGTCGGGGTGCTGTACACAGAAGAAGGATCTTAAAGCAGGAACAACTCATTTGTGACATGGTCATTGCAAGGTCAGAAACGAATAAAGCCAGAAACCAAACCTGGACTCCAATGTCTAATTATTAAATACAATCAAGAGGAATGAAAAATCTATAGAAGACTAGAAATGGACATTGAAGTTGGGTATTGAGTCAAAATCTGAAACAAAGGAAGAAATGTCGTAGTTTAGAATATAAATGGTGGGAAGAGACAGTGGTGGGAGCCTGACTTGAGAGATGATCTCAGACACCATCTGGATTTTGCAGCTTGTTTTAAGGACTAGTTGAGATGTGTTGCTTGTAAGGATGGACTTGGCTTAAAGACCTGAAAATGGGGTCATAAAAATGCTTTTTTAAATATGCATAACTTTTTAAATAGCAGGGTACTTTTAAAAGCTATAGAAAAATCTCATGATACATTGAATTCTTAAACAACACATTGAATTTGGAATATCTTGGCAGGTTCCAACAAAGCTGAATATTTCAGTTATATTCATGATACTGCGTCCTGTCTAGTGATTATTTCCCAGCAGCTCATAAAGCCAGGGTGTGTTTTTAAATAGAGCCACATTCTTTCATTTGTGACTCCTTTCTCTGTACATATATATATATATATATATATATATGTACATATATACGTATATACGTATATATGTACATATACGTATATATGTACATATATGTACATATATCTGTATGTAGTCTTAATGTGTGTATATATATAATGTGTGTATATATATAATGTGTGTATATATATATAATGTGTGTATATATATATATAATGTGTATATATAGATATATACACATTAAGACTACATACAGATATATGCAGTCATATATTTTCTTCTGATTTAAAAATAATAATAAAACATGTTGCCGGGCCCTAGGCATCTCATGCATAATTGTAGTAAATTGACCCTGGTTGTAAACACTTTTTCAGTTCTTGGTGGAACCCAATTTCTGAAGCTGAGGCTGAAAACAGAGACTCTAGGATCTAAACTCAAGGGGAAAGGGTTATGGAGATAAGACATAATGTGGAGTATTATCTACACCTGCCACAAAAGGGAGACGGAGCATGTCAACTTTTGATGTAAGATTTTTGGCTAAAAATGTACCGTATTTTAAAACAACTAAAGAACATATCTCAAAAGCAAATGCACAGACGATACCTCAGTGATTCTCTACCAGAGGTGAAATAACCCCACCTAGGGGCTCCTGAGTAAGAAGGAGGGGGCTGGTTGTCATAATAACCAAGAGGAATTTGCTACTGCCCTGTAGGGGGTGAGAGCCAAGAAGGTGAAATGCCCTACAATGAGTGGACAGTCCACGCGATGAAAAACGGCCCAACCCAAGATGCTAATATTACCTCTATGAAGAAGTCAAACAGATTGACTTAGAAGACAATGTTTAATAAAGAGAGAAAGAACAAAAGGCACTATTATCTCTCTAAGTTACGTATGAACAAACTAGGAAATAAAATGTTCTGTTGAAAGATGGCTGATGATTGAAAGCAATGTTAATTGTCACTTAACCTCTTTGTGACAATTCCTTCATCTCTAAGTGGGAATGGTAGTAATTATTTCATAGAGCTATTAAGATTTCATTGAGTTAATATATTTAAAGCATGTTCAATAATACCTGGCACATAGCAATCCCTAAATAGGGCTTATGTATTTTATTATTTCTAAGAAAAAAAATTGAACTGTAAAGATTTCCTTGGAAGAAAAGTAATTTTTATCTTTGCTTTTGAACAGAAGGCAACCAACATCTGTTCAAATAGCCTTGCTTCCATAATGAAAAGGTTTTCATCATTACCGTAGATGTTTTTCTCCTCTCTAGCTCCCAAATCCCACCCATTCACAGAAATGTGCAGGGAATGTCCTTTCCACCAGACCCCAGTGCTTCTCCAAGCAGAGACGGCACAGCCCAAGGGGATTGAGAAAGAACAAGCTGTCTCTGCTAAAACCTGTCTCCCAGAAATCATCAGACCTGCTCTGGCCCCAGCTGTACTCTGAAGCCACAACTTAGGTAATTAGCAGTGGCCTCTGCCAACCTGTTGAGTTCACAACTCCTGGTTCTGCACTGCTCCAGAACCTCCTGAGTCAACTCTGATGCCATGGCATATGGTCTGCAATTTTGCCTGGGATTCTTTGTTGGGGATGGCTCCAAGAAGTTTATAGGGGGTGCAGCCTATCGGTACCACAGGGCCTGACATCTCCCACGTTGCGGACTGGTCCCTTAGCATCTCCTAGGACACTGCACAGATGGTGCAGGTATAGCCATTTGATATGACAGGACTCTCCAGCTTCATTTTACCATAAACGAAGAGACTTGGAAGATTTTCAGAGTACAAAGCTAATGACAGTTTGAGGAATCCCATAATTTACATGCTGATTATGTCTTAATCCATTGACAAAAACAAGGCATATAAACAAACACCTAGTTTTTAATCCCAGGAGCCTAATTGCAAGTCAGTACATCAGTCTTAACAATGAGGGGGTTAGAGGGAACTGAATCCAAGGTGAAGAATGTTTTCTAAACTCTCCTGCGGGCTCCACATCCACCTAAGGAAAAAAAAGTGTCCTGACTCTGTAGAAAAAATATATTCCCTTTTAATAGTATGTACCAATAAGAAAAAGTAATTAAAATTGGTTAGAATCTTGGCTCTACTACTTACAAGGTATGAGATTTATGCAAGTTTTTGGGCTTCTCTGAGGCTCAATTTCTTTCTTGTTAATTAAGATAATAGTATTGACTGCCTGATAAGATTGCCATGAAGATTAAACGTGATAATGTACTTCAGCATTTAACAAGTACCTGGCACACAGAAAATCCTCAATAAAAGCGGCCATTATTATAACTATTATTATTTTCATTAGCATCATGTTCATTACTTTTTTTTTTTTTTTTTTTTGAGATGGAGTCTCACTCTTGTCGCCCAGGCTGGAGTGCAATGGCATGATCTCAGCTCACTGCAACCTCCGGCTCCTGGGTTCAAGCAGTTCTACTGCCTCAGCCTCCCAAGTAGCTAGGATTACAGATGCCTGACACCACGCCTGGCTAATTTTTGTGTTTTTAGTACAGACAGAGTTTCACTGTGTTGGCCAGGCTGGTCTCGAACTCCTGACCTCAGGTGATCCAGCCTCCTTGGCCTCCCAAAGTGCTGGGATTACAGGAGTGAGCCACCGTGCCCAGCCTCATTAATTTTTTTATTACATTGCCTCTCAACCAAATAATTGTGGGTTCACTATTTTTTAATTTACCAAATATTGACTGATCACCTACTATGTGTTAGGGACTACACATGATGGAGACAGACAAGTTCTCTCCTCTAATGAGGTTTACATTCTTCTCTCTCTCTCTGAGTGTGTGTGTGTGTGTGTGTGTGTGTGTGTGTGTGTGTGTGTGAGATAATACAAAATATATATTTGGTCTTTGTCCCTAATCTGGTTCCTAGCACACAGCTCCTAAAACACAATTTCCTGAATGATAAAAGTATATTTTATTATTAATGCCAGGAGCGGTAGCTCATGCCTGTAATTCCAGCACTTTGGGAAGCCAAGGCAGGTCGATCACCTGAGGTCAGGAGTTCGAGACCAGCCTGGCCAACATGGTGAAACCCTGTCTCTACTAAAAAATACAAACAATTAGCTGGGTGTGGCAGTGGGCACCTGTAATCCCAGCTACTCTGGAGGCTGAGGCAGGAGAATCGCTTGAACCCAGGGGGTGGAGGTTGCAGTGAGCTGAGATTGTGCCACTGCACTCCAGCCTGGGCAACAGAGAAAACTCTGTCTCCAAAAAAAAAAAAAAAAAAAAAAAAAAGTATATTTTACTATTCGTAATGAGTTCGATTTGACCATACCTGAGCTTATGCTAAGGAGATGACTCATGGTGAGAGTGGGAGAGGAACAAGGAAGGAGCTAGACAGCTTCAGGATGAGGGCTGGTCACACCACAAAAACCAACCACATGATTAGAGGGTTAGAATGTTCAGTCCCCAGCCTCCAGAGAGAGGAAAGGGGCTAGACATTGAGTTCAATCACCAATGGCCAATGATTTAATCAGTCATGTTGCCTACATAATGAAGCTTTCATAAAAAATCTGAAACAAGGAATCTAAGGAAATTTCTGGGTTGGTGAACTCATTATTATACAGGAGGGTGGCACACCCAAAGTTCTATGCTCCACCCTCCACCCCACTTCTTACTCCCTCCCTATTACCTCCCTCCTCTGTGTGTGCACGCACACACACACACACACACATCTATCCCGAAACCTTGCCTTATGCATCTCTTTCACTTGGGTGTTTCTGACTTGTGTCCTTTATGATAAACCAGTCATTGTGAGTAAAGCCCATTCTTGAGTTCTGTGAGTCCTTTTAGTGATTTATGGAACCAGAGAAGGGTTCCATTACAAATATGGGAACCTCCATATTTGTAGCCAGCTCAGACAGAAGTGTGGGTAGCCTGGGCACCTTCTTTGTATTTGCATTGGAAGTAGGAGCATTCTTGCAAGACTAAGCCCTTAAACCCTGGGTAGTTAGTGTCAGAATTGAATTGAATTATTGCCCACTCTATTGCTGTCAGAGAATTAGAGAATTGGTTAGTGTTTGGAAAAAAAACTACACAATGTGTGTATTGGGGGTGGTGGCAAGAGACAATCAACTAAGAGATAGATAGGACTCTGCCCTTTTACAAAATGATAAATGCTGTGATGAAAATGATAGAGTAGTACCAATAAGAGTAACAGATGTGGTGGCCATATTTGATAGGTTGGTAAGGGAAGCCTCTCAGAAGAGGAAACACCATGCTAAGTGCAAGGAGTATATGAATCATTGAAACCCTAAGCACTACGCAGTACATTCTTCATTTTATGGAAAAATATGCTGACGGAGAGTGAGATTAAATCATTTGCCATAGTCACCCAGCAAAAAAAATGGTAGAGCTAGAATTCTAACTTAATCTGTCTCATCACCCCAACATCCCTTACCTGTTTCAATCTGGTCCATGCTGTCCAACAGAACTTCCCAAGGACGGTTCAATTTCTGTGCTATCCTCTGGTGCATATGTGACTATGGAGTGCTGGAAATATGACTAGAGAGACTGAGAAACTGAATTTTTTTTGTCTTATTTAATTTTCATCATTTGAATTCAAACAGTAACATGTAGCTAATGGCTTCTATCTTCCACAGTGAAGGTCTAGGATTTCTTTCTTGTGTGACACCCCCCATCACTTGGGTTTCTTCCTGACGTTCTGAAGCTTTCTGGACTCCACTTTCTAAGAAAGATGTCATCTGGCAGCAAACACACCTGCTAACGATTAGCTACATTCAACCCCCCACAGGCCTGTGTCACTATAATTAGTCACTGTGTTCCAAAAATGGATATTAATTATGTCTTTATTTCATTTTATATTTTACTTACATGTTTTTTAATGTTAAAAAAACTGCAATATTTTAGGCACACCCAAATGCCGGAAGCTTATTAAACCAAAGGTGCAAGGGAGAATGCTGATTGAGACCACATGGGCATTTTCTTAGAACAAACCTTAGAGGAAAGAAAGGCAGTGTGAAGGGAAAGCCTCTGCCTCATCAAATGGCTGCAACTTTAATTATTAAGAAGTAAGCGATGCTGTTAGGCAAACCTTACAGACAGTGACCATGGGTGGATTGACTTATTTTACTCTTTCTGCATCAAGTCCCAAAAGCAAAGATCAGCATTGCAAATAATAAAACAATGCCACAGTCCAAAACCATACTCTGGAACCTTCTGTATTCTGATTGACTGACATGAGTCATGCTCTGTGAACAGAACACAGCTCATGTGTGATTCAAAATCCATGAGTTTCAGACCCAGCACAGCCACCCAAATTTGCTAAATGACTTGGGAAAATCATTTACCTCTCTGAGCTCAGCTTACACATAATGTAGAATGAAGATAAAAACAGAACCAGCTGTTTTGGTGTTTGTTGAAAATTAAACAAGATAATAATTGTGTAGAATGTAGCATGACATTTGATATTAATATCGAATATGCAAAAATGAAGAGATTAAGAAGGGAAGGTGGCTGACTAGACACAGCCAGGTGGAACAGCTGCCACCGAGAGACTGAGACAACTGGTGCACTCCTAACAGATCTTCAGAGGGAAGGCATTGAGAGTGCATGGAGGGAACACACACAAGCTGGGCTGAAGGGGGAGGAAGCTGGGAACCCTGCACAGGACTACTGCGCACTGGGAAACTTGTTCCTGGCCCCCAGTGACCCCAAGGGAATGGGTGAATTGAACTGGCAAGGACTAATTTGCTCTTGCCACTGGCCTCTGGAATCCCAGCAGAGGAAATTCCTTAACCACCATAGACACTTGAGTTGGCAGAGAGGGCTGCTTAGAGAAATGATAGGAGTAACACACCAGCTAATGCAGAGCCCAGAGGTTTCGTGTGGGAGCATCTGTAGTGGAGCACAGCCAAGGAAGCCCATCTCTCTAAGCTTGACTTGCTCCCATAAGAGACTTTAGCCCTAGGGGAACTGTCCTATCTGAACTCTGTAGGGTGGCCTTGCCCATAAGATGAAGCCAGTCCTATCTGAGCCCCCTTTGGCCTGCTGGCCTCTCCCAGGGCCTCAGCCTGACTGCACCTGCTTGCAGGGCAGCCTCAGGTGGGAGGAAAGGGGAGGGACCTGCATTATAGCTCCTGCACTGGCAGACTGTGCCTGACCAGTGAAGAGAGCTCCAGCAGGATGGCCCCCAGCAACACAACAACCCACCCACTCCCTCCCCACACTGCAGCTTCCTCCAGGCCCATGGCAAGCCCTCACATTGCTTTGCCAACATGTGTATGTGCTTGTGGGTTTTGCCTTCCTTGCCCAGTCAGCACGCCTAATGTGCATTCACTCTGCCCTGTCACTGCTGAGAGAGTGCACTCCACCTCCCACACACCTCCCCGACCCCCAGACCACCATTGCACTTGGAGCCTTGGTAGGCACAGAGCTAGCCAGCCCTGACCCTGCCTGCACCCAGCCCTTGCAGGAACTAGGCACAGGGAACAGCAGACCCTCCCCCACTCTGAGCTACCTTCTCTGCCTGCCTGTGGTGCACAGAGAGGCCTGCTCCCACCTGCACCCCGCCCTCATGCTAAAATCACTGTTAGCCCATCAGTTAACACAGTTACCAGCAGGGGGCTCCCACCCACTGCCCCAGCCATGCTGCCTCTGCCACTGTGGTGAACGTCCATATAGCCCCAGGCACCCTGGCATCAATTAGCACCCTGCTGCAGCAAAAGAGCATGCACCCTGACACTCTGCCACTACCGCTGCTGCTGGCACATGTAGATGAGAACAGATCCCACTGCCATAGCATGACAAAATGCTTTGGATGACACCACCCATCAGAATGTAGTGACCACCAGTCTGGAAGCACCTCAGGGGCTATCCCCATTGCAGTGGATTCCTAACCTTGAGAAGCCAGAGAGCAATGTCGGAGCCCGATACAAGTCCTCTATAGTCAGAGCACACAGTCCAGGAGTCAAGAGCTGAGGATTGACCACCTAAAATCTTTCAGAAACAAAGCCAGTTAGCTGAATCCACCTTATACCACAATCACATCTTCAACATCATCAAATAGGATAAAAGGAAAAAAAAATTCATCCAAAGTTCTGCAACTTCAAAGACTGAAGAAACATCAACCTACAAAGATGAGAAAGAACCAACGCAAGAACTCTGACAACACAAAAAGCCAGAGTGCCTTCTTTCCTCCAAATGACTGCACCACCTTTCCAGCAAGGGTTCTGAACCAGGCTGTGAGGGCCGATATGACAGAAATAGGATTCAAAATATGGATAGGAATGAAGATCATTGAGCTACAGGCATACATTGAAACTCAATTCAAGCAAGCTAAGACTCACAGTAAAATGATACAGGAGCTGACAGACAAAATAACTAGTATAGAAAGAACATAACCAACCTGATACAGCTGAAAACACACCACATGCATTTTATAATGCAATTACAAGTATTAATAGCAGAATAGACCGAGCTGAGGAAAGAATATCAGAGCTTGAAAAATGGCTTTCTGAAATAAGATAGTCAGATAATAATAGAGAAAAAAATGGAAAGTAATGAACAAAACCTCCAAGAAATATGGGACTATGCAAAGAGACCAACTCTATGACTTATTGGGGACCCTAAAAGAGATTGGGAGAGTGTAAGCAACTTGGAAAATATATTTCAGGATATCATCCATGAGAATGTCCCCAACCTAGTTACGTGCCAACATTCAAATTCAGGAAATGCAAAGAATCCCAGTAAGATACTGCACAAGAAGATCATCCCCAAGATACATAATTATCAGTTTCTCTGAGGTTGAAATGAAAGAAAAAATGTTAAAGACAGCTAGAGAGAAAGGTCAGGTAACCTACAAAAGTCAGGTAACCTACAAATAACTATCAGACTAACAGCAGAAACCCTACAAGCCAGAAGACATTGGGGGCCTATATTCAATATTCTTAAAGAAAAGAAATTCCAACCTAGAATTTCATATTCAGCCAAACTAAGCTTCATAAGTGAAGGAGAAATAGAAACCTTTTCAGACAAGCAAATGCTGAGGGAATTTATTACCAGACCTACCTTACAAGAATTCCTGAAGGAAGCACTAAATACGGAAGGGAAAAACCATTACCAGCACTACAGAAACACACTTAAGCACAAAGACCAGTGACACTATAAAGCAACCACACAAGTCTGTATAATAATCAGCTAATATCATGAGGATAGGATCAAATTCACACATGTCAGTACTAACCTTGAATGTAAATGGGCTACATGCCCCAAATAAAATGCACAGAGTGACATGCTGTATAAAGAACCAAGACCCATTGGTGCGTTGTCTTCAAGAGACCCATCTCACGTGCTTAGACATCCATAGGCTCAAAATAAAGGGATGGAGAGAAATCTACCAAGCAAATGGAAAACAGAAAAAAAAGCAGGGGTTGCAATCCTAACTTCAGACAAAACAGACTTTAAACCAGCAAAAAACAAAAAAGGCAAAGAACATGACATAATAAATAAAGGGTTCAATTCAACAAGAAGACCTAACTATGCTAAATATATATGCACCCAAGACAGAAGCACCCAGATTCATAAAGCGAGTTTCTAGACACTTTCAAAGAGACTTAGACTCCCACGCAATAATAGTGGGAAACTTTGGCTGGGCATGGTGGCTCATGCCTGTAATCCCAGCACTTTGGGATGCTGAGGCAGGTGGATCACAAGGTCAGGAGATCGAGATCATCCTGGCTAACACGGTGAAACCCTGTCTTTACTAAAAATACAAAAAATTAGCCAGTTGTCATGGCACATATCTGTAGTCCCAGCTACTCAGGAGGCTGAGGCAGGAGAATCACTTGAACCCAGAAGGCAGAGGTTGCAGTGAGCCAAGATCATGCCACTGCACTCCAGCCTGGGTGACAGAGCAAGACTCTGTCTAAAAAAAAAAAAAAAAAAAAAATTGTGGGAAACTTCAACACCCCACTGACAGTATTAGATATATCATTGAGGCAGAAAATTAACAAGGATATTCAGGACCTGAACTCAGCACTGTATTAAATGCACCTGATAGACCTCTACAGAACACTCCACCCCAAAGCAACAGAATATACATTTTTCTCATCACCATATAACACATACACTAGAATCAACCCCATAATTGGATACAAAACACTCTTCAGCAAACACAATATAAGTGAAATCATAACAATCACTCTCTTGGACCACAGTGCTAGTAAAAGAAAACCTTCAGGTGAATTAAATTTAAAGGAGTTTAATTGAGCAATGAATGATTCACAAATAGGGCAGCCCCCAGAATCAGAGCAGATTCAGAGAGACTCCAGCACAGCCACATGGTGGAAGAAGATTTACAGACAAAAAAAAAGGGAAATGACGTACAGAAATTGGAAGCAAGGTACAGAAACAGCTGGATTGGTTACAGGTTGGTGTTTGCCTTATTTGAACATGGTTTGAACAGTTGGTTACATTTGATTGCCCAGTGCTCAGTAATTGGCACAGGTGTGGGCTATGGTCAGTTTTCACTTCCACTTGTTATAGTTCATGATGTACTGAAAAAACTTTTAGGCCTAACTTAAATATGTAAGGAGGCAGCTTTAGGCTAAACTTGATTAACAGCACTATCAAATTAGAAATCAAACTAAGAATTTCACTTTAAACCATAGAATTACATGGAAATTGAATAATGTGCTCCTAAATGACTTTTGGATAAATAATGAAATTAAGTCTGAAATCAAGAAATCATTTGAAACTAATGAGAACAAAGACACAACATACCAGAATCTCATGGACTTAGCTAAGGCAGTGTTAAGCAGAAAATTTATAGCACTAAATGATCATATCAAAAAGTTAGAAAGATCTCAATCTGACAACCTAACATCACAACTAAAAGAATTGGAGAACCAAAAGCAAACATATCACAAAACTAGCACACAACAAGAAATAATCAAAATCAGAGCTGAACTGAAGGAGACTGAGACATTTAAAACTATTCAAAAGATTAATAAATCTAAGAATTGGTTTAAAAAAATTGGTCAAATAGGTAGACTGCTAGCTAGGCTAATGAAGAAAAGAGAGAAGATTCAAATAAACATGATTAGAAACAACAAAGGGGATATTACCACTGACCCCACAGAAATACAAGTAATCATTAGAGAATATCATGAACACCTCTGTACACATAAACTAGAAAACCTAGAAGAAATGGATAAATTCCTAGACACATACACCCTCCCAAGACTGAGCTGGGAAGAAATTAAATCCCTAAAAAGACCAATAGTGAGCTTCATAATTGAGTCAGTAAAAAATAGGCTACCGACCAAAACAAATCCAAGACGAGACAAAGTAACAGCCAAATTCTACCAGATTTACAAAGAGCTGTACCATTGCTAATGAAAATATCCCAAAGAACTGAAAAGGAGAGATCCTTCCCTAACTCATTCTATGTGGTCAGCATCATCCTGATACCCAAACCTGGCAGAGACACAACAAAAAAAGAAAACTCCAGGCCAATATCCTTGACGAACATTGATGCAAAAATCCTCAACAAAATACTAGCAAACAGAATCCAGCAGCACATCAAAAAGCTCATCCACCATGATAAACTAGGCTTTTTCCCTGAGACGCAAGCTTGGTTCAACATATACAAATTTAAAAATGTGAATCATCACATAAACAGAACTAAAAACAAAAACCACATAATTATCTCAATACATACAGAAAAGGCTTTCAATAAAATTCAACATCCTTTCATATTAAAAACTCTCAATTAACTAGGTGTTTAAGGACATACCTCAAAATAATAAGAGCCATCTATGACAAACCCACATCCAACATCATACTGAGTGGACAAAAGCAGGAAGCGTTCCCCTTGAAAACTGGAACAAGACAAGGTTGTTCTTTCTCACCACTTCTATTCAACATAGTACTGGAAGTCCTTTTCAGAGCAATTAGACAAGAGAAATAAATAAAGAGCAACCAAATAGGGAGACAGAAAGTCAGACTAACCCTGTTTGTAGACATGACACTATATCTAGAAAACTCCATAGTATTGGCCCCAAAACTCATTAAGCTAATAAACAACTTCAGCAAAGTCACAGGATACAAATCAACAAACAAAAATCTGTAGCATTTCTATACACCAACAACATCAAAGTCAAGAGCCAAATCAAGAACACAATCCATTCATAATTGCCACAAAAATAATAAAATACCTAGGAATACAGCTAACCAAGGAGGTGAAAAACCTCTACAAGGAGAACTACAAAGCACTACTCAAAGAAATCAGAGATGACACAAACAAATTTGTAAAAAATTCCATGTTCATGGATAGGAATAATCAATATTGTTAAAATGGTTATACTGCCCAAAGCAATGTATATATTCAATGCTATTCCTATTAAACTACAAATGACATTCTTTAAAGAACTAGAAAAATCTATTTAAAAAGTCATATGGAACTAAAAAAGAGCCCAAATAGCCAAGGTAATCCTAAGCAAAAAGAACAAAGCTGGAGGCATCATGCTACCCAATTTCAAACTATACTACAAGATTACAATAACCAAAACAGCATGGTATTGGTACAAAAACTGACACATAGACCAATGGAAGAGAATAGAGAGCTCAGACGTAAGGCTGCACACCTACACTATCTGCTCTTGGACAAAGCTGACAAAAATAAGCCATGGGGAAAGGACTCTCTATTCAATAAATGGTATTGGGGTAACTAACTATTTGCAGAATATTGAAACTGGACCCCTTCCTGACACCAAATGCAAAAACTAACTCAAGATGGATTAAAGACTTAAATATAAAACCCAAGACTACAAAATCCCTGAAAGACAACCTAGGCAATACCATTCTGGACACAGGAATCCACAAAGATATCATGACAAAGACACCAAAAACAATTGCAACAAAAGCAAAAATTGACAAATATGATCTAATTAAGCTAATGAGCATCTGCACAGAAAAAGAAATTATCATTAGAATAAATAGACAACCAATAGAACAGGAAACAATTTTGCAAACTATGCATCTGAGAAAGGTCTAGTATCCAGCATCTACTAGGAACTTAAACAAATTTACCAAAAAAAAAAAAAAAAAACAAAAAAAAACAGAAAAACAAACAACAAAAAACAACTCCATTAAACAGTGGGGAAAGGACATGAACAGACATGGTATTGGTACTTTTCAAAAAAAAAGACATACATGCAGCCAACAAACATATGAAATAAAGCTCAACAGCACTGATCATTAGAGAAATGCAAATCAAAACCACAATGAGATACCATCTCACACCAGTCAGAATGGCTACTATTAAAAAGTCAAAAATAACAGATGCTGGTGTGGTTGCAAAGAAAAAGAAACACTTATACACTGTTGGTGGGAGTGTAAAAATTAGTTCAGCTGCTGTGGAAAAAGAGTCTGGTGATTTCTCAGAGAACTCAAAGCAGAATTACCATTCGACCTAGCAGTCCTATTATTGGGTATATACCCAAAGGAATATAAATTGTTCTACCATAAAGACTCATGCACGCATAGGTTCATTGCAGCACTATTCACAATAGCAAAGACATGGAATCAACTTAAATGCCCATCAGTGCTGGACTGGATAAAGAAAATGTGGTACATATACACCATGGCATACTATGCAGCCATAAAAAAGAATGAGATCATGTCATTTGCAGGAACATGGATAGAGCTACAGGCCATTATCCCTAGCAACCTAATGCAGAAACAGGAAACCAAGTGCCACATGTTCTCACTTATAAGTGGGAGCTAAATGATGAGCAGACATGGACACATAGAGGAGAACAACAGATACCAGGGCCTACTGGAAGGTGGAGGGTGGGAGGAGGGAGATCAGGAAAATTAACTAATGAGTACTAGGCTTAATACCTGGATGACAAAATCATCTGTACAACAAATCCCTGTGATAAGAGTTTACCCATATAATAAACCTGCACATGTAACCCTGAACCTAAAATAAAAGTTTAACAAAAGAAAGATAGTAACAACCCTCACCTCACTAAAAAGTATCATCACTAAAAAGTAGTAAATGTTCAAAACAAGTGTTTTGATGATAATTAAGAAATTATCGTTTTCATTCCATGGCCATCCTTCCTTCTGGATTTTAATAAATATTTAAAAACAAAGGCAGAGCACATAATTCACATGAGATACTCAGCTAGATGTTTCAGTATGGCATACTGAGTTCTCACGACAATCCTGTAAAATACAGGGGGATCTCCACAAGGATACTGAAACTGAAACACAGGAAGGTTAAGATATTATGCAAAGACACACACAACCAGGTGGTCCAACTCAAATTTCTGTCTATTCTCTCTCTCTCTCTGCATTACCAATAATTCTTGATTAAGGTCTTCACTAGTGTTCTTGAATCTTTTAACCTTATCTTAAAAATGATTTTATCTTAATGAATGTATTTTTTTCTTTATATGGACTTTAAGTCACAATGCATATTTTTGACAATTCTTGTTCTATCTCTGTCTCTCTCTCTTTCCAATTTAGTCATCTTTCTCTAGGGCTTACCACTATATTGCATTAGGCTCTGTTAAAAAATAAACTTAGGTACATTAACATTTTAAAGGTTTATTTGAGCAAACAGGAATGCATGAATTGGTCAGTGCCAAACCACAGGCAGTTTGGACTCCACTGAGAAAATGACAGGGTAAAACTTTTATAAGGTGCTGGAAGAAGTGAAACAAAGAAAATATTTGATTGGTTAAAGCAGAAAGTCCCTAGTTAAAGATTGCTTAGTCGTTTCTGATTAGTTAAGCTTGTTTTGTTTTACTATTTACAGTGAGATGAGTTTCAGTTTGCTTACATAGGAACTCAAAGCATTGAAGTCGGCTCAGCCCAATGACCTCCCAATTAATTATTTTCACAGCTCCACCTTCTTTATTTTAATTTTTGATACAGGGTCTCTCTCTGTCACCCAATCTGGAGTACATTGGCTCAATCATGGCTCACTGCAGCCTCAACTTCTCAGGCTCAAGTGATCCTCCTACCTCAACCTCCGAAGTAGCTGAGACTAGAGGCCTGCGCCACACCTGGCGAAATTTTTTTTTTTTTTTTTTTTTTTTTTTTTTTTTGGTGTTTTTGGTATTTTTTGCAGAGACAGGTTTTGCCATCTTGCCCAGGCAGGTCTCAAACTCCTGGGCTCAAGCGATCCTCCCCATTTGGCCTTCCAAAGTATTGGGATTATAGGCATAAGTCACCATGCCCAGCCCATCTTAATTTTAGTATCAGCCACTGACTCTAAATATGGGACTAAAAAACTAAGGCCTCTCTTTCTCTAACTTGACTCCAACAGTTCATGCGGTAACAGCTCCCTTAAAAGTCTCAACAAATATTTCTGGATCTTCCTAGCAGGTATCTCTCATGTACTCAGGAATATAATAGATGATAGACAAATAGATGATATACAGATAGATGATAGATAGGTAGATAGATAGATAGATAGATAGATAGATAGATAGATAGATAGATAGATAGATATGGAGATAAAGCTTCCCTGTGGAGTCTTATTTCCCTCTTTGTCCCATCACAGTGGGTGTCACCATGTCAGCCTGCCATCCCTGTCCTTTGGGCTGTGTCAACCTATAATAAGAACATCTGGATGCGTCAGGCATGACCAGACCCTGCCATAGATGCACGGGAACCCTCGGGAGGGCAAGCCTGGCAGTGCTGTGGGAACATGTGGCTCATTTTTTTCTGAGAGGGCAAAGCAGAGCCACTGGGTGACTTGCAGCATTTTAAAATGAGAGAATGTCTCTTTTGCTCTGACTTACACTGCTAACTGCATCTCCCTCTCCATCTCAGTAGGACTCAATCATACACAGATGCTCCCCAACTTACAATGGGATTATGTTCTAACAAACCCATCATTAGATGAAAATGTCCTAAGTCAAAAACGCATTTAATACATCTAACCTACTGAACAGAGTAGCTTAGCCTAACCTATCTTAAACATGCTCAGAACACTTACAGTAGCCTACAGTTGGGCAAAATCATCTAACATGAGCCTATTTTATAATAAAGTATAGAATACTTCATGTAATTCACCAAATATTCAAATACAGCTTCTGCTGAATGCATATCACTTTTGCACCATCCTGAAATCCAAAAATCCTAAGTCAAACCATGGTAAGTCAGGAACCATCTGTATTTATGGGAACCTAGTTTGAAAAACTAATGTCAGTGAAAAATATTACAACAGCCCATGAATTTTGCATCCATCCTGAGGAGGAAGGTAAACTGGTCCCCTAGAATAATTTCCCCAATTCTTCCTTATGTGTCTCATCAGATCCTGAAGTATCAGGGGTTCAGGGAGACTCACATCTCAGTTATTCAAACAAGCCCAGGTAAATTTTCCCCAGGCTCAAGCCAAAGCTTGCCTCTTAAAAACTGCTAAAAAAAATCTAAAATTCATTTCTAGGACCAAACACATACAAGGAATTCTGATTTGCATGAGAGAGAGTACAATTCACCCTCAACCAACCCAGCACAGAGATGTCTTTCAACACCAACGCACTTTAACATGTATACCCCACTCACTGTTTAATTCCTGTACCCAGAGTCATACAGTTCTGTCATCATAGAAAACACCTCTGGGCAAACTAATTTTTCTTGAAGCCCAGCAAATAGTAACAACCTCCCACACCCTTTCAAAGACCTGCTCAACAGGCAGGTTTTTGTTGCGTGAAGTGGGAGTAGTGGTTGACTATGCAAGCATCATCAACCTTCACGATGCACAATCTAAGCTTGTGGTGGATCAATGTAGCCCCCAAACACCTCCATAATAGTGATAATTGTAACAGCTCTGTATAATACAACATAGTTTTCAAAATAAATGAGAGATATGCTGAGACAAAATACGAGAATGCTGAGACATGGGTTAGGTTATTTGTCCAAGGCAAGCTGGGATGCAAAGCAAAGTCTGGGTGCTTGCCATTTATTCACTGTTCTCCCCATTCCCCTCCCACCTCCTTCTATCTTCTATTGAAATTACAATTTCAGGCCTGGCCCTGATTTCTACTTTGGGAGGATCCCATGGTTTTGTACTTTTAGCACTAATTTTTCAATGTAGGTTTCCTAATCATTTACCCTGAGTGATTCAAAAGAAACATAAGGTAGATTCTTACCTTTGAAAAGCTTTCCCAAATGTCCATTAATGATAGACTGGATTAAGAAAATGTGGCACATATACATCGTGGAATACCACGCAGCCATAAAAAAGGATGAGTTCATGTCCTTTGTAGGGACATGGATGAAGCTGGAAACCATCATTCTCAGCAAACTATCGCAAGGACAAAAAACCAAACACCGCATGTTCTCACTCATAGGTGGGAATTGAACAATGTGAACACTTGGACACAGGAAGGGGAACATCACACACCAGGGCCTGTCGTGGGGTGGGGGGAGGGGGGAGGGATAGCATTAGGATATATACCTAATGTAAATGATGAGTTAATGGGTGCAGCACACCAACATGGCACATGTATACATATGTAACAAACCTGCACATTGTGTACATGTACCCTAGAACTTAAAGTATAATAAAAAAAAAAAAAGAAAATCTTTCAGTCTAGTTGAGGCTGTGACCAATGTCCAAGAAACAAACTGAGAGTAACGTTTATTGACATCAGTGTGGGCCAGCAGAAATAGGCATTTTAAAAAGGAGAGGTCACTGCCAGAAGGAGACACTTTAAGAAAATAAATCTCTTGTGTTTCTCTTTTTACCTTAGTTTCCAGAAAGCTCAAAACCAGATCTGAAGTTTAATTATCTCAATTTATAATTTCCCTTGAAGTATACATAGCTGTGATATTTTCATGCTCTCACGGCACTAGGGTGTGGCGGGGCAGGGTAATTTGTTATTTCTATTTTATATCTTTGCTGTTATTTTTTCTACTGACATCATAATGAAAATATCTGAGATAAAAGCTAATAATAATATTATAATAATAAACTAAAACTGTTAAGGAATACCCATTATAAATTTATATATACTTATACTAACTTATAAAATTTTTGCAACAACTTGTAAAAGTGAATACACCACAAAGTCTGACAATTAGGCAAAAGCATAGACTAGAAATTAAGTTAAGAAGCAACAGCAAATTATTCCAAGTGCTTGAAGTTAGCTGATTACTATAATCGACCATAATTTTTTTTCTTTAAATTTGATAACAACTGATATGTGGGAAGAAGGAGAAAAATAAACAAATACATTATATTTATTTTCTGATGAAAGACCACATGCCAACGTGACCAGTTCATACTAAGCTCAGCAGAAAAGCTTTGAGCATGTATTGAGTGCCCAGGACATATGCATAAATAAAAAAGGTTAATTTCCATAGTAAAGTGTTTCCCATGCAAATATGGGCAAAAGTTATATTGAGGTAATTCACAGACATACCAAAAGCCGGCTAATATATTAAAATATGATCTGCTTTATTGGTAATCATAGAAATTTAAAATAAAATAATTAGAAATCAATTTTACCTAGTAGATTGACAAGAAATTTAAGGATTGTTAATATGTTAGTAAATGTTGTGAAGAAAGGGTCACTTACTTTCATTGTTAGTAAAAGTATAAACTAATTCAATATTCTGGAAGGTGATTTGACATCCATTAGAATTTACAAGGTGCATCCACTTAGATGAGTAATTCAACTTCAATTCATCTGTGAAATCTCTCCTACCAAAATAATTGCACTTGGGCACAAAGATGTTCATTGCAGTATTGCTTATGATAGCAAAAGTTGGAAAGGATAGAAATCTCCATCAAGTCATTTCATAGTCACACTAGGTAACACAATGCAGCCTTTAAAAGAAAGGGACTTTTAAAATGAGGAACTGAATACTGAGGAATTGAATACTGAGGAACTGAATATTGCATTGTCATGGAAACCTCTCCATGATTTAGTGCTAAATGAAAAGTTAATGAATAGTAGTCATAGTATGATCCCATTTATGTTTTCTGGAGGGCTGAACGAGTGTGTGTACATGTACATATGTAGGCACAGAAATTAATAAAAAATAGGTGTGGATGGATAGGTAATAAAAGATAAAGTCATTATGTCTGGGGAGGGAAATAGGTGAATAGTGATATGAAGTGAGGAGTGGGGCTGAGAGAGGAGTAAGGGGAAGGGTGGACACAAGACTCCATATGCTTTGGTAATATTTAAATTTTCAATAATGAATACTCATTCACGAATACTATGTTATTTTTGAAATAAAATAAATTGAAAGTAACTAATTATATTGCAGTATGAACATGTCACCATCCTGGTCTTTATTGATAAACTAGACAGCTAAATTGCCCAGATTAACCATCCTGCATTCTGATTTGGCCACCCCCAAGAAGTGCACCTAAGCACTTCCACTCCCTTATGATCTCAGATTCTCAGCATTTTAAAGAATCTTAAGAGTCATCCAATCAATTATTTATTCAGTGCTTGAAGCCCCTCTTAAATATGTGTGCAATTGATCTTCCAGGTTTTGCTTGATAACTCCTCTCACTAGACAGTCATTGCTTCCCAGGGCTTCCTACTCTCCCTTCCAGCAGCTCTGCTGGGAAGGACTCCCTTGTCTTAAGACACAATATGCCTCTATCCCTAATCCTACAGACTCTTCTTTTTGTTTTTTCTTTTTTCTTCTTTTTCTTTTTTTTAAACGGACAAATAATAATTGTGTATATTTATGGTGTAATATGTGATGTTTTGATCTATGTATACATTACAGGAAGATTCCATCAAGCTAATTAATATATACATCACCTCATCAATTTATTATTTTGTTTGTGTGTGGTAAGAACATTAAAAGCCTATTGGAGAGTCTTTAAAAAGGCAGTCTCATAGAAATGGAAAGTAGAAAAGTGGTTACGAGGCAGGAGAATGGCATGAGCCCAGGAGACGGAGCTTGCAGTGAGCCGAGATCGTGCCACTGCACACCAGCCTGGGCCACAGAGCGAGACTCTTGTCTCAAAAAAAAAGAAAGAAAAGAAAAGAAAAGAAAAGTGGTTACCAGAGGCTAGCAGGAGAACGGAAGATGGGGAAAGGGGAGATGATAGTGAAAGGGTACACAGTTTCAGTTAGACTGGAGGAACACATTTTAGTGAACTATTGCACCGCATGGTGCCCTTGCACCACCCTGAGTAGAGCTTACAGACCCCTCTTCCTCCCTGAGAAGGAAGGTATTCTCAGTGAACACTGCCCCCGACCCTAAGTGAATTAGAAAGACTTTCTCTCTACCTAATGTCTGTCACAGCACTTACCACGCACTTACCATAATTATCTATCTACAAACCTAGACTGTAAGGCTTGAGCAGCAAGTACTTTTGTATCCCAGTACCTAGATCAGTGTCAAGCTCATAGGAGGTTCTCAGGCCCCATGGTGTAGTGGTTAAAAGTATAAACTTTATAATAATCCATCCAAATCTCAAACCCCTTTGCTAAATATAAGTTCTCATTTAGAGTAAGCAAAACATTTGAGGCTTCATTTCCTTAGTGGTGAGAATGAGATAAATATAGTAATATCTACTTCATAGTTTCCTTAAGAATATGAAATAAGAATAATGAATGAATGAGAAAAAGAATGAGTGAGCGAACCCATCCACCAACCAACTTCTCAAAGAACCCCACTGTCCCCAAAACTCTCCTTGTGTTCTGGAATTCTGTTAGAGCTTTTGAAAAAAGAAAGCACAGCTTAGATTTGGCTAAGACCAACCTGAATTCAATCAATTCTAAAACAAAATCAAGAAAGAAAAAAAGAAAGCCTGCATCAACCAGTCACTACTTTCTATTTTTCTAGGAGGTGGGAATATGGACAGGACTGATCTCTGTAGCTCCTTTTTTGAACTTGGGACGATCTCAGATCTCACCTGTGGCGATTTCACAGCATAGCAGTAGAGGGTTAAAACTTATATGAACTTCGTTTGAACTTTGTATGGGCTCCTCTCTTACTTTAAAAAGTTTTACATTAAACTTTGTAATGTAAGGAGAACATGCAATTTAAATTAAAGAATTGGAGGAGATTTGGGTATTTTTAAGCCTGGGTCAGCAAACTCCAAAGGCCTATAATTAGGTTTTCCCTCCATTTCTTCATAATCATTAAAACCATGAATGAGAATAAAGCTTAATCAGATAGATTGCCTACTCTTCCCTTAAGATATGGATCTATTATAGAAGCAAAATATCTTTAAGGATGTTTTGTAAATAACTCCCAAATATGCTGGGTTGGCCTAGCAGATTTGGTTGCAATATGAGATGATATATATAACAGATTAAAGCAATTCACCACGTATTTATCAGTAACTTTTATAAGCCTATGTTCCACATAAATTAAGAAAAATTATTTTTATAAACTGTATTATTTAAATGCTCTATGATAGCTACCTCTTCAATGGATCGTATCTTTACGATCTTGTTATATCCAGTACTTCTTCTCCAATGCCAATATTCTGCACCTCTCCCCTTGTCATGAGATAATCTGCTCATGACGCTATTCACCCGGGGAAGACTAGAACCATCCCCGCCTGCCACCACTGGCTTTTAAAAAGTTCTAAGGAAGATCAAGTTTGATGTTAATGTCTCCAGCCTGTCTATTCTATATTGTTTTGCTATTCTTTCAGCTCTCATTTTTTATATGGAAAAAGTTCAGACTTATTCTGGTCTGTCCCATCCTTATAAATGATTCTAACCACAAAAATATAAGATCATTCTTATTTTTTAGCTAAAAATGCACAGATTCCAACTTGAGGAAAGTGGCTCTTTATTTCTGATAATAGTTTCTCAAAATACATTTCTAAAATATAAGAAGAGAAACGATTGCCCAATTTCAAGCCTGTATTCTATCTGATAGTAACACCAAAAGGTACATTTAGGGCAAGAAATGAAAACGATAGTTTGGAAAATCACCTCTAAAGTCTATAATTACTCTTAATAAGTCATCATTTTTAGGCTATGTTCACGTGGCCCATACACATCTGACTTTCTCTAGTATGTGCAGCAGTCTGATTTATCTAGTGGGAAATACACAGGTGGGATCTTGGTGCTTCAGATTCTAAGTAACATTATAGAACTCAGACGATGTGTTTATGCATCATTTTCCTTATCTATGAAATGGAACCTTAATGATGGCCAGCCACACACTGTGTTACACTGGAAAGGGGAAAAATCATCAAGCTGGCTTCTGAGATCAGAGAAGGAGAATTTAATCAGCCAATTACAGATGTGCCTGCCTCTGTATAATATATATAACAGATTAAAGCAATTCACCGTGTATTTATCAGTAACTTTTATAAACCTATGTTCCACATAAGTTAATAAAAATTATTTTTATAAACTGTATTATTTAAATGCTCTATGATAGCTACCTCTTCAATAGATCGTATCTTTAAAAATATTTAAAGCAAATAAGATGGTCAAATTGTAATATATCAATGTCAAACACCCCTTTGTAGCTGGAAAGTAATGTAACCACTAGGCGAAGAAGAGAGAAACAAACTTCCCTAGACACAAATTAGTTTTGTTGGTAAAGATTTGGTTTCTTCATGGCAAAAAACAAAAAAAGTGATTATATAACAAATTACATGACCCAGCATATAATAATTTACAACATAGCATTTTCTCAGTCGATCAATTAAGACTCTCAATGATGTTGTATAGTTACATAAAGCAGGTGTATGTTGTACGGATAAAGATACAGTCTCTAGGTATGTCACAGTGATTAAGAGTCTTGCACGGGTTTACTCAGTTAGCAAGTGGAAGAGTAAAAACTCCACTCTTGTTATATCCAGTACTTCTTCTCCAATGCCAATATTCTGCCCCTCTCCCCTCATCATGAGATAATCTGCTCATGATGCTATTCACCCGGGGAAGACTAGAACCATCCCCACCTGCCACCACTGGCTTTGAAAAAGTTCTAAAGAAGATCGAGTTTGACGTTAGTGTCTCCAGCCTGTCTATTCTATATTGTTTTGCCATTCCTTCAGCTCCCATTTTTTAGAGGAAAAAATTCAGACTTAAAAATAACAACTTTCTGGAGATCTCATACATACATCAGTTGATGAGCAAATCTATGCCCACCTTACTTCAAGCCATGATGAGTAAAATATAGTAGTGAAGAACCCTAGATTTGGAATCAGAGGAGTCTGTTTCAAATGCCAGTTCCATCAACCACCAACTGTGTGACTGTGAACCCCCTAGGAGCCTCAGTAGCATAATTTCTTGTAGTTATTCAATTAAACTATGCATACAATATAGTACCTTAAAAAGTAGCTAAGATACAATTGTAATACATCAAGCTGCTTTAAAGAAATGTACTATGGACTACAGGATTTTAGGCACCAGATTTGTGATGAAGCTTAGGGGGTCCTCTCAGAATACCAAAATTCACATCACATAGAAATATATATTTTCTGTAGGGAGCAGAGCCAGGGATGGAACCACAATAGGTCTTCAAGTCCATGAAGCCACCACCATGAACCACCATCTCCTCCCCTAGAGCCCTGCTCCCTTCCTTCTGCAGCTGCCCAGTGATTCCCTCCATCCTGAAGTCACTGCTGTAGAGAATGTTGGGAAGCAGCAGGTTTGAGAGGGTAAGCATGATAGTGGAAAGCAGACAGGTCCCTCCAGGTACTCTAGACTCAAAGATGGATGTTTCCCTTTGAAGAGGTCACCAGGATGGCTATCAGTGCTAACTATAAAAGGATGGCCTCATAGTATGAGATTTACACAAGGACAGACACCTTCTGTCACAACATAAGAAGGCTCAAGAGGAAGAGTGAGGTTCCCCTAAGGTCTTCAGAGTCCTAGTCATGTTCCCCAAAGTAAGGATCTAAAAACAGGAAACGGGTTTCTTATGATCATTTGCTCTTCCTGCCTCCTTACTGTCTAAAGGCAACTGATGCTGATTCATAATGCCAGGACAGCCATGCCACAGTCACCATCCAGCCCGTGATGGAAATGGAGTGGACTCTCGTAGGACAGATGTGGGTGTGAATCCCAGGCTGTGTTAAACTGAGTAAGTAATTTAAGGTCTCCAAGCCTCAGGCTTTAGCTTATGAAATGTATCATTAAAATGTACTATTATTATTACCATCCATTTTTATTATGCTTGTTTCTGTTATCCGCACTAAAAGAGACACATTAATTTTCTTGCTACATTTATGAGAGTATATTCTTTATTTCCCATTTGCACCTCAAGATCCACTTTCCACCCATCTACTCTGTGCCCCAGAAAATCTTCTATAATCTGTGTCAACATGTTCCCTTGCCCTCTAGTTTTCAGTTTTGTTCAGCTGAAGTTGGGGAGTGGATATTAGAGATGACAGAGAATGGGGGTGAGGTGTCCAGACTCCTGCTCTGCCAGGCTACTATGGGTTAGTTATGTCCCTTTACCAAAAGCCACAGCTCCTATAACAGTATCCTTTTAAAGCATCTCTCTCCAGGTTACAGTAATTGTTCCCTCTCCTTGCCTCTTCCGTCCTGGGGATGATAATGGCTCCACATTCTTGGTGCACTACGGTACTGCAGTATGCCTTGTTGATTTCCTTAAACTCTGCCTACACCTTTATAAACAGTCTCTATACTAAATTCTCTGTAATTACCCAATTTGAGTGAGCCATTATTTTCCTATAGGGGCCTTGACATGTATATCCATAAACTACATAATTAGATCAAAGTAGCATTCCAGGTAGCCATGACCAAGACACAGAAGCAGAAAATCAATGATTAATCTCTGCCTTTTTCTACTTATAATTCCCTCTCCTTAGAATCTTCACCCTAATTGTTCCTTTCCATCATAGTAGTCAACCTTCTGTCCCTAACAATGGCCCAGACTCTAAGCATTTGTTCAGTCAACTTCAGCCTAAAATATCGCTTAATTTATTTGCAGTTAAATTGTGTTTAATTTCCCTTTCCTTCTTTTAAGAATGGCCTTTATATTTCCTTTTTCCTGTTACTGCCAAAACCAGCGCTTCCCCCTTATTAACGGTGTCTTGGTTTCATGCTACTGTGAGGCACTGGTATACACAGGGAGATGGCTCCAGCCCCAGGGATAGATCATGATTGACCTTCTCCAGTCACTGCAATCACCTCTCTCACCCAGTGATGGTTTAAGGTGATAGCCATGTGTGCAAGATCTAGACTATGATAAATGAGGGGAAATCTGAAGAGGGTCAGGGGAAGCAGGATGTTAGGAGAGATTTTCCTTCTTAAGAAAAAGATACAACAAAGAAAAATGTTCTCTTCCTTTCTTCTTTCTTTCCTTCCTCCCTGACTTTGATGTTGTTATTTGAAAATGTGGCGTTTGAAGTTTAGTCAGCCATCTTTTTGCCAAGAGGAGGAAGTCAAGAGAATAAGAAGGAAGCTGACCCAAAGTCCTGACATCACTGAGCTTCTGTATTAGCCCCCTCCAATGTACTCCTCCAGATTTCTCGTTGCATGAGATAAGAAAGCCCTTTGCATTAGCCGCTTGTCTTAGTTTGGGATGTTGTAACAGAATATCATGAACTGGATGGTTTTTAAAAACAGTTATTTATTTCTCACAGTTCTGCAGAATTAGAAGTCCAAGATCAAGGTGTCAGCAGATCAGATGTCTGTTGAGGGCATTATTCCTGGTTTGCTGATGGTCATCCTATTGTGTCCTCACCTGGTGGAGATCAGAGAGGAAGCAAGCTCTTCTTTGTCTTTTCTTGTAAAGGCACCAATCCCATCATTCTCTACTGTCATGACAATTACCTCCCAGAGGCCCCATCTCTGAATACCAGCCCATTGGGGATTAGGGTTTCAGCATATGGATTCAGGGGACACATAAACATTCAGTTCATAGCACCACTTTTTTTTTTCATAGCACCAATTTTATTTGGATATTCTGTTACTTGCAGCCAAAAGAATATTAAATGAATCACTACCCAAGGCTAGCTGCACCCCCACTATGCAGACATATTCCTCTCATTTATTTCCCCTATGCACGGCAGCTATCAGCTCTGTAAGATATCAAATGTGTCTTGAAATCCCTGAAAAAAAGAATGAAGATGAGAGTCTCATTAGGTGTTCTTTGTAGGCTAGGGCCCAGGGTCCCACACAGGTAAGACTCTGGCTTCCTAATCCAAAGGTTAGAGGCTTCAAATCCTTTCTCTTTCCTTTTGAGAAAATACAGGTAAGACAGTTCTGCCTTGTAAATATTCATATTAGAGACTAAAATTGGGGGCCAGCAGTGTCTTCGTGCCATTTTATCCAGACCTAGCATACAGAAGTTGTTAAATAACTATTTGATGGATAAACAGATACATTCCATACATTTTCACACAGAAGAAACTCATTGCAATAGGTAGGATTAGGTTTGGCAGCAAATGGCAAAAGAAATGACAGTGGATTAAACAAAATGGAAATATGTTTTCCTATATTCATGTGAATATAGGTGAGTGTGGAGCCTTCCTGACCCTTCCAACCTCCTTCTCTCTTATTGCCCCACTATTCTCAATGTGTGTTTTCACCATGTGCTGTAATATTTCTGCTCCAGTTCTCTCCATCACATCTGAATTTTAACCAGCAGGAAAGAGAAGAGAGGAGTGGGCACACCACTTATATTAAGGATACTTCATACAGTTGCAAATCCACCGACCAAAGCTCCACCCCATTGGTCAGAACTGAACCTCCAGGCTTTCCCTTGGTGCTGGATATTTTCTGTTTGTCCCTTCACCACATCCAACTTCACCCTTTTCTACGCTGTCTTGTGCTGTCAAGGATTTACCTGAATTGATGACATCAGTGGGCCCCCTGGCTTTCTGGCTTCTACTGAGTACAGCCAGTGGGAGACACACTCAGGAACGGAGGAGGTGAAGGACGTTAAGACTGGCCCTCCAGCTTGCTCTCTTCTAAGTCTATGTGGGTTGGCACTATCCCTCTATCTAGTGCATGAGCAAGAATGGTCTACTTCAGGTTGCAAACAATAAAGGCTACATTGCCTGTAGATAATTTAAAAGCAATAAGAAAGCCAAATAAAAGTCTACCAACTTTTTATTATCACCATCCACAGACAATTCTAAACAATGTCAATAATAAAACACTCTTCCTGCCAGGAACAGACCATTCCCATCTCCACCCCTTCCCCAGGGCAGCCACCACATCTCCCAAGGCAATTCCTGTCACTCACCCCTTCCTACTCAGTTACTCTGGAGGTTTGGTGACCACTTCTTCCCCTGGCTTCTCAGGCCTAGGGATGGTAACAGCTCTCTGCATATGCTCCACTGAGTTTCTAAAAACCCTGTACCGCACACACCTTTGTAAATAGTCTCTTTATTAAACTCTGGTCAATTATCCAGTTTAAGTGTGCCACGCATTTCTTACTGACATCTCAGCTGATACTATCCAGTAGCAAGGAAGTTTTTATTCTGAAGTGGCCACGAGCCAAAATAGAGATGTTATTATTGAGAAAAAAAATGGATAAAATAAATATTGGAAAAAATCAATCTCTGCCACCCTCTTTTATTATACTTTAAGTTCTGGGGTACATGTGCAGAACATGCAGGTTTGTTACATAGGTGTACATGTGCCATGATGGTTTGCTGCACCCATCAACCCGTCATCTACATTAGGTATTTCTCCTAATGCTATCCGCCCCCAGTGCCCTACTCCTCGACAGGCCCCAGTGTGTGATGTTCCCCTCCCTGTGTCCATGAGTTCTCATTGTTCAACTCCCACTTACCAGTGAGAACATGTGGTGTTTGGTTTTCTGTTCTTGTGTTAGTTTGCTGAGAATGATGGTCTCCAGCTTCATCCATGTCCCTACAAAGGACATAACTCATCATTTTCTGCATGGTATTTCATGGTGTATATGTGCCACATTTTCTTTATCCAGTCTATCATTGATGGGCATTTGGGTTGGTTCCAAATCTTGGCTATTGTGAACAGTGCCGCAATAATCATACCTGTGCATGTGTCTTTATAGTAGAATGATTTATAATCCTTTGGGTATATACCCAGTAATGGGATTGCTGGGTCAAATGGTAATTCTGGTTCTAGATCCTCGAGGAAACGCCACCCTGTCTTCCACAATGATTGAACTAATTTATACTCCTGCCAACAATGTAAAAGCATTCCTATTTCTCCACATCCTCTCCAGCACCTGTTGTTTCCTGACTTTTTAATGATCACCATTCTAACTGGCATGAGATGGTATCTCATTGTGGTTTTGATTTGCATTTCTCTAATGACCAGTGATGATGAGCTTTTTTTCATATATTTGTTGGCTGCATAAATGTCTTCTTTTGAGGAGTGTCTGTTCATATCCTAAGTATTGATGGAACGTATCTCAAAATAATAAGAGCTATTTGTGACAAACCCACAGCCAATATCATACTGAATGGGCAAAAGCTGGAAGCATTCCCTTTGAAAACCAGCAAAAGACAAGGATGCCCTCTCTCACCACTCCTATTCAACATGGTATTGAAAGTTCTGGCCAGGGCAATCAGGCAACAGAAAGAAATAAAGGGTATTCAAATAGGAAGAGAGGAAGTCAAATTGTCTCTGTTTTCAGATGATATGATTATATATTTAGAAAACCCCATTGTCTCAGCCCAAAATCTCCTTAAACTGATAAGCAACTTCAGCAAAGTCTCAGGATACAAAATCCATGTGCAAAAATCACAAGCATTCATATACACCAATGATAGACAAACAGAGAGCCAAATCATGAGTGAACTCACATTCACAATTGCTACAAAAAGAATAAAGTACATAGGAATAAAACTTACAAGGGATGTGAAGGGCCTCTTCAAGGAGAACTACAAACCACTGCTCAACAAAATAAAAGAGGGCACAAACAAATGGAAAAACATTCCATGCTCATGGTTAGGAAGAATCAATATCGTGAAAATGGCCATACTGCCCAAAGTAATTTATAGATTCAATGCCATCCCCATCAAGGTACCATTGACTTTCTCCACAGAATTAGAAAAAAACTACTTTAAATTTCATATGAAACCAAAAAAAGAGCCCGCATAGCCAAGACAATCCTAAGCAAAAAGAACAAAGCTGGAGGCATCATGCTACCTGACTTCAAAGTATACTACAGGGCTACAGTAACCAAAACAGCATGGCACTGGTACCAAAACAGATATCTAAACCAATGGAACAGAACAGAGGCCTCAGAAATAACACCACACATCCACAGCCATCTGATCTTTGACAAACCTGATGAAAACAAGCAACGGGGAAAGGATTCCCTATTTAACAAATGGTGCTGGGAAAACTGGCTAGCCATATGCAGAAAACTGAAACTGGACCCCTTCCTTACATCTCATTTTTTTTTTCCTTTTTCAAACTTGGAATTTACAAATCTACCAAATGAAAACACTCTTCTGATTGTTCCCAAAGCTTTCACTCCTCTAACAGCTTTTGCCACTTCCCTCCAAGGAAGCTTTCAAGGAAACTACCTCAATGGGTGCAAGTGAATGATACATCAAATTTCTAGCCCTAAAGCCAAGTAAAAGGAATTTGACTATGTCCTGATCTTGATTCAGATGTGTCCTTCAGTACAGATTGTGTTTGTAGCACTGTCCAACTAGCCAATCAGCATGGGATCCTAACCAATTAGAACAGACATTCTCCAGGGTGCCATTCCAGCCCCTACCAGCTGGATATCTTCCCTGCCCCTAGGAAAGCTGAAAGTAGAGCAACTTGACCTCATCCCTGTACCCACTAACTCTGGACACCTCTTAATATCCATGTCTTTATCCATGTTTTGCAAAGTCAGGCCTATCTACACCAACACAACCTCGCCTCCTGGGCTGGATCAGTGTCTCCACAGGAGGGCAACTTGACAGATCCTGTTTCTTAACTTTCACTCCAGCTAGCACTCACTTTTAGCTTGTCATTATCCACATAGCTACTGCCCTGGAGTATGAGTTTTATTAAGGTGAAAGCAATGTTTAGAGGCAATAACATGGTTTAGGATGAACAATTAATTGAAGAATTTTTGTTTCCCTCTCAACCTCCAAAATAAAGTACCTAGTAAATTTGGATTTCATTGTCTGGTTGCAAAACAACCTGCCCTGGGGGAGCCTCTGAAAGGAGTCACCAGGCAGCGATGAGATGTGCTTTTCAAAGCCATGTCACGGTCATGGTAATCAGCAGACAGATCCCTATTGTGCAGAGCCCTGCCGCAGGGCCCACAGGGCAGGGCTTCCTGTGAGTGGGCTGCTGGTTGTTTGTGGTTGCTACAACAAAGCCTTAGAGAGAACTTTCTGGGGGGCCAATGTTCAAAGTCCACACAAGGCTGAAATCAGGTCTCAGTTCTGCTCCTTGTGTTTGACTAGAAATGCCAAGCTCTTCAGAAAGTGAGACAGAATATTATCCAAGGAAATGTGGAGGGTGAGTTTTGTTTTCACTGGTTATTTTCATGACTGTGCCAGACACTTCACACACACACACACATCACCTCTAATCTTCACAAGAGCCCAGTGAGATAAGTATCACTGTCCTTGTTTGCAGAAAAGGAAACTGAGGCTCAGAGATGTAAATAACTCTGTGGCCCCTCAGCAGCTGGGAAACAGAGCAGTGATTGGAACTCAGGTTGACCTGACTCCAAAGCCCCATCCTACAGTCCCCACCCACCTTTCCCAGAACTGTGCAGAGGGCCAGAGGTAAGGCCCGATAGATACAAACCTTCAACCATGGCCTGCAGGGGTTGAAGTGGGCTGCACAGCAGACCAAGTTGCTGCGCTGGAGAGGAAGATAATTGTATTATCATGGTAGCATCACAGCAATGCAGGCCAGCTTCCTGAGCCAGGTGGACAAGGTGGTAATCAGCAGAGGATGAGAAAATAAGACAAGATGGGGCAGGACGAGGTGGGTGGATCACGAGGTCAGGAGTTCAAGACCAGCCTGGCCAAGATGGTGAAACCCCATCTCTACTAAAAATAGAAAAATTAGCCAGGCACAGTGGCAGGCACCTGTAATGCCAGCTACTCGGGAGGCTGAGGCAGAGAACCACTTGAACCTGGAAAGCAGAGGCAGCAGTGAGCCAAGATCGCGTCACTGCCCTCCAGCCTGGGCAACAGAGCGAGACTCCATCTCAACCAAAAAAAAAAAAAAAAAATAGACAAGATGGGTTTGTCAATTATCTTTTGCTATATGACAATCCACTTAGAAACTTAGTGGAGTAAGAGAGTAAAATATATTATTTCTCATGATCTGTGCTTGTGCTGGTGGTTCTGCCCCACTTTGTATCACACAGGGGTCATTTATGCAAGTGCATCCTGCTGAAGGCTGGTATATTTTGGAAGTTTAGAGGCCTCTCTGAAGAGTTTGGGCCTTGGTGCTAGCTGTTGGCTGAGGGGCTTCAGTTCTTTTCCATGTGGTCCTTAGTACTGTGTGGCATTTTACCTCTCAGTGTCTCTCCATATGTCCTCTCTCTTCAAGAGGATAGCTTGGACTTCCTTACATCATGGTGGCTGACTCTGAGCAAACAAAAGCAGAAGCTTCCAGGCCTCTTAAGGGCTAGTCCTGGAGCTGACACAGTATCATTTCTGCCACATTCCATTAGTTAAAGTAAATCACAGGCCAGCCTGGATTCAAGGAGAGGGGAAATAGACTCCATTTCTAAGTTGGTGGGGCAACCTGTGCACCGAGGGAGGTGGGAACTTGTTGGCAGTTATCTTTGGAGAAAATCACAGTGGATATGCCACAGATTCCCTCAGGCAGCATATACCCTGCAGAGGCTGTGGGGAGAAGGGTATCTCTGCAGCATGGTGAAGGGCCTTGTCTAGAATGCCAGCTCTAGTGATAGGGTATGGCTGCCCAGGGTATACAATGAAAAGGCTTGTAAAGCAGCATCTGGGACCAGCAGGAAAAAAGATTTCAACTGAGTCATTCATTAATTCATTCCTCCTTTGTTTGAAAAAATATTTATCAAGCACCTCTGTTGTCCTACTCTTCCAGGCACTGGGGATAAAGCAATGAAAGCTTATCCTTTCTCAAGGAGTTCACACTCTAGTAAGGGAACTAGACAATAAATAGGTAAATAAACGTGTAATGTGTTAGGTAAAAATTAGTGCTAAGAAAGAAAATAAAATGAATAAGTGAGTAGTGATAGGAGACTGCTAGGGTGTGAATGTTTGTGTTCCTCCAAAATTCATGTGTTAAAATCTAATCCTCAATGTGGGGATATTAGGAGGTGTGGCCTGTGGAGGTGACTGAATGATGAGGTTGGTATCCTCATGAATAGGATGAGTGCCCTAATAAAAAAGGCTTATTAGTGCCCTAATAAAAAAGGCTTGAGCCCTTCCACTATGTGAGGACATGCAAGAAGCCACCACCTATGAGGAATAAGCCCTTACTGGACACTGAATCTGCCCACACCTTGAGCTTAGACTTCCCAGCCTCCAGAATAGTAAAAATAAATGCTATATATAAATTACCCAGTCTAAAGAACTTTGTTACAGCATGAGGAACAGACTAACACAGAGGCCTCTCTAATAAGGTAACATATGAACAGATGCATGAATGAAGAAAGAAGACTGGCTGTGTGGGTAAGGCAGGGAAGAACATTCCAGAGGGAACGGTTAAGGCAGAGGCCCTAGTGCCTCAGTCTGCTCAGGCTGCTATAATAAATTACCATAGCCTGGGTGGTTAAACAACAAACATTTATTTCTCACAATTTTGGAGGTTGGAAGTCAGAGATGGTGGTGCCAGCATGATCAGGTGCTGGTGAGGGCCCTCTTTCAAGTTGCAGACACTCAGCTTCTTGTATCCTCGCAAGGCGGAAGGAGAGCAAGAACACTCTCTTCCCAAGGGTTCCCTGTGACCTTATTATCTCCCTAATTGTACCAGCTCTAATACCATCACCTGAAGGAGTTAGGAATCCAAATATGAATGTGGGGGGACACCATCATTCATTCCATAACACCTAGGAAGAGCATTCCAGGCACATGTGAGGAATGCTGTGGCTGCAGCAGAGTTAGCAAGGGGGAGAGTGCTGGGAAAGGAGATGGAGGCACCAGGGGCTGGAAATGAGGTTCTGTTGTAGGTGGGTGAAGATGGTCCAGCTATGTTCTATGTTGCCACTGTTTGATAGAAACACAATGTGAGTCACGAATACAAATCACATGTCATTAAAATGTTCTTACAACTACATTTTATTTTGTCTTTTATTTTAGCTTTGAGGGTATATGTGAAGGTTTACTACATAGGTAAAGACATGTCATGGAGGTCTGTTGTGCAGATTATTTCATCACCCATGTATTAAGACCAGTACCCAATAGTTATCTTTTCTGCTTCTCTCCCTTCTCCCACCCTCCCCCATCAAGTAGACCCCAGTACCTGTTGTTTCCTTCTTTGTGTTCATAAGTTCTTATCATTTAGCTCCCACTTATAAGTGAGAACATGTGGTATTCAATTTTCTGTTCCTGCATTAGTTTGCTAAGGATAATAGCCTCCAGCTCCATCCATGTTCCCACAAAAGACATGAACTCATTCTTTTTTTATGGCTGCATAGTATTTCCATGGTGTATATGTATCACATTTTCTTCATCCAGTTTGTCATTGAATGAGCTTTTATGTTGATTCCATGTCTTTGTATTGTGAATAGTGCTACAATAAACATTCACTTGTATGTGTCTTTATGGTAGGATGACTTACATTCCTCTAGGTATATACCAAGTAATAGGATTGCTGGGTCAAATGGTAGTTCTGCTTTGAGCTCTTTGAGGAGTCACCATACTGCTTTCCACAATGCTTGAACTAATTTACACTCCCACCAACAATGTATAAGTGTTCCCTTTTCTCCACAACCTCACCAGGATCTGTTATTTTTTTATTTTTTAATAATAGATATTCTGACTGGTATGAGGTGATATCTCATTGTGACTTTGATTTGCATTTCTCTAATGATCAGTGATATTGAGTTTTTTTTCACATACTTATTGGCCACGTTTGTCTTCTTTTGAAGAGTGTCTGTTCATGTCCTTTGCCCATTTTTTAAAGGGGTTGTTTTTTTCTTGTAAGTTTGTTTAAGTTCCTTAAAGATGCTGGATATTAGACCTTTTCCAGATGCATAGTTTGCAAATATTTTCTCCCTTTCTGTAGATTGTCTGTTTACTGTTGATAGTTTCTTTTGCTGTGCAGAAGCTCTTAAGTTTAATTAGAGCTCACTTGTCAATTTTTCCTTTTGTCACAATTGCTTTTGGTGTCTTTGTCATGAAATTGTTGCCAGTTTCTATGTCCAGGATGGTATTGCCTAGGTTGTCTTCCACAGTTTTTATAGTTTTGTGTTTTACATTTAAGTCTTTAATCCATCTTGAGTTGATTTTTGTGTATGGTGTAAGGAATTGGTGCAGCTTCAATCTTCTGAATATGGCTGGCCAGTTACCCCAGCACCATTTATTGAATAGGGAGTCTTTTCTTCATTGCTTGTTTTTGTCAGCTTTGTCAAAGATCAGATGGTCATAGATGTGTGACATTATTTCTGGGTTCTCTATTCTGTTCCATTGGTCTGTGTGCCTGTTTCTGCACCAGTACCATGCTCTTTTAGTCACTGTAGCCTTGTAATATAGTTTGAAGTTGTAACATGATGCCTCCAGTTTTGTTCTTTTTGCTTAGGATTGCCTTGGCTCTTCAGGCTCTTTTTTGGTTCCAAACAAATTTTAAAATAGTTTTTTTTCTAGTTCTGTGAAGAATGTCATTGGTAGTTTGATAGGAATGGCATTGAATCTATAAATTGCTTTGGGCAGTATAGCCATTTTAATGATATTAATTGTCCTTATCCACGAGCATGGAATGTTTTTCCATTTCTTTGTGTCTTCACTAATTTCTTTGAGCAGTGTTTTGTAATTCTCATTGTAGAGATCTTTCACCTCTCTGGTTAGCTGTATTCCTAGGTATGTTATTCTTTTTATATATAGCCACATTTTAAAAAGTAAAAAGAACTAGGTATAAACAAGTTTTAGTTTATACCTAGTTTAGTAATAGATTTTGTTTAATATAATATAGTATATGAAGTATATGAAAAATATGAAATATATGAAAAATATTATCATTTCAACATGTAATCAATATGAAATTATTAATAAGAAATTTTACATTTTGTCATACAAAATCCTCAAAATCTAGTGTGTGTTTTACACTTAATAGCACATCTCAGTTTAGACTAATGGTATTTCAGGTGCTCAGTAGCCACCAGTGGCTAGTGGCGACCACATGGGACAGTATAGATCTTTAGCCTATAAAGCAGTATTTCTCATACAGAGCTACCTCAGAATACTGGCCTTGATATGTTAATAAATACACTGGAAAGATAGGCAAATAATGTGTTCTGTGGTCAAATAAATAAAGCTGGAGAAATACTAGTTAAACAAATTGTAAAATGTTTTCTTTCAGCAGAACACCTCAGAACTATTAATAGGATAAGTTATTCTAGGAATCTCCTGGAGAGGCAAAAACTAAGAATAAAGGAATCAATTTTTAAGAGCTGTGTTCTGGGGAGGCCTAGGAGCTTTCACAGAGAGACTTTGGAGAGACTCCTACCCTACTCTGGTTACAAAGCAAGTAAGCTCTGAATTCCCCCATTTCCAGTTCAGCAGCTCTGCTATCATTTGTATTTTTTTCCTTGTTTATCATTTAATATACCTTAATTGAAAAAGGGTTGTAAATCTTTTCTTAAACCCTTGGGTTCTCTAAACAGCTTTCACACATACCTCAGAAGGTGGCCTTAGATGCTGAAAGTGTTCTTTAGGAAACAGCTTTGCAAAGGAGCTTGGGGGCAAACCTCACCTGACACAGCCTCCTCTTCAGTGCAGACTCACCTCGTCATTGTTGTAGCCACAAGAAGAGCTGTGAGCACAGCCTGGTGGCACCTCACCTGAAACCTTTATCCTCACCAGCATGTGGCTGCGCTGATCTGGGCTGTTTATTCATGAATGACCAGTTCCTGGTGCTCCCTTCATACAGGAGTGTTCTGCAGTTTTTTAAAGCAAACCTGAGGCTGGGCGCAGTGACTCAAGCCTGTAATCTCAGCACTTTGGGAGGCCGAGGTGGGCAGATCACAAGGTCAGGAGATTGAGACCATTCTGGCTAACATGGTGAAACCCCGTCTCTACTAAAAATACAAAAAATTAGCCAGGCACGGTGGCGGGCGCCTGTAGTCCCAGCTACTCGGGAGGCTGAGGCAGGAGAATGCACGAACCCAGGAGGCAGAACTTGCAGTGAGCCAAGATCGTGCCACTGTACTTCAGCCTGGGCAACAGAGCGAGACTCCATCTCAAAAAATAAAAATAAAAAATAAAAATAAAAGCAAACCTGAGACTTGACGGACAAAGGCCGTAATTTCTGTTTGCACCTGCAGTGGAGCCCAGAGGTCTCCTGATGGCAAATTCTCTCTCGTCCATTTCAACCCTTGAGCATGGACAATACTCTGTTTAGTCCCTAAAAGAAAAGGCATTCCATGAGGCATTAGTGAGAAATGTATATTTAATTAAAGACTTATACACTATTGGTGGGAATATAAATTAGTACAACGATTGTGGAAAGTGTGTGATGATCTCTCAAAGAGCTAAAAATATGGAACTACCATTTGACCTGGCAATCCCATTACTGGGTATATATACCCAAAGGAATATAAATCACTCTACCATAAAGACACATACATGCATGTGTTCATTACAGCACTATTCACAACAGCAAAGACATGGAATCAAACTAAATGCTCATCAATGGTGGACTGGATAAAAAATATATGGTACATGTACACCATGAAATACTATGCAGCCATACAAAAGAATTAGGTCATATCTTTTGCAGGAACATGGATGGAGCTGAAGGCTATTATCCTTAGCAAACTAATGCAAGAACCGAAAACCAAACACCACATGTTCTCACTTATAAGTAGGAACTAAATAATGAGAATACATGGACACATAGAGGGGAACGACAGAGGATGGGGCCTAACAGAGGATGAAGAATGTGAGGAGGGAGAGGATCAGGAAAAATAACTAAAGTGTACCAGGCTTAATACCTGGGTGATGAAATAATCTGTACAACAAACCCCCATGTCACGAGTTTACCTTTGTAACAAACCTGCACATGTGCCCCTGAACTTAAAATTTTTTAAAAAAGAAAATTTAAAAAGATTTTTTCAAAGACTTTTGTAGAGAGAGCAGAGTTTAACTAACAGTATTTCACTTTAGAAAAATTCCTGTGAGGCATGTTTCTTTTCACAAAATCTCTCCAGGATGCTCCACCACCATACTGACTTATCCATTTCCCTCCCTGTCTGTCTGAGTCTCTTTGTGTCTCATTCTGTCTGTTCTGTATCTCTCTTTGTCCTTCTCAAGCCCTGTCTCTCTATCTCAATTTCTGTCCCTTTGTCTCTCTCTGTTTGTCTCTCTGTCTCTATCTCATTCTCTACATAGCTCTATCTCTCTTCTCTACCCCACCCCAGCCCCAACCTTCCCCACAGACAGCCTTCAGTCTCCTTCCATCTCATGGTTTCTGAAATGCCTACTTTTCTTAGGAAGAGCCATTTAGCTCTATCCCAGATTCCACACTCTCATCACTCAATACTCTACCCCATGTGTGGTACTAGAGATGATATTAGGGTCATGATTTTGATTGCACATAAAAGAAGACAGTCATAATGTGTTTTTATTCTTTTATCCATCTCAAGTATCACTCCCCCTTGACACTTAAATCTATGAGTTAATTATATATCCCTTCATTCACTGTGCATTAGACAGCCCCAGGATTGAAGTCCAGCTCAGCCACTCTTAGCTTTGACCTATGTCATCCACTTAACCTACTGAATGGCACTTTCTGTATATCTAATACATGGGTTGTAACAACTCTGTCAACAAGTTTTTGTAAGGTTATATGTGAAAGTGGTTCTTTCATCTCAAAACATTTTACAAATGTAAAAGATTGAAATCGCTGCAGCTATTGCCTCCAGGTAAGAGCAGGAGCTTGTAACAGCAACAGACAAGCTATGCACAGAAGTGAAAATAAGTGAGGTAAAGGGGGAACCAGTGAGCGGCGGAAGGTGTGAAGGGAAGAAGCATCTGAGCCCCGGTGCCTAACTCATGTGAGTGGCCTCCACACATTCTGATTGCTTGCTGCATCCATCAGCGTCCCAGCAGAAAACAGCACGTTGAAATTAATTTGATGACAGTTTATTAAAAGGACTATTTTTGAGATGTAGCATGTGGAGAAACTACATGAGAAAGAACAGTATCCCAGGACTAGTAACTGTGAGGACTGGTATCACTGCTCCTGGTCCTGAGGTGGCACAGAGAAGAAGCATGGACCAGAACCTGGAGACAGAGTGCCCTATGGAGAGGGCTGCTAGGCAGTCGCTGTACCTTCCATTGAGGAATGCAGCCAACCCATGGGAACATCTCGGAGAGACAGCTGAGAGAACAAATACCCTAATCCCACTCTCTATCCTCCCTTCAATATCTTGTCAGGGCCCCACATTGGCCAAACCCATTTAGAAACCACAGAGGACAAGGAAGACACTAGTGTGGTCCATGCAGAACAAATAGCCTCCCAAGGCAGAAAGCAAAGTGAAGTGTCCTCCCCTCTGGAGCATGGATTTGAAAGGAAATAAAAAGATGTATATCACACTCACTCCCACACATAGATAGGTCATAGACATATTGGGAAAGCCACTTGCAATTTTTATGAGTCCATGAGCTCTGAGGAATTTGGAAATCCTGGAGGCACCTTGCCACAACATGAAAAAAGCCTATCTGACAACAAGAACAAGCAAAGGTAGATAGGAAAAACCAAGCAAGGGAGAAAGACAGAACCGTGATGAAGTACTATGGAGTGCTGAAGCCAGAGAAACCCACAGCCAGCCATAACTGAAGCTAGATTGTGAGCTGATAGATACCATTTTCCTTAACCTAGTTTATATTGCCTGTTATCAATCCACTTTTTATTATAAATGAGGAAACTGAGGTACCAAGAAATCAGTTAACTTAAAAAAGTTCACATGTACACTAAGTGGCAGAGCTGCAATTCTATTCTGATTTTACCTCCAATGTCTGTGCACTCTCCACAACACCCCATGATGCTCTGGAGTCTCTTGTTCTCCTGAATCCTATTGTGGACAAAGATTTTCAGACATGCTTGTTTCCACTTGGGCCATAAATGCCTTTAGATGACAGATGCCCCTGGAGACACATTCCCATGGAAGTCTTCCACTGTCTTGCACTTTTTTTTGTCATGCATCTACACTGTCCTAATCTCTAAAAGCCGTTCTTCACAATCTAAACAACGAAAAGAAGTAAGAGCTGTGACTGTGTGGTAAAGAAAGGAAAATAAATCTTGCTGGTTCGGGACACAGCTACAAGACAAATTTCCACAATAGCGTTTGGAATAAATGACAAGTCCCACTCTGAGCAGTGGCAGGATGCCATATTTCGACAACAGTTTCAACACGAGAAGCCTGCTGGGAGGGCAGTGTTGGTGATGCTTCCTGAAAAATCCTTTTAAAAGATGCAGCACGCTTTTCCACTTACAAATTTGTTAAGAAAAGGGAGAAAATGTCACACAGGAAAAATGATAGGACTTTTGAAAACTTGAACAATGATATCCATTGATAAAATCATGAATGTCGTTTTTTTTGTTTTGTTTTGTTTTTTAAAAAAAAGGAAAGAAAAAAATAACACTTCTTTCTCCCTTGGTAGAAATTTCAGAACACTTAGTAACTGGATCCTCACCTTGTGGCCAAAAGAGTCCAACAAGGAAAAGACACAATGCACAATGAGGAAACCCCCAACAGCTCCTCCAAACACATACGTACACACAACATACACATACACACACAAAAAATACACATACACACAACATACACCTACACACCACACACACAACGTACACACACATCACACTTATCACACATCACACAAAACACACATGAACACACATTATACACATTACAACATACACACACATCATATACACACATATCACACACACATCACACACATCACATACACATCATACACACACATCACACAACATACACATACACACATCACATACACACATATCACACACACATCACACACACATCACATACACATCATACACACACATCACAAAACATACACATACACACATCACACACACACATCACACACAAAACATACACACAGACACACATCACACACACACCACACACAACATATGCACACGCATACACATACACACACATCACATCACACACGCAACATAGAATGTACACACACAACATATACACAACACAACATCACAAACACAACATACACACATCACACATATCACACACACACAAAATACACACACATACACGCACATCTTACATACCCAGTAGGTTTTTGGCCTGTTAACAAATGAACTCAAAAGAAGTCAGTCTTAGAGGATGAACTCTGGCAAGCCAGGGAGCCTACCCAAATGCAGCAGGAGCAGAGAGTGCATTGGCTTAGAAGATCAAGAAACATGGACATTAAGTTTGGCTCTACCCCTTCATGTTCCTGTGATTATTGGGAAAATTGCTTAACCTCTCCAAGCCTCATCTATAAAATGGGGATATTAATGCCTACTATGTTGGCTTGCTACAATGATTCAATAATATAACATCACTAGTGTTCCATAAAAAGTAGTGGCTGGGCATGGTGACTCATGCCTGTAATCCCAGCACTTTGGGAGGCCTAGGTGGGCAGATTGCTTGAGCCCAGGAATTCGAGACCAGCCTGGGCAACATGGCGAGACTCAGTCTCTACAAAAAAAAATACACAAAATTAGCTGGGTGTGGTGGTGTGTGCCTGTACTCTCAGCCACCCAGGAGGCTGAAGTGGTAGGACCACCTGAGCCCAGGAGGTCAAGGCTGCAATCAGCCATGATCTCATCACTGCACCCCAGCCTGGGCAAGAGAGTAAGACCCTGTCTCAAAAAAAAAAAAAAATGCAGTGACTGTTAATTACTCTCCTGTAGGGACTGCTCAGGTCAGGTCTCTCTCGTAAGCTTTCAACCATGGCCCAGTGGTTGAAATCCTGGTGTAGTCAACTCTTAGCTCTGCGACTTAAAGACAATGAATGCATCAGTTAGATTTTGCCACACGAGAAATGACCACAAAATCTCAGTGGCATGCAACAATAAGCACTGATTTAGCCTGAATGACCATGGGTCAACCAAGAGTCGGCTACTCTAGGCGAGGCTCAACCAGGTGGCTCTTCTGATCCCTGTTGCCCCTGCTCACACATCTTCAGGTTGGCCAGGAAAGCTTGCCTGAGGTGGCTTTCTTCACATGTCTCCTATCCTATTCCTGGGATCAGCAAACTATATGTCCCAGCCCCTGGGCATGTTTTCATGGCAATGGCAAAAGTAGAAGTAGGTGAGCAAAAACATTCCAGGCTTCCACAGCCGGGTCTTGGCATAGGCACATCATCACTTCTGCCATACTCGATCAGCCAAAGTCAGTCTCAGAGTCAAACCTGAAATCAAAGACCTTCAAAATATTCCCCACCCCATTAGTGTGAGGAGCTGCAAAGTTACATAGGAAAAGGTGTGCATTACAGGGAGGCTAAAGAATTGGAAAGGATAACATGATCTACCATAGACTAGCTACATAATCTCTTAGTTGCTTTATCTATAAAGTAGGAATAATTGCTACCTACATCATGGGTTCTTTTAAATATTAAATAATATATTTATGTGCCCAACACACTGCTTGGCTGATAAGAAGCACTCAAGAAAAGTAAGCTAATATTTTTAGTCAGTGTAGTGGTAGCATGAGTAGGGTGGTGCTCTGTCATGCATTTTTCTACAGTGTTTTGGCATGCTTCATTCATTCATTTGTTTACTCATTTCTATAATATTAACTAATCACATAATTACCATGCACCACATGCTTTATCATTGTGCTGACCACACAAAAGGCTGAAATCAATTGATATTTGCATAGCATTTTTATACCCAGAATCAAACTGATCATTACAATTTTCCTTTAATATAGTTCTTATTATCCCTGTTAAATAAAAAATGAAACAAAATCTGGCTCATGATCTTAGTGATCTCTAGCAAACAAGCAGCAGGCCATAGATCAGAACCTCTTAAGTCAAGATTCTATATCCAGGTATCAGAGTTACTTCAAGTTGGGACCCTCCCTTCATGTCTCCTTCTCACTCCAAATTCATGGATTCTAAAATATTTGAGTGAAGCATCACAGTAATCCCATGCCACATTGAATGCTTGGCTCTGTCCCTTCTCTTTTTTATTTACTTATGACAGAGTTGTATTAGTCTCTTCTCACATTGCTATAAAGGACAATCTGAGACTGGGCAATTGATAAATAAAAGAGGTTTGATTGGCTCACGGTTCCACAGGCTGTACAGGAAGCATGGCTGGGAAACTTACAGGAAACTTACAATCATGGTGGAAGGTGAAAGCAAAGCAAGCACATCTTCACGTGGTCAGCAGGAGAGAGAGTGAAGGGAAAAGTGCTACACACTTTTACACAACCAGATCTCATAAGAACTCACTCACTATCATGAGAACAGCAAGGGAGAAATCCACCCCATGATCCAATTACCTCCTACCGGGTCCCTCCCCCAGCATTGGGAATTATGATCCAACAGGGATTGGATGAGACTTGGATGGGAACACAGAGCAAAACCATATCAGGAGTTCATGTCTGGCTTGTATCCTGAAGGATGAATGGGTATTTTCCTGGAGAAAGAAAGGGAAGATCAGAGAAGGGAGGGCATTACAGGCAGAGAGACAGTGTAAGCAAAGCCACATGGTGAGAAACCTCAAGGCACGTGTGAGAAAGTAAAGTTCAGTTATAAGGCATTAGTTTCAAGGTGGAGATGGAGGGAGATAACGTTGGAGACGCAGTCAGGCATTTTATGTAGGATGACTTTGTATGTCATCTGGAGAAGTTCGGATGTTAGATTATAAACAGTGAAGAGTCATTGGAAGGTTTTGAAAAGGGGCAGGATAAGGACTACTCTGAACTGCCTAATGGACCTCCTGCTAGCTGTGTGGGAAAGGGTTCTGAAGAGCATCACATCTTCACAAGGACACAGCCAGCAAGCATCCTTCCACCTGGCTTTTTTGTAGAGGTGAATTAGATGGAAGGGCTGAATTTGTTGGGGTTTGGCCTGTCCTTAGGAACAAATCAGATGAAGGGAGTCATTATACCAGCACAAAAGCAGGGCCTGATAAGAAGATCTGAATAGAGCAACACTGAATTACTGAACTGCAAGAAATCTAACAGGGTGTTTCATCATCCCCCTCATTACAGATGAGAAAATCATTGTCTACCTTACGAAACTGAGCTGCTTCAGGTCATATAGGAGCCTCCTAAATCCCAGACCTGTTCTTTCCTCACCCCCATTCAGATATCCCACCTCCTCTGAGGTCATACAGGGTACCCGAGTACCTGCTCTGTGCAGGAGCTACAGAAGTCAAAGGACTGGAGACCGCTATTTTTGTCTCAGTAACCCCAGAATACTATGAGTGGCAGCATCTCTGCTCCTCTTTCTAGGCATGACCCTAGGAAGCTCTACTCACCTCACACTCCTTGCACTCTGTGCCCCTGTGGAAGCCAAAAGGACACAGACATTAAGGGCATGCAGGGCCAGTATTAGCTATCCCAAGAGAAGAACAGAGTCCTCAATCCAATAGAATGTTTGGGAGTGACATGAAAGCTAGTGTTATATTAGGAGGTGACCGAGAAAAGAGAAGGTGGGATCTGTGGTTCTGAGAGAGCAAGATCAGTATTAGAACACATCAGAGACACCAGGAGACCAAATGAGGAGTCAACGAGGCAGCCCACCCTCATCTGTTAATCTGTCCAATGGACACTATCTTCATGGTGCAACCTCTATTGCAGTTTCTATTGCCCAGATATCTGAAAAGACTGCCAGCCCCTGCCTTCTACCTCTGAACTTAGTCTTCGCTAAGTTGAAGAGTCTTCAGCCTGAGTCCTTGGTTTGCACTTAGCGATCAGTGCATGTTACCTTGACCTTGCCATTCAAGGTCTCTGGGACTATTTCTCATCTAAAGGTCATATTAACATCGCCAGCCTACTCCTCACTTTCCACTTTAAATGTATTCACAATTATCCGATGTTCCAAGCAGAAACTGCACTTAAAATATATGAAAGGGAGGCACCTTTGCTATAACAAAAAAGTGATTGTTACCATGAATCTGAGGAAAAAGAGGGAGGATTTAAAGGATAAGTCCAAAGAAATACATCTGGGGTTAACAGACTGTTGGCAAATAATCTTTTCTTGTTTCCCCCTAAGGTCTATGGAAAGAAGTAGTGTATAATTAGAGGAAAAGCTCTTTTTAGAGAAAGATTAGCTGTGAAACAGGTAGTTCAAAAGGTAAAAGGCAGGAAACCTGCTTGTATTCCAGTTGAGTTGCCCCATAGGGTTTGTGCCAACTCTATGGGCTTTGAGACTCTGCTCTGAAAACAGAGGGAATTGGGCACGGTGATCCTCCAGCTCTAGGAGTCTATGATTTTAACCCAAAACCAGGTTGAGGAAGGTTACAAATCAAAGTTCATGACTGCAGAGGAACTCAGACTGTCTAGGTTTTATTTAGTCTCTTTATTATTTCTTTTGTAGCTTCTTTTTCTTTCCTTATGGTCAATCTGTCTTCCTATAGCTTAAAAAAAAAGCCACTCCCAGAGGAAGGTCTGCAAGTCAGTGGTAAAAAAGGAGATAAGAAAAATCTGTCCGAGGGTAACAAAGATGGTGAGAATCTAAGCAAACTCATGCCCCCAGCCCACTTCCTAGTAAGACATTCAGGGCAATTACAGAACTTCTCAGAGGAAACCAGGGTTCAGAACCACCCACAAATCAGCCCCAGGACTGCTCTGGCCTGTCTCCTGTTGCTAGCTGGCTTCACAGCCACTGTGTCAAGAGCTGCATCACACACAGATGCAGAGCCAGGCTGCTGCTCATATTCTGAGAGGGTCCCTTGGCATAGGAGTTGCATTGCAACAAATGAAAAATAAATGCTTCTGCTGAGAGCTTCAGTGGATGTCAGATTTCCTGCAGCTAGCTTTAAAATAAATCTAAAATCATTTTTCCACTGCTCCTCTTAGACATGTGAGTTTAGAGAATTTGGACATTCTAGGGCTAACTATAAAAACCCAGTGACTGTATATTACCTAGATACAACAAAGATTCTCCTTATAGAAAAGGAGCTCTTACTTATAGTACAATTTTATGTTCTAGGTACTAAGCTAAGCATTTGATCCTCACAGCTGTCCTCTAAGGAAGCACTTTTTTTTATTAACAGACTTTTTTTTTAGCAGTTTCAGGTTTATAGAAAAATTGAGTAAAGGTACAGATATGTTCCCTACTCCCACCTCCCACCTCCATTTCCCCTATTATTAATATCTTTCATTAGTATGGTATGTTTGTTACAATTGATGAGTCAATCTTGATACATTACTATTAAGTAAAATCCATAGATTATATTAGGATTCACTCCTGGTATACATTCTGTGGATTTTGACAAATACATAATGTATAGTCACATGTATCCACCATTACTGCACTATACAGAAGAGTCTCACTGCCCAAAAAAATCCTCTGTTCCCCACTCTCCACTCCGTCAAAACCCTGGCAACCACTCATTATTGTACTGCCTGAAGAAAGCATCTTTATCCACTTCTAAAGAGGAGGAAGCCAGATCTTAAAGAGGTTATGAAATTTACTCAAGTGGGAGAGCAAAGATGTACCTGGCACTGGCCGACCAGAATCAGTCTTCCCACTCTGCATTTATTACCCAACAGCCTATTCCTGAACACCGCCAAGGGGCCAGCCAGGTACAAGTGCAGGTTGTGGGAGCAATACAATGACAAACAAAGCAGCACAGATTTCACTCTCACCAAATTCATAGACTAGTGGAAGGCAGGCATTAAGTGAATTAGCACAAAAATAAATATCTAAATATAAATTGTAATAAACGTTTGAAGGAAAATAATAGGTCCTAAGGTATAATGACAATGCTTTCCAGGGAGACCTGGTATGTGTTGGGAGGAGGTGGTGGAGGTGAGGGATCTCAGGGAAGACCTCTCTGGAAAAGGATGAGAAGCTGTTTCTCTGAGTTAGGGGTGAGTGTGTTCCACAAAGAGAGAGCAGTTTTCATAAAAACGATGATGTAGGGTAGAAATTGTCTGTTCAAGGAAACCTTCACTCCCCCATACAAAGTGGTTTAAAGTCAGTTTTCTCAATTTATAGCTAGTCAAGAACACTTTTGAATAGGAAAGTTCATATAATGTAGAAAGTTCCATGAAAATTCACCCCCATTTCTCAGCACTAATAACTAATATTAAGTGTTTCACTACAAGTTTGATAGGTTTGAATTTAACTTTCACTACACCCTCCATCCCATTTTATAGAAAAAGAGACAGAGGCTTGGAAAGAAGTAACTACCAAGATGGCAAAGCAGGCTCCATACCATGCTTCTGCCATGGTGAAGGATAAATGTCCCACTCCCACATCAAAGAATCAGGGAGAAGCACAGTGCCTGGGCACAGAATGGTCATTGAATCAATATTTGAAGAAGGAATGGGTGAATAGCCAGTCAAGGGCTGCTGAGGTAGCAGCTCATTAGAGTAGACAGGGCAGTGGTTTTGAACTCAGACACTGAGGCCTTCCATTTCTACTCCAACCCCTCATAAACCAAATGGCCTTGTTTGTCTCCCTGGCCTCAATATCCTCTTCTGTTCATCAGTAAGCACAGAATACAAAAATTGCAAAGATAACCAATAAATCAAAATATTAGACATAGTAATACAATGGAAAAACAAAGGAAAAAGGGAGGGAAGGAGGCTAAATGTTATCTAGACTCCATTTGGTGGCACACCTCTGGATTCATGACTCCCTCAAACTGGCAGGTCAGTTGCACGCTCCTCCTTTTCTGACCATGACAGACATTACTATCTGATCACGGCACACTTTCTCAATGAGCCCACATGAGCCTCAGCACAGTGCTCCAGGCAGCAACACCAACACACCACCAATGACCCTCAAGATGAAACCTATTTGTGATCACAACATCATAAAGAGTCCTTCTTGAATATTAGCAGCTTCCAGTAAAAATTTGAGGAAAAGACTTAGATCTCACTGAAACAGTCTCAGCAACTCTGAAATTCTCCAGCTGATGACATTGCCTCAGTCTTTATAGGATGTCTCAACTGTACCTAGGGTCTTCACTGACTTGGCAGCACTCTCTTTTCAACTGCTTGTTCTGTTGCAAACACAAGTAGGAACTTATATGATCAGGACTTTTTCTAAGGGTTTTATAACTTCCTGACTAGGAAGCCTTTCCAAATGTACCAAAACATATTGTTCCCAGCTTCCAGCTCTTCATTGAGGCATCATGGCTACATTTAAGGAGTGGGAGGAGGAAGCATGAAAAATTCTGATCCCTGCCTTAAATCTTGTTCCTGGGCTTAGGGTAAGGAAGGAATCAGAAAAGGCATCACACATTCCACCAGCTTTCAGTTGCCAATGACTGTCTTCAGGAAGGGTTTTTTGTGGTTCACTTTTCCAAAGGCATAGAATATATTTTGACATCTATGAATATAGTGCATACCAATGTTTCTCAAAGCATAAGCCAAAAACTTTCTGTCAGAATCACCTGTGAGGCTTGGAGGGAGGGGAAGTGCTTGTCAAAATGCACATTCCCAGGTCTTGCCCCAAATCTACTAAATAAGACTCAGTGAGGGTAGGACTTGTGATTCTGCTCTTTAACAACTACCTTTGCTCACTGGGACTCAAAAGCCACCAGTTGGAAAAACAGCAATTCTCATGAAGACCAATGTCAGGACTACTTAGGATTAGGAATGAGTTCAGCTTCTACTCTGACTCTTACTAATTAGGCCTCCTTGGAAAAGTCAATTAAATTTTCTAAATCTGTGCCTCTGTACAAGAGACAGAATACAATGTTCTCCAAGGTCTCTTCAGCTACAACAGAGACAGAGAAAAACAAAGGTAGACCTCTAACTTCAATCCAGAAGAGATCTCTAGATCATCCAGTTTCAATTTTACAAATGAGTATTCTTCAGACAAAAGTAATTATGTAGATGCATGTGTGTTTCTTTTTTTAACAAACCCAGTATTTTTATAATTGAATTTTTTTTCCAAAGTTAAAATTGTCACATAAAAATCCTATTTCTGACTTTTCTTGAAAAACCATAAGGCCAAGCAACATGGCACCCCCATAGTACTCTTTGGCATTGGGACTTCTGGAGGGGAGTGGTATGGACTTTCCAGAATAACATAGGCTCCATTCCACCCCTACATTCCACAGACCTATTTCACCTGCTTACAGTACCTGCTTGGCCATGTGAGCACTGGGTTTGAGTCCCATTCCTTGTTTTACAGGTAAGTAAACATGGACTCAAAGTAGCTTGGTCAATGTCTCACTATCAGCTACAGGAGGCAACATTCAAACTCTCAGAAATTTCTTTTTTTTTTTTTGAGATGGAGTCTCACTCTGTCACCCAGGCTGGAGTGCAATGGCACAATGTCAGCTCACTGCAACCTCCAACTCCCGGGTTCAAATTCTCCTGCCTCAGCCTTCCGAGTAGCTGGGATTACAGGCATCTGCCACCACACCCAGCTAACTGTTGTATTTTTAGTTTCACCATGTTGGCCAGGCTGGTCTCGAACTCCTGATGTCGTGATCCACCCACCTTGGCCTCTCGAAGTGCTGGGTTTACAGGCACGAGCCACTGCACCCGGCCCAAACTCTCAGTAATTTCTAAAAACACAGTTTAGGGTTCACCTCCCCTATGAAGGTTTCTTTCATCCCCAGAAAAGTTATCCATGCAATGGTTAATGGACTCATCATAGTGTTCTGCAATTCGTTTTAATGTAAAAATTGTTAAATGTACAGCATAAGTGAGAGCTGCCAGCCCAATAGTCACTCTCTCACCAGTTTTATTTAAAGTAATGACATAAGCACTTACAATTCTACATTTCTCAGCTTCCCTTGCAGCTAAGAAAAGCAGTTGATCCAATTCTGGCCAGTGAGACATACGTAGAAGTTGCTAGGTGGCAATTTGGGGAAAAATCTTTAAAGAGAGGAAGTTTCACCTGGATTTGCCTTTTACTTTCCTCTTCCACCTGCCTTGATAGAGTCTGTTGGTAGGAATACAGTAGCCATTTTGTAACTGTGAAACCAAAAGCTTGAGAACAAAAGCCAACATAAACATGTCTGAGTGTAAAGAGAGACCACCTGGGTCCATGATGACATATAGGTGAAACCACTCAACTTATGGTCAGATAAAAAAATAAAACCAAAATTTTTTAAGACACTGTTTAGTTGAGTTTTCCATTAGACACCCCTGAATGCAATCTCTACCTATTCCATACAGAAAAATAAAAACATGCTCATTACCCCAGTGAACATGCATGAATCAACCATCCAGAATTAACAAATGTTGTTTTGTTATATTTGGTCCTGTTCCTTTTATTGATTTGTCTTTGAAATAGAATAGATACAGTAAAAGTTCCATTTGCTTCCCTTCCTAAGACTATTCCCCTCCTTCCTTCCCTGGAGTCAACCACAAACAGAGTTATTGTGTAAGCTTTCCTTCCACATTTTATATTTTATTGTGTCTATCTCCCTAAACAACTTGAGCATTACATATACCTGTGTGTGTGTACAAATGTATAAAATATCATTCTTCCACTTGAATTTATCACTGAGCCTCATGTTTTCTAGATCTAGCCATATGTAATCATAATAGATCAAATTCATTTCCATTTTTGTATAAATGTACCACAATCTACCTCCCACTGTTCCACTGATGACTCTTTTATATTGTTTCTGAATTTTCTTTATTATTGATAATGCTGCCCTACACCTTGAACATGTCTCTGTGAGGGTTTTCTAAGGTATGTGCCTAGAAGTGGAGTACCTGGGTCACAGGATATAGTTTCAACTATTCTAGAATTTGCTCAATTGTTTTTTTTTTTTTTTTTACAAGTCTGTCTCCTCTTCTAGACTGTAAGCTCCTTGAGTGTCTTGAATATAATGGGCTCCCAACTACTATTTGATGAATGAAATGATTTAATTTAGATAGCAGAGCATCAAGGAGTGGCTGAGGCTGATTTTAGCTCCACCCTGAATCCCTCCTCTGCCCAAGTCACCCTGGGTATACAGTGTTATGGGCTGGATTGCGTCCCCCACCCACCAAGCTCATATGTTGAAGCCTTAGCCCCCCAGTACCTCAGAATGTACTGGGGGATTGGGGCTTGAAGTAGGTGATTAAGTTAAAATGAGACCCTTAGCGGGGGCCCTAGTCCAGTCTGACTGGTGTCCTTATAGAAAGGGGAAATTTGGACACACACACAGACTCGAGGGATGCACATGGACCAAGAAAACACCGTGTGAGAACACAGAGAGAAGGTTGCCATCTGCGAGCCAAGGAGAGAGGCCTCAGGGGAAATCAAGCCTGCTGGCACCTTGATCTCAGACTTCTAGCTTCCAAAATTGTGAGAAAATAAATTTCTGTTTTTTAAGCCTCCCAGTCTGTGGTATTGTGTTGTGGCATCCCAAATATGTTAATATATAGACATAGTATATAAGCTAAAGTAATGCATTGTTTCCACAAACAGAGCTTCCAAACTCATTGCCACTCCAATGCCCTTCCTCTGTATTAATGCTGAAGTCTTCCTCAAACTCACATATCCAAACTTCTAGTTTAGTAGTCTTTCCACTGCACCACTAAGCTTCAAAACTATTCCATGAAATTTCAACCTCCATGTAGCTGGAACACATTCTAAGATGTTGATAAAAGGAAGACTGAAAAGATTAAACTTTAGACTCCCTGACCAGAACAGCTTTTAAAAATTGGGCTTTCTTACTAAATTGTCTGAATGAAGGACTTTATTAGTTCAAAAAAATTGGAAATGGCCCTGAAGACGTCGTAAAAATGACTTTCCAAGAAATTTCCAAGAGATTCAAGTTTGGAGGAAATAAAAAATGCACAACAAGGCAATTTTATTCACAATAGCCCCCCAAATTATAAACAACACAAAAGCTCATCAAAAGGGAAATGAATAACAAATTATAGTTTAGCCTGAAAATTGAATACTACTCAGCAATAAAAATAAATATTCTAAAATAAATAAATAAATATTCTACTTGTACACACCAAAACATGGACACATCTCAAGAACAATTTGCTGAGCAAAAGAAGCCAAATAGAAAAGAGTACATCAGTATGATTCCATTTATATGAAGGTCTAGAAAAGCCAAAACTACTCTATAGTGACAGAAAGCAGATCTATCGTTTCTGAGGCCAGGGGCAGGAGGGGAAGGACTTGCAATGGGGCCTTGGGGAATTGCGGGGGATAATGGAAATGTTCTGTATCTTGACTGTGGAAATGGTTTCACAGTGTACATATCTGTCAAAAGTCATCAAACATTACACTTAAAATTGGGCCATTTTAATCATGTAAATGTACCCCGAAAAGCTGATTTTAAAACAGTCAACAATTAGTATGCAACTTGCTCCTGATTACTCCATTATTCCTTTTTTTTTTTTTTTTTTTTTTGAGACGGAGTCTTGTTCTGTGGCCCAGGCTGGAGTGCAGTGGCGCGATCTCTGCTCACTGCAAGCTCCGCCTCCCGGGTTCACGCCATTGTCCTGCTTCAGCCTCCCGAATAGCTGGGACTACAGGTGCCCGCCACCATGCCCGGCTAATTTTTTGTATGTTTAGTAGAGATGGGGTTTCACCATGTTAGCCAGGATGGTCTCGATCTCCTGACCTCGTGATCCGCCCACCTCAGCCTCCCAAAGTGCTGGGATTACAGGCGTGAGCCACCGCTCCCGGCCTATTCCATTCTTAAATATATTCATATACATATATTTTTGGCATGTGACTTTGCATGCTTCAGTAAGCTCAGGAGCAAAATACTTCTTCTCTATTATGCGCACATTTTCTATCTTGCTGCTCCAACACATTTCTTCCCTCAATTCCCAGGTGATGTCTCTGTGGAGCTTCTCTTTACCAGTTTCCAGAGCTATTACTTCTACTTCTGCCTCCTTCTTCATTTAATTTGCTTGTCTTTATGTTGTTTTGGAACCCCCAAAACGCAGAATTATGTTCATTGTAATCCTTGCTTCAAGATACACTATCACCATCAGTCTATGCATAATCCTCTTTCATTCTATTGTATTTTTAAATGACATAATAAACACCCTGAACCTATTGCCCAATCTAAGAACTAGAGCATTACTTCTAATTGAGGTCTTTCCATGTGTTCTCCCAGTCCCATTTATTTAAGTCCCATTTAATAATATAATTGTCCCATTTAATATATATAATATATAATATATATAATTTATTATATTTATATATTTAATATATAACTTATATATTTAATATATAATTTAATATATTATAATTTAATATAAATTAAGTCCCATTTAATAATATAATTGAGATTATATTCACAGCATTTATTACCACCTTGCTTTGCTTTTTCTTTTTAGTTTTTCACTAAAAGTTTTCAAGTTTTTTCTTGTTCAGTTATCTAATTTTACTTATGTTTGACTTTTCTAAAATGGGTATCATGCTTTACTGGATATCCTGGGGTATAATGTCAATGTAACATAGTTAATCCACTGTAACAGATGCATTATTGTCCATTATGTACACACCCACAATATTTGGACCATCTTCTTTCTTGGACATTCAGGATGCTTCCAGGATTTTGCTATTATAAATAGTTCAGATATGAACATTCTGTGTTTGTCCCCTTGTGCACATATATATGGGTGTCTCTGGAGGATGTATCCTAAGATTAAGACTAGTGGGTCATAGGGCATGAGAATGTACAAATTTACAAGCTAATGCAAATTGCTTCTCAAAATTCTAAAGCTATTAGAGGAGAAAAAGTCACTTTTGTGATGAGGGAATAATAACCTTTTAGAAAAGTGTATCATACCTTCTGGATATATATAGTCATTTGTTAACATAAGAAAATTAGCCATATGCTATGTCTTACTTATCTTCTTCATAAAATTACATTTGGAACATTTGTGAATAAGAAAAACATTTTTTCATATTTTCTAGAAAACCAAAAGCTACCATCATTGACCTCCTTTAAAACTTTTAATAAGAACAATATGAGTAATAAAAACAAGTTGAACACTTTCTATGAGCCATGCCATGCCTTATTTATTGCTTTACAGGTCATTTAATTCTCATAACAGCCTTATTAAGAAGTTCCTATTACTGTTTCTACTTTACAGAAAAGAAGTTTGGGATTCAGACAAATAATTCTATTGAGTAACTAAACTAGCACTCAAATCCACCATCTTTTTCCATCGCATACCTGGTCTTCTCAAGCCTTACATATATCATGAAATTGGCATGTCCACAAGACACTTCAGACAGCTTTCTCTCAGGGTTTCATCTGGGACTGTGTCATCTTGAGATCCTGCTGATTATTTACTCATAAGCATGCCAAGCTTTGTGTACCTCTTGCTTTTCAACATAGCTGCCAACTATCAGCCACAGAATCTCCCTTGGAACCATATGCTCTCCACAGTGAAAACTCCTTCTGGATTTAAGACTCAACATACTCACTCACACACACACTCGCCCACTTTTCCTCCATTCCACTGAAGTCACTGCATAATCTTTATAGACTTTTCTTGGCTTGGTGTTATAGAACTGCACATTTTGGACAAATCACGTACTCTCTTTGAAGCTAAATTTTTGTTTTTGTGAAGGTCAAATGAGATGAGTGACAGTCCTTCAGATAATATCAAGTACTAAATAAAGCCAAGCTATTATTGATGCTGTCATCCCCCTTTCTTAGACCAATGTTACTTAAGCCCTGAACTAAACGGGCTTTACCCTGACATTTACAAATTCTGTCAGGACAGTGCAGCATACTAAAGAGAGGAAAAGCTCGAAGTAAAACACGTTTGAGTTCCAGCTAGCTCTTTAGCTTACTAGATGTGTGACTTTAAGCCTTAACAACCCCACCTTAAAAATATGCTTAACACTATCTAGCTCAGAAAGCTTTGTGAAGATTAAATTGTATGATTTATATAAAGCATCGATGGTAATCAGAATTCTAAGATGGTCCCCAAGATTGTTGCTGCCTAGTATACATGCCCTATACAATTACCTACATCGAATGTACACAGATCTCGTGAATATGATGGGATCTGACTCCTATGACTAGGTTACTAATAAACTAACTTTGAGTTAATAAAAATGGAGATTATCATGTGTGAGCCTCACCTACCAGATGAGTCCATAAAAGAAGTGTTAGGTCCTTTATGAAGGAAGAGGTTGAGAGAGAGGGAAAGACTCTGACTCTCCTGTTGGCCTTGAAGAACCAAAATGCCATGTCATAAAGTGGGCCACACAGGTAGGTCTGAAGGTGATCTCTAGGAGCCAAGACAGACCCAGCCAATAGCAAGCAAGAAAGCAGGGACCTCAGTCCCACAGCTGCAAGGAACTGATTTCTACCATCAAGCACAATGAGCTTGGAAGCAGATTCTTTCCAATCCCACCCTCCGGATGAGTACACAGCCTAGTCAATGTCCCCATTCCAAGGTTGTAAAATCCTGAATAGAGAACCCTGTTGGGCCACATCTAGACCCTGGGCTACAAAACTGTGAGATAAACAGGTGTTGTTTAAAGCTACTAAGTTTGTGGTTATTTGTTACACAGCAAGAGAAAATAAACATAGCACCTAGTACATGCTGTTTGCCAAGCAAACAGTACATGCTCAGTAAAAATAACATTTATCAATGCCCTCAAAAATATATTTGCTGTATCCAAAAGTAAATACGTTCTGTCTTGCTTCCTCATCTTCATGCACGTTACTTTACTGTACCTGGTATTCCTTTCTTCTTTACTTCTATCCAATTCTTCACCTAGCCAGCTCTTACTCATCCATGAGATCACACCTCTGTAAAGCTCTAGGTGGCTGAAGAGACTAAATCACAGGTTTTCAGTGACTACACTGGGATCACATACCCAGTTGCCAATAGAGCTGAGATCATAGCCTCAATTTCCTGATATCTACAGCACCTAACATCCCTTTGCCTCTCATTTTCTCCAGTGTCCTCCCAGCTGTATCCCTGAGGATGCCTGGTTTATCTTATACACCACCCTAGTTTTCTCCCTAGTCAACTTTTCTCAATAATTCTCTTAAAACAGGCATCTTTACCTGTTCTAGACTGAATGTTTATAATTCCACTCCCCCTCCATTCATATGTTGCAGCCCTAATCCTCAATGAGGCTGTATTTTGAGATGGGGCCTCTAGAGAACTAAGGTTAAATAAGGTCATAAGCGTGAGGCCCTGATCCAATAAGACTAGTGTCCTTGTAAGAAGAGAAAGCAGAGAACTCCCTCACTGTCTTGGTGTGTACACAAAGATGTCATATGAGCACATAGTAAGATGGTGGCCATCAACAACCCAGGGGGAGAGCCCTCGCCGGAAACCAAATCTGCTGGCATGTTGATTTGGCACTCCCAGCCCCCAGAACTGTGAGAAAATAGGTTTATTTTGTTTCAACCACCCAGTCTATGGTATTTTGTTATGGCAGCCTGGGCCAACCAAGACACTACCCCAACAGTGAGAGAAATAAAAGTCCAGTCCAAAGAAATCTCCATCCATACAATGTCAGAGTGTACCAGTGGGTCAAAGTATTCCCCATCAACATTGGTTGGTCTGGACCCGAAGTTATAAACAAATCACATCATTCATTCTATATCTCACCACATATCCACAGGAGGTATTTGTTAGCAAAACAACTTTTCAGCCTGGAAGGTGACTTTTATTTTCACAATTTATGGGAATAAAAACTAAATGGCATAGTCAGTTGCCCCATTAAAAATCCACTGCTAGTTCTTGTCACAAGCAAACATGATTTTAAAGGTGTTTGGTCCAGGTGGTCCTCAAATATGATTTAGATATCAATGTTGTATAAGCCAAGTCACTGTTTATTGTACCATGCAAGCTGGCTATTGAGAAACTTTTTGTGAGGAAATTCAGGTTCCTGACCAGGTACTCAAGGCTCTCTAAACATTCCCTTACATGAGTAACCAGGAAGTGGTGCAACACCATGGTTGAGGGAACAAGAGATGCTTTCTCAGGAAAGGGACCACCCAAAGCTGTCATGATTATTATTTCCCAGTGTATTTGTTAGACATTTATTTTGTGTTTGTTCCCAGCATATTTATTAGACATATATTTCGTGACAAACATTTTGTTAAACCCTAGGGCTATAGACACAGTCCCTATCCTCAAAAACTGAAGTTCTGATAGGAAGTGGAGAAGTACACCATCATTGCAATATGGGTAGGGTGTACAGTGTTATATTGAAAGTGGGTTTGACCGTGAATAATGACACTGAGGGAAGACTCTCACTCTGATGAATTATATTGCTTTTTACAATGCCAGTAGGTGGAAACGCCAAAGTAACAGACTCCAGTTGGAAAAAACAAAAAGACTTTGCTAATTGTCAGAGCTGTCCAAAAAGGAGATGGACAAAAGGAAGTGAGTGTCTCTTCCCTGAAAATACTCAAGCTAAAACTGAAACCCTATGGATACAAGAGAGTTTAACATAGTACTCAAAAGTGTAGGTGTTAGAACAAAATTCTCCATCTTGGAACTATTGATGTTTTGGCTGTTTTCTTTGTGGGGGAAATGTCCTGTGCCTTGCAGAATGTTTAGCAGCGCCCCTGCCAGTAGTACCCACCTATTCCCAGTTGTGACAAACAAAACTATCTCCAGACATTGCAAAATATCTCCCAGGGCTGAATTGAGGAAGGCAAGGGAGTGTCCCTCCTGGTCGAGAACCTCTGGAATAGAGGAAATCAGGAATGAGTTTGAATGTTGGCTGTAAAATTTTCTTGCTGTGTAATCTTGCACAGGCCACCAATCTCATTAAGCCCCTGTTTTCTTTTCAATAAAAATGAGATACAGGGCACCACCTCACAGCTTGGAGGGAGGAGTTAGGAAATATTGAAGGTAAAGTGCTCAACAAATTATAGCTACAGTTATTGTCGATGTCAAGTTGGCAGCCGCTGAAGGCAGAGGAAGAGTAGATATCCCACATTTAAGGTTTTTTCCAAACTGAGATTCCCTAATTCTAAGTGGAAACAACAACTAATTCTTTTATCTAGATTCATATTTTTCTTAAATACAGCTTCTTTGAAAAATATGTAAAATGTCTCACTGCAAGGAGACAGAGATTTTTCATTACATTCGGGTAATGAAGAAACATTCGCTGAGTTAACTTGAAAATCCAAATGCACTGTATTTTGAATATATTGTATATTCTGTATATTGCTAGAGCGGAGGTTCTTATCTCCCATTCATTCTTCCTAATTCCACCCATGTTGATGTTCCCCACGTTGCAATAAAAGACTGTAGGAAGTGTGCTCACAAGCTGTCCACTGCATGCCAAGCACAGTGCTGAATATTTCACACACATCACCTTGTTTAATCCAAAGAGAAGAATCACTTTCTACCTAGCATCTAGATGAAGAAGAAAAAAAAGCCCATCTTTGATGCTCTTTGATATAGTTTGGATATTTGTCCCCTCCAAATCTCATGTTGAAAGGTGATCCCCAGTGTTGGAGGTGGGGTCTAGTGGGAGGTGTTTGGGTCATAGGAGTGGATCCCTCGTGAATGGCTTGGTGCCCACCCTGCACATTACAGTGGATGCTTGCTTGGTTCGTTCACAGGAGAGCTGGTTGTTTAAAGAGCCTGGCCCCTCCTTTCTCTCTCTTGCTCCCTCTCTCACCGTGTGACATGCCAGCTCCTCCTTCGCCTTCTGCCAGAAGTAAAAGTTTCCAGAGGCCTCACCAGAAGCTGAGTAGATGTTGGTGTCATGCTTGTACAGCCTGCAGAATCATGAGTCAAATAAACCCCTCTTCTTTATAAATTACTCGGACCCAGGTATTCCTTTATAGCAACACAAATCAGACTAACACATGCCCTCACCTATTTGCCAAACTTATTTTCCCACCTTTAGGATCCCCTTCTTGTATAGACATTTCTCTTTCATAAGCTTTAGGGCCATTCATGGAAAGATTTAAGTCATATATAAGAAGAATTTTAAAATGTTTACTTCAATGACATTCATTTAATCACCAAATATGTGTTGTGCCTTTATGAGCTGGGCACTATACTAGGCATTACGGTTTTAGGGAAAGATTCTATATAATCCTGAACTTCAAAGAACTCACAGTGGAGTTCCCAACCCCTAGATTCTAATTCAATTGGTTGAGAATCAGGCATTGGGTTTTTAAAATTTTTCAGGCAATTCTAACGAACTGATAGATTTCAGAACTACTATACTGTATTGAAGCTCTCTGTATAGCAGACAGACCGCACTTAATCAGCTAGACATTCAAACACAGCAGATGCAGTAGTGTCTATAAATATTGGCTTCACTCCTAAACCATGGATGTATCTGTTTCAGAGATCTCTGAGTTCCCACCCAGGTCAGAGAGTCTGCAGTCAAACCACTGCAGCAACAATCACAAAAGGATCTGACATTTGCTCTTTTATTGTGACTACTTAAAATACTCTTGCGGAAAATCTCTGTCACCGATCAAGCAGCTAAACTTCCAAATTCAGCAAATTTGAATTATTCATGATATGAATTATATGTAGTCATTTGGGAGAAACATATCTAAAGTCATTTTCTTAAAAGCAATGTTTCGACAAGGACACAGAAACTTTTTGGGTAAGTCATAAATTTCACCAAATGCTATATAAGGTTATTTTATTGGCCTTATTTCCCCCCAAACAATTTGGAGGGTAGGCTCCCTGAAGGCAATCAAGATAGCTTCTCGCATGTGCTGGGAAATGAAAACTTGAATTACAATTCTCATTGTCAGGAATAATTTTTTTCTAGTTGTGATTTGTGGATGGTTCTGGGGATCAATCACTGTCTAGCAAAACGGGCCAATTCAGAGGAGTGGGTGTTTTTTCACGTTATTTCCTCCTTTCTGTCAGATAATTTAGATAGTGATGGAGTGGAGGTCAGAGAAAAAGGTATTTTATTTCTTATGAAAGAAAAATGCATCCCTCCATGTCTTATAACCACAGTTAAGTATATCAGCACTACAAATAGCAACTAGCCTATAAACTGGGTAGTGGTTCACCAGAAAAGAAAGTTTGGCCAGTGTAAGCTCATTGGCTCAGAACTAAGAAAACCTTCATGTTTGTATACTGTTTGGAGAGCTTGTTTAATTATACCTGCCTTTTGTTTGTTTCCCCAGATTGGACAGGACAAAGTCACATAAATAAAAATGAATACCATCAATGCACATTTTAATTCTCTTCTGTCTTTTTTCTACTTTTGACATCTGTGTGTATTTCAGAATAGCCCCAGTCATTGCCTCATAAGAATGACAGAACATGGATGGAGAAGGTCCAGGAAAAAATAAATGAATGACCAAAAGATTTGGCAAGCTGCCATATGAAGACAGAGAGTCAACAAAACAAAACAAAATGCCACGGGCTGAAAAGGGATATGGTTGAAATCTATTAAACTATTACAGATGTGGACGTATAGTTGGTTCAGCAAAAATCCCAAATACCAGACTTTGAGAATACCCACCTTGAATTCCCGAGGAAGAAATTTATACAATGAACTGTATAGTGATTTCTGATAGACAAAGCAGGAGTCCTATGAGACTAGATTTTATTTCAAAACTAACAACCCTAAAGCTTTTAACTGACCTCTGCCAAGGTTGCTTTGCTAGTATATATGAATATAAATCATAATAACACCTACCATTTGTTAGGTTTTTACCATGCACTGGCTACTATGTTAAGCATTTCCATGCTTTATTTTGCTCTTTTAATTTCACAACAACTTTTGAAAATTCAGTACTGTTATTATCTCCTTTATACAGTGAGGAAGCTTAGACTTAAAGAACCATGTGAACATCTCAAAATTACATGGCTTGTGTGTAATGGAAGGAATTTTGTAAACCAGGCCATCTGATTCCAATATTCATGCTGATCAGGCCAACTAATTCTAAAACCCCCAAGCCATTTTACTTCAGTGTATATGTGTGTATGTATGTATCCTAAAAAAGGATTTGATTAGAGCAACACACACTTAGTAAGTGGCAATTTTGAGGTTAAAATTTAAGACTTCTGAATACAAGCTTATGATTCTTTCCTCTAACCCACAGTTACTTTATTTCAGACAAACAAAGGGGAGTTTTTACATGGTAGGTAGTAAAGTAAGTAAGCCTTGTTAACTAAAAGTAACAGTTCAGGCTAAAATATTAAGTAGCTTCATGAAGTGTTGAGATATGTTTATGCTTGACATGGGTTATCAAGAAAAGTTGGGACATTGGAGCACATCTTCATCAAGGAACATAGCTGTCCCTCTCATACCATAGCCATTGCCAGAGACAGCTGTCCAGCTCATAGGTACAGCATACGAGTTGTTCTCACAGTTCTGGAGAACAAAAAGTCAGAATTGCCCAAAGCAAAATAGAAATATGGTCCAATAGAGTTGCTTCAGCCTTTAGATGGGACCTGGTTACCAAATTACCATGAGCAACTTTATCAAGGCCCAAGATCTATCGAAATTACACAGTCCTCCATTTCACTCTGGCTATAAGACTTCCTTGAGAAGGAAACATAAAGACCTAGAGTCCAGCGTTCCTTACATGGACACAGTTTCCTCCAGGTATGTACCTGTGCTTACTTGCTAGTCATGGACAACGACCCTTCCTACTTCATGCCTTTACCTCTGTTGTTCGGTTGGCTCAGGTCTACTCTTTCTTTTTGAGATGGAGTCTCGCTCTGTCACCTAGGCTGGAGTGCAGTGGCATGATCTCAGCTCACTGCAACCTCCACCTCCCGAGTTCAAGCGATTCTCCTGCCTCAGCCTCCTGACTAGCTGGGACTACAGGTGCTCACCACCACGCCCAGCTAATTTTTTTGTGTTTTTAGTAGAGACGGGATTTCACTGTGTTAGCCAAGATGGTCTCGATCTCCTGACCTCGTGATCCTCCTGCCTCGGCCTCCCAAAGTGCTGGGATTACAGGCGTGAGCCACCACACTCAGCCTCAGGTCTACTCTTTACCTCTCAGTCTTTGCATGCTTCTCTCCATTCTTGCTTTCTTAGAAATTTGGATGGCTCACTCTGATTCATCTTTTCCCATATCCACAAGGATTACAGAATTCCAAAGGATTAATGAACCTAGAAAAATCTAATAAATACAAAAGCTTCAGCAAAATAAGCTTCTTTCATCTGTGGCCTTGAATTTAAGACTTATTTTGGCACAGTTTCATGGGATACATTTGTTCTCTGAAAATATTCATTGTTTTTAGAGCAATGTATTGCCATTAACAAAAATATAGAAGAGTATCCTCGAAGCCATTTAGTTATTCAGCAAAAATCTAGGGAACATTTATTATGTGTCATCATGAGTGAGGTATTATGGGAAATATGAAGATGAGCAAGACATCACTCCTGTCCTCAAGGCAAATTCTATCTGGTAGAGGAAACAAGTCTCCTTAGTGTTCTAGCCACTATAACGTAGAGTAGAAAGTCAGCAGGTGAAGAAATCATATTACCATTTTGCTGTTCTGCTTATTAAATAAGATCATGTATGTAAAATTAAGTGCTACAGGAGGCCAAAGACAAGCTTCCCCCCACAAGATACAAGGACCACAAGCCACGTGGCAGTGGAAGTATGAATGGCTAGGAGGAGATCTCAAGAAGCTATATGTGACATAATATTTCAAAATGCATTCAAGACAAAAAGCTGATAGTTTCCTAAAAAAATGACATTTTTTCCTACCCTCACATCTCTCCTTACTCTCCTGCAATGAGTCTGAAAGACCTTGCTGTTTCCTAGAAACCTGGCCTGTAACACAGTTAAGAATCCATTTTATGGGAGAAGTCTAGAGTCAGAAAGTTTAAGAAAGGAGAAGATTGTCCCTTTGAGAAGATAAGGTAGTAGTTTTGTGTTTTTGCTTGGGAGCCCAGAAATGTCAAATACTACCTCTGCTTGTGGCCCAAAATGCACAGAACAGGAAGGAAAGATGTTCAACAAAACTCAAACTCCAATAAGCTCTACCCCCACAGCCCAGGATAAGAGCATCTTGGGATCAGTGTTCAGCAAACATTATTCCATTCAATGTGTGTTTCCTTCAGCTGCTGGGTGGAGTTTATTGATAACAACGAGCCCTGGGCAGAGGGCCAAGCTACAGCAAGCAAAGAGGAGGAATTGTTTGAATGTGACACCCAGTGCCCTCCCTGTCTTCTCATCCCTCTTCTATCTACATGCAAATTCTGACTTTCAATATTCAGGCAGGGGACCTGAACCATTTAGTTGTATTTGTTCTTTTTTCTTTGTAATTTCCACACTTCTGCATTGAAAGAAGGAAGCTCTAGAGATAGCAACGAGCATTTCAATAGGGCTTCATCTATCAAACATTCTTCACATGCATTTCACATCTCCTGTGCTCTTGGCAACACTCCTGTGGGGTCCATTCCATCCATCCAATTTTATGGATGAAGACTTAAGACTCAGAGAGAATAAGCGACTTGCCCACACTGACACCATAATGGATGATGTGGGATCCATTGCATCCATCCAATTTTATATAAGAAGACTCAAGGCTCAGAGAGAATAAGGGATTTATTCACCATAATGAGTGATGTGGCAACACAAACAACCCTAACTCCAACCTTTACATTCCCTTTTCTATACCACAAGGCCTCCGCTGTAGTTTGAATGTGGCATGTCCACACCAAAACTCATGCTGAGACTTGGATCCCAATGTGGTGGTGTTGGAGGGTGGGTCCTTTAAGAGGTGATTAGGTTATTTAAATGGATTAATGTCTTTCCCCCCAGACTGGGTTAGTTCTCTTGGGACTGGATTAGTTCCCATGAAAGTGAGTTGTTGCACAGTGAGATTGCCTCTCATGTTTTGCCCTTTCTCATGAGCCCAGCTGCCCTTCTGTTTCTCTGCCACATTTTGATACAGCACAAGGCCCTCACTAGAAGCCACCAGATGCAGCCCTCAATCTTAAACTTCCCAAACTGCAAAGCCATGGGCTAAATAAACCTCTCTTTTTGTAAACTACCCAATCTCTAGTGCTCTGTTATAGCAACACAAAATGGATTAAGGGAGACTTTCTACTGAAAACAGCATGATTCCAGTTGTTTGAGAAAGCAAATTGAGCAAGCAGGAAATAAATTCCTCAAGGTGAAATAACTCAATAAGTCAAAAATTATGTACTCCTTAATGTAGTATCAGTCAAAGGAAACAGCAAAGGAGGAATATAGGAAGTCTTTGGGGACAATAGGCTTCAAAAAAATTCAAAGAAAATATAACTGATTCTAACTTATTTATTCCTCTCACTCCTATCTCAAAGACCTTGGTTTTTCCTCAAAAATATTTGTACAAAAAGCATGCTTAGCTAAGAAAATGATTGCAGGCAGGCTGTGTAATTTCATGCCTCTCAAAGTAATCATCAGAAGGTCATCCTTTATAAGAAAAAAAACAGCCTTCTGGATTATTTATGGTAAGAGCCACCATGAGCTGAGAGCCTGCTTGGGGCCAGGCACTGTTAGAGAGGTCCACAAGTGGCTCATTTGTTGAGGAATGCAGATGGTTTTTTGCTACTTCTCAGTAGCCTTTCACACTGTGAGATGGCTGTGATTAGGAGCATCACCTAAGGGATTGCAGGTCAGAACAGAAAAAAAACAACTGACTGTAGGCTTCAGCCTCACCAACTTTGCCCACCAGGTTGCCTCTCCAGCTGTAGATACCCTCCCGCTTGCAACTTCTTCAGAGGAGAAATCCTACACCAATGGGCAGTGCATATCTACAAATTCAGAGCCCCCAGTCTTACAATGAAAAAAATAGAGAAACCCAAATTAAGGGATATCCCTACCAAATGTCTGACCAGTACTCTTCAAATCTGACCAGGTCATGGAAAACAAAGCAAGACTAAGAAACTGTCACAGACCAAGGGAGACTAAGAGGACATGATGACTAAATGTAAAGTGGTACCCTGGGTGGGCTTCCAGAAAAAAAGAAAGACATCAGTGGAAAAGCTGGAAACTCCAAATAAAATCTGGAGTTTACTTTAGAGTAATATATTATACCAATGTTAATTTCTTAGTTATGACAAATTACTATGGTAATATAAGATACCAATAGGAAAACAAGGAGAGGGATATATAGAACTCTCTGGATGATCTTTGCTACTTTTCTTTAAATCTAAAAGTATTTCAAAATTAAGAGTATATTTAAACAAACAACAAAAAAGGCAATGCAAATATTTATTCAACACCTACTAACCACCAGGCACTGTTCTATACACTGGGGTTACAACAGTGAACAAAATGAGCTTTGTCCCTACCATCATGGGACAGAATCTAGTAGGAAACAACTACCACCTGAGCAGCCCCAAGTGCCTGGGCCCTCTAAGGAAGACTTTCCTCTAATATCAATGTAAAATTACTCAAGCCCTATTCCTTACCAGCCAAGAGAAATTCAGTCCCCTCATAACTATTTCTGAAAATTCCTTTGGGTATAAAAAGATGGCGATTATCACCTCTTGTTAGTTGCTCCAAATTCCAGCTCAGGCTACTACAACACCATCTATGGCCTTCTGGACACCTGCTCTTTCTGGCTCTTGTCCCACTGCTCTACATGGACACAGCCTAATCCCACTTCCTTCATTCCTACAATATTATTAACTCAAGTAGTAATCGCCTAATATTAGACTGCAAATATCACTAAGCTTAGAGTCCCCATCTCAGATGAAGGGTCCCTCTCTGACATTAGGCCATCTCCCTCTTAGGGCTTAACCCAGAACTGGGACTGGGTCCCTTCTCCCTGTACCAACTCCTTCCCTAATGTGTTAGTTAATATTTTAAGTATTTCAAGTATCAACCTGACTGGGCCATGGGGTGCCCCAGATACATGGTCAAACATTATTTCCAGGGTGTCTGTGAGGGTGTTTCTGGATGAGATCAACATTTGAATCAGTAGACTGAGTAAAGCAATTGCCCTCCCCAGTGTCGGTGGGCTTCATCTAATCCACTGAAGGTCTAAAAAGAATAAAAAATTGGATAGGAAAGAATTACCTCTGTCTCTGTCTGACTATCTTTAAACTGGGACATTGTCTCCTTGCCTTCAAACTCTGACTTGGACTAGAACTTACACCATTCAGTCTCCTGGGTCTCAGGCTTACAGATCCTGAAACTTCTCAGCCTCCATAACTGCTGAACGGTTTATGATAAATTTCCTTGCACATCCTTTAACTTATCTTAATTTTAAATAAATAAGTAAATAAATCTTGTATTGTTTCTATTTCTCTGGAGAACTCAGACTAATGCACTTATCTAGTAAATCTTCTCCTTTCTAACCCCCTTACCTCTTCTCTCCTGTGTCTGCCTATTGCAGGGCAGGAGGAAGGACACAAAAATTCCTATAGCTTCATTATGCAAAGGAATTTTAACATCTTCTTTGTTTCAGCCATTGGCATCCAGACCCTCTCTGGGCCTTCTTATGGAAAACAAGGTGTCTACTAGGCTGTTTTCCTGAATAATTGAGTGATTCTCTCTCCAATCATATTTTTGCCTTTATCCTAGTCTTAATCAGGCAAGAATATAGCAGTCTTTAGATTGGTTGATTTTTGTCTTTCAAATTAGCACCACTTATTCTCCACTGTTAACATCACTGTGTCAGAGGTAATTAATGGTAGCTACCTCTTCCTTAGAATTTTATAAAATGCTTTTATAAACATTGTTTCAGATGCTCCTCACATAAATTATTTGGAGCAGGTATTACCATCTCCATTGATTGAGTGATGGCTAAGCTATTGCAACTGGTAAGGGAGAAATCTAAGACTGACTCTGGGATTTTAGATTATGAGGCCAATGTTTGTTTCACTATGTATAAGCGTATTAGTCACACACACACTAACACAGAAACTTGGAAATCTCAGAGTTGGAAGACATGGTAGAGACAACAGATCTGGATCAGCTACCAATACAGGAAATTTCTCCACAGTGTCCCAAGTCATACAGGAAACATCAAGGGGGCCAGTGTGTATGGAGTTCAGTGAGTGAAAGGGATAAAGAGAGAAAGAAATCAGAGAAGTGGCTATGGGCCAGATTAAGTAGGAAAGGCAGTATTTGAATCTTCCTGAGTTCTCCCCCAGAGTGTATGAATTTCACCTCTGCTCTCTGCACCCTGCAGGCATGGAGAGAGAGAAAGGACCTAGACAAACAAGCATCAATAATCTCAGAATACAGACAACCTGGATATTCAGCTATTGCAGTCAGAATTTTAAAGAAAATTGGTACATCCATTTTTTTAATGTCATCTAAGTGGAACTTAAAATGTAGAAATCTTGCTGTTTGGATATGTGATGTAATTCAGAACTGAAGAGAAAAACGATGTCTCCCTGGGGTCAAAAGAAAATCTGATACACAAGTTATTAAAAGCCATCCCTTAAGTCTAAACTAAATTTTTCCTGCTGTCGTTTAGACCATTTATTCTCATTTTATTCTAACAGAAGGTAATAAACCAGGGTATTTTCCTTGTAAAATACCCTCCAAGGAACTGCATTTCCAGGAGAAATTCTGCCAGGTCACATATGACAAAAGAATAGAGCAGCCTGCTCCAAATGCACATCCCCAGCTGCTCACACAGACACACACATGCATACACACACATGCACATGCATAGACAAGCAACAACGACTGCCGGGCTGTCAGGCTGGGCGCCACGCGCTTCTCACAGCATGTGTTCAATGCTGCATGTAGTAATCCAAAAAGGGGAAGAGCTCTCTTCCAAGCCCAAGCCCTGACCTTCCCCTCCCCCACACACCTACCCTTACACTGCTTCTCTGGCAGCACGACCCCTGCTCCAGGTGAACAGCCCAACTGCTCAAGGTCACCTGACCTTCACAAACACCATGAGGGAACAAATCTCCGCATGCACACCCCACCCATGGCCAAGGTCACAAGGCCCCATTGGACATTATCCTTGGTGCAGATGTAAAGATTCCAGAGTCTTACCCAAGTCATTGAGAATGTTCACTAGTCCTCCAATCATCACACATTTTCTTCTAACTCCCACACTTAGAGGCATTCTCTTTTCCTACTAGTTTTCTCTCCTTTCACAACCAGGTGTGCTGGTTCATTTGTGCCTCCAGATCTGTTTTCTGTCCTATGAGCCTTAAGAGATCAACACCTCTGGGGGAGCTGTGCCACCCAGGCTCCCTTGTCCTCAGGTTTTACATTGAGTATGACTGAAAGGGACAGCAGCAACAGGAGAGAGACCAAGGTGTTTCTTCCCTGTCCTGGTCCTGCCTGAACACTGCAGCTCCTGCTAATCATCCCCTCCATGTTCTTGTTAGGTTTCTTAACACTATTTCCTCTCTTTGTTCCTTGAGTCCTAGAGGTGGAAACAGCTTCACACTGTTCCTAGTCTCTGGGAGCATCAGCATCCTTTATTGATTTCCTTAACCCCAACCACATGGCTATGGGTAGGTCCTTTATTAAAAGCTTTTTCTAGAACCTTACTAACATACCAGACCTAGTCCATTTTCAGGCCCTTCAGTAACTGAATAAAGATGATCACTTTTCCTTCGGGGCATGAGTCCAACCCAATTTTCTCATTTCTATACTGATTTACAGACAACCGGTCAATGTTCTTGAGGCTCCACCCACATGATTTCTTTCCCTTGGTCCTGACACTCAGCTTCTTCCTGAATCTCTCTAAAATTGTTCATTTATTCAAATAAGATTTACTGAGGACTTAAGGATATTAGCCACTGTAAATACAATAGTGCAGAAGACACAGTCCTTGTTTTCAAGTGCTTGCTTTCCAGGGAAGGAAACAAAAAATGAATACACCAGAAAAACATTAAGAAGAAACAGAAGAAGAACAATGTAACTCAATATAAGGGACAACTAATTTAATCTTGGGGAACCAACAGAAGTAATGCCCAGCGTGAGATTTAATGAATAGGAAAGTACTCCAGGCACAGTGGCTCACGCCTATAATCCCAGCGCTTTGGGAGGCCAAGATGGGGGGATCACTCGAGGCCAGGAGTTCGAGACCAGCTTGGGCAACATGGCGAAACCCCATCTCCACTAAAAATACAAAAATTGCCAGGCGTGGTGGCAGGTGCCTGTAATTCCAGCTACTCAGGTGGCTGAAGCAGGACAATCGCTTGAACCTGGGAGGCAGAGGTTGCAGTGAACCGAGATCCCATCACTACACTCCAGCCTGGGAGACAGAGTGAGACTCTGTCTCCAAAAAAAAAAAGAACAGGAAAGTATGATGCAGGAGAAAGGTAACTAGTAAGACAGAAGGGAACATGAGCAGATATTCTGAGACAATGTGGCACAGAGAACTGAGAGTGCAGAGCAAGGATAGTGCAAGAGAGAGTAAGGAGAATGAGCTGGGGAGAGATGAGGCAGATCACAAAAGCTTGTAAGGAGCTGGACTTTATCCAAAGAGCAATATGAATAATGATTAATAGCAATGTGATAGATCATTGAAGGGTGTTAAGGTGAAAAATACCACAATCAGATATTTTGGGAAGAAATCCAACACAGTTGTAAAGTAGAGAATAAACTGGAGGGAGCAAAACTAATCTAGGCACAAAACGGTGGTGGCCTGACCTAGAGAGTTTCAGTGAAGATTGGAAGAGGTGGGCAGGATTATAAAAATATTTAGACATTGGGGTTAATAGGACTTGGCGATGTCCGAGTTGAGGATGTGCGAGATGAGGGAGATGAAGAAACCGATAGTCACACCCAGAAATGGTTTAAGCAAGAGTGTGCTGGAACCACTCCCAATGATAGAAAACACAAGGGGAGCAGAAGGCCAAGGGTTAATATTCCCTAATAAATAAAAGTGATCACTAATAAGTAAAATATTCCCTAATAAATAAAAGTGATTCTGGTTTGAGGTCCAGCCAGATCTCAAACTCAACCTCCTTGAGTTTGAGATTCTGGTGGGGATGTTTATAGAGTCAGTTGAGTGTACAGGTCTAGTGCTCAGGAGCGACAGCTGGACTGAGTTTTCCTTCCCTATTGCCCTGTACTGAGATCTGACCCTTCCATTGCCTTTGCTTGCTTTGAGGGTATTTCCAGTGGTTATCCCTAAGCTTTCCTCTCCCCTTACTTTGCTCAGAGTCTTCATTACTTTTTAAAAACCTGGCTTTCTTTTATTTATTATACTTTAAGTTCTGAGGTACATGTGCAGAATGTGTAGGTTTGTTACATAGGTATACACTTGCCATGGTGGTTTGCTGCATCCATCAACCCGTCATCTACATTAGGTATTTCTCCTAATGCTATCCCTCCCCTAGCCCCCACCCCATGACAGGCCCCAGCCTGTGATGTTCCCTGCCCTGTGTCCATGTGTTCTCACATGGCTTTCTTTTAAAATACCTTAATAATCTTTTCCAGAATGTCTAAGTTTTAATTTCCTTGTAATGTCAATCATTGACATAACCAACTTGCCTCATCAATCCAGAATTCCTATTCTTCTTACCCACCACCAACTTCCACCTCTGGGCTGACATTGAACGCCTGCCTTCCAAGGCCCAAGAAGCAACCATTTCCCCATATAAATGTAATTCAAGTTCAGTTCCCGACTCCAGCCAAGGTGGTGACCCCCAAGTCCCCTTTGACGTTTGAGTAGGGATTATTTTCAGTAAGCTGTAGCCAGATGAGTAAAGATAAATGTTCCCACCTGGAGGTGAAATCAATCATTTATTTAGCAAGTGAAGGGGTCCTGCTTGGAGAGTAAAACATGATGGAAAGAAACAGCATCTTCTGCTAAGAGCAGGTGTACCTAAGCTTACAAATACTCCCATCCCCTTTCCCATTGAGTTTGCAACCCTTTCCCAAGGCCCAGGAAAAATCTAAATCAACCTTCCTTCAGCCAAAGCCAAATCCCTGCCAAGACAGTGACAAACATGTTCATGGGCCAAAGCTAAGTCTTCAGCTCTGCTTTTCTCATCAGCTACACCTGTGGCTGAGCCCTTGATCTCTCCCCAGTGACAGCAACCAGCTAAGGAACACACAGGACTCATTAGGAACTGGACATCAGTGTTCTCTTTCCTTGTTGGCCAATACCTCTTATTCACTTCACTTTGGTTCAACATACATTCACTGAACACCTATTATGTGCCAGGTTCTGTGAATAGCTCTTCGCATACAAAAAATATGAGCAAAGTTACCTCTGCATTTAAAGAGATAACTGTTTGGAGGGGAATAAAGATGTACACTATGTCATCATAATATATTGTGATAAGTAGTGTATTCTAAATGCTAGAGGGATATATGTGAGGAAGCAATAAATCCTTCCTAGGATGATTACAAGTGAGGGAGGGAACATTAGGGAAAAGTAAAAGGAGGGATGGAATGAAGAGTATGGCAAAGGAAACAGGAAACAAATGTGCTGTGGCTGGAGCCTGGGGCTTCATTTGCCATGGTGAGGAATGAGCTTCAGTCTGTAAGCACAGAGGAGCGCTGAGCGTAGTCAGTCTCAGTTTATAATCCTTAGACCATGGAATGGAGCCACTCAAAGTGTGGTCCACAGACCGCAGCCACAGATACCAACCCACCAAAGTAAGTAGCAGAATTGAAAATGAGCCTTTAGAAACTTCACAATGACATGACATTCAAGCACGTGATCAGTGGGCTCATAGCAGGATGCAGACCAGGTCGAGTGTGGTCACACTTCTTGGGTGAGTCTCACGTGGTTTGAGCTGGGAGCCAGTATTGATTAGTGGCAGATTGAAATTTTGAAAAAATATGTAAAGATTGTCCATAGGTAACTCGAGAAGCACTGTTGCAGAGGTTTCTCAGTTGGACTTCAAAATGTCCTTGGCATCATATGTAAATGTAAAATTGTGTTTGTGTGTTCTTTCTTTCTCAAAAGACAGCCCATAGCTTTCATCAGATTCTCACACAGACACCTGACCAAATATTTTAAGAGCCTTAGAGATCATCAAGAACACGGTGGCTCACGCCTGTAATCTCAAGACCAAGGCGGGTGGATTGCCTGAGGTCAGGAGTTAGAGACCAGCCTGGCTAACATGGTGAAAACTTGTCTCTACTAAATAAAAAAATTAGCTGGGCATGGTGGTGGATGCCTGTAGTCCTAGCTACTTGGGAGGCTGAGTCAGGAGAATCACTTCAACCTGGGAGGTGGAGGTTACAGTGAGCCGAGATGGTGCCACTGCACTCCAGCCTGGGCAACAGAGTGAAAAAAAAGATTTCTTCTTTTCTTAGAACCTCCTGGACTCTAAGAGTAAGGAATAGCCCACACACAAGTGGACAGGAGTTTCATCCAGCCCTTATTCAGCAGATAACGCTGCTACCACAGCTACCTAGACATCACGCCACATGAAGACTACCATGGAATATCCTCTACACAACTGCACTCAGAAGAGAGCACAGTTGCAAGATGCTCTTCCCTGGAAAAACAGCAGAAAGTCCACTTGGAAAACATTGATCCCAAAGAATTCAATCCAACAATATTTATTGAGCACCTAGTATAAAGGACACTATACTAGGTAAGTGGGATCACTCAGAGAACAAATAAGGGAGGGTGGACCTGCCCCCAAGGGGATGGCATTCCTGGGAGCTATATTCTAATTCACAGTGTTACTTAGAGGTGATCTTGGTTTGAATTTCTCCAGAATAGGGTTGAGTGCAAATCGTGATCCCAGGAAACACCACGAGTGGTGTGGAGAAGTGAAACATGGAAAAAAAGGCAGATCAAGAAGGGTGCATCATCAGGGCAGTTTTCACTGGAGCTTAATTCTACTAGGGACTCCAGAAGTCAATGTAGACCAGCACCTCTGAATTATCGCAACTAAGGACAAAGGAGATAGTTATTTACACACCAGCATGCACCAACCATTAGAAAGGGCTGCTGAGCATGCAGGTAATTGGAGCTCCGGCCTTACCCAGCAGAGATTGAACAGTCATTCACTACAATGGTAAATTCCAAGGAGATATGGGCAGAGCCTGGATAGTATTTGCTATAGGGTTCTAAACCTTTGAATGCCTAATCCGTTCATTTGTTCACTTATTCATTCATCCATTTAGTCATCATCCATTTAATATGTCTCCTCTGCCAGGCAAAGGAAACTGGCATTATGTAAACACAGAACTTTAGAAAGGAAACTGACCTCAGGACTATTTAATCTGAAATGGGATATGCATAAAAATCACTTGAGGAGCTATTTGAAAATGCAGATTGTTGGGCCTGACCTACAGAAGTTTTAACAGATATGCAATAGATACAGCATGGGTCCCGGGAATTTGCGTTTTACCAAGCACCCCAGTAATCCTTGGACTACACTTTAAGAAACTTAGAATCTAATTCCAATTCTTTCCATTTATAAATAAAGAAAATAAAAATCATAATGATAATAATAACAGTTGTATAGTTATAAGGTTTTCATGCCTTTTTGTGCCTTTGCTTTCACTCTGCCAAGATCTTTCTTCCCTTATCTTTTGGTTGCTTATCAAATTATTACTTATCCTGAAAGACCCAGTTCTGGCATCTCTACCTCTGAGGAATTTAATAACACATCTCTTTGCTTACTAAACTCCCATTACATACGTTTATTGTAGCTACCACCATATTTCCTTATAATTATTTTCATATATGCCTATATCCTCCACTAAAAGTTTTGAGATTAAGGTTTGTGACTCACTCACCTTTCATCTCCAATAACTGGCTTAAATGCTTCCTTCATCCCAAGAAATTAGATCTGATTGAGTAACCTGAATCATAGGACTTTATACCCACCAGAGAGCACAGGACATGACTTCCATTAGCTGTTCCAAAACTTGAGTAGCATAACCAATTTTACAGCCATGAGGGGTGCAGGAGGAGACACGATGATTGAAAATCATCTGGACTCCATGGAAGCTCCCTACAGGAAAAGTGACATGCTGTCACTGGAAAAAAGAGGCAAAACTCTTGAAAAGCAGCAGCTGTCTACGAAACTGTTCTGCCACTTATAAAGTGAGACCATCAAAGAATTTTTCAATCCATAAAGTTTTGTATGAATCTAAGTATCAAGCTGTCTTCATGTTTCCTTTCCAAAGAAACTAGATGTAGCATTACCAGGGTGGTGAGAACAAGGAGGGAGCTACAGAAGAAGCCGTCTGAAACATTTTTTCCATGGGTGGAAGGTTGCAATGCTTTAGAGCACATTAAAAAAAATTGTAAAAATCCAGATTGGGCTGCTACCCACCCAACTATAAAACTGTCAACACCATGATATCACTTATAGTAACTTTTGAAATATCATTTATAATTGTCTATATAGGCTGGCCAGTTTCTTTTTATACTACTAGTTCCAAGGTTTTATCATTTATCTTTCATATTTGAAGTTTCTTTGGAATACCTAACAAGTGCCATAGTGGGTAAAAAGAAAATCCAGTTAATTCTCAGAAGATTACACATAGGGAAGAGTTAATTCTCAAAAGATTGCACACAGGTAAGAGCCTGTAGCTGCTGCTTTGCCTTCCTTTCCTCATAATATGTGCTTGTCACGCTCTGTCTTAATTATCCTGTGAAGGGTGGGACTCCCAGGTGGAAATAGGCAACACAGAAAATACTATAAAATAAGGTCTTACCTCTCTTCCTTTTCTGAACACTGGGATCTTAAAGAAAAAATGTTACTTAGTCCTAATATGTTCAAGCCATTCCCTGAGAACAGACACTTTGTCTCTCTGGTTTCCTTGTTATATCACCAGTTTCTTACATAGTCTCTGAAACATAGAAGGCACATATTAAATATATGAATAAAAAAATGGGTTAACAATTTCTAAAAGAGTTCTATTCTTTCTTTACAAAATGATTAAGAACGAGAAGCATTCTACAAAGTTAACGAACTTCAAGTAATCAAGAGCAGCTATAATATAAAACTCTACAGAACCATACACACACACACACGCGCGTGCGCACACACACACACACACACACGATACAGATGCAGCTCTAGGATGACTGGTAAACCACTTAGGGCAGGCGTCCCCAGACCTGGTCTGTGGCCTGTTAGGAACCAGTCTGCACAGCAGGAGGTGAGCACAGGGCAGGGCAAGTGAGCAAATCTTCATTTGTATTTACACAGCCCCCTTGCTCTCATTACCGCCTGAGCTCCACCTCCTGTCAGATCAGCGGTATTAGATTCTCATAGGAGCAGGGACTCTATTGTGAACTGTGCATGTGAGAGATCTAGATTGTGTGCTCCTTATGAGAATCTAATGCCTGATGATCTGTCACTGTCTCCCATCACCCCCAGATGGGACCCACAAGTTCAGGACTCCCACTGATTCTACATGGTGGTGAGTTGTATAATTATTTCATTCTATATTACAGTGTAATAATAATAGAAATAAAGTACACAATAAATGCAATGTGCTTGAATCATCCTGAAACCATCCCCCTTCCCAACACCCCGCAATCTGTGGAAAAATTGTCTTCCATAAAACCAGTCCCTGGTGCCAAAAAGTTTGGGGACCACTGTTCACGAAATCTTAACTAGGAAGGAAGGTAACATGTGGTGGATATGCATGTCTGTCATCTTCTAATCTATCGTGATCTTCTCTGCTGGTCTGGGTGCCATGCTACCTCTCACAGGCCAAGTGAGACAGGTCACCCACCACCTTGAATCAGAACTGACTGCAATGTGCATTGATGAAACTTCCCAGATAATAATCTTGTCACAGTTCAAAATTTAGTCTTTTTCTAAAATGAGTAACTTGCTCTTTGGAGAAAATTTATTATTAAATGGAAATAAATAAAGATAGGAAAAGCACTATTTATTTGTTCTTTTGTTCGCTCAACAAATAGTTCTGAGGACTGTTCTAAGAACAGTCCTCAGATTAGGATATCTTATTTTCTGCTGTATCCCTAGCAGTTAGAATAGCCCTCAGAATTAATGAATAATTAATAGATCTACTCATCTATTCTAATGGATTAAAAACTCTGTCCCCAGGGAGCTTATATTCTAGTGGGAAAAGGGGGCAATAAACCAGTAAACAAATCCAGGTGTAACTAGGGCTAGGAGGACAAATCCTGAACTTTAAAAGGCTTGGGTCAATTTAATAAAGGGTCCATGGGGGAGGCCCTTCTACTTAGTTGACACGTAGACAGAAAACTGAAGGAAGTCACAGCTAGCTGAGCTAATTTCCAGGAAAAAGCATTTCAGCCAGTGGGAACAGTAAACACACAGGTCCAGAGGCAGGAGAGTTTCTGACACACTTGAGAACCACATAGGGGGCCAGAGTGACTGGAAGTTAGAGGCAAAGTGACTAGAGATCAGTGGGGGAAAGTGGGGGCTCCTAGGCCACTGGAAGGACTTTGGAATTTACTGTAATAGAGACCAAAAGCTGCAGGAGGATTTGGAGCTACAGGATGATCTCATTTTATCTTTAAGATAATCACTTTTGAAGTTATACAACTAAGAGATTGTAGAGGCCAAAGGCAGAGACAGGGCTTCCAGTTTGAAAGCTATCAGCATAGTCCAGACGAAAGGGCAATCGTGGCTTGGACCATGGGGCAGCAGGGAAAAATTAAACTTGGAAATGCACATAAAGCACTTGGCACAGTGTCTGGGACAAAGGAAATCTTTGATACCCACAGCTGCTATTATTAATACTGTTATTATCCTATTTTACTGCATGCCAAGAACTGGAGATACAAATCTCACAAGTGGATCATTGGCCTTCTGGGCCTGAATGAGCCTGCCACTTGGTCTCCCTTATAGAATTCTTAGATATGATTTTGGTTGATTAGAAAACTGCTTGATAGTAACCTGGTACTGACAACATTCTTGGAAAGGATGAGGTCCTAGTGTTTCTAACACAAATCAGGCACAGGAACCCTAAGGATCTGCAGTTTTTCTTCTGGGCTGTGTGTTTGTGTGTGTGAGTTAGTGTGTGGGTTCTGTCTTAGGCAACTCGAGCTGCTGTCAAAAAATACCATAGGCTGGGTAGTTTAAACAACAGACATTCATATTCTCAGTTCTAGAGGCTAGAAGTCCCAGATCAAGGTGCCTTCAGATTCTTTTTCTGGTGAAGACTCTCTTCTGGCCCGTGAAAGGCCAGCATCTCACTGTGCACTCACAGTCTCTCCTAGGTGCATTTGCACAGGGAGAAAGAGAGGAAAGCCAGCTCTCAGGTGTCTCTTTTAATAGGAGTATTAACCCCATCATGGGGGCCCAACCCTCATAATCTCATCTAGACCTAGTTACTTTCCAAAGATCTCATCTCCAAATACCACCATATTGTGGGTTAGAGTTTCAACATGTAACTATAGACACAATTTCGTTCATAGCAGGTGCGTATATCCAGCCAAGGACTGTCACGAACACCCAGTAACTAGCGACACCTGCTTCTATATGCGCTTGCCTTTGCCGGTGCTACCATCATCCCTGACTTCTCTGTCCCCTTTCCACCTGTGGAAATCCATGGAGTTTCACTCTCCACACACCTCATTATCCATTTGCCAGACTTGCTAATTTAGACCTGGATAGCCGGAGAAACAATCCACTGCCCTTTCCCACTTCTCCTTGACTTCTTAGTTGCCCCGTTAAGGTGGCGATGTGGTTCTACCTATCCACTGATTCACTTTGATGTCTTCCAAATGTTCTCATAAGTGTTAGAGAACCCATCTGGGGTCAGGAGAAAGCTCTCTGGGTTGAGGTTGTTTAACTGCATGTCATCTGCAATTAAGGAAGATTGATGACTTGCAGAAGTACTTGCTGGAAGTTAAGGGTCTCTGGCTCTGGGTGGGGTGGGAGAATGGTGTTCCTTTTAATCTGCCCATCTTTTTCAAGCAAGTTCTCTTCCCTCCCCCCCAACCCCCCACCCTGAGCTTTCTAAAGGCCGTCACCCTTGTGAGCATGTTTGTTTGTTTGCTTGTTCTGCAGCAAGTCTTGCATGGAGCCTTTGAGACACACCATGAAATGGGAATGAATACAGAATGAATCTATATAGTACTCCTCTCTGAAGCCAGCTTCCAGCACCCATCTAAAAGCAGAGAGGAGGAGAATGCAATCATCAGACGACAGAATGGGATTCATCTATTAATTGTGACATTGCAGCTGGGGAATTGTGAAATATCACGAGATTTGAGTCAAAAATAACTGAGCTGCAGTCCTGGTTTTATTCTGCAATCTTTTAGCTGAGTGATTTTTATTACTTGAGACACCTTGAGTCTCGGTTTCCTGATCTCTTTCACAGATCTTCATATGCTCTTCGTGTGCACGCAGTGCATTGGTGCAGGATTCCATGCGCAGCGTGTGAGGTGGTATCAGTAGGCTGGTGGGCGGTCTTATCCAGGGGGACGCCACAGCAGTCTGTCAGCACTGGCTGGCTGCTTGGACTTCAGGCTTATATACTCCTCTACTTGGTTCTCAGTAGTGACAACATCAAATTTGTTATCAAAATTGTCCCCACAAAGAAGACTTCAGGTTTTATTGCTAAATTCTATCAAATATTTAGGAAAGAAAAAAATCAACCTTACAGAAACTCTCCCAAAAAACACAAGAGGAATAAATATCACCCCACCCCCACCCCCAACTCATGCTATAAGGTCAGAGTAACTCTGCTACTAAAACCTGAAAAGAATGTGTAAGAAACTGTAATACACACCAGTGTTCCTCATGAACTGGCTGTAAATGTATGGGTCAAGCTATTAGTCCCTTTCACAGGTGGGGAAAGTAAAGTGTAGAGGAGATACAGAACCTTCCCAAAGGCAAATAGTTAACAAGTGGCTGGTCTAAAATATAAACCTGGGTCTCTCAGACTACAGAATGCTTGCTCTTAACCAGTATGTTAGCAGGGCCCTCCTTCTACTCTGATGCTTAGTGAACAAGCTTGAGTCCAAAGGAATAATTCCTAAAATTTGACCTTGGAAAGGTGAATGAGGGAGGTGGCCTTCTTAGGCCATGCAAGGGACAGCCTCCTGAACTTCACCATGGAGGCTCCCTCCCCTATTTTAACTCCTGACCTTCAAAGTCACTTTATGTTCCCCTGCCTGGTGGGCACTTGCTCACCACCAAAAGCTACACACTCTGCTTTAAGATCCACAGTACCAGCTCAGTTAAAACCGCCAAAGTCACAGTTGTTTGAGTTTTAATCCCCCAGAGGCACATATGTTCTAGAAAGACCCAGCTTAAAGCCAAATAAATACTGAGGCGGTTTGACACGTGGCCAGTGCACGTCTTGCTCATTAATGAAATGGAGCCCTGCAAGCAGAGAAACGGGTGTGAGCAATTAAGTAGAAGCAGCAGGAGTCCCAGGCCCATGGCAACCTTCCCAGCCTGGCCCCTCATCTACTCTTCAGCAATCTCCCTTGAACCTCAGAGGGAGAAGGGAGGGATACTGGCTGAGGCTTCTGGGGCTTATTTCACAGACTTGCCCTTTTGTCCAGAAGTCTGTTCCCTGGTTGGCAGCCCCAACCCAGACCTGAGCCCAGGAAAGGAAAGACTCTTATCTGCTCTACCCAAGTCTGAGGCAGTCCCTCCCAAGAACAGCTTTCTACCCTCAACCACATAAACTTCACAACATATCAGAAGTGACTTCGAATTAGTAACCCCCAGCTCCAAAAGCCAGCCTCATTTATCCACTCACAGGCAGAGGTGAGAGGGCACTTCTTTTATACCAAGACTAGAAATTGTTCCTAGAAGATGAGCCCCCTGAAATCTAAAACCAGAAGGGAATATCAAACAAAATACCACTGAGATCCTTCACCTCCTTGGTTAGGTATATTCCCAAGTTACAAATGTCTAACAAACATATGAAAAAATGTTCAAAATCACTAATTATAAGGGAAATGCAAATTAAAACCACAATGAGATACCACCTTACTCCTGCAAGAATGGCCATAATTTAAAAATTTAAAAATTACAGATGTGGGCCTGGATGTGGTGAAAAGGGAACACTTTTATGCTGCTGATGGGAAAGTAAACTAATACAACCACTACGGAAAGCAGTATGGAGATTCCTTAAAGAACAAAAAGTAGAACTACCGTTTGATCCAGCAACCCCACTACTGGGTATCTATCCAGAGGAAAAGAAGTCGTTATATGAAAAAGACACCTGCACAAGCATGTTTATAGCAGCACAATTCATAATTGCAAAAATATGGAACCAGCCGAAATGCCCATCAACCAATGAGTGGATAAAGAAAATGTGGTATATATACACCATGGAATACTACTCAGCCATAAAAAGGAACAAAATAATGGCATTCACAGCAACCTGGATGGAGTTGGAGACCACTATTCTAAGTGAAATAACTCAGGAATTGAAAACCAAACATTGTATGTTCTCGCTTGTAAGTGGGAGCTAAGCTATGAGGACACAAAGGCATAAGAATGATATAATGGATTCTGGGGACTTGTCAGGAAGGATGGGTGGGGACTGAGAGATAAAAGACTCCACATTGGCTACAATGTACATGCTCGGGTGCACCAAAATCTCAGAAATTACCACTAAAGAACTTATCCATATAACCAAAAACACCTGTTCCTCAAAAACTATTAAAATTTAAAAAAAAACACTGAGTATCCATGGAATTCTACAAGATCCCAGGAAAAACTTTTCATTCACTTATGTATTCCTCTTATAAGCATTTACTAAGGACTCATGCTAGAGCTTTCTCCAAGCCTTTAACTTACCTTTGTATCAATTCTTAGAAAGCACCCCTTTCCTCAGGCAGGCGCAGCCCAGCACAAAGGCTTGGCCAGAGGAATTGGAACTCACTCCCTAGTACCTAAGAATCTCATTCTACCACCCTCCCCATCCTAGGCAATCCTAAGCAGCTGCGTCACCCTCCAGCCACTTTACAATGGAAAGCATCTGAGCCTAAAACACCTAATCAAACAGCAAAGGCAGAACCTCATACACCCACATTAACAGTTCATTGAGAAAGTATTGAGGAACTTCAGAGAAAAGAATATCATGAGGTTGGAATTTAATAACAAGTTGAACAGAAGAAATAGGAACTCAACTGGATATGGTAACCAGCCTCCAAGAAGGCCACCACTGATTCCTCCCTCCTGGTTTTCAATGACCTTTGTAGTCCCCCTCCTCATTGAACAGGGCTGACTTTTGTTGTCAATAGGACACGCAGAAATGATGCAGTGTGACTTTCAAGGCTAGGTCATAAAGGATATTAAGGCCTCTGTATCACTCTTTCTGAATTCACTCACTCTGGGAAAAGCCAGCTAACCTACTGTGTCAGGAGGACATTTAAGCAGCTCTCAGAGAGGCTCACATGGCCGGGAACTGAGGCTTCCCACCAACAGCACATGAGGGTGCCATCATGGAAGGGAATTCTCCTGCCCCAGGCAAGTCTTCAGAGGACTGCAGCCCTCACCACATCCTGGTTGTCCTGACTGCTACCTCAGGAGAGACCCTGAGCCAGGGCAACAAAGCTGAGCCACTCCCAAATTTCTGACCCAAAGAAACTGTGAGACAATAAGTACTTATTTTAACTAGCTAAGCTTTTTGATAATTTGTCGCATAGCAATGGGTAACTAATGCACTGGACCTTAAGGAAGTCAAAGGATTTCAATGCTCTGAAGTGGTCATGGGAAGGGTCCTTAGAGAGGAGAAGACTGGCAGCAAAACAAAGGAGAGACAAACTCACAAGACCCACCTGTTGGAATAGAAACATGCCTTGCACAAAGGATCAGAAGTCCTCTACTTTAATGTCTCTTTATAGGGTGAGAGTTCTCCTGAGGGAGCAGAAACTTGATTTCTAACCGGAGCCTCTTCAGACCCTCCCCCAGGAAATTTGGGCAAAGTACTTCCATAGCACACCCAGGAATCTCCTGCCTCTAAGTTCACAGCAGCACCTAGAACAGGGAAGATAGCTTGACAACTTCAAAAGAAACCCAAGTGTAGAAAAAAATATGCTCCATACTACAAAGAGTGATCAGCCCTTGGTACTAGGATGAGGCAATGAAGGGTAGGAACAGGATGGGGACTAAGATATTTACCATTTGCTTCTAAGAATCTTTGTTGTTTCAGTTTTTATAACAAAGGAATAAAAAGAAATATATTCAATTCTACTCTAGTCAGCACGTATGATTCTAAACTTGTTTTAAGAATGCCAAGTCAAGAGTAATGGGTAATTTGGTCAGTATCACTAAGACTGCCTGTTTCTTCTCCTTTATATTTAGGAAGCCTGTGTAGTTTTTTCTGAATGAGAAAGAAAAGTCCCTCTTGCCTCCACAGTAGGGACTCTCCAACCAGTTTCCACATTAATGGAGGAAGTATAAAAAGAAGACATTCTGTCCTCCAGAGATGTGCCAATGGGCAGAAAGGGGAAAGGGGTGTTTGCTTCTTACAGGGTCAAAATGTAAGTTTGCTTTGCTGATTCTAAGTTATCTGTGGGGGATTCCCAAAACCAGCTCCCCAGCTGGGCCAATAAGAAAAGCTCCTCTCTCAATTCTCAGGGGACCTGGATTCCCAGGGAACTATTCAGAAATCACTTCTTAAGTCCTATCAAAAAGCCCTTCAATTTCATATTCAAATATGTTTAAATATGTTAATATAAATATACGTAATATGTTTAAATATATTCAGATTAAAGAGTATAATCCCATTTTTAAAACTGCACGACACCAAGACAAGAGAGCTGAAAGGTCACTCTAGTTATAACTGAAGAGATGTGCTTTATATAAATGTAAGGGAAATTTCAGGATGAAAGCTATAACCTTAGGACAACTGATCCTAGTTACCAGAAACACCACTAAAGGAAACTGGAATCACAGAAATTCCTTCTGAAGTCTGTAGGCACACAGTCCAATCTAAAACTTTATTTTTCTCTGCTTTGACATAAGGAAGTAAGAAAGTGGGGATTCAGAGGTGGGGTCTTAGGAATGCTAATATACTGTTTCCACTATGAAATTGTTTAAGAGTGTTCTTAAAAGACAGAATAAAAGGATAGAAGAAAAGCTGCCATGGCCCAGGTGCCCAAAGCACCATGGCCAAAGTGTGCCTGAACTTGTATCCCCAAGATATTTAGAATCCAAAAGAAATTTAGGTTGACTTAAGCTACACAAGACCTAAAGTCAAGCAAACATTAGCTTAGAGTCTGAGATGGAGAACGTGGAAAATACTGAGGAAAAAATAATCCAAGGTGACCAGATTTCTTTAAAGCATGCCCTCAATCATAGATGCCTTTAAATATATAACTTAATGTTTTATTCATGTTAACTTTTTTTTTTTTTTTTTTTTTTGAGACAGAGTCTCTTGCTCTGTCGCCCAGGCTGGAGTGCAGTGGCGCGATCTCAGCTTACTGCAAGCTCCGCCTTCCGGGTTCACACCAGTCTCCTGCCTCAGGCTTCCGAGTAGCTGGGACTACAGGCGCCCGCCACTGTGCCCAGCTAATTTTTTTGTATTTTTAGTAGAGACAGGGTTTCACTGTGTTAGCCAGGATGGTCTCGATCTGCTGACCTTGTGATCCGCCCGCCATGGCCTCCCAAAGTGCTGGGATTACAGGCATGAGCCACCATGCCCGGCCAACATTTTTAAGTTAAGCTAGACTATCGTATGTTTTTAGTTTATTATTACAGAAAGTCAGGTTTATTTAGATCACACATTATTGCCTAGTCACCCTTGTATACCTGAGAAGCAGCTAAGCAGGGGAACAACAGACTACAAAATCCAGCAATGTAAATACGAAACTCTGGAGAATCAGCACAGGTCACCATAATGGAGAGCAAAGGTATGGGAGAATTTACCAGCCATACCCCAGCCTTGTTCTTCTCCTTCCCAATTATGCAAAGGCAGAAAAATCACGTTAAGGCAACTCTCACCCCTCAACCATTCTCCATATCTGCACAAGCTTAAAAGTACTTAGTAGCCTCAGAAGCCAACAGAGAGACATTCAATTGCCTTGTAGGAATGACATGATCCTCAGTAGACTTATACATAGAGGGAATTGTGGCATCAGCTATTTCACTACTGTCCCAATATACAAAGCTGTTGTAAGTAATTCTCAGTTCCTGACATGTGCTCTTCACTGAATGGTTTATTACTATTAAGTGATGATTGTCACCGTACTCAGTGCCCCTCCCCACTGGGCCCATCCCTATAGGAAGGTTACACTGCCCACCCAATTGCATCATCTGTGGAGATGTGACCTGCTTTGGCCAATGAAATGAAAGTAAAAGTGATGTGACTCCGGCCACTTCTGAACAGAATTTTCTGGCTCTGCTTCCCTCTCTCCCATCTGTCATGATACCAGCAATACTTATCGTAGAGGCTGCTCATCAGCATGGGTCTCCACATGTAAAGCCAAAACCAGGCCAATGATGGAAATACATGATGAGCCAGAAATAAAACTGTGATTATAAGTCACTGAGATTTTTTTAAGTTGACAAATAAAAACTGTATGTACTTTTGGGGTACAGCATGATGTTTTGATCTATGTATATGTTGCAGAATAGCTAAATCAAGCTAATTAACACATCGATTACCTCATATACTTAACTTTTTGTGGTGAGCACACTTAAGTTCTACTCTCTTAGTGATTTCAAGCATGAAATACTTTGTTATTAACTGTAGCCACCAAGTTATACAATAGATCTTCTGACCTTCCTCTTCTTATGTAACTGAAATTTAGTATCCTTTAATCAGTATCTTCTCAATTCCCCAACCCCCACACTCAGCTCCTGGTAACCATCACTCTATTCTCCGCTTCTACACTTTCAGTAAGTCACTGGGATTTTGAGATTATGTGTTACCCCAGCATAGAGTAGCCTAACCTGCCTGACGTGTAATCATAAGCCAGATGGATCCCTGCCTTAGCACACTGAGAAAGGGATCAAAGGGAACTGAACACCTGCTAAGCCAAGTTCAATTATAATATGAAATGTGTAGTTCCCTCCTCAATAACAAGACACAGTGTATCAAATACCAAGAGCCTGTGGATTCCTTAGGGAATTGTGTAGCATCTCCTAAACTTCAGATACTCTTTTGCAACTCTAATCATTGTTGCATAGCTGCATACCAACTGTATTACTTTTCAATACTTTCTAATTTGCTCATGATTATATTCTAAATGTATCAATTTCATCAAAAAAACTTTGTAGCACTACAATCAATGAAAAGCCACTATCATTTATCTTAGAGTTGGAAAAACACAACCTTTTTTTTTATAACTCACCTGTATCCCATTTTGACTCTGTACATAGCACCCATGCAAATCTTCTTGGCACCTGAGAAACACTGCTGCAGTGGGCTGGGCTAAGCACTAGGGTGAGACCCCAAGGTTCTGGTTTAGGCTGTGTCACACATTGTGTAATCTTGGACAACTTTCTCAGTTTCCTCAACCATTAAAAGAATTTATACTAGAAGGCCCTATCCAGCTTTAACATTATATCATATACAATTCAGAGCTGTGGGTCCTACTCTTCCTCTCTGCTACTGTGGCTGATAACAATCTGTATTTGTAAAATCACTAATAACCTAAATGGGAAAAGGAGAATTCAGCTAAGCTACAGGACGGTTCCCATTTATGCTCTGTATACATTTCCCTGCCAAAGAGATCCTATCAAAATTATAAAGCCCAAACAAGAACACATATTATTTCATCTTCCTTTATGTTTTGCCAACAACTTCTTAGTATTAAAATTTTCTCGTAGTTCCAAAATGATATTTCTTCTCTCCTCCCCATGGGGTGACTTTATTTCCCTCTGTGGCTTAGGAGTAAGGAAAAAGGAAATCACAGTTCCACTTAACAGGCAGATGCTGGCTATTAATCTGCAATAAATACCATATCGGTTATGCAAAGCAAAGGAGTAGCTGTCTATTAGAAGAATGATCCCCCTTATACTAATTCCAGGACTTCAGATCCTTTCATTGTCCAAGTTCAGAGAACTCCCACTCTTCAAAAAATGAACATATGAACATATGTAAAACAGGCTTACATTAAAATGAAAGAGTTTGGAACCTGCAAGTAACCTCGGAGATCATCTGGTTCACTAACATGTTATACAGATGAAGAAATTAAGACCCCCAAGTCACATAGCTAAGAAGCAGCAGAGCTGGGATATGATTCAGATTCCAAATTCACAGGCAAGGTGATGATGTACTGTAGAAATAGTCTCTGCCAGGTTCTATTTGTTGTTCTTTATGCAAGTGAATTACCTCTCTTGGCCTCAGTTTTTACATCTGCAAAATGAGGGCCCTACTATCTACATTGTAAGGCTACTCTAAGAATCAAATGAGATATACTAATGGGTCTCAAATTTGAAGGTGCAGATGAACCCCCAAATTTTAATTCAGTAGTGCAGGGGAGGAGCGGAGGGCAAGGCACAGGATTCTGCATTTCTGTCTCCCAGGTAATGCCAGTTCTTGGAGTAAACAATCATGTCCTGGAAGTGATTCAGCAGTAAGGGCCATGAATTCCTGGTCCTGCTGGTATGACTATAGCTACTGCTGCAACTGGGGTTAGGGCTGGGGACAAGGATGGGACAGAGGTGCCAATGGTGCCATATAAGAGATGTCACAGGCCATGCAATGAAGGCATCCTCAGCCCAGATGCCAAGCAAAAGACTCTTCCTGCCGATGGGGCTATAACACGTGTGTGGCACCACAATAGCCAGCAAAGACTCTGATCTACATTAAGAAAACAGACAGATAACAACAAAAAAAAAGCACAAAAAAAATGAAAACACTACAAAAGACTCGAGACTCAAGTGAGAGAGAGAGTGACAAAAGCATTGCTAGTAGCACTTTGCAACAATTTCTAGAGTGCACCATCACCTTGCCTGTGAGTTTGGAGCCTGAATCATATCCCAGCTCTGCTGCCTCTTAGCTCTGTGACTTGGGGGCTTTAATTTCTACATCTTTATAACATTACCTAATGGAAAGACAGCCACCACGTTGCAGGGGAGCATTATTGGAGGGTTTTATGGACTGCATGTTTATGTCTCCCAAAAATTCCTATGTTGAAGCCTTAGCTCCAAGTATGAGGTATTAGGAGTTAGGGCCTTTCAGGGGGTGATTAGGTTTAGATGAGGTCAAGAGGATGGAATCTTCATGATGGAATTGGTGGCTTTCAAAGAGAGAAAAACACAATGGAGTCTCTCTCTCTCTCTCTCTCTCTCTGTCTCTCTCATTCTTTCACAGCCCCCACCACCCTACCATGTGTGGATTTGTACTTCCCAGCCCCAGAATTGTGAAAACTCAATGTCTGTGGCCTAAACCACTCCATCTATGGTATTTGTTACAGCAGCATGAGCTGACTAAGACGGAGGGAAAAATACTTCTTTAGCCATGAAATAGATAAAAAGTCAAGGCTTAAATGCGCTGCTATAGGCAAGTACAAGCTCTAATCTGACCATCATCATATTAGTGCCCTCAGCCATGGAACACATTTGAGAGTGAAAGGAATTTTATTGAATAATTATGTCATGACAAGAGGAGCAATCCAGTACAGCCTGTGACAATCAGGTCATATGTTACTCTATATAAAAATACAACTGGAAAGAGGACTTCTAGAACGTTATGAAGAAGCAGGAGGATTTTATAAGTATTAGAATTTAACTGATATCTATAGCTATTAGGTCTAAACCCAAGTCTGAAATGAGTATCATATCCATCAAGAGACATGACAGCCTAATTGTTAATATCAGCATGGGTCAGAAAACCTTTTCTACAAAATGCCAGATACTAAATATCTTAGGTTTTGTATGTTATACACAGTATCTCTTGCACATTCTTGTTTTTAATCATTTAAAAGACAGACAAAAGCCTCTCTCAATAGGCTTCACATTACCCGAATTCAAATTATACTATAAAGCTGCAGTAAACAAAACAGCTTGGTAGTGGTACAAAAACAGACACATAAGCTAAAGGAATAGAAAACTCAATATTCCCATGTAACAAACCTGCACATGTACCCCCAGTATCTAAAATAAAAGTTGATCTCAGCACTTTGAGAGGCTGAGTAGGATAAGTTGCTTAAGCCCAGGAGTTTGAGACCAGCCTGGGCAACATGGTGAAACCCCATTTCCACAAAAAATCTTAAAAATTAGCCGGTATGGTGGTGCACACCTGTAGTCTCAGCTACTGGGGAAGCTGAGGTGAGAGGATCGCTTCAGCCCAGGAGGTCAAGATTGAAGTGAGCCATGATTGTGCTACTACACTCCAGCCTTGGCAACAGAGAAACACGCTGTCTCAAATAAATAAATAAGTTGGAATTTTATTCAAAAAATAAAAGGCAACTCCAGCTTCTGAGAACGCCATTTTTCAAGGTGATGATTTAATCACCAAAGAATTTGAGATTGAGGACACTATGGTCTTTACCACCCATAAACCTGGATGATACCAATCATATCAAGAATAGGCCACTATGCAGTGTTAGGAAGCTATGAGACTATGACCTTCATGGCAAATAACTGACTAACAAGAATGCTGGGGGTGGAATGGGAGAGGGGCTGTCTGCTTCTAATATCTCACAAAGTCCTGCCATAACTCTTAGGACCTAAGCTCAAAAATAGCCTCACCCTTACTATTCATTTTAAATCATCAAATGAATCTAACAATTACTGAGCACCTATTATGCGTTGGGTACCATGCTAGATGCTCTTCGTATATTAACCCAGCATACTCGTAACAAACGTCTGTGGCTGATGCCATCCCGTATTTTACAAATTATGAGCCAGACCCAGAGAAGTTAAGCACATCACTTGAGGTCATACAACCACAAATAGTGGAGAACAGATTTAAACTCAGGCCCACTCAACTTTAACCCCCATATTCTTTCCTCTACACTACCCTTTCCACTCCAGCATGCTACAATTCTGAGCATTTCCTGAGTATCCCTGGGGGGTGCAGAACTGTCCTAAGTACTAAGTGAAGAACAGAAGGAGCTTAAGTATGTAAAAGTATGAGGGTGTTCAAGAATTTTTATTGTTTTTAAAATAGAAAGCTAAGTACGCAATTAAGTGAAGTGAACTCTTATGCTCACCATAGTAAACAAGACAGAATTTTTAAAGGGTCCTTTTATCAATTACATGTCCCAGATATGTTTTAGGAGATATGATCAGCCTAAGCATCTGCCGCCAAGCAGTTTTCACTTGCCTGCTTACATGAATGCAGACATTAGGAATGCCTATGCACAATCACAGCAACTGCTGAACAGTTTTAGTTAGGGGCTCAATCCTTTGGTTCAGATACATCAAGATTAGACTAAATTAGACTAGATAAAGAAGCTGAAGGAAGTAGCTAAGAATGTGCACTCAACTGACCGATCACAGCTTTGGTCAGATTGCCTCAGGTGTGTCCTCAACAGCCTCCTGTGGGTGTGTTCTGCCTATTAAGAAGGTTAACTTGATTGACAGTGGTGCACTTCAGACTCTAAGGAACACACTCACAAATCACCTAGGAACCTTATTAAAATGCAGATCCTGATTCAGGAGGTCTAGGTGATGCCAATGCAGCTGATCTACAGACCACGCTCTGATGAGCAATATCCACAGACAGCTTGCTGCTACCAAAAAAATAAACATATTGGTCTCATTTATGATGAGTCTTCTAACTATAATTAGGTTTATTATAAAAAGTTGTTTCTTAGGCATACTCCTTTCCTGAGGAACACATTATACTTCTTCATACAGATTTATGTTTTCTCATATATCCAGGGAGCCTAGAAATTTCTCCCAGACAAATTTAAAAAGCTTTCTGCCTTCCCATTCAGTGGTCCTTTCAATTAATGAATATTTTATTATTTTATTGAGTGCCTACAACATACCAGGTATGTTGAGGTATGTTGAGCTAGGTGTTAAGGACACAAGATGAGCAAAAACCAATGCCATCTTTGTTTTTATGGAGCTTAATATTCTAGTGGAAGGGACAGAAATAAATCAGCACAAAAATAAAATTGAAAATGCTATGAAAGAGATATTCTAGATACAACAGGGAAGAATTTTCAGAAAAAGCAATGATCAGGGTGGCATCTGAAGGATGAGAAGGAAATAACGGCATGAAAGAGCGGTACAGGGTAGGGAATAAAAAGAGATTTCTAGGCAGAGGCATGTAGAAAAGCCCCATGGTAGAAAAAAGCAGAGAAAACTACAGTGCCTGAGTGCAGAGACCCAGGGAGAGTGTTGCACAATGAGGCTGGATTGGGAGATAAGAGTTGTAATATGCAGAGTCTCATAAGCCAAGGTAAATTTCCTCAGTGTCTACCAATAAAGATATGGGAGCCTTTAAACTGTTTTTAACATAGGCAAATACACAATCAGAGATGTTTCTAAAAGATCAATCTGGCTGCTGTGCAGTTTATTGGCAACACCAGTGTTGGTCATAAGTACTCATCTCAATTCTACGTCTTCAGAAAATGCACTAAATTAAAATTATGCCCCTTGGGAATGGTGAGACATAACTTAGTATACATGTGCCAGTTACCATAATTCCCTCTCAGCTCTAAAACTGTCCTTCATTACCTGATGAGATAATGGAGATGGGCTCTTTAATCATTTGGTTTTTTCAAGGAGCATAATGGTATGCTTTGTCAGCAGAAGCCACTGAGGGACATTGCAGGAGGATGAGACTTCCCTTCCTAGTTGGACTCATCTCCAGTAGGCTTCTGCAGCATGTGCAGTTTTCCCTGCAATGTCCAGTAGTTGGCAGGATGTGGCATCTTCCCATGGGCAACTTCCTCTGCAACCCCTTATGCAGCTTTTCAATGCATCCTGCAGCACTATTCAGTGGATGGTTTTCCCCGCATGCCAGGCGGAGATTTCCAGCAAATCCTGCCAGTGTGATTCTTCAGCAAACTTCTCCCCCATCTTGTAAGCCATGGCCACACTCTCTCCAACTGGGTCTGAATCTCAGCCCAGAGTGGAGGTGAGGCCCTTCCATGGGTATTCTGTCCCATCCCCAGGGATTGTGGCTGCCCCTACATCTGCTATTCATCTATTCTTCACAGTTCTCTGTACCTCTTATAAGCCAATTCTCCTGTTCTTCCAATCTACTATTAAAATCATTTATATTAAACTTTTCCTATTCACATTAGTGTGTGGTTTCTCTTTCTTGATTGAACCCTGACTGATACAATATTCCATTCTCAGGTTTCAAAGTATTGAAGAAATAAGTCAAATAAATGTTGATGGATTTGTCTATGGTGGAATAATTGGGACAGTAAAATAAACACTACTTATGGCATTTCTGTTGGGCTTTAGGCTAAAAGGAGTGAAAGAAAGCCAAAAGGGCAAGAGGAAGAGAACATCTTACTCTTTACCAATCTGCTATGTGCCAGGCCCTTGCACATTTTAACTCACAAACCCTCACCATTAACTCTGTGAGGAAAGTAATATAATTACCAATTACATGTGAGGAACGTGAGGCTCAAAGAGGTGATGGCACCTGTTCAGAATTATACAGCTGTGTGAAGCAGAGCTAGAATTTGTCTCATTCTACTACCTGATGCTGCCTGTCAATTCCATTGTCTCATTTTAAAAATATTTGTTTATACACTGAGTCTTTCTTATTTAGAAATCCAAAGTCTTATTTACCTGTGCAATTTCCATAGCACTAAGCAATATTAAAAGAGAGTCAACACGGAGAAATACACACATACATGTGCACACACACACACCCACACACCCCTTCACCTAGCCATGTCCCCAGATTCCACTTCAATCATTACTTCCTTAGGTTAATTTAACAATCCTCATTAAATACTTTGTGTCATCCTTCAAGTTTGCATTTAATATTGATTTTTGAGCACCTGCATCATTACTTCCCCTCTTCATAACCTCACTACTCATGTGTGTGTGATTATTTGATTCATATCTGTGGTTTTTTATTTTATGTATCTATTTTTATGCCATTATTTTTCCCATAAAGTAAAGATGGTTATGGGCACAGATAAGGCTGCTGATTCATCAATCGCTCAACAATTCAACAACCACCCCTCTGCCATGCCCAGTGCTAAGAGCCAGGCATATAGCTATAAACAAGTCAGACTTTGTTTCCACTCTCCAAGAGCTTTCAAATCAACTGGAGAGACTGACTCTGCACAAGCTATTACTTGTGTGATAAGCGGTAAGAAAACTGAAGTTGAAATGATCATGAAAAGAATAGTCAGCTTTTTGTGCACAGAATCTGTTTCTGACCAGAATCTTCCAGACAAGATGTACCATAGTGGATGCCCACCATTAAGTCATTACGCCAGGAGAAGGTGCTCTGTCTCTATAGGCCTCAAAGCTCCCACCCTTAGCGATCTGTGGAAGTGCTGAGACTATGGGCATTTCTTCTAACCCACTTTCAGATTCAGAGAAGAGGTAGAGTTATTCTCCACATTTCTCAGATTCTTGACATTTCCATCATCCAGCTTGCTCACCGTCTAAGGCCTCCCTGCCTGCTGAGAGGTTAAAGATAGGGGGAGGAAACTAGGGAGCAAACCGTCAGGACCTTGAAGACTCATCCTCTGCCTTAAATTGGCTCATAGCTCCAGCCCCAGGATCCAGGGGACACTGAAGTGCTTGTTGAAAAAGTATGTGGTTGTTTCAGGAAAACAGGACCCTGAGAGGTGAAAACTTAAAAGCAAAAGACTGAGTGTCCAATTTATATTTCAACATATATCAGGCCAAGAGCCAGGTAATTTTCTTGAATTTGACATTTCTTCTCAGACTCCTAAACCCTAGCCAACAAGAATTCCTGTTTTGAGTATCATCCCGATTTCCTTTTGGAAGTGGAAGATTTGCCGCCAGTAAAGATAGGATGCAATGTCCTTGGCTCTGTCAGCTCAAGCAAGAACAGGGCTATATAGGTTTATGTCATAGGTCTAGCACGTAGCAAATGTATAGATTACAGAAAATCTATGTCAGAAATCAATGACTGGACTCCTGCTGAGAAAGAGATCAAAGGGGAAGAAAGACCAGGATATATTCCCCACAGGTTTTGTGCCATGTACTCAACTTTCCGTTAATGAGAAGAGCGTAAGCAGGAAATTATTAGTCCTCCAGCTCCCCAATTCAATCACTGCCTAATATTTATCACGTGCCTACTATTAACAAGAAAAACCAAAGAAGCAGAAATAGGCTAAAAACAGCAACATAAGAAAAAGGATAATGGACACGATGCATGCATTACTAAGTTATCTTACACATTTTACTTACATTATTATATTTAATCCTCATCACAATAATTTCACAAGTGAGGAAACTGAGGTTCAGAAGTGCTGAGAACTTACCCAAGCTCACACTGCTCATCAGTGTCAGAGATGGGAACCTATCTCTTGCCTTTTGATTCCTTTGCCCTCACTCTTTACTGCCACACAAGGCTGGCTTCCTATCTCTCAGATGAAAAAGGGTTGAATGTTGTGACTCTTAATTATACTCAAGGGCCAGAAACACAGGTTATTAAAGTAGATGGGAAGATCCTGAGTCCTGGAGATCATGAAAACTAGAATTGGTGACCTTAGGTGTGACCTATGGTCATAAAAGTCAAGAAATGTACAGGAGAGTAATGAGAAACATACACTACAGGTTAACTGCACTGCAGCCTAAAACACAAGGTTGCTCATGGTCTCTCCAACTGACCTCCCTTCCAACCGCAAAGCCTCTCACCCTGGACACTAGCTACTCATTCATTTATTCATTCAACAGATATCTAAGAGCCTATAGATATTTGGGATGTGGATCTGTTTGCTGCTTTTGTGGAGTTTACTGTTGGTTAAAGCAATAATGACACAATTAAATACATTAGATGCAAGTGGCAGTATGCAAATGGCTATGAAAAAAATGTAAAGGGTTTGATGAGAGCTTAGGCTAGTGGGCCTGATTTAGATGGTGCATCAGGCAAAGTCTCTTCAAAAAAGTGACATTTAGGCTGACTCCTGAGGGATGAGTATCATTTTACAAGAAATATGGGAGAAAGAATGTCCCAGACAGAAAAAACATGGTCCCAGATGGCTCTCACATGTCTGGCTTACCAGTTGTCCACTAGGATTGCAAGGGCCACTGAGCCGTATTTCTCACATTGTGCAATAATCTGGTCTGGGCTTACTCACATAGTGGGTGTGGCCGTCAGCAAGAGAGGACAAACTCCAATGTGCAAGCACTTTTCAAGTCTCTACTTGCATGACATTATCTATTTCTCATTGGCCCTAGCAAGTCAAATAGCCAAGTCCAGAGTCAATGTGAGAGAATGCTACCTAAGGGCATGGATGCTGGCAAGTGAGGACAAATTGGGCGCCAATCGCTGCAGGAAAATACCATACAAGACAAGAAGGGAGGTGCTTAGCCCACCCTGGAGAGGACGGGTTGGTCTTCCCAGAGTTAAGCAGAGTCATCCAAGTGTAACACTGAAGAATGGTTAGGAATTAGTCCCATAGGATAGGAGGCCTAATGGATAGGGGTTGTTCCTATCTCCTGTGGATAGGAGAGGAAGGAAAATATTCCCAGGATGAGCATGCTCAGAATGTTGGAAGTGAAGTCAGAAACCCATGTAAGGGAATTAAAGATGTTTGGTATTATTTGGTAGTAGAGTTAAAGTCAGAAGTGATTGGGAATAAAACTGGAAAAATAAAAAGGAACCAGGTTATAAAGAGCCTTGTAAGTCATGTAAAGAAGTTTGAGCTGTATACCGTACGTAACATTATCAAATTTATATTCTAGAACAGTAGTCCCCAACCTTTTTGACACCAGGGACCAGTTTTGTGGAAGACATTTTTTCCTATGGACCAGGGTGGGGGAAGGAGGGGTTGAGGGGGAATGGTTTGGGGATGAAACTGTTCCACCTCAGATCATCAGTCATTAGATTTTCATAAGGAGTGCACAACCTAGATCTCTGGCATGCACAGTTCACAATAGGGCCCGTGCTCTTATGAGAATCTAATGCCACTGCTGATCTGACAGGAGGCAGAGCTCAGACGGTAATGCTTACTTTTACACCACTCACCTCCTGCTGTGCAGCCCAGTCCCTAACAGGCCACGGACTGGTACCAGGGGTTAGGGACCCCTGTTCTAGAAGGATCTCCACTGTTTCAATGTAAGAGGTGGGGACACCTATTAGGAAGTGTCCCAATGCAGTAGAAAGATAATAATGGCCTCACCCGGAATAGTAGCTGTAAAGATGGGGAGAAGTGTCCCTGTTTTAGATATAATCAGAAGTAAAATCAATAGGACCTGATGGAATCACATATGTGGAAAAGTGGAAGCAAAAGATTGATTCAGATTTCTGCTTGGGAAAACTGAAAAATGGCAGTGGCATTTATTGCTAAAGGTAGCATGGGAAACCTTTAGCATATATAGTAGAATATATGGGTGGGAGATGAGTATCATTTTGGATATTTTGAATTGGAATTTCTCATGAGACAACCAATTATTTTGGAAAAAACTTAGGCATATAAGTTTGAATCTTAGCAGAGAAACAAAAGCAGGGTTATGTGAATTGTCAACATACAGCTGGCAACTACAGCCATGAGAGAAGATTAGTTCAACCAAGGTGAGTGTCTACACACAGAAGAGGGCCAAATACAGAGCCTGAAAACATAGCAGTCTTTGAGGTATAAGTTGAGTAAAATGGGCCCGCCAATGATACCGTGCCTTTACCAAAAAGGTGGTAAGAATCCAGAGGTGGCATATAACACAGGTGGCAGAGGAAAAGAACATTTCCAAAGGAAGGTGTGGGCAGCAGCATCTGATAGGGCTAATTAGTCCCATAAGGTTAAGACTCAAAGGAAAACCCCTGGGCTACAGACCTTGGGAAGACCAGCGAGGGTTGACATTTAGGGGTACCGGCAGATTGGAGTGGCTACAGAAGGACCGAGAACTGGGAAAATACAGAAAGCAAGTTAGAGAACTATTTTAACAACTTTGATGATGAAGGGGAAAAGAGAGATGCAGAACAAGTAGAAAAAGGAGTATTAAAAAATTGTTTTTTGTTTGTTTGTTTTTGAGATGGAGTCTCGCTCTATTGCCAGGCTGGAGTGCAGTGGGGCGATCTTAGCTCACTGCAACCTCCACCTCCCAGGTTCAAGCAATTCTCCTGCCTCAGCCTCCCAAGTAGCTGGGACTACAGGTGCCCGCCACCATGCCCGGCTAATTTTTTGTATTTTTAGTACAGATGGGGTTTCACCATGTTAGGCAGGATGGTCTTGATCTCCTGACCTCGTGAGCCACCCGCCTTGGCCTCCCAAAGTGCTGGGATTACAGGTGTGAGCCACCGCACCTGGCCCCAGCTTCTTTAACCTTGCAGTGTGAACTTGGAGAGAATGATGAATTGCCCAAGGAGACCCACCATCCCAGAAAAGAAAACAACCCCCTCCCTCCACTCCCAACACATCTCACCCCCCCATTATCCCTCCTGTTTTTATCACTGGAAGGCAGCCCTACAGAAACCACACAGCAGCATTAAAGGACAGGACAGGAACATTTTGTTGTAAACAGGGTACAGATGCCAAAATGTGCTAAACCCATTTGTATATAATGAATGAAGACCAGGAACAGTCGTCATTATGGCCTCTGAACACAGAAAGCAAAGAAAAGGAAGGAAGAAAGAAAAGGCTCTTCCCAATATGCGTTTGTGTGGTTTGATTGTAATGGTTGTTTCCCATTCCGGTTGTTTATGAATAATAGTGACCTTTGTTTCCTTAAAGATGAGCTGAACAAAATGATGCATCTTGAAATGATCATTCATTCTGCAGGAAGGGAACATAAGTGAAACCTAAAAGCCTGTTCGGCTGCCTTTCTTCCAATCTCCCTTTGTATTTACAGTATTTGCCAAAACATATTTAATCCTACAAAGCCCCAAGATGTATATTTTTTGGCTCATGTATAGACAGCCTTATTCTATTGGAAAAAGATGCTGTATGTCTTCCATTTCCAAAGCAAGCTTCGCAGAATGGTCTGGATGGGGAAGAGCTGGAGAAAAACCACAGAGGAAGGTCTATAGATCTGTACCAGATGGTCAGTCACATAGTGCGTGCGTGTCCTGGGAGAGGGTCACGAGAAGCTGAAAGAAATCCTGAAAAGTGGCAGTGGGCTATATTCGCATGATGGCCATGGGACCTGCTGGAGGAGATCAAGGCTCCAGGAGGGACTCTGTCCTGAGGAGCGATCCAGATCACAGAGATGGTGGTCCCTGCCTTGGGAAGGCCTCTGTACACCTCACATAGACCTGCCAACAACCCAGAGGTTCAGATTCCTTAGGCTGATTAACGCTGTTCAGATTCATCCAAAACAACAAGCAGACATTGTCATGGCTACAATCTCCAAATCCTACCCTGCAGAAAATCACTTTAAGGTCTCTCCAAAAGGCTACTGCAGAGCAGGGCTCTTCTCAAGCCCTACTGAGTCGCTCTAGAGTTTCATTTTTCTTCGTTTTCTATTTTATTATTTTTAATCCAAGGTTGCAACTGCTTGGAGATGGGGGAGTCCACTGTCAATGTGCCAAAGTGACCTCGGGATGTAGACTCTACCCTTCCTTCCCTCAGCCTCATGTACAGATCTGTGTGCCCCCACTTCCCTTCTGTGTGACCTTGACCTTGAGAAACAAGGAGAGGGAACTCTTTGTCTCAAATTCCTCATCTGTAAAATAGGGAAATAATGCTTACAGGATCGTGGTCCAGTTTAAGTGAGTTCATGTACCTAAGCCCTTAACACAGTAACTACTGACCCACAAAGTGTTCAATAATATTAGCAGCTATTACCCTTTTGGGTTTTTTTTAATGTTGTTGTTTTTGCTATTTTCCTCAGATGGTCTTCAGGCCCCTTGAAAGCAGAGATCTTATTTTGTTCTTATCCATCTCCACAGTGGCAAGCATGGTTTCTTGTAAATTCACGTGCAATAAAAGCTTGTACAAAAGAAAAGGAGGAGGATAAGGGGACAAAGAAGAAGGAAGGGGAAATAAATGAGAGAAGAGAGAGGATGGGCAATAAAATCAGCTCCCATGTGCAACTGGGATAGCAGTAGAGAGAGAAAACCCATCTTGACCCACCGAGGCAAAATACAATCAATAAAACTGATATGACAAAGTCACCTATGAAAGGGAAGCACACAAGAGGTAGAAATGTTCAGCTTAGCTCTGCCTCTCACCAACTGTGAAACCTTGGACAAATCCCTTATCCTCTTTAAGCTTCAGTTTCCGTATCTCTAAATAAAGAAGGCTGAGAGGCATGATTGCTAAGCTTCTTCTCGCAAGCAGCATAAATATCTCTACTTTAATGTTAATGTAGCCTTCATGGAGTGGACCATTAGCCTAGCAGAGAGTTAACTCAAGGATGAGCGGGATAGGAAAAATGATGGTGGGCAGGTGCACAGGCTAAACACAGGGAATCAGAGTAGAGTCAACCCAACTCTAGGAAAACAGCAAACTGGTTTATGCTGAACACAGATGATGTTCCAGGAACTGGGCAAGATTTGTTTATGTGTATTCTTTAGATCATTGAGTTGAAAAGCCCGCCTGAAAGAGGAGAGCAGCAGAACTCAGACAATTTTTCAAAGCCAGTAACTCAGATGGGAAAGAAAGAGAAAAGAAAGAATCCAAATTCGAACATGACTGACAGCTTGGAGATATAAGTGAAAAAGAAGGGGCTGCTACAGGTATCCTATTATGGAATCATAGCACAAGAGAGTATCTTCAGGTTATCATCAGGAAGGGGACTGTTGGTGGGGCCTTATAAACTGAATTGTGGAGCTGGAACCCTTAGTAGAAATGGTTTACTGATAAGCTTTGCTGCCTAGAGCCAAGAAATAAAAAGAAGAGTTTGATTACTGAAATCATGGTTTTTTTCTTGTTTTTGTTTTGTTTGTTTGTTTTGAGATGGAATCTCGCTCTGTTGCCCAGGCTGGAGTGCAGTGGCGCGATCTCAGCTCACTGCAAGCTCTGCCTCCCAGGTTCACGCCATTCTCCTGCCTCAGCCTCCTGAGTAGCTGGGACTACAGGTGCCCGCCACCACGCCTGGCTAATTTTTTGTATTTTTAGTAGAGATGGGGTTTCACCATGTTAGCCAGGATGGTCTCGATCTCCTGACCTCGTGATCCACCTGCCTCGGCCTCCCAAAGTGCTGGGGTTACAGGCGTGAGCCACCGTGCCCTGCCTGATTACTGAAGTCATGTTTTCTTCCAAGAAGAATCCAATTACAATTCAAGCTAAGCCTTCACACTTGATTTTTGCATCTCCCTGCCTCTTCCAACCCCTACCAGGGGCCAAAGACACCCTCTAAAATATACACACATCCACCTCTCTGGCTTTTTTTTTTTTTTTTTGCCAGTCCTGATCTCCCATCCTTTGCCTTAAAACTGTGTACTAAGGCAGCAGTCCCCAACGTTTTTGGCACCAGGGACCAGTTTTGTGGAAGAAAATTTTTCTGCGGACTTTGTGGGGGCAGTGGTTCAGGATGAAACTGTTCCATCTCAGATCATCAGGTATTAGATTCTTGTAAGGAGCACGCAACCTAAATCCCTCACATGCACAGTTCACAATAGGGTTCGCACCCCTGCGAGAATATAATGGCACCGCTGATCTGACAGGAGGCAGAACTTAGGCAGTAATGCTCACCCACGACTCACCTCCTGCTGTGCAGTCCGATTCCTAACAGGCCATGGACCAGTACTGGTCCAAGGCCTGGAGGTTGGGGACCCCATATCTCTGAGATATTGCAGATTTGGTTCCAGACCACTGCAATAAAGTAGATATCACAATAAAGCGAGTCACATGAACTTTTTTGTTTTCCAATGCATGTAAAAGTTAATTAAGAAAATTTGGTGGACACGTACCATGTTTAAAAACTACCATTCAACCCAGCAATCCCATTACTGGGTAAGTACCCAAGAGAAAACAAATCATTCTACCAAAAGATACATGCACTCACATGTTCATTGCTGCACTGTTCACAATAGCAAAGACACGGATTCAACCTAGGTGCCCATCAACAGTAGGTTAGATAAAGAAAATATGGTACATATTCACCGTGGAATACCACAAAGCCATAAAAACGAATAAAATCTGAAGTGGGCAGATTGCTTGAGCCCAGGAGTTTGAGACCAGCCTGGGTAACATGGCAAAACCCCATCTCTACCAAAAAAATAATAACATGAAAATTAGCTGGGCATGGTGGCACACACCTGTAGTCCTAGCTACTTGGGAGGATTGGTTAAGCCTGGGAGGTGGAGGTTGCTGTGAGCTGAGATTGCACCACTGCACCCTAGCCTGGGTGACAGAATGAGACCCTGTCTCAAAAAGAAAAAAATAAAATGAAATCATATCCTTTACAGCAACATGGATCCAACTGGATCCCATTGTTTTGAGTGAATTAACACAGGAATAGAGAACCAAATACTGCCTCACCTCACTTATAAATAGAACCTAAATATTGTATATTCATGGACATAAAGATGGCAACAAGAGACACTGGAGACTACTTGGGGGGAAGGAGACAGGGAGGGAAATAAGGGTCAAAAAACTGTTGGGCACGATGTTCACTACCTGGGTGGCAGGATCATTTATACCCCAAACCTCAGCATCATGTAATATACTCAGGTATTCATAGTTAAGATAAGGGGGGAAATATATATATGCATACATACACACACACACACACACCCAAGTAACAAACCCGCACATGTACCCCCTGGATCTAAAAATAAAAATTGAAAAATTAAGAAAATTTGGTTTAAATATACCATAGACTACTACTCAGCCATAAAAAGGAATGAAATAATGTCTTTTGCAGCAACTTGGATGGAATTGGAGACCATTATTCTAAGTGAAGTAACTCAAGAATAGAAAACCAAATATCACATGGTCTCATAAGCGAGAGCTGGCTATGGGCACAAAAAGGCATACAGTGGTATAGTGGACACTGGAGATGCAGAAGAAAGGAAGGAGGGAGGGGGTGAGGGATGAAAAATTATCCATTGGATACCATGTGGACTATTCAGATGATGGGTAAAATGAAAGCCCAGACTTCACCACTATAGAATTTATCCATGTAACCAGAAACCACTTGTACCCCTAAGAATTCTATTAAGTATTCAATAGAATTATGTCAAAAAAAAAATACAGATCTTAATTGTAAAATACTTTATTGCTTAAAAAATGCTAATGATCATCTGAGCCTTCAGTGAGTCATAATCTTTCTGTTGGTTATTGCCTCAATGCTGATGGCTCCTGACTGATCAGGGTGCTGGTTGCTGAAGGCTGGGGTAGTTGTGGCAATTTCAATAAGACAACGATGAAGTTTGCCACATTGATTGACTCTTCCTTTCATGAAAAATTTCTCTGTAGCATGCAATGCTGTTTGATAATATTTTACCCACATTAGATCTTTCAAAATTGGAGTCAATCCTCTCAAACTCTGCCACTGTCTTATCAATAAAGTTTATGGAATATTCTAAATCCTTTGTTGTCATTTCAACAATGTTTACATCATCTTCACCAAGAGTAGTTTCTATCTCAGGAAACCACTTTCTTTGCTCATCCATAAGAACTAACTCCTCATTCGTGCAAGTTTTATCATAAGGTTGTAGCAAACCGTCACTTCTTCAGGCTCCACTTCTAATTCTAGTTCTCTCAATAATTCTACCACGTCTGCAGTTACTTTCTCCAGTAAAGTTTTCAGCCCCTCAAAGTCATCCATGAGAGTTGGAATCAACTTCTTCCAAACTCACTAACATTGATATTTTTGATCACCTCCCATGAATCATGAATGTTCTTAGCAGCATCTAGACTGGTGAATTCTTTTCAGAAGATTCTTAATGGACTTTGCCCAGATCCAAAAGAGGATTCACTATCTATGGCAACTATAGCCTTATGAAATGCATTTCTTAAATAGTAAGACTTGAAAGTCAATTACTCCTTAATCTGTGGGCTGCAGAATCAATGTTTTGCTGGAGAGCATGAAAACAACATTAATCTTTACATATATCTTCATCAGAGCTCTTGGATGACCAGGTGCATTGTCAAGGAGTAATATTTTGAAAGGAATATTTTTTCTTTTTTCTTTTTGAGACAGAGTCTCACTCCATTACCCAGGCTGGAGTGCAGTGGCATGATCTCAGCTCACTGCAACCTTTACCTCCTGAGTTCAAGCGATTCTCATGCCTCAGCCTCCCAAGTAGCTAGAATTACCCAGCTAATTTTTGTATTTTTAGTAGAGATGGAATTTTGCCATATTGGCTAGGCTGGTCTTGAACTCCTGACCTCAAGTGATCTGCCCACCTCAGCCTCCCAAAATGCTGGGATTACAGGCGTGAGCCCCCATACCCAGCCAGGAATCACTTTTTTTTTTTCTATGCAATGGGTCTCAACAGCAGGTTTAAAATATACATCAAACTATGATGTAAACAGATGTGTTTTTATCCAGGCTTTGTTGTTCCATTTATAAAGGACAGGCAGAGTAGATTTAGACTAATTCTTAAGGGCCCTGGAATTTTTGGAATGGTAAATGAGTATTGGTTTTAACTTAAAGTCACTAGATGCCTTAGCCCCTGACAAGAGAATCAGCCTGTCTTTGAAGCTTTGAAGCCAGGAATTGACTTCTCTTCTCTAGCTCTGAAAGTCCTAGATGACATCTTCCTCCAACATAAGACTGTTCTGTCTACATTGAAAACCTGTTTCTTAGTGTAGCCACCTTCATCAATGATCTTAGCAGGGTCTTGCGGATAACTTGCTGCAGCTTCTTGCTGTACTTGCTGCTTCACCTTGCACTGTGTTATAGAGTCAGTTTCTTTCCTTAAACTTTATAAATAAATATCTGCTAGCTTCACATTTGTCTTCTGCAGCTTCTTCACCTCTCTCAGCCTTCATAGATTTGAAGAGAGTTAGGGCCTTGCTCTGGATTAGGCTTTGGCATAAGGGAAGGATGTGGCTGGTTTGATCTTCTGCGTAGATCACTAAAACTTTCTCCATATCAGCAATTAGGCTGTTTTGCTTTCTTGCCATTTTTGTGTTCTCTGGAGTAGCACTTTTAATTTCTTCAAGAATTTTTTCTTTGCACTCACAACTAGCCTGTTTGGCACAAGAGGCATTCTTTTCTGCCTATCTTGGCTTTCGACATGCCTTCCTTACTAAGTTTAGTCATTTCTAGCTTGTGATTTAAAGTGAGAGATGTGTCACTCTCCTGTCCACTGAACATTTAGAGGCCACTGTAAAATTATTAATTGGCCTAATTTAAATATCCCTGGGTCTCAGGAAATAGAGATGCCTGAAGAGAGGAAGAGAGAAAGGGGAAAAGCCAGTCAGTGGAGCAGTCAGAACACACACATTTATGTATTAAGCTTGTCATCTTAAATAGGCACTGTTCGTGGTGCCCCCAAACAATTATAATAGTAACATCAAAGATCCCTGATCATAGATATAATAATAATGAGAAAGTTAGAAATATTTCAAGAATTACCAAAATGTGACAGAGACATGAAGTCAGCACATGGCACATGCTGGCAGAAGAATAGTGCCAATAGACTTGCTGGACATAGGGTTGCCACAAACTTCCAACTTATTTTTAAAAACGCAATTATCTGTGAGGTGCCACAAGTGGAGCACAATAAAGTGAGGTATGTCCATGTTCCTCAGTTTCTTCCCAGCCCCTCTGAACTGAAGATTCATTTGAACAGTCTGTCGGAGGCCACCTCAAAATTAGCTGAGGGCACCACATCCTGCAGTCCAACCCAAGATCCTAGGAAATTCTTCATCAGCTGAAGCTCTAAGTCCCAGGCCCCTGCCAGGTGAAGAGTGTTTCACACAGTCTTCTCATGGGTATTATCATCTAGTCTGGGAGTGTGAACAAGTGCTGAGTGGATGAACTGGGAAAGAAAATCCTCACCTAGTTTTACAGGATCCTCGCCAGGCATCCAATAGCAGGAACAGAGACAGGATTTCCAGTGATTCTTAGAGAAGGGTAACTCACTCTGGGAGGAGGGAGGCATGCTTGGAGCCCACTGGCCTTCTTTCAATTTGTTGCCATCTTTGCTCATGCTCGTCCCTCTTTCTGGAATATCTGGAAGGTAGCACCTTCAGCTAGTTTTTACCCCTTATTTATCTCTTCAATTCCAGCCTAAGCATTCTCTCAGGGAATCTTCCCTGACCACCCAGTCTGAGACAGGCTGCTTTCCAGTACTGTATTTCTTTATTTCAGAAAAACTGAAATACTCAGTTTACAAATATGAAAAACTGAGTTTACAAATATGCATTCATCAATGTAATTCTCTGATATCTGTTTCCTCTACTATAACGTAAGCTCCATAAGAACAAGCAGCTGTCTGTTCTTGCCCAATATCTCGCACAATGCCAGATGTATACAGACTTAACAAATACTTGGTGAATGAAAAAATGAGCTCAGAGAGACAGAGAAGAAAGTGCCTAGATCACCGCAAAACTGCACAGAGTTGACAGATATTCTGAGGTTGAATGCACCACCATCCTGGCCCCAGGATTTTGAAGCTGAAGTGGTAATTGTGGTTACTCGTTCCACGCTCCAACTAGCAGGAAGCCCAAGCACTGCCGCAATGACGGCCGTCTAGACACTACCCATTCGCTCAACCCCAAGACGCATGTTGACTGCTATCTAGACACTACCCATTCGCTCAACCCCAAGATGCATGTCGACTGCAATCTAGACACTACCCATTCGCTCAACCCCAAGATGCATGTCGACTGCAATCTAGACACTACCCATTTGCTCAACCCCAAGATGCATGTTGAAATATTTATCACTTAATATCCAAATGGCCAGGGAATCCTTAGAAGAACTGTCTAAAGATAAATACAAATCCATTTTAAAATGCTATAAACCAAGTAACCTGGGCCATACGACATAACATGCCTACCTTAGAGAACGTCAAAGTAGACTATTAATGTAGAACAAAGGACTCCAATAATGCTAGCACTGCACATTCTGATCTTTCCCAGACATCCAACAAAGAAACAAGATGTCTGCAAACATTAAAACTTCCTAAAGCGTTTTCATATTAGTATTAATAACAGATGAAGTGCTGTGCCAGAGGAAACACTTGATTCTCGGAACTCTTGAAATGATGGCTGGATTGTGTGATTCATCGATAGCATAGCAAATCACAAAAGAGATAAAACATTACCAAAGAATGAAAATAATACATATTGCAAGATAAATACACATGGAATAGTCTGTATAGAGCCTGAGGAGTACTTAACACCCACCATTTAGCCATTCCTTCCAGCCACTGTTGTTGGCAGGGTAGTAAAATGTACTGGGCATTTTTGTGATTGACAGTTATATGGCTCTGCTGTTCTGATAGAAACTTTGAAAAGATATTTTAGAAAGGAGGTGCATACTATGATGAAAGAGCACAGGTTTGGAATTATAATGAACTGGACTTTCATTATAATTCCAATTTCAGCTCTGCTGCTTACCGGTGCTGTGCTATTAGGCCTCCATTTCCTCATCTATAAAATGGAAGTGATGTTACTTGCTTCACGGGGTTATAGCAGGAGTTGATTAACTATGACTCTTGAGCCAAATCTGGCCCACCACTTGTTTTTGCAAATAAAGTTTCATTGAAACACAGCCATACCCATTCATTTTCATGTTGCCTCAAGCTGTTTTCATGCTACAATAGCAGAGTAGTTATGACAGACCACAGGACCCACAAAGGCTAAAATATTACCTGCCTGACCTTAGGCAGAAAATGTTTGCCATCCCTTGCTATAGACTACACATGTGCGTTTTTCTGCCTAAAATAACATTTCCCTGTTTCTCCTCACCTAGCTAACATCTTCTCACCCTTCAGAGTCATTTTTTAGAGCAACTTTCCTTTACCTCCTAGATAAAGTTAAATCTGTTCCTCAATGCTCCCATAGCAACACTTTGGATAAGACTCATCACGTTTGTCAATACTGTTCTCCATCTGCCTTCTTAACTAACCTGTTAACTCCATAACAGTAAAGGTGATGTCTGCATCCTATATCCTTTCTTAGAAGATTCCAGTAAGTATTGCAGTTGGTTTCTACACAATTCTACCCCTTCATACTACTACCCCATCTTTGGCAGACGTTCTTGGCAGTGGTCAAAGTTTTATCTAATACAGAAAAATTCCAGTTCAAATGAAAGGTATTCAAATGGAGAAGCCTTCAAAGTCCCTATTGCAAATTAACAATGGTGGATTGTGGCAATCAATCAACACTGTCACTGTGAATCTGCTTAAAGGGCTCTTTCTAGGACCTAACAAATGTTACCAACCAATATTTATCAAACATCTACTCTATAAAGACATTATTTAGGTACTTTGGTGAATACAAAGAAATATAATCCATTCTGCCCATTTTATCCTAGGGCTGCATTCTGAATTCAGATCATAAGCCTAATATTTCATATTGAACTTCTCTTTGGAAAGCAGCATACTAAAGATTAGCAAACCATCTCCCAAAAAGCCCAACACCATCATATTTTTTTTCATTTAATAGCAGATTAAAACTTCCATGGTCTGGAATACTATACAGCCATAAAAAAGGATGAGTTCATGTCCTTTGTAGGGACATGGATGAAGCTGGAAGCCATCATTCTCAGCAAACTATCACAAGGACAGAAAATCAAACACCACATGTTCTCACTCATAGATGGGAATTGAACAACGAAATCACTTGGACACAGGGTGGGGAACATCACACACCGGGGCCTGTTGGGGGCTGGGGGGCTGGCGGAGGGATAGCATTAGGAGAAATACCTAATGTAAATGACGAGTTAATGGGTGCAGCAAACCAACATGACACATGTATAACTGTGTATCAAACCTGCACGTTGTGCACATGTACCCTAGAACTTGAAGTATAATAATAATAATAAAAAAGAACTTCCATGGTCAAGGACCAGATAAAAAAGCCAGCCTGCTTTTAGGGGGCACTACATGTGAAAATATTTAATTTTGAGTGCCAGAATCATGTCCAGTGTGGCAAGGGGGGAGACATGTAATAACTGAGACCAACTCACCAAAAAGAAGATTCACATCATCCATGTGACCTTCACTCTGGGAAAATTTCCACTAATAGAATGAGGAGTGGAACTGTCCACACAACTTAAGTTGCTCAGTCAAGTGCTCTCTCTCTCTCTCTCTCTCTCTCTCTGCACCCCGCAAACACATACACAACCAAATGTGCATACTTTAAATAAATTATATGTTTCTATGGTATGACTCCAACTCTGCTCTACACATCTCTTCCTTCCTCTTCTAGTTAGCTACCAGTGCAGAACAAGTTACCCCAAAACTAGAGACTCAAAGCAATGCTATTATCACGTTCATGATTTTGTGAGTCCACAATTCAGGAAGAGCTTAGCTTGGGGTTCTGGCTGGGGATCTCTCCTATATTGCAGCTGGATTTTGACTGGGGCTGAAGTTGTCTGAAGGCTCAATAGGGCTGATGTCCAAAATAACTCACTCATAAGGCTGGCAGTTGATGCTGGCAGTAGGCTGAGAGCTCAGCCAGGACTGTCACTCAGAGCATCCCCACATGGCCTCTCCATGGGGACTGGGGTTCTCTCAGCATGGAAGCTGGATTCTGAGAGAGGAAGTCCAAGAAGCGTGTCCAAGAGCAAGGGTTCCAATAGACTTGTTAGGAAGCTGCAGGCTTCCTCCTAGCCAAGCCTCTGAAGTCACACAGGACCACTCTGCACATCCTACTGAATGCAAGTAAGCAACACCAGCACAAACCCAAGGGGAGGGCAATTAGACCTCACCTCTCAATGGGAGAGAAAATTGTGGCTTTTTTTTTTTTTTTTTTTTTTGAGACAGAGTCTTGCTCTGTTACCAGGCTGGAGTGCAGTGGCGCCATCTTGGCGCACTGCAACCTCCGCCTCCCGGGTTCAAGCAATTGTCCTGCCTCAGCCTCCCAAGTAGCTGGGACTACAGGCATGCACCACCACACTCAGTTAATTTTTGTATTTTTAGTAGAGATGGGGTTTCACCATGTTGGCCAGGATGGTCTCGATCTCTTGACCTTGTGATCTGCCCACCTTGGCCTCCCAAAGTGCTGGGATTACAGGCGTGAGCCACCGTGCCCAACCATTTACGGCATCTTTAATCAGCCATCTTCCACATGGATAACGCTGTTCCCACTCTCATCTTTCCCAGTCTCTTAAAATAATTTGTGACCAATTACCCCCCAATACACACACATAACAAAACCAAATTTATGTATACACCATCATAAAAGGATTTTTGATCAAAAATATCTAAATAATAATGTATCTAAACCACACTTAGAACTCAGCCAAAACCTCCACACCTGCAATGCCCATGCATGCCCAATTCAGGCCTCAAAAAGAGACCCATGCTACAATTATATCACCAGCTGTAACCAGTTGGTTGCAGGGTACTTAGAAATTTATCTGTAGGTGATGCTGGCTGAATAATAACAGTAGCATACAGGTCTGTAGAGATGGAATGAATGTGTGTGGAGAGTGTGTTATCATTTTCAAGGTGCTTTCACATTTCACTACCAACAGCAGGCATGAGTCAGAGGCCTCCCAAAAGCATAGCCTGAGATAAGGATTTGGTTACAGAGTTTATTTGGGATGTGATCACAGGGAGCATTTTAAGGGAGAGTAAGACAGGGAATAGAGGCAAACCAATAAGAGCACATCGATGAGGAGCTACCACTGTGGGCAACTGGAGCTCATTCCCACTGCGTGTCTCTGAGATACTGCATGGAGCACATCTCAGGGTTCCCCACTGAGCAGGGAGGAGGCTGCCCCAACTCCCTCCCCATGTTAGTTGGGGTAACTCATGGTACATTAAATCCTTGGCACTTCCAGTTATTAGTCTGCTCTCATACTGAAGTGAAGAACTGCCCAAGACTAGGTAATTATAAAGAAAAGAAGTTTAATTGACTCACAGTTTCACATGGCTGGGGAATCCTCAGGCAACTTGCAATCACCGTAGAAGGTGAAGGGGAAGCAAGGCACCTTCTTCACAAGGCAGCAGGAAGAGAAATGAATGCAGGAGGAACTACCAAACAAAAAACCATCAGCTGCAATGAGAATTCACTCAGTATCACGAGAACAGCATGGGGGAAACTGGTCCCCATGATTCAATTACCTCCACCTGGTCTCTCCCTTGATGCCTGGGGATTATGGGGATTTTGGGTGGGGACACAGCCAAACCGTATCACCCAGCTTTGCAGCCTGCCATACACATACACTGAGCACCCTCCCAAGGCAAGGCCCCCCCTTCCCGCCACAGGAGAAATACACAGATAACTGTCAGTGTACGGACAATGGGATGAGGGGTGGAGGGACACCCACAGTGTCTGCTATGCTGTGTTAAGAATTCTGAATCTTATCTTTATTAATTCCCACAAGGGTTCTGTTGTTATACGTTGTTGCTATCTCCATTTCACAACTGAGACTCAAAGAGACTAATTAACGTGTCCAAAGCCACACAGCAGATACTGGTTAGCCTAATTCCACCCTCTATACTAAGCTGCATCTGAAGGCCCAGAGAGAGTAAGTGACTTGGGTGGAGCCACCCCATACCCATCCACACCACAATCAGAAATAAAAAGCATCATGACCTCCGGCTTGTCACCACACTGTGTCTTTTGGTCATCTCACACTGAGCTCCATGCCCTCCAAATGCAATGTCGTGAATAGCTTAACCAAAAACTTTTACATATTTTTTGACTCGGCAAAGCAGACAATACATGCTGTAAGTCAAAACACATGTCATCTGTACTATACATTAAGAATTGGGGCTGCTCTTGGTACCCCCAGCAGCATGGAAACAACCCGGAAGGAATCTCCTCAGCAGAATTAGAATGTGCTTTGGATGCAGAGAAGAGAAGGGTTACAGAGCACAGATTCAGCCAAGTAGAGATATCTCGAGGGCTTTGCCTTTCCTGGAATTCTACTTACAAGTTGTAGTACTGGCTCCACACAATGGAACTGCAACCGAAACAGAATTTCTAAGCAGCAGCCTGAGTCAGGGAGATGAATGTTTACTAAGACAAGGCTGGACCCTGGGCAGGGATGGGCATGGAGCTGTTGGGGCTTGTACAAGAGAGTCCTGCTGGACCAGAACAAAGTTGAGCAGTTGTAAAACGAATGAGTAAACAGTGGTGGAAAAGAACTAACATTTTTTATGCAGTGGCTAAGTATTCAGTCAACTCCCCTGGACAGACTTCATATCACACCCACTGTAAAGGTGAGTCTGTGATGATGAGTCATTTGAATGGGTCACACAGCTAGTAAGATCAGAGTTTAGATTTAACCCTTCCCAGTGTGCCAGACTCCAAATTTCATTCCATTAGGCCTCATGACCTCCTTCATGTGTTTAATGAGCTCCTACTGTATACTAGATTAAGTAAGCCACACGGTGCATGCCTAGCAGATAGGACAGCAACTTGTTAAATGTTTGTACTCAGGGACTAGCACAGTGCCTGGCCCTGAGAAAATTCCTTTGGGGTGGCCCAGGATTTCATAGGGGAACAAAACCTGCATGCAGAGGGAGATGTATGTAACTGTCATTGGAGTGTTTTGTACAAAGGGTTTCCAGGCATGAGTAATCACGTGGGGGCTTCCACAGAGAAGCTGGATCTGAAAGGAGGTATGGCAATTGCTGTGCTAAGGAGAGAGGAACTCTCAGTAGAGGGACAGAGACGCATACTCAGGAATGGGCATGACATAGGAGACAGCAAGCAGACGGATATGTCTGGCTACAGTTTGTGGTTTGCGTAAAGGAGAAGCAGGAGAGAAATGTAGGAAGGTCAGCTTTGTTTATACCTATCCTTGAGTGTCAGGTCATAGACTTTGGAAGTTTTAGGAAATAACAATGAAATTGAACAGATGCTTCATGTGTGCCAGACGCTGTTCTCATAATCTACGGCAGGATTTCTCAGCCTGGACATGACTGACCTTTTCAGCCAGATAATTCTCTTTTTGTGGCGCCCTGGGCATTTTGGAATGTTTGGTAGCATCCCTGGCCTCTGCCCACTAGATACCAATAGAACCTTTCCCCCAGCTATGACAACCAAAGCTGTCTCCTGACATTGCTAAATGTCCGCTAGAAGGCAATATCACTCCCTGTTGAAAGCCACTGCTCTACATATATTCAGTCATTCCATTTGTATGACTCTGTAAGGTAGTTAGTATTAACTCTATTTCACAAGTGTGGAAACTGAGGCATGGAGAAGCTATGTAATGTGCGTAGGTTCAACAGGCTTATAAGCAGCACAGTCAAGAAACTCTGCCAGAACTGATTAATTTAGAGCCCATGACCTTACTCACTATGCTGTGTTTAACATGTCAAAATATTACATTTTAAAAGTGCTGCTGGGCACGTTGGTTCATGCCTGTAATCCCAGCATTTTGGGAGGCCGAGGTGGGCAGATCATGAGGTCAGGAGTTTGAGACCAGCCTGGCCAACATTGTGAAACCCCCTCTCTACTAAAAATACAAAAATTAGCCGGGTGTGGTGGCTCACACCTGTAATCCCAGCTACTCCAGAGGCTAAGGCAGGAGAATTGCTTAAACCCATGCGGCTGAGGTTGCAGTGAGCCGAGATCCCGCCACTGCACTCCAGCCTGGGTGACAAAGCAAGGCTCCATCTCGAGAAAAAAAAAAAAAGAGTGCAAAATGCAGTAAGCCCTCGGCTTACAATTATGTAAAATTTGTATGAAGTTGCATGACAACCGGTGACAGTGCACAAAAACATCGTCATCATCAGCATCAAAGGTTTAAAATCAGAGAGGTCGAATTATGGGAGTTTCATTTTTTCTTTAATGGTGTTAAAGTCATATTTTTAAAATATAAAAATATACACTTTAAATTTTTTAAATGTATTTTTAAATATAAGTGAAACATTTGATGGACCCTAGGCAATACCACTAACCTTATTTCTCCACCCGTTTTCAAGATTAATTGGCTAAAATCAGTTTGCTGCCACTCGTTGTTCTGAGACTCAGCTCAGGCATTACCTCCTCCTGCAGGAAGTCCTCTCTAGCTACTCCACTTCTACCTCTAGAGTGGCTTCATGTGCTCATTGTTACTGCAGTCAGAATAGCATCCTAATTTCCTTAATTTCCTTAACACCCTAATTTCTTTTTTTTCTTTTTCTCTATTATACTTTAAGTTCTGGGACACATGTGCAGAACATGCAGGTTTGTTACATAGGTATACACGTGGCATGGTGGTTTGCTGCACCCATCAACCTGTCATCTACATTAGGTATTTCTCCTAATGCTATCCCTCCCCTAGCCCCCTGCCCCCCCGACAGGCCCCAGTGTGTCATGTTTCCCTCCCTGTGTCCATGTGTTCTCCTTGTTCAACTCCCAGCACCCTAATTATTTCTTACTCACTATGCCTTTCTCCCACAAAACTGTGAGTTCTTTAATGCTAGAAAAAAATTCTTTCAATAATTTAATCTCCAACTACCAACATGTCTGGCATAACAGTGAATGTGCTTGAATGAATGTTTGTCAAATGAATAAGCAAGCACAGTTTTGAGGAGTCCAGGGTGACAGGCCCAATCCACTGGACAGCACAGTCACTGAGCTCTGCTCCCAGGCCATGGCTGAGCCTCACACTCCAGCCTGAGGACAAAGCTCAGTGAGTACCATGAACACAAGTGACATAGGGAAGGAGAATGGGGAGGTGTCGATATCTTTCTCCCAACAGCCCTGCATGGCCTCTCATTCCATTAGATTCCACACATCTGCCTTTGGATAGTGTATTAGTCCATCGCACTGCTATAAAGAACTACCTGAGACTGGGTAATTTATAAAGAAAAGAAGTTTAATTGACTCACAGTTCCACATGGCTGGGGAGGCCTCAGGAAGCTTACAATCATGGCAGAAGACAAAGGAAAAGCAAGCACCATCTTCACAAGATGTCAGGAGAGAGTGAGCGAGGGGGAAGCTGCCAAACACGTTTAAACCATCAGATCTCATGAGAACTCACTCACTATCACGAGAACAGCATGGGGGAAAAGACTCCCATGATCCAATCACCTCCCACCAGGTCCCCCCCTCAACACGTGGGGGTTACAATTCAAGAGGAGAGATTGGGTGGGGACACAGAGCCAAACCATATCAGATAGAAACAGAGAAAAAGCAAGAAAGTGAGACTAAAAGGGGAAAAAAATTCAACCCTTTGTTTAATACAATACCTGTGTCTGTGAGGTCCTCTTCAAACATTCAGAGCAGTATGTCCTGTGTCTCTAATGAGGAGCACGTCAGGGTCAAGAAGTGGGCTGTTCCCAATTAAACAGCAACGAACTCTAAAACCAAGTTCTACAATGACAGATTCTATTTCTCAAACAACTATAATTGATATATAAGTAACAGCTCCTTTTTATCAAATATATAATTCCCCAAATAATTACACTCTTTGTCTTTAATCCTCACAACAACCCTATTATTATCCCAGTGTCAGGCATCCGTCTGTCTCAGTTCCTTTATCTATCAAATTGGGATAACAATGACTGCTTTGTAGATCTCCACAACCATTAAATGAATTTATCCACATAAAGAGCTTAGAACAGTGTTCAGCATATAATAAGCACTCCATAAATGGTAGTTATTACTGTCTCCTATTTACAGATCAGGAAACTAACACAATCGGGATTCACACCTCTCTCTATCTTTGTCTGCCACTCTTCCCCCAGAATGATTTACCCATCAGGTTATGTATCAAAAGGGAAACTAGCAAAGGCTTGTGTCCAAGGCAGCTGGCTTCAGGGCCCACCTGGATCCCACAGACAGAGCTAGATTAAGTGCTGGACACCCTTGACTCCAGTCCCCTGTGCTTTGGTGCCCTCTGCTGGTCTGAAAACTCCGCTGTTGGGAATTGGTGTGTGCATGGGGGCAGGAAGGAGAATGAACCAGTGTCCATCTGCTTTTTGCAATAAAACTGCCCTATACCTAGGTCCATCCAAGCCTTGTTTTCTTACTTTGTATATAAAGGAACAGGAATGGCAGAGTTTCTGAGACTAAGCAAAACAAAACTTTTAAGGGAAGAATATGAAAAGTCAAAAAGAACTTGTGTTTACTGGCAGCCTGCTATAAGCAAGGGATTGCCATATATAGTTTCTCATTTAATCCAATTTAGGCTGGCAGGGCAGCGGTGTAAGCAAAAGAGCAGCAGACTATGAGGCAGAAGAGGAGTGGGGATCTGGAGTACAGAAAGGGTGGTTATTGCATGCAGGGGTGCAGACACACCTATTTTGATATACTAATAAATAGGTTCATTACTTTTTAGGAATATCTGTGTTCTAATATGATTTATGTTTGAAGTTTCCCATCGAAATGCCTGGAGGGTTCTCAACAAGGTCAGAGGAGCATTCTAACGGAAGAGGAATTCACATCCATTATTTGAGAGTCCACCATGGGGCAGGCACTTCATAGATGATATTTCGTTTAAGACAATAAGGAGGAATTTTCATTGCCATTGTGTAAAGTTCTGAGAAGCTGGATAACTTGCCCTCAATCACACAGCTGGTGCATGGCAAAGCTGAGCTCTCCTGCATGCCTCACCTCACTCACTTCTCGCACGTGGAACGCTTCTCCCTCAGTGGGTACAGGCACACCGGACCTCAGAATTCCTGGCCACGCTAGGGAGGGAGCAAATGCTGACCCATACTGTCGGTGTTTCTGAACCAGACAACACTCTCTCAGCTCCTAAGAGGCAGACTTCACTGCTGCCAGTCAAAGGGAAAGAGAAGAACACATCTTAGAAGGGGAAAAGCTTGATTCTGAAGACGAAATCAGATTGGCTTTCCCGGGGTGACTCGGTTGCTCTGAATCATCCAGTGAAAACAAGCACTTTGCCATCTGGTAATTACCTTGGGGCCGAGGTGTCAATCCCTTCTCCTTTATCCTGCCCTCCGTAGGAAAACTCTAGCCCCTGGGTGGTCCAGATGGTCAGAGGCCTTTGCACAATGAACAGAGGCCGCTGCTCCATATGTGACTTCTTTGCCACGGAAGTCATCCCATGAAAAACTACAAGCAGGAAGATTTCGCTTCTCGTAAATGCCTCGTTAGAGAGTCAGCAACTTCTGGGAAGGAACTATCTGTGCCCTGTCCCCCACCTCCATCTCCTTTCAATTAAGGAGCCCAGAGTTCTGTGCTTCCCACCACTGTATTCATGCCTGCATAGGAGGCTCACGGAACTATCACCCTCACCAGAAAAAAAGAGAGAATCTGTTAATAACAGGCTTTGTTCTGTCTCAGCGGTTTCTACCCTTCCTCCATTCCTTCTTGACCCCTGACAGTAGCTGTCCAGAGAAACACCCCCTTGTTGGATTTAATACAGCAACCCAGGGATCTCCAACTCACTCCCACACCAGAGAGTCCCCAACAGCCCTTGAGAGGGGTGAAATCCATTAGTAGAGGCCAGAATTCACCAGTAAGTAAGAGAGGGTTTGATTACCCTGATTTTCCAAATCCCATAGCAGCTGGTACTTGTTTGTTTGTTTGTTTGTTTTTCATTTTGGTTTTTTGTCTGTTTGTTTGTTTTTGAGACGGAGTCTCACTCTGTCACCCAGACTGGAGTGCAGTGGCACAATCTCGGCTCACTGCAACCTCCGCCTCCCAGGTTCCAGCAATTCTTCCACCTCAGCCCCCCGAGTAGCTGGGGTTACAGGCACAAGCCACCACGTCCAGCTAATATTTTGTATTTTAGTAGAGACAGGATTTCACCATGTTGGCCAGGCTGGTCTCAAACTACTGAGCTCAGGCGATCTGCCCGCATTGACCTCCCAAAGTGCTGAAATTACAGGCATGAGCCACTGTGCCCAGCCAGCAGCTGGTACTTCTAACATGCTCCTGGAAGTCCTAGACAGCCTCCTGCTGATTGCTTTGTCCCAAACTTCTTTCTACTCACATCAAAAATTGAGAGACAACATAATACAGTGAAAGGTAGAACAGAGTAATATTTAAGGGCCTCAGTTAGACAGGGGTTCATACTCTACTATCTATGACTTGGGATAGTCACCTAACCTTTCTGAACTTGTTTCTACTCTATGTAAAAAAATAAATAAATAAAAGTAACTATGTAAAAGATTTTATTGTGATTATTTACCTATTGATGTATTTTCATGGCAAATAATAAGTATTTAATAAACTTTTGGCTAGTACATTAATACTGATATTGATATTAACACTGATTTTGTTGTTGATATACAGATGTTAATATTACAAGGTCAAAACAGTAGTCATATATGCCTCAGAGCCCAAAATATACAGTTGATCATCCATAGTAGAGACTTGAAACTTGCCCAGTATTGACATGTGCAGTCAGATGACTCTTTGTTGTATGGGGTTGTCCTGAGTATTACAGGATACTTGGCAGCATCCCTAGTCTCTACCCACTAGATACCCAAAAGTACCTTCCCTCCAATTGCAACAACCAAAAATGTCTCTTGACATTGCCAAATATCTCCTGGAGGGGGGGCAAATTGCTCATCATTGAGGATCCCTGCTCTACCATATCCTATGCCAGTCACTCAACTTCTTAACTTTAACTTTCTTTAGTGGCAAAGCAAAAAAAAAAAAAATCTATCAGTCAAATGACTACTAAGTGACAGATAATTTTAATGTTAACTCATTTCATTCCCCACGATACTGTGTGCTATGCCCACTTATAGAGGAAGAAAATGAGAAATCCAAGCCCACCTAATTGCAGAGGTGACTAGCAGTGAGTGAAGGCCAGGGAGTGCGACACCACCTAAGAAAAGGGAGGACAGAGGCTGATTCACAGGTTAAAGAGAAGCCAGAACAAAAGTAAAGGCCAAGACTCACAGAAAACAAACAAGAGAGAATGACTGTGACGAAACTAAGAGATGAGACCAAAGGGTCTAGGCCTAACCGTAGTGCTTTAATGCAGGGTAAGGGGTCTGCAGGCTCTGACCAGAAGCCAAGCCAGAGAAGCAAGTGACCAGCCCTGAGGTTTTGAGGGGTTGTTTAAACCTGCAACTGCAGAGTCGCATCTTCACCCCCACAAAACGGATCTTTCTGGGTCAATAAAGATGTGCATGGTCAGCTGGAGAAAAAAAAAACAAAGTAGGAACTGAGCATAAATGTCAGATGAATGCTAGTGACTTTCCGAGAGGACTCTAGATCTAAGCCAGGTACCAATGGTTTGCCTGTTTGTATGGTATTTTCACCCTGAAATCTGTTCTGCTGGAATAAAGCAGGTTGTAAACACTAGCCTATTCACTAAGACTGTTGTTATTAGATGACTCACCAAGCAGGAAAGACAGGGAAGAGGAAATGATCAGTGTGACTGTCTGAGGAGGAAAGCCCTGCTCCCTGAGCTCAGGGGAGAACGGAGATGAAAGCAGGGATGCTTCATGCTGGTTGACTCACAGCTTCTTGAGTGCTCAGCCGAGCCAACTGTGTGACTGTTTGGGAATCGGGGCTCAGATGGAATAGTTCTGAGGCCTAGGTCTGCAGTCGACTAGCTGGCAACCCTGGGTGGATCATTTTTCTCCTCTGAGCTGCAATTTATCTGTCGAAGCCAGGTAATAGCACCTGTCTTGAGTAGCTGGTTAAGTAGCTAAGGTGTTAAGGAGAGAGTTGTGTGGAAAGCTACTTTGGTTGAAGAAAAGAGTCTTGGGGGACTTCCTCTATCATTAAAACAATAAGACTGGGGCTCATGGGCCCGGCATCCAGAGTCCCAACTATGAAAGAACCAACTGGTCAACTACTCCATCTGATGAGAACCCACATACACAAATTCTTTTATTGTCTTCTGGTTCTGAGAAAGTCCCTCTATCCCATTGGTTTCTTGGAAATTCATAGTTCCAGAACAGTTGCTTAAGTACAATTCCACATTAAAGGAAGAAATAAATCGTAATTATAACTCAACACTCACTCCTTTCATGCCTTGAGAATCACACTGCTGTCCAGTTCTAGTCTCCCCACCCTGATCCCCACCCCTGGCCAAAGACATAGACATAGCAGGGGCTTCCACCAGCCTTACCAATATGTACTTTTAGGGACAGAGGAGAAAAACCAGTCTTCCCCTGGCTCCAGGAAATAGATCCAAATACATTTTCAAACATGGTGTATAGAAAAATATGGTGTATTTGGTTACGCACGTCCCCCTTCCATCTCTGAATCCAGCAGTAGCCACAGGGGACATTTTATCCATATGTTTCTCATTCATTCAAATGTAACTCACTAAAGCACTGCTAAGAAGTACAAGGCCAAGACGAGTTTGCGTGCTATATCATTTATTAATTTTGCTTTTACCCCAGAAGCAGTAAATCATATTTTCCTGAGAGCAAGCGATGTCAACCCTCAAAATATTTACACTTGAGCCAAGCACAGAACTTCCACACTGTACCATGGTTGACTCTTGCAGAAACACACACCCCAGCTGTGGGAGGGCAGGATTCTCTACTGAATAGCTTGAAATAAGCATATCCAAAAATTATGGTGGAATTTTACAGTTAAAAAAAGTATATTTCCGTAAAACATACAAAGTACAGAACATAAAATGTGACAATATCTTTTTGATTGTTAGAAATATACAGAAGATGCCATGATTCTCAAGTAGGTGGAGGAAATACATCAGAGTTGTTATGGAGTGTAAAGTGTTCATGTTGATCAAAAGAGGAGTTGAAATTTGAAAAAACCTGCTATAAGAGAGAAATATTACCTCTGTCTTGCTTTAGAAATTTTGAAAACATTTGATATTGATTTGTTTGTTTTCTGTTTCTTATTTTCATAGTTAAATCTGTTTGAATTAAAAGTGGAAAAATACTGACCCAAAAGTTTACCATTTTTAGCTAGTCAGTTTGAATGTCTTCCTATTTCTGCATTTGCCATTTTTTAATAGTCTGATATCAGATTGACTTTTAATCTGTGCTTAAGTATCAGTTTTCTGTCTCTTCCTTAAAATTGAATGTCTTTGTTGGTAAAAGAAAAAGAACATGAGCTTTGGAGCTAAGGAGAAGGATTCAAATCCAGCTCAACCACTCCCTAGCTTAGATAAGTTGTTCCATCTTTTGAAACCTCAGCTGCTCTATTTGTCTAGTCCTTATCACCCTCTATCTTGCTTCTAGTGCTAGAAATTCTGTCCATTTCTTATTACCCCTAACCATAAAGCTTCCCAATAAAAGAAGTAGATTAACATGAAAATAGGTCAGAACGAAGGTTTGAGGGAAGGGCAATGAGCACAGACCTAATAGATCCAGGACATAAAAGCCAAATGTCCCCAGTTTTACATGGTCTCTCCCAGAGTTGATGCCTCTTAGGTTGTCCCTGCAGTGGCTTATTAAATAAGAGGAAACCAGGAAGCAAAAAACAAACAAACAAACAAAAAAATCCTATCTTGGAGTAGTAGACAAAATAATCACACACACATACAAATATACGCAGATGTCCACGTTGTAATCCCCAGATGCTGTAAATATGCTACTTTACATGGCAAAAGGAATTTGCAGCTGTGATTGAGAATCTTACATAAAGTGATTATCCTGGATTATCCACCTGGGCCCAATGTAAACAGAAGGGCCCTTATAAGTAAATGAGGGAGGAAGGGGAGTGAGAGATTTGAAGGTATACTATTGCTGGCTTTGAGGACGGAGAAACGGTCACCACCCAAGGAATGCAAGTGACCTTAAGAAGTTGAAAAAAGCAAGAAAGTGGATTCTGCCTTAGAACCTCTAGACAGAGCACAGCCCTTCCAACACCCCGACTTTAGCTCCATGAGACTCATTTTGGACTTCTGACCTCAAAAGCTGTAAAAGAACTGTTGTTGTAAGTCACTAAGTTTGTATTAATAGTAATGTGTTACAGCACCGATGGGATACTAATGCAGTTGGTACTGAAAGCTGCATGCTGGGTGGTCAAGCTACTTGGATATGCATTCACCAACAGTGTAGGGGTATCAGAGGGAGCAGAGAAGCCTAAAGAGTCTGTCTCCCATGAGAAAAGCCTTCGAAGTAGGACCTGACAAGCTTTTCCCAATCTGGGTTCCTCTCTGTGTTAGTTATCTATCGCTGCATATCAATTTACCCCCAAAACATAGCAGCTTAAACCAATACACATTCATCATCACGCATTGTCTGTGGGCCAGGAATCTCATCTGCTTCAGGGCCTCTCACGAACTGCAGTGAAAGTGTCCACTGGGCAGAGTCATCTGAAGATTCAACTGGGAAGCATCTACTTTCAAACTTATTCAGTGATTATTGGCAGGATTCAGTTCCTCCTGGGCTGTTGAATTGGCTGCCTCAGTTTTCAGCTGACTGTTGGCCAGAGGCCACTCCTAGCTTTTTGTCACTTGGGCCTCTGCAATATCATAGCCTCCTTTATCAAAGCAAGCAAGAGTAAGCAAGAGTGAGAATTTGCCAGCAAAACACAAGTCACTGTCTTTTTTAACCTAATCACAGAAGTAACACCCAAGACCTTTACTGTATTCTGTTCAGTAGAAGTAAATCACTGGTGCCACCAACAATCAATGGGAGGGGATCACAGAAGGGCACAAATACCCAAAGATAAGCATCACTGGGACCATCATGAAGCCTGCCTACCGCACTTTGGTTCTGGCAAAGCAAGCCTGACTACACTGCCCAGTTCCCCTTTGGCGGCCATTTGACCGACTTCTAACCAATATAACATGAACAGATTAATGTACAACATTTCCAGAGTCCTTTTGTCCCCTGCCACTAGCAGGATGCAGACAGGCATGATGACCTTGGAAGCCATGTGTTGAAAATGGCTGAGTTTTCTTTTTTTAAAATAAATATTTTTTAAAAAAAGAAAAGAAAATGGCTGAGCCAGGAGATGGAAGGAGCTTGAGAGGCTGAATCAGCAATTGAACCAGGGGTGATAGGAGGGCAGGAGACAGGGGAAGAGAGGGCATTCCCTGATCAGAAATATCATTTTGGACCTCAAATCAGGAGAAAAAAGAAAAAACACTTTCTATTGTGTCTGAGCCATACAAATTTGAGGTGGTTGCTTCTAGTTCAATGTTACCTAATATATGGCTCCAGAAGGCTATGAAGCAGAAAGGGCCGTAAGGGATGAAGGAGCTGCATTATGCAGAATTGCAGAGAGTCAGCATGATCCACATGGTCAAGGGCTGTGCTGCAGGCAGTGAACTTCTCCCAAGGATACATATGCAGAATCTACACATAGCCTTTATCCAAATATTTAGAATAAAATATATCCAACAAAACTACATAAAATGGTTATCGTGAACGTATTTCTTATGGAAAATTATGATGGGCAGAGTTTGTCATCCCACATAGAAAGAATTCCATCCAATATGTAGAAATTGTACACAGAATACATGTACAATACCTACAACATAGAGGTAAATTCTATTCAATATACAACAGAACAAAGTAACACCCAGTGCAGAGAAAAGCAAGATATTGAAGACAAAGGAAGAGAAAATAAAATCCAGGAAGTCAGAGAAATTATGGAAAAGGTTTCAGATTGTTACCAGCCATAAAAGTGGGGTTTGAATCAATTTCAACTAAATCTCCAAGGGACAACATAGTCCTAAACCGCATCTGCGCTTGATGTGACAGAGCTCCAACAGAGGAAAGAGGAACAAGGACAAGGGCTCAGGTTAATTCTAGGAACATGTGCATATACAGCCATCTGTGCTTAAGAAATGAGAAATATGGTAATAAGACTTGGCCCAGATTGACCCAGGGTGATGACTTCTTAAGTGTCCCTCCTGAAAAGTTCAGTGAATGAGCTTAGAATTAATAATCACAGAGTAAAGAGAGAACCTCAGTGGACAGGGTTCACTCCAGGAAAAGTCCCTCAAGAATATATCAGCTCCTGACTGATTGACTCTGGTCCATCAATAGCTTTATTCATCTTAGCAACAATTTTGAACGCATAAAACTTGACCATGTCATTTATCATCTTATAATCTCTGGCAAATACAAATGTTCATATCATACTTCAATCCTCTGTTTCACCTGAATTGTCACCTCATAACTTCTGGCTGATCCTCAAATTGAAACAGACCATGAAAAGAAAGACATCTGACACCCCAGCAACCATCAGATCCAACCAACAGATTGTTTGAAGGCAACTTCAAAAGATGAGTGTCAGATATTTTTCAACAAGCCGTGCTGACATGGCCATTGTGTAGGGTCTGAAGGGAAAGCCTTGGAAGGGGATTAATCATGGAAGGGTTCATTGTTCAACCAAATATATTAATTTTATCAGTCATCAAACTTTTGTTAATCATGCCCATGATAGGAGGGAGCTAATGAAAGGCAGGAAGCGTTGCTTATTTGAGTGAAAAATAACTCAGTCGAAGCAGATTTCATCTACTGACTTCAGAAAGGCTGGATCCCAAAGACTTCACAAGGAACCACATGCTGGTTTTGGTGTGTATGCTGTCTAGTCCTTCTGTGTATCCTCTATTTTACCCAGAGACTAGAGATTAGACAGATAGGTAGGTAGATGATAGATAGATAGACAGACAGACAGACAGACAGGTAATAAACCTGGGTGAGGAGCCTTCATCCTGTTAACACCTTAACTTCTCTTAAACAGAGAGTTTTATTACAATATATTTAGCTAAAATCATTACATTTAAAACCACTCTCACGCCAGCATCACCCAGTTTACTAATATGCCCTGCACTTCTTCAACTACCCCCTTCCTTACTAACTTTTCCTGCTTTTTTTAGCTGTGGGCAAAACATAGTCTTCTCTGCTATCAACCTTCTTCACCCTTTCTCCACTACACCTGCAATCCATAAAAACGCAATTGAAAATGGATAAGGCATTCCATTTGTCTTCAGACATTGTCTGATATCATCTTGATATGTCATCACAGCTGTTTCAGTTTGCAACTTACATCCTTCCTCTTTTCCTTTGTCTTAATGTCAGATTTCTGTTTTATTCACTTCATAGTACAAATGTCCTTTGTCTTAAGATGCCTCAAATCCATTTGGAAGAGACAATTGAACAATTGATTAAGTTTCTTCAAAAGATGGTCCTTGGAGAATGTTCTTTAGCCATCGCAATTTTTTTTTGGTGTGTTTCTTCAGTTTGGTCTTACAAGTTTTAGGTGTCTGTTTTCTCTCTTCCTGTATCTCATATATCTCCTTAAAGAGCATGAATACTAAAGACCAGACCACTGTTTCATGCCCCTGACCCTGGTCACAAGGCTTTTTTCCATTCCAAGGGCCTTAACTTAGTAACAATTACATCCAGCATTCATGGGGCATTTAATGTGTAAAAGATTTGGGGCTTAGCATTTTTACACAAGTTACCCCATCTAATCCTCATCAGGACCCTTTAAAGGAAGTACTATTGTTATTATCACCCAACATTAAAGATAAGGAAACTGAGGCAAGAGAGGCTGAGTAAATTTTTGAAGGTCTTAAAGCGGGTCAGTGATGAAGCCAGGATCTAAAGCCTGCTAACTCAGCCCCAGGACCCTTGCTCTTAGCTGCCACACCACGTGGCCTTAAAAGAGGAGGAGTCAAAATGAGCCATCCCAGAATGTTCTCCCCTTCCCAGACTAGCTTCTCCCATCACTGACTCTTTCCATGAGTGGAAAATGTTACATTTCACATACCCAGTGACCTTGTACTTTCTCCTCCACCCGTCACCCCATCGAAACTAGTGATCCTGATATGTGGGCTTTGTTCATTTGCCCTAGAACTTTTTTTATGGTCCACTAGGTTTTTGTTTTGTTGAAATATTCTATCACTGGTTACTTAAAAATATATCACATAGGAAAGCTAAGCATGGACATTCTATAATTATTCTATATTATTCTAAGAAGTTTGAAAACTTCAACTGCGATATCCAGCTGGACAATAATAGTCTCTCCCTCCTTCCCTCACATCCTACCCACTTGAGGACATTGTGTTTTCAGTGAAAGGTCATCGCTAGGCCTGCTGTAGTGAACACTCAAGGATGCCTGAGAGGACAATGAAAGAAAGAAATAAAAAGACTTTTAGTTATATAACTATGATGTAGCAACAAATTATGAACCAGACCATTAGGTCCACATGACATGGGTTACCCTGTCCCCAGTCTTCTCCCCATCTTTAAAGGACAGAGGCACTAAGTGCCTGAGATCCTGTGATGTGGCTGATCTCTCACTCTGCTGAGGAACTAAGGTGGTCTCTAGAAGCCACATCCTCTTACACCATCACATGTCCTGGATCTCAGTCGGCATCATTTGGACCGCTGGTATGCTGTCTGGAATACAATGAAGTAAAAGGACTCCGGTCATTGTGTTTGTCAATCTAAACTCAGACCAGTCGTTACAATGCACCCAGCTCTGATGCATAAACACCCACACTTTTGTCAATATGATTCAGACTTACATACACATATATAGCCTTTTGTTTTTGTTTTCTCTCTAATTAAAATAGAATCACACTAAATAATAATTATTGTTTTGTGAATATGATGTTAGGGCTGGCTTAAAAGTAATTATACTAAATTTCTCATCCTTTGTTGGACTTTCATCTCATATTAGAACAGAGATTACAAACTGGCTCACTCAGTCCTCCAGCCCCTGTGTAGGATACCTTCCCATACACCAGGCTAGAAAGCTGAAAACTACATTTTCCAAACTCCCTTGCAATTAGGGCTTTCCACTGGCCCAGCTTCTCTCAAGCAAACATACCCCTGCAAGACCTGAAAGGCAGAAAAGGCCATTACGAAGCAGAGCCCCACAGCTCCTCTTACTCTGTAGTAGACACATTTAGTTTTCCTATAGCCAATTTCTCAGGGATCCTGATGTCCACTGCCCAGCTATGTAGTAGCAAATGCAATAGAGAGGTCTATTTGTATCCTGCATACCTTCAAAACTTCTTTACTGAGTTATCACTCTCCATCACAAAGTTTTGCATCAATTTTCTTGATCTGGTCAGTTGTGTCTAACTTGACCTTTTTGAAGCTAAGTGCATTCTGGGGCCTATAGGCCCTGGAGTGTTCCTTTGCTAGGATTTCATCTCAGAAGCCATCACCTCTCCAAGAAGCAGGGCACAGAGATGAGTTGAATGCCAATGAGAAAAAACTAAATTTTTTTTATTAATCTCAAGGTCACTTTAGAGTTGATTCTGTTGAAGTTCAGATTTGCAAAAGAAACAAACTGCATAGTGGTCACTTAGACATCATTCATTTTTCACTCATTCAAAAATATTTAACGGGTGACTATATTAGGTGCAAGGGAGGCAATCCCTGCTCCCCAGGAGCTCACAGTTTAGTGAGAGAGACTTACAAGACAACAGGAAATGCCGAGTGGGAGGAGCAGAGTGCAATGAGGGGGCACCCAGCCTAGTGTTGGGGGCTCAGAACAAGTTTTCCCTGAGGAAAGGACATCCAAACTGACACTGAAGGCTACATAGTGGTAGCTGCAAAAAGTGAAGGAGGGCTAGAAAAATAGTTCTAGGTGGCCGGGTGTGGTGGCTCAAACCTGTAATCCCAGCACTTTGGGAGGCTGAGGTGGGCGGATCATCTGAGGTCAGGAGTTCAAGACCAGCCTGGCCAATGTGGCGAAACCTTGTCTCTACTAAAAATACAAAAATTAGCCATGCATGGTGGCGGGAACCTGTAATCCCAGCTACTTGGGAGGCTGAGGCAGGAGAATCGCTTGAACACAGGAGGCAGAGGTTGCAGTGAGCCAAGATTGCAACGCTGCACTCCAGCCTGGACCACAACGTGAGACTCCATCTCAAAAAAAGAAAAGAAAAAAGAAAAATAGTTCTAGGCAGTGGGGACAACAAGTGCAAAGGCCCTGAGGTGAGAGGGTTAAGAGAATGACTCTCTTGGTGCCCAGTTCAAACTGTCCTAAAGTGTATTATATTAAAGCCAAGGCCAACAGGTTAAGCACAGTCCCAATTACAGAACTTATTTGACATACTTGGATTAAATTTGATCTATTTCAACTTGAATGAAGAATTTTCTGCAGAATATATTTTGGTAAGGAAAAGAGCATGTATAAGTATAATACACAAGCAAATAAGAAAGCCAAGTACAAGGATGTGGGACACCTGAAAGGCAGGGAAGAAAATATGGCGGAAGAGATGAAAACTGCAAAACAGAGTTACTGGGAGTCAGTTTTGACAACCATACAAGTTTACACATACTCCCAAACTTTTGGGGGTCCAGAGTCTGTGCACAGTTTAAGAGGAGCCAGAATGCCCACCATGGCTTCATAGATCTGCTGTGTGATGTTGCCCTAGGAGAGCAGGGGATCTGGTAAAAATTCTCATTGCAGAACTTGCCTGCTGCAGGACAGAAGGGCAGTGTCTGAGACAACAGGAAGGGTAAGATGTTTTCCCAGTAGGAAGAGGTGGTGCTGCCTCCCAGGTGTGGCTCGTGTGCCTCCAGAACCTCTCTAGGGCCCTGCTGGCTGCAGCCTGTTGTGAGTGAGTAGACAAGGGAGGGAAGCCCTCATCTGGAGCTCCGAGAAAGGAAAGCCAACACGGAGTACTGATTGGGAGAATTTATGGCTCATCAATTCTCCATTCTCTATTGAGATCAATGCCCCCCACCCCCCCACCCCACAGCCGACACAAAGACCTAGTCCACGCCACTGGTTTGAAGTGATGTAAAATTAAAAGGCCCTTTTTCAAAGATCTCATTCCAGAAAGCCAAAGCCAAGTAAAATACACAATTACTTCCAAGCTGAATGCCTCGCCTGGCAAGCTTTCCCACTCTCCAGCTGTATGTTAGAGTTTCTTGTCTCAATGCATTAATTGACTTTTAAATCCAAACTTTATTGTTACTTCTATGGGGAAATGCTTCCAAAATTTAAGAGAAAAAATTAAAAGCTTTCTCACATACAGAACGCCGTCACATCTTGGGGTCTGAGAAGGTCTAAAATCAAAAGACTATTTTCTTGTAACCCTTGGCAGTTCTGAACAGAAAGAGTAGGCTCTATTCCCTAGCTAGGATGTTTATCAAGAACACCACATTTGCAGGGAAGTTGCTTTGGGTTTGAATTCCAGTTCTGTCACTTACCAACTGTGAGATCTTAGAAGCTCACTCCCTTTTCTGAGTCTCAATTTCCCTGTCTTTAATGGAGATAACAAGCCCTTCCTCTTGAAGTAGTTGTAAGGCTTAAATGAACAAAGCAGTGCTACTGCCAAGCACAGGACTCAACTCACAGTAAGGGCTCAACACACAGCGGCTGGCTGTTTAGTTAATTGGTTATTTCTCTGCCATAGGGAAGCCCAGCTGACAAAAGCAGATGCAAGCAGAGCCTGGAAGGTCAGAGTTCTTATTGGATTCTGATTTCCATTGGCCACTAGGCTTCAGAGATGCCTCCCTGACGATGCTCAGGGAAAGGTAAATGAAAGGAAAGTCCAAGAGCAAATGAAAATAATATCAATCAATCAATCGATACTAGTCAGTGCTTTCCATACATACATTAATGTATTCTTTCACTGCCTCAACAAATCCCAAGCTCGCTTCCAAATGTCATAAAGATTAATACAAGGAGAGGACAAGAGCTTGGCGCCTTGCTGTGTGATTGCCCACCTGGGCTTCTTCTCCATCCCTCCAACAGGGAGACATCCTGGCAGTGAGTAGATGGGAATCTCAAAGGCTGTTGAGAAATTCTTATTTTCATTGCCTTTTTTTCTACGTCAATTCAACCCTGGGAAGTTATCCTGATGTAAATCTTACCTCCTCCCCCATCCATCTCTATCTGCTCCTGGAATATTGGTAAAGAGATGACAAAAGTTCCTGGGACAAAAATCATGTACAGATTTGAGGTGGGTTGCGAGGCTAAGCTCGTGGTTGTGGGGTTCATGAGTCTGGCACAGGTTCCTGAATGTAAGCAAGGGCCCTCAGATTCATTCTTTCTCATCCAATAACCATGGCTACCAAGAAAACAAAAGAGTGCCTAGCTTGGTACCCAGCATGTGATAGGCACTCAATAAACATTTCCTCAACTAAGCCAGACTGGAAAATGGTTTCCAAATGAGCTCTACTCGTGCACGCACACACACACACACACAGTCTTATGCTTGCACCTACTCCAATATATTATTTAAAAGGAATGAAGCACTAATATTGCTATAATGTGGGTGAACCTCAAAAACATTCTGCTAAGACATTATGCTAAGTGAAATGAGCCAGTCACAAAATGTCATATATTGCAGGATTACATTTCTATGAAATATCCAGAATAGGTAAATCCTTAGAGACAGAATGTAGGTTGGTGGTTGCCAAAGGCTAGGGGAGTTGGGAATAGGGAGTGACTATTCAATGGGTACGGGTGTCCTTTGGGGGGTGATGAGAATATTTTGGAACTAGATAGAGGTGGTGGTTGCACAACACTGGAAATGTTCTAAACGCCACTAATTTGTGTACTTTAATAACTAATTGTATGTTTATGAATTCCACCTCAATTTGGAAAAATGAAGTCTCCTGCCTGTATTTTTAAGATCTTCTCTGAGTGTTCTTGGTCTGCCCAACCATCTTTCTTACCATCCCCCACACTGCAGCCACACAGCTTCCGAATCCCTACCACATGTTCCACATGAAAAATAAACAGCTCTCCATCAGGGGTGAATCAGGTTTTACAGGCCTGAACCTTATAGAAACTGGGGAGCTCACTTAAAAATGCAAAGCTATATAAAATCAAATACAAAAGTAAATATTTAATTCATGTGAAAAAAGAAATTATGACAAAGTATAAATTTTTAAAAGCTAATACTATAAACATTATAAAATCCACCCAAAATAAAAGCATGCCATCTTTATTAATTAATTGCTTGGCATGCATCCACAATAGATTTTTGTACATTTTTAATCATTTTGATCGCCTCTTTAACCACCTCAAATATTTTATAATATTATCTATAGAAGAAATAGAAAAATCCAGTCTTCTTGTAGCGCGGCTGATTAAAATTTGTATTTTTACTGATAGTTTAGAAAAGTTCCTTTCAGCTTTACAACTCAGTATTGGTAATGATATACAAATTACAGGATTGTTGCAAAATTTAAGGACACCTCTACTAAATTTATTTTATATACGAATTGTAAGATTGAAGAGCTTTGAAGTTTTCTTGCATGTCATTTATGTAGTTACTACAATCGAATATTCTCACACACTTTCTGTGCCAGGCACCCTAGAAGAAGTTCAGTTGCCAGATTAGCTCTGTCCCTGAATATTGTGTTGGGACACTGATGAGTCAGCCCAGTGGATAGAGGAAGTATTCCTGGAAGCCATCTCAGCTACAGAACAGCCAGTAAATCCGAAAGTACACAGAAGTGACTTCAAACCACATAAATATTAATATACCGCACTAAACACAGACCAAATGTAACTCCAACTCAGGTTCCCCCTAGCAGGATGCCAAGAATGCCTGTGACCCCTTAAGCAAGAGAAGCAAATATGACACCCTGAGGAGGTATGAAAGTGGAAAAAAACAACAGTCCTAATCTAGCTTGATTCAAATATCTTAACTTTGCAAATTTTAAAAAACAAATGACCATATGTGATATAGTTTGGATATTTGTCCCTGCCCAAATCTTATGTTGAATTGTAATTCGCAATGCTACATAGGTGAGACTTCGTAGGAGGTGTGTTTGGATCATGGGGGCAGATCCCTCATGGCTTGATGCTACCTTCCTGATAGTGAGTTCTCTGGAGATCAGGTTGTTTAAAAGTGTGCAGCATTCCCAGCAACCACTACACTCTTTCTCTCTCTCTCTCTCCCCTGCTTTCACAGTGTGATATGCCTGCTCCCACTTTACCTTCTGCCGTGAGTTAAAAAAAAGCTCCCTGAAGCCTGAGGCCCCCCCAGAACCCAAGCAATGTTGGTGCCATATATGTACAGCCTGCAGAACCATGAGCCATTTAAACCTCTTTTCTTTATAAATTTCCTAGTCTCAGGTATTTCTTTACAGCAACGCAAGAATGGCCTAATACAATGTGAACATTGCTGGAGCCCCTCCATGCTTGCACAGGTGAGAGTACAGAGACTTAAGCTTCACTGGCTTGGCTGTAGAGAGGGGGAGCATGTAGCATCTTATCTTGTCTTTATTCTTTCTTAAAAATAAGTGTTTAATTTTTAAGAAAATAAAACATGCATATAGAAATTTAAAAGTCAAACAGTACTAAAGCTTATTATGAAAATAGCATAATTTGTCCCCCTCCTAACTTAGCCCAATTCCTGATCTTCACAAGCCCCTACTTTCAACTCTTATAGTTACTTTTTCTGGTGTGTATATCATTATTTCAAAGTAATATGCTTTTTCTGATGTCTTTGGAATTACCCACTTTAGACATTATCTATTTGTTTCCTATTGTTGGAAATGAAAATTTTATTCTCTTTCACCAATAATCCACCCTGTTTCTTCCTCTTTCCCCCACCCCATACCAATCATTTCTCACCAAACTTAGAATAGAATCCAAGCAACTTTCTCTGGATGACAAGGCCCTGCTTGATCTGACCTGTGCCTTCCTCTCTGGCCTCATCACCCACCACTCTCCCCTTTGCCCACTACCACCCAGCCACATTCACTGTCTTCTGGTATCTCAGATATGCCAAGCTTGTCCCTGCCTTGAAGCATCTGCTTATTAGCTTTCTCCATGGTCCTATCATCTCATTCTCATTCCCAAACATTTGTTTCTCTACTCTTTGTTGTATCTTGGTTGCATTCTTTTCTTTTATTCTACTCCTTTTTTTTTTTGAGACAGAGTCTCGCTCTGTTGCCCAGGCTGGAGTGCAGTGGCACGATCTCGGCTCACTGCAAGCTCTGCCTCCTGGGTTCACACCATTCTCCTGCCTCAGCCTCCCGAATACCTGGGACTACAGGCGCCCGCCACCATGCTCGGCTAATTTTTTGTATTTTTTTAGTAGAGACGGGGTTTCACCGTGTTAGCCAGGATGGTCTCGATCTCCTGACCTCGTGATCTGCCTGCCTTGGCCTCCCAAACTGCTGGGATTACAGGCGTGAGCCACCGCGCCCAGCCTATTCCATTTTTTTAATAAGTTGACCCCAATTGTTTTATTTGAAGAAGTCAACATCCTCATTCATTCATTTAACAGTTATATTTGCTGGGCCTTAAACTAGATGCATGGGATATAGTTAATGAATAAGGGAGGTACTGTGTTTATTTGCACAGGCCTTACAATCTTGTGGGGAAAGCCAACAGAAAGAGGAATTAGCATGAGGTGTGATGAGCATCATGATATGAGAAGTTCACAGGAAGAGTAGAAATAGTCTTACCCAGTCCAAGATACCAGTGAAGGTATTCCAGAAGAAGTGGCATTTACACTGAGACTTGAAGAATGGACAGAGTAGCCCAGTAGAGTGGGTGGGGAAGAGCGTTCCAGGGAAAAGCAAGTTCAAAGACATAGAAGAAAAAGATAGAGAGTGGTGCAATCGAGGTACTAAAACAGGTCCAGTTAAATTTTCAGTCTGAATTTCTGCCTAGGGAAATGAGACATCTGCTGTTCCCACCTTACCTCTGGTAGCAATAATTTATTATTGTTGAGCTTTCAGTATATAACAGCCTTCATTATTCATACACTATGAAATAAAGTAGAAGACATTACTAGTTGCCAAGAATATACACCTGCAAGGATGAGACCTAAATCCAACTGAAATCATGATCCTACAAATTAATCATCCTGACTACTTGCCTTTAGGAAAGAAACCATCATATTGGCTACTCCAGACAGTGGGTCAACCTAGTAGTTTTGACTACCAGGAATTCTACCTACCAGGAATTCTACCTATGATGCAAGAATACCAAAATACTGATAGTAGTAGAAGGTACCAAATTCTGAGTACTTACATACCATTTTTCTCATCTTCACTGTAACTCTCCAAGGTAGGGGTTATGATTCCTTCTGTATACTTGAGGAAACTTGGCTCAGAGAAGTTAAGCAATTTCCTTAAGGTCACATTGCCAAAAAATAACCAAGTTCAAGTGTTCTTATTCAAAGCCCAGTGCTGTGTCCACAGTACCACACTGGCAAAGTGGGCCTTCTAGACCCTTCCATTAATCTTTCTTAAGATACCTTTATGACCCCTTTCTAAGCAGAGAGTGGCTTCATTCTGATCCCTCTTGCTATATTTTAGGTAATTCTCCAAGCTCTGAAGGTGTTTTTTATTTTGTTTTCTATTTATTTTCTCCCTTGCATCAAAACTTACCTGTCCTGATCCTTCCCTTAGGACCCTGCCAGTAAAAGCAGTATGTATAGTAGAATAAGGGTCAGAATACTAGTCTGGATACCTGAATTTGTTCCCTTCTAGACATTTAATTTCCACATCTATAAAATAAATTATTGCACATATTTAGATGGGATCATAGATATAAAAGCTCCAGAGAAATCACTGTGAAGAAACTGATAGGATGAGCTCATTCACATAAAGTTTTAGTAGCCACTAATGATTTAACGAGGTTTACATTTGAAGTGAGGACCTTCAATGCCTTAAGAGAATAACTCAAACTAGCATTTCAGATCTTCAACAAGCCATAGTAGAAGGTACTCCTTGGAATAGGATTATGGCATCAAAGGGGTTTGAGACAGCCTGGACCGTACAGCAAGACCCTGTTTCTATTAAAAAATAATGAGTCCCGTGTGGTATCACATGCCTGTATTCCCAACTACTCAGGAGGTTAAGGCAGAAGGATCACTTGAGGCCAGGATTTCTAGACCACAGTGATTTATGGTACCACTGCTCTCCTGCCTCAAAAAAAAAAAAAAAAAAAAGGAAACAAATTTTTTTCTAAACAGACAAGTACGTTTATTTAAAAATTTTTAAGGATAGTCACTCCCAAGTCATGGTAGAGGATAAAAGAAAGGAGAGCCTGTTGACCAAAAGACCAATGAAGCCTCTACCGCAGGAGTCCAGCTGAGTTCATTGCTTTCTAACTCCCAAGCTAACGCAGGGGAAAAGAAGTCATTATATGAAAAAGATACTTGCGCACACGTTTATAGCAGCACAATTCATAATTGCAAAAATGTGGAACCAACACAAATGCTCATCAATCAATGAGTGGATAAAGAAACTGTGATATATATATATATCAATCATATATATATCATATATATCATATATATCATATATATCATATATATCATATATATCATATGATATATATCATATATATCATATATATCATATATCATATGATATATATCATATATATCATATATCATATATATCATATATATCATATATATCATATCATATATATCATATATATCATATATATATCATATCATATATATCATATATATCATATATATATCATATCATATATATCATATATATCATATATATCATATCATATATATCATATATATCATATATATATCATATCATATATATAATATATATCATATATATATCATATCATATATATCATATCAATCATATATATCATATATATATCATATCATATATATCATATATATCATATATGATATATATGATGGAATACTACTCAGCCATAAAAAGGAATTAATTAATGGCATTCACAGTGACCTGGATGGGATTGGAGACTATTATTCTAAGTGAAGTAACTCAGGAATGGAAAACCAAACATTGTATGTTCTAACTCATAAGTGAGCTAAGCTATGGGGATGCAAAGGCATAAGAATGACACAATAGATTTTGGGGACTCAAGGGGAAAGGGTGGGAAGTGGTTGAGGGATAAAAGACTACAAATAGGGTGCAGTGTATTCTGCTCGGGTGACGGGTGCACCAAAACCTGACAAATCACCACTAAGGAACTTACTCATGTAACCAAATACCACCCGTTCCTATGGAAATAAACCTATAGAAATAAACCTATGGAAATAAACCCGTTCCTATGGAAATAAACCTATGGAAATAAATTTTTTAAAAAAAAGATAGAGGAAGAAAGACTGCTGGCTAAGCATTCAGATGTGACTGATATAATCCATGAACAAGATCTAATGATCACTTGGAATGGAAAGAGAGAAGAGAAGCAAAAGAGTTGCAGGTATCTCTAAGGCTTGGGAGACTAAATGGATGATGATCCCATTAGCAGAGATTGGCATTACCGGTAGTTTATTATTCCAAAGCCTTACTCCACTCAGTGTGTTTTATTGCTCCTACAATGACCCTGTGGCCTTACTAATGTCTTTCCGTCTTACTCATCCCTGCCATCTTCTGTTGACTTCCCCACCCCTTTCCTTATACGCAGATAGAAAACTCATGTGAAATTCTCTCTCTCTCTCTCTCTCTCCTACTAGCAACTCAGCTGCACAGTGCCTTACTCGTGTGTATTGACTGTAAACCTGTAACTGTCCACCTCAGTTCACAGACAGGTTCAAGGACAGCTGCCCAAGAATCAGCCAGAAGAACTTATTAAAATAAGTTAAGTTTCCGCTGGCCACTCCTGTGGATTCTGATTCAGTGGGCTTGAGAGGTCACCAGGCTTGGGGACCACAGTGAAAAATAACTTATTTCACTAGGTAGGAACAGCAGGTAACAGAAACGTATCAAAGATGCTCATGGAAAGCGAGGCCAGCCCTGTTTGAACGCTTCTAAACATCCTCCGGTAACACAAAGCATTTGAAAATTCAGGGCTTGGTGTTTGATGAGAAACAGGATGCTGTTGCACTGGTGCCTTTCTAGTCTTTTCTTTAAATGTGATCTTTTATCAGAGGCACATATGTTTTCAATACCTTCACATGTGGCTGCAGTTAGACCAGGAAACAAATTCCCTACTAGTTGAAAGGTTTGGCCTCTCTTTCACGCCCACTGAGCATCAATTTCTATCCTCTGTTGGAAAGACCCCAGGGAAATAATTAATCAGCCTGCCTGCTTGCAACACTTCCAGGGCTTGGGTCACAAGAAGTGCACTGTTCGCAACAGATGGCAGAGCAACAGGCTGGAGACCCTCTCCCTCCTCCAGCCGCCACCGCCTCTGTGGTCAGCAGTGCCCGCCTGGTTACTTCCATAAACCTTCTCCCAGCACAGCCCTGTGACTCTAAGGAGAAATCCTTCCTCCACACATCCCTAGGACTTTCCTCTGATCCTCCTGGGTAATTTGTGTTTTAGTTCAAGGTCTTGGCCAAGGAAGTATGGTGGGCAATTTCATTTACAGCCTGGAATTAGGCACAGAGTTGTCTTCAGGTGGTCAGGCCCCATTAGCTGCCTTGGTCTTGTCTATTAACAGATGACTGGCACCTAAGAGCTCCTGAAGCAGGAGCACCCAGACCCAGGCCCTGTTAGAAACCAAAGGAGGCCTCAGATGTTCTCATATTTTTAAGATCTCAGGATATTTTAAAAATGAATAATTCCCAAAACAAAGTGGTATATTTAAAGTTGCATGAGGGATGCCTCCTTCTATTGATCCTTTCAGTATGCCTGCCCATATAACCTCATTTGGAATGACTGTCAAAAGTCTAAATTCAATACTGTTTGTCAGTTACATAAATGCAAAGCCTAGATCAAGTAGTTCTCCTCTCAAGCCCTCCTCTCACCATCCTAGACCCCACCTACAGCATCTAAGAAGCCCTGTAACCAGGAAATTGGTGGTACAAGAAGAGAACGCACTAGGTAGATGACCAGATGACCTGGGCTTGATTAGGTGTTCGGCTGGGAACTCCAAGCCTAACCTAAAGTGATCTGCCTTTCATTCTCTTCTTTTTTTTTTTTTTTTAAAGAAAGAGTCTGAGATATATTTTTAATTATAAGCTATTGTAAAATGGTCTGTGTTCAGCACCTCTTGTGCTTGGTGCTCTATCAGCAGTTCAAGAGCCTGGGGCTGCCTCTTCAGGCAGAGGTTAGCATTTAAGTTTGCTCCCCTGCTCCCTTTTCTCATCATCTCACCCCTTACTGGTGGAAGCCCCGGGTGCCAAGTGGGTTATGGTGGTTATTGTTACTCCCATTGTAGAGATGAGGAACCTAAGCTTCAAGAGTGTGCATAACTTACCGAGGCCACAGAGCTTGCAGGTAGCCAAACCAGAATTCACACCCAGGCCTGCCTGACTCTCAGTCAGCGCCCCACAACTGCCAGAGCTATGGCCATGGCCTCCTAACTGGCCTTTTTGCCTTCTACCTTGCCACCCCAACTTCACTCAATATATTATTTACACTGGAGCTAGAGTGACATTTTCAATTAACAGATAAAATGGTGTGTATTTACCATGTACAGCATGATGTTTTGAAAGATATATACATTGTGGAATGACGACATCTAGCTAAATATAGCTATATACTACCTCATAAAGTTATCATTTTTGTGATGAGAACACTTCACATTCATAGAATGACTTTTCTAAAAGCAAATCAAATCATGTCTCTCCTGTGTTTAAAAGCCTACTGTAGCAATTCTCACCCTTTGCTATATACAAAAATCACTCGGGCCAGGCACGGTGGCTCCTGCCTGTAATCCCAGCACTTTGGGAGGCCGAGGCGGGCAGCTCACAAGGTCAGGAGACTGAGACAGTCCTGGCTAACACGGTGAAACCCCGTCTCTACTAAAAATACAAAAAATTAGCCAGGCATGGTGGCGGGCGCCTGTAGTCCCAGCTACTCCGGAGGCTGAGGCAGGAGAATGGCATGAACCCAGGAAGCAGAGCTTGCAGTGAGCTGAGATTGCACCACTGCACTCCAGCCTGGGAAACACAGTGAGACTCTGTCTCAAACAAAAACAAACAAAAAAAATCACTCGGCCTGACGCAGTGGCTTACTCCTGTAATCCCAGCAATCTGGGAGGCCAAGGCGGGCAGATCACCTGAGGTCAGGAGTTCGAGACCAGCATGGCCAACATGGTGAAACCCATCTCTACTAAAAATACAAAAATTAGCCAGGCATGGTGGTGGGCTCCTGTAATCCCAGTTACTCAGGAGGCTGAGGTAGAATTGCTTGAACCTGGGAGGTGGAGGTGGCAGTGAGCCAAGATCACGCCATTGCACTCCAGCCTGAGTGACAGAGTGAGACTCCATCTCAAAAAATAAAAATAAAAAGAATCACTCAGCAAGTTGGCAAAAAAATGCAGGTGCCCAGCAAGACCCCTCTCATTATGATTCAGCAAAACATTATTGGGTTCAGGCATGTATGTTATTGACATATATGTTATATGTACATATGTATATTATACAACATGTATGTTACCGTCAGTCACACCTGATGGTCCTAAGGCAGATGGTGTAGAATGAATTGAGTGTATCAAAGGCCCCAGTCCTTTGCCCTCCTTAGAACCACAGCATTGGCCATATGAATTTATAGTTCCTCCCACTAACATCTTTGAAAAAGGACTGACCTTGGCACTAGCTCTGACCAACAGTATATTAACAAATGTGGCACAAGCAGAAACATTAAACCACACTTGAGTGATTGGGCTTGCGCCCTTCTGTGCTCTTGCATCATGTTTGGGTAAGCTTGGTGAAAGATGGAAAACACTGAGTCACCCAGTCATCTCAGCTGAGGCCATCCTAGATTAGCTGACATCCAGACAACACCCAGACATGGGAATGAACCCAATCAGTATCAACAGAAGACACCTGGCCAACAATCCTAAACATGTCAGCAATAAATGCTTACTGTTATATGCTGCTGAGGTTGGATGGGTTGTTATAGGACATTATTGTGGCAATATATCATTGATCCATGGTCCAAAAATCAAAGAAAACACTAATCTTATGGTATCAAGTCCAAGCTTATCAGCAGAGAATGCAAAGCCTTCATATTCTAACCACACACATTTCTCCTCCCTCTTGGCCCAAGACTACTTACATATACCTCTGCTCCAGCCATGCCAAAATACTGTCAGTTCGCCAAATGGACAGGCCTATTTCATATTTCCATGCCTTTTCTCATGCTGTTCCCTTTGCTTGAAATGCCCTTCCACTCATGAATCTCTTCATCTTTCGTAGGTGTTCCCTGAACATACAACTTGCACCATCCTATGGCTAATGCACAGTCCTATTGTTAAGTTTAACTCTTGGTGTAATATTCATTTACATAAACATAAACTTTTTATATAGTCGTACATATGAAACAGAAACTGGGTCATATGCATCGTTTGGTCACTGGTGCTCAATAAAAAATCATTTGATGAACAGTTAAATGCAGAAGATGCAGAGAATTGGGAGAGAGCTGGAAAGGGCCACCAGGAAGTGTGGTTGGCCATGGGATTGAGTTGGAAAAGCATTAACTTAGAACCCACTTTATTTGTCATAAACTTCAACTAATCCAGAGAGATGATCCATAGAGTAGTTTGGATCCATGAGAGGTGAGTCTATGACCTGCTGCTTCCAAGCTATGTATCTTGAGCAAGCTTTTAATCTCTCCGGACCCTTTTATTGGATTTGTTGGATTGTTTATTTGTTGGATTGCTATGAAAATTAAATGCGATAATGAATATAAAGGCTTTTTCAATCATGTTAAGTGGGGATGTTGGTGTCTTTATTGTTATATCAAGCTACCACTTTCAGAATAAAACAATTCCATAAAAAACCTTTGGATGTGTAACAGTGTAACAGTACAAGAAGATAAAAAACAATTTGCTTCTTCTTCGGTGTTGACCAAGTTCTCTAATTGTCTGAACATATCTGTTTCTTCTCCTCTGGCTGGCAGCCTCTCCACAGCCCAAAAGAACCAGGACAATCTGTCCTCCCAGAGCCTTAGCCTGGCCTCTCCAGGGCCCCAAGACCAGAGCTCAATGTGGAAAAGTGACTCCTCAGCCATAAATCCAAAGTACCTCTGCTCCTACATGTGAGGTTAAAGAATGTTCCCCCTAATGATTTTATTTAAAAATATAAAAACAATATGCACTTCTGTCTTCCAGAGCTATTGCAGAATAGACATACAGAAATACTCCCTCCCAAAACAAAATACCTAAAGTTCTAGAAAATTATTTGAAAGGATCTTTATTTAAAAATATGGGGCTGGGCACAGTTGCTCACATCTATAATCTCAGCACTTTGGGAGGCCAAGCTGGGCAGATCACTTGAGTCCAGGAGTTCAAGACCAGCCTGGGCAACATGGTAATTCCACATATCTACAAAAAATACAAAAAGTTAGCCAGGCATGCGGGTGCACACCTGTGGTCCCAGCTACTTCGGAGGCTGAGGTGGGAGGATCACTTGAGCCCGAGAAGCAGAAGTTGCAGTGAGCCAAGATGGTGCCACTGCACTCCAACCTCGGCGACAGTGCAAGACTCAGTCTCAGAAAAAAAAAAAAAAAAGTATGCCTTTGTTGACAATAATGTGAGAGTTTCTACCAGGAGTCACAAACAGTAAGAAAATACAGTTCTAAGCAGTAAACACCAAAGCTGGGGTTTGCTCTGAGGGCATCTGCCAATCCCTGGTTGCTAAAGCTACCACAAAAGTAAATTCTCCTTAGGTAAATGCACTGTAAGCACAAGCCTCAGAGAATTTCCACAGAAAAAGTTCCAAGATGCATGAGCTCACAAGAAAAAGTTAAAAAGAAAAAGAAAAACATGCAAGAAAAAGTCATCAAGAACAAAAGTCAACAAAATTAACAGCCTGCAATGTAGACCTTGCAGCCTCAAAGACTCCAGATAATTTAACCACTGTTAACAAGATATAACATAAATGTCTTGGTTTTTATGGAAAAAGTACACTGCTTGAGGGCAGGGAGTTGTGTGTGTGTGTGTGTGTGTGTGTGTGTATTGTTGTATATGTTTTGTATATTGTTATGACGTCATAGTGACTGGAAGATCATTGGTTCATAGCAGGCCTTCAGTACTTATATATATTAAATATAGGAATGATAAGGAAACAAGAAAATATCAAAATTGAGAGGCAGATGTAAAAGCAACAGCTACAAATAAAACTTCCAGAAATTAAAATAATTGAAGTTAAAATTTAATGAATTTCATTCTAGTGGGAGGTATGGCTAAAAGGAAGACTTGAAATAAGCATTGAAGAGAGAAAAGACTAAGAGAAAAAGATCCAAATAGGAGAAAATGCATCATAGAGAAAAATATTATTGAAATGAAAGTCAGCTGGGGGCTGTGGCTCACACCTGTAATCCCAGCACTCTGGGAGGCCAAGGCAGGCAGATCACTTGAGGTCAGGAGTGCGAGACCAGCCTGGGCAAGATTTTGAAACCCTGTCTCTACTGAAAATACAAAGAAATTAGCCAGGCGTGGTGGCATGTGCCTGTAATCCCAGCTACTCAGAGGCTGATGCAGGAGAGTGGCTTGAACCAAGGAGGTGGAGATTGCAGTGAGCCGAGATCACGCCACTGCACTCCAGCCTGGGTGACAGAGTGAGACTCCTTCGCAAAAATTAAATAAATAAATAAAATAGAATGTCATCATTTTGAAATATGAGAATTGTTTCAGAAAGGCTAGTTACTAAAAATATGTGGACTGGAAAGGAGAAGTATTGAAAGGAAAAAATACATAATGTTAGTAAAAACAAGATTTGTCATTTGTCAAAACAGGAAAACAGGATTGAAGAGAAGGCACAATAGACAATATTCTATGATACATTCCCAAGGGAATTATGATATTATATAGGAACGCCTGCCTGCCCATCATATCAGACGATTGATGTCATGTCTCTCAGAAAAAGCCATTGGTTAATTTTCACAAATACAACAAACAGCTTAACATGACATTCAAGACCCTTTGCAATCTGAACCCTAGTTTTCATTGCTGTACAGAGTATTGAGATGACTATTTTACAGCTGGGCCACAAGTGCCCAGATATTTGGTCAGTTTTGAGTTGGTCCAATAATGGTGGGCTCTGAGTCAAGCGGATCATCCATAATGTGGGTGGGTCTCATCCAATCAGCTGAAGGCTTTAATAGCACAAAGACTGATCTCCTCTGAGCAAAAAGGAATTCTGCCAGCAGACAGTCTCTGGACTTGAACTGCTGTTCTTTCATGGGTCTCCAGCCTGCCAGCCTACGCTGCAGATTTAGGACTTATGAAGCCTCCAAAATCTTGTGAGCCAATCCTTAAAATAAATCTCTCTACTAATATATGCACATCTTGTTGGTTTCCTTTCTCTGGAAGACCCCAATACTGGTATTGATAAGATTATGGGCCCTGTAATCAGAAATATGGGTTCAAGACCTGGATCCAACATCTACCAATTGTATATGTTGGAAAAGTTACTTTCTCTCTCTAAGCCTCAGTTTCGTCTTCTTTAAAATGGTAATAACAATAGCCTCCTCAATTCTCAAGCCATAGATTGCAAGGCATATAATCTGGTATCTCTATCCATTTGCTTCTGCTACTTCCTTGCCTGTCATCATTTTTCCTTATCTAATGTCTGCTTAGATAAATGTTACTTTTCCTTCCATATCTGTGGTGGTTTTAAAAACATGTCTACAAATTATTCGATATTTCTTCCTTCAAGTTTAATTCCCCTCCTCTTCAGCATAAGCAGAAATTAGTGTGTTGCTTCTAATTAATAGAATATGACAGAAGTAATAGAACATCCCTTCCCAGATTAGGTTGTACAGTTACTGCCATTTCCATCTTGGTCTCTCTCTCATCAGTTACAATGGGAGAAGCCAGCTGCCTGGCCATGAGCAGCCACCTGGAGAGGCCCGTGACAAGGAACTGAAGCCCCCTGCCAACAGCCATGTGACTGAACTTGGAAGGACATTCTCCAGCCCATTCATGACTTCAACCTTAACCAACAACTTCACTGTAACCTTGAGAGGCCCTGAGGCAAGATCACCCAGGTAAGGTACTCATGGGCACTTGAGCCTAGAAACTGTGTAAGATAACAAATATTTTTCATTTTAAGCAAAGAAAAAAATTCAATGGATAGGCCATCAGTGGATGAATGGATAAACACAGTGAGGTATATACATACAATGGAGTACTGCACAGCCAAAAGAAGAAACGAAATACTGACACACACTACCACAGAGATGATGAACCTCAATAGCATGATGCTAGTGAAAGAAGCCAGACACAAAAGGTTACATATTGTATGATTCCATTTATATGAAATTCCCATAATAGGTAAATCTGTAAAGACATAATGCATGTAAGTGATTGCCAGGGAATGGGGAGAGAGGGAAATGGGGAGCGAGTGCTTAATGGTAATAGGGCCTCCTTTGGGACTGAACATTTTTAATGTTTTAGAACTAAATAAAGGTGGTGGCCTTTATCTAACTAAGGTGGTTTATGGAGAATTACCAAATACCACCCTAAAATGACATGAATACCACCCTAAAATGGTTAATGCTATATTATATGAGTTTCATCTCAATTATTTTAAATGCAATAATTATCTATTTGGTTAGTGAATAGAGAACTATTAGTGAATTTAAAATAGATAACTAGTAGTGAATTGAAAATATATACGTGAAGGAATTACCTAGAATGCAGAACAGAGAGAGAAAAAGTTGGGAAAAGTGAGCTAGCAGTTAAGAAACTTGGACAATAGAATGAGAATATCTGACAAATATCTTATCAAAGCTCCAGAAGAAGAAAATAAAGACAAATAAAAATCTTACAGAAAATGTGATAAAAAGAAAAACTCACTTCTTTTTTATTCTAACCACAACTGCTTTCATTGCTTATATTCTAGGATGTATTTACCATTTCATGCCCTATACTTTTTATATATTATAAGCATAGTTCAAGTTATTACATGGTTCTCTTATCATTTTACTAGTATATAACATTCTATTATATGGTTTTATAATAATTTAATAAACTATTCTATTGTTTAGACCAAGGGTCAGCAAACTACAATTCATGAGGCAAATCTGGCCCATCACCTTTTTTCATATGGCTTCCAGGCTAAAAACAGCTTTGACGTTTTTAAATGGTTATAAAGGACATCAAAAGAATAATATTCCATGATGTGGAAATTATATGAAATTCTAACTTAAGCTTTTTAAAATAGAGTTTTATTGAATTACAGCCATGCTTATTCATTTACATATTATCTATGGCTTCTTGCACAATATAGTAGAAAACCTGAGTATTAGAGAAAGATGCTGCATAATTCAAAAAGCCTAAAATATTTACCATCTTGCCTTTGCAGAAAAAGCTTGCCAACTTCTGGTTTATACAATTCCAATTTTTCACCACTAGAAAACAATACTCCCATGACACCTTCATGAATAACTCTCTCCTTCTTTCAGATTATTTTCTTGGGATAAACTCCCAGAAGTGGGTGTGAGTCAGAGAGTATGAGTACTTTGCTGGCGCTCTATATGTCATGCCAAATTGCCTTCCACAAGGATTGTACCAATTTTCACTGGCCCCAGAGGTGTTTGAGAATGCCAGTTGCCATGCACAGTACTTTGAAGACACAGTACCTAACCCTGGAATGTTCTGAAACCTTAGCCGCTCCCATTCTTAGAAGTGGCCACATGTATGACTGTGCATTTTATCACAGTCCAATCTAAAATCCAGACACATCCCGCAGACAGTTGCTTTGTGAAAGAATGTACCCACAACTTAAAATTCTCTGGACTGAGGCTTGTCATTTTCATTTTCTGAGATAACAAATACTTATTTGCATCATCATTATCTTTAATAGGACCAATTCATGAGTAGGCTCATAAACTCAGTTTCTAGATGCAAATTAATAAAGTCTCTTCATTCCGGAGATGAGCATGACTTAGGAAAAAAAGTCAAATGTTCATCCACCTTTCACATTTCCAGTCTATGTGTTTCTCTGCCCTGGACTGAATTGTATGAATCTCCCCAAAATTCCTATGAGGAAGCCTTAGCCCCCAATATGATGGTGTTAGGGAGTCAGGCCTTTGAGAGGTAATTAGGTTCAGATGAGGTCATGAAGGTGCAGCCCTAACAATGCAATTAGTGCCCTTATAAGCAGGGACATTAGAAGGCTCTTATTCTCTCTCTGCCATGCAAAGACACACTATCTGCTAGCCAGGGAGAGGGCCCTCATTGGGAAACAAATCAGCTGGCACCTTGATATTGGACTTCCAAGCCTCTAGAACTGTGAGAAATAAATGTGTATTGTTTAAGCCACATGAGCAGGCATTTTATTATAGCAGCCTGAACTAAGACATTCCCCCACACTCTCATTTTCAACACAAAGAAGCAAATGTTCAATGTGATATAGTTATTGTACAAAATCACTTGACTAATTAATAATACATGTATGACAGGAATCTCCTTCAGGAGTTTCTGCCATTGTCCTCTGTAGTTCATCAGTGTAGGAAACAATACTGAATAAATCAAGCTCCCCAGTTAGATTTTCCTTGGTTATGCACAATGATACATTAACCTAATAGTGATCACATTTGAAGGACTGAAGTTCTGATTAGCCTCCATTTTATGGATTTGTAACCACCCAACAGGTTTTCCTTATCTGCTGCCCACATAGAGCCGATTTATCAAGACAGAGGAATTGCAATAGAGAAAGAGTTTAATTCACGCAGAGCCAGCTGAATGGGAACCAGAGTTTTATTATTCAAATCAGTCTCCCCGAGAATTCAGAGACTGGGGATTTTTAAGGATAATTTGGTAGTAAGGGGCCAAGGAGTGGGGAATACTGATTGGTGGGGTCCGGGATGAAATCATAGGGCATCAAAGGTTCCTCTTGCTGTATTCAGTTCCTAGGTGTGACCACAAGACTGGTTGGGCCCGGTTACCAGTCTGGGTGGTGCCAGCTGGTGCATCAGAAGGCAGAGTCTGAAAAATATCTCAACCACCAACCAGGTTTTACAATAGTGATGTTTTCCCTAGGAGCAATTGGGGAAGTTTAGAATCTTGTGGCCTCTAGCTGTGTGTCTCCTACACCGTGATTTCTAATCTTGTGGCTAATTTGTTAGTCTTACAAAGGCAGTCTGGTCCCTGGGCAAAAGGGGGTTTGTTTTGGTAAAGGGCTGTTGTCATCTTTGTTTCAATGTTAAACTATAAATTAAGTTCCTCCCAACGTCAGTTTGGGCTATGCCCAGGAATGAACAAGGGCAGGTTGCAGGTTAGAAGCAAGATGGAGTCAATTAGGCCAGATCTCTTTCACTGTAATTTTTGCAAAGGTGGTTTCATATCCACATACTATACTTGAGCAGTCATAAATGTACAGACAAGAAACTGTTCTTCAACAATAAGAAGGCAATAATCTCTCACTTTAAATCCTTGCAGTTATTGGCATGGCATAGCTAAAATGATGAGGGGGCGCAAAGAGGGGGAGCAGTAAGGAAGAGGCAACCCAAATTACTTGAATATGCAGCACGTGTCCCTTGTGAGATGGTGCTCATAATTTTTTTTCTTTTCATCATCTATGTTGAGGACAATCGACAGTTTTGTTAGTCACAGAATGGTAGAAGCAATCGCTTAATTTTTTCAACTCATGTAGCTAGGCTTGTCATGTCCTCCTGACAGTTCTGCCACATTTCCAAAAGTCGCAAATGCTTTTCTAGCAGGAAAATGAGTGGGTTTTTCCTCCCTACCCCACCTCCGCAGGCCTGCTGTCACTAGGCTCATTCCCACAGACTACCTTGACAAGTTCTGGAAGCAAATCAAAGGAAAGAAACCCCTGACCCCGGCCCCCAGCGCTTGCCAGCACATATCCTGCCAGCTTCCGCAGGCTGGCGTGAGCAATCACAGGCATGTTTCTGCTTTAGCGACCCCTGACTCCTGCACAAATCTCCTCTGAAATTTGTCCAGGAAAAAGAGCCGGAACTATAGACTTAACTTCTGTCCCTACTGTACAGATTTCATTAGAAAATCCACTTGAAAAAACCTCCCCTCTCCATGATCAATCTGTACACAAAGGCAGCAATTGAGCCTCATGCCTGGAAATCAAAGTGTGGATTATTGAATATCAAAGCGCACCATGGGGTACCCCAGCCCTCCGGCCTGCTCCTCTCCTCCCTCCCTAGGCTTCCCTCCCTTTCCTCTGACAGCTTCTACCTGGATGCCCAAACCTCCTGGATTGTTTTCTCACTCATAATTAAATTCAGAATGCATCTGGTTCACAAACGATCCTTGGTAACAATCAACAAGTGCTTACTGAGCACCTACTATGCGCCAGGCATTCTGTCTATCTCTGAGGATTTAAAAATTAATAAAACCCAGCCCTTGCTTACAGTCTTGAGACTGAGAAAGAAATAGAAAGAAAGCAAACAAAATTGTATATACAGTTTTAGTGCAACCAAATAAGGGCTATAACAAATATCTAAGTTGTATTTGTTTTTCCTAACTTACTGTGTATGTGACCCAAAGACTTGGGTTTTTGAGATCTAAAAAGAAGCATTGAAATCTCAGCTCTGCTATATAATATTGGGGAAAATTACTTAGTTTCTCTAGGCCTCTATTTCCTCATCTGTGAAATGGACATTAAAATGATACTAAGTTAAAAGAATCTGTGTGAAACTTAAATGAGATAATATTTGTGCTTGCCTCCTATAAATCCTAAAGAACCTATGGAGGAGGTTTAGGAACCTCCAGCTTTGTGCAGTGTCTGCACAAGGCCCTGCTCAGAATGTCTGTTACATCGAACAGAAAGGGGAAGACAAGAACATGCTCCAGAAATGGAGGAGAGGCTGAGCCTTCCCTTCTTCACCCTGGAAAGATAAAGTCCTATGTCAGTCCTATGGGGGAGGGTCTGGCAGTCTGTTGCTCACAGCAAGTAAAAAGCCAGAACTGTGTGTACCAGAGGCCCTAGGTTAAGCCTAAGCTGTTCTCTTCTCATAGCTGGTTAGGCCTAAAGGATGGATTGCGGTGAGGAGGAGCCACGAGTCTATTTCGTGGCTTGTACAGCAAGAGAGCCAGGAGCTAGGCACACGTTGGATCCACACAGAGCCCATTCCCAGGTCAGAGGAGAGTCTGAGGCTACCCAGGAGCCTTTTCTGTGTTGGGCTGCCACCTCGGCCCCCCGCACCTGCCACCTGAGCCTTACAGAGAGGGCGCTTTAAGAAACAAAAGAGCCACTTCCACAATAAATCTCACTGAGCTACAACACAAGGCAGTCCTACACTGAGACAGAAGCAATGGCAGGTGACCCAAAAGTGGAGGAGGGGTCTCCCCACTCCACTGAGGAGCATGACAAGGCTTCTGCAGCACAGCCATGGCAGTGCTCAGTGATCTGGGGCTGGCCCAGCTATGGCTTGGTGGTGAGGCAACTTAGCCTCAGAGGCCTGGGCTAAGGACATCGTCTCAGGAATCCAGAGCCCAGACCAGAGCAGGAGACCAGGAAAAGGGCAGGTGGCATGGCGACAGAGCCGAGGTTCTAACCACACAGAAGCCACCATCTGAGCTTCCCAGAGACTGGGAGAGAACTCTCAGGGGACCTGGTGGGAGGGAATCAGAGCTACAAAAAAAGCAAAATCCCTGCTGTTACTGTGACTTTGTTTTTGTGCCCTCAGGTTGGAGCAGCCTGCAACACCCAAATTGCAGCTATTTACTCTGAGGTGTGTTAAAAGTATATTCCTAAGAGCAAATCTGTTGTCATGTAAATTCCATCTGGGGAGTAAAGGAAAAGCAAAGGAAACCCTGCGCCTCATCTCCCTGCCTTGCCGAGGGTGTTTTACGGGTGAGGCTAAAGGTCAGGAGTCTATTGCAGTGACAGAGGAGGGACACCCAGAGGTGGATGTGGGCAGGAAGGGAGCAGGAGAAAGGATGTCCTGAGATAGGAATGGGGCTATGCAGGAAGAGAACATGGAAACTATTAACTGGCAAAGAAGTGCAGGGCAAGGGCCTGGATGTACTTGCTATTCCAAAACTGCCCTGAAGAAATCCAACTTTATGTCTTTAATTAGGACCGTGGTGCAGACAGCCTGTAGGGTGAGTGGATAGCCATACCACAAAGCACAAGCTCTCTCTGTCCATTGCTGAAGGACGTGAGGCATTGCTCTTGTGGCCGGGATCATGATTAGGCTCCTGCTGGCTGGCTCCCGCTGGAAGCACAGATCTGAAGGAACGCACATCACAACCTCCAAAGTCAAACATCTGGGCCTTTAGAAGAAGATAGGCTGTCAAGAAGAGTTAGCTGGGAAGCTTTAATAGAGCAAAAAACTGAAAAGCCCAGCTGTGGAGCCAAGCATCCAGTTAGCTCTGATTCTTGCTTGAAGCCTGTTCAAACAGAAGCCCTTTCATTCTTGATGTAGAAAGGACAGCTTTGCTCGAACTTTCTGCCATTAATTTATCTGCACTGTTGAAAAGAGGAAGTCTTTCTTTCCCCAACAAAAACAAAGCATTCTTCCTCATATTTGTGCAATAATGGAGCCCAGATCAGGCAAAGGCTCACCGTGGGCCTGGGATTGGAAACCAGGTACTCACAGATGAGTCTACGCTGCTCACTGCTGAGTAGCTTCCCTGAAATATTTTCCTTTACTCCCAGAACAAAGCCCTCTTCCTCTGAAACAGCAATTTCACAGAGTCCAAGAGCCCAGAGAGCAACTGGCCTTATCCACTTCATTTCCCCACTGCGCTCAGCACAGTGTCTGCACAAAGCCCCACCCACAATGTCTGTTACATTGAAGAGAAACGGGAAGTCAAGAAAATGCTCCAGAAATGGAGGAGACACTGAGCCTTCCCTTCTTCACCCTGGGAAGGTAAAGTCCTATGTCAGCAGTCAGCAAAGTATTACTGTTAACTACACAGCAAGTGCAAAGGCAGAGCTGTGTGCAGCAGGGGCCCTCGGTTGAGCCTAAGCTGTTCTCTTGCAGGTCTTGTTATGCCTGGAGGAGGGACGGGGATGGGTAGCCACAGATCTATTTCCAGAGACATGGGGATTCAGCATGTACCCCAAAAGAGCCAGGAGCCAGGCATACACATTGGATCCACATAGATCCCACCCCCAGGTCAGAGGAGATTCTGAGGCTACCCAGGGGCCTTTTGTGTATTGGGCTGCCTCTTACTGTAAGAGGACAAAGCGAATATGTTAGGTTTTATGGGCCAAAAAGCAAAATCAAAGATATTATCATATGTGTACATAACAAGAATGAAACATATTTTTATAATTTTATCCAATCATTTAAAAATGTAGAAACCATTCTTAGCTCTTGAGCACCACATAAGAACAGGCAGCTGGCAGATTTAGCCTGCAGGTCACAGTTTGCCAACTCTGGCCTATGTCCTCAGCTACTTCACCAAGGTCCCCCTGCCTTTTTCGTGTTTTAAATGTCTGACTTACTGAGTTTTATTTGACCAAGGCAGAGTAGAATAAGATGCAATGACTTGACATCAATTTAATTTCCACATCATTAAATGCTCTTGTTCAACTTATGTTCAAACAGCCAATACACACAAAATGAAATTTAGCTCCTTATCCACACTAGCTGAGCCTCTTTTAAAATGCAAGTAGAATGTTTGGAAAACCACAGAGTTTTCACCTAAGGAAGGTTACCAAAGTTTTTAAAGTTCCTGAGACATGATAAAGTATCGGGGAAAGGAATTATCCAGAACCACATCCGTAAACTATTAGAATAAACAATAATGACCAGATAGAGTGATCATGCTCTTTAGAATCATATTCACCTCAGTTCAAGAGCCAGCTCTGCCTCTCACCACCTGTGTTACCGTGGGCAAGTTACTTAACCTCTCTGAACCTCACTTCTTCTCTGGTACAAAGAAAATAGCCCGTAATCCCAGCACTTTGGGAGACCAAGCGGGCAGATCACCTGAAGCCAGGAGTTGGAGATCAGCCTGACCAACATGGTGAAACCTCGTCTCTACTAAAAATACAAAAATTAGCGGGGCATGGCAGCTGGCACCTGTAATCCCAGCTATTTAGGAGGCTGAGGCAGGAGAATCACTTGAACCCAGGAGGTGGAGGTTGCAGTGAGCCAAGATCTCACCATTGCACTCCAGCCTGGGTGACAAGATTGAAACTCCGCCTCAAAGAAAAAAAGAAAAAGAAAAATAGCAAAGCCTATTCTCTTGCAGGATTAAAAATAACACGGGAAAAGCAGAAGATCCATGGATATTTACTAAATGATAGCTATTATTTCCAATAGACTTTTAGCGGCAAGGACGCTGGGTACTATATGGCCTATCTCTTGGCAGGTTACACCTTCCATGATGGAATGTGAGAAGTGGTTGGGCAGCCCCACACTCCCCACAAAATATATTTCTCCACGAGCATCCTATGGTATCATAAACTTCTGTTTTTCTCAATCTTTTGGGAAAAGGTATTTAAAACAAACTTTAGCTAAGCGTCATTGATATTAATACTATCTAAGGAAGAACTTTATTTATACAATTTCATGTAATCCTTGCTGCAACCCTGGAAGGTGATCAAGGCAGATGTTGTCTCTAGTTCATAAATCAGAAAAACAAACAAAAAATTGAACTTGGAGTCAGAGAATCTAAGGTTGAATCTCAAGTGTGTCAAGTTTTGCAACATAAAACTCCAGCTTGTTATTTTACCTCTTTTAGCCTCAGTTTTCTTATCTGTAAAATGAGTTTCTGGCATTATGAGAGATTTTTATTTGAAATGTCTGCCACAGCATCTGGAACACGGCAGGGGTGAATACATACTAGTTTAAACTGTATTGCTGAATGACAAAATCAGATTGCAATGGAGTGCATTGACATACACTTCTTCAGGCCATTGCTGATAAGAAATGTATCAGACAAAATGACCTAAAAGTCTCATTGTCTGTGCAAAAATGATTCTCAGGGGTCTGGTAAATTCTTTCCATCTCTGAATGCACAAAATTGCTGCCAAATCCCAGAGTCTGCTGACCTGTTTGGAATGCTTTGGTCAGACTAATAAAGACAGTCTTGGATTCTCAATACTTTCCCCTTTTTGCAGTCAATCTGGAGAACTGATGCTTCTCTACCACACTACCCGGTGTGTCTCACTCTATTAGTGAGTGACCTGCAACTTAGGGAAGATGCATAGAACAAATACCTGATCTCCTCCCAGTAATGCCTTATAGGAATGCATGTTTAAAAATTACCCATTTAGCAAAATTTTCCTGAACACCTACTACATACCAGGCATGTGCTAGACACAACAAATACAAAAATGTGTAAGACCAAGCCACGCCCACAGCCTAGTGGGCAAGACAGGTTTGTAAACAGGTACAATACAATGTGGTAATGGCTATAATAAAAGGAAGATTGAAGTGCTAAGAAAATAACTAATTTTTCCATGGAGATTTAAAGAAGATTTCACGTAGAAGAAAGCATTGACCTTGGATGTTGACATGGTTTGGCTGTGTCCCCACCCAAAATCTCATCCTGAATTGTAATCCCCATAATCCCCAAGTGTCATAGGCAGGACCAGGTGGAGGTAATCGGATCATGGGGGCAGTCTCCCCCATGCTGTTCTCATGATAGGGAGTGAGTTCTCACGAGATCTGATGGTTTTAGAAGTGCCTGGCATTTCCCCTGTTTGCACTCACTCCATCCTGCCACACTGTGAAGAAGGTGCCTGCTTCTTCTTTGCCTTCTACCATGATTGTAAATTTCCTAAGGCCTCCTGAGCAACGCAGAACTGTGAGTCAATTAAACCTCTTTCCTTTATAAATTACCCAGTTTCAGGTATTTCTTTGTAGCAGCGTGAGAATGGACTAATACAGTTGCAAAGGATGAATGAAAGTTTTTGAGGTGAAGCAGAGGGTCTCCAAGGAGAGGAAATAATGCTAACGAAGGCCCAAAGTGTTTAGTGAGATGAGACTGGGAAAAGTCAGTCCCTACCACTTGATTTGAGAAGCAGGTGATTTTGGCTATAAGTAACAGAAAACCGTAGCTCACAATAATGTAAATGATAAGGACATATTCCTTGATGTCTGAAAGTGCACACTGAGTATCCTGAGTGGATGAATTCAGCTGCTCAGCTTGTTTTAGTAACTCTCAGTAGCTTATTCTGTATAATAAACAGAACAATTTTGAAATTTCAGTTGCTTACAGTAGCATATGTTTATTTCTTGTTCATGAAATTTTTCAACTGGGCTTGACTGGGCTCTGCTGGACTCAGCTAGGCTTAACCAGGCTCAGTGAGTCTGAGGTTAATTCAACATTTATTTCTTCTCATTTTGGGGCCTGGGCTGCAGGAGTTGACAACAGAGCATGCTATTGTCAAAGAAGCAAGAGGCCAGCCATACCACACAATCACACTTAAATCTTCTGCTCAGGATGGGCAAATGGAACATCTGTTTACAGTCATTGGCACAAGCATGTCACCTGGCCCATGCCAAAGTCAGCAGTGTGGGTCAGTGTGGCAAAGGTGGGGCAGGATCAAAGAACTGTAAAATAGTGGTGATGATGATGATGATGATGATGATGATGATACAATCTGTTACTGCTGTTATCTGAATGTTGGTGTTCCCCTTAAAATTCACATGTTAAAACCTAATACCCAATGTAATAGTAGTAAGAGGTGGGCCTGTTGGAAGGTAATTAAGTTATGCAGGCTCTCCCCTCACAAATGGGATGAGTGCCTTTATAAAAGAGGTTGAAGGGAGCTGCGTTTCCTCTCCCACCATGTGAGGCTGCAGCAAAAAGACACCATCTATGAGGAAGAGGCCCTCACCAGACACTGAATCTGCTGATGTCTTGATCATGGACTTTCCAGCCTCTGGAACTATGAGAAGTAAATTTCTGTAAAACAATTACCATCATCAAAAATCTTGACTCTCTCTGCCTGTCTTCTCAGCCATCCACAGAACTGGCTTCATCCTGAGGCTGCTAATAGAAACTGGGACTATAGTCTTCCTGGTTCACCTCCAGCCCAGAATGGAATTCTTGGTTTGGGTCTGATAGAACCATTTTAGGTGATGTCATGTCAGGTCCCTGAATCAGTGACAGCCACCAAGGACTGTCATGTTCTGATTGGCTGAGACTAATTAGGACCTATCCGTACAGCGGGGGTGAGGCTAGCCTCCCTTGAGTACCTGAGAAGCGGGTAGATACATGAGGGAATCAGAATTCTGTTAGGAAGAAAGATGTAAAAAAAAAAAATGAATTCTGGGTCAGCAGCTTGCAATGTGCCCCATGTAAGCATGTTAATGACTCAAAGTTTAATTCTGTAGGACGTAAGGAGCCTACAGAGCACAGACATGACAAGATCTGATTTTAGGAGGTGTCACTCTCTCTTCATTTTTCTCCCACCTCTCTGATCACCTCTCAGTGTCCAAGGTAGATTCTACTCTCTCTCCACTTACAGGTGTTGCTACTTTTCCAAGTTTCTATCCTGAGGCCTCTGCTCATCTTTCTAAGACTTCAACTAGCATCTTATGCTAATGATTCTAAATCAATACTGTTAATACTGACTTCTCTCTAAAGCTCCAAAGGTCTGTTTGTAACTGGCAGTGGTCTTCTCCACCTCCCCGTGTCTTTGTTATTGGCACCCTATTCACCTGGATGCAGAATCCTGGGAGTTTCCCTAGACTTTCTTCTCTTGGACCTCAAAATCGATCAGTTATTATGTGCTATCTTTTATGCCCCTGATATCTGTGTCTGTGCTTGATTAGTGATGTCCTCAATGGTCTCCCTCCTCCTTGTTTTAATCTACTTCAAGCCATTCTCCACCCTGCAAACAGGGAGATCTTTCTAAAATACAAGTCTCATCTTGACACTTCCCTACCGAAATGGCCTGTCGTCATATTCACATCATAGTCCACACCTCTGAGCATGGCATTTAAGGCTCTTCATGATCTTGATCCTCTACACCTCTTTATCCTCATCTCCCATTGTCCCCTCCCCCCAACAATCTGGCCGTGCTAAATCATTGCAGCCCAGGCTTCTTGCACCTGCATGCTTTCATTAATGCGTTCCCCAGCCCCTTGTCTTCCTGGCTCACTTCTACTCAAGCAATAGCCCTGGCTCCGGGGTCACCACCTCTGTGCTGTTACTATTCCTTTTGCTCTTCTTCTTCATAGAAATCACCCAAATGTGTTGTAATTGTATGCTCACTTGCCTATTCCCCTCAGTAAGCTCTACTTGAAGGTAGGGTCTTTAGCTTCACCATCTCTGCATCCTTAGCACCTGATGTAGGATCTAGTACATGTTTGTCATATGAATGAATGAGACCTAGAGAGATCAATTTATTCTTTTGAAGTTATTCATTCATTCGTTCATTCATTCAATAAATATTAGTTGAGTGTGTACTCTATGCCAGGTATTATTCTGGGTATTAAGGATGTAACATTGAATAATACTGCTATCACAAAGCAGACATTCTGTGGGAGAAAGGGAGTTATACTCTAGTAGAGTTTACACTGATACAAAGAGGCAAAGATGGAAATGGAATTAAAAAACAGAATGTCCAGTCTGTTCACTTGTTTCCTCATTTATTTAGTTTAATGAGCAACTCCCTGCCAGCCATTTTATTCTTTTCATTACACACACACACACACACACACACACACACACACATATCAAATACTGGTTTAGCATCTGTGTCTTCTCTCCCTACCCCCAGCCACCGCCCCCCACCCTGCCCGCTGACAAAATTATAAGCAATGTGAATTACTTAGTAAATATTTGTTGAATTCATGATATTTGAACAGATGGTTAACTATGAAAGGCTGGGAAGCAAGGGACAGAGTCTGCCCCTTCAATATGTTCTGATATGTCTCAATTTGTGAAGAATAAGTTAGAAACAAAAGTAAAACTCAAACTATAACTGCCATTCTTCACACACTCTTGTTTAGAGGACAGTGAAGCCATTTCCTAGGTCAGATTCTCTTCCATCAAGTTGGGCACCTGTGAATTTTGCAGAGCTTTGACCACCTCGTTCCTGAGCCCTGGAGCCAGTCGCATCCTCCGACCTTCCCTCTCAGAGACAAGAGCCACAAAGGACGTGATGAGCCAATGAGGCTCCTTTCACATGGAATGCAGGGATTCCCCTACGCCTGGAATGGTGCATCCAGCCAGCACCAAGGGGACTGAAATTTCCCCATGGGGCCCCTCGGGCTCTAGTGAACTCTTTCCAAGGAAAAATTCTTGACGTTCCATCTTCTCTCTGGAAACTCTGGCACAAATTCTGCCTGTCCCCAGTGGAGACATGCACGCCATTGTGATCTCGCAGAGTCCCATCTGGAGTTTTAAATCCCTCTTATGTGGGAGCAGAATGACTGGGCTATTCTCCCAGCCTGAGCCCTCTTCTTTGAAATTGATGGAAAATTTATATCAAATTCCAAGTTCCTCCCAAGGGCTCTTCTGTTTCCCGTCAGGACTGCTCTGTCCTTATTCTCTGATTAAGGGACACGTAGCTAAGGCTTATGGGGTGCAGGTAGCCCCAACACTAAGCCCATGTATTTCTTAGAGTCAACAACTCTTAAAACTGGAAACAACCTAAACTTAAAGATTCACAGCTGCTTCTTATTCAACAGATAAGAAAACTGAACCTCAGATTTGCTAGTCAGCTCAGGACACTGGCACAAAATACCACAGGTGGGGGGCTTAACAGAAATTTATTTTCTCACAGTTCAGGAAGGTAAAAGCCCAAGTTTTCAACAGTCTTGGTTCCTTCTGCCGCCTTTCCCCGTGGCCTCACATGGCCTTTCCCCCATGCTCAGGCATCCCTGAGGTCCCTTTTTTGTGTCCAAGTTTCCTCTTCTTGAAAGGACATCAGTCCTACTAGGTTAAGTCCTACCCTCATGGCCTCAGTTTACTTTAATTACCTCTTTAAAGGGCCTATTTCCAAATACAGTCATATTCTGTGGTTGGGGTGGTGGGGGGGTTAGGGCTTCAACATATGAATGGTGGTGGGGACACAACTTGGCCCATAACCCTAGGAAGCTCGTAGGTTTCCCCAGGCCATCCCACAACTGTCTGGATCTCAACATCCAAGTCTCAGAGGGACTCTCTCTCTCGCCATCAAATTCAATGTTACACCCTCTCACACACTTTGTCCCCAAAACCCTATTTTGTTTTCTTCATAACCCTCACCATTTTTCACCCTGAGAAAAGCTACATGTAAGGCTTTAGAAGAAAACCCAAACTCCTTATCTTAGCCAACAAAGCCCTAATCAGACGGAGTCCCTGCTACCCTCCCCAGTATCAGCTCCATCACACTCTCCCCCTCTGCTGCTACCTTCCGAACATCTTGACCTGCCTTCTGTCCCTTGAAAGAACATGCCAACCTCTTTCCCACATGAGGGCCTTTGCACTTGCTGTTCCCTCAGCACAACATGCCCTTTCCTTGCACAGTTTCTTGCCATTCAAATGTAATCTTAATTATCACCCCTTCAGAAAGGCCTTCTGTGACCAGCAAACCTAAAGCCACCACCCGGTTACACGTAATTGTGCCAACACACCTGAAATTTCTGCATAGCAGTCATCGCCTCCTGACAATTTCCTTGTTACTAATTTGTTTACCTGTTAATGTCCAACTCTGCCTCTCCTCTGCCCTCCACCCCACACCTAGAATGGAAGTGACAGGAGAGCAGGGGCTTTCTCTGTCTTGTTCGGAACCATATCCTCTGTGCTTCCAACTGTGCCTGGCCCCTTGTAGGTACATTAGTACGTCTAATAATTCAGAAATATTATTTTAAAAATGATACAATACATGAATGAATGATGAGCTAGGCCAGATTTTCTCAATTGCCATACTGTTGACAGTCTGGGTGAGGGTTACACACTGCAGGTTTGTGTCCCCAAAATTAATGAGTTGAAACTCTAACCCCTAATGGGATGGTATTTGGAGGTGGGGTTTTTAGAGGTAATTAGGTTTAGATGAGATGATCATGAATGAGATTAGTCTCCCCCGTGGACACAAGGGGAAGGCAGCTGTCTACAAGCCATGAAGTAGCCCTTTCTAGACACGAAACCTGCCAGCACCCTCACTTCCCAGCCTCCAGACCATGAGAAATAAATATTGTTGTTTGAGCCACTTGTCTATGGTATTCTATGACAGCAGCCCAAACTGACTAGGACAGCTGGATTGCTCCCTGTTGTGGGCGCTGTCCTGAACTTTGTAAGATATTTAGCAGCATTCCTGGCCTCTACCCCCTAGATGTCAGTGACACCCACTCCCCAGTCATGACAACAAAAATGTCTCCAAACACTGCCAAATGTCCCCTGGTGGGGGAAACATCACCTCAGTTGAGAACCATTCATGAGACTGTGAGCTCCCAGATAGAAGGAACTGTATCAGAAACCATCAGATACCTAGTATGTACACATAATAGGTGCTCAATAAATGTTTATTGAAGAGGGAAACATTGAAGTTTCACAGTGGCTATAAAAACAGACTGGTCCAAATCCGTTCCTTCAAAAGGATTTAGCCACTTACTATTTACATGACCTTAAGTAATTCACTTAACTTCTCTAAGCCTCTGCTTCCTCATTTGTTAAACAGAAATATCAAAAAATTCCTACATTGTGATCCCGCTTTCTAAACCATAAAGTATAATATAAAGGTACTATTAGTTATTTGTTGATTCCCAGGCTGTGCATTTTTACTACCTCTTGTCAGCTCTTGCCTGAAGTAACTTCAAAAGAGCATATTACCTCCTAATTACCAAGACCCTGCTCTAGTATTTACCTGGTCCCTCTTGTCTCCAGAAGTTGGGGGTACTTCCTAAATTTTGTCTCTTCTTCTTTTCTTTAATTTCAGACTCACAAACAAGGTCTCTGTCTCAAAGGACTCTTAGGAAAAGATTTTCCCTGGACAACTTTGTCACAGGGAGACCTGAGTTGTTTGTGGTGTCCCTACTTCCCAGTCTTCAGAAACAGTATGTTTCACCTTAAATATTAAGCTGCATCTATGGCCTATTAATGTCCCAATCTTTCCTCAAGGAGATGCCACACAGAATTAGTCTTTTTCTCTCTCGTCCAATAATGGCATCTTGTTTTTATCTCTAGCATAGCACATTTCATCGCCTCTTGTATCAGAAGAACAGATGGATCTTTACTTATAACGACTGTGAGCTTCTCAGGGAGAGGGTAGGATCCAAGGGTGTCAGGGTAAGAGATTATAACCTATGCCCTGCCTCCTTCTGTCACCACATCCCAGAAGGAAAAACAAATAACTATCAGAAATATAATCCCCTGGGAATCATGAAAGTACATGAAATCTGCTTTTGAGATTAGGAAAGACAAGTCATATTTCTATGAATTCTAAAACAGTACAATGCAGAGTATGCATTATTTTTAATCAAAGCAAGAAAAAAAAGCACACAGAAAGATAAACTCTGAGCGCCATCTCATGGGGAAATCCACCACTGCCCCATCAGTGCCACTCACACAGGGATGAGGGCCCTATGCAGTCCACAGTGATGTCCACACCACTCTCAATCCGCCTCAACCCCATCCCCTTGTCAGTTTAAGTCAGGGCAGCAGCCTCAGCAGCAGCAGCAGGCAACGTCTAAGGTGAATCCTGCTGCCTGTGGTCTGGATTCCACGACACCAGGATCAACTAGGGCTCACCATGTGGCCTCTAAACCACAGAAGCCTTCACTCTAGCCTCTGTCATATGCCTTGGCCATTCCCTACACCTGGGTCCTAGCTCCATTTCCTGCTAGAGCTTAACACTTCCCTGAACCTGAGCTTTTTGAATGAGAAACCTATAACCAAGGTAGTTCACACTGCCTTCCTCCTGGCTCAGAGCCTGTTGTGAAGAAACCAGTTGCCCCAAGCCTGAGAGTATTGCCAGCCTCCTGGACCCTCCCACTCAAGGGAGGCCTCACTTTTGGATTGGACCTCACTGCCCAAACACAAACCCGCCCAAACACACAGGAACATGTCACATCCTTTGGACACTAGGGGTCAGGCCCCTAGGCCGCTCCATGGGGCATTTGCTCCTGCCAATTAGTTTTCCCAGCCTGCTATCTTTAGCTTTCTCTCCATCCAGGGCCATGCTGTTGCAATCCCAACATGCCTCACACCTAAGCTCATATAAGTTTCAGCACATCCACCAGAGTCAAAGACCCCCCAACATGCCACACAGTGGTCCTTTAGCCAGTTCATAATGATAGATGGGGGACGCAAGACCAGCAAGTCAAATTGCATCATGTAGTGTCTGATGATGCAATCTGATACATAATCATGAATAAGGAAGCTAGAGTAAAGACCACAAACTCAAACATCTATCAGAGTCAGGAATATAAGTAAATGAATGGCATGGGTCAGGTGTTAGGCAATCCAGGTTGCAGCCAACTGCCACGGGTACCCACTAGGATAGTTATTTGTATGTGTCCATTTGTCTGGGCCATGGTGCACAGACACTTGGTCAAACATTATCCTAGATATTTCTGTGATGGTATTTTCTTGGACAAGATGAACATTTAAATAAGTGGACTTTGAGGGAAGCAAATTGCTGTCCATAATGCAAGTGGACTGTGTCCAGTTAGTTAAACAAAGACTGGCCTCCACCAAGCAAGAAGAAACTCTGCCAGCAGAGGGCCTTTGGACTCTGACAGCAACTCTTCCCTGATCTGGCAGCCTACCTTGTAGATTTTCACTTGCACCTCCACAATCATGTGATCATGTCAGCCAATTTCTTAAAATAAATCAATCTATATATATATGTGTGTGTGTGTATATATACATACACACACATATATCTTATTGGTTCTACTTCTCTGGAAAACACTGACTTACACACCCACCTCAACAGAGCAGCTATTACTATTCAGATCAACTAACTCTAGAGACCAAACGAAAACGTTTTTAGACCACTGCCAACCTCTGGGCCATCAGTTGGGATGTTTCAGCGAGAACTGAGACAAATCAAACCAGGAGCTGTTCTTAGTCAAAACTGCAGCATCTCTGCCGATCCAACTCAGGGACATCAAATCCTCCACGCCACCTCTATATCCACGTTCCTTTTCTCTGCTTCCTCTAACCATAGTTCTCTCCACTCTATCCTCAGCACTAGTTCAAAAAGGAAAACAGATAGTATAATATTTATACAGACCAGGAGCATAATCATCACAATAATCCTGTAAATAGACACAAGGATCCTTCCCAGTTTACAGATAAAGAACAGGCTGAGAGATGTTCAGTAATTTCGCCAAGAAATTTCGCCAAGTAAGCAGAGGTGTGGGAGATCAGAGCCTGGACCATCTGAGACCAGAGCTCAGAGTCTACCAAGCCGGCTTAGTGAAGAACCTCTTAAAAATATTCATTTTAAGAAACTCAGCCTGGTTTGCTCATCTCCAATAAAAGATGACGAGACAACAGCTCCTGCCGCAAGCCATAGAGGCCATCAGGGTTCACCACATCATACAGGAAACACACATGTAAAACCCATTGGAGTTCTCCAGCAGAATAACAACTTTATCACCACAGTGTAACCTGAACATCCTCCACACAGCTGCAGTCAGAGCAGTAAATCGAAAACTGAAACCTGAGCCTGGCACACCCCCGTTTAAAACCTTCCTGAGACTTGGGGACCTCCTGTCTCTTGTCAGTATTTGCCCTGAGAGGCAGAGTGAGGCTACATCTTCAGATGGGGACCAAGTAACCACACTGGAGGGGGAAGGAGGTGACACAAGGGCTGGGAAGCTGCTGAGCCAGGTGAACCATGGTATTTGGGAAGGTTTGAAGGAGAAGTGGGGGCAGCCATATTCCTACAGTGTCCTTGCTAGTTAGGAGGATGAATGTGTCCTGGCTTCTCTCTGCCCTACCCAACTCGCATGTGTGACTTGTCATCAGGTCTTCCCAGGGAGATAGAGCCACTAAGCTTCCCCTTGCATTTTCCTCAAATGCAGGTAAAGAGGGGTTCTCTACCTCTCCATGGATTTTTTTCTGACTGTAGTTGAAAGGGTTACTCTCGCCCAGGCCGTTTCTCAACCTGGCCTCACAGGGGACATCAAGAGGCCTCCAAGCTGGCTTCAGAGTGATTTTTGGCAAAAGGAGGACTAAGAGAGGCCAGGCTTTCTGCCAAATTCTGTTCTTGTGAAAAATCAGTTAGCCCATTCTGACCAGACACATAAAATAGCCTGTAATAAATGTCTCCTGAAAATGTTGGGGGAACTTTTCCATCTCTACGTACTAAGGTTATAAGAGAGTCATTGAAGCACAGAATTAGTCTTGCAAGCTGTGGAAACCAAATATCTAATCAAGCCATAAAAAAAAGGAAAGGAAAGAAATGCCTTAAAGCTCTGTTCTCTTCGTCTATGTTCCTTTCTGGTTGTTGCAAAGGTCAAAGATTACTTTCATAAATCTGTTTGATATGTTGAGATGGGACGGCTGCAGAATCTAATTGCTTGGAAAAGATAATTTGGTGGATACAGTCAGTAGCAAGTACAGCCTACATTATACAATTAATTTCACCCCCAGAGGGATACCTGGGAATCAGCATGTGGCCGCCAAAGTGGCTCCAAATTCTTTGAAACAGGAGACCAGGTGCCTTGAGGTGCAGTAACTTATTTAGGAGAGCATGGCCAGCTATGAGCGAAATGAGGTATCCACACTCTAGGGCCATTTTTATCATCCATACATTAGCAATCTTCAAACTGAGCTACATCCTCATAAAGACCTCCCTAGGCATATGTGGGCACAAATATAATGAGTTCCAAATCTATAATTATCAAAGGTGCATTATTTTATAAAATTGATCTGTGTGAGAAAGTACCTTAAGCCAACAAGCCGGGTCCCTTCTCCCTTCTTTCATTCTGCAAAAAAACAAAACAAAACAAAACAAAACAAAAAAAACTTCTCAGCCATATAAGTATGTAGCAAGCCCAAGGTGCCAAACAAAGAGACAATTCAAAATTTTGATATCTGCAGAGCATTCATTAATAAGCAAATATAGTCCTCACCCATGTTTATCATGAAGAAAAGCATTTCCAATAAAAATATTTTACTTTCATGACTTGTAATTGTTTACTAAAATGTACAGTATATACACATGTTATTTTGAATAATTTTAATGATAGCTCAATCCAGAAGAAATTTGTTTTACAACTTGAAGCCTTGGAGTCACAGGAAACAATTTTTGTTTCAACTTTTAAACATATTTTCTTTTTCAGAAATGTTTCATAGGTTGATCAACAGAAGACCCTCCAAACATAAAAATACATTACAATAAGAGAAAACTCTGTCATGGGCATAAAGTAGAAATATGATTTTCATGGTTTCAAAAACATGTAATGTAGATTTCCTACTATTAAATAAAAACCCATTCATGTGATTTTTTAAAAATTAGATAGTGAATGTCAAGTGACTATGACATCTTTATGCCACTAGATTAATGTTGAAGAGTGATGCATTATTTTATATTAAAACATTCAATATTTATAACATGTGAGACATTTCATCCTTTGATACTATTTAAATTTATGAAGAAAAAATGCATAAGTCAATTTAAGAAACACGTAAGGGAGTACATAATTTTTCGTAATACATTTAGGTTATATAGAAGCAAGAACTTTGAGGACCAGTGCCTCTTACTTTCTTTTTGGATGAACAATAGAATTGATGATCAAGAAAAAACAGTTCTGTACTTGGAACTCTCACCTGCTATTGGGCCAGTATGTTAGTCCGAGTAGTGTGTTAGTAAGCAGAGACTGCCTAGATGCTCAGCAAACCCATTTCTTCTTCCTGGAAACACTGTTAACATTTCCAACACTCTGCATTTGGATGAGGCCATGTGATTGGTTTTAGCCCAAGGAAGGTGAAAAAAAGTGATGTGTCCTTCCAGGCCAAAGTGGTTAAGAACAATATCGATATACCTTCTCCATGCTTCTGTCTTCTCATCTGTCAGCTGATGACACCAGAGCAAACTTGAAACAATGTGTTAAACATGGTGGAGCACAAGGTAGATGGATTCCTGAGTAACCGCCTGGAGGAGCTTCCCGGAAGAACCTCCTGACAAAGAATAACTGCAATAAAATTGACATAGGCAAGAAATACGTGTATATATGTGCATGTGTGTGTGTGTGTACATGAAACCATTAATTATCCTCACTTACACATCTACTAATATCCTAACCATGATTTGATTCAGAAGTGTGCCCTTGCTACATTGGAAGGTGTCCTCTTATCACACATGGATGGCTTCATTTAAACCACCACTTCCATTTTGATCAGTCTGAATTTCAAAGGAACATCAAAACCATGGCTGTAATTAATTCAGTTAACTTGTATATTGTCCAAACTGGTTCTACTTAAGTAATCAAACATTCATTTTAGTTTATAACGAAATCTTAAGCTTTGTTCTTTGAAGACTCCAAACATGATGACGGGAAGTGTTGTGATCTCTAAACCCCATGAAGTCTAATCCAGGTATTCATCTTTTTAACATTACATTATTGAGGCAAATCTATGCAGATTGTATTCACAGTGTGACAGTAGTAGTATTCTCTCTGCCTACAACATAAAATCCAAACATTTTAGCATGGTGTGATGGTTAATTTCATGTGTCACCTTGAATGAGCCATAAAATGCCCAGATATCTGATGAAATATTATTTCTGGAGGTGTCTATGAGGGTGTTTCTGGAAGAGATTAGCATCTGAACTGGTGAACTGGGAAAAAGCAGATGGCTTTTCCCAGTGTGGGTGTGGGCATCACCGAATCATTTGAGGGTCTCAATAGAACAAAAAGGCAGAGGAAGGCTGGACCTACTCTCCGCCTGACTGTTGAGCAGGAACATTCGATCTCCTCCTGCCTTTGGTGCCCCTGGCTCTCAGGCCCTCAGACCCAGGCTGGAATCTACACCATCAAATCTCTGGCTCTCAGGCCTGCAAACTACACCACCAGCATTCCTGGGTCTCCAGTTTATAGGCAGTAGATCATGGGACTCCCAGCCTCCCTAATCATGTGAGCCAATACCTTATAATTTATCTCATAGATAGATAGATATACAGATATCTACTATTTGTTCTGTTTCTCTGGAGAACCTTGACTAATACACGTGGCACTCAAGATTCTTTACAATCTGATCCCAATGTGCCTTTCCAGCATTGATTTCTCAAGACTACATTTATGCTCCTTGTATTCCAGCAAAAATTAAATTTTGCTATTTTATTACCTTCAGTATAACTATGATTGTTAGGCAACATTTCTAATGATCCTAAAACCATTATGCCAAGCATATTAGTATTTCTCAAACTAATATTATAGGAAAGCTTTCAGGAAATACTAGTTCCAGGAAAAGAAAAAAAAAAAAACAACAACTTCTTTCCTGCTCATGTAAATTGGTTTGCTTATTTAACACAATTAAATAGATGTCAGTTTGCCTTTAAAAAAAGTTCTCAATATGTTAACATTTAATCAAAATCTCTGGCATTTCCCCAAACTTATTGCTTTTAGGGCCCTTTTTCCCATATTGACATCCGCAGAGCACAGCTTGATTTCTCAGCAGTTTCTGAGCCGCCCCAGGACACCTTCTCTCCAGGCCCGTCTTCATGCTGTTCCTTTTTGGGCAAATCCCCCTCCATTCTCTCAACCTCTGTCTCCATGGATCTGGGGCTAAAGCTTCCCCAGCCTTCAAGGTTCAACTCTTTACCTCTCCTGTACAGCTTTCCTTGGAGTCCCCACCCCTCTGCTCGGCTTCCCACTGCTTCTCCATTAGTGTCCTCCTCACATTCTACCTTGTTTAACTCTACCATTCACCTTTTACCTCCCTCACTAACTGGTAAGGTCTTTAAAGCAAAAACCAAATATTAGTTCTTTGTCAGTGTGCCGGCATACAACATTATGACACAGTATATGCTCAATAATTTTTTTTGCTGTAATGATTGACACTTCAAAGCATAAATCAACCAAGCCGAACTTCTAGTGATCTAACACATATGGTTTGGCTTTTGCACTTATTGAGTGACCCTAAAAGTTTGCAATATTCAATATAGACTGGTATGCCATGTCAAGGCCAAGTTTCCTTAAGCAATCACTGGCAAGTGATGCCGTGGGATATAGGTGAAAAAATAATGTCATTGCCTCATTATTTTAGCTTAATATATTTCTGGCTAAGAAGTAATTTCATGAGTCACCAACTTCTTTTCTATGGCACCAGTAGCTATCTTACACAATATAATAATGGAAAACTGTCATTTGAAGCAGCAACAAAGGAAAGATCAAGTTCTGACCCATGCTGAGGTTTTGGAACAGTTGGGCTTTCTGCAAGCCAGGTTGACATGGTGGGGAATGTTTTTTCTGGCCCTGACTACCAAGTCTTCAAAAAGAAGAGCTCACATTTTCCCCTACCCTTCAATCAGGATAATGATTTAACAGCCGTTCTAATTCAATAACCCAGTTGGTATTTATTGAGCCCAGCACAATCACCTGTGTTTGCCAGTTGCTTTTAAGAAAGGTAGTTCCAAAAAAAAAATAGTAATATGAAGAGATATGCAAAAGGCCCCTGGGGCAAAGCCTGCTATTTGTCTATAATACCCTTGTTCCTGTTCCTTATTGGAAACAACACTCTAATTTTATTGGCGGCAGGAATGCACTCAGCTAAAATTCCAAGTTTCCTCATCTCCTTCTTAATTAGACATAGCCATGAGACAAATGTTGGCCAATGATGGGTAGCAGAGCATGAGGGCCTTCCAGGAGGATTACTTAAAAAGAGCAGACTCAGCCAGGAAGGTTCATTCCTTTTGCCCTTCTTCCCATCCTCTGTCATGTTACCTGGGATGCTGCTCTTATAGTTGGAGCTCTGACAGCAGTCTTGAGCCATGAAGTAATCTTGAGATGGAAGCCCTGAAGCAGAAAGATAGAAGGAGGCTGGCTTCTTAATGATCCTATAAGGCTATGCCTACTCCGGCTTTCTTTTACATAAGATTTAAAATAAATTGTTGCTTAAAGGTTTCTATTATAAAAAGTCTGTCTTAGTCTATCCAAGCTGCTGTAACAAAATACCACAGACTGGGTGGCTTAAGCAACAGAAGGCTAGAAATCTAAGGGCAGGGTGCCGGGATGGCCAGGTGCTCACAAGGGCCCCATTTTCCTGCCATGCAAAGAGCTGCCTCCTCACTGTGTCCTCACATAGCAGAAAGAGAAAACAGATCTCTCCTCTCTTTGTCTCTTCTTCTTCTTTTTTTTTTTTTGAGAGGGACTCTTGCTCTGTCGCCAGGCTGGAGTGCAGTGGCACCATCTCGGCTCACTGCAACGCCACCTCCTGGGCTCAAGCAATTCTCCTGCCTCAGCCTCCGGAGCAGCTGGGACTACAGGCACACGCCACCATGCCCGGCTAATTTTTTTTTTTTTTCGTATTTTAGTAGAGACAGGGTTTCACCATGTTGCCCAGGCTGGTCTCGAACATCCTGAGCTCAGGTCATCTGCCCACCTCGGCCTCCCAAAGTGCTAGGATTACAGGCTTGAGCCACTTGTGCCCGGCCTCTTTTCTTCTTCTTGTAAGGCCACCAATACTAATAGATTAAGAGCCCACGCTTATGTCCTCATTTAACCTTAATTATCTCCTAAAAGCCCTATCTCCAAATACAATCACATTAGGGTTAGAGCTTCCACATGAATCTGGGGGCAAACAAAATTCAGTCTGCTTCAGAGCCCATCCACGTCAGAACCTGGCAGGTTTATGGTCCACACATTAAAGTAAATCTCAGACAAATACTGTCTTGTCCAGAAAGTTAACTCAATGCTCCCTGTGCATTCTGTCTACTTACAATTGTTCTTTTCCCTTGTTCTGGGGTTGCTCATTTCTCCCCCTAACTGCATCATACCCCTTCATTTAGGCAACCACCTAGATTTACCTGCTTGCTTCTAGATTCCAGTCTCCTAGATGTCAGCCTTATTCACAGTTCTTCTCTCTACATGCTGCCATGTGTTTGGAATCTCCTGATATCTCAGATGAGAAAAACTGTCTAACATAGCCTCTAACATTGTACAAACCCTACTGGCAAAGCTGGAACTGTGGCCTAAATACCGCTCTAAAGGGAAAAAATTCTAGATGTCTGTGGATGGACAGGTAGATGCCAAGGCTTCCACATACAATTGTACAAGTTGTGCACTGCACCATTCTAAGTGGTGCCATTCACATCATAAGCGAACACTCATCTCACTCATCTATGCATGATCTATGCTGTATAAGTAGCCTGGTACCCACTGCTAAGCAGTCAGAAGTCAGAGTGCAACCAGCTGTGCTGCTGGGCCCTCTGGACCACTGAGAAAGGAGGAAAAGAGAGCAGAGATGAATTATCAATGTCTACCATGGGAGCACTGATAACTGAGAATGGGAGGAGTGAATATAATCAGCATGCAGGTATGAACAGTTGTAAGGTAGGATATGGAAGAAAATCATTGTCATTCTTACTGATAATAACAATTGTATGTCATTATCATAGCACATTCATCTAAGTTTTCTCACTTAACACTCACAATCTCCTTTATAGAAATTATTATTAATATAATTTAATAGATGAGGAAATGAAGACTCATAGTTAGATGACTTTCCTAAAATTTATTGGCCCAGAAGAGGAAGAGCAGTGCTTAAACCCAGGGTTTCCTTTTCCCCGACTGTGTTCTCTCTATCATGTGCTCACACATTGATGGTTTAGGAGCTAAGTATATTCTCATCCTCATTTTATTCTTAAGGAAAATAGAAAAACAGTTAGTTTCATGCATTTGTCCAAGGAAAATGGGAGAATCTGAACTCTGAGCCAAAATCTGACTCTGGATCCTGGGCTTGTTTCACCACCAGCATGTTACATTTCTCAAAGCATCCTTGCCCACTTGATCTTCTGCTAATACACTTGACCCCAATCCCAGTGCTGCTTTTTTTTTCCACTATGGAAAGAGCATCCTAAAAACAGTTGAACTATAAAGAACACAGGAGCCTAGTACAGATGAGAAATGTGATTTAGACACATATTCAGAGCCCACGAGCCCACCTTCCATTCTCAGCTGGCTAGCCATGTTTGCTGGGTGTGTACTGGCTGCTCAGCACAACTGCGGGCACAGATCCATGCCACTGAGAAAAACACTCTACCAGGGAGACCAGAGCCAATCAGTGCAGTCTGGAGCCAACTTTAATTAGCCAATAAATGCTGCCTGGAGGACCATGTTGCAACCAACTTGTAAGACATTATCCAGTTCAGGGGAAAAGAGGGCAGAGAGGGATTATCAATGCCTGCTATGGGGACATTGATAATTGAGAGTGGGGAGGGGTGGGTATTGTTAGCCTACAGGCTTGATGACCCAAGTACGTAAGGATGGAATGATTTCTAAGGCACACAAACTAAAAGCAGAGTGCAAGACTCAGGACTATCTCTAGGAAGGGTCGGACAATTACACTGTAACCAGGAAATCACTCCCTTCTTCTCTCCTCTGTCTTCTCCCTATACCTCCAAACAGTCACAGACTTACACACACACACACACACACACACACACACACACACACACACACGCACACACTCCTATGAAGCCAGGTCAAATGGAGGTTAGGAAGACATCAAAGAACAAACAACATAACACAATGGTTATGTGTAGGAGGAGATGTGTTTGAATAGGAAACTAGGGTGGTCCTGCCAGCTTTGCCTTTGTTAGGAGCTTATTAGAGGAAGATAATTTTAGAACTGAAACATTGATATTTGACATGACAGAGATAGAATCTGGGGTAGGCCAGGAGAGCAAGATCAGACTTTGAGATCTAAGAAGTGCCTGAAGATTGAACAGCAGGGTCAGAGCTATCACTCACAAACAGCACTAATTGCTCCAGTCAAAATTTTACCACTTTCACTTAACATGTGCTTATAAGGCTGAGGCAAGTACCCAGACCACATATCTGGGTAAGGACAGAGGACAAGCAAAGGAGGCTTCAGGAAAAAAAAAAATGTGGGAAATGCTTTTCCCAGATCAGTTTTTGTGTTTGTTTGTTTGGTTGTTGGTTGGCTGGTTTGGTTTGGTTTGGTTTGGTTTGGTTTGGTTTGGTTTGGTTTGGTTTGGTTTTTTTGGTCCAGGTCCCTGTCTTAGCAGTTCTTGTCTCGGGAACACGGCCTTTGACACCAGAGACTTTTGAAAATTCATAGTCCAACTTCACTTACCCACCAACCATCCCCAGCAGAAAAATGAGGTCCAGAAAGGTGGTGTGATTTGTCCAAGGAGATACCAGCAATTCATGTCAGAGCCACAAGCAAAGAACTTAAGTTATATGTGTAGAAGCCTATCTTTTAAATACTTGCAGAAGCCTCTCTTTTCAATATTTCTTTTTTTTTTTTTTTTTTTTTTTTTTTTAGAGGGAGTCTTGCTCTTGTTGCCCAGGCTGGAGTGCAGTGGTGCGATCTTGGCTCACTGCAACCTCCGCCTCCAAGGTTCAAGCAATTCTCTTGCCTTAGCCTCCTGAGTAGCTGGGATTACAGGTGCCTGCCACCATGCTTGGCTAATTTTTGTATTTTTAGTAGAGATGGGGTTTCGCCATGTTGGCCAGGCTGGTCTCGAACTCCTGACCTTGTGATCCTCCCGCCTTGGCCTCCCAAAGTGCTGGGATTACAGGCGTGAGCCACCGCGCCCACCCAATACTTTTAAAATACTAGCGTGAAAGCCACTTCTTTTCTCCTGACAGCTGCCACCTGCCACCCAGAGTCACCATCCAGCTTCTCAAGATGGCTCGGCATGTGTGGAGTCTCCTGGGGACCAGTGTATCAGACAGGATTAGGTTTGGCTGCGTATAACAGAGAAGCTAAAAGTAAGTGTGCATATTGCTCACTAATGAAAAAGAAGTCAACAGTACATAGTCTAGGGACGGCATATAAGGAACACAAAGTTGTCTGGGACTCAGGCTCCTACTATTGTGCCAGACTACCAAATCTGGAGGGTAGCTCAGGTTTTCATCGTCCAAGATGCTCTGCTAGAGCTCCAACCTACACGTATGGCAGTAGAGGGGAGGTAAAGTTTAAAAATAAAAAAAGGTATACTTCTTCCTTTTAAGAATACTTCCTGTGTTCACTCACAGCTCTTATCTCATTGGTCAAAACTGAAGTCAATCAAAAGCTTCCATCCCAATTGCAAAGGCAAATGGGGGAGGTAGTCATTTAATTATTGTCAATATGCCATCTCCTTAATAATGAGAGGAAAACAAAGCTAGAGAAACAATGCGATTTCTGCCATACCCAGGGCCAGTCTCCAGGTGACAGGAAATGGAAAAGAGAAGACAAATGAGTAAGTCAGAGAAGACTCATGCCCTGATGGCATTTGAAGCCAGAAGACATGAGTTAGCACAAAGGAGAAAGGAGAGAGTTTTGCACGAAGGCATTCTCATAGGCAAAGGCCTAAAGGAGGGGATATTAAAAGCTAATATAATAGGAGAAACAGTTACTGGGCCAATGGTGATGGAGAACAGCCTAGGGAACCAGGTATACAGGTAGAATGGGAGAGGCGTTTGATCACCTATCAAGACCTAATCTCTTAGTTTTTTGCATCATTTCAACATTTATTGTATGCCTACTTTGTGACAAAAGCTACACCTACTTGAGTAAGAAAGAATGAAATAAACCAGGTGTGGTGGCTCATGCCTCTTAATCCCAGGACTTTGGGAGGCCGAGGCGGGAAGATCACCTGAGGCCAGGAGTTCAAGACCAGCCTGGCCAACATGGTGAAACCCCATCTCTACTGAAAATACAAAAATTAGCCAGGTGTGGTGGCAGGCACATGTAATCTCAGCTATTAGGAGGCTGAGGCAGAAGAATTGCTTGAACCTGGGAGGCCGAGGTTGCAGTGAGCCAAGATCATGCCATTGCACTCCAGCCTGGGAGACAAGAGCGAAACTCCATCCCCTGCCCCAAAAAAAAGGAAAGAAAAAAGAAAGAATGAAATAGCCACTAAACTCATGAACCTTAGACTCCAGAAGAAAAATAAAACACATAAACAAACCATTGCGGTGAAGAGTGATGGAGATGATCCTAAAGTTCCACGCTAGGGAGGCACCAAGAAGAGGCACTTAACACACACTTAGAAGGTCAAGGAAAGCAGAGGCCACCTGTAGAAAATGCTAGGGATAAAAAAAAGCCATTAGCACAGGGTTAAGGTAGAGGCTCTGTGTCTGCTTTGCCAGGTTCAAATCCTAGCTCCACTTCTTAAGAGCTGTGTATCCTGGTAAGGCATTTATTATCTCTGCACCCCAACCTTCTGATCAATAAGGTAGGGATCCTAATGGTGATAGTGGCACCTATTTGCTAGGATTGCTAAAAAGATCAAAGGAGATACTCCACATGAAGTCCTTAGCATGGATCTGGCATCAAAATAAGTGCTCTGTATAGATGAGCTGTTAATAAGAAGATTATTACCAATGCTAAGAGCTAAGAATAAGTAGGAACTTGTGGAGAATAAGAAAAAAAGAGATCCAAACAGAAGAAACAACTTCTTCAAAAGGCCCAAGTCACAGAGAATCAGAAGGGGCACAGGTGGGGAATCTGAGAGAGGAAGCTGAGGAGGTGAGCATAACAGGTCATGCAGAGAGTTTCGGGCCAGGTAAAGGCATCTGGATTTTAACCAAGAGCAATATAGGACATCATTAGAGCAGGGAAGCTGACATAATCAGGCTTCCAGCTTAGAAAGATCACTCTCACTACCACAGCATGAATAGATTGACTAGAGGCAACCTGGAAGGCCAGGTGCTGATCAGGAGACAGTCATGGTAATCCTGATGGCAGATATTGCACCAGACATAATTATTAATAAAAGCTACTTTTATTCTTTAAAATGTCCTTATTTGGAAGATAAATTATGGCACCACTGAATAACATCCCATTTATACAACCCTATTAGGACAACAGGCAGAAAACTGGGACTCTTCCACCAGCCAAATCAAGCCATATAGTCACTCATCTTTCTGACACACACACATATAAGAATCCCCTATCCACAATGGCAAGTAGTCTCACTGGGACTGTCAGTGCAAGTGCCAGACGGTAAACCCATGATTCAAGGTAGGATGGCTGAACTCAGGTCTTTGAACTTGACCAGAAATGACAGAAAAACCCTAAACACCAGAAAGAGCACATTCAGTCCAGCATCTTCTCCCAGTTATACCATCAAAGCATCCTGATTCCTAGACTCATGGCACCATTGTTGTTTCTGTTCCTTTATAAACCTACTTCTCCCCTCCCACCAATTCTGTGAGCTACCTGATGCCATTGCAATATATTCCTTTTGTGCTGTTAAAAATCCTAATTGATAGAATTATAATCAGCTTTAAAACACATAATTCTGACTCTAAATTCTACCTCTGACATTGACTAACTCTGTGTCTTTGGCCTTAGTTTTCTCATCTATAAAAATAATATAATGCATACTGTCTTAATCTGTTTTGTGTTACTATAACAGAAAAACACAGACTGCTTGATTTATTTTTTAAAAAGAAATTTATTTCTTACTCTTCTGGAGGCTGGGAAGTCCAAGGTCAAAGAGCCACATCTGGCAAAGGCCTTCTTGCTGCATCATCCATGGCAGGAAATAAAAGGGCAAGAGAGGGCAGGAGAGCAAGATATCATACTTGGAGCCACAGGCCCCTTTATAATCAGCATTAACCCATTTATGAAGATGGAGCATGAACACCTCCCATTAGGCCCCACCTCCCAATACTGTTGCACTGAGGATTAAGTTTCCAACACATGCTTTTGGGAGGATATATTAAACCATAGCATATACCTTATAACATTGTTTTAGAAATAAATGAGATGATAAATGCCAAGCACCTGGCTCAGTACCTGCTTCAAGAGTAAGCCATCAGCTAATATTAATTTTTTTTCAATCTTGCTTTCAGTTAATATTATGTAGATTTGGTTTTGATATTTCAAACCAGTATTTAGAAAAAGGGTAATCATTGGAATATCTTTATTTATTTTATTTATTTTTAAGGCAGAGTCTCACTCTGTTGCCCAGGCTGGAGTGCACTGGCACGGTCTCGGCTCACTGCAACCTTGGCCTCTCAGGTTCAAGCAATTCTCCTGCCTCAGCCTCCCAAGTAGCTGGGATTACAGGTGTCCACCACCACACTTGGCTAATTTTTTGTATTTTTAGTAGAGATGGGGTTTCACTGTTGGCCAGGTTTATCTCGATCTCCTGACCTCAAGTGATCCACCTGTCTCAGCCTCCCAAAATGCTGGGATTACAAGCGTGAGCCACTGCACCTGGCTGGAGTTAAGCCAAGATGCATCATGAGGTCCAACTGAGATTCATTTGTACTCCTGAAAAAGTATAAGGAAAATAATAGGTGAATAGAATATTAAGTGTAATGTCTCTTTCAGTAAGAATAGTCTAGGTTGTGCTGCAGTAACAAACAATCCCAAAATCTCAGTGGCTTTTAACAACAAATGTTTATTTCTTGCTCACACTACATTTTCATTCTGAGTTGGGAGGGTGCTTGGCTCCTGTGCATCCTCACCTAGTGTGTCAGCCAGGGAAACAGAACTCATGGGGTATATACATGGAAAGAGATTTATTTTAAGGAATTGGTTCACATGGTTGTGAAGCTGAGAAGTCTCAAATCTGTAGGACACACCAGCAGGCTGGAAATTCATGCAGGGATTCTATCTTGCAGTCTTGATAAGAATTTTTTTCTCTTTGGGAAACTTTGGTCTTTGTTCTTAAAGCCTTCAACTGATTAGATGAGGCCTATCCACGTTATGGAGTATCGCCTGCTCAAATTTTACTGATTTAAATGTTAATCTTATCTAAAAGTACCTTCACAGCAACATCTGGACTGGTTCTTGACCAAACAACTGGACCCAATAGCCTAGCCAAGTTGACATAAAATTAACCGTCACACCCCAGCTAAAGAATCAACTACCATCTCAAATGTTGCCTATCATTGTGACAAAGGGGAAAAGAACATGGCAAATCACACTGGCTGTTAACATTTCCTCCCAGAACTGATACATTTCACTTTCACTCACAGTTCATTGACCACAGCAAGTCATACAGCCTAATATTAATGAGGTCAAAAAGTACAGTCTTAGCATGGGCCCAGAATAGAGCCAAAATATGAATGGCCTTAATGAATACCACAGTGTCATAATCTCATTTTAATTTTTAAAAATCATGCCATCTCCCTTAGTCCCTCCCTTTTTTACTGTGTTGGCCGAAGCTTTCTGTGTTCATAGTACACAGAGATTCCCCTGAAGGAAGATGGGACAAGGGAGAGCCATTGATAGAAACATCTCTCACTAGGCTTCTTACCACAGGGCTCTCAGCCTCTGAGAGTCTAATCAGAGAGGGGCCCATGAGGTTTTGAATTGTCCACTGTGAAAAGCAGCAGCACCTTCTACTCTGCATATCATTCCAGAGTTTGTCCTGTACATTGAGAACCTGTGAGACAGAGGATCATATTTCTTGCAGACAACAGGCAGAAATGGTGCAGATGGAAGAGGCATCTAAGTTATGATTTCTGAAAGGATTTTCAAACGTCTTTATCCTGCTCTGGGGCTTGTGCCAGATTTCCCTCCTGTGTTCGTCTAGGGGAATTTTCATAGTCAATTTATATAAAACAAGGATCTGTCCCTTGGTGCACAGTCAGCTCAGGGAGTAGCCACTTTCCCACCTTCTGCTTCCAAAAAGTAGATTGGTCGATTTATTTTATCCTGCTGAGGCAGCCAAGCTGAATTAGCATCACTGGGTGCAAATAACCTGGGCTTCTCTTCAAAAAGAAAAGAAAAAAGTCACCTCGTTGCTAAAGGCATGCAAAAGTTGCGCTAATTGCTTTCTACTCAATCCCCTTGTTGGCAATAGACAGCCTGGAGAACCCGCTGAGAAGGGCGTAGACACATGTCAGTGCCCATGTGATACCCGGGCAATAAGGGTCTGCATTCAGAGATGTGCTGAAGATCACATGAGCTAATGACACCTGTGAAGTATTTAGCACAGTGCCTCGCCACAGCCTTGCTCAGTGGATGACAAAAGTTCTTATGGGCAATTTTGCTCTGGGGCTGCATGTACCTGCTCAGGGCTGGGCCCCTAGAGGCAGGTAATCCAGAGCTTGACTCCAGACTCAGCTACTCAGTAATCGTGGGACCCCAGGCAAGTTACTTAACCTCTCTACACTTCCATTTCCCAATTACACCACCGAAGCATCCTGATTCCTAGACCCGTGGCACCATTGTTGTATCTGTACTTTTATAAACCTAGTTCTCCCTTCTCATCAGTTCTGTGAGCTACTTGATGCCATTGCAATACATTCTTTTTCTGCTATTAAAAATCCTCAATGTCATGGCAATACATCCCTTTTCTGCTGTTAAACATCATTCATAGTGATTTCCCCCCACCCCAAAATAGAAATAAACATAGTGCACAGCACATAAGATTATTGTGAGGATGAAAAATTGACATAAACAAAGCACTTAGCAGAGCGACTACATTCATGTGTAATCTGTTCTATTAGCCCCAGCTAACAAGGGAGTCAGGACCCCAGCTCGACTGTGGTTCCTCTGCTCAGTTCTTTTCAAAATGGCACCATCTTTTTAAGGACAGTAGTCTTCAAATTCTGCCCAAGGAGCCTAGGTACCTCTGAAGAGGGATGGGGAAAGTGAGACAGACAGGGCCTCACACTTCCTGTCACCAGAAAAGTCCTGCTTTGATCTGTTCCAAAAATGCAGATGCTGCGCACAGTTTTACTCTCCAAAAGTGCTCCTGTGGGCCGGACACGGTGGCTCACATCTGTAATCCCAGCACTTTGGGAGGCCGAGGCAGGTGGATCACAAAGCCAGGAGATCAAGACCATCTTGGCCAACACGGTGAAACCCTATCTCTACTAAAAATACGAAAACTTAGCCGGTTGTGGTGGTGGGCGCCTGTAGTCCCAGCTATTCAGGAGGCTGAGGCAGGAGAATCGCTTGAACCTGGGAGGTGGAGGTTGCAGTGAGCCAAGATCGTGCCACTGCACTCCAGCCTGGTGACAGAGCGAGACTCCGTCTCAAAAAAAAAAAAAAAAAAAAATGCTTCTGTGGGACAATATTTGAACATTTGTTCTTCGGTGTCACCACTCATCTTCTCATTCTTAAAATCATTAAAAATGAGATAAACAAAAATAACCATTTATTCTCGATTCTTTTATCCATTTATTCATTTTGTTTATTAATGCGTACGTTTTTTGGCCAGGCCCCCAGGGTTATAGCCTTAAACAAACAACACAGTCCCTGGGGGCCTGCAGGTCATTTTCCAGGCAGACATAGACACAGAGACAGGCCAAGGTAACCCAAGTGTTAGAAGCCTCATACTGGAGGCAAGTACACGATGCTGAAGGAAAAGAAACCATCCAAAAATCTTTGGGGGTCAAGAGAGATTTCTAGGGAGAATGGTGTAGAAACTGAAAGCTAAAGGGCTGGTATGGAGGATGGGAGAAGAAGAGGGGGCAATTTTTCTAGGTAGAGGCCGAAAGGTAAGAGAGAACATAAGAAATACAGGAATAATTGCCCAGCAATTGGGAATGCCAACAGATAGCACAAAGGAGAAACAAAGTACCCCAAAACATAAGGATCCAAGACCCAGCTAAAGCCTCTCCTATCCGGATAGATGTTTCACGTGCAGCAGATCAGGATGTAAATTCACTTAATGATTCCAGCCAAGAACCTGGCATCCCAATATGTCCCTTCCAAGGAACAGTGTCCTAAATGGTTCTTGGTCGATTTCATGAAGGAAAACTCTTTTGCGGCTCGGGCTTGAAGGCACACACTGGGAACAGGCAAGCGTGGGCACCCCAGGAGAACCCTGCCTGGGAAAACACTGTGGCTGATGCAGCTTTCTCCTGCCTCTCTCAGCAGAGCTTGTGTCACTCGCTCCCTGGAGGGGCAACTTCTTGAATGAAATCACTGAGCGGTGGAGAGGAGGTCTTTGTAAGGCTTTTAAAGTCAAGCTCTTCCCCAGGCTGGGATTGGGAAATGCAAAATTTGCTGATTGAATTCAAGCTTCTCCGAGCAGGTGCAACAAGTGTGAATGTTCTCAGATTGTGAACAAGGCCATGACTAATTCTCACTTCATGTACCCAGCCTCCAAGCCAAGAGCCACAGGTTCACTTCTTCATGAATCCCCGTGAAAAGCAAATGCAATCCTCCCCTCTGGTAGGAGCCTGGGCATGAAGTCAAGGTGGAGAAGGCTCGTTATCTTAATGGTGTTGAGATCATAATTACAATAATAGTAACAAATAATATTTACTGAGCACATACTCTGTGCCAGGTACTGTTATAAGCACTTTGCATAAATTAAACTAACTCATCTCAGAAACCCTGAAGCCAATAATACTACTATCCCAATTTTACAAAAACAAAAAGATGTCCAGAAAGGTTATACGTAGGTGGATAAGGAGGTAGAAAACCACAGAGTTGTCAAAACCTGTAACACAAAATAAACAATATCCATACATAAAAATAGTAACATTTTTACTAGAACTGACTACAGGACCTCAGATTAATCACCACACATGGACCTACTCAGAGGCATCTACAGCGTATCAGGACAAAACGGACTTGAATGAGCAACGCTAAAAGCCATGAGAAGTTCAAGAGAATGCTTTTGTTGTGAGAGACAGTGTGCCCAGCTAGAGGGTATTAGGGAAGGTTTAGGGAACAGGTGAGGCCTGGGATCTTGAAGGATGGGCAGGATGTCATTCCAGGTTAAGGGAAAAAGAAAGAGGGAGGGAGGGAGGAACATGTCCAAGGAAGTGCAGGAATTGGATTGTGGCTGGAGTATTGACCACACACACCGGGATTTTCAGACAGCCACAGTAGACTCCAAAGGCCCTCTCAATTCATCTCTAGAATAACTCAGTTTTTATCTACTTTATCTATTGGGCTTCTGTATGCATTTCATTTGAAGAAACAATTCATTTAATTTCTATTTTTAAACCTGAACACCAGAAGGTAGAGAAAGCATAGAGGAGGAAGAGGAAACAAAGCAAGAATGCTAAGTTGGGAGAAGAGCCTGGAGAGCTGCAGTCAAGAATATCAAACCTGCACCATTCCCCACCACCTCTCTCCATTCTACGACCATAGCAAACATCACTGGTGGAGCAGGTAATCCTTCCCTACTGTGCAGACTCCGAAGCCTTCCATAAACATCAATGACTCCAGGCATCAGAAGTGAGGCATCACGGAGCTAGGCAAGGGAGTATGGGCTTTTTTCCTACGACAACAGAGAGCATGTGTTTTTGAAACATTGTCCCTAAAGGTTCATTGATTTCTAAATAATGCTACCGCGATGGGGCCATGAATCCATGTCCAGGCCTCACTTGTAGGCAATCTCATCTCAAAGAGATCTTCACAAATGACTCCCTAAGTGTCCTGATCTTCCCTCCTACAAGGTCCAGATCCCCAACAATGATTAATCAGTGAAACAAGAAGTGAGAAAGGACTTCCATAGTGTCCAGAAGGCCAACCTGGACTGACCGTTTTTCCATTACCACACAGTGAGAAGCATCCTTTGTTAGTAGTGGAAATTTGGGGATCCAGGAGTAGAGTCAAAATCTATGTTTCCCAGTCCAGAGATGGCAGGTGATGGGGTAATGAGGCTGCTACAGAGGAGGGGTAAGAAGCAGGTGATTCAAGCAGTAAGGAAGGATAAAGGGTTAGGCGGAATACAAGATTCACCTGCTCCTTTAGGTGTAAGAAGCAGGATCTATAGACATAACTGTGCTCTGCTATATATCTCTGCGTGACCTTAGACATGTCAGTTCACCTCTCTGAGCCTCAGGTTTCCCATTTGTACCTTGGAGGTAATGCTTTCACCTAACGCCCCACCTCACAGGGTATGTAGGGAACATCTGTTGCTTATTCCCCCTTCTCCTGTCAACAACAAAATTTGCTTTTTACCCAGCTTGGAAGGGCCTTCTCATCAAGGTTTCTCCATAGTCTCTGGGCCAAGGAGTGTGCCCAGGCTGGGCCCATCTGACACCCTTACCCCGGATTCCTGAACAGGGAAATGCAAAATTGAGAACAGTCAGGACCAAGGCAGGGCAAAGGTAGAGCCTGAAGAGACGACCCCTTTATTCCCGCTCCCCCGTCCCAGCCCCAGAGAGCTCTGGGTCCTGCCATTGTGTGACCCATCTGCATAGTTCAAAAAATCTCTCGATACTTAGATGAGCCAGGGTCACCAAGAATGCTGGCTGACACAAAGGTATCGAATGAGGACGTGATGTGAGGAAAGGCACTTAGACAACATAAAAGATGTATACAAATGCCAGATGGTATTCTCCAGAACATTCCACACTGTCAGCCACCCAAGGGTCTTATTAAATGATTGTTGAAGCAAGACTGTTGAGTGTGCTCTCTGTTCTTGGACACAACTTTTCAGAGATGCTTCTGGCCTTTTGTGCTCATGGACAGAGCTACTCACTATGGTCCTTTTGCATCCCCAGCAGGTCACAGGGCACTGAGTCACTAGAATGTGTCATCTTTATCACACGATGCTCAAAGCCTTCTGTCTCTTTTCCCTGTCTGATTTACTTCCTTTACTTCAGATGCTTATTCCTTGACAGACTAATTTCAAATGAAAAGCCATGGGAAGCAAGGCAATATTTTTGCCCTCAGTTCACACCAAAAATCTGTGAGATAATGGCAAGTGATGACCAGATGCTCTTAGGGCTTTGCAACTTGCCAGCTTTGTGACAAAGCAAGTCATTACCTCTCTGGACCATGGTTTGCTGCCTGTCAAATGCCGGTGTTAAATGAGAAAATCTCTAAGGACTCCTTTAGGGCTGAAATTCTCTAAAACGATTTGGCCCCACCTGGGTTTAATGCCAATCCATCTCCTGTGCTCCATCTTTAATGCAAAGAGATCATGGCACCCCTCTCGGCCAGGACCTTTCAGGTCTAAATAAGTATTCCTAAAACTTCTTTAAACCCCAGAACAATAAATACGTTTCATTGAAAACATCTATAGCATTCTTCCTCAAGGAAAATATCAGATCTTAAAAAGAAATAAAACCTCTACAACAAAAACTAAATCAAGCAATTTAATTAGACATCACAGAAAAGAAAAAATAACTGTATCAGATTTTATTACAGAAAATATAAAACTGAGAATTTTCCCAAATGCTTGCAGCATGCTTGCAAGCTGTTCAAAGAAAAAAAGAAAAAGTGTTCCACAGTGCCATATTAAAGCGTAATAATAAAATAAAACTACCCAATGTTGCACAAATACATCCATCTCTGTAAGGTGAGGTGTCAAAATAGATCCTTCGTGTCTCAACAAGTGAGGTTGCCCTTGTGAGGACCAGTTCTTTTTGCTGCAGAAATGGAAGCACTAAACTTTGAATGGCCTCTTGTTGAAATATCAAAGTGGTTAAGGCCCCCTGTTGAGTGGAGGAGAAGAGAGCTGGAAAAGATTAAGTATCCTTCATTTACTAGATCTTGATTTCAGGGCTTCCCATGTGAAACCAGAGCAGCCTCATCACCAGCCTGGCAGCCCTTCAAAATTCATCTTTTCTGCTCCTAAGACAAATCCATATGTCAGCACCAGCAGAAGCGGCAGAGATCCCAAGAACTGAGCAGTCCTGGCCCCACAAGGGTGGAATTTGCTCCAAAAGCCCTGATTGTAAAAGCTGCCATCAGGCAAGGAGAAAGCAGAACCGGAGCCCAGCAGGGACACGTGGGTGCTCCCCTCTGAGGTTGGCCAGAGCCCTGCAGACAGACCCCTCCTGAGGGCTGTTGCAGGGATCCCATTACCTTAGGAGGGCAGGAGAGGTTTTTTGTTTGCATTTGGGTCCCCCTAGTGGAGTAATGAAAGTGCACTGTCTTGGTCTCCTGAAGAAGGCATGTGCAGAGACGGAACCCCCCTCAGGGAAGTTAAAACCAGCTGCCAAAACTTGTGGCTGCCTTTGCCCCCTCTTCCCCGGAGTATGCAAATAACTCTGCAGCCAAGCAACCAATCAGCATGTAATTCACACCTACTGTCTACACAGCTTTGAAGGGCAGGGGAAGTGCAGGAGAGATCGGCATCATCTCTGTCTCTGGAGGTGCTCATAATACGGTGGGAGGGATGATGCAATGATTAGCAAACACTACACCTCACATTTAATAAGTGCCAAACTTATACATGAAGTCATGTCATGTAACGGTCCCTAGAGAAAGCCTCGAAATCAGACTGCCTGTGTTCCTCTGCCTACCAGCTCAGTGACTTTGGGCTTTTTCATTCAATAGATATAAACTGAGCACCTAATATATAGCAAGTACAGGTCTGGGCAAAAGACCTGTACACAGCAAAAGAGACCAAAAATATCTTCCCTTTTGAACTATATACTCTTCATTGATGAAAAAAAAAAGTTGTTCAAAGTACCTATCCCATAATATTGTGCGGTTAAATAAAATAACCTTAGCACTTAGTGGAATAACGAAAGTGCACTGTCCTACTCCACTAAGGCCTGGCACATGAAAAAAATCTCAGTAATGTTAGCTTTTGTTATCATTCTGATTGACCCTGGAGCCTTTATTTTGCTTCAGAGTCCTTCCAAATTTGTGCATCAAAGGGGCAGCCATCCTGGGCTGGAGTCAAACAACTCAACTCCTAACTAGTGAACCCCAAACATCCAGGGGCCTCCAATGTTCTGATGAGTAAAATATGGTTGGTTGGAGAAGATGCTATTAGTGCAGCTCTGATGGGTCAAGTTTTCAGACTTTTAATGGGCCAGTAAAAAAAAATGAGCGAAAAAAAAAAAAAAAAACTCTTCAACTGAGTGGTTAAAGAGTTTCCTGTGTGTAAATAGGTCATGTATATATCTGTCTGCCTGTCAGGCCCACTTAATCCCAATGTCCCCTCCATTTGTACTGCCTAAGAGTCCTGCTTATATTGTTCCTCTCTTCATATAAGCATGCTGGTCATGGCTCCTGCCCCCATAAGAGTAGACATATGGTATAGAATTCCATGATATGGATTTGGGCTTGTACAGAGGTGGGAAACCCCATGAGGTCTGAAGCCTAGTGTGTCCTCTAATAGATCTTTTGCTGGAGAGCACTATAAGAGAATAGGAGACACTGTCCCAGTCAATGACAAATTCTCACCATTTGGATATTTCTCATCTTTGAAACCTCAAAGGGAAGAGGAGTAATTGAATTGGCAGAGCAAGATCTGGCATTTCGAGGTCCTCTACCCAAATACTATTTTATGCATTTAAACCCTACCCGTTTCTATCCCTGAGAAAGGAATCAGTATCTCTCTGTTATTGGGTCTCTTTGAGCCATTATACTCTAAGACCCAAGGTTAAGAGACCTTGGTTGGCCTGTGGCCTGTGGCACAGAGGTTGGCCTGTGGCAAGAGAAAGCAGAAGAAAATAGTGAGTGGAGAGCATGACTGTTTTTTAGGATATTAATTATTTTAACTTGCATTAATGTAGATAGTTTTCTGAATATGCTTAATAAAAAATAAAACATGAGGCAAAGAATAAAATGTGATCTACCTTTGAAATAAAAAATCTAAGTTCAAGATCCAGTTCTACTTTTGTTATAGACAATGGAATTACTCCCCAATGACTCCAGTTCTCCTTCCAGGCACATCGGGAAATGGTCCTTCCCTTCTCCCTTGAAGTTAGGTCAGGCCATGTGGTTTCTTTAGTCAAAATGAAGTGTGAGTGTAAGAAATCTGATTTACTATCCAGTAGAAGCATTTAAGAACCAGTGTGTGGTTCTCTGTGTTCTCTTTTTTCTTCTGCATTAACTCTGGAAGCACTTGTTAATATAAGATTGAAAAAGCCTGGAATTCTCCAAACCCACAATGGACTTTGCACAATAATTAACTTTTATGTTATTAAGCCACTGAGCTTTTTAGGGTAGTTTGTTACTAAGCATAACCTAGCCTATTATGACTGATACAGCCTCTTACTAACTGTATTGTTTCAAGTATGTTACTTAACCTCTTTCAGATTCAGTTTACTCATTTGTAAATGGGGGTAATAACAGTTCCCAGCATTAGGTGAGGATTAAATGTTACAATGTATCTTTGAGGACTTACTAAATTACAAAGTATTATACACATTAAACAATTCAATGTCTGTTAACTGAGTGTCTCCTATTGTCTAGGCACCATCTGAAACACTAGAAAAGTGGAGATAAATGAGTAAGGCCTCTACCCTACAGGAGTTCATACACCTTGCACAAATCACTACACTTGTTCTCTGAGCATTGAAGGTGAAAAGACACAGTCTTAGGAAGCTCACAGTTAAGAGGGAAAAGCAGACAGATAAGAGGAATCTTTCTGTCTTACCAAAGAATAAAAGGGAAGAAGTGAACATTATCATTCTGTCTGTTTTATTCAAATCTACAAAAGAATGCCCAAATGGCCTAGCAACTGCCTGCCAAAAAAAAGAAAAAAAGAAAGGAAGCAAAAAGAAAAAGAAAAATGCAAATGATCTATTTCAATTAATCTTTGAACTCCATTGTCTACTTTCACCTTGATCTCATTCCCTCTTTTTCTCAATATATATCTCTAACCTGGAGCTCTCTGAAACGCTCCTGACAGGCAACTCTGTCAGTCTGACACTTCCACCTGGTTGTTGTAAGAGAACCTCTAGTTCAGGAAATCCAACAACAAACTTAGCATTTCCTCCCGGAAATGCCAGCTCTTCTTCCCCATCTCTTCCCATGCACCCAGTCTCTGATGTTGGGAACATCACTGTCATCTTTAACTCTTCACCTTCCTCACCCCAAGTCCCAGTAAATTTCCAAATCCTAAAGACTCCACCTCCAAAATCTCTTGCAGTCAGTGTTTTCCTTTCTATGCCTACCACCATTCCTATACTACTGCAACGTGAAAAGGTTCCCCTTTAATCCATTCTACCTTATTCTTTAAGTGCAGCTACGATCTTCTGTTCTAAAACCTTTAATAACTTTCCACTTCTTACCAAATTAATTCAAACTACTCACTCAACTTTAAGTCTCTCCATATCCTGAAAATCTTTTGACAAATATTTGTTAAGCACCTTCTACGTGCCAAACCTACCCACTGTCCAAGCTCTGAGGATGCAGACAGAAGTAAGATCAGTCCCTACCCTTGAAGAGCCTCTTGTCTGGATGAAGAACTATGGTGCCCAAGAAACACATCTCTTAGATCTTCTTTGAGAGAACCTGCTATAGGGAAGACAGTTGGCAGACACATCCGTGACCTCCAGGAATACCAAGGCCACATTTCCCCTTAAGCTGCTCCTGGCCAATGACTGAGCATGGCCAGTCATTAAAGCCAGTTTTCTCCTGCCCAAGGTGAGGTTTTTCTGATGGGCAACTTTGGCTCAGCAACTGCCCATTGGCCTGGCTGAGAAACTCTCAAGATCATGCCACAACCTTCTTTGGTTTTTTTTCTGCCCAGTCTGGCCTGCTCTCTCTCTCTCTTCACAGGTGTCAGACCAGCATTGAGGTCTGAAGGGCTGGGCTACTCATGCTCTTTTCCCCGTTATCCTTCACAGGCATTCTTCCAACAAATCAAACCCTTACCTAATTTCATCTCTGTGTCTGCTTCTTGGAAGACCCAAACTGACACAGAGTCAATCATATAAATGTGGAATTTCAGTTTGGCATGGTGAATACTGTGTGACACAGGTAGCCACAGAGAGATCTGGGAGCATAGACAAGGAGCACCTCAAACAGAATCCAGGGAAGGGAAGCTTCAGGGGACATTAGGGCATGAGACGAGGCTGCTCTGTGAAAGATGCAAGGTTCATTTCATTTGTCTCCACCTTCCTAAAAGTACTTTACACACATATGTGGAGCCTGAATTTTTGTCCCACACACCCACAAACTTATTTTATCATTGGTGGTTCAATTTTCCACACTTGAAGTCCAATTTGAAAAACAGGAGTTCCAGGTGGGAGTTCAAAATATCCCCTCTATTACTAAAAGATAGAAGGCTGAGATTTCCTTTGTTTTTTTTTTTTGTTTTTTTTTTTAGATGGAGTCTCACTCTGTTGCCCAGGCTGGAGTGCAGTGGTGCGATCTCGGCTCACTGCAAGCTCTGCCTCCCAGGTTCATGCCATTCTCCTGCTTCAGCCTCCAGAGTAGCTGGGACTACAGGTGCCCGCCACCACACCCGGCTAATTTTTTGTATTTTTAGTAAAGATGGTGTGTCACCATGTTAGCCAGGATGATCTCGATCTCCTGACCTCGTGATCTGCCCGCCTAGGCCTCCCAAAGTGCTGGGATTACAGGCGTGAGCCACCGCGCCCGGCCAGAAGGCTGAGGTTTCTTGTGACAGCCAAATGAACTCTCCTCCTTGGGGATCTCCTGAGACCACTGGTGTATAGTTTATATTTTGCTTATAGAAGTCTCTGAAATGGTTTAGAACAAAGCACAGGTGGGCTAAGTAAACTAAGTGGACATAACCACCCTGATGCAGGCAGTGGAATTGAATAGGGCAAGCATTCCCTGGAAGAACCAAGAGGAACATGACTTCCTGAGAATAGCACATTCCCAAGAGGAAGAAAGGTAGATATGGTTGAAACATGCCCAGTCTGCGCTTCTCACAGATGCAAATCAGGTGAGTCACTCTATCTTACCTGGAGTGGAGAAAGGTCAGAAGTCAAACCGAGTTTCTTTAACACAGAAGAAAATGTAAGATGTAGGGGAGAAATGTTCTCTAACATTCTTTAGCTTTTTGCTGTCAACTCGATCATCTTTATTGTTTAGTCCATGGTCAACCTTAGTGACCATGGTCCTCACAGGACTTCACCAAAATATGAGTCTGCATCTCCAGTACAAATTACAAATGCCACTCCTGGGACGACTGAAGAGTGGTTTAGATATTACTTCCTGAAGGCTCTGAAATGCATCAGAACGGAATCAAAATTCAAGCAATGACAGGATGACTCCAGACCTAAGGCTGCAAATTCACTCCCTAATACATCTTCTATATCACATTATGTACCACCATATTGTCCAATGTAGTGTAGCAATGAGATTAAATAACAACAGTAAAATGATCCAATAATGAACTGCATGAAGACATTTATACAACAGAATGATTATAACCCAGAAACACTCCCTTATCAAATTCTTAAAGAAAAATATACAGTATGCCACAAAATTAAATCCTTCTAAAAGTTAAAGTCTAAAGATGTTCAAAGCTGAAGGAACTAATGCCCAAAAACAACGTATTTTGTCCTTATGTATTAAAAGCTCAAAATCCATAGTCCTTACAACGTATTTTGTCCTTATGTATTAAAATCTCAAAATCCACAGTCCTTAAGTGCAATTAAAGCAAATTTCTACGTGACCACCACATAAAAGGTGAAACTCTTAAGTTGAATTATTTTTTAATATCATCACCAAAACAGTGTATGAGAAAAATGCATGTGCGCAACTAAAGTAAATATTTTGTCTGCCTGGCTAAGAAGGACTAGCTTTTTCCTAGTTAACTAAATAGTCTAACTAATGGCTAACTGGATGGCTAAAGGGACAATGGCAGAATTGCCAATGTTTTAAAGACTGAGAATAAAAAAAGAAAACACTTTTGCACTGAACTATACAGACTGTGATTTAATATTGAGTTGGGAGTATCTTCTGGTTGAGCCAGAAGCCGCTCTAGAATCTTGCTGTGATTAGAGAATCATCTTTGTGTCTGTGGCAATAAAAGGCCCAGGAGGCAGGGATTGCAGCTGATACACCCTATGAGCTTTTCCATGCTGGACTGAGAGTACAGCAAGTTCAGAAGCCTCCTCTTCTCACTTTCCATTACGCAGGGCATGTATATTTCCAGCACCTGACAGAGTGCCAGTCGCTGAAAAGATATTGAATACTATAGTGTTTCATAAATTCATGAAATTAATAGGCATTTGCTGTTAAAGAGCCAAACTAGCCAGCATCCACAGCAACGTAAGAACAGTCAACCAAATGGTACACGGTATTTCTGTTTATTCTTCTCTCATTAAAGAGAATTATTCTAGGTACTGTTTCTCCTTTGATTACAACCACTAGCAAATGAAGCCAGGCTGCATGGCTCAGCTCCTGGTGTACATGAGACGTGCAGGGTTATTTGGGTTGGATTCTAATTTCACAAATCTTATCACAAGCAATAAGCATGATTAAAAATTTTAGTCATCTAGAAAGTTAAAGCTACTTGTTTTCCTTTTTCTGAAGCTTCTGGGGTGGGGGAAAACAAATGTTTTATATCAACAACCAAGAAAATAAACTGAGAAGTTTTTGCAATTGTCTGACCCACCCCTCAGGCCACTTATTCAGTTCCTGCCCTTCCCCATCTCTCTTGCCCTCTGGGTAGCTTGCTCCACACTGATTTTCTCTTCTGCCCTGGCACCTGCCAGAGAAGAAGCAGATGCTCATCTTGGCTAGCCCCACTTGGCCACAGCAGGCATTCTGGCCTCTCTGCTGCCTGCATCCTGTTCGTGTCCAAGCATTGCGTCAGAGAACTCCAAGAGCTAAAGCACAGCCTTCCCAAGTCAGTCAGATGCAGCCAGCCCTCCAAAAGATCAGTCATGACATTCTGCCACCTCTGGTCTTCTCCACCCAGGAATCCCCATTCACATTCCACACTGTCCCCTCCCCTAGTACCCTCAGATCTTGATGCTCCTCCTTCATCACTTCAGGTAAGCCCTGAGATTGCTGCAACCCAGGGCCAAGGCATCTGTCTTGTGACCTCTCTGGCTGGGCTGCTTGCTTGAAGAGGGCAAGGTAAACTTGCTTGGAGAGGGAAGCTAGTGGGATCATATCCTCTCAGCCATCGGCACCAGTTCCCAGGGGCTCAGGAGCTCCACACACCCCTATAAACTCGAGTTGCCTCTCCTCCTGAACCTCTTCCTTCTCTTCCTTCTCTTGCAAGCCTCATGCCGTCCTTTGCCCAGCTGTCCTACCCTCTCCTCCAATCCCAGTATTGTCTCTACTTCTTCAATGCCCAGCCTTTACTTGATAACCCTTCCTGATAATCCCACAATAGTTTGGACTTATGTCTTATGAGGTTCCTGCAAACTGAGATTGGGATGGAAATCCACATGCAGGAAATTTATTGATGGGTCCTCTCAGGATCAAAACCCAAAAGACCGAAGAAAGCAGGACTAGGCAGGGGGAGAAGCTGATTGTGATACGGTCACATAGAAATCTCATCCCAATCCTATGGGGAGCTATGGATCTGCGATGGCCATTCAGAGTGTCCCACTTTGAAACAGACTGCCCTTGTGGAGAGGACATGCTCTTGGGCGAGGCTGCTTTCTTCTAACTAGGCAATTCCTAGAGAGAAACTCAACTGAGACCCATCAGCAGCCAACACTCCCAGCAACTGGAGGACAGAATGCCTGAATCATAAAGGGAGATCTGGATAGCACAGCACAGCATCCTTTGCACACTGACAGCATTATAATGCAGAATCTTTGTTCTTTCGTTTATCAAGAGGACAAAGCCCTGGAGATATATCAGCAGGCAGCTCTCACTACACTGTGAGCCTTTCAAGGACAGAAACCATCGCTTTTCTCTCTGCACCTGATATATAATGATCACACAATAAACAATTGCTGAATGAATTAATGATGCAATTGCAGAGGGGCTGATAAATAACTCTTCTTTCCCCATCCAAGTTCAAAATAACTTGAGAGACAGAAAAATCAGACCTACGGAGGCCAAAATATCACCTTTATTACTGGCAAGAGGTGCTGCTAGAGAATGTGGATTCCATTTGTGGGAACGTATAAGAAATAAATAATAGGAAATCTCAAAGTTAGAAAGACTTTTCCACCTAGTCCTAAGAAGTATGGGAAAACCACAGACCTGCCCCAAGCACATGGGAGGGCAGAAAAGAGCCATCTTCTCTGGGACTGTAAGTAGAGGAAAAAGCTGAACTGAGAATAATGCTCAGTCTGTTCTCCCACAATTTGCTAAGAGAGATAAGTCACCCTCCTCCCCTGCAAAGGGAAGGGAAGGGAAAGAGCAGGGCATTAGCCTAGTGGCACCCCCTCCATGAATATGGACGCACCAGGATTAAGGAAGCTTTTTATCCCTAATAAATATGCACTGGCCAGACCCAACTGAGAGCTGTCCAGTCCCTGATGCCAGTTATTACTAAAGCCAGGTCCACCCACAACTCTGTCATTTGCCTGAGCGAATGTTGCCCTCTTGTTCCCCCTTATAGCAAGTGCTACCAGGATTCTCCCACAGCCTTGACTTCTTACCTAATATAAATGTAAGAACCTAAGAAAAAATTAAACATATTAATAGAGAGAGACTCACAGTGTGAGTAATTTAGGCTTAAATCACTGGTGGTAAATTTGGAGCATGTGTGGTTAATATGGAAATAACTCTCCTCTAACTTCCTGTACTGGGTACTAAGAACATTTTCCTTGAAACTTGATGTAATCTCTGGCATGAGGCCAGTGGCCAAATGCCAGGGAAAGCCACCTTTGGGGTAATGATAATATAATACTCTTGACTAGATTACAAGATTGGGAATTGGCAGCACTCAGATATGAGTTAAACAGAATGAATTCGGTCTATGGCAGTAAAAATAAATCAGATTTATCCCCAGTACTGTACTGGCCACAAAAGGTGCATAACTCCGGCCCAGAAGAATAAGAAAATTAGGTTTGCATAGGAACTTAGAGCAGACAGAGGAGGCAACATGGTTTCTAGTGAAGGCTCCAAGCCTGAAAAGAATCCCAATTTATGTCCTCTTGACAATGGCTTCTCTCCTTACAATTAAGGTTGGCAAAGGTCTGGCTTAATGTTTGGGCAGATCAGATAGTTTCACAAATTGCTCACTTAAATGGCAAGCTAGAGCTTTCATTTCCCAGAGATTTGGGAGCATTTGCATTCCTATACATTGAACTGCAGCTGGAAGAGGAACTCCAGAATCTAAACTTCTCCCTTGGCTCAAATCAAAGCCAGGACTATGAGACCTACTAGTTCAAAAGCTCCCAGTGACACACAGCTTTCTAGAGAAATATTGACAGAAGGGAAGGCTACATCCCATACCTCTGGGTTGTGAGCAGATAATATTAATATAAGATGCATATTAATGCAAATTAAGATTAGTCACGTATTCCTGTGCTTGCAGTAAAGGACTACAATGTTGTCTTTCCTAGGCACACCTGTCTCTCTCTGGAACCTGATTCTAACCCCAGCTCTGCCTTGGATAAGCCCTAAGACTTGGAGTAAATTACTAGCCTATCTGGATTTCTCAATTTCATCATTTGTAGAATCATCTGACAATGATAGCTCAAGTCATTTTCTATTCTAGAATAATATGCCTACAATATGGGAATGTCTACTGCTAAGCATAACTACTTGTTAAATGAAGTAATAAATAAGAGAAAAAGTGACTGATTGAAAAAATACATTAGTAAGTGGAAGCTCAGTAACTTAATAGAAATATCTCTGCCCATTCAGCCATTCTCAATCAGGTTTGTGCAAAAGAATTTTCCTTAAAGCTCTAAGGCAGCCACAGTATGGAATGAATTAACTTCTCTCTATGCATCTACAATGGTACTAGCTAAGCACCAACTTCAGGAGAATTGAGAAGGTCACGGAAATCATTGTTCATGTTCTGCAGTCCCAGTTGAGAATGACAGTATGACTATTGAATAGCCAACCAATTTGTCAAGGAGCCAGAATTTGCAGAAATGTCCACAAATTTAACGAAGTCCATCAGCAAGTTCTACATGTGCTGTATGATCTGGAGACTGATCCATTCACCATCCCCACATTACAGTACATACAGACATGTACATGTGTGCTCAAGAGACAGAAAGTCTAGAGTTCTTATCCCAATCCAATCTTGTTGTGCCACCCACAACAAATTACTTCATCTCTTGGAGTTTTTATATCCACATTGTCTTAATTTGGGATCCTCCAAGCACAGATCGTAAAATAAGGATTTTGGTACAAGCAGTTTATTTGGGAGCTGGCCCAAAAAAGCATGGGGTTTCTCAGCTTTGGCACTATTGACATTTGGTCAGATCTTTGTTGTGGGGGACAGTTCAAGCACTGTAGAATGTCTAGCTGCATCCCTATCCTCTACCACTAGATACTAGTAGCAACCCTCCCGCTCCAGTTGTGATAACCAAGAATGTCTCCAGATACTGCCAAATGTCCTCTGGGAGAAAAAAATCGCCCCCAGTTGACAACCACTGATATGGTGGATAGTATTATCTTTGGCCCAGATTTCCTCATCAGGATATACTACCCTAGCATTTGGGAGTGTTGGATGCTGACTGATCACAAAGGAACCCCCTTCTGGAAACTGCCCTTGGTTGAAGAGACCTGCCTCACATCCAGGTTATGCCTCTTCCCTAGGGGCAGCCTATATCCAATGACTGGTCAGTGCAGGGGTCCTAAGGCCCAGCCCCCTTACCTCAAGGCAGGACAACTATGAAAGGCCGTCCCAACTCTAAGCTTGCTGGGGGATCAGCAAATCCTCTATTGCAACTGCATCCTTGTCTTTTTCCAGATCTTAGAGGAAAGGTTTTCCATTATTCCCCATTTCGTGTGATGTTAGGTGTGGGTATGACATATGTAGCCTTTATTGTTTTGAAGTATGTTCCTTTTATACCCAGTTTGTTGAGAGTTTTTATTGTAAAGAAATGTTGGATTTTATCAAATGGTTTTTCAGCATCCATTGATATAATCATATGGTTTTTGTTCTTGATTCTGTTCATCTGATATATCACATTTATTGATTTGCATATGTTGAGCCATCCTTTTATCTCTTGGATGAGTCTTACTTGATCATGATGAATGATCTTTTTAATGTGCTGTTGAATTTGGTTTGTGCATTTTGTTGAGAATTTTTGCATCTATGCTCTTCATAATATGGCCTGTAATTTGTTGTTGTTGTTGTTGTTGTTGTTGTATCTTTGTCTGGTTTTTGTGTTAAGGTAATGCTAGTGTCATAGGGTGTTTTGAGTTTGCCTCAATATTCCCTCATGTTCAATTTTGTTGAATAGTTTTCGTAGAATTTCTATTAGTTCTCCTTTAAATGTTCGGTAGAATTCAGCAGGGAAATGGTCAGGTCCTGGAATTTTCTTTGATGGGAGATGTTTTATTATTGCTACAATCTCAGTACTTATTTTTGGTCTGTTCAGGTTTTCTATGTCTTCATGGTCCAATCTTGGTAGGTTGTATGTCTCCAGGAATTTATTCTAAGTATTTCAATTTGTTGACATATGTCTTTGTTTATGATAGTCTCTAATTATCTTTGGTAATTCTGTGATATTAGTTGTAATATCTCCTTTTTGTCTCTGATTTTTATCTATTTGGGTCTTTTCCTTTCTTAGTTTATGTAGGTAAAGGTTTGTCAATTTTGTTTATCTTTTCAAAACACAAATTTTTTATTTCATTAATCTTTTGTGTTGTATTTTTAGTCTCAACTTTATTTATTTCTGTTTTGATCTTTATTATTTATTTCCTTCTACTAATTTGGGGGTTGATTCATTTTTCTTTCTCTAATTCATCGAGCTGCATCATTAGGTTGTTTATCTGAAGACTTTCTGCTTTTTAATGTAGGGTTTGTTGCTACAAACTTCTCTCTTAGTGCTGCTTTTGCTGTATCGTCTTGGTATGTTGGGTTTCCATTTTCATTTGTTCAAGCAATTTTTTGATTTCCTTTTTAATTCTTCATTGATCTATTCATTGTTCAGGAACATTTTGTTTAATTCCCATGAATGTGTACCATTTTCAACATTCCTTCTGTTATTGAGTTCCAGTTTTATTCAATTGTAACCAGAAAAGATATTTGATATGATTTTGATTTTTTTAAATTTGTTAAGACTTGTTTCTGACCTAACATATGGTCTACCCCAGAATATGTTCCATATGTTGTTGAGAAAAAGTCATAATCTACAGCTGTTGGATCAAGTATTCTGTAAATGTCTATTAGGTTCATTTACTCTAGAGTGCAGTTTACTCCACTGTTTCTTTGTTGATTTTCTATCAGGATAATCTGTCTATTGCCAAAAGTGGGGTTTTGAAGTTTCCTACTATTAATGTATTGCAGTCAATCTCCCTTTTAGGTCTTTTCAAATGGGTTTTATATATTTGAGTGCTCCAGCATTAGACACATACATATTTATAATTGTTACGTCATCTTACTGTGTTGATCCCTTTATCATTCTATAATGGTATTCTTTGTAGCCTTTTAAAAAAACTATTATTGGTTTAAAGTCTAATTTATCTGAAATAAGTATAGCTACTCCTGCTCTTTATTGTTTCCATTTGAATGGACTATCTTTTGCCATCTCTTCATATTCAGTCTGTGTGTGTCTTTACAGGTGAAATGCATTTCTTACAGACAACATATAATTGGGACTTGTTTTTATACATTCAGCCACTTTCCCTTTTAATTGGAGAATTTAATCTATTTTCAAGACTATTATTGATAAGGAAGGATGTATTGTTGCCGTTTTGCCACTTGTTTTCTGCTGGTTTTGTGGATCCTTTTTTCCTTTTTTTTTCCTCTCTTACTTTCTTTGTGGTAAAGTGATTTTCTCTGGTAGGATATTTGGATTCCATGCTATTTATTTTTAGCATATCTATTACTGGATTTTGCTTTGTGATTACCATGAGGCTTATAAAAAATGTTTATAATTATATCAGGTTATTTTAAACTGAGAGTGACCTAACTTTGATTGCAAAGAAAAGTAACAAAAACAAACTCTATACTTTAATACCACCCCTCCTACACATTTTGACCTATTGATGTTTCAATTTACATCTTTTTTATTGCCTAGCTCCTAACTAATTATTGTAGCTATTACTGATTTTAATAGTTTTGCCTTTTAGTCTTCATACTTAAGATGCAAGTGGTTTACTTACCACAATTACAATAGTAAAGTATTCTGGATTTGTCTATTTTTTCACCAGTGAATTTAGTATCTTCAGATATTTTACATATAATTCTAATATTATACATTAGAATCCATTTTTTTCTGAATTAAGAACTCTCTTTAGCATTTCTTGTAAGACAGGTATCATGTTGATGAATTCCCTCAGCTTTGGTTGGTCTGGGAAAGTGTCTCTCTTGTTTAAAGGATAGCTTTCCTGGGTACAGTATTCTTGGTTGTCATTTTTTTTTCCTTCAGCAGTTTGATATAGCATCCCACCCTCTCCTAGTTTTCAGGGTTTCTGCTGAGAAATCTGCTAAAAGCCATGTTGGAGCTCTATTGAATCTAATATGCATCTTTTCCTTTGCTGATTTGAGTATTCTTTTTTGGTCTTTAATTTTTGCTATTTTGGTTATAATGTGCCTTGGTTGGGTTGAATTTGGTGACCATTGAACATCCTATACCTGGATGATGTCATCTTTTTCCAGACTTGGGAAATGTTCAGCCATTATTTCCTTAAATATGCTTTCTAGGGCTTTTTATCTCTCATGTCCTTTAGGAATATTTATTACTTGCAAGTTAGTTCACTTGATGGTATCTCATAATTCCCATAAGCCATTTTTACCCTTTTTGACCCTTTTTTCTTCTTGCTTCCTCTATTGGGCAATTTCATATATTCTATCATCAAACTTTCTAATTCTTTCCCCTGTTTGATCAAGTCTGCTGTGGATGCTTTCTAATGAGTTTTTCTTTTTTCTTTTTTTTTTTTTTTTTTGACAGAGTCTTGCTCTGTCACCCAGGCTGGAGTGCACTGGTGCGATCTTGGCTCACTGCAACCTCTACTTCCAAGTTCAAACAATTCTCCTGTCTCAGGCTCCCAAGTAGCTAGGACTACAGGCAAGCACCACCATGCTGGCTAATTTTTGTATTTTTAGTAGAGACAACGTTTCACCATGTTGGCCAGGCTGGTCTCAAACTCCTGACCTCAAGTAATCCACCCACCTCAGCCTCCCAAAGTGCTTGGATTACTGGTGTGAACCACCATGCCCAGCCCAGTTATTGTATTCTTCATTTCTAAGATTTCTATATGTTTTATTTTTAATTATTTCTAATTATTTGTCAAATTTCTCCTTTTGTTCCTGAATTGTTTCCCAAATTTTATTTAGACTTTTATATGTATTCATTTTCTTGTTATTCTCTTAACTTTTATAATTATTCTCAATTATCTGTCCAACATTTCATAAATCTTCCATTTTTCTGAGTCTGTTGCTAGAGCTTTGTTGGTTTCTTTTGGTGGTGTCATACTTCCCTGAATTTTCACAATTCTTGTATCTTTACACTGATACCCATGCATTTGAGGTCACAGTCATCTCTTCCGCTTTTTACAGGTGTTATTTGGTGATGTTAGACCCTTACTACTTATTATTGGAAATTACACTCTGCCCTGTTGTTTCTTCTCATTCTGGGGAGGGTTTATGGTGAGCACCAGAACTAAAACACTGCACTGGAACTAACTCACTACACTGCCATTGTTTCCCAGTCTGTGAAGGACTTATAGTCAACAAGAAAAGTTAAATGTTTCCTCAAAACTATATTGCTGCTGTGATGTCATTTCCCAGTCTGCAGAAGATTTAAGTGGGAACTGGAAATTAATCTCAAACTTTTAGTTGTTTCTGGGCCAGGGGAAGGCTCCACATTAGCACCCGGTGATACACCCAAATCTCATTTTGAAATGTAATCCCCAGTGTTGGAGGTGGGGTCTGGTGGGAAGTGTTTGGATCATGGGGGAGGACCTCTCATGAATGGCGTAGGTCATGCCCTTGGTGATAAGTGAGCTCTCACTCTGAGTTCACACAAGATCCAGTTGTTTAGAAGTGTGTGGCACCTCCCCACTCCCCACCACACCTTCTCTCTCTCTCTCTCTGTTTCTCCTGCTATCACCATGTGATGTGCCTGCTCTGCCATGAGTAAGTTTCCTGAGGCCACCCCAGAAGTGAAGGAGATACTGGCATCATGCTTGTACAGCCTGCAGAACTGCGAACCAATTAAATCTCTTTTCTTTATAAATTACAAAGCCTCAGGTATTTCTCTATAGCAATGCAAGAATGGCCTTACACATCTGGGCTTTGTGAAAAGTCCATACAGGGATTTGGGCCTTCCAAGAAATTGTGTCCCTGTAGCACTACAGCACCATTAGTCTCTTAAAAGTGGCATCCCCACTGATCAAAGGGCAAAGTAGCCACCAAGGGCTAAATGACCGCTGCTGCTATCAGTACCCTTCTCTCTGTCCCAATTCACCCCAGGTAATTCAGCCCTCCTGGTGCTCCCAATTATTCTAGTGGGATGAGATTGTAGTGGGTCTCCCATAAGATTCCCAGACCAGGGAAGAAATCAAATGTCCACTTCTAATTTCTTCCTCTCACCTTGGAAACTGTGTGTCTAGGGAAAATTTTTGTGAGTGTCATTATGCTGGTTTTGGGGAGGGAGTGGTACAATCTGAAATGACCAAGTCTCTTACTAGTCATGGCTTCTCTCAATTCTGTGGGCCCAAGGGATTTCTCTGCTTTCTCCATGAGTCCTGGTAAAATCAGGGTGGTATTCTTCTATTTGAATAGTTTCTAGTTGTATTTCGTGGGAGGGTGATGCTAGGGGCTCTTCTATTCTGCCATCCTGCCAATGTCTGTCCCCTAAAATGGAATTTTAGGAGCTGGATCCCCCATCAGTTGGCTGGCAATAAGTACCTCATCACTGGTGGTAGGCAGAGTACTGAGAGCTCTGGCATGTTGACATTGCAATTATTGAAACTGTCACCTGTTCTGAACTGGATGAGATTCCTACGGAAAGAAATGCACTGGCTGGTGAATAGATATAGCATTAAGAGGTGCAGGGCAACTGAAGTAGTAATTAGAAGTACAATAAAATCAGATGGCTGCTGCTAGGTGCTATAAATTCATTAGAGAAAGACAATGAAATGTTGAGGTGATTTATCATTATTAAAAGGTAAGGAAGGAAAGTCAGAGGGTTTCCTTGGCAGCAAGCAAAGAGATGCTCATCTCCTACAGCCAGAGGACAGAAAAAGCTTAATTAACAGGTCGTGGAACTCCACAGAAGGTTGACATCCTTAAAGCTCTGATTGGGAAGGAATGGAACCCTGATACCTGGGTGGAAACAACTGGGTCAATGCACTGAGGAATTTTGAAACACGGGATCCTCCTGAACCTCCTGGACCTGAAGGAGTAGCCCATTCCTCCGTGTTATAGGCCAGCACTCCAGCCTATCCCCTACCGCTTCACTTGAAAACAGTTTGAGTGCAGAGGTCCTCAAGTGCAAGACAACAAATGATCCCCTGAGAATCTCACCCCACCTCCTCTCCTGGCCACCAGAACAATAATTAGGGTCGAGTTACAACATGATAAATCCAGGGAAGTGCTAGGCCTGCTATGAAGGAACCGTAGGCGAAAGAAGATGCTAGTCCTCACCAAGATGCATCAACAGAAGCCAGGAAAGTCTGTATAGGACTGGATCCCGAGGGCCTGGACCAAGGGGACAGAATATAAAGTTGAATAAGAAAGTTTATTGATATGAGAAAATGATGTAACACTGGCAACAACCACAGGAGATGGTGTTGATATGCATCTTGGATGGCTACTGAAAGCTTGAAGAAATTGATGTCTCACCATAAGTGAGGTACAAATGCCAGGACTTCCTCCAGACAGTGGAGGAAGGAGTCAAAAGGCTCAGAGAAGGAGGTGTGTAGCATTGCTATAGTACTTGTGGTGGGCACACCGTTACATGACCCTCAATGAGCCATGCCCTTGTATAATCCCTCCGCTTGAGTGCAGACAGAACCTGTGACTTGCTTCTAGCCAACAGTGTCTGGCAAAGGTAATGGGATAGTCATTCTGTGGTTATGTTACATTATACAGTACTCTAGGTTGGCATCCTGGAATGAGAGATTCTCCTGCTGGCTTGAAGAAGTGAGCTGCCATGTTGTGAGAGGCCCTGCAGGAAGGAACTGCAGATCACCTCTAGGAATTGAGAGCAGCACCCAGCTGACCATCAGCAAGAAAACAAGGACTTCAGTCCTACAACCACAAGGAACTGAATGCTGCCAATTAGCACATGAGTTTGAAAGAGGATCCTGAGCTCCAGTTAGGAGTGCAGCCTGGCCAACACTTTGACTGTAGCCTTTTAAGACCCCAAACAAAGGACTTCAGGTAAGCCATGTCCAGATTTCTGACCTCCAGACACTGTGAGAAAATGACTGTATGTTATTCTAAACTGCTAATTTTGCGGTAAGTTGTTATGTAGCATAGATAACTAATATAACACTTAAGGCTGGAAAACCCACCAGCCAGTAATGTCCATGGGATGGCCCAGTGGGTGCCTCATTTACCAAAGTAATGAGAAATATGTCCATGAGGTGGGGTACCAGCATCACTGGGATGTTCAGTGGTGGTCATCCTCTGTGGGTCACAGCTAATGCTATTACAGACCCCCTACTAGCAAAGGGACTGATTGGGTTTCAAAATAATGAAAGCCACGTAGCAATGTTGAAGTATCAAAAGCAAAGTTGTCACAATTACTGTAATGAGTGACAAGGTTAAAATGTCAGCCATGGGCCAGGCATGGTGGCTGACACCTGTAATCCCAGCACTTTGGGAGGCAGAGGCAGGCAGATCACGAAGTCAAGAGATTGAGACCATCCTGGCCAACATGGTGAAACCCCATCTCTACTAAAAATACAAAAATTACCTGGGCGTGGTGGCATGCACCCATAGTCCCAGCTACTCAGGAGGCTGAGGCAGGAGAATCTCTTGAACCCCGGAGGTGGAGATTGCAGTGAGCTGAGATCATGCTGCTGCACTCCAGCCTGGCTACAGAGCAAGACTCCATCTCAAAAAAAAAAAAATGTCAGCCAAGGGCCTGATACACAAAGTTCTAGAGGTATTTGGAGTGAGAAAAAAAAATGTGTGTAGCGTTTATGAGAAGATCAAATAAGAAAAATTACTGCATGAAAACTCTAGTGTTCTATGGCAGTGGTCCCCAACCTTTTTAGCACCAGGGACCAGTTTTGTGGAATACAATTTTTCCATGAACAGGGACAGGGAATGGGGGAGGAGTGGGTATGGTTTCGAGATGAGACTGTTCCACCTCAGATCATCAGGCATTAGATTCTCATAAGGAGTGTGCCACTTAGATCCTCACATGTGCAGTTCACAATAGGGTTCATGCTCCTATGAGAGCCTAATGCTGCCACTGATCTGACAGGAGGCAGAGCTCAGGTGGTAATGCTCACTCGCCCGCCACTCACCTCCTGCTGGGCAACCCAGTTCCTAACAGGCCATAGACTGGTACGGGTCCAAGGCCCAGGGGTTGGCAACCCCTATTCTATGGCAATTCCAGGCTATTCACAGCAAAGAACAACACACCATGCAAAAAAAGTCCCTCACATGCTAGTAAAGATGGAGCCTATAACCATGGACATCAAATGATCATGCAGCCATTATGAGCTGGGTTCCCATCGTGAGCTGGATTCCCATTATGAGCTGGATTCCCATCATGAGCTGGGTTCTACCACACCCAAGAAGTCATAAGCCAAGGCAACCCTGCAGCAATCCACTGCCACATGGAGGCAGCACATCCATAATCAGGCACTGACAGGGTCAGAGGGCATAAATAAGCCACACAAGCAGGTGGCCCAGTCCTCAGCTACACAAAGGTGCATTAATAAATGGACTATAGCTGTGGGCAACTGGGGCTCAAGCTTCCTGGGTATCCCCCAAAAGCCTCTATAGAATACACCTCAGAAAGTTTTCATCAGGGGTAAAGAAACTGGGGTATTTATCCACCAATTGCCTGCTTTCTTTGTTTGAAGATTTCTCCCAGGAGTTAACTCCCTGGCACTTCAGATCTCTTCCCCAATCCCAATACATGGGCTGAGCATGATGTTTCCACCAGAGAACACTCTCAGGCAGCGAGACAAAGATGCCTGAGTTAGAATTCCCTTGGCCTGGATGAAAACTGTCCACCAAAGCTTCTGGTGACCTCCTTGGTGGATGAATGCTGATAACCAAAAAAAAAAAAAAAAAAAAAAAAAAAAACCTCTGTAAAATATTGAAGGAGGTTTATTCTGACCATGGCCTGGGAAACAGTCTCAAGAAAGCTTGAGAAAGTGTACCCAAGGTGACTGAATTACAGTTTAGTTTTATACATTTTAGGAAAACAGAAGTTACAGGCAAAGACATAAATCAATACATGTAAGGTATACATTGATTTAGGCTGGAAAGGCAGAACATCTCAAAGACGGGGCTTTCAGGTCATAAGTGGGAGATAGATAGATGATAGATAGATATCTCCCATATAATATACATATATCTCTCTCTGCTGTTTTTTTTCATATGGATATATGTGAAGAGAGGGAAAGATTTTTAAATCAAGTAGCAATAGGATATTACAGTCCATAAAAGGTAAAATTTGCCAGTGTATACACTCTCAAAATTTTGTCAAGATCGCCTCCTCACAAATATTAAAGGGGCACTTAACAAATATCAGTAGGGCAGCATTTCTTCTTATTTACCCAACATAAATAGCACTTGCTCTTGCTACTGAGCAATCAGCTTGTTAAAAGATTGTATCATAGCAACATTCAGCCAGAGAACTTTCCAGAGCGTTGAGACATCCTTCTGGGTGGCTACAGTTGTCCTAGCAGCAAGATGGAACAGAATAAAAACTCCCAGCTGAGTGATTAGTGTACTGGGCCTTAGAGACCCAAATCTGCCACAAACTGGATGCATGACCAAGTAGTTTGGACTATATCCATTCCTTCATTTATTTAACAGATATTTACTGAGCATCTCCTAGGTGTCCAGGCTCAGAGCCACTGTGCAGGGGACAATCTCCAAAGTCTTTTTCAAGTCTAACTGGAGACTCAGAAAGGCACATTTGTAGAGATATGGAAACATTTATCAAAATCAGCATCTCCCAACATAGCCAAACCCTTGATCCTCTTGTAAATGACCCCCTTGCACATCATCCTTCTTTGTAAAAAGATAGCAGTTGTTCTGAGTCCTCTTCTTGCCCACGGAGAAGAGTTCACAACGGAAATGGGAAAGGATGGAAGTGCGTTTGTCTGGGGCCGCTGAGTCAGCCAGACTCCTCCCAGCTCCTAGTCCAGTCTCTCCTCTCTTCTCCAGAGAGGCACGCCCTCTCTGCCACTTTGTGGGCTGTGGAAGCTGATTAGCATTTTGCACACTTCAGCAAACTGAGCTTTGGAATTTCACTTGTCCCCTCAGCAAAATATCAGGTGGAAGAGGAACAGATTTGAATGCAAAGGACAATTGCATAATTTGCGTAAGTCCCAGGACAGAAACGCCACATGACTCTGCTAGTTTGCTTCTTCTCTTTTGCCCTTTTCCCCAGCAAGCCTAGAAAAATAATCCCACAGCCTAGCAACTAATCCCACACGTGACCTTTTGGCAACTGAGGATGCTTTCTTCACATGCTGGAAAACTGCGACATAGCTCCAAATTAAAATGCCTTTTGCCTCTCATTACCATATTAAAGAGTTTGAGGTTGTGAGATGACAGTGCACTTAAATTGTCCAGGAAAAAGAAAAGGTCATTCTTTTATATTCTGTACCTGACCTACGCTTCTTCATGAGCTTCATTTCACAGAGGAGCAAGGGAAAATAATAAACTCACCAACTGAAGGCCTCTCAACCTCTTCCAGTTTAAAACAGCCTCTTTCAAGCTGAGTCGCTGAGAAGCAAACGCTCAGTTTTTCAGGGTTTTTTCATGCCTGGGTGCAAAAGAAAGCTTTTATCTTGCAGTAGCTAGAGACGAGACCTCATATGTAAGACCTCCTTCATGGAAGGCAAATCTTCCCTAGGAGGCAGCTGAGCTGGGCGGGTCTCCGGGACCCAGCACAGGTATCTTCTCTGGCACAATGAGTGCCTCCCCACCCTTTGGGGCAATAAGCTGGCACCTGCTGCTGAAAAGTGTGGTTCTTGCCCTTTCCTCCAGCTGAGATGTCTCTGTACAATCAGTACTAAGCCAGGCCTCTGCTGACCCAGCAGTTATTTCAGGCCCCACATCTTCTCTGCTGGATTCTTTTCCCACGGCTGTCATAACAAATTACCACAAACTACATGGCTGAAAACAGCAGAAATGTATTCTTTCACAGTTCTGGAGGCTAGAAGTCCAAAATCAAGGTGTTGCTAGTACCACTGTTCCTCCAAAGGCCCTGGAGAAGAATCCTTCCTGGTCACTTCCATCTTTGGATAGCTCCTGGCCTTCCCCGGCTGTGGCAGCACCACTCCAATGTCTGCCTCCATCTCCACATGGCCTTCTTCCCTGTGTCTCTGTGCCTCAAATCTCCCTCTGTCTCTCTCTCTTTTTTTTTTTTTTTCATAAAGACACTACTGCTTGGATACAGGAACCACCCTACATTCAGAATGATTTGTCTCTGTGCCTCAAATCTCCCCCTCTTTTTTTTTTTCATAAAGACATTACTCATTTGATACAGGACCCACCCTAAATTCAGAATGATTTTATTTCAAGATCCTTAATTACATCTGTAAAGACTTATTTCCAAATAAGGTCACATTCACAGTTACAAAAGATTAGGACTTGGACATATCTTGTGGAGGGCCACGAGTCAACCCAGTACACCCTCCAAGGGCCATCTGGGAACTACTAATTCCATTACCCCTCTTACCCGAAGTTTGCAGGCTGCAGAGAATCAGGAGTGCTGGTTCATCGATTGAGATGTGTCCCTCAGCTATTTCCCACCCACTGCTCAGGTGCTACGGTGAGGCTGGACTTCTCTGTACATCCTGGGAAACCTGGACAAGAGTTGTTTCTGCTCTAAGATGCATTAAAATTTATCTGGAGTTTCAAGCAAACCCTCCAACTCCTTGCTTCTCTATCCTGCCTCACCCACCTTCCTCCCCTACATTCAGCCTCATCTTCCCGCTCCCTTGGAGGAATGTTCTGAAAGTAAAATGAACTCAAATTCAGAAAACCTGAGCTTGAACTCCAGGTCAGACATTTATTAACTATCTATCCTTAGGCAAATCATTGTCCTTATTCTGAATTATTCAATGCCAGGCTGCGACCATGACAGAGACACCCAGACCTTCAATCCCTTTGTTCAAGTCAGTAAGCCCCTTTCCACCAAGGAGAAGTTGGCTGCCACATAATATTCACCGAGCCATGGCTCCAGCTGCCCTGACAACTCCACCTAAGGGGAGACAGGCCATCCTCCAACCCTGCCTGCAAGGACCACAGCTTGTGAGCTGCCTAAAGGTGCCACCTGCCCAGTTCTCATCACAGGACTAAGCAGCTTCCCAGTGGCCCCAGCTCAACACTGAGCCATAACCTTAGCTGATTATCCGTCCTCTTCTAAGAGACATCCAAGGCCTTTTTCATCACACTTCGCATCCTCAATTATCTCAGGCACCATAGGAAGTCCCATCATTATATGTTTTTTGCTTTTGTTTTGTAGAGATGGGGTTTTGTCATGTTGCCCAGGCTTGTCTCAAACTCTTGGACTCAAGTGATCCACCTACCTCAGCCTCCCAAAGTGCTGGGATTGCAGACGTGACCCACCATGCCTCCATCATCATATGGACACTTATTTTCATACTGCTGGTGCATCTGCTAATTAAACCATCTCCCATCCCTCATCTCCCCTCAGAACCTTTCCACAGAGCCCTCTGGAACTCATGCTTTCACCGGCAAACTCCCCTTCCTCCTCAACCTCTTCTCTGAACATTCCAGTCACCTTCCTCCACTAACTAAAATCGAGCCAGTTCCTGATGGTCCCACAGTCTTCTCAAGCAGAAATTATTATTTTTCTCCCCTAACCCTTAAGCCTTGGGGTATGGAGGTGGGGCAGTGATACACTTTGGGTGTTGTTCCCACCCAAATCCCATATTGAAATGCTATCCCCAATGTTGGAGATGGGACCTGGTGGGAGGTGATTGGATCATGGAGGTGGGTTTCTCATGAATGGGTTAGCACCCTCCCTTTGACACTGCCCTTGTGATAGTGAGTGGATTCTCAGGAGATCTGGTCATTTTAAAGTGTGTGGCACCTCCCCCCTCACTCTTATGCTCCTGCTCTGGTCATCTCATGTGCCTGCTCCTGCTTCACCTTCCACCATGAGTAAAAGCTCCCTGAGGCCTCCCTAGAAGCTGAGCAGATGTCAGCATCATGCTTCCCGTACAGCCTGCAGAACTGTGAGCCACTTAAACCTCTTTTCTTTATAAATTACACAGTCTCAGATATTTCTTTAGAGCAATGAGAGAATAAACTAATACAGGCAGGTGTCCTCTTTGCTCCTCATTGTTTCTTCCAACCTATTTTTCCTCCTTGCTCCATCAAAAACAAAAGCAAACAAAACCCTCACCTCCTTTGAAGTCTACTTTACCCAGTTTTATCATCACTTCCTCTCATCTTCTCATCTTCTCATGCCCCTCTTCATAATTCACTGATGACTTCGGTGCCTGGCTGCTGGTCCACCACTTCACAACCCCCCTTATCATTCCCAGTGAGTTTAAAATCACATAAATGACACAGCCAACACACCTGTTTTTCAATTCCTTGGCTCCTTAACTCCAGCCATTTTTTTCTTCCACCCCATCCCAGCCAACTGTTCATGTGAAATAAATAAATGGTGGGAGAAACTCATTTAAAAATGAATTAAACAGCCAGGCATGGTGGCTCACACCAAATCTCAGCACTTTGGGAAACTGAGGCAGGTGGATCACCTAAGGCTGGGAGTTTGAGACCACCCTGGCCAACATGGCAAAACCTCATCTCTACTAAAAATACAAAAATTAGAATGATGATTTCCAATTTCATCCATGTCCCTACAAAGGACATGAACTCATCATTTTTTATGGCTACATAGTATTCCATGGTGTATATGTGCCACATTTTCTTAATCCAGTCTATCATTGTTGGACATTTGGGTTGGTTCCAAGTCTTTGCTATTGTGAATAATGCCGCAAGATCAAAAAACCAAACACTGCATATTCTCACTCATAGGTGGGAACTGAACAATGAGATCACATGGACACAGGAAGGGGAATATCACACTCTGGGGACTGTGGTGGGGTGGGGGGAGCGGGGAGGGATAGCATTGGGAGATATACCTAATGCTAGATGACGAGTTAGTGGGTGCAGCGCAGCAGCATGGCACATGTATACATATGTAACTAACCTGCACAATGTGCACATGTACCCTAAAACTTAAAGTATAATAAAAAAAAAATACAAAAATTAGCTAGGTGTGGTGGCACATGCCTCTAATCCCAGCTACTTAGGAGGCTGAGGCACAAGAATGGCTTGAACCCAGGAGGCAGAGGTTGCAGTGAGCCAAGATCATGCCACTGCACTCCAGCCTGGGCAATAGAAAGAGACTCTGTCTCAAAAAAAAAAAAAGAAAAGAAAAGGAAGAAAGAAAAGTAAAAGAAAGAAAGAAAGAAAGAAAGAAAGAAAGAAAGAAAGAAAGAAAGAAAGAAAGAAAGAATCAATATGAAGAGATGAAGCCTTTGCTTAAGTGAAGTTAGTGCACAGAAGTGAGGCAGAAGCAGAGTCAGGAAGACCTCTCAGAGGAGGCACCACTGAGGAGAATTTTTACATATAAGCCGGAGTTAGAGAGAGGTGTATGAAGGAAGGGGATTTTATTTGGAGATAGTAGATATGTAAAGACACAAAGCTGGAATGAATTATGGCAAGAGGTTTATTTGATTACAGTGGAAACTTCAAGGAAGGGAGCACTGAGAAAAGAGGCTTGGAGAAGCTGGCAGGGACTAGATAATCATAGGCCTTGAATGCCAAGCCAAAGAATTTGGATGCTAGTCTGAAAATATTTGGAGCCACAAAGGTTTATTTTGGGTAGATAGTTTCCAACAATGGTCACCAGTGATTCCTTCCCTCCCTGTACACATATGATGCTCTACCTATCAAGACGTAGGATCCCTTTCCATTCCCCTTGGACCTTGCCTAGCCTTGTGACTTGCCTTGTCCTGTACAGTATGACAGAAATGACACAGTGCCATTTCTGGAGTGAAACTTGAAGATATCAGGCAGCTTGCTATAAAGCAGCTCAGATTCCTGAATGATGTGATACCATGTTGGGAGAAATGCCATGTAAAGGAGAAGTGAGGTGTGAGACATGTGTGTGAGGTCTTCCTGAACCTTTCAGCCCAGCCAAGCTGCCAGATGGATACAGCTGGATGAGTGACTCCTAGCGTATACCAAGCAGAACAGAAGAACTGCCCAGCTGAGACCTGCCTGCATTCTTGACCCACTGAATCATAAGCAATGGTGAATCATTGTTGCTTTCTGGATGATTTGTTATATAGTAGCAATAGACAACTGAAACACATTTCATTTTATCTTCAAAATAGTACAAGGATATAGTATTCCCTCCATTTAGATATGATGAAAATGAGGCTCAGCAAATCACAGAGCAATAAAGGATTCTAAGAGGCATTCAAGATTGAACTCAACCTTTACCAACTGTAGAACCCATGCTCTTTTCACTAGACATAGGGAATAAGCCTAGTATTTAGCTAAAATTTTGGATACAGTCAGCCTCTATTCTGATTGATCTGGAGTTCCTTCCAATTACTCAAGCCCTTTTCTTTACTTGTTATTAAATATTTGGAATACTGCGATTGCCTGGGAGCACAGGATTATGAGACAAGAACCATAACCATCTTTGAAAGATGTTGGAAGTCTTTCCAGTTTATAGAAAATATCCCCCAAGTCTTGTTTTCCTGGCCTTACCAACCTGGCTTATTTTGGATACAATCAGTACCTGAGGGTGAGGCTCAGAAGTGCCATCTGGTCCTCCCATGTCTCCATGGCATATCTCATACACAGCCAGAAATGGCTGTCAGCAGGAATGCCCTACAGGCCAAACAAAAATGCACCCAGTAATAGATGCATGTTTATTTTCTTTTCCATTTCCCACCTTTCTCTCACTTTATTTCAGAGCTTTTGCTGTCTGTTTTACTACTTGGGAAAGCCCCTTGGAGTATCATTCTGAAGTAAAATTACTTCATTTAATCCAATGTATTGCTCTTGGAAAAAGGTTTTATTTCCCGTACTTGAAGCTGGGCAGTAAACAATAAGCTTCTATTTTTCCTAATCCTAATTTCCAACCTTTTCTTGTGTCTTCATAGTTAAGGGAGCTAACAAATTTGTACCATGCCCCATCATTGAAGGAGACTTTGCCTAGAGCCTGGATGGAAAAACAGATATTTCTGTTCAAATTTTACTCAACACACTCCCAGAAGAAAAGGCAGTGAACCAGTTATGCTCAGGTAGTTGCCTTCACGTTTGTAGGGAGTTGTTCTTCCAGGTTGAGTGGTTCCAAGAATGAGGTACAAATTCTTCAGTTCTACAACATTTTCAGTGACTGCATCCTGCACACGAGAACTTTCTATGCAGCTTAGCAAAACAAGGTAGGCATTGACTTTGGAATCAGAAGAACATTCGGGCTCTTCTCAACCCATTTCAATCAGACTTTTACCCCCACCATGTAACAAAGTCACCAATGGCCTGTCAAGGTCACTAGTGCCTGCATCTGACCAAGTCCAACAATGGATTTTAATCCTCATCTTACTTAATAGCAGCAACTGACACTGTTGATCCTTCTTTTCATGAAACACTTTTTTTTTACTGGGTTTCTAGGCAGTCCCACATTCTTTTTTCCCCTCTTCCCAATCTGTCTCTTCCATCTCTCCCTCTCTGGATTCCCCTCTTCCTCCTGACCTATATAGACTGACAGACCCCAGGCTCACTTTCAGCCTTCTTGTTTCCTCTCTCTGCTCTCATTCTCCATGTGATCTCATCCAGTCCATGGCTTCAAAGTCAGTCTACATGCTGAGGACTCCCACATTTTATCTTTAAATCCATTGTTTCCCTTATTAGAAATGTCCAAAATGGAATTCCTAATTTTTCCCCTTAACCCTGCACCTCCCTCAGACTTCTACAACTCAGCAAGTGGTACAAATCCTTCACCAAGGTGTTCAGACCAAAACCCTGGAGTCCGTCTTAACTCTTCCGTTTCTCATACCCCACATTTATTCAAGCAGCAAGTCCTTTTACCACCTCAACTGTTTCCACTCTAGACCAAGCCAGCTTCATTATTTTTTATTGAGACAAGGTCTTACTCTGTCACCCAGGCTAGAGTGCAGTGGTAAGATCACAGCTCACTGCAGCCTTGAGCTCCTGGGTTCAAGTGATGCTCCTGCCTCAGCCCCGCAAGTAGCTGGGACTACAGGTGTATGCCACCATGCCTGGCTAATTTTTTTTTTATTTTTTGTAGAGACAGGGTTTCACCATGTTGCCCAGGCTGGTCTTGAACTCCTAAGCTCAAGTGATCCACCTGCCTTGGCCTCCCAAAGTGCTAAGATTACAGGCATGAGCCACTGCACCCAGCCACTGGCTTCATTTTTGCCTTATTATTGCAATAACCTCCTGTGGTTTCCAATAATTTGCTTCTCCTTCCCCACCCCACTGATACTAGGCTTACACTCATGACTTGCTTTGGTCAGTGAAATGTGATGGAAATGATGTTTGTCACTTCCAGGCAGAAGAGTTCAGAAGCAGAATGTGATTCACTGTGATCTTTTTTTGTCTCTTCCATGAGACCATCAATAGCTCCAGAGGGAGCTGCTTTATCAGCTTGGGTCCTAGAGTGAAGATAATGTGGAACAGACCTGCAAAACATGGAACATTGTTCCTTTGGAATTACTCAGCCCATCCCAATGAATACACCTACCCACTTGGCTTTTTACTTCCATGTCACCGCCCTCCCTAACATCCACCCAGTAAATTCTCGACATAGTATTCAGAGGGATATTTTGCAAGGGTAAATTAGATCATGTCATTTCCCCACTCCAAGTCCTCCAAAGACTTCCACTTAACTTAGAATAAGATCCAGTTTTCTCATCTTGTCTATAAACCCCTTTATGGCTCAGTTCTAGCTCACCACTCTGACCACATCTCTTATTTCCTTCCTCTCTCTCTTTTCTGACATGGAGAAGTCCACACTGGCTTTCTCTCTGTTTCTTGAATATACCAACCTCATTCCAACATCAGGGATCTTGCATTTGCTGAACCCTCTGACTGGGATGTTTGTCCTCCAGATACTTGCATGGCTGACTCCCTCGCTTCCAGCAGACACCTGCTCAAATGTTGCCCATCTGAGAAGATTTCCTGCATATCTGGTTTAAAATAGTCCATTCCCTCTTCCCACCTGGCCACCTGCTACCTCCTTCCTCAGCTTTATTTTACTTAATAGCACCTATCACTACCAATTAATATATTTTACAATTTTTTTTTATTTGTTGTTCGTCTCTCCTTCTAGAACATAAATTTCACAAGGACAGGAACTTTTTCTTACTTACTATTAAAATTCACAGAACTCTTAACACTGCCAGGTACATGGTAGACTTCAAAAAATTATATTTGTTTTGAATGAATGAATGAAGAAATGATGCCTGAGATTTTCACACTTACTGTCTGTGCGAATATGGGCAAATTATTTTAATTTTTGAGTTCAGTTTCCTTGTCTGTGAAATGGAGACAGCAGTCCCTGAATTTTCTACTTTCCTGGGTTATCGTGAGGACCAAAGCAGATTGCGACTGCAAGTATGCCTTCCAAACAACAAAGAACTATGGAAATATTACATAGGATTATTGATACATTAGCCTATTTCAGACACCAGGCAAATTTTTGGCCAAACTCTGAGAGAGAAAACTGTGTCTCCGATGGACTTTACCTCATTTTTCTATTACCATTTCCCCAAAATGTGGTATATGCTTTTCTCCTCTTGAATCCAGGCACTTCCTCTTATTTGTAGAATAGGAAGAGTAATACAAACCTGGGTTATCTCCAAATCTGCCACAGCTGACCTTGGAGAAGTTCCTTAACCTTCTGAGGCTCAGATTCTTTATCCATTAAATAGTGAGTATGAAGAACTGATTTCGTAAAGCTATTATGAGGCTGTAATGAGTCATGCATATGAAGAACTTTGAAGATTGAGTGGGATATAGTAATCTTGTAATAAGTGTTAGTTATTGTTATTCACTTAACTATTGACTGCCTGTGCAAATGATACTTCATACATTTTTGTATGTGAATCAGATGAGGGAAGGTATGCCCATTACTTAGAATGGTGCTGGAAGCCTCACAGGTGCTTAATAAATAATTGCCATTATAAGTAGTAGCGGTGGTGGTGGTCGTGGTAGCAGTAGTTCAGAGCAGTTGTGAATTTCAACAAAATTGTTTTAATGGTCCATGGTCTCTTGATATAATTTTGTTCTTCTCCTTTTCCAGCATTGTGGTGCTAATTAGGAGACTTTTATATAAACCTTTTCCCTAACCATTTCAGCAAGTCACAATTCATTACACCCAAAAGCATCAGTCCAAATTCTAACATAATAAACCCCATGGCTACAGGCCCTACCCCACCCCACCCCCTGAAAAAGAGATCAATGATCTGTGGGTGTTGGTTGCAATGTAAAAGTCAAAACCTGACTACAGTTAAGTTTGTAGGGGCCCTGGCACTGCTACCTGCCTAGGAATTGATGACCTACGGTTTTCAACCTCTCCTAGAAATATGAACTGGGTTCTTGGCATAGAGTCTCCACAAAATCACCAGTGCAGTACTTCCTAAATACAGATATCCCTCATTCTCTTTCTCTAAGTATGAAATGGAATCCAAACTTTGGTCAAGCTTTCAAAAGACATCCTTCTCACTAATTCTTCCCTAGGATCTCTGCTTTAATCTAAGAGAATGATAGGCAGCCATGCCAACTTCCTACATCTATTATCAATTCCGAAAAAGCTGTTCCCATTTCCTTTGAGCCACATGCTAAAACATCTTCTCACCCTCACCATAAAATCGTTCAATGCTGTAAGAGGATATTATAGACTTCCACTTAAAAGTGGTGGATGGAACATAAACATTATTTCTGCTCCCTCCCAGAAATTCCAATAAATATTACAGCAAAGGAATTTTTTTTTTTTTTGAGATGGAGTCTCACTCTGTCACCCAGGCTGGAGGGCACTGGCCTGATCTCAGCTCACTGCAACCTCCACCTCCTGGGTTCAAGCGATTCTCCCGCCTCAGCTTCTCAAGTAGCGGAGATTACAGGCACCCGCCATCATGCCTAGCTAATTTTTGTATTTTTAGAAGAGATGGGGTTTCCCTATGTTGACCAGGCTGTTCTCGAACTCCTGACTTCAGGTGATGCACCCTCCTTGGCCTCCCAAAGTGCTGGGATTACAGGTGTGAGCCACTGTGCCCGGCTGGAAAATTTTTTTTAAGCATTAAACCTCAATGAAAAAGATAACCAGAAAGAACATAAACAAATAAAATCTGGGGCTCTAGGAAGCAGATGAACCAGTGATAACTCACTTAACAGACCTAAGGAAGTTGAACCCCAAGCTAACAATAAGAACAAGCCCGATTTTCACTGCAGAATCCCAGGGTACCACTGGACATAGGTGGGAAGTTGAGTCTGTTGACACAATGACTGGCTGGAAGTATGTTTAAGAAGTAGATAGACCCTCCCCAGGCCCCTCATCCTGCCCCTTCCCCAACCCAGACAACTGAAGGCTTAATTCCTGGAAAGAATAAAGCATAGTGGGGCATATACAGCATTGTTGAGGGCAGGGACAGTGTACTGAACACAGGAAGATTGAGTGAGAGGTTACACACTGAGTATGAGGACCTTAGCTCTCAGAGCATAAGAAGCCAGACTTAACACTCTGCTTGCCAGAGACTGAAGCACACCTCTCTAGGAAGTCTATCTACTCCAAGAAAAGATATAGCAGCACTAACAACAGAATACCCCTGGAGAAGCAGATTGGCCAAATCACCTTACAAGTAGTGAGTTCAGAGTTAACAAGTTCCACCCCCACACACTGAGTTTCTAATTTGCTTTTAAGCGTCTCATTTCAAAATGTGAGCCTTAGTCAATGACCACCAAAACTCTGAGGAAATTCCCTAACTTGAAAAATACAATTGACTCTCCAAAAACTTAACTACTAATAGCCTACTCTTGACTGGAAGACTTACCAATAACATAAACAATCACTAAACACTTTTTTATCATATATGTATTATATATTGTATTCTTACAATAAAGTAAGCTAGAGAAAAGAAAATCTTATGAAGAAAATCATAAGGAGGAAAAAAATATGTATTTTTTATTGAGTGGAAGTGGATCGTCACAAAGGTCCTTACCTTAGTCATCTTCACGTTGAATAGGCTAAGGAAAAGAAGCAAGAGGAAGGGTTGGTCTTGCTGTCTCAGGGTGCAGAAGCAGAAGATAATCCACATATTAGCAGACTCAGGCAGTTCAAATTCATGTTATTCAAGGGCCAACTGTAAAGGCCAAAATATTATGGGGGAAAAAAAAGCAACTTATAGAAAACTCTGCAGGAAAATAAAAACTTCAAAAGGAAACTATCATCAACATCCTCAGACAAATAGGAGAAGTTATTGTAATTTATTAAATAAAAACAATATTCTGGCAAAAGGAAAACAATTGTAAAACAAGATAGTAATTATAAATTCAAATTTGACAGCCAGAATGAAAATTTCAGTCAAATAGTTAGAAGATAAATTTAGGGAAATCTCTTAGAAAGTAGAATGAAAAATCAAAAAGATGGAAGATATGATATAAAAGATAAGAAATATAGAAAATCATTCTAGGAGTTCATCAACTGAGTAACTAAAATTTCAGAAAAAGAACTTGAAAAATAGAAGAAAAAAGACACAAGAAATAATCCAAGAAATTTATCAGTACTGAAGGGCATGAGTTTCTAGACTTAAAAGGTACAGTAAATATTCAGTACAATAGATAAAAATAAACTCACACTAAGTTCCATCATCTTAAACTTTCAGAACAATAGACATAAAAGAGGGAATTTTAAAACTTTTCAGAAAAAGGTAAAAATCATTGCTCAAAATACCAAAATGACTGTGAATTTCTCAACAGCCCCAGTAGAAGCAAAAAGATAATGTAACAATGACTTTAGAATTCTGTAGAAAAAAATTATTTCTAGCCTAGAATTCTACACCTATCAAAGTTAACAATTAAATATTTGGGTGGGATACAAACATTTCAGACATAAGTCTCAAAACAATTACCTGCCGTGAGCCCATACTGGAGATCCTTTTGTAGTTCATAAGCATGATGATCGGGTGTTCATGTCCGAGCATGAGATGTGCCTCCCTCAAACCTTGTTGTGACGTTGGCACATTTCCCATCTGATGTGAAAAAGGAAAAAAAAAAAAAAGAAGAAGAAGCTACTAGGTAAGTCCAAAATTATGAGGCAAAGCAAGAAAGAGGAAGACATGGAGTCTGGGAAATGAGAACGTCAATCCAAGAAAGAGCAAAGGAAATCCCAGAGATAAAGGCAAAGGGAGATCCAAGTATAGCCATGTACTCAGCCTAGAAATAAACTAGTCCAGGCTGGAGCAGCTCTGTAGGGTACAGGAAAGATGATCGAAAGATGGCTTTGTTAGAATACCGGATGTGAGTGAGTGTATTGAGAGGAAATTTAAACAACCGAGGAGAAAGTTTGGAGTGAATTAGTGATAGAAAACAAAACAAAGGAAGAAAAAACAATATAACTATTAACTCCAGGAAAACCTAAAGATTGTGCAAGAAAATAAAAGTAAGCACATTTCAGCTGTGAAGAGTATTTATAGGGACAGGAAAATATACACACTGAATATTAACCTAAGCAAAATTATGAAATAACAGTAGTGGGATAATGAGAGCATGGGGGTCCGGGGGTTCAGGAACCGTGCATGATGGGGCATGGTAGAAATGGTAAAAGAGGGCTAAAATAGTGAGAGGCTAACAGTTAATGCTTAAAGCATTAGGCAAAAAAGAAGGAGCACTATAAGCATATACCAGTGACATGGAGGCGATACCAAAATAACCAGCTGCAAGAGCTGAATGTGTTGATTCTAGGAAGCAGGAAATGCTGGGTCAAGAGAAGAGTCTATTATTTTTCACTATGCCTTCTAAAATTATTTAACCCTGAAAATCATGTGTGTGTATAAAGTTAATCAAAATTAAAACTAAATTTTAAAATAATCATGCATCAATGATAAATTAAAAGGATGATTTTAATTTGGCTTCTCTTTGTCATGTGCACACATAGACACACGGAGCCATTTGGGCAATACATTTTGCAAAGCATCTAAATGCATGAAAATATTCCAGGAAAGTGTTAATGATGGCCTAGGCCAATCTGTCTTTTGTAAATAATTTCTCAGGCAAGTATACTAATTAGAGCTAAGATAGGCAAATGATACAACAACCCACCAATCAAGAGCATTTGCTGCTCGTCTATTGAACACATAGCAATAAATATTCAACATTCTGTGGGGTAAACAACCAAGTGTAAGATATGGTTTCTGGCATTATGGATTTTATGATCCAATTAAAGACATGAAACATAAACTTTTGTAAAGTTAAATGACAGTACAAAATGTATAAATAAGGTTTTATTTAAAAAGTAAAAGATGTTGCAAGATAATACATGACTTTTGCTAAGTCGATGCCGCAGACTACAGAAGTGTTATTGTTTAGAACAAAGAAAAGTCAGGATGCAGGGAAGGGATCTCAGAGAAAAGAGATTAGAAATAGGTCTTGAAAAAATGGGCTGGATTTGAATGAATGGAGGAATAGGGGAATTCCAAAGGCGGATCCAGGAAAGGAAGATGTCGTCTTGGCACCGTGAAGAGATTACAGGTTTCAGAGCCTAGGCGTTTGAGTGACAGCCTGCTCACCAGAACGGGACAGCAATTAGCCTTTGGCCTGAGGAAAGCAACTTGTTCAGAATAAAGTATTTTTATCACCCACAGTGAGGCCAAGAATCCAGTCAGATGTCCTGTTGGGATGTGAATCTGTCATTTTATGAGCTCAAAAAACCCCAGGAATGGCTTCGAATCCATGTTACAGGTCCGAGTTCCCTGGAAACAGCAATTGCCTCTTAGCAAAATCATTAATTAGGGCATTGCCTTAATTCCATTGTGAATAATAAAAATATGTGCACAGACTTCTGTACTTTGATGAAAGCATCAGGGTGTGATTTATGGGGGAAGATGCTCTCCGGGGAATATAAATATGTAAGCCTTACATACTTATAAAGTTCAAGCACATTACCTCTTCAACGGCTTTCAAAACTAAAGTGACCTCAGTTCAGTCAAATAAATAGGACAGACATGTAAATTAGCAAAAGAAGTGCTCTGACATTTATGCAAGGCTTATATCCCACGATGAACAATATCTAGATCAGTGGGAAGTCGGAAGCATTCTATATGTAGCTATCGCCAGACAAATCTAAACACTTGGTAGGCACTCAAAAAAAACTTACTGATTTTAAGTAATTAAAGGGGATCTGGTGGGCAGATACAAAAAGACAGAAGTCGCATCATGAGGCAAGGTTGCGACCGGAGTCTTTCTAGCCAGTTCCAGAAGAGCAGGTGGTTATATCCACCAGTGCCCAGAAGAGGGCAGCCAAGAGCTGCTCAACTGGAACCTTCCTGGGAAGGACACCCACTTGGCACCAGCCAGGGTAAACTGTCCTCTCCCCGGCACACAGAACAGAATCAGCCCAGAACTGATTGGTGAAGAAGTTTGGGGAGAAAAAAAGCAGGGGTGGGAAACATGGACTAAAGGTGTTCAAGACAGATGAAGAACCAGACCAAGAAGAATCATGGAGAAGCCAGAGAATGGAAAAGAAAGACAGCAGCCAGAGGTCAAAGGAACAAGGCACAGGAGTGCAGCAGCCCTGACCTTGCCACTCCCCTGCTCAAAAGAGTTCAATGGCTCCCTACTGTCCATCACACAAACTTCGTAGCCTGACATTCAGGGTCCCACTCTAATCTAACCCTAACCCACCTTAAGAATCTTGGGATTTGCTAGGTTTTTAATCATACACTCAAGATTCCAAGCAAACCAAAGTCTTTCTTGTGACTTTCTTCCTCAGTGTCTTTGTTCCTCCTGTCCCTTCACTCACTGCTCTAAACAATGAGTGGCTGCCACATACTAGTAATGAGAGGAAGGGATACAGGATCAACCAGAAGAAGTGCCCACCTTCAAAGCTGCCAGGAAGAGACAGTGCCATGTACTACCATGAGGGAAGCAAGAGTGGATGGGGTGGAGAGATAAGTGGCTAAGTCAGGCTGTCCGAAAAGGCTTCTTGGAGGAGGTGACCATCCCCCTGAAATCACCTTGCCTTTCCTCTCCACTCATCTAAACCTTCAGCGCCTGCTGAAGGACCATCTGTTGTTTTCATCTGCCTGCCTGCCTATTCCCACTCCTGGTAAAATATTCCATCTCCTCCTTTAGGAAACTGCTCCCTACCCCATCTGCCAGGTAGGCTGATCTGGTAATGTGGTTGATCATATTACCCCATCCTCTGATCCACAGAGGTTGGTTCAAGGAAGATCCTTCAAGACAGACTAATCAGATGTCTTCCCTGGAGTTTTCCCCTCCATTTTGGAATTGAAGGAATAGCTAGCTTTCTCTTTCCCCTGGATTGGAAGCTGACAAGATAGATACCAGAGCTGCTGATGCCATGTCCCTTGCCTCATGGAGGATTCTGAGAGAATAAACTGGAAAGAGATGGAGAAAATTGACACTATACAAATGCCAGAATTCAGTTGCCCTGAATTAGGGCAAGGCCTCTGCTCCACTGTGAGCAGCAAAAGCCCAATTCCAGAGCTCAGCCAAAGGAGTTTGTTTTTCTTGGGTAGCAGATGTTTAAAAGGCCAGTGGACAAGCTCTGCTGCTCTGGCTTCATGATGACATCAAAGACCGTTTTCCTCCGCCATCCCCATCACATGAATCTCCTCATGCTCCAAAATGATTGCTACATCTCTGGGGTTATATCCACATTCCACACTGGAAGGGCAGAAAGCATGTGCCCATTGAGGGTATCCCTTTTCATCAGAAAAATAATATATTCCCAGAAAACCCAACCTGTATCCTTCTGCTTACATCTCAGTGTTCAGAAGTGTCACATGGCCACCCCTCACTGCAAGGAAGTCCAAACAGCTGAGTATTTTTAACTGGCATACTGAGACAACAGAGGAAATACACATTGTGTAAGTAACTGGTGGTATCTGCTCAAGTCCTAAATGTCTTTGTTTGCCTGCATAAACCCATAAATTCTCCTTTTTTGCTTAAGCTAGCTGGAGATGGGTGTTTGTAACTTTCAATCAAAAAGCCATGGCTAAGACACCTGCCAAATGCCACCACCACCATAGAGCCTCCCTGATCTCACTACATCAGAATAATCTTGATGTCTTCAACTTCCAACAGGTCCTTTTCCCACCAGCAACCTGAGGAAGGGAAATCACAGGGACAGGGCGATCGCACCTAGGCAGCCAAACCCCACCCCAGCAGCCAAAGCAGGCAGAAGAACCCTGCCAGCAGGATTGCTGGAATCTAGCTCTCTTCTCTCTCTCGCTTCACCTGCGAAGGGCCACAAAAGAGCTGTTTCAAAGCCATCAGCATCATGAACCCAGCCACTGCTATTGACCCCATATGCTGAACCCAGCAATAAATACTATCCAGGGCTTGTTGCTGGCAAGAAAGGGGGAGAGAGCAACAGCCCTGATTTGCCACTAAAACACTTAAACATAATAGGATACATCTACAGGATGAAGCACTAGAAAGGAATAAAAAGAGAATGAGGAAGCTCTGGATGCATTAATGTGAAACACTTCTAAAACCGTTACTAAGAGGAAAAAAGCTAATTGCAAAATGGTGCCCGTATATATATGAGATATATAGATAGGATATATATATACACATATAAAATAATCATTTGTGATAAAAGAAAGAAAAATAGTATCTGCACCAATATTTGTACCTGCAGAAAATATCTCTAGAAGGATATACAATGCAAGAGACTGGTACTTTTGGCTGCCTATAGGGTGAAGAACAGGAAGGCTACAAAATAGGAGGGCAATGTTTCTCCGTACGCTCTTTAAACCTTTTGAATTTTGGACCTAGGAGTGAACCACCTATTTGAAAAAGAATGAAAATATGTTTCTGTAAGTAAACACATTACAGTTTGTGCTGGTATGTCTGGTATGTTTTGTTTAGTTAAGGCAAAACAATAGGAAGGATGAAATTGGCAAACTGGGCTGGGAAGAGAAAAGGAAGACAGAAAAATTAGCATCCATTTAACAATAAAATAGAAATAGCATTTTGGGTGAAGGGATGCTTTTCTCATATCTTGCTTCAAGCATTTACAGACATCATTCATCCTGTCTTTTCTACAAGCTGTGGAAAAATTGATTCAATTCCTTCCAGCTTAGAGCAGAGGAAAGGCCTAAAGAGCTGAGTCTCTGACACCGCCGCATTTCCCCAACCTGGCCAGGCCACCCCATCCTTGCTCAGTCTGTTTCCTGTGTCTGGAATCGCTCCCCTTTCTACTCTCTCCATTCCAAGGAGCCGCTCCAACACCTACACGGCTTCTCCATTGAAAATAGCTGTTCCAATAGACCAGGCATTGGCCTTTTCTGAAAAGAGTCAGGTGGTAAATAGTTTAGGCTTTTTTTTCATGGCTGTTCTGTCTCTGTCATAACCAGCCAACTCTGCTGTTGTAGCATGAAAGCAGTGATAGATAATACATAAACAAATGGGCATGGCTGTATTCCAATAAAACTTTATTTACAAAAACAAACAGGCTGTAATCCAGGCCACTGACAACACCAAATGCTGGCAGGGATGTGGAGCAACAGGAACTCTCATTCATGGCTGGTTGAAATGCAACATGGTACAGCCACTTTGGAAGACAGCTTGGCCGTTTCTTACAACACTAAACATACTCTTGCCATATGATCCAGCAATTGCTCTCTTTGGTATTTACCCAAAACCGTTGAAAAATTATGTCCACACAAAAACCTGCACATGGATGTTTAGAGCAGCTTTATTCATAATTGCCAACACTTGGAAGCAACCAAGATGCCCTTCAGTAGGTGAATGAATAAATAAACTGGTCTATCCAGACAATGGAATAGTATTTAGCACTAAAAAGAAATGAGCTATCAAACCATGAAAAGACGCGGAGGAAACATAAATGCATATTACAAAATAAAGAAGCCAGTGTGAAAAGACTACATACTGTATGATTCCAGCTACATGACCCTCAAGAAAAGGCAAAACTATGGAGACAGTAAAAAGATCAGTGGTTGCCAGGGGTTGGTGGGGGAGAAAGGGGTGAAGAGGCAGAGTACACAGGATTTTTAGGGCAGTGAAACCACTCTGATGAAACCACAATGGTGGATACGCATCAGTATACATTTGTCCAAACCCATAGAATGTACACCATGAATGATCCAGAATGTAAACTATAGACTCCATGAGTGATAATGATGTGCCAATCATCAGCTGTAACAAATGTGGCTATTGGTGGGTGAAGTTGATAATGGGGGAGGCTGTGCATGTGTCAGGGCAAGGAATAAATGGGAAATCTCCCATTTATTTATGTTCCTCTGGCTCCCAGGAGGGGGAGCAGCTGTTCCCTCCGTCCGCTCAAGGGGCCTCCGCACGCTGCAGGCATTCTCTGGGGTCCCTGGACCTAGGAGACTCTCCCCAGAGTACCAGTCCTCCCAGTCTCCCCGGCAAAATCAGTGCTGCCCAAACCTCCCACTCAGTGTTGCTGTGAACCTAAAACTCCTCTAAAAATAAAGTCTATTAAACAAACAAACAAACAAACAAATAGGTGGTGGCCATATTTGGCCTGTGGGCCATTGTTTGCTGACCCTTCCTTTGGACTCCAGGGAAATTTGCCATCAGTGACCATCATTCTCTGCATTACTTTATAGTAGGTGGATTTGTTGCCATTTCTTGCCCTCAGATGCAAACACTTTGAAGATAAAAACTGTCTCTTCTTATCCCATCCACTAGCCTGAATGTTGGTTGGATTAAATTGGCCTAAAGTGATGTAACCCAGCTGCCAAAGACAGAACACAGCTCATAGCTTTCTCTTTCCTGGGGCATGTCTGTTGCATCAAACACCAGCCCTTTCACCACTTGCCCGCCATAGGCCCTGAAAAACAATGTCCCTGCCTGCCCTACTACCCTGGGCACCCTGTTTCCAGAAGCTTCCAGATGAGCACAGTCGGAGAGCCTTCTCTAAGTGTTTGGTAGAGGGTGTAGATTAAATAACTTTTAAAGCAAAATTCAAAAACAACAGCATTCAAAAGCACCAAATTCCAAAGCAGCATCGCTCCACCAGGCTGCCACATCTCCTTTTCTCACACATGGCCCTACTGGTTTGCAGTTTAATCGAATATTTATGTTGCTGTTAGCTTTTTGGTCCACCTACAACATTCTAATGTAGCAAACTAGCATTTATTGAACAGCTACTACCTGCCAGTTGCTCTGAACATTTTAAAGAGATGTCCAAGGAAGGAAGAGGGGATGTTTACTTTCCATTGTATAACTTACGGTGTGCTTTGAATTTTTTACTATGTACATTGTTGTACTATGTACTATATACATAATTTCAGCTTATAGAGTAAGTGACTGGAGGATTTGATGTGTCATTTCTGAAAATGTATATTTTCACATGTGAGGTCTTTCTGAAGGTGATTGCAGATTCCTAACAAAATCTAGAGAAAAATAAATAATTTTTGTTTTGTACTTGAAAATTGCCAAACTGCATTAAATAATCTTGCGCTCTAAGATTCTTTTCTGTACTCATGTCATTGTACTTCCAAAGTCAAGGGCCTCTGTGTTCTGAGACTTGGAAATTCAAAAAAGATGCAGCTTCTCCTCGGCCCTTTGTCCACCCGCCTCCACCCTGGAACAGGCTGCCTTCAGCCCTGCCATGATCACCGCAGCCCGGCAGGACTGTTGTTCCTCTGGCTCCCAGGAGGGGGAGCAGCTGTTCCCCTTGTCCGCTCAAGGGGCCTCCGCACCCTGCAGGCATTCTCTGGGGTCCCTGGACCTAGGAGACTCTCCCCAAAGTACCAGTCCTCCCAGTCTCCCTGACAAAATCAATGCTGCCCAAACTTCCCCGTGCTGCTGAAAATGCAGAGACGTGAAATCCCACTGAAGACCGTGCTGGAAGCTAGCCCAGCCTCCACCATGACTGCGACCCGCCTTCAATCCCTGAAACTTTGAGGAAAATAAGTGAGACGTGTATTTTGACACACCAAAACAATGAGCGAAGCTGCCCCCACCCCTGAGGGCCATTGGGCTTTCTCCCCTGATGATATGTGTCCCGTCTAAATCTCATGTTGAAATGCAATCCCCAGTGTTGGAGGTGGGAGCTGGTGGAAGGTGAATGGATCACGGCGGGTGGATCCCTCAAGGCTTGGTGCTGTCCTTGCACCAAGGACAATAATGAGTGAGTTCTCAATAAGATCTGGTTGTTCGAGGGTGTGGCACTCCCCCCAATATACACTGTCTCTTGCTGCCGCTCCTGCTATGTGAGATGCCTGCTCCCCCTTTGCCTTCCACCATGATTGAAAGCTTCCCGAGGCCTCCCGGAAGCCAAGAAGATGCAGGCACCATGCTTCCTAAACAGCCTGCAGAACCGCGAGCGAATTAAACCTCTTTCCTTTATAAGTTACCCAGCCTTGTATGGGCACCGTGGCTCGCGCCTGTAGTCCTAGCACTTTGGGAGGCCGAGGCAGGTGGATCACTTGAGGTCAGGAGTTCGAGACCAGCCTGACCATCATGGCAAAACCCGGTCTCTACTAAAAATACAAAAATTAGCTTGGCACAGTGGTGCACACCTGTAATTCCAGCTACTCGGGAGGCTGAGGCACGAGGATCATTTGAACCTGGGAGGCAGAGGTTGCAGTGAGCCAAGATCATGCCACTGAACTCCAGCCTATGTGACAGAGCGAGACTCTGTCTCAGAAAAAAAACAAAAACAAAAAACAAAACAAAACAAAACAAAAAAAGCCAATCTCAGGTATTTTATAGTGGTGTAAGAACAGCCTAACACACCTGATTCAGTCATGTTCTGCCAGAGCTCCCTCTGCACCTTCTAGAGCCTGTGTTTGACCCTCAAAAAGTAACCGGTGTAACTGAGGAACTGCCTTTTTAAAATTTTGCTTTAATTAAGGTAAATGTAAGTTTTTAAATAGACAATTCAGTTATTGAAAAAACTTTATGTTTAGAACAATGCGGAGAGATGACTCTACTGTTTCAATTGTAAATTTTATGAAATTGAAATACAGATCAAATATTTTCTATGAAAATTTAGAGTTCAGATTGAGATGTGCCATAAGTATAAAATACATACCAGATTTTGAACACTCAATATCAAAAAATGCAAAGTATCTCATTCATAATTATTTATATTGATTACATGCAGAAATGACGTTTTAGATATCTTAGCTTAAATAGAATATATTATTAAACTCAATTTCACCAGTGTCTTTTTTCTTTGTTTAATGTGGCTACTAGAAAATGTTTAATTAATGTATAGTTTACATTACATTTCTATTGGACGGCACTGTTCTAGGCCATTTCCCAGTTGTCCTTTGCATTGGGAAATGGGCCAGAAATTTTGCTGCTTCTGGCAGGCTGCCCTCCTAGAATGAACAGGATGGTATCCTCAACAGAAACTGCTCAGCTTTCTGAGGCTCGGGAGATGAAAGGAGAGAGAAAGGAGGCGCATTGGCAGGAAGAGCTGGGCCTGACTTCCTTGGAAAAGCCAGCCCTGGTGCCAGTCAGTGCCCCACCCACCCTGGGATCCCTGTGGGCCCACAATGGGCCCTCTCTTGGTAATCCAGGGATGATAAACACATGGTGCAGGCTCTCCAGGGACACATGGCTCACAGAGGGATACATGCAGAGGCAGGATGTGCAGAAGCAGCTATTATAATTCACCAGAGAAGGCCGGGAGTTCTCCAAAGTTGAGGTGGCACTGAACAAGATTGGCAGGGATTCAGACCTCTCTCCAGCTGGCCTCTGTAGTGGCTCTGCAGAGTCTAGTGGTGACTGAATCTACTGCTAAGCCAGATGCATAAACCTGGGCATCAGAACCCCTCTCTGAGCCTTGGTTTCCACCCATAAAATGAGAGGGTTTACAGCCTCTATTTTAAAATGCGGTAACTCAACACAACTGCCTTTTTCTCTACGTAGCATTGGCAGAGTCATGGGGCTCCAATCAGGCCCAAGGCCAGGCCTTTATTTTTCTCCTAGAGAGCTCACTCAGAAGTTCATTTCCATGCCCCGTGCCCAAGGCCAGGTCTCCTTGAAATGCAGCCAAAAGCTCATTAAATGTACACAGAAGGGAGAGCCACTGGGACGTGAGGGCCTGCTCTGCTCAGCATGACCAGCGCCGGGTGTGTAGCTTTCTGTGACCCATCTCCTCCGGCTGCATTTTCCCCACCTCTGGGGAGCACCTCTGTTCCAGAAGGCTCTGAGTTGGAAACACACAGGATGAATTTGGGCACATGTCCTCAGTCACAAATGCCAACAGAATTGGAATATCCAGCAAAGTGCTTTCCAGCCTCCTGGTGCCCAGAGACCTGGGAAGCCAGAGAGTGGAGAGTCCAGGGTAGGAGGTAGAAAGAGCTGTGCAGTGGAAACCCAGAAACCCAGCTCCAACCCTGACTCAGCCAACCGCTAACTCAGTGCCGTGGACAAAAGAATAATATCAACGTGCTCATGTGCATGTGTGTGCATGTGTGTGCGTGTGTGTGCATGTGTGTGCGTGTGGGCATGTGTGCATATGCATGTGTGTGTGTTTGCATGTGTGTGTGCATGTGCGTGTTTGTGTGTGTGTGCGTGTATGTGTGTGTCCCCATGTGCCGGGCCCAGAAAGGAAATATCACTGTGAGTAAAGAAAGAAGCCCTTGTCCTTCTGAGGCTTCCACTCAATTATAAGACAAGATGCACAAAAGTAGTGTAGATAAAGTGCAATGGCAAAAAGTAGATGACAACTTTACCTCCAACTACAGGGACTGGGACTGATTTCCTGGCAAGGAGGCATTTGGGAGAACAAACAAGTGCGAAGTGCCCAGGAGGAGAGGCCAAGGAGGTTTAAAGGCGTGTTCTCAGAACACCAAGTTTAGTTGACGTCTACCTCCTCTCAGCAACTTTCTACAACAGTGAGTTGACTCCTCCCTATTCTCTGAGACATAAAGCTCATTCCAAACGGTTCAAGGCTTGACTGTTCATACTTATTGTTGTTGCATTTATATTACCATCAAGAGCATTTGTGATGATCTGCTACCAGGGTGCTTAGTGCGTGTCTTGTCTCTCTAATAGCACAGTCAGGGAATAGGTCCAATGCTTTCTCTTATTCCCTGCCAGCCTGCCGTGCAATCTCTGGGTTGGAAGGAACCCTGGAAATCATGCTATCCAGTTCCCCATCTTCTCTTTCCCGGAGGCCTCTGCAAGACTGACAGGCATACCGTCTGCCTCTTTATTCTGTGTTTGTGCAAAACAGTGTGTTAAAACAGGTTCTGTTTTAGTATCAGCCGAGGCTCCAAGACACCAAGAGTGACTGCACCCCATTTCTAAGGAAAAGTGAAAGACCACAAAGACTTACACAGGAGGTAGTCAGAAACGGGTTTTAGGGCCCCAATCTATCCACCACCCGAACTTTAAAGAATTTGGAGGCCGGGCGCGGTGGCTCACACCTGTAATCCCAGCACTTTGGGAGGCCCAGGCGGGTGGATCACAAGGTCAGGAGATCGAGACCATCCTGGCTAACACAGTGAAACCCTGTCTCTACTAAAAAAAAAATTACAAAAAAATTAGCCGGGCGTGGTGGCGGGTGTCTGTCGTCCCAGCTACTCGGGAGGCTGAGGCAGGAGAATGGCGTGAACCCGGGAGGCGGAGCTTGCAGGGAGCCGAGATCGCACCACTGCACTCCAGACCCGGTGACAGAGCGACACTCCTTCTGAAAAAAAAAAAAAAAAAAAAAAGAATTTGGAGCTGGGCTGGGATTAGACAAGAATTTGGGGAGATAGCTGCCAATCCTTACACTCCCCACCCTTCTGGGGAGAGGCTGTTTCTAACCACCTCAAGCCTAGGTGAAGGGGCTTCCATGAGACCTCCTGGAAGGCTTGCAGCATGTTCCCTGGATCACGGGAGACTCCATCGATTGATGTCTGGCTCACCCTGAGAAATTTAAAGGGCGAGAGATGGCGGCAGGCCAGTTGCGCCGAAGGTGGAGTGAGACGAGGTGATCGCGTTGAGGGAGACTTGCTTTTCCCGAGTCTGTCAGGGCAAAGCATGTGTGAGTTTCCCATGGAGCAGAACTGGCCTGGGAGGTGCGGCGCCAGATGCTAGGGGGTGAGGGAGAAGCAGTGGAGGAACGGTCAGAAGAGATGCATGCTCCCAGTCAGGCAAAGGCAGATAAGAGGCGGTTGCTGCAAATTACCCATGAAGGAACCCATGAGGTGAGTCATCTGTCAACCCCAGATGGCTGGAACACCACCAGCGGAGTGAGTCTCTTCCCACCCGCTTCCCTCCTCTCTTCTCCTCTTGCCCTGGCCAATCCTGGAGAAGCCAAGGGGTGGGGGGAGTATGGAGGGAAAATGGAAGCACCAGGTGAAGCAAATAGAGGCGCACAGCCCCACAACCCCTTCTCACTGCAGGTGCCAGCCTAATGCAGCAAAGCTGGGAGAGGGAGGAAATTTTCATTTGCAATGTCGATGGGAGGATTTGGGTCCTTATCCTGGAATGGGCATATTAATTACCAATGGAGACTGGGTTTTTGTGGAAGAAGTAACTGGATCATGTTTTCTTAGATAAGGGCGACAAAAGACTTCGTAGAACTTGCCCCACTTTTATTAAGGAGCAGAATAAATATTGCAGAACAAGCTTAACAAGACAGTGGGAGACCAAAAATACGATTCGTTTCTGTTGCATCCTACAAGTCCCTGCTTGTTCAATATGATGGTGTAATATATACACAATTTCCAAAATTGGGATCATATGCTACATGGTATTCAAATCTTTTTTTTTCTCAAAGAATAATATATCATGAAGTTTTTCCCTTGGAAGAAAATATTCATCTACAAGTCGAACATACCACCATCTGGACATGCTGTAATTTATTTGCCCAATATCGTATTCAATGTTTGCTCTTGCAAATCACACTAAAATCAAATATCCTATGCATAACTCTTTGTTTGATTTGACATATTTGATTCCTTCCTAAGGATAAATTCCAAGAAGTGGAATTGCTAGACTAATGGGTAGAAACCTTTTTAAGGCTTTTTATCTCTATCATCAAAGAGGCGCAGGATCTCGAAACACGTTTTCACTAAGTAGGACTGAGTTGTCCAGAAAAAGCCTGAAGAGGCTGGATACATCCTGCAGTCTGTGTAGCCCCACTCAGGTAGGCAGGGAAGTACGACGGTGACTATCGAGGTTATTCCACAGCTATGTAAGGGTAGCGAGAATCGCACCTGACCAAGCCCACACTGTTTTTGCTACTATAAGACACACATACAGAATTCAAGTGATATTCACGAGAATAACACTTGTGTCGACGCATCTTTTCCTGACTCGCTCAAGGGGTTAATTTCTGGGGGAGGCAGCATGGAGAGTATGGTCAAGAGCACGAATCCTGGAGTCAGACAGCTTGGCCTTAGCTCCACCGTGGACTAAACATGTTACTGGAGCAAGTTACTTCTCTCTGTCCTGAGCTTCCTCATTCATAAACCTTCCAAATTCAATTAATTCCTGAAAATGCCTAACCAAGTGCCTGGAATTCAGTACATGCTCAATAAGTGGTGTCATTAGTTGTCATTTTCTGGTCTTATCAGAAGAACTGAAGCCAGATCAGCTAAATCTGTGGTTCTCAGTTGGGAGTGATTTTGCCACACGGGGTATATTTGGCAATGTCTAGAGACATTTTTGATTGTCACAGCATGGGAGGGAGGAGGTGCCGCTGGTATCTAGTGGGTGGAGGCCGGGGACACTTCTTAACTTCCATGCACCAGAGAGACCCCCACAGCACAATGTCAGTAGTGCTGAGTTTGAGAGTCCCTGAGCTAAACCATCCCTGGTGCTCACCTGAGTGCCAGCTCTCACATGCACATGAGCACTGCATTTCTCTTTTGTGCAATGACATTTCTGTGTGGCATTTCCCTCCCACTATCTCTGGGGTCACCTGGTATACTGAACAGGCAGGACTGGCCACATCTCCTGTCTAGCACTCACAGTATGAGAGAATAGAGAGGAATCTAGTTACCAGGGGCATTCACAGGCTTCTGCTACAATGATGCTGTATAGCAATTACAAATCTCTGAGGCGCACAAAATAAGCATTTATTTGTTGCTCATAGCTTTGAGAGGTGGTTTGGACAGTTTGGCTTCAGGTGATGGGTCAAGTTCAGATCTGCCCCACCTTCATGTTCAGAATGCATCTCATTCTGGAACCCAGGCTGAAAAAGACCCCAAGACTGTGGGTTCTTCCCATGGCAAAAGTCCCAGAAGGGCAAGAAGAAACAGCAGTGCCTCCTGAGGCTCAGAACTGGCACAGACCCTTCAGCCATGTTCCATTAGCCACAACCCATTTGTGGCCCCTGTTACCTACAGGATAACATGCACATGCCTTAGGCTGCACTCAATCCTTTATTAAAATCAAGTAGACTATAAATACATACGCTTTTTTTTCTTTTTGTCTGTAGCAGAACATAAAAAGCAGAACAAAAAAGCCTCATTGTTCATCTCTGTCAAGTTCTGGCCAGTGATCAATAAGCAGAGATATTGTATGGAACATGCTGAATGGCATTGTCTCAGGGACAGGACAGGTCTTCTTCCATTTCTCCTTCCTGCTGCCTGGGATCCAGATGTAGTGGCAGGAATTTTAGCAGCCATTTTGGACCTTGAGGATGGAAAGTACACATGGTGGAGCAGAAAGCGTAAGGTTCTTGGATCTCTGATAATGCATGGAGCTGCCTTAGCAGCCCTGTACTTACTACCCATCTCCAAAATATTTTATATGAGACAACAGACTCTTGTATGTTTAAGGCTTTGGAGTCGAACCTCTCATTTATAAACAAACTTGATTTTAAAACATACCTCAAGGATTCCCTGAGTTCACTGGCTGAACACACCTTCATTTCAGTGTGTTATACATTCACTTCCCTATCAGCAATGCTGATGTTCCCTACCCAGCCTAAAAGGACAGAATAAAAAGCCTCTCACATCCAGGTCAGTCTTTGCATTATGGCTGCCAGTCTCTTTCTTCCGAAAACTTGGGGGGTGGGGGAGGGAGAGATAAAGTTTTACCACCAAAGAAGTCACTAACGAAGTGCCAGGAAATTTTTATACATTCGATTACCAATCACCAGTAACAGGTGAATTCTATCATTTTTCTTCTGGGCAATATTAATGTTTTGCACTTTGAAACCAAAGTCCTTGAGCACAGCTGTTATCCTCCACTGCCTCTGGAAACTCCTCTCCGGTTCACACGGAAGGCTACCCTTTACCTCCCACTCCCTCCCAAACCTTAGTGCTCACAGCCATCCTTTGTCCATTTCTGTCTATTTGATATATGCCAGTTCCTCTGGCTGCTGTCCAACTGCAGGGCTTCTGAGCTTAGCGTGAAAGCCCCCAAATGATCCTGCCCCACCCTCTCTACCAGAGTCCATGCATCAAGTCCTTTAATCAGTTACTGTAATTCCCCTTATCTACACCTGCCTCACACTAATCCAGTATCTCGGTGGAACAATGAGGCTTCCAAATAGAGGTAATTTCTTCCACTGCCCATTCTCTGCATGGCCAGTGAACTGACAGAGTCATAAAACAGGGCAGAGGTCGCAGAGTGCCTCCAGGGCAGTGATTTCCAGAGTGTTTTTATTTTAAACCTGGAACTCTTTGTTCACATGAAATCTTAGGTAAAGCCAAATATGCAAAGCGGTTAAAGACAGAGCCCTCCAAATGGAAGGGAGATGGTGGGAGCAAGTTTGGAGGGGACCCAGCCCCACTGCCGCCCCTCAGCAGTTTTGAAGGGAACCCACAGAAACCCAAGTCTCTGAGTGGATGAATGCTCTTCCTTCTTCCCTCTACTTAAACGCTCCTCCCCCAGGGGTTTGCTCTGATCATTTCCTCATTCCAATCAAGTCTCTAGACAATGTCACCTTCCCTGGCCACTTATCTAAAGTAGCCCCCACTCCACATCACTCTCTATTCTTGCAGGCTGCATTAGTCTTGTGTCAGCTTGAGAATGGAATAAGAAATGTAAACCTTGCTGGGTGCAGTGGCTCACACCTGTAATCTCAGCACTTTGGGAGGCCAAGGCGGGCAGATCACCTGACATCAGGAGTTCGAGACCAGCCTGGTCAACATGGTGAAACCCTGTCTCTATTAAAAACACAAAAAATTAGCCAGGCATGGTGGCAGGTGCCTGTAGTCCCAGCTACTTGGGAGGCTGAGGCAGGAGAATCTCTTGAACCCAGGAGGCAGAGGCTTCAGTGAACCGAGATCATGACACTGCACTCCAGCCTGGGTGGCAGAGTGAAACTCCATCTCAAAAAAAAAAAAAGAAAAATGTAAACTTTTATTAGAGGAAACACATATGAGAAAATGAAGGGAGTGAACTGGGACTGGTTGGGAGAGCTGTCAAACTGCAGTGAAGATCTGCCTGTAAGTGAAGGAGAGAGGGAAGGAAAGGAGGGTGGGAGAGAGGAAGGATTTCAGACTAGAATACACTTCTACAAAAATTCCAGCAAGCCCTTCAGAGAGTACTCAAGCCAAAGTTTCCCATCAAGAAATCCCAAGTCTGCCTCAGTGTCCCTGCCACACTGGGACATTGAGGGGAAGCAGTCCCAGTGCAAACACAGTGGTGCATTCCCAAATGCAGCTGCCGAGGTTCTCAGTCACTTTCACACTCTGCACCATGAGATCCCAGAGGCTCATTCTCATGGCCACCAAAATTTTCCTTTATAGTGCTTTCACTATCTGACATTATATTTAGTATTTATTTGTTTGTTATTGTCCCCAAGCTAAAATGTAAACTCCATGCTGACAGGGGTGTGCCTGGCTTGTTCCCTACAGTATCCTCAGCTCCTAGAACAATATCTGGCAAATAAAAAGCAAATATCTGTTGGATGAATGGGCAGGTAGAGGGATGTTTTATGGGCTGCAAAGGAGTTATAACATGAAGAAAATAGTGTAAAGATCTCAGAGTTGTATTGTTAATCAAAAAGAAAAACGACAGCATCTTTTCATCTTGGGAAACATCTTGGAGAAAGAACAGACTGCGGTTGAGACAGCTTCAGGAACGCCGCTGCCTCGGGGAAGAGACAGGATTCACAAAAGTGAGGGCAATTCAGCCAAGAGCTTGAGTATATCAGGTTGTTGGTTGGTCAGGGTTGCAATTCATCCAGGCTGAGAGACTAAAATTTACTTTCCTGAAGCTAAAGGGAAGCCAGTGGCCATGAAAAACTGAAAATACAATATAATCTCCTCCTCTTTAGAAAACAGAGACAGAGACAGAGAGAGACTGGCCTTCTCTTGCATGTGATCATTAGTGATCTAGGTGTGATGCTATCCCCATAACATCCTTCACCCCGCCCCGCACAAACCCTCCACCCTGAGAGCACTGTTCTTTCAAACTCTGAGATCTAGATCATGTGAAGATCTGATTCCACTACCTAAATTTCAGAGTCAGAAGATCTGAGAAGACTCAGACTTATGTTAACAAGTGTGTAGAAACGTGAAAGAGGAATGTCTTCTCTGTGAGTCAATATTGGAAACTCAAGTGATTTTTTTCCCCTTTATTAAGAACAAAAGAGGTCAGGCGCAGTGACTCATGCCTGTAATCCCAGCATTTGGGGAGGCCAAGGTGGGAGAAGCTAAGAATTTGAGACCAGCCTGAGCAACAGAGTGAGACCCACCCCCCATCTCCAAAAAAAATTTTTTTTTAATTAGCTGGGTGTGGTGGTGCACACCTGTAGTCCCAGCTACTCTGGAGGCTGAGGTGGGAGGACCGCTTGAGCCAGGAGGTGAAGGCTGCAGTGAGCCATGTTAGCACCACTGCACTCTACCCTGGATGACAGAGCAAGACCCTGTCTCAAAAAAAAAAAAGAACAAAAGAGCCCAAATGCCATATAAGAATGTCTGCTCTTAGTTTACAGAGCTTTCCAAAATACAAAGGCTTCCTTTGGTATGAAAAATTCAACAAATTTGTGTAACAAACCATAAAATTAAATGTATATACTTGAAGGACTGGGACTGCCAAATAGATTCTTCAAAATGGCTTTGCCTTTTTGATTTGCTGCACCATTTTTAGCCAAAACTGGTGCAGTGCTCTAAATATCCCAACAAAATTGGAATCTCAAGACCTCCAAAAGGCTAATGGTGACCTCCAACTTTTAATAAAAGAGCTGAGGACCAAGGGAAGACCAAGGGGTTTGATGGATTCAAGATCATAAAAGCAGCATTAATTGTCTGACCCAGGGGAGGAGGTCAGAAAAGGGGCTGCAAGGATCACACCAAGAAAGGAGACAGGCCCAGCATGGATGAGGGGGACTGTAAGCACCTCATCATCCCTTGCGTTCTCTAACCAATGCACCACACTTTTATCTGACATACACGCTGGGCTTGGTAGTAAGCTTTCACATAAAGAAAAGTCTGAGTAAACAATTTGAGTAGCACTAGTCGATTCCACTGAGATGATGTAATACTTGTATCAGATTCTTCATTCCCATAAATCCTGGGGTGTTAGTCATATAACATTGCCTGACATATTTTCCACTCCCCAACACTCAGGGGCTATCTCCAAAATGGGACAGATGTTATCTGGCACTCACCCTTTACTGGAGCTCTCAGTGGAAAAATTATGCAAAAAAAAAGTATTTCCGTGAACATTTACTGACTTCTGACTCTATGCTAGACCAGAGATTATAAGATCATCTATCCCCACAAATAACTTACAGAATAATAGAAGAGAAAGTGCACAGGCAATGTGAACATTGCTGAATGCTGAATCATTTAGAATGTGTTTGCCTGCAAGTAAGAGAATACCGCCCCCTCTCCCCGCCCACACACACACACAAAATGTGACTTAGGCATCAGGGGTTATTACTATATCTCACATATCCAAAAATCTGGGGGAGAATGTTCCCAGGTTGGTTCGGCAGTTCAGGAATGGCAGGGATCCAGTTCACCACCTCTATGATTCTCTTGGCTTTCCCCTCATAGCTTCAAGGTGGCTGCTGTAGCTCCAACCATCACATCCTCACAAAACTACGTCTAATGGCAGACATGAAAAAGATCACTCCTTTGTAGTCATGGAGGAAACTTCCCCAAGAATTCCTTGGCAGATTTCCCATCTTATCTCTTTGAGAAGAATTAAATTACATCCCCAGACTTTAGCTATAAGGCAGGTTGGGAAAGAGAATATCAGGTGTTTTCAGCTTCGGTTGAGAGAGGCAAATTCTGCCAGCAAGTAAGCAGGAGGAGGAATGGTTGTAGGTGAGTAATCAACATGGTCTGCCGTATATGTCAGGGGCAATGACAGAGAGGCATAAAGCAGGCCATGAGAGCATGGAGGAGGGGCACCTGTCTCATCAAGAGGACACTTCCTGGAGCTGGTGACACCTGAGATGAATATTAAAGAACAAATAGGATTTAGTGAGATGAAGATCATGATAGAAAGGATGGAGTGGGCCAAGGTCCCAGGTAAAGGGCCAACATGAGCAAAAGCATAGGACTGTAACAGAACACGATGTGGGCACCAACTTAGTGTCACTACAGCATCTAATGACAGGAAACGAATATTGTGAAGTGTCAGAGGCCTGGTCACAAAGGCCTCCAGGGCTGTCTACCGGAGCTTAAACTTGCAACATAAGCCAAAGCTTGCAAACTTGGAGGCTGGAGGCCAAATCCAACCTCCAGACATGTTCTGATTGGCAGGCACTTGGGGTTTGCATTCTGAGTATGAATGACTGGAGGCAGGGCATACTCCAGGGCTGAACACTTGGTCTCCCCCTTTCTATTATCTTACACCTGGACTGTTTCCCTCAGTTATGCCATCAGCCTGCTCCCTTAAGGCTTTTGAGTTCACGCTCCTGAATAGGCTCCGGAGAGCCATTGAAAGATCTTACACAGAGCAATGGCACTACCTGTTCTGTATCTCATATCATTCCTTCTGGCAGCATCGGGTTGGAGTTATGAGATTGGAAATAGGAAGACTGAGTAGAGGTATCTTTTTCAGGACTGTTGGTTGCAAGTGTCAGAAATCTTACTCAAACCTGCTTAAATTATTTAAAAAGATATGTTAGTTCCATAACTTTAGAGTCCAGGATAAGTTTAAGCCTCAAATATGGCTAGATCCAGGGGTAACATGATGACAATATGTCTCTCCATCCTGCTTTCCCATGTTTTGACTTTGTTCTCAGCCAGGCTCTCTGCTAATGGAGAACATGGTCCCTGGCAGCCCCAGACTACTGTGATCCTAAAAGTCAACTGTTGCCAAGAAAGAAGAATGTCTTTCCTGATAATTCTGACAAAAGTCCCAGGTTAAATGAGATGGCATGTGGAAGAATAAATAAATTAATAAATAAATAAATAAACAAAAGTCTCATGGAAGACTCTGATTGGCCTGGCTAGGTCATGTGACCATTCATAAGCTAAAACACAATGCTCATATAAGGAGAATGTATGGAACAGGACAAACAATCACCAGAGGATGGAACTCCAAGGATGTGAAAGGCTGAACAAAGGAAGAGAAATCTACGAAGAAAGGGTGGTCAGAGAATTAGGAATAGAATCAGAATCAAATGATATCCCAGACACAAGGAAAGAAATATTTAACACAAGTGGGCAACTCTTTCAAATTCAACTAAAGTATATTTCTTAAGTTTTTTATAAAAAACTGTGATGTATTGGATTGGTAAAATGTTAGAATTACTTTTGGTGGAGTTGTGGGCACTTGGGGCAGGTTGAGGAGTTGGCAATGGATTGAGGCATGCATAGAAAAAGTAGAAACAAAATTATAGATGACCTAAGAAATTTGGTTGAAAGAAACAGAAATAGAGAGGTTATAGAGAAAGAAACAGGATCAAGGTAAGATATTTTTGGTTGTAAAGTGTTTGAATTAGCAGGTGGGAAGGAAGCCTGAAAATAAAGAAAAGGGAGTTACTTTTTAATTTTTTTATTATTTATTTAATTTTTTAGAGACAGGGTCTTGCTCTGTCACCCAGGCTGGAGTGCAGTGATGCAATCAAAGCTCACTACAGCCCCAACTTCCCAGGCTCAAGCAATCCTCTACCTCAGCCTCTAAAGTAGCTGGGACCACAGGTGTGCACTACCACACCCAGCTAATTTTTTTTTTTAAGAGATGAGGTCTCACTATGTTGCCCAAGCTGGTCTCAAATTCCTGGGCTCAAGTGATCCTCCTGCCTCAGCCTCCCAAAGTGCTGGGACTACGTGAGCCACCACACTTGGTCAACTATTTAAAAAGAAAGATTGAATTACAAATAAATATAACTACTAGAAGCATCAAGTCAAGATACATGGCAGTTGAAAATTTCTGAGGATTGTCTAAATTCCCGTTTATGATGTCTTTCACCTTTATGGTGATGGAAGAAATAGGAAGCCCTGCTAGCATCTGCTACAGCTGTTCATTCATTCATTCATTGATTCACTCAACAAATGATTATGAAGCCACCACCTGGCCAGGCACCAGTCCAGGTGTTAGTGATCCAGCAGTGAACAAAATTGACAAAAACCTGCTTCCATGGGTAATAAATGCCCCCTGACACTCGATTCCTGGCTCTCCCACCTTCCTACAGACCTGATCCATGCACTTGGCTTCCAGCTCTTTCTGGGCCCTACAGGCAGATGTACCCAGGATACCAGGTGCCATCTCTGGCAGCTGAAAGTTTGGTTCTCTGGATTGTTCCAAACTTCATTGCTTTTGCAAGCTGCTTACTCACCACCCGACAAAGGGTGAATAGTGAATACAGTCACATCTTTCTACGCTCACCATCTTTCTTCCCTTTTAGAACCTAGAGGAGGATAGAAAATAACAAAATTTTCCCCACCTGAAGCTGCCAGTAGAATTCCCAAAATAAGATTAACTTCTCTAGATGACTCACCTAAAAATCTCGCCACACTTCTCTTGTGCTGCTGAGAAAACAACCAAAAGTAGCTATTATGCTGGAATGTAGGTGAAGATCAAAAGTGGACATCAAACTTGCCAGAAGCAGAGAGCAGGAAGACTTGAAAATAGAGATTCTGGACTCAGACTACCCAGGTTCCAATCCTGGTGTCCTCACTTACCAGCTTTCAACACCGAAAAGGAGACGCAGATGGAAATCCACCCTGCCCAAGAAGCAGCTTCCCACTGGAAAATGGTAATAAGAGTAATAATAGCAGGTGCATCAAATAGCTGTGAAAATGAGATGCAGTCATTCATTAAAGTGCTCAGCAAGGGGACCACGTGGGCGGAGGGCTGAGGTGAGGGTGCATTGCCATGTGGAAGTTGGGTACTACAGCCAGAATGCAAAAGGATAAATCCAGTGTTCACTAAATAATACTGATAAATTTTCTTACCTAATACACTCTCCTTCTGACCCACTCAGCCTGAACATAGAGAGGCAGGAAGGTAAGATTTCCCTGTCCACTTCAGAAACTGAGGTTAGTACAATTAGTTCTTCATTCTTCATGTCTGAGGCCCATTGGCTTCAAGAAAATCTATCTTTCTCTTAAAAACAACTCACTGTAACCATTAGGTCAAAATTACAGCTAAAGATCGAGTTTCTGCAAAATGTCAAATAAAATGTCTTACCATTTGTGACAAACAGCTGTTGCCTTCTTCTCCACGATGGAATCAAAGGATCTTATCACCTTAAAGGAAAACGACTAAAGCAGAATTATTTTCCTTTTAATCTTTTTTCCCCTCCATGGAAATTTACATAAGAAGGAGCTGTAATCCATTCCTTTCTGTGTGTCAGAAAATCTCCACTCTTGTGGTCTCCATGGCAGCAACTCCCAACCTGAGACAGAGGCTGTTTCACCCCACAGAGTGCATTGGACTTTTATCTGGTGAGTGCAATCAATGTAGACAAGCACATTGGATGACTCAAACTTGGGATTATTTCTGATTTTGAATTCCGTGTGTGTTTTGGCTCTCTGTGTTGGTCAACAGTGCCAGATGAATTCAAGTCTGCCTGTTACTTTATGTTGTGGTGAAATGGCCTGATAAGCCCCCTGGCGTTTTGAATGCTGGCTCTCGCTCTACACCGATGATGAAGCATTTTCCAGGTTTCTAAGGGGGTGATGCAACTGACTCACTTTCCGGGTCAGTGGGGACTTGCCCTCAAGCTGTTCTGGCAGCGGTGGGCCACTCTTTCTCAGCTTATCTTTTTGTGATGTCCTGAAACACACTCACCTGTGGCCACTGAATAGCGTTAAGCCCATGGTGGGTGAGCTATTGTGAAGCTGAATTAGCACACCCAAATGGGATTTAAACCCATGATCTGCCCTCGTGAGTGGGAACCGGTGGAGTGACCGTGTCCGACGCTCTCAAGGCTAGGTCAGGCTTTTCTGAAATGGCCATTTAAAGCCTCCATTTGTTTCATGCTGTGAAAGACTCTGTTTAGAGGGTGAAAAGACAACCTGCAGACTGGGAGAAAATATTTGCAAGCCAATATCTGACAAACATTTTGCATCTTCTAGAATATATAAAGAACTTTCAAAACTCAACAGTAAAAAAAAATTAAACATGGCTGAAAGACATGAACTGATATTTCACCAAAAAGGATAGGCAGATGGCAAATAAGCAAGAAAAGTTGTTCAATATCATTAGTCATTAGGAAACTGCAAATTAAAACCACAAAAATATATGCCTACACACCACTTAGAATAGCTAAAATTTTAAATAGTGATAATATCAAATGCTGGTAAGGATGCAGAGAAACTAGATCTCTTATACATTGCCTGTGGACATGTAAAATGGTACAGCCACCATGGAAAACAGTTTGGCAGTTTCTTACAAAATTAAACACTTACCATATGACCCAACGGTCATACTCCTGGCATTTATCCCAGAGAAATCAAAACTTATATTTACACAAAAACCTGCATATAAATATTCGTAGTGGCTGTATTCATAATGGCAAAATACTCGAGGGAAAAAAAAGCAAATGTCCAATAGGCAAAGGATGGAACAAACTGTGGTACCTCCATACAATGGAATACTACTTAGCAACAAAAGCAAATGAACTCTTGGTACATGCAACAACCTGGATGGACCTCAGGCATTATGCTTAGTGAAAAAAGCCAGTCTCAGAAGGTTACATACCTTTCGGATCTGTTTCCACTTATCCAACATTCTCGAAACGATGACAGAAAGAGCACAGATTAGTGGTTGCCAGGGAGCAGGAGGATGAGGGGGGAGGAATACAAACAGATAGAATGGAATTCTTTTTTTTTTTTTTTTTAAGACACAGTCTCACTCTGTCACCCATGCTGGAGTGTGGTGGCATAGTCTAGGCTCACTGCAACTTCTGCCTCCCCAGTTCAGGCAATTCTCCTACCTCAGTCTCTGGAGTAGCTGGGATTTACAGGTGTGTGCCACCACACCTGGCTAATTTTTGTATTTTTAGTAGAGACGGGGTCTCACCATGTTAGCCAAGCTGGTCTCAAACTCCTGACCTCAAATGGTCCACCCACCTCGGCCTCCCAAAGTGCTGGGATTTTAGGCATGAGCCACCGCGCCCGGCCTGAATGGAATTCTTTTACTGTGATGGAACAGTTCTGTATCTTGATTGGGATGGTGGTTACATGAATCTATACATGGGATAACATTACATACACACAAATGCAAGCTTAAAAAATGCTGAGAACAGAATAAAATCTGCAGTATAGTTCAACACTACCAGTGCCAACTCCCTGGTTTTGCTATTTTACCACAGCTTTATAAGATGTCACTGCTCGGGGAGGCTGAGGGGAGGGTATATGTGACCCTGTACTTATGGCCTCTTTCTGTGAGTCTATAACTATTTAAAAATAAAAAGTTACAGCCGGACGCAGTGGCTCACGCCTGTAATCCCAGCACTTTGGGAGGCCAAGATGGGCAGATCACAAGGTCAAGAGATAGAGACCATCCGGGCCAACATGGTGAAACCCCGTTTCTACCAAAAATACAAAAATTAGCTGGGTGTGGTGGCACGTGCCTGTAGTCCCAGCTACTCAGGAGGCTGAGGCAGGAGAATCGCTTGAACCCGGGAGGTGGAGGTTGCAGTGAGCCGAGATCACGCCACTGCACTCCAGCCTGGCGACAGAGCGAGACTCCGTCTCAAAAAAAAAAAAAAAAAAAGTTACCAAAAGCCTCCTACTCATTATCATCTACTCATTCCTTCATTTATTCCCTTAATTATCCATTTATGATATTAAAGGCTATCCCTCTCAAAAAAAAAAAACTTAAACATTCAGCAGATCTTCCTTGTTTTATTCTCAAAACATTGCTGAGACCTGTCCTAGACCTGCCTGTGAGCCATCTGGACTCTTGTCTAACACTCGGTCTCCAATAGATGCGTCAAGGGTGGGTGTGATTGTTCTCTGTGGGTAGGGCAGTATCAAAAGCATCTTCAAGTCTCTGACCCATCACTCACGAACATATCTGACCCATCACTCTTGACCCATCACTCATGAACATATCCAAATTCTTAAAGGACTTTATATTTTCAAACAGTGCTACTTCTAAAGGTAATAAATTCCATGCTAGGTACTCAGAGTGCTAATTCTAGGACTCTGAGAAGCTGAGGTGGGAGGATTATTTGAGGCCTGGAGTTCAAGATGAGCCTAGCAACATAGTAAGACCCCTGTCTGTACAAAAAAAAAATCATTTTAATTAGCCAAGTGTGATGGTACACACCTGAAGTCCCAGCTACTTGGGAGGCTGAGACGGGAGGATTCCTTGAGCCCAGGAGTTTGAGGTTACAGTGAGTCACGATCATGCCACTGCACTCCAGACTGGGCAACAGAGAAAGACCCTGTCTCAAAAATAAATAGATAAACGAGACAAGCCTGGCCAACATGGTGAAACCCCGTCTCTACTAAAAACACAAAAATTAGCTGGGTGTGGTGGTGCACGCCTATAATCTCAGCTACTCTGGAAGCTGAGGCAGAAGAATCGCTTGAACCGGGGAGTTGAAGGTTGCAGTGAGCCAGAATCGTGCCTGGGCAACAAGAGCGAAATTTTGTCTCCAAAAAATAAATAAATAAATAAAGTATAGTATAGTATAGTATGGTATGGTATAGCATAGCATAGCATAGCATAGCATAGCATAGCATAGCATAGCATAGCATAATACTGGACAATAGAAACTTTTCTGCTCCATTATAATCTTATGAGACCACCGTCGAGATAGGCAATCCATTGTTAACTGAAATGTCATTATGCAGCACATGACTGTATTGTGCTACAATTGCTCTGTCATTCTCTCATATATTTATAGATGTTTTTTCTAATTCATTTGAAAGTCAGCTGCAAAATCCAGCCATGTTTCCCCCAACATTTCACCGTGCATCTTGAATGAATATGGACATTCTCCTAAATAAGCACACCACCATCATACCTAAGAAAGCTAACATTTATTCGGTTAAATGGTGCCATTTAATATGTGACTTACCTGTAAATTTTACCAATTGTCCCCAATATACCTTTTAAAGCTCTTTTTATTAAGTCCAAGACTGTGTCTCTAAAACATAAAAATTAGTTTAAATTTCATGTTTGCCACCATCGTTTAAAGCCACTTACACTTAATATTTGTACAATTTTGACCCTTTTGAAACCCCATGGTTGCCCCTCTTATTTGATTCTATTGAAATTTGGTGAATAAGTTTGTTTACAGGCATCTTTTCTATGCCCTTCATGAATTCATAGCATGTACTTATTTCTTCTTAGAGCTTTGGTCTCTCCATGCTGGAGTCCACCTCCTTTGAGCTCATGCTCAAATGTAGGTTCCTCTTAATAATTTAGTTTGCCTCTTTCTACGTGTCCTTTATAGGTCCTTCCTTAAGCAGTGTAATGACTAAAATTGCATACATCCCTCCAAGTGCCAACCCACATAGGTTTTATACAAGATATACAGAGCCACGCTTTTAGGATTTAGGACCAACGAATGGCTCTTTTACATGTTAACAATTTAGGAGCTATAAATTTTCTTCCAGACTTTTTCCTTGCCTTAAACTTTTTTACCAGTTGAAAGCTGCATAAAATGAACATCAAGGGCAGAACATCAAAGGAACTAAGAGGCTATGTCCAAGAACACCAGACAACAGGGAGAAGTGTTTCCCAGGTGCCCACAGCAGGCTGCAAGAGAGACCATGGAGGGCTGTGGGTGGCAGATATTTACATAATGACATCGACATATTTTAGCTGCCAGCTGTGAGCTGTCTTCATTTCTTCTTTCACTTGCTCCTCAAAGTGTGAGGTCCAGAGTGACCCCGGTTTGTTGACACCCCCCAGGGACAACTCTGAAATGAACTGCAACTTCAGATTTTGTGTCTAATGTTTCTCTGAATAATGAGCAGGATTTTCTTGGCCTGATATGAAACACACTGGGCAAATATTTTTAGCAAGACATCTATAGTGAATATTATGTCTCTTTTTGGATTGGCAACTGAGAGCTAGCATTTCGTTGTTCGATTTACTTGGATTTGTCCCCTTTTCGTGTGTTTTTACACATTTGCCTTTCATGAACTTTCTCTCTCTGTGGTTTATTTACTCAGTTGTTCACTCGTTTGATGTCACTTCTCATGTGCTTATTATGGACAGCCCTTGGGTTATGCTTTGTGGACACATCACAAACATAACTATGACATAGTCCTGGCACTCAAAAAGAGACCTGCATTCTGTTTTTGAAAGAATGCCCAGGCTGAAGCGCAGTGGCATCGTCTTGGTTCACTGCAACATCCGCCTCCTGGATTCAAGCGATTCTTCTGCCTCAGCCTCCTGAGTAGCTGGGATCACAGGCACCCAGCACCATGCCTGGCTAATGTTTGTATTTTTAGTAGAGACAGGGTTTCACCATGTTGGCCAGTCTGGTCTCAAACTCCTGACCTCAGGCAATCCGCCTACCTCGGCTTCCCAAAATGCTGGGATTACAGGCGTGAGCCACCACGCCTGGCCTGAGGCTTGCATTCTTTAAGTGGGGCACATGACCCAGCACATCGCGTACTCGTGGCTACAGTGATTGGCTCACAGATTACACATGGCCAAAAACAGTCATGTCAGAGCCCAAGAAGACTCAAGTAAGCTCCATGATGACAGGAACCTCTTCTCTCTGTCCACTTCAGTATCCCGAGCATGTAGAAGAATGTCTGGTGCATACTAGGACCTCAATAAATATTTTTGCATTAATTAATTCCATGACTTTCGTTTATGTTATTGAGAAACAGGCTACCTCTTTCCTGCTGCACCAGAGAATTCACAAACTGAAGCTGCCATCTCGCTACCAAATGGAGTCTGAGACTGGAGTCAACAGATTGCAAAGCAAGCAGAAAGGAGAGACACGTGATTGCATCATGTGAGCCCTGAATCTTGCTATGCCTGCAGCCAGGGCTGCCTTGGTCTTGTTACATGAGCCGAGTTTGCAGTTTGCTTATGCCACATTTGATCAGGTTTGTTCCTGTTTGCTGACCAAGTCCTAACTAAAAACATTAAAAGAAGTATCCTGCCTACCCTTAAATCAAAGCATTTCAACCCCTTGACAAGGGAAACACATGGCCCAGACACAGACAATCAGAGTTTAATGGGGCTGATTTTCATGATGGTTTGCTCCTGATAGGAAGGAAGAGCAGGCTCAAATAGTGGGGCTGTCCTTAGCCCAGCCTCCAGGGCTGATGGGCTGGGATGAAGTCATGTGGACCAGTAGAAAGAAAGAAAATGTGAGGCCAAAAAATAGGATCTTTGGACTTAGTTTTCTATTTAAGAGCTCCATAGGCTTGAATAAGTCAGTTGACCTCTCTGGACTTCAGTTTCCTCCAGTACAAAATTAATAACTTGGCCTAAGTGATCAGTTCTACAATGGGTGTGACTGCCTATGTCTCTCTATTGGCATGGGGCTCACTGCTGCTGCAGCTGCTGCCATTATAGCTGCCCCTGTGATAACTGTGGTGGGTGCGGTCACAATCCTGGAGGCCAGAGATCCGAGTGTTGGCAGTGTTGGTTTCTCTGAGGCTTCCTTCCTCGGCTGGTAAGATGGCTGTCCTCTCCCTGTGTCTATCCCCGGACTGCTGCAGGGATAGAGAAGGCAGGGGTGATGATAAGGCTTGTGATGGTGGTGGTGGGTCCTGTGGTGCTGGTGAGGTTCCTAATGGGAAGAATTGGGGCAATAGGGGAAGGCTTATAAGAAAAGAATATTCAGACATGGACAGTAACAAAGGAAAGACCATCTGAAGACACAGGGAGAGGATGGCCATCTACAAATCAAGGAAAGAGGCCTCAGGAGAAACCAACACTGCCAACACTTTGATCTCTAGCCTCCAGCATTGTTAGAAAATTAATTTCTGTTGCTTAAGTCACCGATTCTGTGGTATTTTGTTATGGCAGCCTCAGTAGATGAATACAGGGTTGCATTCATATTTCTTAACTCTTGCCAGTTTATTCTAATGTTCGGCTTCAAGAATGATTGCCCTATAAGGTAAACCTACACTGCCCAGCCCCCATTCAAGACTCTGGCCACATTCCACCTGTCTAATCAGAGACCCCACTTTCCCATAAAGGTTCCCAACTGCAGTGGGACGCTTCAACCCATGACTCTTTTTTTTTTTTTGAGACAGAATCTCACTCTGTCGCCCAGACTGTAGTGCAATGGCACAATCTCGGCTCACTGCAAGCTCCGCTTCCTGGGTTCAAGCGATTCTCCTGCCTCAGCCTCCTGAGTAGCTGGGATTACAGGCATGTGCCACCACACCTGGCTAATTTTTGTATTTTTAGTAGAGACGGGGTTTCACCATGTTGGCCAGGATGGTCTCTATCTCTTGACCTCGTGATCTGCCCACCTCGGCTTCCCAAAATGCTGGGATTACAGGCGTGAGCCACTGCACCCAGCCCGCATGACTCTTAAGAATGCCATGCTAGTTCCTGATACAACTCACTCATTTGTCCCTCCTGACTTTTCTCACTCCCAAAGTCTACTTTGCCCTTCCACCAAACCAAATGCAATGCAAACCTTTTTCAAGCATTTACTAGGCAAAGTGTTTTGATGTCTAACCAAGTAACACAGTTTTAAAGAAGGGCTTGTCAAGACCATTTACTCTTGAGCAGGGAAGGGAACAGTTGTGGGGAGGTGTATTTTAGTTTCCCACCCCAGCCTTCAAGTTACTCCAACCAGGAACCACCTACTGAAAGCTTGGCTCTAAGTTTTCAGAGAGCTAGTGTAGGAATTTCCATGTTATGGAGGGAGAAGGTTCTTTCTGTGGTCCTCTGTTTGGGGGAAGCACCATGAAGGAGTTGGTGAATCAAACTGGCACTCTTTTTTTTTTTATTTTTCTTTAGAGACAGGGTCTTTCTCTGTCACCCAGGCTAGAGTGCAACCATAGCTCACTATAACCTTGAACACTTGGGCTCACAAAATCCTCCCACCTCCACCTCCTGAGTAGCTAGGACCACAGGTCCACACCATCACACTTGGCTATTTTTTTTTTGTTGTAAAGATGGAGGTCTCACCCTGTTGCCCAGGCTGCTCTTGAACTCCTAGCCTCAAGCAATCCTCCCGCCTCAGCCTCCCAAAACACTGGAATTAAAGGTGTGAGCCACCACGCCCAAACCTGGCAATCTTTAAGCTGTGTTCTCAGTTTCCATGGACAATTTTTTTTGCCACTGATTGTCCTGCTAGTCTATGAAATAATGCTAATAAAAAAATATGTTCCTTAGTGATTAAGAGCACAGATTCTGGACTTAGAAGAGCCTGGTTCAAATCTCAGTGCTTCGACTTCCTAACTGTCCAAAAGAGTATTCTAAACTTGGAAACGTGCAGAAGAGATTATTGAGTGATCTGCCAGTGCAGAACTGGGATTTCTACTGACTAGTCAATTTTCATCTCCATAACGGCAGAGGTTTACTTGTAAATTTTGGTCCCGCAGAGAAGCAAATAATTTAACTCTGGTAGAAGAATTAGCTCCAAGGGTTATAGTTGATAGCCCTGTTGGACATTAACTAGCTTTCTATCTCACCCAGTAATCTTTTGGTATTAAATTTCTACTGCTGATATAACAATGTAACACATTTTAGGGTGTAAAAATCATGCAAATGTATTATCTTACAGTACTAGATGTCAGAAGTTCAAAATCTGTTTCACTGGGCTAAAATCAAGGTGTAAGCAGAGCCCTTTTCTTCTGGAGGCTCTAGAAAAGGATTTGTTTTCTTGTCTTTTCCAGCTTCTAGGGATAACCTACATTCCTTGGCTTATGGCCTCTTCCTCCGTCTTCAAAGCACATCACTCCAACCTCCGCTTTCGTTCTTATGTCTTCTCTCTCAGCTGACACTCCTGTCTCCCTCCTATAAGAATGCATGTGATTACATTGGACCTACCCAGATAATCCAGAATAATCTCCCCATCTCAAAACCCATAATTTAATCACATCTGTAAAGTCCTTTCTATTTATAAAGTAACATAAGTAACATATTCAGAAATTCCAGGGATCAGGATTGATTTTTTTCCAGAGGGAACATTATTTAGCCTATCATACTCGCCTTATTTTTTTGTTGTTAAATTGCCTGCATATATCTAAATTCTCTAATGCTCTTTGAATAAGTTTAAACTTCTTATTGGTTCTCTCATTGGTTATTGAGTTAAATAAAATCTTTGACATGGTATCATTTTATATTTTCCTGAGAATTGTGATTTACATTTTTGAAAATTACACTTAACATAGCTCTGTGGCCCTAAGCAAGTTGCTTAATCTCTCTAAGTTTCAGTTTATATATCTGTAAATGAGGATATTAACAATAATAATACTTAACTTTGGGGGCTGTCATTGTTGGAAACAAGTGAGACAATGCATGTAAAGAAATCAGCCCAGTGCCTTGTGCATTTGAAGCCCTCAAAAAATGTTAGATGGTGATCCTGATGCTGATAATGGTGGTGATGCTGCTGATGATGCTGATGATCCTGATGACGATGATGCTGATGGTGCTGATGCTGCTGATGATGCTGATGCTAATGCTGATGATAGTGATATTGATGCTACTGATGATGATGAGGGTGGTGATGCTGATGATGCTGATGCCAATGATGCTGATTACGGTGACAATGATGCTGAGGCTGATGATGATGCTGATGAGAACAAGTGCTCTGGCCCTCAGTGCCTTAACATCCCTAAAATGAAAATATTGTGTTCAGTGCTCTCTATTTTCCTTTGTAGCTCTCTCTAGCTTTATGATCAAGGCCATCAAACATCAGGTACTTTCATTCCGTTTGCTAGATGAAAAAGGCAATGCAACCCCAACCAGAGCACTTGTCTTGGCAAAGGGGTGCTCGCTAGTTTGGGGTCTTGTTGGCCCAACTGGACTTTTTTGTGGCACACACAAACCAAACAAACTCTACGGGGAGGCCCTGACTATGATTTTTAAACAAATTGATGACAGTGACGATCACCCCACACTGTTCTCTAAACAAAAGCAGAGTGATATAACAATTATCTGAAAAAAAGGCAAAACTTGCCTTTGCATTGATTTCATGCCAAAACATGGCTAATTGCATCAGGCAATTGCTAGGAAACTTATTAGCATCAACAGTCATGTTCTTACACACATATACACACATGCACAGAAAACCTAATTCTGCCCAGAACAAATGGACAGTCATCATTTAACAGCCTAACTAGACAACAGTTCCTCCATGGCACATACAGTGATGGATGAGGCTCTCCATGCAAATGTTGTAACCTGCAGATATAGAAGCACTTACCACACAATTACTTGAACTCAGGGTCATGTTGACACTGAAAATATGTAAATGTTCTATGTAAATATTTATTCTCACTCTATTTAAAAAAAAAAAAGGAGAAGACGAATGAGGCTTAAGATGACCAAAGCGGACTTGCTATTCAAAACTCATTCTGAATCAACAGCATCTGAATCACCTGGGAGCTTGTCAGAAATGCAGAATCTCAGGCCCCACCCCAGCACTGCTAAATCATAATCTGCCTATAACAAAATCCCTAGGTGATTCAAATGCACATTGAAGTGTGAGGAGCATTGCACTAAGAACTTCTGAATAAGAGCAGTGGGTAGTAATATCATTTGGAATAGCTGTTCCTTTGGAAAAATCACACCATTGCAGCAAACCATAAGGAATATCAGAAAAGGGAAGTCACTGAATGGTTCTTTCAACAAACATTCATTGAGGGCCTACTATGTGCCAGATAGTATTCTAGGTGCTGGGGGTACAACAATAAGAATGAAAATGAAAGGGCCGGGCGCGGTGGCTCACGCCTGTAATCCCAGCACTTTGGGAGGCCGAGGTGGGTGGATCATGAGGTCAGGAGATCGAGACCATCCTGGCTAACAAGGTGAAACCCCGTCTCTACTAAAAATACAAAAAATTAGCCGGGCGCGGTGGCGGGCGCCTGTAGTCCCAGCTACTCGGGAGGCTGAGGCAGGAGAATGGCGTGAACCCGGGAAGCGGAGCTTGCAGTGAGCCGAGATTGCGCCACTGCAGTCCGCAGTCCGGCCTGGGCGACAGAGCGAGACTCCGTCTCAAAAAAAAAAAAAAAAAAAAAAAAAAAAAAAAAGAATGAAAATGAAAGACCCCTCCCCTTGAGGATCAAATGAATAAATAAAACAGAGTATATAGATTCTCAGATGTTGGAAGCTCCTATGAAGAAAAATGAAATGGGACAGGGAGGAGGGAAATTTTGCAATTTTAAATAATATAGTTAGGAGTTGATATTGATACAGAGACTCAAAGGAAGTGAAGAGACAAGCTATGTGGATATTTCTTGGAACAGCATGACAGGTAAAGGGAATAGCAAAACCAAAGCCCTGAGGAGGAGAAATTATAGCATGTCTATATGTTGGGGAGAAGGATCCATTGAGGATTGCTTGAAGGAGAAGACAGAATTGCCAGTGAAGTTCTTGACAGGTGGAAAAGGATGAGATGCAGCACACAAGAGGAGAGGCCAGCCCAGAAGAGGAGCATGGAGAGTTTGACCATTATCATGTGAGAGAAAGCAAAGCCTATGTTTCCAAATGTGAGTAAGCTGATGGATAAAGTGGTGGGAGCACCTGGAAGTCTCCTCTATTGTTTGAGATATTTCCCTGAAATAGGAATCTAGTTTATCCATTGAGGGAGAGGAGAGGATGGTTATTAAAAGTACGGGAAGAGAAGATAAGGTTTGAAATAGCTGTCTAGAAGAGGGAACAACTACCAAAATGTGTGCTTGTTGGGCAGCCTTGAGTCCACCTTTGTGATATGTCAACATCCCTTTGTTTTTCTCCAGCCATGTTCACTTTCAAGTCTGGAGATGGGGAAAGAGAGGAGAGTTGGATTTAACAATGGTTGAGGTTTTGCCAGGCACCTACAATGAAGTAAGATGGGGGAAAATGTGTTGAGGATGCATGCAAGGAAGTCATTTATAATGAAAGATCATGGAATTAAGGCTAGATTTTAAAAAGACATGAGGGCTCAAACAAAATAAGGGACGATGAATACATAACAGGATCATTGGATGGCAGGTCCCAGTAAAGTCAAGCAAACATCGAGGTCAGGGAACTGGAAGAATTAAACTGGAAAGTTAGAAGATGACAGAGAATGGGATTCTTGAAACTGGGATTGTGAAGGTGATACAATTAGCCGTCATTCCATGATCCAGGCTGCGCCATTCGTTATGGCAGCCACTAGCCACCTGAGGCTATTTAAAATTTATTAAAATTAAAGAAAGTTACAACTCCAGTTCTCCACTGAACTAGCCGCATTTCGGGTATTCAATGGCTCCATATGGCTAGAGGCTACTCTATTGGACAGTGGAAGTAAAGACCATCTCCATTGTCACAGAAGGTTCTACCGGGCAGTGTTACGCTAGGGTTTGACTATGGGGATTCATTGCTGAGGTAAGGTGATGGGTGAGGTCATCAGAGGGCCCTGGATTATCTATACAGATATGGAAATCATCAAAAATTGGAACAGGAACAATTTTGGAAAGACTGCCAGTGGTGCAGAAGCTAAAATCTTCAAGGTGTCAGGAGAGTGAAGTCAGCAGACAATTACTACTGGGATGATTTAAAACTTCATTTTTAGTGAGAATAGGGGTCATGAGAGAGCATGTCTAGGCCTATTAGTAATCAGGATAGTAGGTCAGGGCTACAGGGAAAATGATGTCCCATCATTTTGATGATGATGGAAGAAGGTGAAGAGGACATTCAAAGATGGTTGAGGAAAGAAGAGATTTTGCTCATGGCTAACCATGTGTCCCAGAGTGACAGTGGAAGGGTTTGAGGAGACAGGGAACAGTGAGCAATCAGTTCATGGAAGGGGCTGTGCAGAGTTGCATGAGAAGGCGATCCAGGAGATGAGCAGTCCTGAGAAGCCGCGCTTTGTGTACAAGCTGGGGTAAACAGCAATAAAGGGCACAGGGAGATGGATCCTCACAGCCCCAAAGCATGAACTAGGGAAGCTGTGAGTGTTCAAGGAGAAACAAGGCTCTCGCCAGGAGCACAAAGAATTCTAGAACACCCTCTTCATTTCCGTTCAAGGTAGCATGGAGGCTAGAAAATGACCCAGAGCTCTGGACATCGCGGCTGCCGGCAGGGGAGGATAGAGGCCTGGGAGGGGCGATCTTCCCCAGAGAACGTGGAGCTCCTTCTTGACTCCTTAAACCTGCCACAGACTAGAAATGTCTTTGCGTTGGAGTTTTCCTGGAGAAGGGGTTGCTGTAAGCCAGAAGGCAACCTTCCAAGTCCCTGCACTGGAGACCTACATGAGCTCAAAGCCTGACTCTGATATGCACTTCTCTAAGTCTCCATGCCCAGATCCTCAGGCTTTCCATGTTCTGTCACCTCTACCCAGAAGTCTCCTCTCCCTTTTCCGAGCCAAGGGAACGGTCACAGTCTGCTACTTGAAGATATTCTCTTCAAACATTCAAACAACTGATTTTGTTCATGCATTCATTCATTTGTTCAATGAATACTAATTGAATACCAAATACTAGTTATCAGTATTTATTAATACGCAAGAAATACTGATAACAAGTATTAAGAAAGCAAATTTCATAAACTAGGGCTCAAAAACAAGTTCTACCACCTGTCATTTGCATGAGGTCCTTACATGTTTCTTTAACCTCTCTGAGGCTGTTTTCTCTCCTGCAAAATTTAGACATCAAAACCTTCCTCATAGGGCTAAGGGAGAAGTAAGTAAAATCATCAAACTAATTCATGAAAGTACCTAGTGCAATGCCTGGCACAGATAAAAATTCATTAAGGGTTTGTCATTATTAGTCATAAACGCTTTGCCAGTGCTGCACTAAGTGCCAAGGATGCAAAGACTCATATTCTAGCTTAGGAGATAGGATCAAAACCAATAAATTTTCATTATAATGTGATTTCTTAACAGCCACTCAAAAGAGATGTATACAAATACTATTGGAGTGTCATGAAGTGAAGGATTCCCAGGAGTGATATCTGGAAAGGTCTTCCAATGACTAGGAGTCTTAATCAGCTTGGGTTGCTATCACAGAATACCATCGACTGAGTGGCTTATAAACAACAGATATTTATTTCTCACAATTCTGGAGGCTGTAAAGTCCAAGATCAAGGCACCAGCAGGATCAGTACCTGGTAAGGACCCACTTCTTGGTTCTTAGATGGTCATTTTCTCACTGTGTCCTCATGGGGCAGAAGGGATGAGGGAGCTCTCAGGTTCCTTTTATAAGAACATTAGTCCCATTCATGAGAGCCCTGCCCTTGTGACATAATCACCTCCCAAAGGCCCCACTTTGGGGGTTAGGATTTCAGCATATGAATTTTGGAAAACACAAGCATTCAGTCTACAGCAGAGTCGTTCTCCAGATGGAGAAGGGGAAAGCATCCCAGGTTGAAAGAAGAGTATGGTGCCTTGAAAGGGCATGGTGTGTCCACAAACCTGTGAGAAGCCATGGAGTGGAGAGTGCACAGAAGAGAATAACAGGAGGTGAAGCTTGAGAAGCAAAGGGTCCCTTATAGGGCAGGGTACATTTGCTTTCCCAACCCTTCTGACTTGATCTTGTGAGCAATGGCAGTTTTTAAGCAGAAGAGCACCATGATCAGGATTTTGGCATTAGAGTGGAAGACAGGTCGGGGGAGGAATGAGACTGGAGGCAGGGAGACTTTTAAGAGGCTGTTGAAATAATGCAGGTGAGACATGGTAAGAACCTGGACAAGGGCATTGGCAGAGGAACTAGAAAACCATGGATAGGAGAGACAGTTCTGAAGTAAAACCCACAGGACTCAGGGATGTGTTGGGCTGGATGCAGGAATAGGAAGATAAAGGAGTCATTCGCCACCAGCCCATGAACTCACATAGTTGCAGGTTGCTGAGACACAACTTCAAAATGTCTTAGTGTGTGAGAGCCCCAAGTCCAAGGAAGCTTGAAAGTTACTTGGAATATATCTTGACTCCCTACTGAACACTTGAGCATTTCCTGACAATTATGTAATGATTAAGCAAATAGTCATTCTTTGTTCTCAGAAAAGACTGTAAGACTATGTATCTCTAATGCAAATATAACATTATATTATTATAATATTAACCATTATGCAATTTGTATGCTGCAAGAAATATAAAGCAAAAAGTATGAGACTTAGCCGAAGAAAAGGTCTACTTCATGGAGGAGCTTATCCTTGCACAAAGCCTTAAAGGATGAGCAAATTTTTGATGTATAAAAATGGGCACTCTAAGATGAGGGGGAGCTGCCTGAGCTGAGACAGGTGAGCAGGAAAGCATTTCTCAGGTGGGTTCTGAAAGCCCCTCATCTTGTAAGATGCTCCAGGATGAAAGGAGCCACGATCAAATAAACCCGGGGTAACAACCCGCTATGCAGCCCCTCCCTTGGAGCATCGCAATACTTTTGACATATTAAAGATCTTTAGAAGTTCTGTAATTAAAAGTAATTTGCCTAGTGACAAAAAGCAAATCATCGGTTGCCCGGGGCTGGAGGTGGGAATAGGAGGATTGATTGCAAAGGGGCACAAGGAAACACTCTAGGTAATGGCCATATTCTATATGATAATTGTGATGGTAGGTTACAAGGGTATATACATATGCCAAAACCCATCAAACTGTACACATGAAATATGTACATTATGCCTTATTTAACTTGATTAAAAATAATAATTTGTTTTTTATTTGACTTTGAATAACTTTTTTTTTATTTTTCTCATTAGCATTCCCTCAAAATGCCTATCTGTTGAAACAGCATCTGGAGGAACACCACTGCTTTAGTTTCCTGTTGCTGCTGTAACATATTATCACAACCTTAGTGGCTTAAAGCAACACATATTTATTATCTTACAGCTCTGGAGGTCAGAAATCTGCAATGGGTCTCACTGTGCTAAAATTGAATGTCAAATGGGCAGTGTTCTTTCTGTAGGGGATAATCTGTTTCCTCGCCTTTTCCAGCTTTCAGAGGCCACCTGCACATCTTGGCTCATGGCCTCTTCCTCCATATTCTAAGTCTGCCATCACATCACTCCAACTTTTACTCCCATCCTCCAATCTTCTATTTTTTTTCTTTTTTGAGATAGAGTCTTGCTCCCCTTCCCAGGCTGGAATACAGTAGCATGATCTCAGCACACTGCAACCTCCACCTCCTGGGTTCAAGTGATTCTCATGCCTCAGCCTTCAGAGTAGGCATTCTTGTGCCTCAGCCTCCAGATCCCAGGCCTGGGATCACAGACGTGTGCCACTATGCCCAGCTAATTTTTTTTTCTTTTGTAGTTTTGGCAGAGACAGGGTTTCACCATGTTGGCCAGGCTGGTCTCGAACTCCTGACCTCAAGTGATCTGCCCACCTCAGCCTCCCAACAGGCTTGAGCCACCGCACCTGACCCCAATCTCCTTTTCTGACTCTGACTCTTCTACTTCCCTCTTTTACTTATAAGGACACTTATGATTTCACTAGACCCACTCAGAAAATCCAGGACAATCTCCTCATCTCAAGATCCTTAGCTTAATCCCATCTGCAAAGTCCTTTTTTCTGTGTAAGGTAACACTCACAGGTTCCAAGAATTAGGATGTGGCCATCTTTGAGGGCCATTACTCTACTTATTACAACTATTTTTTAGTATAAAGTAAGACAAATTAATATTAAGCCTGGAAATGAAGACTGAGGCCATATCAAAATAAAGAACCTGGACTTCTCCAGTTAAGAAACAGGCAGAATTTATTTACTTTTGAAGTGGTACATTCACATGTCTTAACATTTGAAAGCTGTCATAAGGTACTGAGTAGAAATTTTCCCCTGTTCCCCAGCCATCCAGTTTCCCTCTCTGGAGCCAACAAATGTTACTTACCACTCTTTAATGTATTATTTTAGACATTATTCATATCTATATATTTTTACATTTTTACACAAATGGTAGCATAGTATAAAAAATTATTTGTAACTTTCTATTTTGGCCTCAACAATATAAATTTGTAGATCATCCCACAGCAAAATGAAAAGACCTTCTTTATTCATCTCTGTGGATACATAGTATTTGATTTTATAGACCACTGGTTCTCAACATGGTTGTTTATTAGAATGACATGGGAGGATCTTGGAAAATCCCCAGGAGTTCCAGTTATCTATTTTTCTGTAATAAACCACCCCAAAACTTAGAAGCATAAAACCATAATCATTTTATTATGCTTGAAATTTTTGGAGTCAATAATTTGGTCAGGGTATAGTAGGGACAACTTGTCTCTGCTCCACAGTGACTGAGGCCCTCAGCTATGGTGGTTGAGATGGCAGGAGTGGCTCAGTTAGAGCTATATATATGGGGCCCTGGTTCTACAGCAGCTGAAGTCCTTGGTGATTGTCTATATCACGTCTGCTGGTGGTGCAATGTCCAAGAACGCTTCTGATATGGTTTGGCTGTGTCCCCATCCAAATCTCAACTTGAACTGTATCTCCCAGAATTCCTACATGTTGTGGGAGGGACCCAGGAAGAGATACTTGAATCATGGGGGCCAGTCTTTCCCATGCTGTTCTAGTGACAGTTAGTAAGTCTCATGAGATCTGATGGGTTTATCAGGGGTTTCCGCTTTTGCTTCTTCCTCATTTTGTCTTGCCACCACCATGTAATAAGAAGTGCCTTTCATCTCCCGACATGATTCCGAGGTTTCCCCAGTCATGTGGAAATCTAAGTCCAATTAAACCATTTTTCCTTCTCAGTCTTGGGTATGTCTTTATCAGTAGCATAAAAATAGACTACTACAGTAAACTGGTACCAGTAGAATGGGGTGTTGCTGAAAAGATACCCAAAAATGTGGAAGCGACTTTGGAACTGGGTAACAGGCAAAGTTTGGAACAGTTTGGAAGGCTCAGAAGAAGACAGGAAAATGTGGGAAAGTTTGGAACCTCCTACAGACTCGTTGAATGGCTTTGCCCAAAATGCTAATAGCGATATGGACAATAAGGTCCAGGCCAAGGTGGTCTCAGATGGACACGAAAAACTAGTTGGGAACTGGAGTAAAGGTAACTCTTGCTGTGTTTTAGCAAAGAGACTGATGGCATTTTGCCTCTGCCCTAGAGATTTGTGGAACTTTGAAAGATAATTTAGGGTATCTGGTGGAAGAAATTTCTTTTTCCTTTTTTTTTTTTTTTTTTTTGAGACGGACTTTTGCTCTTGTTGCCCAGGCTGTAGTGCAATGGCACAATCTCGGCTCACCGCAACCTCTGCCTCTAGAGTTCAAGCAATTCTCCTGCCTCAGCCTCCCAAGTAGTTGGGATTACAGGTATGCACCACCAAGCCCAGCTAACTTTGTATTTTCAGTAGAGACGGGGTTTCCCCATGTTGGTCAGGCTGGTCTCAAACTCCCGACCTCAGGTGATCCGCCCGCCTTGGCCTCCCAAAGTGCTGGGATCACAGGCATAAGCCACCGTGCCCAGCCAGGCGGAAGAAATTTTTAAGCAGCAAAGCATTCAAGAGGTGACTTGGGTTCTGTTAAAGGCATTCTATTTTATAAGGAAAGCAGAGCATAAAAGTTTGGAAAATGTGCAGCCTGACTATGAGATAGAAAAGAAAAACCCATTTTCTGGAGAGAAATTCAAGCCAGCTGCAGAATTTTGCTAAGTAGCAAGGAGCCTAATGTTAATCCCCAAGACCATGGAGAAATGTCTTCAGGCCATGTCAGAGACCTTCATGGCAGCCCCTCCCATCACAGAGGCCTCCTCCTCCCAGAGGCCCAGGAGGAAAAAGTGCTTTCATGAGCCAGGCCCAGGGTCCCTGTGCTGTGTGCAGCCTAGGGACCTGTGTCCCAGCCGCTCCAGCCGTGGCTGAAAGGAGCCAGCATAGAACTCAGGCTGCATCTTCAGAGGGTGGAAGCCCCTAGCCTTGGCAGCTTCCACATGGTGTTGAGACTGCAGGTGCACAGAAGTACAGAATTGAGGTTTGGGGACCTCTGCCTAGATTTCAGAGGATGTATGGAAATGCCTGGATGCCCAGGCAAAAGTTTGCTGCAGGTACAGGGCCCTCATGGAGAGCCTCTGCTAGGGCAATGCAGAAGGGAAATGGGGAGTCGGAGCCCCCACTCAGAGTCCCTACTGGGCACTGCCTAATGGAGCTGTGAGAAGAGGGCCACCATCCTCCAGACCCCAGAATGGTAGATCCACTGACAGTTTGCACTGTGTGCCTGGAAAAGCCACAGATACTAAATGCCAGCCCATGAAAGCAGCCAGGAGGGAGGCTGTACCCTGCAAGGCCACAGGGGCAGAGCTGCCCAAGACATGGGAACCAGCCTCTTGCATCAGTGTGATCTGGATGTGAGACCTGGAGTCAAAGGAGATCATTTTGGAGCCTTAAAATGTGACTGCCCCACTGGATTTCGGACTTGCATGGGCCCTGTAACCCCTTTGTTATGGCCAATTTCTCCCATTTGGAATGGCGCATTTACCCAATACCTGTACCCCCATTGTATCTAGGAAGTAACTGGCTTGATTTTGATATTACAGGCTCATAGGAAGAAGGGACTTGCCTTGTCTCAGACGAGATTTTTGGACTGTGGACTTTTGGGTTAATGCTCAAATGAATTAAGACTTTGGGGGGACTGTTGGGAAGGCATGATTTGTTTTGAAATGTGAGTACGTGAGATTTGGAGAGGCCACGGCAGAATGATATAGTTTGGCTGTGTCCCCATCCAAATCTCAACTTGAATTGTATCTCCCAGAATTCCCAGGTGTTGTGGAAGGGACCCAGGGTTAGGTAATTGAATCATGGGGGCCAGTCTTTCCCGTGCTATTCTAGTGATAGTTAATAAGCCTCACAAGATCTGATGGGTTTATCAGGGGTTTCTGCTTTTGCTTCTTCCTCATTTTCTCTTGCTGCCATCATGTAAGAAGTGCCTTTCACTTCCTGCCATGATTCTGAGGCCTCCCCAGTCATATGGAACTGTAAGTCCTATTAAACCATTTTTACTTCCCAGTCTTGGGTATGTCTTTATCAGCAGCATGTAAACAGACTAATACAGTTTCCTTACTCACTTGCCTGCTTCCTGGACCACTTAGCCATGTGGGCTGTAACAGCTGGGGATAGATGGGTCTCTCTTTCTCTCTCTCTGTCTCTCTCTCTCTGTGTCTCTGTGTGTGTGTCTGTGTGTGTGTGTGTGTGTGTGTGTCTTCCTCTCCCTCGGCAGCTAACTTGGGCTTCCTCACAGCATGGTGGTCTCAGGGTAGTTGAATTTATTACATAGCAGCTGACTCACCCCAGAGCTAAAGTTTCAAGAGGCCAGTGCAGAAGCTACAAAGCTTCTTATGCCTTAGCCTTGGAGGTCCCAGACCATCTCTTCAACCACATTCTGTTAGTCAAGCAAATCCCTAAGCAAGCCCAGATTTGAGGGAAAGGAAATTAGACTCCACTTCTGAATAGGAGGAAAATTTGTAATCACCTTAATGTACCACACCCAGGTGACCTGAATGTGCAGCCAGGCTTGAAAACCAGTTTTAGATCCACCATAACTTATTGTCCATCAAGACACCATTGATGGATACGCAGGCTGCTTCAGACTTTTTGCTATTGTAAGCAACACAGCACTCAACAAGTACTCCAGTCATCATTTCACACATGAGCAAGTAGGTCTGGAGGGCACATTGGGAGAAGTGAAACTGGTGGATTAAAGATTTGGTACTGGAAGTTTCTGAGCTGTAAAGTGGCACAATCAGGGCTGAACTTTAGGAATTCCAATCTGTCCGCACCACCCAGGGCTGAGCAGTGGGACGGGATGGCTGCTGGCAGAGAGACCAGGCTTCATGTTGTCAGACTAGTTGGGATAGAGATCATAAAGTGGAAGCACAGATAGGAAGGAACAGAGGGAAGGGATCGTCAAAATGCAGTCATCCTCTTTAGCAAGTGCTGGAAGACAGAAGTTAATTTGGTGATGAACTTGATGATACGGATGATATGTATCATGACCACACAGTGGTCATGACAGGTTTCTTGGAAGAAGTGAGACTGGAGATGGAGCATTCAGGATGAGGAGAATTTTAATAGCAAGAAAAAAGGAAGACAGCCTTTTCACTGGCATTTCATTTGGTGCTGTTGGAAGATATGGAGAAAGCTCTGTTTTGAGATAGATTATCCAACTCAAGCACATCAGGTTTAGCCAGTGCCTGTCACACAGCAAGTGCTCAAAAACAGGATGTACTATTCCTACTAACAGCAAGTAATTCCTATTAAAATTCCTTAATATATTAGAACATGACTTTTGGTGACAATTATGATTGCTCTCATTATTTCTAAACAGGTGCATGTGCCATGGGAAAAGCTTTGGCTGGGCCGTAGATTCATCACCCATCGGCCCAATCTGGAGCAGATGGTGGTTTCTCCTGCATAATGTCCTACAGCCACCATTGGTCTCTCTCCCTTACATGGGAACATTGGAGGGAATTGATGCTGTCTGGACAGAGACATCCCTAGAATTCCATTCTTGACCTACTATCACCCTTCCAGCCCTAGTACTTATCTCCATGTCACCCCAAAGCTGAGAACATGAGCTGCTTTTCTTTGGGGATGCATTAACAGAAGAGTCTTCAGAGCAAGTATCGAATGAGTCCTACTGTATTCTGGGCTGGAAAGACCTTAACTAATAAATAGTTTCCATTCTAGGTGATAAAAAATAACAACAACAAAACCTAATATCTGGATACTACATTATGATATAGCTAATCCTACTCAACCTTTGGGTGTCAGTTAAAAGTCACTTCTTCCAGGAAGTCCTCCCTGACAACCCTGAGACTGTTCACGTGCCCCAGTATGCACTTTCTTACACCCTGGAGCTCCCTTGCCATAGCAATTAACACACTGTTGTTATTCTTGCTTATGTGTCCACCTCTGCAGTGGAGAAACTCTAAGGTAACCCCCAGTAATTTTTGCCCCCTACTCTTCGTTCCTTGATATATTCCCCCCTGGAGGGTGGAGAGGACCTGTGTCTTGATTCTAACCAATAAGGTGATGGAATGTCATCCCCAGTATTATGATATGTTTGACTCCATTTCAGGAAACTGGAGCAAGAGACCCTCCTTGCTGGCTGATTGAAGTAAGTGGTCAGGTTGGAGAAGCCCATGTGGCAAGGAACTGCAGGAGGCCTCTTTGTTTCTGTGGGTGGTCTCCAGGACCTGAGGGTGGAATCCAGCCAACAGCTATCCAGAAGCTGGGACCTGCAGACATACTATGGTAGGAAAGTCAATTCTACTAACAGCCTAAATGAACATGGAAGCAGACTTTTTCCCCAGGCAAGCTTCTAGTTGAGAACTCAGCTCAGTGATACCCTGACTACAACCCTATAAGATCCTGAACAGAGAAGCCAGCTAAGCCAGACCCAGACTCCTGCCTCAGAGAAACTGTGAGACAATAGAGTATGTTGTTTTAAGCCTCTAAGTTTGTGGTCATTTGTGATGCAGCAATAGAAAACTAACACATTCCCCCACTAGATGCATGCTCTCTGAGGGTGAGACCACATCCATATTACCCCTCACTGTACTCCCAGCAGGTCACACCTTGCCTGGCACATAGTAGGTGCTCAAGAAATATTTTCTGGATGAATGATTGAATGAATGAAGCTGCATCAGTCTTACAATATTTACAATCACTCCATAAGGAGGATTATTTTAATTCAAGTTTTACTAAGACTGAGAAAAAATAAGTGACACATCCAAGAATATCCAAGATTTACATAGAAAGAGAAGAGGTGGGACCTAAACTAGCATCTCCTGGGACCAAATCCCAAGTTCATTCATTAAAATCACAGCTATAAGAACAGTGTTGGCTTTCCACCTTGACAGAGCTGATAGAAGCTTACACAAATAATTGTACCTCACTCATACCCAGAACAGACATCACTAATCAATCACAATACTCTTTTAGGTGAAGTTCATCTTCTAAACTAAACCTTCTCAACTCAGGATTTCAGTAGCCACAGCAGTTGACCACATCTGGCCAAGGAGAGGAAACCTACTCGTCATCCAAATGCTAACCTGCTAGTTAGTTAGAATCTATACCTCCATGTAACTGAATGTAGAATCCATTCCCAGCAATGTCTGGGAAAACTATGAAAGAAAGAAGAGTCTGAGCATAGAAAGGAGTAGGATTTGGGAGAAGAAGAGTCAAGAAAAGAGGTTGGGGTAGGGAAAAACAAAACAAGAAACAGTGTTTCTAGAACCTTCTCTTCAGAGGAAAGCCTCTCACCATTTTCAGGCAAGAAATTCCACTAATGATGCATGCTACAGCTGGATTCTCTTGTGGCTGAATTCCCTGAGTCAGCTGATGAATTCTTCCTTGTATAGTAATTGGCTACAGCAATTAGATTCCCTTTTTTATTATTCGTATTGCCGTGACATATTCCGACTTCTCTCTAAAAATCCAGCTGATGACCGCAACAAGAGTGCAATGGATTGAATATTTGCCATGAATGATATTTTCATTGTTTTGACAATTAAGGTGTATGTTTGCCTGAGGGACTACAGTTATGATATATTAAACATTAATCTCCAGAAATGAAAGCCAACTGTTTGAACAAGAAGTACGTATGCTGCCATAAAAGTGATGGAGCCTAAAAGTAAAAACAGATTGAAAAGTGAGGAAAACAGTCAATGAATTAGTTGTTTGGTTTTTACTTTCTTTATTTGTTAATAAATTGATTAAATCCATTTTTCCCTAGGCATTGCATAGACCAGGGTTATCAAATACATTGTGCTGACAGTACCATCTATCTTGGCCATGGCAGGCATTACTAATTAATCACATCTTTCTTTTCTCCCTGAGCCCCAGCTTGGTCTTGGAAACCATCCCACTATGGAGCTCCAGGCAGCCAATATTAATCTATCATTTTGGATCTCAGGGCAGAACTCCTTGCCATCCAAGACTACAAACACAGCCCCAACTCACAAGTTATCAAGCAGAAAGCAGTAAAGTTTTAGGATTAAGATGGGCACAGACACTGGACTCAGAGTGCCTGGATTTGAAGCCCACTTCTGCTATTTACCAGCCCTTCCATGCCTGTGTTGTCATCTGTAAAATGGGGATACTAATAGCATCTGCATCATAGAACTACAATGATGATTAAACGAATGAAAATACAAGTGTTGGAAGAGTAGCTGGCAAACATAAGCACCGATCTTTCTTATATTTGGATAGTTTGATTTCCTTCATTCTCTGTGCAAAATCTAGCTCTCCTATGAGGTTATAAGCTCCTCAAAAGCAAGTGCCATGATTTTTCCTTCTTTGCATCTCCACCACTTAATACACAATAGGAGCTGAGTCTCTATTTGTTAAATTGTTGAATCAGACTCTTCCAGCCAGACTGGCACACTCACTATCCCATCCCCTTTTATTGGAGATTTCTGCCTCCTTCCATCACTCTCTTCCATCACTTCCCACCTCCTCCATTCCTTTAAGGCTCCACATTATCTCTTCCCCTCTTCCACTCTCCCCACCTCAATCCCATCCCACAAATATTCACCTGTTTCCTACCCATCCTTTAGAGCCTACCTGGTTGGAGTAGTCATTATTTCATTCACCAAATAGTTCCAGCTCTCTGCCTTCTAGGCACATAGCAGAATTTTACTTCCTGCTTTTCTCCCTATGGTCAGCTGAGGCCATAGGAAGAGTCTGACACATGAGTGGAGAATTTGGTTGCTGGTGTGAGGCCCTGCCAATCTCAAATCTCTCTTCTGTCACCAACAGGGCTCCCATCGGCAGCTGCCCCATCAGTTCAGTTTATAGTGATCATGAATTGAGTAATATTGTTTGGCTGTGTTCCCACCCAAATCTCAACTTGAATTGTATCTCTCAGAATTCCCATGTGCTGTGGGAGGGAACCAGGAAGAGGTAATTGAATCATGGAGGCCAATTTTTCCCCTGCTAATAGTGAATAAGTTTCACAAGATCTGATGGGTTTATCAGGAGTTTCCACTTTTGCTTCTTCCTCGTTTTCTCTTGCCACTGCCATGCAAGCAGTGCCTTTTGCCTTCCACCATGATTCTGAGGCCTCCCCAGCCATATGGAGCTGTAAGTCCAATTAAACCTCTTTTCCCTTCCCAGTCTTGGATATGTCTTTGTCAGCAGCGTGAAAGCAGACTAATACAGTAAATTGATACCAGTAGAGTGGGGCGCTGCTGAAAAGATATCCGAAAATGTGGAAGCAACTTTGGAACTAGGTAAGAGGCAGAGGTCGGAACAGTTTGGAGGGCTCAGAAGAAATAAGAAAATGTGGGAAAGTTTCAAACCTCCTAGAGACTTGTTGAATGGCTTTGACAAAAATGCTGATAGTAATATGAACAATAAGGTCTGGCTGAGGTGGTCTCAGAGGGAGATAAGGAACTTGTTGGGAACTGGAGCAAAGGTGATTCTTGTTATGTTTTAGCCAAGAGACTGCTATTCTCGTGATAGTAAATTTCACAAGATCTGATGGGTTTATCAGGGGTTTCTGCTTTCGCTTCTTCCTCATTTTCTCTTGCTGCCACCGTGTTAGAAGAGTCTTTCATCTCCCAACATGATTCTGAGGCCACCCAAGCCATGTGGAACTGTAAGTTCAATTAAACCTCTTTTTTCCTTCTCAGTCTCGAGTATGTCTTTATCAGCAGTGTGAAAATGGACTAATACAGTGGGGCAGAGCCACTAGTACACCAATCATGGGCTAATCGCATGAATGAGAAATAAATCTTTGTTTTTTAAGCCATCAAAGTTTGTTGTTATTGTTGTTTTTCTGCACCATCATTTAATCTATCCTGATGGATACAGTACCTGAAGTTCAGCATCCTCCTTTAAGCCCGTTCCAGCTACCCTGACCCACAACAATTTCTTCCAAAGGATAGGAAAAAAAAATCTTAATTCACTTTTATCCCGGAACCTAACATAAGAGTCTTGCGCGTAGTTAGTGCTCATTAAAAGACTGTTGCAGAAATGAGCAGCTGTTAAACTCTGAGCCTCCAGTTTCCCACCTGTAAAACAGGAAAATCAATTTCTTGCATTCCATACTTTGCAGACCTATTGTGGGGGCTCAGCTGGAATTATGTGTAACAAAGTGCTCTGTGAACTATAAAATGACGGACATCTCAAACATTATTATTAGATGATAAACTACTGAGAAATATTCTCAGAATTCATTCATTTGTCATGTACCTGGCACTATTCCAATTTGATAATGAATTGCCTCCACACACACAATTCTTGAACTCTGCTGCTGTTTTTAAACTCAGGAATGATGATGATAGCCAACCCCTATTGAATGGTCAATATACAGGCACTGACCTGGGTGCTTCCCATGCCGTTATCACTTACAAGCCTCAGTCATAGTAAAAAGAAATGATTTGGATAGTTTGATTCCCTTGTTCTCTACAACAGTAACCCCTCAACATTGATTCCCTTTGTCCTCTGCTACAGTAACTCCTCAACATTGTCAATAGGTTCTTGGAAACTGTGACTTTAAGCGAAACAGCAAAACAGCATATAATGAAACCAATTTCATCACAGGCTAATTGATACAAACAAGAGTTATGTTCCTATGCCATATTTCTGGACACAGAAATCTCGCCAAACTTATAAATAAAGACCTAAAACACTTGTAATATTAAACATTGTAATAAATGTGAGCTATACAGCCAGGAGCAGTGGCTTACACCTGCAATCCCAGCACTTTGGGAGGCTGAGGCTGGCAAATTGCTTGAGCCCAGGAGCTCAAGAGCAACCTGGGCAACATAGCAAAACCCCACCCCTACAAAAAAAAAAAAAAAAAAAAAAAAAAAATATATATATATATATATATATATATATATATGCAAAAAAATTAGCTGGGTGTGGTGGTGAACACCTAGAGTCCCAGCTACCCAGGAGGCTGAGATGGGAGGACCGCTTAAACCTGGGAGGTCAAGGCTGTAGTGAGATATGATTGTGCCACTGCACTCCAGCCTGGGCGATGAAGAGACCCTGTCTCAACAACAACAGCAACAAAATGTGAGCTATAGATATATTTAAGAAGCTTAATAAAAGCAAGTAAGATAATTGTTTGGCCAATTGTTCCAGCTCAGAGTCACCAGTAGGCGGTTGAGGGCACAAGATGGGAACCAAGCCTGGACAGGGCACCATTCCCTCACAGGGTATAGTCACACCCACACCCAAACCCACTCATACTGGGACCATGTAGACACACCAATTCACCTCATGTGCACATCTTTAGGATGTGGGAGGAAACCCTAGTACCTGGAGAAAACCCACATAGACATTGGGAAAATATGCAAATTCCACACAAACAGTGGACTCAGCCAGGAGTCAATTTTTTTTCCCCATCAATGTTATAACAAAACAACGTTGAACAAATGAAACAAAGTTAGTGGAGAACCTGCTGTATGTGGCTATTTTACAGACAGCAAAACCCAGGTTTAAAAGTGCTAAGTTGCCGGGCGTGGTGGCTTATGCCTGTAATCCCAGGTGCAAACCTAGAGCTGCTGGACTCTAAAACCCATGTGCTTGGCCACCCTGTCACACTGCCACTCTCATGGAAGAGGGCCTCGAGGCCTGCTTCTGAAGTCTTTAAACCACAGCCCTCTGAACTTGGGATCTGACAGGGCCTTGCGGCTCTCAGAGCCCTAGTGGGAAACAACATAACCCTACCAGGTAACAACTGTGGCCACCATTGTGGACAAGCCCCGAGAGACCACTCATGTCTATTTAACTTCCCTGTCACAGAGCGTCATACACCGCCAGGCCCAGACAGATACTTAATATGTCCCTGTGATGAAAATCTATGTAGCTGGAAAAGTATTCATTTTCCCTGCACCTACCTAATATTTGATGCCGACACTGAGCCGGCTGGAGGCAAGCAACAAGAATGATTTAATAAAAGTGCAATTGAAACGCAAGGCAAAGGAGAGAAAGTGAGAAAGGCAGGCCAGGCAGCAGCTAAATGTTTGAAACCAAGGCTTTTATGTCTTTGAAACAGAATCCAGGAAAATTGCTGCACCCTCTGTAGATGGCTGGAGGGCTTTTTCCTCTGGATGGTTGCTTCGTTTGGGAGCCTCCAATCTCTTGTCTCACAGGTTGGGAGTGTAGCCCTGAAGTCTCTGTGCAGCAGGGTGTGTGTGAATCAGTCTTGGGAGCTGGCACGGCCCTGGGCCTCGCGTGGAGTCCAGGCCAGGCTCTGACACACTGAGGAGAGTTGAAACGAGAGTGGGTGTTTGCTGACAAGCAGCTTCATGGGAACGCTCTCCTTGGCATTTCTCAGTGCTGAATCAGGGAGAAAAGTTGGGCAGATTGCCTGTGAGGCTCAACACACACACACACACACACACACACACACACAGAGAGAGAGAGAGAAAGAGAGAGGAGGGAAGGCAGGACAGAGGGAGGAAGAACCAAGTCAGAGTTAGGAGAGCAAACACCACACAATGCAGTAATGGCAGTAGCAAAATTATCACTTCCTGAGGGTCTCCTGGGTGCTTTCAGTGAACTCTCCCTGGGTGTCCTGGGGAAAGCTTTATGCATAAAGAAACCCCTGGGGGAACTTTATATACATATATATGTGTATATAAAGTTTATATGGCACATGAAAAAACTCACACCTCTAATCCCAGCACTGTGGGAGGCCGAGGCAGGTGGATCACCTGAGGTAAGGAGTTCAAGACCAGCCTGGCCAACATAGCGAAACCCTGTCTCTACTAAAAATACAAAAATTATCTGGGCGTGGTGGTGGGAAGCTGAGGCAGGAGAATCGCTTGAACCTGGAAGGCAGAGGTTGCAGTGAGCCGAGATCGCATCACCGTACTCCAACCTGGGTGACAGAGTGAGACTCCGTCTCAAAAAAAAAGAAAAAAAGAAAGAAAGATTCAGAGCTGCTCAGCTACCTGGTGGCTGAAACAGAATTCAAGTGCAAATCTAACAGCAAAGCTTGATGCTCTTACAAGTCTAAACCCTCAACCTACCCCACCTTGTATGACCCTTATCCTCCCCTCATCTTCTTCTTCCCACGAAGGTTAGCGGAAGCCAACCAAATGGGAAATAAAGCAGATGTTGTGAGTGGCTTTCACCTCCTCAGACAAACTGGGCGGAAGTGAGCAGCCTCCAAACACAGGAGTCCAGGTGGGCCTTGGTCAGCACTGCATGGGGCAATCCTACACCTGACTCTAATGGAGAGAGAAGAATCCAGATTTCCCTATTCTTCCCCATTTGTTTCATCTGGAGCAGTGCTGTCCCATAAAAATATAGCACAAGTCACATATTGTAATTATGACTTTCTAGTAACCACATTTTTAAAAGGAAGAGGAAAAAGGTGAAATTAATTTTAATAATACATTTCATTTAATCCAATATATTCAAAATAGTATATTTTCATTATTTAAAGTGTATTTAGAAGTATTATTATTTAAAAGTATCATTTTATTTCTTTAAAAGTATCATTATTTAAAAATTAACGAGCTATTTTACATTCTTTTTTCATTCTAAGTCTTCAAAATCCAGTATCCACTTTGCAATTAGAACACACCTCAGTTCAGACTAGCCTAAGTACATGTGGCTAGTGGCTACTGTGTTCGACAGGGCAGGTCTATGGAATACCAAAATATCCAGATGAACACAAGGGCAAATCACATAACCACAAAGGATTCTGCATAACCAACAAAGGACTCCACATAACCAACAAACGACTCTACATAATGAAAAGGGTTTTTAAATTACCATGTAGGAAAATTGACATATTGATGTATAGTTCTATGAATTTTAATACATGTAGATTCATATAACCTCCATCATAATCAGGATACAGAGCAGTTCCATCATCCCAAAGAATTCTCTTGTGCTATCTTTTTACAGTCAAACCTTCCACCTTCCCCTAATCCCCTCATCCCCTGATGTCTAATCCCTGATCTGTTCCATACAAATGGGATCATACACTATGCAATGTTTTGAGGCAGGCTTCCTTCACTCAGCATATGCTTTTGATATTCCTGCAAGTTTACTGTGGGCATCCATAGTTCATTCCTTTTTATTACTGAGTAGCATTACTTGGTGTACATACCACAGTTTATCCATTCACCTGCTGGAGGACATTTAAATTGCTTGGGATGATTATAAGTAGAGTTGCTATGAATATGTGTACAGGTTTTTCTGTGAACATAAGTATTCACTTCTTTAGGGTAAATAACCAGGAATAGGATTGCTGGGTCATATGGCAAATGTATCTTTTACTTTATAAGAAATTATCAAGTTGTCTTCCAGAGCAATTGACTTATTTTTTATTCCCACCAGTAACATGTGAGAGTTTCATCTGCTCTGTATCCTTGTTAGCACTTGGTAGTATCAGTATTATTTATTTTAGCCATTCTGATAGGTAGGTAGTTGTATCTCATTATGGCTTTAAATCACTTTTCCCTAATAACTAATGATTTTGAGCATCTTTAATATGCTTTTTTGTCCCCCATATGTTCTCTTTGATTATATCTCTAAATCTTTCACCTATTTTTAATTAGGTTATATATTTTCTGAGTTTTGAAAGTGTTTTGATATTCTAGATAGAAGTCCTTTGTTAGCTATATGATGTGCAAATATTTTCTCCTAGTCTGTAGCTTGATTTTTATTCTCTTAATATTGTCTCTCACAGAGCATAAGTTTTTATTTTGATTATGTCCAATATATTGATTTTTTTCTTTTATGGATTGTGCTTTTGTTATTATGTGTAAGAACTCTTTTGTCTAACCTCACACCATGGATATTTTCTTATGTTTTTGAACAATAAATCACATGTGTAATAACCAAGGGGTTGTAAATATCTAAACAAATTTAACTGTGGGTTTTAGTTGTAAAAATCCACATTGTCATGAGAATTCATTAATTTTCCACATAGGTATGGAAAATAAGTAAAAAGTAATCACTAGTAAAACAAAGATGAATAAGATATGGCCCAGAATAGTGGCCGCCATCAGTTGAACGTCTAGGGCCAATGGCTACATAAACATCATCCATAACCTTCAGCCTGGCATTTCTATCCCCATTTTACAAGAGAGGAACCTGAAGCTTGCAAAGGTTAAGTAATTTTCCACAGCCAGGAAGTAGTAAAGTCAGGATCAACACTGCCAGGAAGTAGTAGAGTCAGGATCAACTAACTCCAAAGCCCTCATACATGGGAAGGTTCTTTGATTTCTAGAAACAGAAAACAGCTCTACCTTCCTAAGGATGGGGAAATAAAGCAGTAGTCCACAGGCATTTTGTGGAAGCCACCCAACAACTGAACCACCAGATGTTGACAGGGAGAAAAAATCAAAGAAGTTCAAGGATCCGGGGAGCAGGGGAAAAAATAGATACTGTCTTCCAGACATCCCTTTTGAATGAAGCATCTTCAACTCTTTTCAGCCCTTGTGTTTCTCCTTCTGGTTCCCTAGAGCAATCACCTGACTGACCTATCATGAGTCATGTGATCATCTTTTGACCAAGGAACAACAGAACACCATGATTGACAGTCCAATCAAGACTGCGGAATGAGGAACACAGGCTTTTTTCCTTGTTGAAAGGAATACTGAGGTGCTGTTACCAGAGGGAAAGGGAAGAATGGATTCTGGGATTTAAAAAAACACAGAGACCCACTAAAGCGTGGCTTCCAAAATTTTTGACCGTGTTGCACGTTAAGAAATATATTTCACCAACATGTGAGCATCTATACACACGACTGAAATGAAATTTTCATATAACAATATGCGCCTTGCAATGTATAATACAGTCTGACACACATCCATTTCCTTTCATTTTTAGTAAGTGGATTTTTAAATCCACAGTGGGTCACAACCTGCAGATTGGAAAGCACTGCCCTCACTGTGAAAGATGTGTGTTCAACAATGAAGACACATATAAGGTGGGGAACTCTGTAATGTATCCCCTCAGCGAACACTGGCGGGTCCATCTCACAAGGCAGATGTATGAAGAGAGATGCAAAAACCCCTGAGTAAGTAAAGGCTGATGAAAGGTGGGTATTTTCCCATAGAGATGGACCCTAAGACAAAGATTTGAGTCCAAGTAGCTTATTTTCAAGGTGATACCAGGATGCACAGGAAGCAGGGAATGAGGCAGGGGACAGAGGAAAGCCAGCAAAAGGGCACGTGGATGTGCTATCACTGGGCATCTAGGGCTTGGCCACATAGGAGACCTCTGAGAAACTGTGTGGAACATGCCTCAGGACTGTCCCTCCAAGAAACAAGTAAGTCGGGTGTTCATCCACTGTGATGGTTAATATTGACCATCAACTTGATTGGATTGAAGGATGCAAAGTATGGTTCCTGGGTGTGTCTATGAGGGTGTTGCCAAGGGAGATTAACATTTGAGTCAGTGGACTGGGAAAGGCAGACCCACCCTCAATCTGGGTGGGCACCATCTAATCAGCTGCCAGTGCAGCCAGAATAAAAGCAGGCAGAAGAACATGGGAAGACTAGACTGGTTTATTCTTCTGGCCTACATCTTTCTCCCATGCTGGATACTTCCTGCCCTCGAACACTAGACTCCAGGTTCTTCAGCTTTGGGGCTCAGACTGGCTTCCTTGCTCCTCAGCTTGCAGATGGCCTATTGTGGGACCTTGTGATCATGTGAGTTAATACTCCTTAATAAACTCCCCCTTATATATGCATCTATCCTATTAGTTCTGTCCCTCTAGAGAACCCCGGCTAATACATCCACCCACTGTCATCCCTCCGTAATGAAGATAGAAACAAACCCATTAACTTCCTGATACTTCCAGCCTGCCCCATGTGAGGACCAAATGCCCATGGCCACAGAACACCTTCAGGCAGAGAGACACCAGAAGCTTTGGGTTGGAAGGGAATTGTCTGTAGATAACCTCTGGGCTGGGCTAAGAGGATATAGTTCAAAGGTCTCCTGCAAGATGTAACTAGGAGGCAGGAGGAGTAGCTCATTGTCAGCCATTTCAGGAACTGATTTCAGCCCTAAACACCTGTCTCCCTTCCCAGACCACACCTCATGGTCTGGCATACCCTAGCTGTCCATTGCACATTGGAATCACCAATTCCCTGATTTCTAAATTTACCAAGTGCTTTTCAGCCTGTTTTCCTGCCTCAGCATTGCTGAAAGAAGACAGGAAATCTGGCCAACTGGCTCACTGGTACTACCTGGGCCCTCTGGTTCTCCACCAGTGTGCCAGAGAACATCTCATTCTACACCAAAGATCTCTGCCACAACATTTCAGTAAAACTTTATTCATCCTTTCCCTCCTCTTAGAGAAGATGGCCCTACTCTTGTCAAGGTGCCAAGGAAAACAAATATTCAGGCAGAGGGAAGGGATCTGGTGCACCTACTGTTTGTCCGATTGAAATAAAGAAGATAGATTGACTTTGGGAATCAAATCCAAGGGGATGGGAATAGAAACGGTGTTGAGAGTAGAGGAGCAAACTCTTAATCAGCAATTCCTGAGGGCAGCGTGTCTTGGCCCAGCCTGCAGTGTCATCTGAGGAGCTTTTAAAGATGACCAGTTCCCAGCAGGTGATGAGGCAGATCCCAGGCATCAGTACATTTTTAAGTTCTCCAGATGCTAATGTGCAGGAGCTATAAGATGGGACAGGAAGGAAGAAATAGCATTTCTTGTGTGTGTGTCTTGTTTTCTGTTTGTTTAGATAAGCTTTGTATCTCATCCAATTCTGTCAACAATGCTGTATGTTAGATTTTACTGTACCCATCTCAAAGGCAAGAAAACAGGATAACCAAAGAACTGGCCTAAGTTCTCATTGTCATGAACAAAGGAGCCAAGATTTCCACTGAAGACTGCCTGAGTCCAAAGACAATGACTCTTTCTACCCTCATCATTCTCTCCCCCAAGTAAAATTTTAATAAGATTGAAGATAAGAGAAAGGGGAAAGAAAAAAAAATCTAAAAATAGGGTGTCACTGGATAAGACAAGGCTGGTCTGGGTGAGACATGATAGGAGAGGGCTCTGTAGGCAGCAAGAAACCGTAGATATCCCAAGCTGTTCATGGCACCAAGAAAAATGGGACAAAACCACCAAAGGGGGGTGGAGTGTCATCTAACCCTGTCAATGTTTCCTGAGCCTAGTCCTGCTCTCAAGGATGTCTCACATCCAAAGTTAACTCAATGGGCCATATTCCTATCAGACACTGGACTGTGACTTGGAACATCATGCCCATCAGCTCGAGTTTGAGAGCCTCTCAGCGTAGTTAATCTTCATCTTCTTTCTGGCTTCCAGACTGACTATATTCAGCTGTGAGAATAAACTGACATCACGGTAACCAGCCTTTCCTTATTTCCACAAGTCATTTCTCTCTTCTCTGTGACTGCTTGGCTCTCTAAGCTCGGCAGCCCATCTGGTTGAAGGGATATCCTGCTGCTTACAGCCTCCTCTGGGACTGCTCAAAGACAAGAGAAACCCTATCCATTTATACTCCCCTGTGTTTGCTCCATGGAACTGAATTTTATTTAAGCATCACATTTGTAGAAGGAAAAGGCATTTGTGTGTTTTCTTTCTTGATTGTATTTTTCAGCAACAAGATGCCCAATAAATTAAAGCAATCCTCAGAAGGAAAACTTCAAAACCAAAATCTCCCAAGCACCGTGTGCTCCCAAAGTCATAGAGCGTCTTTTAGTGAGTATCGGAAAATAAGGAGAGCTGGAAGAGGCCCTAGGAATCATCTCTTAGAAGGGGAAGCTGAAGCCCAAAATGGGGGATTGACTTGCCCCATGTCATGGCACAAGGCAGTGCTAGAAGTGGGACCAGAATATGGGTGCTTTGGCCTCATGTCCCCAGATGGTGTTTTGCTGGGCAGGGGCTGCATGCTGAGGAAAGACAGAAGAACATCACATTGAAGGTTGAAGGAGGCTTTCATGGGCCTGGAAGAAAGTAAAACTGGTGCCAAAGAAAACAGCGTATTTAAAACTGCAGGCTTAGCTTCAACAGTGATGAAAACAAAGTGATCTTTGCTATTTACCAACCCATCACTCCCAAGTTGACTAATGCAAGGGCCACCATATTGCACAACTCTAGGAGGCTCAACTCATACTGTCCTGTTAACCCGTATTTTAGAAAAGCAGAAAAATAAGAGCTCAACAAATATTAGCTATCCTTTTTCTTGTTTTGTATTAACAGCTAGAACCAAAGGCAATTATTGACAAGTACAGTATTCACTAAAATCAAACAGTCACCTAAGAACAACCCAGGCCTGGTGCAGTGGCTCAGGCCTGTAATCCCAGCACTTTGGGAGGCCCAGGTGGGTGGATCACTGGAGATCAGAAGTTCAAGACCAGCCTGGCCAACATGATGAAACCCCGTCTCTATAAAAATACAAAAAAAATTAGCTGGGTGTGATGGTGGGTGCCCATAATCCCAGCTACTTGGGAGGCTGAGGCGGGAGAATTGCTTGAACCCAGGAAGCGGAGGTTGCAGTGAGCTGAGATCGTGCCATTGCACTCCAGCCTGGGCAATAGAGCAAGACTCCATCTCAAAAAAAAAAAAAAAAGGGAAAGAAAAGAAAAGAAAAAGAACAACCCAAGAAATTTGGCTCTCAAGATTCGAAAGAATGAATGTATAAAATCGAGTAGATCAAAAAGATGTCTAAAAGAGGACATTCAGCAAGACTGATTAAGCACTCACGGGTGTTAGCTATGTGGTAGGTAGCATTGTTGTAAGTATTTTACACGTGTTCATCCTCTCAACAACTCAATGACAGAGGTACTGTTGTTAAGGCCCATTTTACAGATGAGGAAACTGAGATGAGGAGTCATCCAGTAACCGGCAAGTCACATGGCCAACAAGCGGCAAAGGGTGATTCAAAGGCAGCAATCACCTCTCAACACTGCATCCTTGACTACTTGCAGCATGGCTCTTTATGTTATTTGCTCCTGAGAGTTGGGGGGCAGTTGAGTCCTGCTCCATTTCCCTCAAATCACCGCAGTTGACCTACATGAAGTTTGTAATGGGGCCGACAGTGAGGAAGGGATCTGGCTCAAGCATAGGAGGACCCTTAAGGGGAGGCAGACCACTACAACTCTGGGAAATCTAGGAAGGATTGGTGGCATCCTTAAGGAAGCACAGGCCAGAGCCCCTCAGCATCACAGTGGGCATTCAGAGGGAGGCCCTGGGCCTCTGGGAGCTCTACACTTACCCCCACATCCATCCCTGCTTCAGGCATATAGAGTTAAAAAAAAAAGAAAAGAAAAGAAAATTAAGATCCTCCCCAAGAGGCCAACAGAAAATATTCAAAGTAACTCAAAACCTCCTCCAGCCTTTCTGAACCCAGTAGAGTTAGGAGATATTTTTAATTCATCCCACTCTGTAACCTTGAGCAATTTACCTAATCTCTTGAGTTTTAGTTTCTTCATCTCTATAAAATAAAGTTCACACTTACCATATATGTGTGTGTGTGTGTGTGTGTGTGTGTGTGTGTGTGTTAGAAATTAAATTTGACATAATTGGTGGAAAAGGCTTAGCACAATGCTTGCCAACTGGTAGAAGACCAATAAATAATAGCTTTCATCTACCCTTTTGGGACAGAAAAGGACGCTGTTAGGTTCCTATAAAACATTTATTTTTCATTATTTACCAATAAGCCCTTAATTTCAGGGCTACAATATGCCCAGAAAACAAGATCACCTCCCCAGACACCTTCGCAGTTAGGGTGGGCACATTTCAGTTCTGGCAGATGAAATGTAAGGAGAAGACTATTTGGGAAGCAGAGGGGTATCTTCCAGGAAATCTGTTGCTTCCCTAAAAATTGGAGAAACAGACTCAGCTAGCATTTCCTTTGACCTATGACCCTTCCTCTTCCTCCTATTTGAAGGTGCAGCGGCCATCTTGCCACCATAAGGACAAAACCACAGGCTGATCACAGGAATAGAGAAGAATCTTGGGTCCTAAATAACATCCTCTGATTATTACACCAATTCTACATTTCCTGCATCTTGACTAGTTGTGTTAGAAAAATAGACCCCTAAAAGGTGTTCCATTATTTGTAGCTGAACACATTCCTAACTGGTATTTACCAATCCCAGTTTTATATATTGAAATAGAAGAAAGTATAGCAATTCTGGGGTGTTCGTCCAAGGTCACATAATGAATTGATTGGTGGCAAAGTCATGCCTGCTGAGTATCTGAGTCTTAAATTTCCAACCCCAAAACTCTCCAAATAGATTACATTTCCACAATTATTGTATCTATGTCAAGAATCAGAATGATCAGTGTTATAAAGCATTTAGGTGCAAGACAATTGTGCTGGTATATAGGAAGCTTTCTTCTAGAAATTTAAGTAGTCAAAATATATTTTTGAAAATCATGGATTTTATTTAATCTGTGCAAGCGGACTTTTCAATCTGGGGGCAAATCACACATGAAGCTTACAAAAGGAACTGTTAATCTACGGAACCCAGCTCCATCTCTCTGGAAACACAAGGAAGCACCTTTGAACCATCCAAAGAACATCATGCTGTGAAATCAACAAATAGAGCTGTCTGCCCTCATATCTATCCTAAAGAAGATACTGGATTTGAAAAAGACATGTCTTTGAACTGCTAATAAATATTTTACAACCCTGATCTTTTAGGAAGTCAGGATTGACTAGCACTATCTCATAAATGCAAGCTTTGCACAGTACAATTGTTTGGGCTTATATATTGTCTGCCTTGTATTGTTATAATTTAATGAAAGCTATTTGCTGAACTCAAAAAATGTAATTAATAAAACTATATCCAAATTCCCTGGCTGAGAATTTGTATCTGCAACAAAGCTGCTGGATATGAGTTTGGTCAGAATCTCTGGAACTTTGGGATCCTTGGGAGAAGAAAATCTACTCCTTTGCTTTAGAAATAGATGCATCCTTGGAACTGTCCAGGTGGGTGTAGGTAGTGGTGCTTACAACTCATCCCACCACCAAGCAATAGACCCCGAGTAGGATGGCTTCATAGTGATTCCCCCAGTGGCCTTGGTTATACTCATGAACCCGTTCCCCTGGCCAGGTTCAATTGGCCCAGCATAAAAACATGTGACCCAAGTTGTGGCATATTCTCTATCATGGAAAGTTAAGACTTGAACAAGGAGATGTAGTGATGGGAAGTCTTTAGAATTGACTCAGCTGGCTTGCTACAACCCAGAAAGTGAGCCCACAAACTACTACCAGTGAAGTCCTGGGATCTCGTTTAGTTCCTGCCCTTCCTGAGATCCTCTAATTCTCTGAGCTCACCCAGTAAGGCACTAAGGACACCTCCTTTAAAACTTGAGCTACACTGAGTCAGTTTGTTTCTTAAGACCAACAGGATCCTAGTGAATACACCTGACACTATTGTGCACCAATTTGTAGGGTCACAGAGCCAGAAGGAAACACAAGAGTTCTCCTAGTTCCTTTCTACATTTAAGCAGGAATAAGCAGTCCCAATCTTGGGCAAACAGGTGGCAGGGAATCTCCACCTTATTGTCTTTAAGCCTCTAAGGAAAGTAGTTTCAACATTCGGACCCCAAACTCTACACCAAGAACCTTTTCTTCCCATGTTCTTTATTGGCACCTGCCGTGGTGCCAAAAGTGTAACAAGTGGTTTTTGGTATGGGCTTTGGGGCTAGGCTCCCAGGGTTGGAATCTGATGCTGCTGCTTTCTAGCTGTATGACTTAGGGTATTGTTCATCCTCTCCATGCCTCAGCTTTCCCTCCTAGAAAGGGAATAAAATTCATACTGTTTGCCTCATGGAGTTGTTGTGAGAATTAAGTGAGTTAACCCATACGAAGTTCTAAGAACAGCACTTCACCCCTACTTCTCCTACTGTCTCCTCTTTTGTATTTCAGGCATGCCAGCTTATACGTGTTCTTTCCTGCCTAGAGTCTTGGGGGCGGTCTTTGTACATTCTGTTCTTTCTGCCTGGGAGCCGTCCTCTACTCCCCACAGCCACTCAGTGATAAATGGCAAAACTGGCCCCAGTTCACCACCCCTTCCTATAACCACACTCTTTGCTATGTGATTTTACAGCTCCTCCCATCAGCAGGTGGAGTCTATATTCCTAACCCCTTAAATCTGTACTAGTCATGTGACCTGCCTTGGCCAATAGTTGAGTAGAAGTGGCATTGTACTAGTTTTGATCCTGGACCTCAAGAGATATTGCATGTTTCCATTCTCTCTCTCAGACTCCTTCCAGCTACAAGCCTAGTCTAGCCTGCTAGATGAGAAACACGTGGACCAGTCTCCACCCATTACCCCAGCCCACAACTAACCAATCCCTTGAAGCAGAATCACCTAGCTGACCAGCATCTGACCATCGAGGTATAGTGGTCTCACCACACCAGCTGAGACCAGAAGAACCACCCAGCTGAACCCAGCCCAAATTGCCAACTCACTGCATTACAAACTGAATAAGTAACTATTGTTTCAAGCCACTAAATTTGAAGGATGATTTGCTACATTGCGAAAGCTAACTGATATACACCCTCTCTAAGCCTCAGTTTCTTCAATGATAAGACAGAAATAATAAAAACAGGAATAATACAGCCTACCTCAGAAAAACAAGCGTAAAGACTGAAAGAGATTATGCTTCTCAAGTGCCTATGCAACAGTATTACATAGCTATAAACTACCACACACATTGTAATGATGATACTGATTATTTACATTGCCTCTCATCTGTATATTTGAAAGTAATTATATCTAATGAATAGGTTGTTGTGATAAATTGAGAAAATATGTGAGATGCTTAGCGCCATGTCAGATACAAACAGAACATCAATAAGTAGTTATACTTAATGAGCTGCTGTTGTCAAGTATTACTACAGAGTCTCGGCTTCTTTATTCTCTCCCCTGGCCATTACACACAATCTTCCACTGCCACCCCCTCCTATCTTACCTTCAGCCCTCAGAGTTCCATCACCTTGATGATTAGACGTTGGCTCCCAGCCTTCACCCTGACACTAGGGCAACTCCAGCCTGCAGAGCCCACTTCCTGGGAGAAAGCATTGGAACGCCCGGGACTCCTTGAACGTCCGTCCGGTCGTGAACTTCAGCCACTAGGGGGCAGCCTCACCCTCCAGCCTCGGGAAGCTGAGCCGGTCCTATGGGGTTTTTTCCCTCTTCTGATCCTGCAGTCTGAGGGCCCAGGATTTGGGAAGCCCCCGCTGGTCCCACTGTCTACGGGTCTCAGCCCCACTGTGGCCACTCACCTGTTCATATTCCCCCCTTCCCTCCTAAGTGGGAAGTACCCCATCCCCCAACCACTTTGAGCAGACACTGGTGGCGGAACCTCCCCAGCTCAGTGTAACCTCTCAACCTGCGCGAGTGGTTTCATAATTCATGCCTGCCCATCAGCAGACAGATTTAGCCTGCTGCCTGCTGAGTCTGAAAATACTGAATATTAAAATATCCCAGACGCTCGCCCTTCTAACGCCCTCGCCTCTCTCGGATTCATATGCAGTTGGCTGCACAAACAATTCCAGGGACACACATCAATTTGTCGATTAAGTAGGGTTTGAGCACCCGTATGTGTAACTTTCATCAAAACAGGGAAAGGCGTATTCAGGGCTGCGTGCTCGGTGTGTGACCTTGAAGAAGTCTTAGTCTTCTGGCTTCAGAGCCAGTATATTTTTTTCTACATCACATTGCTCCTTAAACTCTCAGGGCCCTTTTTGCAGCACTATTTGTGATTAAGAGAAATGGGAATCCAATTTGAAGGATTTCACTGAGCAAAGTAGAGCAAAAGACCTGCGGAAACAATCTCTGCCCACCCAGGACAGCAATAGAGAGGTTCCCAGCAATTAAAGCCTGCCGGTAATGAGGATGAGGAAGCAGAGGACTCTCATATTTGGTAAAGAAAGGGGTGTGCAAGTGTGTACGTGTGTGTATCTCACACCCCTTTCAAGTCTGACACCTGTTATGTATATCAAAGACTGCCACATATTTCCTGCCTTCGATGGTGAGTTTTGTTTTTATTTTGAGACGGAGTCTCACTCTGTTGCCCAGGCTGGAGGGCAGCGGCGTGATCTCGGCTCACCACAACCTCTGCCTCCCGGGTTCAAGTGATTCCCATGCCTCAGCCTCCTGAGTATCTGGGACTACAGGCATGCACCACCATGCCCGGCTAATTTTTGTATTTTTAGTAGAGACGGGGTTTCACTGTGTTGGCCAGGCTGGTCTTGAACTCCTGACCTCAAGTGATCTGCCCGCCTCAGTCTCCCAAAGTGCTGGGATTACAGGCATGAGCCACTGCACCTGGCCGATGGTGAATTTTAAACCTTCTACTTGAAGATTCTGGGCCTTTGCTAAGGCACACACCTTTGCTAATATCCAGTAATGACATGACCAGCAGCAAATGTAGCTAAAAACAACAGAAATTTATCATCTCCCAATCCCGGAGGCAGAAGTCTGAAATCAAGGAGTCAGCAGAGCCTTGCACCCTCCAGGGATCTAGAGCAGATAATTCCCTGCCTCTTCCGGCTTTTGGAGGCTCCTGGCATTTCTTGGCTTGTGGCAGCATCTCTCTAATTTCTGCCTCCATCTGCACAGGGCCTTCCTCCCTCTCCCTGTGTGTGTCCTCTCCTCTTCGTCTAAGGACCCTCGCGTTGAGTAATCTTAGACCACCCTAATCCAGCATGATCTCCTCTCAATCTTTATCTTAATTATATCTGCAAGATCCTATTTCCAAATGTCTTAGTCTGTTCAGGCTGCTATAACAAAATACCTTCTATTGGGTAATTTATAAACAACCAGAATCTGTTGCTCACAGTTCTGAAGGCAAGGCTCTAGTCAATTTGGCACCTGATGAGGCTAGCTCTCTGCTTCAAATATGGCACCTTCTTGCTGGGTCCTCACATGGCTGAAGTGGTGAAAAAGCTTCCCCAGGCCTCTTTTATAAGGGAAATGATTCCATTCACGAGGGTTCCACCTTCACGTCCTAGTCACCTCCAAAGGCCTTACCCCTTAAAGCCAACATATTGGGGATTCGATTTCAACACATGCATTTTAGAGAAACATAAATATTCAGACCAGAGCACCAAATAAGGCCACAATCTGAAGTTCAAGGTGGGCATGAATGTTAGAGTGTCGCCACTCAGCCCACAACACCCACTTTATCTCTATCTTGGGTTCATACGAGGGTTTGCTCCTTCTTTGGAGTACTGGAATGTGGTTGAAGGCAATATTATTAGTTTAACTCCCTGTTGTTACCTTAAGCAGGCTCTTTCCACAAGACCTTTCTATGGGTTCACTAATGAGGCTGAAGGAATTTGTTCCCCAATACCTAGCACATACACAGCAAATCACACTTTACAAAGCTCCACATCCTACTTACTCTCTATGTCAGCTCCGTAAGGTAAACAGTTTTACCCCTCACTTTGCAGAGGAGAAAACAGGCTCTAGGTGTGAAGTGACTGTCTCAGATCTCAGCAACCACAAGAGGCAGGACCTTCAATCCAGGCTTTCTGATTCCAACCTGGTGCCCCCATCAACTGCACCCCACCTGTGTCTCCTATAAGCTGAAGACATCCCTCATAAGGAAGAGTAACCAGATATCTGGCTTGTGCCTGCTGTCCCAGTATACACATTATTAGCTCTCCACTTCATTCCCAGAAGTGTCCCACTTGGACAGTAAGTTATATGATAACCTTCTCAGCAGTCTTGGCCACAGAGCTCCCTGCCTCTGCCCTAGGTCCAGCCCTTACCGTGTTAGGCTATGGGACAAAATAGTATTTTTCTCCTTCTGTTTTTCTTTTCTTGCACATGAGCTTTATGACAAAGAGGCATGAAGCTTTGCCAAAGTTGGGAGTGGTATATTATGTTCTTCAAGGGAGCCAGGATGGTCTTTAAATCTCTCCATACCTTTCCGTCCTTGGGAAAGATTGGGCTGGGTCAAAAGCCAAAGCAGAATCAGGAATGAGCTTTGCTCCCAACATACACCACAATGCAGAGACTTCACAATCCAAACCTTATCTGCCTGGCCTCAGACAGCTCCAAAAGGATGGACGTGCCAAAAATCCCATAGCAGCTGGCATGAAGGCTCTGCAGCAGGGTCACAAGACAGAAACAAGTGGAGATTTAAAGGGAAGAAAGATCTTTATGGAACAGAACCTGACATTACACATCAAAAGCTTGAAGCAATATTTACGTGTGTGTGTAAGGCACGTGGGGTTTGTGTACAAGGATGCTTGGCTGAATCTAGAAAAGTTTTGAAGGGATACCCAACAGAATGTTACCAGTGCTCCAGGGATGGCTTGGAGAGGCAGAGAGAGTAAGGGGACTGTCACTATAGAAATCATGCATGCCTACTTTTTTTATACTTTTTTAAGTACAATTTTCTTATTTAAGAGTTTTTATTGTGTAACTTTTTATTCATCTATTTCAATGCAGGAATTTAAGTTGAAGAAAGAATTAAGCCCATGCACAAAGGCTGAGCTGACAGGGACTTGCATGAAAGCTTTGCTTTCTAACAATAAAACCTCAGTCCTGAACTCATCGTCCAGTAATAGGGTATAGTCATAATAGAGAATTCCACTCAGCTGTTAAATAACTTTCAAATGAATATTTATGGACCAAAAGAAAGGTGATAGTCATACATTATATAGAAATAAAGCAACTTTCACAAGTGAGTATAATCCAACACCATGTTTTAAATCTCCATCTACATGTAGAAATATACAGATATTATTCTTAACAATCTTGGCTGTATTATCATTGTTTATTTTACTCTAGCTTTGAATTTTCACATTTCTGCAATGAATAGAAATAAGGAGAAAGTTGATTTGACAGAGTGCCAAGAGGCGTGGCCAGGGCGCCCTCTGAAATCTCGTCAGGTGAGTGTGACACCCTGTGAATTCCTGCCACTACTCCATAAGGTAGTTTGGCTCCTGTTGTCTCTTGGGGCAATTCCTGCACAAGAAGTTTCAGCAGGAAACTGGAATGGAAAAAATGGAATATGTGGGGCCCACAAGCCCCTGCCTACCCTGCCAGTTGCCATGGAGGGAAATGATTGAGGAGGGAAAATTGTGAGAGGTCACACCTGGGCTGATTTGGAAAAGGCAGATTTTCACGTGGTTCTCGCCAATCTCCCATGTCTTCCACCTACACCTCTCAATCACCTAACAGAAGTGATTGTATGAGAATTTTCAGGGGTAGTGTTACAAATCACTCAGCCTGGTGCCAGGCACACTGGAGGGTGCAATGGGTGAATGGCCATATCAAAAGCTGGGGCTGGAAGGGGTGGTGGAATAAAAATGTTTGTGAGCATCTCCCATGAGCTACCTTTATGAGCCTTCACAACAAGAACCTGGCACATGCCTTGTGGTTACTCCCATTTTACAGATAAGAAAACTGAGGCTTAAAGAGAGTGAGGGATTGGCCCAACATCATTCAGGCAATTAGTGGCTGAGCCTAATCATGCAAACCCTAATCTCCCTGTCTTCAAACCCACTTCCTTCCCCTCCCAGGAGACTCTGCACTCGGGCTTTCTATACGGAGGAGGCACTGGGACCAGCAAAGACGTGAACCCACAACACACACAGCTTGTGGCAGTGCATAGACTTCAGCAAGGCCTCTTTAGCCCTGAAGCATGTGACACATGGGGAAACTTGAGGCCCACACCCCCTCAGAAAGAGTCCCTTTGGAAATTACATTTTTAGCCATGCGCTAACATGTACTTTAGCATGGAAGAAAAAGACTTTCTTCCATGCAAGACACATCCTGTTTATAATCCCATTTGTTCCAACAAGAATTCTGAAGAGAGGGTGGAACAGGGGCTTTGTCATTTTACAGAGAAGGAAATTGACTTGCTGTGTGACCCTGAGCTAGTCCACCTCCCCTTTCTGTATTTTTCCCCTTTCTGTATCTGAAAGGGGATTCATTTCATTCAATGAAATGAATTATTAAAATTAATTTCACCTGTTTATTTTTACTCATTTAATGTAGCTACTAGAACATTTAAAAGTATGTGTGTGTCCTTGTATTGTATTTCTATTGGACAGAGCTGTCTAGAATGCTGAAGCCTAGACGGATGTTTTCAGATACAGAAACCTGATTTTTCCCCTTTCTGTATCTCAGCATCCCTACCTATAAAACAAGGAGGTTGAACCATAGTTACCCCAAGTTCTTTTCCATTCATGAGCCCTTCAATTTGTCACCAGATAGTAAATGATGTTAAAATAAACACCTGATTTTTCACATCTTTGCCAATTTCTCTCCCTTCAGACAGAACTAATCCCATCTGCCTTGGTCTTCTCTTGGTACCCAGTTCCCACCTCTGCTCCTGAACTTACCACGTGCTCCTGCCACTGGCTCACATAGAAGCCGCTAGAAGAAAAAGGCCATGTCTTCCCCTCCAGAACTGCCCTGTCCAGTATGGACGCCACTGGTTTCTGTGACTGCCCAGCACTTAGAGTGTGGTGAGTCCAAATCGAGATGTGCTGGAAGCGTAAAATACACACTGGATTTCAAAGACTTAGGGAGAAAAAAAAAGAATGTAAAAACTCGTTAATTATGTTTACAGTGATTATACGTTGAAATGATAATATTTGGCTATGATGGATTCAATGAAATGGATTATTAAAATTAATTTCACCTGTTTATTTTTACTCATTTAATGTAGCTACTAGAACATTTAAAAGTATGTGTGTGTCCTTGTATTATATTTCTATTGGACAGAGGAGCTGTCTAGAATGCTGAAGCTTAGACGGATGTTTTCAGAGAGGTGATTTGTTAAATGTTTAAGAATGGATGAGCAGGCTCTCAAGTTCTTCCTTAGCAATTTGACTGTGGCCCTGAGTTTAAAATTATCACTATCACCATGTCTTTGTCATATTTACACCACTCTTAACATTTTGTATCAGGGAGACTAATTGCAAATTGCCATTAAAGTCAGCCAAGAAGAGAAAGACAAGCACTATGGTTAGTCCAACAAATAATTATTGAGCATATGCTATTGCCAGGCACCTCTAGAAACTTGGGATCAGGGAACAAAGTGAACATAGACCTTGTCCTTGAGGAAAGCAGGGCAGGGGTAAAAATGGCAAGTTAATGACATTGTATATTAGAAGGTGATAAATGCTAACGCAAAAGAGAGAACAAAATGAGGGTTAGGGAGGACCAGATTGCAATATTAAATGCGTCGTCTTGGTAGGTCTCGTTGAAAAGGGCAGATTTTAAGCAAAGATTTGAAGGAAGTAGGGAGTGTTCAAGTGACTCCCTGGAATAAATGCATTTTTAGGCAACAGGAATAGCTAAAGAGATGGGCCTCTGGCAAGCTGTGTAAGTTAAAGGAGTCAGGAGACCCAGGCTTGTGTCTCTAAGCCTCAGTTTCCCCACATCATATAGGTCTCTTCTGTTTAGGTCCTGCACAGCTCAGGCACTCACAGCTTCACCACCTACATCCTCAGAACTGTCAGTGCCCGTCCACATGCCCTCCCTCCCCCACCACCCCCAGCAGAGGCTTCAGGCCGTCTCTCTGGTTATCTGAATTCTAGAAAGAAAAGGCTGTACCTGGAGCAATGGGGGAGGGGGTGAACGGAGACAGATACAACTTATTTACAGATCAGGACAGTCTGTGGGCTGCTTTGGAAACCTGGCGAAGCAAATCTGTATGAAGAACAGCCAGTTGCTGAAAAAATAATCCCAGGGGAGCCACTCAGCTCACTTGCCAGCATGCCTGGATCCCTCTCCACTGAGGCGGTTAGGAAAATGGCAGGGTGGAGGCAAAGCCCATTGCAATTGCGTGCTAATTGGGTTCCCTGCCACCTCTCCACTCTCCACTCTGCCATGCGGGTCTAAGCATGTCATTTCTGTGCTTCACAGTGTGCCATCCGATGCCTCCAAGTACAAAGTTCTAAGCAGGATAAATGAAGTTCATCCATCACAGCCTGGCCTCACCAAATGCTGCAGCTTTGATTCTCTTTTCTATCTAGACCCTTCCTGACACATCCCACTTTTCCCTCCAAGCCCCTGTGCAAGACCCACTGCCCCAACAAGCTCCTCCATCAGCCCAAGATGTCCCTCTTTCCTTGTACACCTGGCAGACCCCACACACTGCTCTCCAAGGCATCAGCACAAATGTGTCCTTCTCTAAGATTATAGATCCTGGAGTTGGACTCCAAATCCCATCTCATCCACTTCGTACCACATGTCTAGGGAGAGTTGCTTACCCCCTAAGCTTTGGGTTCCTCACCCATCAGATAGGATAAAATAGTACACACCCAGTGGAGTTCTAAAGTAGAGTGGCCCAGTGGGGGTGAACAGCTTATCATTGTGCCTGGCACGCAGGAAGCACACAGTAAGTGGTGATGCTGTTACTGCCTTGTAAATATTATTACCATTATTATTTTAACAATGACTGCTGCTACGACTACCACTGCTCATGAAGACAGAATGGCTCCTCCCTCCACTGTGTTCCCATACGTCTTCGTTTGAGTTCCATAAACTTGGTGTTGATTCCCTCAAAATCAGACTCTGTAATAAGGATTTGGATGCAAAGAGTTTATTTGGGAAGTCATCCCAGGAAGACAAATGAGGAAATGCAAGAAGTGAGACAGGGAGGTAAAAACACCAAGCAAGGGTGTGCTGATGAGAGAATTATCTCTGTGGGTAACTGAAGCTCAAACAACTGGGCACCCTTTCAGGAGGCATTTCACTTATCAATTAGGCAATGAAATGCTGAAGACCCACTACTGCCCAGACATGGCATATTTCAAGGAAATGGGCCACTGCTGAAGGGAACTACTGCACAGCTGGATGTCAAATATCTGTTACAAAACCTCCAGAGTTTGCAAATGCTTTGACTTAGCAATTCCACTTGGAAGAATTTATCCTAGGTGAATAATCATAGATGTACACAAAAATACCACTAAAGAATTTCTCTTTCCAGAATTTTCTATAATAGTGAAAAACTGGACACAATCTAAAGGCCCAACAACAGAAGAGTAGATAATTAAATCATCTTTCATCTCCACGGTGGAATACTCAGCAGCCACTGAAAATGATTTTAAGAATATTTAATGTCACAGAAAACTGATTGTAACGTATTGTGAAGTCATTTTTAAAAGCAGGTACATACACACACAAACTAATGTATATGACATGACCTAATAAGAGTTTCAATAATAGTTTAATGTAATACTTAGACGCACACGCATGCAGGCATGTATGTGTACACGCACAAAGTCCTAGAAAGATAATGACTAAAAATGATGCCAGTGGTACTAATTCAGTGGTTGAATTACATTTTAATTTTCTTGTTTTTTTTTTCTTATCTGTAATTTCAAAACGTTCTACAGTATTCATGTGTTATGGGGATACTCTGACAGCACACAAGCTGCCTACTGAGAGAGGCGATGAGAAGGTTGAGCATCACCCAAATTGCTGCCTGTGCAAACGGGTTTGTATTGTTCCCTAATAGGAAAGGTCATAGATCAAGCAACTCCAGGAGCCTGGCTTGCCTCCAGTCATAAAGGAGCCCATCTGGGACATGTGGATCTCTGAAAACACACGGGCTCTTCCCAAGAGCCCACAATCAGAAAAGGATGTCAAATATTTTCTGGGTTTTTTTTTCTCAGTAAATTTCTCTATCTCCAAATTTTAATCATTGAACTAGGGCAACCTGCTGGTTTATGTTGCTTAAAGGCTGATTAAAACGATTTGATTCTATGAAGTTACCAGTAGATTTTAAAAGGAAAAAACTGCAAAAAAACTAGTCTTTCTAATTTCTGGTCCTCAGGCCCTTTGGAGATCTTATTTCAGTTCTCCTTTGAGGAGTGACTATCCTTTAAGGAGGGAATACAGGATATGCATAAGGAAAGGAGGAGACTGCATGGAGAATCTTTCCATTCACTGGGAATTTTTTCTCTGGTTTGAGGAGAGGAGGAGGAGGAGGGCCTCCTGCCCTTCTCTGATTTTTCTCTCCTACAATAGCATTAGAGGAACTTTCATCATTTCTAGTACCTCTGTCTACTCTCTTGACAGCTGCCCCCTAAGAGAAGGAGGCAAGCTCCTGTAACTGACCAGAGCCTGGAATGATCATCAGACTGTGTTTTACTGGCGGGTGGAGCTGGCGCACCCCTTCACTTTCTGCATCGGCACACACAGACCTCTTCCCAAAGGAAGCCTTCTCTCTGTACCTGATTCTCTGCCCATTACTGGGTTTGTCATGCAACCTGGCCATCCCTACCCATGAAGCTGGTTGGGTAAGTGGACTTAGAGATGGCACTGCATGGCCAGGCAGTCTAGACTTGAGGAACAGAGAAAAGGTGGCCACATTTTCTTCAGATCTAAGGCTCTGATCTATTATCCAGCTTTTATCCAAAAACACCTTCATTTGGGGGTTTTATAGTACTGGCAAATCATCGTGAAAGCTCGTACTTTGTTCTTCATTTGACTGCTGTTCCTTATATACAACTTGGCCAGGAACCCATGGGGTAGCAGGGATGAGTGGGAGGATTTACTGTCATCCTGACCAGCCTTTAAATCTGGACATCTGCTACATGGCTGGCATTGTGTGGGTGCTGAATACACAAGAAAGACACTGCCCTTGCCCTTGAGGGGCTCATAGCCTGTGGGAGGAGGCAGAAATGTAAGCAAATAAGTGTGACAATAGGTACAATATGGTGTGATAAATACTATAATACAACAATGTACAAAGTGCCAGGAGAGCACAGAGAAGGAGAAAACTCATTCAGCTGCAACAGAGGGATTGGAAAAGAGCCTGGGAAGACTTCAAAGAGGAAGTGACATTTAAGCTCCATCTTAAAGATTAAACAAGAGAGAAGCAAGACCAGGAGATTCCAAGCAGAAGAGACAGTATGTGCAAAAAAAAAAAAAGGAGGGGGAGAGGCAGAGCTCTGTGCGCACTTTATAGGAGGGTAAGGCATAGACTACTGGGGTCGTAGTGATTTTCTTATTTTATTAATCTGTATAAGCTCTTTATAAATTGAAGCAGTCATTCCTTTGTATATTGGTGTTGTTAATCAGAGACTTTATCTGCAGTAGTGTATGGAGGAGGTTACAGTGGGGAAAGCCTGGAGAGAAGGCTGTTGGTCCTCTCGGAAGCAATGTAGAACCGGAGCAGGTAGGGAACAAGGGTGCATGCCAAGTGAAGGGGCAAGAGTGGACGTCAAACCAGAAGGAGAATCTGCTGCATCCTAGTGGAGTGTTCTTTGTTCTACCTCACACAGGGTGCAGCCTAGAAGGGGCCTCAGGCAATGAAAGGATTGGCTGCCTGTGGAGTTTTTAGGGGAGAGATATGGACATTTCGAAAATAAATATCTCCTTCATCATTTCCATAAAGCCCTACTCTTCTGGTGGAATTCCACTTACTCAAATTTCAGTTGAGAAAGCCCTTGGTAATGAGAAAATTAGTTAATGTTTTATTATGTGCTGGACCATTAACAAGGGCTTCATGAAGAAGATGAGATTGAATTTGGTCTTGAAGAAGGTAGGATTTGGGTGCATGGGGAAGAGATGAGCACAGCAATCCCAAGAAAAGATTCCTTCATGCTTCTACTAACCACTGTCTTGGCTTAGCACCCTTTCTTAGATAAGTTGTTTTTGGTTTCAAATTAACAAAAATCAAGTGAGTCTAGCTCAGTGAAAAGAGGAGGAAGTGTGGGAGAGATAATGGGTGTCTCACAAACTGTCACCTCAGTTCCAACCACTTGCAAAGACTCTGCTCAAGGTCTCCCTCTTTCAATCCTAGTTCTCAGAAACAGATCTGATTGGCCCACCTGGAGTCACAGGTTCAATCCCAGCCAGTCAACTCTTGCTTAAGGTCTGCATCTCATGGAATCAACCTTGCTGCTTGGGGCAAAAAAAAAAAAAAAAAAAAAGTCAGCATAAGCAAATTCACTGTAACCAAATTCAGTTCTTTCAGGAGGAGAGAGAATACATCCTTGAGGTTCCTTCTGTCCTGGAGCTAAAGATGCAGCTGAAACCTATGACCAATTAGAAACCTTAATTTGGCGTGCAAAATAGAGTTGCCAGAATCAGCAAATAAAAATACCAGATGCCCCATAAAATTTGAATACTTAACCTACAAGCGCTTAGTAAAAGTATGCTCTATGCAATATTCGAGACATACTAAAAAATTCTTCATTGTTTATATGAAATTAAAATTTAATTGGGCATCCTGCATTTTATCTGCCAGCCCTAGTGGAAAGGCCATACTTTTGCAGGACTCTGAATTCTTGACATTTCCAAAATAATAATCATAACTCTGGGAATGTAAATGCCTGAGACAGATGTAGGGGTTTGCAATATGCCAAATTGAGGACACCGAGAGTGAAGCTGGCACCCTGAGAGGGAGAGGTGGATCTGCATAATTATCAGTGAATTAAATTGCTTTGTTGCAGAGAGTCAGCTTATTAAATATGCATTTCAATTTTGGAGTGGTTGGCTGAAGAATTTGAGTATCAACAGATGGGAAATCCCTTGCTGCAGCCATGACCTTTACCTGTCATGCTGGTTCACAGGACCACATGCAAGAAGACATGATTATTATTCTCCCAAGTGTCATTCTCCGGAGGCTTTGGACAGGGAGCATGAGGCTCCCATTGGGCAGGCTGGGCTGGGAATGTGGCAAGCCACATGGCTACCTAGATGGGCACATGGCCTTGTTGGCTTATGCTAATCTTCTCATATGACTTGGCTCTTCCCTCTCTGTGAAAACAACACTGTTCTTAGTGTTTAACAAACTTGAGTCCTGGTCCTGCCGCTGTCTCTCTCAAGCTTTATGAGCTGGAGCAAATCATAAAACCTCTCTGAGCCTCAGTTTCCTCAGTTGTTAATTGGGGATAATATTACCCATCTAACAAGGTCATTGGGTAGAGTCAATGGCTCCCTGCCTATGTAATTGTACCAGTCCCTCAAACTTGCCCTAGTCTCTCTCCTCCTATTGTCTGTGTTCCCAAGGTGAGCCATTTTAATAGTGTCCTCCTAACTACATTAAAAGGCATGCTTTGTTAAGCTCTAACTGTAGAGATTTATTATTCCACTGTCTCCAACTCTGAGCCACCCAGCTTGCTGGCATCAAATCATAAAACTGATCCATGTTAGCCAGCCCCAGCAGGGCTCTCCCTGAGCTCGATCATCCTTTTACTCTTTTCCAACAGGACCATAGCTCAGAGCTTTTTATGGCTAAAACACAATGTGAGGTTTTGTTTGCACATTGCACACATGACCAGGAAGAGGAATAGGTTCATGGGATCTTGCCCTGGAAGCCTTATCTAATCCCTAAGAAGAGAAGTGCTTCAAGAGAAGATGAGAAGACTGCCTTGATGAGGGATTTTCTGAGGCATGGGGGCCCTCATAGCACTGCTTTGGAGCCTAGGTGACAAAGTGTGACTAAGTGTGTGATAGACACTAAGATACACCAGGATCCAGTTCCCAGTCCCCTTGCACTTGAGTGAGTGAGATGCTGTGTGTCATTCCCATACACTTAATTGACCATACAAACCCCTCCAAAATCCTCTTTCCCAGAGAATATCTACAGAGAGGCTAAGCGTTCCAGATGGTGCTGTTCCAGACCAGTGGAGGCTCTGTGACCCTGGCTTGCAAAGTTGTTGCTGAGTTACACGGGATCCACAGCAGGCGTTGCAATCCACACACAGATGTAGGTCTGAAAGTGTCATCAGACTAAAGTTTCCAAAACACACAGTTTACCATTATTATATCCATTGTGCTCTAAGGTTTTCTATTTTATTTCATTTTGCTTTTTTTTATATTCAGGTCAACTCCACTCATAGATTTCATGATATGTGCTGGGACTTCAGACTCCCACTCTACGACTCCCACTCTGCTACTCTCTCTAACAGCACTGACCTGCATTCTGCTGGTCACCCTCTGTAATTTCAGGTCAGTTTATGTTCAATTGTTCAGTGTCCGCTTGTCCATTAGGCTGTGATCTCCACGAGGGCAAGGACCAGGTCTGTGTTGTTTGCTCCTCAGACCCAGCACTGACACTAAATGAGCCCTCCTAAAACCTTGATTGACAGGTTAAAATATATACATCAATGATATTGCTGCAGTGTCTATGAATGTATTAGTTAGGGTTCTCCAGAAAAACAAGAGAGCGAGAGAGAGAGGAGATTGCAAGGAATTGACCTATGTGACTATGTAAGCTGAAAAATCCCAAGATCTGCAGCTGATAAGCCAGAGATCCAAAAGAGCCGATGATGTAAGTTCCAGTCCAAGGGCAGGAGAAGATCGAAGTCACAGCTCAAGCAGTCAGGAAGGAGGAATTCTTTCTTACCTAGGGGAGGGTCAGCCTTTTTGTTCCACTCAGGCTTTTAACTGATTGGATGAGGCCCGCCCACATTAGGGAGGATGACCTGCTTTACTCAGTCTACCAATGTAAATGTTAAGTTCCTCCAAAACCACCGTCACAGACACACCAAGGATAATGTTTAAACAAATATCTGGGCACCCTGTGACCCAGTCAAGTTGACCATTAACCATCACAGTGGACAATGTTAAACTTTCTATTATGGACGTATCCTGCGTTAGGAAGAATTATGGGCCACTAAATAGCCACATCCTACTCCCTGGGCCTTATAAATATGTTACTTTTTATGGCAAAAGAGACTTTGTAGATTGGATTAAGTTAAGGACATTGAGATGGAGACATTATCCTGAATTTTTTGGGTGAGCCCAGTGAAATTATATAAATTCTTAAAAGCTAGAGAACCCTTTCTGAGCTGTGATCAGAGGAACTGTGACTATGGAAGAATGGACAATGAAAAGCAATGTGGCTGGCTCTGAAGATGGAGGAATGCCACTGAGCCAAAGAATGTAGGCAGCCTCTGGAAGCTAGAAAAGGCATGACAACAGCAACAGAAGATTCTCCCCAGAGCCTCCACAAAGGAGGCCCTGTCAACACCTCGATTTTATCCCAGCAAGACCATATCAGGCTTCTACGGAACTATAATATATTAAATCTGTGTTACCATTAAGCTTGTGGAAACTGCTTATGGTAGTGATAGAAAATAATACATATTTATAAGTCTAAATGGTAGCCAATAAATACTGACCATTTTCTGGGTACTTCTCTAAGGGTTCTGCATGTTTTAACTCATTTGATCCATACAACTCTATGAGGGCAATGATACTATTATCTTAATTTTACAGATGAGGAAACTGAGGCACAGAAAGTCTTCATAACTTGTAAGAGTTCAGTAAATGGCAAATCCAGACTTTAAACCAAGACAGTCAAGCTCAGAAACCTAGTGCCTCACCACAGGCTGTGCCTCTGTTCTTACAGTGCTCGGAATGGATGAAACAATGGCAGTGAAAGCCAGCTGTGTTCTTTGGCAGGTTTTTCATTTGAATCCAAAGTATTATTTATATTTTACATTATAAATAATGTTTTATATTATATATTACTATTATTATTACTGGAGTGGGAGCAAGGCATAAGTACAGAGTAGGAAATTATGACTTCTGAGCACTCTTTTTAAGTCAGCTACTTCTTTTTTTTTTTTTTTTCTGAGACAGAGTCTCACTCTTGCCCCCCAGGCTGCTATCTCATCAAGTTCCTCATCCCAGACCCATGATGTCTAAGTCCTTGGCCTGTCTTTAGCCATATCTTTGATGTCTCCTTTCAATAATTTTCCATCCACTGGCCCTGCACGCTGCTCCTTGCTATAAATCCTCATTTGTCCTTCCTGTATTCACAGTTGAGCCCCATCTTTCTCCCCTATTGCAATAGTCTTGAATAAAGTCTTCCTTACTGTTTTAACAAGGGGACAAAATAATTTTTTTCCTTAACAGTTAATTTATATCAACTGGGCTTTTTTTTCTTTTTTCTTTTTTGGAATGAGGAGGCCCAGACCCCACCTAAGACCAATAGAATCAGAATCTTGGGGATAGTTCTAATGTGGACCCAGGGTTGAGAGCCACTGGCCCAGACATTTGGCATAAATCTCCTTTGTGATGGAGAATCTGAGAGCTGGGCTGACTTTCAGACTGGACGACCCTGTAAATTCTTACCAACTAGGTTGGCCTTCATTCCTTCCCTATTATCAGTGTAGTAGTCCATTTTCATTCTGCTGATGAAGACATACCCAAGACTGGTTAAGTTATAAGAAAAAGAGGTTTCATGGAATCGCAGTTCCACATGGCTGGGGAGGCCTCACAATCATGGCAGAAGGTGAAAAGCACAGCTTACATGGCCACAGGCAAGAGAGAGAATGAAAGCCAAGCGAAAGGAACTTCCCATTATAAAAGCACCAGATCTCATAAGACTTATTCCCTACCATGAGAACAGTATGGGGGAATCTGACACCATGATTGAATCTCCCACCGAGTCCCTCCCACAACACGTGGGAATTACGAGAGCTACAGTTTAAGGTGAGATTTGGATGGGGACACAGCCAAACCATAGTTATCAGCCTATCCCCACTTGAAACAGGCTCCTTCACCCAGCTACAACAGGCTGCATCTCCTGAAATGCACCATGCTCTGTGTTTCCTTCATACATTTGCTCACACCACCTCCTTTCCCTAGAATGACTGCTCCATGCTCCCTACCACATGGGAAAAAATTACTTCTAATTAAGACCTCAGTTCAAGCACCCCTTTCTCTAGGTTGTCTGCCCCAATTCTTTCCAAGGATACAATGATCTCTTTCTCCTTCTGTCCCCACTGCCTCATCAATAAGACACCATCACATCATCCTCCATATCACACCTGAGACATCGATTGCCCCTGTGTTCAAACCTGACTTTGTATAGAGCAAACCACAGCATAGCTGAGTTAACTAAAACCAGAAACACAGCTCCCCACCAGACAACCTGGCTAAGGGCATGGTAGGACTTAATATTTATGTGAATGGATTTTCAAAAATCACTCATCTAAAATTAATACCAACAACATGAGAAGATAATAACAAAAGCTTTCATCAGATGAAATGAAGCTTATTATTTCTGCCAGGAAACTGCAAACTTGGGTAAAGCTCTATATTGAACACATAAATTGTTGTTGATATCATCAAATATTAGGAATCCTACAACATGGAGCATTAGGTTTAGAGTCCAAAAAACCTGAACTATAAATGAACTCCGCAGTTTTCTAAATGCATAACTTTGTGAAAGATAATCTCTCTGAGCCTCAGTTTTCTCATCTATAAAATGGGGATTATAACACTTCACTCACTTCCTCCAATAGGTTGTTTTAATCATTAAATAAAATAACTCATAACAAAGCATATTTTATTTAACTCCAAAGCCCTCTACAAATGTAAGAAAGACTTTTAATATTTTTCCTAATTACTCATGTTTTTCTTTTTCTTAATTAGTATCAACAGTTTTACATTCATATGAAACAGATTGAGATGTCCATTCAGGAATAATTAAGAAGAAAGGTTTATTTTAGAAGGACTGTAGGATGTTGTTAGAGGAAGAGCATTTTTTTTCTTTTCTTTCTTTTTTTTCTTTTTAAGGAAAAAATATGCAAATTGCTTTTTCTTGCTAAGGTTCTTCCATACAAACTGTAATAAAAATATCTTGCACCTAAACAATAGTTATATTTAAATTATAAATAATAACTAAGAGGAAAGAATAACTAAAGAGAGTAAGCAAGGGAACTAATGTGTTTGATTCTCTTACTTCCTTGTTCATCATCTCTCTGGGTATAAGGCAATCTTTTCTTTTCAACAAACAAGGGATGCGTGTTCACATACATGCAGTGCATATGTAGATGCATGTGAATGTTTATATGAGTGCTTTTTTCTTCTAGTCTTTGCTTGATTGGTTGGTTTGTCTGGGGTGGAAGTAAATTTTATTTTTGACAATGTAGTACATGCATAAAGCCTAGAAAGACTGTCAGTACTACAAGAACTCTGCTTCACAATTCTCTCTGAAGTTAGACTAGGGGCTCCAGGGGACATAGACTGGTTCCAGATGACAATTCTAGAATTCACAGAGCTAGCAAGGGAGATAGCTACCTTTTTTTGAAGTATTCTTGAGCAGAAAGGAGTTTTAAAGATCATCTTTTCCAACCCTGTGTATTTCCTCATTTTATAGATAAGGAAATAAAAAATGACCAGAGAGGAAGAGTGACTTACCTAAGATCACACAACTATTATTTTTACAAGCCTTTCCTAAGCATCTACCATATGCAAGACAATATTCTATTGAGGTGGCTCCAAGAAAAATAAAGCACAGTCTCAGCCAGGCACCATGGTTCATGCCTGTAATCCCAGGACTTTGGGAGGCTGAGGCAGGTGGATCACCTGAGGTCAGGAGTTCGAAACCAGCCTGGCCAACAAGGTGAAAACCCTACTCTACTAAAAATACAAAAACTTAGCTGGGCATGGTGGCAGGCACTTTCAATTTCAGCTACTCAGGAGGCTGAGGCAGGAGAATCACTTGAACCTGGGAGGTGATGGTTGCAGTAAGCTGAGATCACGCCATTGCACTCCAGCCTGGGCAACAAGAGAGAAACTCTGTCAAAAAAAAAAAAAAAAAAACCTCTGTACTCAAAGAGTTGTTAGTCTAATAAAGCAGCATGTAAGTGTCCTATGACACAAGGCAGGATAAAATCAGAGCTAAAAAGAAGTGCTTAAGAACCCTGAAAGAACTGAAAATAATTTCTGATTGGGAAACTAGAAAGAGTTTCACAAAGAACTAGCTTCTGAGCTGGGTATTAAGGATAGAAGGATCCAGGTCATGTAGTTCTATACACGTAGCTCCTATACTGGGATATTTTTCATTGTCACCCGCTGTCTCAGGGTACCCCTCTTGGAAAACCACAGCAAAATACCAGCCCCAAAAAAGATTAGGGCACAAAAGGAAACTGAGAAGAAATACAAGTGGGAAAGGACAAGTAGAAAGCAGTCGCCTTGAGAATGAAAGGGAACATCCTTAGAAGAAAACACAGCGCACCTGCTTGTATATAGCATCAATTAAAATGCAAAAAGCAAATCAAAGAGTGAGTATTCCCTGATCATGCTACAAAGTTAAAACAAGTCAGTAGGATTATTCAACAGATGATTATTGGTGCACTAACCTTCTTACATGTACAAAATATAGACTAGATCCATACTTCACTTGGAGCAAGGCAGGGGAGATTAGATAAGAGAAGAAAGAAAAGCAATTTTAAACCAGAGTCCCAAATGTATAGAGGCTAGAATAAATGCCACTGTGCAGACTGGAAATGCTAAGCCTCATCACAGGAAGCCAGGTCAGTGCAGAAACAGTAGTCTGAGAAATTAACCAACATGGATGTCATCACCCTAAGTGATTATTAAAGACATGGGGTGGTGAGACGACACAGCAAGAGAGTGCAGGGTGAGAGAGGAGCTTGAGCCAATATTCTGGAAAATTCCAACCTTTCAAGGACAGGGTGTAGCAATGAAGAGTCAGTGGTAACTTGAGTGATTACAATTTCATGGTGCAATGGGAGTGCAGGGCAGGACACAGTGGGTTGAGGTAGGTGCAAAACAAGGAATTATCCTTAAACCTGTACTCCAGCTACTTCTATAGAAGGCAGAAGCTATTCTACTGTCTTGCAAGCAAGAGTGCAGAATGATTAGATGCTGGGGCACATACTACACAGCAGGACAATGGAAGCTCCCTCCACCCAAAGGGGAAAATCTCTCAGACAGCTCTTGAAAAATGTTTCATCCCAAGCTATAGAACTTCACTGCAAGCTTCATTCCCCACTCCATTCCCAACCACACACCCAGAAATAAAACATTTGATTAGGAGACCAAATATCCCAGTTTACACCTGTTGTCCTAGCATAATAATTGATGGCTGGTGTCATCCCCTTCTACTCCCAAAAGTATCCCAGTTTGGAAAGTAGACTAGTGGTTGCCAAGAGTTAGGAATGGTGGGGGAAGAGTGGGTAGACATGACCATAAAGGGCTAGGTAGCAAGAGGGAGATCATTGCCTAAGTGATGGAATAATTCTGTATCTAGATTACATAAATCTGCACATGTGATCGATGACATAGAACAATGCACACACATTGTTCCCATGTCAGTTTTCCGGTTTTGATGTTGTACCCTAGGTATGTCAAATGTAATCACTGGGGGAAACTGGGTGAATGGTACATGTATCTTCTTTGTACTATCTTTGCAACTCCTGTGAATCTATAATTATTTAAAGGGCTTATTTTAAAAAAAGAAAAAACAGCTCCAGCAGCATTCACTGAGTGCTGGATCAGGACTTTGCAGACCTAAGGAGATTTGTGCAGCCAGTATTTGCTTGGATCCGTACAGTTGCTAATAGAAACATAGATTGCTGTTGCTGTAGACATGATGTTGGGGAAGACCCTGTTCTTTGAAGTTTGGAATTACAAGACAGAGAGGCCAAGAATTCTCTGTAACTCTTTTATTAGCTCTGATGCAAGAAAGAAACTGTTCCGGCATGAAGCAGCAGGGAGAGATGTAGCATGTGGAAATGGATCAGTGCATGCCTCAGAACCAGCTCAAAGACAGCAAAGGAGATCAGGAAGGAGGACAAAGACATCCCCTGTCTATCAGTTTCATCAATGTTCAGGAAAGGAGAGAATTAGAAGCAAACACCAAGCCCACATCATAGTACAGCTATAAACACAATTAGCTTATTCTATATGGTGACTCTTGTCATTCTCAACCACTCAGTTTATTTTCTCTTTAGTGTCGCAAGTTAAAATAATCTTATCAGGTATCTTTAATAACCACGGTTTTATTGAATGTTACGTATCTACACCATTCATGTGTCATTTCACTTCAATCCTCACATGAACTTACAAAGTGTATATCATTATCCTCATTTTTCATATGAGAAAACTGAGATCCAGACAGGTTAAGTAACTTACCCAATGTCACACGGACAATAAGGGGTAAGACCAGGATGCAAGCCCAAATCACTCCAATGCCAAACCTGTGTCATTCCACCACGCTATGCTGCCTCTTGTGGGATGAGACAGTCAAGGGTAGCCAAAGTGACAGGGTCACCTGAGCGGGGTGGAACCACCTGATGACTACACTCACAGTCCCATTGGTAAGGTGGGCAGAGAATGGCATCTGAGTATTCCCTGTGTTCCATCCACCCCTGGTGTTGGAGAAGCAAGGAGTCTCTCAGTTTCTTCCACCTTTCCCTCTCTTCCTTGAAGGTCTGAGTGAAGAAGAGAGGAATCCTGCCATCCACACCTGGAGCCATGTGCTGAGCCCCTTTTTCAGAGAGCTCCTTCAGGTCCTATGGATCTAATGCACCCCCAACCACCCCACTCCCACCTGCACCAACTCGCCTGTGGATGCAGGAGCATTAGGCACTGTATTAGTCCATTTTCACACTACTGATGCAGATATCCCCAAGACTGGGCAATTTACAAAAGAAAGAGGTTTAATTGGACTAACAGTTCCATGTGGCTGGGGAAGCCTCACAATTGTGGCTGAAGGCAAGGAGGAGCAATTCACGTCTTACGTGGATGGCAGCAGGCAAAAAGAGAGAGCTTATGCAGGGAGACTGCCATTTTTAAAACCATCAGATCTCGTGAGACTCATTCACTGTCAGAGAACAACATGGGAAAGATCCACCCCCATGATTCAATCATCTCCCACTGGGTCCCTCCCACAACACGTGGGGATTATGGGAGCTACAACGAGATTTGGTTGGGGACACAGAGCCAAACCTTTTCAGGTGCCATAAGTTAAACTGAGACCCTCAAGGGATGGCCAATGTCCTCAGCAACTATTGAACACACAATAGAACAAGAGAAACCCAACTGCGAAGTCTCTTTCTCACATCCTTTAGGTGGATGGCATCTGCCTTGCATTAGAGAAGAGAATAAAGAACTTTCCTGGCCCGAGAACATCTCCAGCAAAGGATGCAGCTGGGAAAAGCCTGCTAAACCCACTCTCACAGCAAAATTTGAGGTCAATGGGCCAAGTTATTAGATCAGAAATTATGAAGCCAAGAAAGCGAGGAAAAGCAGCAGCAATGTGGCTGACATCTCCACTAAGAGGCTGGACAAATAGTGCCAAGAATTTTGTCCTCTGTTCACAGGACTCTGACAGGCAAGTGACATATCTTCGGATCAGATCAGCGGAGTGGCAAGGTGAAGTTAAGCAGGTCAGAGGCCTCTCAGTCTCCCTTCTCAGACACAGTTACAGAAGAAAGAGAGGGACTATGAACAGTTAACGGCCTCATAAGATGTGCATAGAAACTAGCAACTGTGATTCATTCAAGTTTACACTGCAGGCCCTGAGATAAGTACTTGAAACATATTTATCTCACTGGATTGTCACAACAGCCATATAGGTCAGTATAATTATCATCTCCATTTTACAGGTGAGGAAACTGAGGATGAGAGAGACCAAACAATTTGCCTAAGATTTCATTGATATAAGCAATGCAAGCACAATTTGAACCCAGGCAAACTAAATTCCTGAACCCACACTTATAACTACCCTTATTCTGTTTCCCACACAGTTAACGATGGGAAGGGATGGGGGTTGGCGTGGGCAGAACTAGACTCTAGGTCTGTCCAGCTGTAAAACTCTGGCCTACTCAAAACACTGTATACCCATGGTTTCTTGGAGTGACACAAACACACACACACGTGTGCAAAATAGCATGCAGGCAATGAGCATGTACCCCATCTCTGCCTCCAACATACTTCCATCTTGCTTTAATGTCTACCTTTTGTGTGTGTGTCTTTACAATGTCTTCTTTGAGGCTGCATGTCCAGGAATCAGAAAAACCCAGAGTTGGGGTCTCAGGGCTTCCTCCATGTGACTTTATATGAGAAGAATCGCTGGCTGTGGAATGTGAGACACACAGCCCATCTAAGCCACCAGGTAGTACCCCATGAATTCTGGGGCAGGGTCACCCCCAGAATGGGTAAGTGTTCACGGAGGGATCTAAGTCCAGCCAGACCTGGGACTTGCCCTGGCCTCCCCACCCCACCCCACTGCCACACACACATCTTTGCAGCTGTATGGTACTGGGAAAGTTACAGTCACAGTACTCAAGACCAAAAATTTGCCAGGTTTTCCAGTCAGATACCTAGCAAGTTTTGAAAAATCTGGACTCTGAACAAGTGAGGCAAAGCATCACTGAAATAAAAGCCGCAGGTATTATTTGTAAAAAAATAAAACTCCTAGAAGAGCAGCCGTGGGGTAAGTAAAGTATGGATGACCCGAAGGGGAGAGGAATAGAGAAAGAAACTGATGGGAGAAGAGAAGCCCCAGGTGCATGAGCCACGCACTCCCAGAAGCAGAACTGGGGCACCCCAGGTATGACAAAAACAACCTAAAGGAGAACCAGCCAGGAACACAAAACCTGCCCAAAGTGGCACCTGGGAGCAGGACTTTATGGGGTTCCACCTTCCTAGCCTCACCTTAGGGCCCTGTGCAAAGGCTTCTTATACAGGCAGAGAGGTTGTTCATCTCAAACATTAGTCTCATGGGTGCAGTGTCATTGGGGCCAACTCCTGCACACCTCTTCAGCAGCCCAGGAGTCAGAGGCCACGTGGGTCACATTACAGGTGGGCAGTGGTGAGACATTCAAGGATCACACTCCTCCTTGTCGTAGAGCCCCAGAGGGGAGCTTTGGCCCAGGTTAAGGCCCCAGTGACTTCATCAGTGGATCTGAACTGGGTAGTATCAAGTTGTTAATAATAATAATAAACAAGACTCATTAAGAGCTTAGTATGTACCAGTTACTGCTCTAAACACTTGCATGTAATAACTCATTTAATCCACATACAAGATCGAGATGATGTAATCATATTTATCATGTTGTGAATATTAAAAGAGATGACACACAGTGTGTGATTTTGCTTTTTGTGAAATTGATGATAAGGATGATCACGGTAGTGGTGCTAGTAATGGTGGTGGCAGTGGCGATGATGGCAGTAACGAAGGTGATAGTGATGGTAACATGCATTATAGTGTAGTGAGTAAAGATATTGATTTGGAGTTACACCAAGACCTGGTTCAAATCCCAGCTCTACCACTTAGTCATTGTGTGACCTTAAGCAATTCAATTCTTTGAGTCTCAGTTTCCTTAACAGTAAGATAATAATATGTCTCTCATGGTATTCTTGGGAAGAGAAAATGCATGTCAATGCATGTCTTAGCACAGTACCTGGTACTTCATACGCTAGTGGCTGCTGTGGAGAGAGGACAGTGGCAACAATGCCTGCAGCAACAATGGCAACGATGTCAGAGCTTCTCCACAGTGGAAGGGGAGTTCCTGATCACACTCTACACAGCCCTTCCAGCAGAGACAACCTGAGGAGCCTCCTCTCTGGGGGAATGTTTTTTTGTTTGTGTGTGTTTGTTTGTTTGTTTGTTTGTTTTGTTTTGAGACGGAGTTTCGCTCTTGTTGCCCAGGCTGGAGTGCAGCGGCACGATCTCAGCTCACTGCAACCTCTGCCTCCTGGGTTCAAGAGGTTCTCCTGTCTCAGCCTCCCGAGTAGCTGGGACTACAGGTGCCCGCCACCATGCCCGGCTAATTGGGAGAATGTTTTTCACAAGCCACGTTTAGTCCCAAGTACACAAGAAGGCCTTCCATGCCGTTGCAGGCGCCACTCACTTAACCATTAACCAAGCTGGCCCTGGCCACACTGGGAAACCGACAAAGGTTATCTCTGGCATTATTGCATCACCTTCTCACCCCTTGCCCTGGCTTCCTGGGACCTTACACCAACCCCTAGTCTGCTGGGACTAGAGTCCCAGCCTTACCACATCTCCTTCTCCTTCCCAGAGCATTGCTTTTATCCTTCTGTGTCCAGTCAGCATTTGCCATTTGGGGTTCTATGGCCTTGAAGTTAATAATAATAATAGCTAACATATTAATATAATAGCTAATGTATATTGTGTGCTTACATTGATAGGTTTATGTAATCCTCACAACCACTCTATAAGTTGAGTGAAGGTATTAGCCTCATTTTACAGGTGAAGATGCTGAGGCTCAGAAATGGTAAGTAACTTTTCTTCGTCACACAGCTTATAAATTGCAGAACTGATACCTGACTTGAGATGTGTTTGATTTTGGAGCCCAGGTTCATTCTACCATATGATGCTGCCTGCCTTAAGCAAAGGCTTAACCCACAGGACTGAGAGTATTGAACACATAGGATGAAGAAGAAGCTGTTGGGGGAATAATGCATTTGGCTGACTCTCAAATCCTTCTAGAAAGGAGCTCTCCACCACTCGCTTTTCTCCAGGCCCTGTCCAGGCATTGTCATTGTCCAACTCTCGTGGTTACTATGAATCTTAGAAATGGTGTGTCAGCTCCACGTTCTAAAACTTGCTTGCTCATAAAACAGATTTAAAAAAAAAATATTGCAGCACATGCTTAGTTCCAGTAGTTCCACTTCTAAGTTCCACTTCTAAGAGGCTTTTGTAGAAACTGAGCAAGAGATAACAGTAAAAAGGGAGCAAATTCAAGCACTGGGACCAAAGTTTCCTGCATTGGACATGGTCATGACAACTGATATTGGTAAGATTTAAGAGGCTGTTGTGATCTTGCCATCAGCTCTGCCATTCTACCATTCTGGGACTCTTTATGATAATAACAGCAAAGGATGATTTCAGACTCCAGGTAACAGACAAGCTGATGGTGTTGCAGATGCAATGTTGGCACTCTCCAGGCAAGCCCAGTGTTCGGTGTATAAATAGAAGGCCGAGGTCATCAGGAAGCATGCCGGGGCTGAGGTCATCCTCCCCTGACACCATCATGGCAGGCCCCAGGCGAGTGTTGGGTCCACATCTGCTCCCCACAACCAGCCTGAGTCAGGAGAACATGATAGGTGGTGAGCGGGAAGCCAGCAAGTTGACTGGAGAATATCACCTGGGAAAAAGGAAAAGCCAGCAGGATGATTCAAAAATGGCAGGCAACTATGTACTGTGGGCCAGGTGTTGCTTTAAGCTCTTTATATTAATTGCTTCATTTAACTCTCATAATCAGCATGGCTACTATTATCTCCATTTTATAGATGAGGACAAAGAAGGGGGGTAGTAATTTGCCCAAGGCAGTACACTGAAGAGTCAGGCTTCCATTCCAGGAGGTGAATCAAGAGCTCCTAAATTTAACCACCGGGCTTTACTCTATCTGTGTTCTAGCCCTCAGGGAGAAGCGAAGACTGCGAGTCATTAAATAACAATGTTTAGGCCACTTTGTTATTTCCCCTCAAAACCTCCAGCCATAGAAATCTTTTGTCTACAAGACAGCACTTATTATGTAATAATGGACTCATTGTTTTCTTTAAGTCTTCTGTGGCTTTGATCCATGCCCATCAGCATGCACCGCCCCTCCCCGCTCCCCTTACCCCCCAACACAATGCATTTTCATCAAGGACAATTGGGATTTTCACTGGGCTCTTTAACAACCTGTGAGTAATTCTCAAAGCACCCAGATCACGCTTTGGGCTCCAAACTGAGAGTCACTGGCCTAGAAGCAGAGCTCAGGTACTGTCCAGCTCTCCCTGACACACTACCAGGTCACCTTTTCCACTTAAAACCCAACCAAGTAGTGTGGGCATGATTATCTGCCTGAGAAATAGAAGTGAGACATAATGTCAACAACAACAGTTATAATTATCATTTATTAAGTGTTATGCCCCTGCAATTTAACTCTCCAAAAACCCCATGTGTTGAAAAAAGTTAGTAGGTATTATTATCCCTGTCTTTCCCATAGGAAGCAGAGAGTCAAGGAGCTGAAAATACATGCCTCAAGATCCCCAGAGAAAAAGTAGCTGAGTAAGTATTCTCATTCAGGACTGCTTAACTCCAAAGCCCTGCTCCTAACAGTGAAGCCACAGAGATTCTCCTAAGGAGTAATAAGAACGTCCCAGAAGCAGCTCAGTTCAGTAGATATTTATCGATCATATACGACATGCCCCATACCATATTAAGCCTTAGAGATTAAATAAGACAGAAATGGTCCTTGACAAATAGAGTTCAGTGAAGACAACTATGGAATTTACTCATCCAACAAATACTTATTGAGCATCTACTATATGCCAGAGCCAGACACAATTCTAAATGTTAGAAGATGCGACAGGGAACAAAAAAGGCAGGGATGCTGCCTTCATAGGTTAGGACATTTCAAAACAATGGAATTGAGCATTTTCGACAGGTAGTGAATGAGTTGAAAAAAGAAACAAGAGCCCTACACTCAGCCCCAGCTGGGATGTGCTAACTGCCTTTCCAGCCCTCCGGGGAGCCATCTCCCAGCTGAAAACCTGGCCTGCCGAGGAGTAGTCACCCACCCTGGCAGCTCCTGAGTTCCATCCTGGGAGGGGATTGAGAGGGGCTGACTGGAGTATGGTGCTATGTAGCTAATCCCCAGTTGCGCTGGGTCCTCAGAAACTCTCCAATTAACACACGGGGCCATGAAGTTCTTCTCCTCACAAGTGCTCCCAAGGAGATGAATTTTAATTCACTTTCCTTTCAAGAGTAACTGTGTTGGCAAGCAACATTTTGTCACGGGAGGATGAGCAGAAGGTGTGTTAAAGGCAACAGGATGATGTTAAATGTTTGCTCCACAATGTTTAGGAATAAGGGAAGCTTTTTTTAAATTAAGTGCCTTAGAACTGGAGGGAGGGAGGAGGGGCATGGTTGGAAGTTTTCACATGAACCAACAACAGATGTTCTGTCTACAGTCCGGGGAGTGTGAACTACCACGGAGGCTACGTGGAGCGCGTGGCATCTGTGTTTGGAAAGCTTCATAACCACCTGCTGTGAGCGGGACATGCTTCCTCAGCATCTGAGTTAGGGTCAAGGGGTCAACCTGAACTGATAAGCCCCAGTGAACATTTCTTTCAGGCTGGGCTTGAAACCTCAGAGGGCCCCATGACTAAGCGCTGGTCCTGTGTGTGCTGAGTCAGCTCAGCCATCCTCCTGCCAAGGGGCACACGTCCCAAGGCAACATGAAGTTTCCTCTTTCGAGTGAGTCCATTTGGATCAAAGTCTTCAGTAAATGGAGAAACAGGAGGTACTGCCACAGCAAACTCAAGCTGGTGCTCTGTAAATGGTGGAAGTGTAGAAACCCCGAGCTGGTCCATCCTTGTCTTTCCTGAGTATGAGGTGGAAAAACGGAAGCCCAGGAAGTTGAAATGGATTGCTTGAGGACACACAGCAGGCCACATCTGCTGAATCCTTCTTGGGGCTCTTTTCACATGTCCTACTCAAAGTTTCAAACTTTCATGGAACTTTCCAAGCTCAAACGACAAGCTTGGACACCCTGTGTCAATGCTGATTGGCATGTTTCCTTGATTGCTCTAAAAGGGATGTGAATTATGACCCTTTAAAGATCCAGATTATGCCAAAAGCAGGCCTTCCAGCCAGGATGTCCCTGAAGTGCCCAGTTCCCTCCCTAAGAGCAAATGAACATCCTTTATAAGGCACTGCTATAGCATAATCACCATCAGAGAGGCTCAAAGTGCTTATGGTAATCCTAGAAAAATGGCTTTAAAATCCCATTGTTTAGAGCTTCTGCCTGCAAGATACAACTAAAAACCCTGACTATTATATGCAAAACAAATGTTAAAAGACTCAAGCGTGGAGAGAAGGAAGTGTAGGACCTGAGGAACGACGACCAACCGGGCAGTGATTTCCCCGGGTATTCTCTTGCCTGATACACCCTGGACTTGGAGTTGAAGCCAACTACCTGCAAACACTAACAGGCACAGACAAAAAAAAGTCCCAGCAAAACTCAACCAAAACCCACTCTCTCCAGCCAAAGGACCAAGAAAGGGGCAGCCTAGCAAAACAAAAAACTTTTAGATAATAATCACTCCTCTCCAGCCAATCACCACAAAAAAACACTGTGGTCCTGCCCCCACCCAAGCCAACAAAGGCAGACTAAGGAACTGAGACTTCCATCCTTGCGGGGCTGTACTAAGGATAGTATCAGAAAAGACGAAGAAAAGATCAGGAATTTTATCACCATTCATCTCAGTGGAGACCATGTGGAGAGCCTGGACTTTCAGCTTCATCCTGCAGTAATGAGGTGTCCCTCCTCTTCCCCCTAAAGTGGTAGAGAGGTGAGAGTTTCAGCATAATCCATCAGTAACAAGGTCATCCCCATCATGGTGTCACTGGAACATCTACCCCTGCGCAGAAGTAACAGAGGCCAAGTGGAGAACCTGGACTTCCATCATCACCTGGCAGTAACAAGGCAGAGTCCCTCTTCTTTCTTCTGCCAGAGTGATGTCAGAGAAAGCCAGTTAAAACAGAAGGTTTCAATAAGATCAGAGTATCATAACCTAATCTTAAAATTCCCATGTTTCAAAAATCACTTGTCATACCAAGTACCAGGAAGATGTCAAATTGAATGAAAAAACAATCACTAGATGACAACACAGAGACGATGAAATTATGTTAGAATTCCTTGGCAATGATTTTAAAACACCCATGATAAAAATGCTTCATAGAACAAATATGAGCTTGTTGCAAACAAATAAAAAATAGAAAGCCTCAGGAAAGAAATAAAAAGTCTCCACAAAGATCTGTAAAGAATATAAAGGGAAACCCAGTGGAAATTTTAGACCTGAAGATAAAACCTCAGTGGCTGGACTCAACAGTACAGTGAAAGAGCAGAGGAAAGAATCAGTGAATTTAAACACAGAACAATCTGAACAAGAGAAAAAATAGACTGAAAAAAATTATAATAATAAAAAAAAATTCAGGGACCTGCCGGACCACAGCAAAAGATCTAACATTTGTGTCATTGGGGTTCTAGAAAGAAATGAGAAAGAGAACAGGGATGAAAGATTACCCAAAGAAATAATGGCTGAAAACATCCCAAGTTTGTGAAGAGACATAAAACTAGCGATTCAAAATGCTGAGTGAACCCCAAATAAGATCATTGTGTATGCACCAAGCAACAGAACTGCAAAACCTGTGAAGTAAAAATTAATAGAATGAAAAGGAGAACTAGATAAATCCACAATTACAGTTGGAGACTTCAACACTGTCCTCTCAATGATTAATAAAAACAATTAGACAAAAATCAAGGATATGGAACTCAAAACACTATCAACCAATAAAATCTAATAGACATAGCTGGAACACTCTTCTCAAATAACAGCAGAACACACATTTATTTGAGTGTCCATGGAATATATACCAGGATAAACCATATACTAGGCTACAAAAAAAACTTTAACAAAGTTAAAAGAATGGAAATCATAAATAGCGTATTTTCCAACCTCAGTGAAGTCAAACTAGAAATCAATTATGGTAAGATAATAGAATAATCTCTAAATGCTTAAAAACTAAGCAACACACTTCTAGATAATCCATGGGTCAAACAGAAGGTTTCAAAGGAAATTTTTAAAATTACATTGAATTGAATAAAAATTAAAATCAAACATGAAAATTTGTGAGTCACAGCTAAAGCAGTGCTGAGAGAAATTTATAGCATTAAATGCATACATTAGAAAAGAAAGAAAGAAAAGTCTCAAATTAATAACCTAAGCTTCCCTCATGAGAACCTGGAAAAAGAAAAGAAAAATAAATTCGAAGCAAGAAGAAATCAAATACTAATTGATATGGTTTGGTTATGTCCCCTCCCCAATTTCATCTTAAATTGTAGCTCTCATAATTCCCACATGTTGTGAGAGGGACCTGGTGGGAGATAATTGAATCATGGGGGCGGTTTCCTTCATATCGCTCTCAGGATAGGAATAAATCTCACAGGATCTGATGGTTTTATAAGGGGAAATCCCTTTCACTTGGTTCTCATTCTCTCTTGCCCACAACCATGTAAGAAGTCCCTTTGCTCTTTCTTCATCTTCCGCCATGACTATGAGGCCTTCCTAGCTACGTGGAACTGTGAGTCCATTAAACCTTTTTTTCTTTGTAAATTACCCAGACTCAGGTATGTCTTTATCAGCAGCATGACAATGAACTAATACACTAATATAAAACCAGAAACCAATATAATAAAATTGAAAAGAGAAAACCAACAAAGAAAAATTCAATGAAATAAGGAGCTAGTTCTTTAGAAAGAACTATACACTGAAGAGGTTCTGCACAGCAAAATAAACTATCAACCAAGTAAACAGACAACCTACAGAATAGGAGAAAATGTTTGCAAATTATACATCTGACAAAGGTCTAATATCCAGCATCTATAAAGAGCTCAAACAAATGTACATGAAAAAAACAAACAACCCAATCAAAAAGTGGGCAAAGGACATAAACAGACACTTCTCAAAAAAAGACATACATGCAACCAACAAACATGAAAACAAAAAGCTGACCATTAGAGAAATGCAAATCACTAATCATTAGAGAAATGCAAATCAAAACCACAATGAGATACCATCTTGCACAAGTCAGAATGGCCATCACTAAAAAGTCAAAAAATAACAGGTGCTGGCAAGGTTGCAGAGAAAAAGGAACACTTATACACTGTTGGTGGGAGTGTAAATTAGTTCAGCCATTGTAGAAAACAGTGTGGCAATTCCTCAAAGACCTAAAACCAGAAATACCATTCAACCCAGCAATACCATTACTGGATACCCAAAGGAATATAAATGTCCCTATCATAAAGACATATTCACACGTATGTTCATTGCAGCACTATTCACAATAGCAAAGACATGGAATCAACCTGAATGCCCATCACTGGTAGACTGGATAAAGAAAATATGGTACATATACACCAGGGAATACTATGCAGCAATAAAAACGGATGAGATCATGTCTTTTGCAGGAATGTGGATGGAGCTGGAGGCCATCATCCTTAGCAAACTAACACAGGAACAGAAAACCAAATACTACATGTTCTAACTTATAAGTGAGAGCTAAATGATGAGAACACATGGACACATAGAGGGGAACATACACTGGGACCTACCAAAAGGTGGAGGGCTGGAGGAGGGAGAGGATCAGGAAAAATAACTAATGGGTACTAGGTGTAATACCTGGGTGATGAAATAATCTGTACAACAATCCATGACAAAAGTTTACCTACATAACAAACCTGCACATGTACCCCTGACCTAAAATAAAAGTTAAAAAAAAGAAAGAAAGAGCTATACAACTGTAAAACCTCTCACAAGACTGACAAAGGAAAAACAGAGAAGACACAAATTACCAATATCAGGAATGAAACAGAGGATGTCATTACAGATCCTGAAAACATCAAAGGGATAATAAAGTAATAGTATGAATAACTCTACACCACATAAATTTAATAACTTAGACAAAATGGTCCAGTTCATCTAAAAACACAAACCACCACAGCTCACTCAATATGAAACAGATAATTTGAATAGCCCTATAATATTAAGAAAATTGAATCAATAATTTTTAAACTCCAAAAACAGAAATCTACAGGCCCAGATTGTCTCATGAAAGAATCTACCAAATGTTTGAAGAAGGATTAACTAAATTCTGTACAATGACTCCCTGAAAAGTAGAAGTGGGGACACTTCTCAATTTGTTTTATGAAGCTAGTATTACCATCATCTCGAACCCAAGGACAACACAAAAAAGAAAACTGCAGACCAATATCCCTTATGAATATGGACATAATATTAGACATAGTCATAGAAATCCTTAATAAAATATTAGCAGATAGAATTAATCAATATATGAAAAGTGTATGGTGTATACATGATCAAGGGAGTTTTATTCCACCGATGCTTGATATTTGAGAATCAATGTACAATCATGACATAGTAAACATAACCCACCACAGTAACAGGCTAAAGGAAGGTAATCATATGATTAAATCAATAAACATAGACACAGCATTTGACAAAATTCAACAGCCGTTCATAGTTAAAAAAAAAAACTCTCAGGAAATAAGAATAGTGGAGGATTTCCTCATCTTGATCAGTAGGATTTGCAAAAATCCTATAATGAATATTATGCTTAATAATGAAAGACTGAAAGCTTTCCCTCTATGATTGGGAGCAAGGAAAGTGTCCGCTCTCACCACTCTTATTCAACATAGTGCTAGAAGTCGTAGCTAGTGCAAGAAGGCAATAAGTGGTATATATTAATATATTGAAAAGAAAGAAATAATACTGTTCCTGCAGAAGACATGATTGTCTATATAAAAAAACCCCAAGGAATCTACCAAAAAAAATCCTAAAACTAATAAATGAGTTCAATAAAGTTGCAGGATACAATATAAACATAGAATCAATTATATTTTTATATATTAATACTAGCAATGAGCAAATGGATACCAAAATAAAAAATACAAATACTATTTACAATCACTCAAAACTAATACTTAGGTATAAAAATAGCAAAGCATGTAAGGACTTGTATGCTAGAAACTACACAATGCTAATGAAAAAAGTCAAAGAATATGTAAATAATGTAGAGACATATTGTATTCATGGATTAGAAGACTTAACCTAGTAAAAGTGTCAGTTGTCCCCAAATTGACATAGAGGTTAAATGCAGCTCATATCTTAATCCCAGCAAGGATTGTTATAGACCTAGACTATATTATTCTAAAATGTATAGAGACAGACCAAAAAATAGACTATCTAAAATAATCTTGAAAAAGAAGAATAAAGTGGGAGCAATAAGTTACAAGACTTATTCAGTTTCAAGACTTATATAGAGCTATGGTAATCCAAACTGTATGGTACTGGTATAGGGATACACACATAGAATAATGGAACAGAACAGAGAATTCAGAAATAGACCCACACCTGTATCCCTAACTGATTTTTGACAAAAGTGCAAAATCAATTCAATGAAGAAAAGAGTTTTCTCAATAAATGTCTGGAGCAATTGGACATCCATAGGTGAAAAAGGAACATCAACCTAAATCATATAAAAATTAACTCAAAATGGATCACAGACTTAAATGTAAAACATAAAAACTATAACACTTTCAGAATGAAACATAAGAGAAAATCTTGGCCAGACTCGGTGGCTCATAACTGTAATTCCAGCACTTTGGGAGGCTGAGGTGGGTGGATCATGTGAGGCCAAGAGTTGAAGACTAGCCTGGCCAACATGGCAAAACCCCATCTCTACTAAAAATACAAAAAGTAGCTGGACATCGTGATGCATGCCTGTAGTCCCAGCTACGCAGGAGGCTGAGGCACGAGGTTGCAGTGAGCTAAAATTGTGCCACTGCACTCCAGCCTGGGGAACAGAGCAAGACTCTGTCTCAAAAAAAAAAAAAAAAAACCTAAAAAAAGAGTGTATAAAAAATAAGAAAATCTTTAGGATCTACGGTTTAGGATCTAGGGCTAGGCAAAGAGTTTTTCGACATGATACCAAAAGTATGATATGTAAAAGGAAAATATTGAAAATCAGACTTCACCAAAATTAAAAATCTTGCTCTGTGAAAGGGCATGTCAATAGTATGAAAAAGCAACCTACAGAGTAGAGAAAATATTTGCAATCACTTGTTCAAGAAAGGACTAGTATCTAGAATAAATAAAGACTTCTCAAAACTCAACAGCATAAAAACAAATAATTCAATTAGATAATGGGCAGGAGACATTATTTTTCAGTTTCAGAGAGACACAGATGGCAAATAAACACATGAAAAATGTTCAACATCATTAGCCATTAGGGAAATGCGAATTAAAACCACAATGAGATATCACTACATACCTATGAGAAAGGCCAAAATAAAAAATAATTACAACAAAATGCAGGCAAGCTGGGTGACTCATACATTACTGGTGGAAAAGTAAAATGATACAACCACTCTGGAAAACAGTTTGGCAGTCGCTTGCAGAATTAAACATGCCCTTACCATGTGACCCAACAATCACACTCCTAGGCATTTATCCCAGATAAATGAAACCATAAGTTCATACAAAAACCTGTACACAAATGTTTATCACATCTTTATTTGTAGTAAACCCCAAATGGAAATAATTCAGATGTCATTCAACACATAAATGGTCAAACAAACTGTAATACACCCAAAACAAAGAACCAGGAACAAATTATTGAAATACGCAACAACCTGGATTTATCTCCAGAGAATAATCGGATTGAAAAAAACCCAGTCCTAAAAGATCACATACTATATAATTCCCATTTATATAAAATTAGTTTAACCATTGTGGAAGTCAGTGTGGCAATTCCTCAAGGATCTAGAACCAGAAATACCATTTGACCCAGCAATCCCATTACTGGGTATATACCCAAAGGATTATAAATCATTCTACTATAAAGACACATGCACATGTATGTTTGTTGCAGCGCTGTTCACAATAGCAAAGACTTGGAACCAACCCAAATGCCCACCAATGATAGACTGGATAAAAAAAATGTGGCACATACACACCATGGAATACTATGCAGCCATAAAAAAGGATGAGTTCATGTCCTTTGCAGGGACATGGATGAAGCTGGAAACCATCATTCTCAGCAAACTAATACAGGAACAGAAAACCAAACACGGCATGTTGTCACCCATAAGTGGGAGTTGAACAATGAGAACACATGGACACAGGGAGGGGAACATCACATACCAGGGCCTGTCAGGGGGTGGGGAGGTAGGGGAGGGAGAGCATTAGGATAAATACTTAATGCAAATGACGAGTAGATGGGTGCAGCAAACCATCATGGCACACGTATACCTATGTAATAAACCTGCACATTCTGCACATATATCCCAGAACTTAAAGTAAATTAAAAAAAAAAAAAAAAGATGTCTGAAATGACAAAATTATAGGAATGGTGAACAGATTAATGGTTGCCAGTAGTTTTGAAGGGAACAGGGATGAAGAAGTAGGAGTGGCTATAAAAGGGCAACAAGAGGTATGCTCTGCTTGTGAATATGTCATTATCTCAAAATAAAAATCTTAATTAAAAACCTAACTACAGGCCCAGCTCAGTGGCTCACGCCTGTAATTCCAGCACTTTGGGAGCCCGAGGCGGGTGGCTCATGAGGTCAAGAGATGGAGACCATCCTGGCCAACATGGTGAAACTCCATCTCTACTAAAAATACAAAAACTAGCTGGGTGTGGTGGCGGGAGCCTGTAGTCCCAGCTACTCAGGAGGCTGAGGCAGAAGAATTGCTTGAACCCAGGAGGCGGACGTTGCAGCGAGCCAAGATCACACCACTGCACTCCATCCTGGTGACAGAGCAAGACTCCATCTCAAAAAAATAAAAAATAAAAACTACAAAAAGCTCAAATTTCGAAGAAGCAAAAAAAAATTTTTTTAAAGAATGCGTCAAAAACCAGTGAAATCTAAATAAAGCCTGTACTAGTCTTCACCAATGTCAACTTCCTCCTTTTGAAAACTGTACTGTGGCTATATAAGATGTTATCGTTTAGGAAAACTGGGTGAAGGGTACATACGATCTCTATGTACTATTTTTGCAGCTTCTTATGAGTCAAACTATTTCAAAATGAAAAGTTGTCACTTAAAAAAAAACACATTTAAAATTAGCTGAGCATGGTGGTGTACAGCTGTAGTCCCAGCTACCCAGGAGGCTGAGGCAGGAGGATTGCTTGAGCCCAGGAGTTTGAAGCTGCAGGGAGCTATGATCATGCCACTGCACTCCAGCCAGGACAACACAGTGAGACCCCGTCTTTAAAGAAAAGAACAAATGAAATAAAAATTTAAAAACATTTAATATTCTTGAGTCTTAAAACCGAGAGCCCACAGGGGCCCCTGCGGCCACCGCAATGCAGAAATAAAAGAAACTGGAGAAGATTGGGGAAGGCACCTATGGGACAGTGTTCAAGGCCAAAAACTGGGAGACTCATGAGATTGTGGCTCTGAAATGGGTGAGGCTGGATGACAATGATGACGGTGTGCCGAGTTCTGCCCTCCGGGAGATCTGCCTACTCAAGGAGCTGAAGCACAAGAACATCGTCAGGCTTCATGACCTCCTGCACAGCGACAAGAAGCTGACTTTGGTTTTCAAATTCTGTCACCAGCACCTGAAAAAGTATTTTGACAGTTGCAATGGTGATCTCGATCCTGAGATTGTAAAGTCATTTCTCTTCCAGCTGCTAAAAGGCCTCGGATTCTGTCACAGCCGCAATGTGCTACGCAGGGACCTGAAGCCCCAGAACCTGCTAATAAACAGGAATGGGGAGCTGAAATTGGCTGACTTTGGCCTGTCTCGAGCCTTTGGGATCCCCATCTGCTGTTACTGAGCTGGAGTGGTCACACTGTGGTACCACCCACCAGATGTCTTCTTTGGGGCCAAGCTGTACTCCACGTCCATTGACTTGTGGTCAGCTGGCTGCATCTTTGCAGAGCTGGCCAATGCTGGATGGCCTCTTTTTCCAGGCAATGACGTCGATGACCAGTTGAAGAGGATCTTCTGGCTGCTAGGGATGCTCACCAAGGAGCAGTGGCCCTCCATGACCAAGCTGCCAGACTATAAGCTGTACCCATTGTACCCGGCCACAACATCCCTGGTGAACATCGTGCCCAAACTCAGTGCCACAGGGAGGGATCTGCTGCAGAATCTTCTGAAGTGTAACCCCTGCCAATGTATCTCAGCAGAAGAGGCCCTGCAGTACCCCTACTTTTCCGACTTCTGTCCGCCCTGGGCCCAGGGACCCCCAGCCACCAGGCTGGGGCCTGGCCTATTTAAGCCTTAGGAGGGGTGGGACAGTGGGGGTGCCCAGTGTGCTGAGCTCCAGCTGTGCTGGGCCCAGCCAGGATGGGATGCCTGAGCCCAAGTTTCTCACTTCCTTTGTGGACTTTAATTTCTTTTTTTTTTTGAGATGGAGTCTTGCTCTGTTGCCCAGGCTGGAGTGCAGTGGTGCAATCTGGGCTCACTGCAAGCTCCGACTCCTGGGTTCATGCCATTCTCCTGCCTTAGCCTCCAGAGTAGCTGGGACTACAGGCATCACACTCGGCTAATTTTTTGTATTTTTAGTAGAGACAGGGTTTCACCATATTAGCCAGGATGGTCTCGATCTCCTGACCTCGTGATCCACCCACCTCAGCCTCCCAAAGTGCTGGGATTACAGGCATGAGCCACTGCGCCCAGGCAACTTTATTTAATTTCATAAATTGGCTCCTTTCCCACACACACACACACACACACACACACACACACACACACACACGGAATTTAATATTCTTATTTTGTTACCTTTGATCAACTCTTAAAAGACCACAGGCAAATCCTTGTGCCAGTGCCTAGGTTTCCATGTGGCCACTGTGTAGATACACCCACTGCCCTGGGAAGCACACTTTCTGCTAAGTGCACATCAGTTGTCAATCAAAATCCTCAACTCACATGTGCAAGGCTTACCACTTTCTTTACTTTCTATGACGCAACTTCATTTGTATGTTAAGGTCCTATTCAGCCAATGTCGTGAAAATGATGGCAGACAGTTCAACTCCTATCCCTTGCTCATTTCCCCAGGGAGATGGTTCAGGTTCCAGGACACAGACAGAGCCTGATATCAACATGGGGGTGGGCAGTAGGGAGAGAGAGGGGGCAAGCACCCTCCTATGCTCAGAGTGTCATCTGTGCACCCTGCAATCTTGAGGATCCATCACCCCATCATTCCTCATCCACACCATTTGGATTAATGTCCTATGCCTGCTGTGAGAGATTACCACAAACGTCATGGTTGAAAATGACACAAATGTATGCTCTTATAGTTCCAGAGGTCAGAGGTCTAAAATGGGTCTCATGGGATGAAAACCAAGGTGTCCACAGGGCTGCTTCCTTTTAGGAAGCTCCAGAGGAGAGTCCATTGTCTTGCCTTTTCCTCTTTCTAGAGGCTGCGTACTTTAACAGGGTGTGGTGGCGTGCGCCTGTGGTCCCAGCTACTCGGGAGGCTGAGATGGGAGGAACACTTGAGCCTAGGAGATGGAGGTTACAGCAAGCTGAGATCATACCACTTCACTCCAGGCTGGGAGACAGAGTGAGACCCTGTCTCAAAAAAAAAAAAGTTTAAAGGCTGCCTACATTCCTCACTTGTGGCTGCATCACAGTGACCTCTTGCTTTCATGGTCATGTCTTTTTCTCTAACTCTGACCTTTTGCCTCCCTCTTATAAAGAGCCTGGTGTTCATGTTAGAACCACCGGATAATCCAGGATAATCTTCCATCTCAAGATCCTTAACTTAATTATATCTGTGAAATCCCTTTGCCGTGTAAGAGGACAGATGCACAGGTTCCAGGGACTAGGACGTGGACCTCTTTGGGGCCGTTATTCTGGTTTTTTTGTTTTTTTGTTTTTTTGAGACGGAATCTTGCTCTGTCACCCAGGCTGGAGCGCAATGGCACGATTTCAGCTCACTGCAACCTTTGCCTCCTGGGTGCAAGCGATTCTCCTGCCTCAGCCTCCGGAGTAGCTGCGATTACAGGCATGTGCCACCACGCCTGGCTAATTTTTGTATTTTTAGGACAACTGATGTGCACCTAGGCAACCTAGGCACTGGCCACCATGTTGGCCAGGCTGGTCTCAAACTCCTGACCTCATGATCCGCCCACCTTGACCTCCCAAAGTGCTGGGATTACAGGTGTGAGCCACTGCACCCAGCCTGGGGCCATTATTCTACGGACTACACAACCCTGGGCACTTGGGCTCATACCACGCTCATCCCCCACACTGGTTACTCTTGCTGCATCACACACCACCCCTTAGGAGTGTGAGACAACCATTTTATTATGCACACTATTTTGTGGCTCAGGAATTCAGACAGGACACAATGGGAATGGCTTGTCTCTGCTCCAATGATGTCTAGGGCAACAGCTGGTAAGACCAGATCCCTGGGAGTGACTCAACAGCTGGAGGCTGGAATCATCTGGAGGGTTCATCGTTCCCTTGTCTGGTGGGGGATGCCAGCTGTTGGCTAGGACCTCAGATGGGGCTGCTGACTCGAGGCCTCTCCTAACGTGCTGAGGTCAACTTACAGCACAGCAGCCTCTAGGGAAACGGACTTCTTACACAGCGGTTCAAGTTTCCAAAACTTAAGTGTCCCAGCAGGTGCAGCAGAAGCTGCATTGCCTTTCGCAACCCAGCCTCAAAAATCACATAGAATCATTCATTTCTGCTGCACCCTATTGTTCAAAGCACTCACAAACCCAACCAGATTCAAGGACAGGGGAAATAGACCCTATGTCCTGATGGAAGGTGGTAAAGTCACTTTATGGAACAGCCAAGGAGAGGGAAGGCAGGGTTTTCTCTACCTGCCTCACTAAGCAACCACTTTTTCTCTGGTGTCTCTCTACCCACCCCCAGAACTCTACCTGGAAATGGCTCAGGTCTTCTGATCTGATCCCACAGTCTTTGGGGGTGGATGTTGCCACATCCTTGGGGTTCATCCAGAGAGAAGGAATCTGCACCACCCTCATTACTTTCCCTCCGACTCTCTCTCTTCTCCCAAATGAAGGCATCCATTCCAGGTGTGGGAGAGGCAGCAGTGAGGCTTCTCTTTTTTCTGTTCTCTCTAAAATTTATTGTCCATGCCCTAAGTTCTTTCCATCCCCCTAGGGATCCACATTTTTAAAACTAGAAAGCCAGGAGTTTGCTCAAAAATGCAATTTTTACCTCATTCCTTCTCTGAGGGGAAAAGCATCAAAAATTCTTATCTCTACTTGGATGAGGTGAAGAAGAAGTTCAAGGGGTATAAGGATGTGGATGGAGGTGATACCATCACTAAACATTTCCAAAAATGTTGTCTTGCCACAGGTACAATTCCCACAACAGCTTGTGTCTTCTGTTGAGGTCTCCAAGGGACTCTCCTCTGAATAAATAATACCCATTTTCCCAATCCAATGCAAATAAAATAAGGAGTACATATGGGGCCCAATAAATCATCTATCTTCATCACCGTTAGTAGCCACGCTGAAGGAGGGGGTCATAGGTCTGTACTATGGACTAAATGTTTGGGTCCCCTCAAAATACATATGTTGAGGCCCTACTCCCCAACGTTTTGGTATTTGGAGATGGGATCTTTGGGAGGTAATTAGCATTAGATGAGGCCGTAAGGTTGGGGTCCTCATGATGGGATTAGTGACCTTATTAGAAAAGATACCAGAGAGCTAGAGAGCTTGCTTGCTTGCTCTGTTTCTGTCTGGCTTTCCTTCTCTCTCTCTCTCTCTTTCTCTCTCTCTCTCTCTCTCTCTCTCTCTCTCTCTCTCTCTCTCCATACACACAAAGTAGTCATGAGAGCACGTAGCAAGATGGCAGCTGCCTAAAAGTGTTGTTTAAGCTACCCAGCTGGGCATTTTTTATGGCAGCCTGAGCTGACTAATATCATCTGTTAGCCATGTGGGCTGCAAATACACAACCCAGAATGAGACTGGCATACCCACACAGGTGCAGGCAGTGCTGCTGGCTGGGAGTGCCCCAACCAACGCTAAGACGCAGAACAAAGGAGTCTCAGGGTCTCAGGGGAGTGCCCCGAGGAGGAAGGGTGCAGCTGAGCCAGACACTTCCAGAGTCAGAGAGAAGCAGAAACATCCTCTGGAGAAAACCCCTCCTCCTGGAAACCAGGAGTGGGGAAAGGCGTTCCCCTTAAATGTCATCTATGGCTGCTGAATGATGCATGTTTTCATTCACTTACTCATTCAGCAAACATTCACTCAGCATCTACCCTTTATCAATTGTTTATTTCTATGGAAAAAACACCTGCCAAAATCTTAGCAGCATAAAACAACACAAATTCACTATCTCACAATTTCTGTAGGTCGGAAATCTAGTCATGGCCTCACTGGATTCTCTGCTCCGGGTCTCACTGGACTGAAATCAAGGTGTCAATCAGAGCTGCGCTTCTCATCTAGGTCTCAGGGTATTCTTTCAAGCTTGTTGGCTATTGGCAGAATTCATTTCCTTGTGCTTTTAGGACTGAGGTCCCAAGTGTCTTGTTAACTGTCAGCCAGGGTCTGCTCTCAGTTTCTAGAAGTGGCTCTCAGGTCCATCTTAGCAACAGAAAACCTCCCTCGTGTAAAATCCTTCTCATTCTTTGAATGTCTCTGACTTTCCCTTCTGCCACCAGCCAGAGAAACCTATCTGCTTTTAAAGGACTCATATGATTAGATCAGGCCTATCCAAATAATCTTCATAATCTCCATATTTCAAGGGCAAGTGATTTGGCACTTTAACAACATCTGCAAAATCTTTTCACAGCAATGCCTACATCCATGGTTGATTGAATAACCAGGGACTGGGAATCTTGGGGGCCATCTTTGAATTCTGCCTGCTATATATCCCATGTGAGGCAAGAAACAAGGACACAGAGATGACTATGGCGAAATACTCATCCACAAGGGACTTATAGTAAAATGGATACAACAAATACAGAGAAGTAACTAGATTATTGGGCAATAATTGCTAACTCAAGGTTAAGTGCAAGGTTCTGTAGGACTTCAGAGGTGGCAGGATTAACTCTTTGGGAGAGTACAGGAAGGCTTCCTAAAGAAAGTGACATTTGATCTGTGTCTTGAAGGACCGAGGAAGAGGGAAGCCATTCCAGGTACAGGGTGCACCATTTACAAAGATGGAAAAGATCATGGAAAATGTAGGGAGTGACAAGGAACCCAGTGATGCTAAATTGTAGAAGACAAGATTAGAAGAGGCAGAAGACTAGGCTGGAAATGCTGATTTGGACAAGTTTATGCAAGATCACTTCTGCTACCCCAAAGAAGTAGAAAGCAATAAAAGATTGTAAGCAAGGAGGTGACCAAGCAAGATATGTGTTTTGGTGACAGCATGGATAGTAGACATAGAAATTGGAGCCAGGGAAATCAGTTAGTTGGTGTTTACAGAATTTCAAGTTCCTTGAACTGTCTTAAGTAAGGCTGCTATAGAACAAATAACCAGAGACTGGGTGGCTTAAACAAGAGAAATTTATTTCTCACAGTTTTGGAGGCTTGCAAGTCTAAGATCAGGGTGCCAGCATGATCAGGTTTGGGTGACAGCTCTCTTCCTGGCCATCTTCTTGCTGTGTCCTCACTTAGAGGGAAGCAGGGAGAGAGAAAGTGAGCTCTCCGGTGTATCCCTTTATAAGGGCACCAATCCCGTTAAAATGGGAAAAGTTCCCTTGTCCCCCTCGCAGGGCATGCAATGAGGGTGTGGTTCGCTTCTTCAGTGCCCCGCTACTCAAACTTCTACAGGAGTGTACAGACAGGCAGGCCATGAGGCTTCGATCCCACGGCAGTGCCTAGGGGTGAATGTTTGTAGCTCCTGAAGCCCCAGTGGGTGTGTGTTACAGGGTGCTCTTTTAGTTTAGCTGTCTATAGGCGGCTTGTGTTAACCAGCTCAGTTAGACCCCCTTCCTTATCACAAGGACAGAGGGATTTCTTTATTCCAGGGTTTCTTGCCTTGGTGTACCAGAAGAATCTGATCACACGTGGGCTTGGAGAATGAGTGCAAGGTTTTATTGAGTGTAAGTAGCTCTCAGCAGATGGGGGAGCCAGAAGGGAGATGGTTTTCCCCTGGAGTCAGGCTGCTTAGCGGCCCAAATCTTCTCCAACTGCCCCTCTCATCTGGCTGCCTGTGTCTACCTGCTGGAGTCTGGGGTTTTTATAGGACCAGGATGAGGGTGTGGCGGGCCAGGGTGGTCTTGGAAAATGCAACGTTTAGACACAAAAGCAGGAGTCCTCACCTAGCCTAGTCCTCACAAAAGCCTGTCCTCACCTAGGTCTGTAGGGGTGGAGCCCTGGCCAGGGACCCACATTTCTCTACCCAGCACTCCAGTATCACTATCAGGAAGGCCCCACCTTCATGATCTAATCACCTCCCAAAGGCCCCGCCCACTTCCTAATATGATCACATTGAGGATTAGGATTTCAACATATGAATTGGGGGGCAAGGGAGCACAAACATTCAGCCCTTCAACCCGTGGCACTGATTCTTATGCTCTCAGAGGGAGCAACATTGTAATAGATTCATACATGAAGAACTGTGACAGGCAGCCAGGTGTCAGCAGTGTGAAACATGTACCGCTTAAGTAGCATGTGTGGCCATGAGATGGTTTTAAATGATGTCCAGGTACAGCACAAAATAGCTCTGACTCAGAGAAAGTTACAACTTTCAATTCTCTTCCCATCCTTTTAATTAGCTCAAGAAAAAATTCTCAGTTTGGTGCTACCCTGTCTCTAATAACCTTCTAACACCTTTCCCCTCCATCTCTACCTTCTGCAAATAAGAGTATCTAGCTAGCTCAATAGTGCTGTTTTTTTTTTCCCATGGTTATTTTCACTGTTACCTTTCATTGGTTCATTTGAAAATTCAATATTGGATTTTCTTGTTTCTATTGTGACAAAAGGCTTCTTTAGTATTAGTATGAAATAAGTGCATTTAAGTTTTAAAAATGTGAATCAATGTAAATAAAATGTTTTCTTTTTTTTTTTTTTTTTTTTTTTTTTTGAGACAGAGTCTAGCTTTGTCACCAGGCTGGAAGTGGTACAATCTTGGCTCACTGTAACCTCTGCCTCCCCGGTTCAAGCGATTCTCCTGCCTCAGCCTCCTGAGTAGCTGGGATTACAGGCACTCACCACCACACCTGGCTAATTTTTTTTTGTTTTTAGTAGAGATGGGGTTTCACCATGTTGGCCAGGCTGGTCTCAAACTCCTGACCTCAAATGATCCACCTGCCTCAGCCTCCCAAAGTGCTGGGATTGCAGGTGTGAGCCATGACCCTGGCCAAATAAAATGTTAAATTAAAAATACTATAGGTAGTTCCTTTGCTACTGGGACAAAATTGGTGAAGGGGGTTTGCACATGAGTTAATTTGCAAGTCACAAGTATAGTGGGAAGCAGGCAGGATTTGTAATCAATCAAATGTGGGCTCAAGACCTGCTTCTAACTTATCAGCTGTATGGCCCATGGATAATTCATAAGCTTCTATAAACTTGTTTTCTCCCACAAATTAAGGAGACAATATACTATTCAGAAGGTTGTTTAAAAGATTAAATTACATAAAGTATAAGAAGCACCTCCCAGGCAGCCATGTACATGGTGGGCACTTGCACTCCCTATCACAGTGTATATCCTTAAATAATGGAAACCTCTGTTTTTGGCAACACCAAACAGGAACTTAACTCCAGTACCTACTGAGTATCTATGCTTGATAAATGAGTTCTTATTTGCTTAGGATCTGGGACCTGTGGCGCGGGATCCTTCATGAGCAACAACTAAAATCAAGAAAAGCTTTGATTTGGAGAGTGGGCCAGCTCAGGCATCATGGACCAAGAGGCCTCTCTACCCCTTGTCCTGGCCTCCAATATTTCACAATGCTACCTATACCCTGCAGAGTTCAGGGGGAAGTAGATCTGAAATATTCAGATATATGTGCAAATAAAGACACGGATAATAACTCCCATTTTATTTATCTATCACTGTGTAATAAACCACCCCAAAAGTTAATAATGTTAAACAACTACAGTCTTATGATCATCTCATTATTCTGTGGGTTGACTAGGTGGAGCTGGATGGTTTTCCTCTACATAATGTCAGGTGAGACTAGAGTCAAGTGGGAGATCGATTAGGCTGGAGCATCCAAGATGGCTAAAGTCTGTGTATTAATCAGGATCTCAGGTGGAGCTATTGTCCCTATCACCTTTGTTTTCACTCCATGTGGCCTCTCCATGAAACTTCGGCTTCTCACAGCATGGCAGCAGGACCCTAAAAGGAAGGAAACAGAAACTGCCAGTCTCTTAAGACTTGGATTTAGATGTCTCAGAATATCACTTTCATTGCATCCAAAGCAATCACAGGACCAGTCCAGATTCCAAGGGAGGGGAAGTAAACTCCACCTCTTAATGGTGATGTATTTTTCAAAAAAGGAAGGAAAGGATTGAAAAAAGCCATCTTAGAAGACTACCACACCTCCTAAAGCTTTCACTTTTTGCAAAAGGTTTTTATTCTTGAAATGTGTGTATATTTCAACTAAGCAAATATGTACCTAGGAATTTATCCTAAGGAAGTAATCGCAGATGATTCAAAAGATCTGACACAAGGTTGTTCATTGGAATAAAATTGAAACTACCCAATGCCCAACAACAGGGGACCAATTAAGTCCAAAGGTGGTTGAGGACAGTGTTTTAAAAGTCTATTCTCTGGGAAGCAGGTAAAATTAAGCTTAAATTCCAACTCCATTACTTAGCATCTGTGTGATGTCGAGCAAGGTACAGTACTTAAGCTCTTTAAGTCTCAGTTTCTATATCGGTAAAATAAAGACAAAATATAGATTTTTGTGATGATTCAATGAGATGATACATATAAAAGGCTCAGCACATGGTAAATGATCAATAATTGTGAACTGCTATTATTATTTATGATAGTCCTTAGTGCTATCATATTAGTGCAAATCTTTCCCATTCTCTCCATTTCCAGGCACACAATACTTCCATGGATCTTTACAGTTAACTTTGTGTTTAGTTCTGACCAATGAGTTGTAAGTGAAAGTGGCATACGTTACTTCCTGGCTGAACATTTACTTGTCCAACATTATTGATTCTGAAGCTCCTAAATACTGTCAGATAACGGTCTGTCTACTCCATGAGTATACTTCAAGCAAACAGGGATCATACCACATAAAGCAAAAGCCACCTTTGTCTTATTCCTCATTGTTTTCTCTTTATATGGTGCAAGTTCAGTCCATGCTAAACTCTGAACAATTTTAAAACACTGCAACACATCAGAAGCCCCTCATCCTTGCTAGTGTCCATGAGATCCAAGTGCTCTGAAGATATGAGAACCCAGCAGACTGTTTAGAGGGTTACCTGGCTTCCCTCCCACCTGGCCCATTCCACCCTACATACAATCTGTCACCCAGCCAGAAGCAGGTGGCAGTGAGGTGGCAGCAAGGGAAACTTGGCTTATAGAAAACCCTCCTAAGTGATTGATCATCCAGAGGAGGTGCAGCCTCAAAATAGGAATAGCTTCGTTAAGGTTTGGGTAATTTCCATGGAAACAGACAGAACTAGACTTATTTTAAAGGGGGGGGGGGCAGGGCGTGGAATAGCCTGCAAGGGGCATAATAAGGTAAGCGATGTAAAAATGTTGAAGTTGGTGTGGCCGGCGGGACGGGACAAGGCGGGGGAATGGGGGGAGGGTCCCATATTTTTTTCTTTTCTTTTTACAATTTTGGTTCACCCTGGGTGAGGCAGAGGTTGGGAGGAGATCAGGCAGCGGTAAATTCTGATGTTGATGGCAAGTAAATTAGGTTCTTAGCCGGTACCAAATGAGGCTGAGAAAGATGTGGCCCAAGCTGGATTACAGTCATCAAGAAGTTAACAGAATCCTGTAAGAGCCCCTCCAGGTCGCCTTTCAGGTCCGCGAGCATCACGCAAGAGACTCCTTCCCAGGATAGAATCTTGTTTTATGGGCGGTTAAAATGCAAACAAACAGACCCTACATCAGCAATAACCGAACAAACAGGTGCAGGCCATTAAGAAAGTTTTGCATATGAGCTGTTTTAATTTTTGTTGCAAAGGATTTCTGGGGAGTCAAGGGGTATGTCAGAAATTAGAGCCCTAGGGCAGAACTTACAAAAACCTTTTAGCTACTTCCTTCTCCCCGGCCTCGGAAATGAAAAAGCCAAAAGGTCACCCAGCGCATCCGCCACCCAGTCAGCCCCAAGGCCAGCCGTCCTCACCCCAGTCCGGGTCCTCGCCATTGGCCTCTCCGCTGCACACGGCCACCTGTTGATGCCCTCGCGCCCACAGCCGAGTTGCAAACGGCCGCTAGAGTTCGTTCTAATTCCCCAGAGCAGAGCTGCCCGGGAAGCCCCGACGCGACGCGCCTGCTAATCTGCAGGGCGGGCGGGGACTCCGCAGAGCCTCCCAGCCCCAGGCTCCCTTTGTTTTCTCGCTGCGCTCGAAGCTTCTAAACTAGCCCCCAGACCGCATCCCCTCGTCCCCGCCCGGGAGCTGCCCAAGAGTCCACAGGCCAGCCCAGGGGGAAACAAGGTACATCTGGGCAGGAATGCGCGGCGCAGACAGGTTGCCGCCTGAGATCCCGAAGTGTACCCAGATCCCGAATTCCTTAGAGCTCTTTAGCCGAGCACTGTGGCAGGAGCGCGGCGCCCGGAATACAAGTTCATGGTTCCGAGCCGGCGGGCGAAGGGCAGCGCGATCCCCCGCCACCTTTGCTCTAAGGCGCCTAGGGGAACCTGGGGGCTGCCGCGGTGAGAGCTCCGCTCCCACTGGGAACATTGGAGTCCCAGTTGCGAAAGCGACCCGCCTAGCTTCCGAGGGACTTCTCTGCGAGCACCGCAGGCGTGTGCATTTCTTCGAATCTGAGAATTCCAGCGAACTCGGGCTCTACCAGAGTTTAAGTCGGCCCCTGGGGCGTCTGTTTGTTTATTGGCTCTTAAGGGAAAAAAGTTTGAAGATCTTTAACCAGCCTCAGACCTGGCGCGGGCGGAAATCCCGGAATCTCCCCAAGCAAAAGTGATATAACTTCAAGTCGTTATATAAGTGGGGGGCTCCTTCTTCCCCTCCCTACGCCGAGCCTTCTCATTATCATTCCGGGAGTAAAATGTGTCTCGCTCAACATAGTTTTAAAATCGTTATTATTATTTTCCTGAGCCTGAAGCCGGGCCAAGGCGCAGGCAGCGCCCAGGGTGCGTGGTGGCCCCACCCGCGCACAGTCCCACGCAAAGGGTCCCGGGGCCCGGGTACCGCCAGAGCCGGGCCTGCAAGCGCGCCCTTCGGTCCCACGGTCCGCCACTCCACGTGGTCAAGATCAACAGTTTGTTGAGCTCATCAGTGACACCTTGAACTTTTCATAAAGAAAATGGGTATTGCACGGAGACGGTTTGGCCGCGGCCGCCGCGCGGGGTCGTGCTTAATATTCAATGATCTCGCTCGCGCCTCCCCCTCCTCTTCTCGCAGAAATTCCACCGAGTCCGTTACTGGGCTCAGACTTTTAAGTTAATTTACTGCCCCCCTACCTTGGCCAGTAACCAGCGCCTTTAGGGCTAGCCTCCCCCCCAGCTCCTGCCTGAAAAATGACATTTCGCCGGTGTCTCCGGAGGGGGCTGAATTTCACTTTGTAACTTTCTGCGGAACCCGAGCCCGGGTGGCAGCTCGGGTGGTGGTATCGTATGCAAATACGCATGCTGACGTTACAGATCATGTGGGTTTTGGCGTAGATTCCCCACTGATCGAGGCATTTTTTTTCCCTTTTTTTTTCCTTTTTTTTTTTCTTTTAAAAATTTTGGCCATCGTTCTCCGTACGGGGGCTTTTTCTGTCTGTCTGTCTGGCTGGCAGGCTGGCTTTCCCCCTCTTTCCCACGGAGCCCGAGCCGGGCGCCCGGTGGGGAGTGGGGAGTGGGTGGGGGGAGCCAGCAGAGTTCCATTTTGGAACGCCCGTGCCGCGTCTCCGCGTTCCCAGCCCGGGTCCCCGCGTTCACAGCCCCAGCGCAGGTAAGAAACTTCGCCTCGGCGCGGAGCCCCCCAGCCGGCGCCGCCGGCCCCAAACCCCGCACGCCGGGCGCCGGCCACTCCAGCCCAACTTTCCCACCGCCGCCGTCGCCGCCGCGGCTCCCGAAAATGTGTTGTTAATGGGACTTGGCCGGGTTTGTGATTGGAAGGGGGGTACGGAAGGGGGGGGGTGTGCAGGCTCTTTTTGCGGGTGGGAGGAAATGAGCGGATACAGAGAGGGAAGAAGATTTTTTTTTTAAGAGTTTTGATTACAAGTTTGGATAAATGGGAGCCAGAGCGAGGAGGAGGAGGAGGAGGAGGAAAAACATGTCTACGTTTCCCTATGTCGACATAAGCCACAAAAAAATATGGCGTCCGCTTTCGACAGGGCGTTACGTAGACCCGACTGTTTTTATTTATTTATTTCGTGGCCGTCTCCCTCCCTTCTTGGCCAAACTGCGGCGCTTTGTGCAAACGGGGCAGGTCCCGCGGGGACTCCACCGGGACGTGGCCCCGTCTCCGCGCGTTTTGGCAGGCGGGGGGCTGCGTGTGTCTGCTCCCCTCCCTCCCCCTCTCCCCTCGCTCCCCTCTCCCGGTGACGATTCGCCGTAATGTGGTGGCAGGAAGCATGACGCCGTGGGCCGAGGCTGCCTCTGCTCTCGTCGCTCCCGGCGGCTGCAGGCAGCGGGCGCGCAGCGCGGGCGGCAGCCGAGCTACCTGGCGGGGGCAGGGCCGGAGCGCGGCGCTGTCCTCACCCCCGCTCAGGTGCAGGGGGAGTCCGCGCGGGGCGGGGGGCCGAGGGCGGCCGCGGGACCCCCGGCCCTGCTGTCCGCTGCCAGCTGGCCGGAGCCTCTGCCAGCCCGAGCCCACGTTCGCCCCCCTGAACGGCAGCTGGCGCTTTTCGTCTGCCCCACAAGAGGTTAATCTTTGTTGGTGTTGCAGCTTCTTTGTGGCTTCCCCAGGACTTGTATCCTCGGCTTTGCAAACTTGCCCTTTTCCCAGCCGCTTTGCAGGAGGCTGCGGAGACGAAGATGAGCGGAAAGTTGGAAACCAGCAGGCATCACAGGACGGTCCCTTTGGCCTCGTAGCTGTGCTGAGCCTGGGAGGCGGAGGAGGAGGTGGAGGCGGCGGCGGAGGAGGGTTTGTCAGGCTGGGGAGAAAACTTGATGAGGAAGCCAAATTGTGATTTGTTCAGGTTTCCACCTGATTGATAGTCTTCAAAGCCAGTAGGTCTCTACCTTCAACTGTTTCGCGGTGGCCTTTTGTTTGTCTGGGGCGTGGAGAAGGAGAGAAGTCGATGAATAAGGACTTTCCCTCGACCCCTCCCCTTTTAAAGAGTGGTTGCTCAGCTTGGCCCCCTGGGACACTGCCTTTTAGGCCCTGGAGTTCTTCCCCAACCTGCTCTCTGATCACTTTCTCTCTGTTAAGTTACCAGATCTCCAGGTCTCAGGCAGGCCCCGATGAGCAGAATGGAGTTAGAGGAGAGGATTCCTTCCCCCAGCACTTCTTGAATTGCCCAGACCTCCCACAATTACCCTCTTAAAACCACACACACACACACTTACTCACTCTCTCCTTTATATATGGCAGAAATTAATGCCTGTAGAAGTGAAGGGGGTGAGGTTCTGAGAGCTCTTCAAGATTTGAGTCAAAAGGTGATTTTCTGTTTATGAGGGCAGCGAGTTTAAGCAGTTCACTCCCAGGGCAGTAATGTCAAAAAGCGTTTGGATGACGACCAAGTGGAATAAATATCTTGTAAAATGGCATGTTTAATAGTAAAAATAGATTAATGGAGCTGTCAAGTGGTTGAATGGGACTACCATAAAGGTTTAAGTTTAAAGGGAAAGTTATGTAAAGCTGTATACACAGCTTCTTTTAAGGCCAGAAGGGAAAAAATCTACAAGTAAGGCTGAAATGTGTCACTGACAATAATTGGACTGGTGATGTGTGGAAATATCATCGCTGTTTAAATGCTCTGCTCCGCGATTGTTCTCTTGCGCACTTGTACCTTTCCTTCTAGCCAGGTTTGCTGTCAGCTAAAGGATGCACCTGAAGATTGTGCTTCAGGGGAAAATGCAAGAAACCAAGATTCTGGGGCACATCAGCTATCTCAACTAATGTCCATTTGAAGGGGGAAAACACCACTGTTTGTTGGCACTGAAGAAAGGGTATTCCTGTGATGTAAGTGCAGTGTATCTTGACATGCTGAAAGGTGGCCCCACCCGGCGTTTCTCATCCACATCAGGACCATGTGATTTGGTGGGATGCTGTACACTTATCAAAAATAATCATGGCAATGTTTGATAACAGTTTCTAACACTGTTATGGTGTGTGAGGCACAATGCTGTATATTTTACGTGCTTTATCATTTAATTCTCACCACAATCCTGTGAGCTAAGTACTACTATTATCCTCCGTTTATGGTTGAGGAAACAGAGGCTCCAAGAGGTGAAGAAACTTGCCTGAGCGACACAGCAAAAAGCAAATCCAGGCCTAACTTCATAGCCTTAACCAGTCCATTGTAGCAGCATTCAGATACACGACGTCACAGTTAGAATAAAAAAGTAAAGGGTCAGGTCCAGCAGAAAAGAGGGAACAGTAGCCACTGTCCTGAGGTCCGAACTTCAGAATTTACCTGGATTTTATTCCTTTATTCATTTATTTAGCAACTGTGTGTTGATTTATTTATTCATTCAGCAACTATAATGTTCATTATACTAATAAGAACCCATAGCCATTAAGCATTTTTGTATGCCAGGCACTATCCCAAGTGCTTATGACTAGACTATTTTGTCTTCATGACAACTCTGATGTAAGTACTCTCATTCTCTCCTTTTTCTAGATGAGGAGGCACAAGCCCAGGTAAGTTAGCTAACTTGCCCAAGTCCAAACAGCTAGTAAGCGGAGTGGCAGCCCCCAGAACACACACACTCTGCTGTTGCAATGCAGAGCGCATAACCAGATGTATGGAAATGCTGGGGAGACAGAGCCCCCCTGGCAGAAACGCAAAGCACTGCATGCTCCAGACATTATGGAGATGCTGGTGGGATACACACCCCCTGCCCTCTAGGAGTTTGAGCCGACTGCGGGGAAGCACTCATTAAACCAAATCAAGCAGGCTTAGATAAGTGCTATGATTGAGAAAACTAACCACTGTGGAAGCACAAGGAAAGGCATGATTCTTCTGCTCTGAGGGGATCACAGAGGATCTCCTAGAGGTGGGAGCAGCTGAACTGCCCCATGAATGAAGAGGAACAATGTCCAGAGGTGTAGCCAATATCACTGCATTCGGCTGCTAGCAGCAGACTCTTGACTACCAGTGACTTAACCAGATAGGGACTTTTTTGTGTCAGACAACAACGGGGTGAGGGGTAAAGGGAGATGATGCCTCAGCTGTACCATTGGGAACCCAGACTACTTCTTTCTACACTGCCATGCTTAGAGTGGAGGCCTTTGGCCTTAGGTTTATCATCTCATGGTAGGAAAGTGGCTGCTACGTCTCTAGGCCTCAGGTTTGCATTCCAAGAAAGAGAAAAAAGGATGAATGAGTCTCAAAGAGCTTTTACCCAGTACAGCTTCACTGCTATATCTGGGAAGGGGCACCCCTCTCAGGGACTTCTGTCTTTAGCTCATTGACCAGAGCTGTGCCACATGGTGACTACTGCCAGGGAAGAGCAGTCAAGTATTTTTAGTTGGACCCATTGCTGTCATGAGCAAATTGGGGTTCAACTTGTAAGGCAGACGGGGTGAAAGGAGGAATGGTTGTTGAGTTGGCAGGGAGGGCATGTGCCGCCTGAGAAAGAAGGGCCCTGGGAGCAGTGGACAGGTACCCTGGGGAGGTGGAGAGGGGGATGCAGGGAAGGCTGTGCAAAGAGATGATGCCAGGCTTGGGGGTGCACATGGAGGAGGCTGGCTTTTAATCTCTAGGTACTAGGGAGCTATGGCAGGTTTCTGAAGGTCACGTGTTTGGGGAAGGGAAGACTAAGACTGACAGCAGAGTACCTTGTGCAGACAAACGAGCTTAGTTCTTATTTGCAATAAAACGAGTTCTGCAAAGTTTCAGGCCAGGGAACAGTTTTGCCTCAGGGCAAAGAGAAGACCATGTACAATAAAGAAGTGAGGGATGATTTGCTTTTAGGTCCTGTCAATAAGAATCCAAACTTAACCTGATGTGAGTCAGCTGTTACAGGGAGGCAATCAGCTCTCCTTTCTGGATAATTCAGTTAGTGGGACTGGAAAAGCTGGAAGGGGGTGCCATTTACTCTCCAAACACTACACTTGCCTTTTTCCTGACCTTTGGGTCTCCTGGGCCCTAGCTGCAGCTCCACCACTCATCAGCAGGATACCTTTGGCCATGACCTTCACCATTGCTTTAAATCAAGGAGATGATATCAGAGCATGTCAGAGGCCTTCCCAGCACCAGATTCCCCAGGCTAGATTCCTCCAGCAAGGGCCAGCCTCTCTGATTCTCTTTGCTCAGGGTATTACCTTTATGACTTTGAGCTGTTACTTACCTCAATTTTCTTATCTCTGAAATGGAGATCACTTTAGTAGCTGCTGTATGAGTTGTTAGGAAACTTAAGAAAGTTGTAAAAAGGCTTAGCACACACCTCACATGTGAACTGTGCTCAACAAATCACCGTCATCACTGCAACCACCTCAAGAAAGTGACTTTATTGTAAATTTGAGGTGCCAAGTAATTAGCATGTGTGGATTTCATCATCAATCCCAGGACCCTGACTGTCCCATCTCATTGCCATTCCCCTTCTGCCTCCCCCCACCCCCAGTACACACATGCACTCATTTTGTGGCAAGTCCGTACCACACATCAGGTACCACACGTACGGTACCAGCACATGAGGTACCGTAATGTGCTGTGTCATAGCCACATCCAGACAGCACATCTCAGGAAGGATGCTTGGCTGTGCACATGCCCCTTTGGTAGACAATAAGGTAGACATTATTTTCTGTATTGACAAGATTATTTCATTTTGAACTGAAAAAACTCGTGATTCCCCTCCCCCACCCTTCTCTAATGCCCCCACCCTACATTGAGCAGGTTGTGATTTTAAGAACATCCACCCACAGTCTGCTTCCTGTTCTTACACTTGTAATCATGCAGTTAAGAGGGGTTGATTGGCAGTGGTGTGTGTGTGTGTGTGTGTGTGTGTAAAACAGACCCCATGCAGAAAAACAGTCCTGACAACAGTATATCAATTTCCACCCAAACTTTAAAATGGAATAGAGACACCAGGGCCAGAACCTGTCTTCTTGCTGATACCTCTCTTTCCCCCCTGGTAGACAATATTTACCTGTTAAAAGTCACAGTTCACACCCTTTCTTCCTCTTTCTCTCCCCCTTACTCCCTAACATTAGAAACACTTAGTGGAGATTAATCTTGTTACACATTGTTTCACTGCAATGGTATTTAACACATAACAGAATCTGCAGTGAATGAAATTCTTGTGCTATTGATCCATGAGGGGTCAATATGAAGGAATGTGAGCCAGGCATTCACTGTGGTGTAAGAGATTTGTGATATATTTTAGGGGTGCACATGTCTAGTTTGGGATGGAATAGCGGGAAGCCCACGCTGAGTTTATCTTTCAGAGAGAAATCAGCAAAATCCTGGGGACCATTTCCTGTCAAGTTCAGGGTCAGGGAATAGATTCATGGATCTCTGGGGCTTCGGGGAGTAGCCAAATTGAGTTAGCTCTTTCTTTGGGAGGAAATCTTCCCTGTTGGGGGCCCAGGGGCCACTTGTGAGAGACAGAGAAGGAGCCTGCTATTGAGGCAGAGAGGAAGAGGGTTATGAATGAGAGTTCCTGGGCTACAGCCCCTCCTTGTCCTGGTTGGATGCCTGCAACTGCAGCTGCTGGGCTCAAAAACATCTGCAGAAAACTGAGGAAGGACCACAAGTCTAAGTTAAGGAGGAAGTGGCAGGCACTCATGCATGCCTGCATATGCTGTGCAGAGGTGACCGTTTAAACCAGTGTTGCAGAAACACTCAAGAAAAACACTCCTCAGCAGGCCTGACATTTATGCCCCCACAGCCATCTCATCCCCCACAGCCTGGTTCACTCTGGCTGGTGAAACTGAGCAAATACAAAGCTCCCTACACAACCAGATGCACAAAGCTCCCCACATACCCAGACACAGCACAAGCACATGGTGTTCACCATGTTAAGAACAGCAATAGCCACAGAAAAAGTAAGCACCTACTATGTGCTAGGCACTCTGCTAAACACTTTCCCTTCACAATGTCATTTAATCTGACCCTGAGGAGTAAATTGAGAGTGGCAGTGTAATTCCACTTAAAAGGTAGGAAAAATGGGCTAGCTTGATGGCTCACGCCTGTAATCCCAGCACTTTGGGAGGCCGAGGCAGGTGGATCGCTTGAGCTCAGGAATTCAAGGCCAGCCTGGACAACATGGTGAAACCCCATCTCTACAAAAAATTTAAAAAACTAAAAAATGAACTGGGCGTGGTGACACACACCTGTAGTCCCAGCTACTTGGGAGGCTAAGGCAGGAGGATCGCTTGAGCCCGGGAGGTCAAGGCTGCAGTAAGCCATGATCACGTCACTGCACTCCAGCCTGAGTGAGAGAGCAAGACTCTGTCTCAAAATAATAAAAAATAAAAAAAGATAGGAAACGAAAGCTCAGAGGGGTTAAGTACTTATTCAAGGTCACAGAAAGAAGGTAGCAAAGACAGAATTCAAACTCAGCTCAGTCTGATTCCAGAGCTTTCTGTTATTGTACGTAAGTCTTCTGGAAGCCTGGCCCACATCAGCCTGGAAGAGGTGTGAGGAGAAGGGACGGTTTTAGATCGTGCTTTGGGATAGTCTGATTGCTTTTCTGATAAGGGGCATAGGGGTGCATGCCTTCCTGCATGAGTGTGTGTGCACGTGTGCGTATGAGAGTTTAGTCAAAACAGGAGAGAATTACAAATCCGCCTCTGTTATCTACAGCTCCCCCAAACCACCCCTCCTCAAAAAGAGGCCATTGTAAAGCCTCTATCAGTGTCTCCAAGAGAACATTCTCCAGGGGCATTGCGCCCTCCGCCCTCTCCTCCTCGGATCTGGAGAGAAGGAATCCCCGTGGGCTGAAAGCTGCAAAGTTGGAGCCGGAGGAGAATCTGGGTGCTCCTTTCAGGATGCAGAGTGGCCTCGCCAGCCAATGGGGGAAGGGGGTGGAGGAAGCAGGCGGAGGGAGGGTGGAGAATGGCTGTGTTGCTGTTTTTATACAATAAAAGAGGATCATTGTAATTGGGAGCCTTTGAATCATAACACGTCTGCCTATGGCTCTCCCCAGCTGCAGAGCCATTTAGTTAAATAGCACACAGAAAACTCCTTTCAGCTGATATTACGTTCCCGCTGTTCTTAAAATATGAGACTGGGCTGAATTGCTCTAAGGACAAAGCCATCTCAGGCGCCACCCCACCAGCCCCTGGGTGTACCCAGAACCCCCCAGGGATCTCCATAGCCTGTGGAGGAGGAAGTTTAGAACTTATTTTCATTTGCATGGCACCCTGTCTTTTTGAAGATAGATTAAGATATTTGCACACAGCCTGGTCAGAGCTGGATGTCATGGTGAAGTTTTTTGTGGCAGTGGTGGTCCGGAGGGAGTAGGGAGAGGCCAGGAGGCCAGGAGGCCAGCACTGGCGGTGATGGGGTGTGCCTTTGCTTTTGTGTAGGGGAGGTAAAGAGGTAGATAATGCAGGGATGTGAACTGACAGATAGAAGCTGGAGAAAGAGACTGCCCTCTGGCCAAGACATTAAGGGGAAAAGATGGGTTCCAGGCAGGAGAGGATTGAAGCGCCAGCTCTCCTCTAAGCTCTCCTAATAGAGAACTCTGCGATTTCATTATCTTGTAGAACTGCCTGTTACTTTCTTCTGGGGAACTTTGTGTTAGAGAATTGATTCTGAGTATGTGGTGAATTTCTGCCAGAGACCCATAGTCCAGGAGAGCCCGAAGACTTCACGTTGTTTCCAAGAACCAGGGCTCTTGGGCAGAAAGAGCCACAGAACGGAAACGGTCTTGATCACTTCACAGTTAATGGTAAACATTCCAAAGAACGGAGAACTTGCATTCGAGAGTGTGAACTTGGACAGTGCCTGACTTTGGCACTTTTAGAATAGGATTTATGGATTTCCTGGTACAGGATATATAATGTCCTCTGGAATCACTGAAAGAAGATTTTGAGAGGATGAGTCTAGTAGCAACATGGTACATTGGTAGGATCCAGGAATGCTCTAGCTGAAAAAAAATTTAGGGATCAAATAGCCCAGCTTGAGGAAACTGAGGCCCGGAAAGGTAAGATAATTGGCCCAAGGTTATACAGTCCTATGGCCATGTATTATTTTTCTTCTTCTCTACAGTCTAACTAAGGCCCTTTTGTTTCCTCGGCCAGCTAGCCAGCTCATCACAGCACCTTCCCTCCCCGCTTTGATTCCTCTTTCCAGTCAGCACTCACTGAGCACCTGCCAGAGGAAGAAAACAATACTCCTGCCTTCAGGAAGGTCATAGTCATTGGCACTTAGCTACAACATCTGCTGCCCATTGTCATGCTAGCCCTCACTGACATCACAGGCACAAATCTACATGCCTTTTGTGGGTGTGCTCGGACAATCCTAAGAGAGGTTGGGATTCTGTTTTGTTTTTTGTTGTTGTTGTTATTTTTGAGATGGAGTCTCACTCTGTTGCCCAGGCTGGAGTGCAATGGCGTGATCTCAGCTCATTGCAACCTCCGCCTCCTGGGTTCAAGCAATTCTCCTGCCTCAGTCTCCCGAGTAGCTGGGACTACAGGTGCACGCCACCATGCCTGGCTAATTTTTGTATTTTTAGTAGAGACGGGGTTTCACCATGTTGGCCAGGCTGGTCTCGAGCTCCTGACCTCAAGCGATCCTCCCATCTCAGCCTCACAAAGTGCTGGGATTACAGGCATGAGCCACCATGCCTATCCCGATGTTGTGATTCTGTTATCCCCATTTAACAGACAAGAAAGTACAAAGTGGGGAAGTCCTTTATCCAAGAATTCTGGAAGCCAGGCAGGCTTGTGCCACACTGATGTTCATCAAGCCTGGGCACATTTAACCCCTCCTGCCCTCCATGCACCTGTGGCTCCAGCAAAAGGGCTGTGGCCCCTCCTCCATGGATTAGAACCTGTGGCTGAGCCACAATCCAGCACGGAGGATAACAGCAAGGATGGGTGTGCATTCAGGGTCTTCCTCTGCCTACGGTCTTCCTCACCCACGATTTTCCCCAATTTATTGGATGCTCCAAATATCCTCACACCGTAGCCCATGTCATTTGCACAGCAACCCTACAGAGTAGATAATATGAAGGTCAGAGCCAGAACTCGACACAGATCTTTGGAATCCAAGACTTGAAGAGTTTCACCCACGTCAGGCTGGTGCCTGCAGCAGCCGCTGCAGCCCAAGTAGCTGATTGGGAGCCCTGCCTGGGCACGGGCAGGTCACTTAGAGACACAGGATCTCGGGTGACTGCCCACTTTAGTTCCCCAAAGTCCCCCTAAAAATAAAGGCACTTCAAGGGAATTTAGACAACCTTTAAGTCCTTTAAGTGAGCAACAGATACTTATCTGATCATAATAATAAGTGTGAAGATGATGTATAGGGGCCGGGTGCGGTGGCTCACGCCTGTAATCCTAGCACTTTGGGAGGCCGAGGCCGGTAGATCACCTGAGGTCAAGAGTTCAAGACCAGCCTGACCAATGTGGTGAAACCCCGTCTCTACCAAAAATACAAAAATTAGCTGGGCGTGGTGGCACATGCCTCTAATCCCAGCTACTTGGGAGGCTGAGGCAGGAGAATTGCTTGAACCTGGGAGGTGGAGGTTGCAATGAGCCGAGATCATGCCACTGCACTCCAGCCTGGGCAACAGAGTGAGACTCCATCTCATAAAAAAAAAAAAAAAGATGATGTATAGGATACTCTCAGGCATTGTGCAATGCTGTGCCATAGGTATTATCATTAGCCCTATTTTCTAAAATAGCATTATGGAGATATAACTTACATACCCAAGTGTCACCCACTTTAAGTGTACAATTTATTGACTTTTAGTGTATTTACAAAATTATGCAACCATTACCACAATGTGACTTTAGAACATTTTTATCACCCCAGAAAGAGATCCTGTGTACCCATTAGCAGTTACTCTCCATTCCCTTCTTCCACTCCCCGCCCACCTTAGCCCAAGCCCTACACAGCCACTAATCTACTTGCTGTCTCTGTAGGTTTGCCTTTTCTGCACATTTTATATAGGTGAAATCATACACCATGTGGTCTTTTGTCTGGCTTCTCTTCTTTCCCTTTTGAGGTTCATCCGCGTTGTAGCATGTATTAGTATTTTGTTTCCTTTTATATCCTGTTGTGTGGATATACCACATTTTGTTAGCCATTCATCAGTTGATAGACAATCGGGTTGTTTCTGCTTTATGGTGATTATGATGCTGCTGCTGTGAACATTCGTATACAAGTCTTTGTTTAGAGATGTGTTTTCATTTCTCTCGGGTAGATACCCAGGAGTGGAATTGCTGGGTTGTATAGTAACTCTATGTTTAACTTTTTGAGAAACTGCCAAACAGTTCCCCAAAGTGGATGCATCATTTTTATGTTCCCATCAGCAGAGTATGAGAGAGTTCTGATTTTGCTGCATCTCTGTCCACCCTTGGTATTGTCATTAGTCCCATTTTACAGGTGGGGGAACTGAGGCACAGAGAAGGGAGGGTCCCATGGCTAGGGAGGAGGAGCAAGACACACACACATGCCTGGTCATTGGACTACCCAGGGCCAGGACTAGAGGAAAGCAAATGAGGTACCCAGCGTGCAAAATTTAAGGTGACACCCACTCTCAGGTTCCTACAAGTGCAGGGTGGCACCCGAGAGTGTGTCCTTAAATTTTGCTTCCTGGGTACCTGATTCGCAGCGTACCTCACCCCGGTCCAGGCCCTGCCACCACCCAGCTCCTAGTGTATAGGGCACTGTGCTCACTGTTGTGGGGGTGAACACAGAGATGGCCATACCGCTGCCCCTTCCCTGGAGGTACTCAGTGTGGCTGGAGAACCCATGCATCTGCAGTCCCCACAGTTAGCCTGGCTGGACTTGCAGAGCCTGAATCGCTGCTCACAGGGTTGCTGTGAGAATTACAGGGGATCATACCTGTGAAGCATTTAGCACAGTGCCTGGCACCTAGGCATGCCCTAGAAGTTCTGGCTGGTGTCATGTTGTCATTGGCATATGTCTGACCTTACCTCCTGTGAGGATACCTCTAAGTCCCTATAGGTTGAGGGACAGCTATGAAAGGAGAGGCCATCACCCAGGGACCAGGAAGTGGCCTGGGATGAAGGAAACTGGACATCCAGGCCCTCTTCAGCCCCACTGATCCTGACCTGGGCATCATAAGTCCCAGCCACAGAGCCCAGCACTGGCTCCAGTTGAGCTTAGGGGTTCTTCTCTGGGCTGTAGACACTCCATGCCTGGCTCTGTTATCTCCAAAGCCAGAGTGCATTGCCGTGCTCCCCATACATGAGAAAACACCTGCTGGATGATACTTGGGGCAGCCATAGTGAGCCAAGTAGGGGCCCTATCATGGCCTTTTTTGTAACCAGCTTTGTCTGCTGGTCTTCAAGGGTTCAGTTCAGGGAAGGGAGCACTAACTGATCTGTCATAGGAGATTTGGGAAATCAATTTTGAGAATTCTAGATGAATAACAGATGTGTTGGTTACAAAAATGATAGAAATGATGAGAGCCTTCTTTCCAGTTTGGTCAAAGCCTACGTAGATTCCGCACATGGCTCAAATGGACTCACCCCTCTTAATCGCAGAAGCTTGGGGGGCCCTGCCTCTGGGAAAGACTGCTTGCTGGCAGGGCCATGGGACCAATGGCATCAGACCTCCTACTGCCACTCTCCCCAGCCCTGTGCACACACCATGTCTTGGCACCCACCTGCTGGCACACCCTGAGTGTGGGCCATCTGTGCTATAGGGTCCTCTGTTGGGAGATACCTTTTGTCTTATGCTATCCACCAGTCATCGTACATGTGGGTTGGTGCCATGATGAGTCCTTGAGTTTGCTGAACCTGGAGCTTTATGCTTTGATTCTCAGCTCTCTACCCCAACCCCCTGCCACCTGAGCACCTGAGTACCCAGCTTTCACTGGGTGGTTGCTCAATTAATAGTTGTTATATTGATACATAGAATTCAAGAAAAGAGAGTCTGGGTGTGTTGAAATAGGAGTGTGACTTCATGTTGGTCCTAACTGCACAAAAGTGAATGGAAACTCTTCCAGAGTTGACTTTTTTTTCCATCTTTTTTTTTTTTCTAACAAGAGGGAAGGAAGAAGTCTTATTGGAAGGAATACATGTTGTGTCATCTGTCACCAATCTCTCCCCTCCTCCATGCCACTGAGGTTCTAAAATACCAAATTTGTTCATGTTTCACTAACCGCCTAAAAACCTCTCCTGGTCACTGCTTTCCTAGGGGTCAGAAACCCAAATGCTTTCAAGAGCTTTGCAGGTAGCATAAAAGAGTGAAGGGGTCAAGGGTAGAATAGTAGGAAGCAGTGGGAGTGGGTCAGACTAGAGAGCATATCTCCAGTCTAAAGATATTTAGATTTTTTAATGGACTCTCCAGTCCACTACAGACTGCCAGTTGTAATTTCTGACCCATAGGATCAAGTCCAAATTCCTGACCCTGACATGGTGGCTCTTTGAGAGCTGAGCTCTACCCACCAGGCATGTTTTGCTCTAAAGCCTTCCACCTCTTCCACATACCCCACACTTCAGTCATATCAGACTGACCCCTGAACCCCAAATGCACTGTCCTCTCTCCCCTTTCATTCTTTCTCTTAAGAAAGACTCCTGTAGTTCCTTCTTCCCAGAAAGACTATCCCCAAGCTTAGCAAAACCTACTTTTTTCTACTCTGGAGATATTTGTTCTCTTCTCTAACAGGCCAGTGTACCATGGAAATAACCTGTTAGAAATCTAAGCTGGTGGATTTTGATCTGTTTGTACATCTGCATCCCTGAAATACTATGAGCCACTTCTCCACCCCAAGGGAAATCTTCCTGTTTGTCTCCGTGTTCCCAGCACCAGCACAGGGCTGGCCCACTTCATAGGCTCAAAATTAATGTCTGTGGAATGACTGGATGGTTATATGAATGAGGAAGTGGCTCTGTCACTACAGCCTATAGGAAGTTCTATGCTCCTGGGTTGGCACAGGTGCAGAATGAGTTGCTGCTCGCTGCTGCCCCTGGTGGCAGGTCATTGCCACAGCCTGGAAGGACTGTCACTGGACTATTTTGTAACAGGAAGCAGTCAAGGCAGTGTCTATCCCAGGCCAGCTTTGTCCCAAGTTCAGGTGCTTTTGGCCTATCTTGGCCAACCTGCCTGCCTCCCTGGCCTAGCCCTGCTCCCTTGTCTGGACATCTGGCCTCTGGGCGCAAGCTGGGTCCACTTCCTCCCTTGGGCCTGGCCTTATCCCTTGTTTCCTCTTGGGAGCACCATCTCCACCTTCCTTTGTGGCACATAGAGCAATATCACAACTGTCCTTGCAGGATCTTTCTGGTACTTCCAATAGTAAACTTTTTTTTTTTAATAGAGTCTGAACTTGAGATCAAATGCTATTTAATGGTGGTAGGAAGGCAGGATGTAAATGTGTTAAGTGTCAGCCATTGAACCAAGCATGTTGTATACTATACCTTGTTTTATATTATTTAATCCCAACTACCCCCATTGGTAGAAATTTTTATACTCATTTTACATATGAGGAAATTAAGGCTTCAAAGAAATTAACTTGCCTGAGTTACACAGTAAAAGGCAAGGCTGGGATTTGAAGCCAGGTCTGAGTGACATCTGATCCCATATACTTGCCCTGTCACAGTGCTGGACTGTTATGTAAAGGACATAAAGATTCTGTGTTAAGGCCAGGCGCGATGGCTCACGCCTGTAATCCCAGCACTTTGGGAGGCCGGAGGAGGCAGATCACCTGAGGTCAGGAGTTCGGGACCAGCGTGGCCAACATGATGAAACCCTGTCTCTACAAAAAATACAAAAATTAGCTGGGCATGGTGGCAGGCGCCTGTAATGCCAGCTACTTGGGAGGCTGAGGCAGGAGAATCGCTTGAACCCAGGAGGCAGAGGCTGCAGTGAGCTGAGATCATACCACTGCACTCCAGCCTGCACAATGGAGCGAGACTCCATCTCAAAAAAAAAAAAAAAAGATTAAATCCTTAGCAAGTAGGATATGTAGACACTGGCCCTGTCTTCCCCACTAGAGTTTAAGATTTTGCTTATGAGAGACCACACAACGGGAACTAGTAACAGCAGCATCTTTTACCTTTCCCTTTGGAGGCACGTCTTGTCACTAACACAGCCTCTCATCCTCAAGACACTGTCCTCTTGCAGTTTTGTCACCAGTGGGATGGTGGGATTATTAAGATTTACTTAGTGTGCTAAGTACTTACTTAGTACTTACTAAGATTTATCTTAGTGTGCCATCTTGTGTAATAGGAAAATGGGCTTGGGATTCCAGTCTGATATTTGTGTGTGCACATGCCCATGCTTAAGTAATAGAATAGCAGACCATTCTGTAACAACTGTGTGTAGGGGAGAAAATCTAGTTTCCTTTTTTTCCCTTTTTAGGTTCTTTGTGGAAACGCTGTCCTGAAAATAAAAGTCAGATTAACAGAAGACAAACAACCAAACGTTTATTAATGCGTGCTCTGCCCATCACATGGGAGAGGCCTTAGTTTAAAAGTATTTCTTTCTCAAGGTGGTGGCTTAGGGACCTTGCTTAAATAGTATTTTAACAAAGGGCCATAAATCCTATATAGTGACAAGACAAAGAAGAGAGCAGTTCCAGTCTTTGAAAAAGCGGGAAAATGTGGGAAGACAGTAAAATCTGTTCCCAGATTCCTCGGGTGCCTGCTGGTGCCTCCTTTGGTCTCCTAAGTCCGTGCTGTCTCCAGTAAGGAAAGATTTGTGTCCTCCCATCAGGCAGATGCAGGCCGGCCAGGGGGTTCCTTGGCATTGTCAATGTCTTTCACTTAACGATCCTCAATAGTTTGGAGAAAAGTATTTTGGTTTCCTTCAGGTGCAGGAAACCTCTGGGATAGGCATTGGATGAGATATGTGAGTAATCAGGTTAGGCTAAGCTATGATACAGTGACAGGTAAACCCCAATATCCCAGTGGCTTCATAAGGCAGAGTTTATTTCTTCCTTTCATGAAGTCCACTGAAGGACTACAGCTCTGTAAGGCAGCTTTCCTCCAAGCTGTGACTTGGGGATCCACGCTGCTAAAATTTTGTAGCCACTTCATTTGAAACAACTGGCTTTCAGGCTGCTGGAGGAGAGGAAGAGAAAAGGAAAGGGGTATGTACCCACTTTCTAAAGTTGCCACTTCTGCTCACACAACCTCGCAAAGCCGCAAGGAGCCTGGAGACTGTGGGGGAAGCACATGACCGTCGGGCCAGTAGTGCCTGTTTCTGCACAGAGAACCCTGGGCTGGCTGTGCTGCTTCAGCAAGCATTGTGCCTTTTCTCTTCCGCTCAGCAAGGCAACCAATTTCCCTTTTACCTTGAACAGGATTCCTGAATCCAGGCCGACAAAGTTTCGGGGCAAAGTCCAGACCTGAACAGAAGCTTCCTGACACTTAGTCAGCGCCGTCTTTGACGCTAAGGACCACGCTCAATTGTCCCTCCCAACAGGATGTGGAGGAGCAGTCCTGGACTCTGAACGGCCACCCAGACATTCAAAAAAAAAATTTCTTTTGCAGCCTATTTGCCTTTCTTACATTTTGTAGGATACCATTACAATTTGGTTTTACATTGAGCATCCAGTCTGGCGTAAAGAAAATTAACATTTAATGAGCCTCTAATTACTGCCAGCACTAATGATACTGAGCATAACAATAGTCACGCTAATGGCTGACAGTTACCAGGAGGGTTCAGCGTGCCAGGCCGATTCTCAGAACTGCACAGATTAATTAATCTGTATACTCCACCCAACTCCTCCGGGAGGGCGTCCCTGTTGTTCTCTTCCTCAGAGAGTCCTGATTATCTGTATGGAATAGAAAAGGAAACTGAGGCTCAGAGAGGTGAAGCAACGCAGCGAGGAAGGGGCAGAGCCAGACCGGTCTAGCTGATTCTAAACCCAGCACTGGAGGGTGGGAGTATGTTGGGGGATACAGAAAATGCCAGCTCTTGAAAGCTTTCTGGATATTCTGCTACGCCTATGCATTCGAGGAATATCAGAAGTGTTAGGGATGCTGGACACTTTGTTCATTCTTGCAGGAAATATTCGAGCCCCTACTATGTGTCAGGCACCATGCTGATCAGGAGGGACCCTACAGTGCTGAGGGAGAGAGTGGGTTCAGTTTAGACTTGTTTATTCTCCATTGAAGTTCCCTGATTTTTAAAAATATCATTTAAAGGTAGCTGCAGAATGTTGATCTCACATCCTGCCAGGGAATGGTGGTGCGTTGGAATTTTGGCTCTGAATACATTGCATGGGGCAGATGGACTCAGCTCAAAAAGTAAGGACCCGGCTGAGCACGGTGGCTCACACTTGTAATCTCAGCACTTTGGGAGGGTGAGGCCGACAGATCACTGGAGGTCAAGAGTTCAAGACCATCCTGGCCAAACTTGTCTCTACTAAAAATACAAAAATTAGCTGGGCGTGGTAGTATGCACCTCTAGTCCCAGCTACTCGGGAGGCTGTGGCAGGAGAATCACTTGAACCCAGGAGGCAGAGGTTGCAGTGAGTGGAGGTTGCAGTGAGCTGAGATGGTGCCACTGCACTCCAGCCTGGGGACAGAGCGAGAGCGAGACTGTCTCAAAAAAAAAAAAAAGAAAGAAAGAAAAGTAAGGACTCTCTTCAACCAACTGACCCTGTGATTAACCATCCAAGCATTTGTTAGTTACCAATTTTGCACTAGTTCCTGTGTTGAACAGTCAGCCAACCACTGTGAAAGCCAACATTTGAATCACCTAGTCCAATCCCCTGGGGCTTTATAAGAGAGGCAATGGAGGCCCTCTCTAGGCTGTGAATTGCCCAGGATTCCTCTGCTACTTTAAAATGTGCCCATGTTAAAGCTCGCTCCAGAACAACAAACCATACCCGTGACACAAACAGCACTGCCCCCTCCTTTACACTTACATGAAGGAGCGAGCATGACAGAATGTTTCACCACTCCCAGCCCTTTTGATCATAAGCCTCTTCTTTTGATCCTGATCACCACCTATGGTGTGCAGGGCAAGAGAGTCAGCCAAGCCTCATCTCCCCACGCAGCTGCAAGGTTTGAGGGAAGTGGGTTAGGCAGTGGCAGCTCTTTCCTCCGTCACAGAGAAAGAAAATGACACATACAAGATCAAATGCTAAGTAGCCATGGAACCTGGGCTAACACCCTTTGTTTTTGGCTTGTGCGCCACAATTTTTTTTTTTGTTTGTTTTTTAGTATTAGAATTTCATCCAAAGTTCTCTGACAAAGCTAATCATTCAAAATTGGTGAAATGAAAATGGGGGAGATAAGAATCCAGAGAAGTCGTCTATTAAATATCTTTTTGGTGAACTTCAACTTTCTTTTTTAGCTTATGTTTTAAATCTGGAATTTTGTTCCCAGAAAATAATACTGTGACTTGATTATCTCCATGGCATAGAGGACTTGGTTTTAGCTCTTAGCCTGCTGATAATCCATGGAGGAAGGCTGAGGGCTCAGCCTCTGTGACTGAGGAGCTCCTGGGCTAGGTGACCTGGCAGCATCCTGATGTCCAGGAAGCATCCTTTTTCCCCAGATTCTCGAGGAGAGTCCTGTCCACCTGACTCTCAGCCCTCAGCCTTTGCTTTGTAGGAGTAATGGGCATTTACATTTACATTTGCTTTTCTTTTCTTTTTCTTTTTGCTTTTCTTTTTTTTTGAGATGGAGTTTCACTCTTGTTGCCCAGGCTGGAGGGCAGTGGTGTGACCTTAGCTCACTGCAACCTCCACCTCCCAAACGATTCTCCTGCCTCAGCCTCCCGAGTAGCTGGGATTACAGGCATGTGCCACCACACCCGGCTGATTTTGTATTTTTAGTAGAGACTGGGTTTCACATGTTGGTCAGGCTGGTCTCAGACTCCTGACCTCAAGTGATCTGCCTGCCTCAGCCTCCCAAAGTGCTAGGATTATAGGCGTGAGCCACCGCGCCTGGCCTAAATTTATTTTTGAGAGAAGAAAATGCTTTTTGCTCCCTCCTAGCTCATCTGGTACAGCAGGAGTCAGCTTGTCCTGCAGTTCAGATGGTCTTGATGGCAGAAGACACCAGTCACCATTATGTCCCTTTCATCCCAGCCCGCATCCCATCCTGCCCTCTTCCCCTGTCCTGGGTTCACGTAGTAGCTATAGTCAGAGTAATGGTTGTCCCTAGTGTTTCTGCTGTGAGGCGCCCCGGCAAGGAAGCTGGTGCGGTGCCTGCAAACCCTGGCTTCTGCAAAGACTGGAAGGGAGTATCTGTGTCCTGGACAGCATAGTGGAGCCCCCGAGCTGTAGCGGCCACCCCTTGTGCAGAGTAGGTGCTCAATAAATATCTGTGGAATTTCTGAGCCAGGCAGTGTTGATGGACCCACAGTGACACTTATCCAGGATGCAAGCACTTAGAGACTTGGCACATTGGGAATTTGTCCTGGCAACTGATGAAACATCTTTGCAACATGTGTTATCAGTAACCCTAAATTCAGGTTAACAGTGAGTGCTTGATTTAATCATGAGAATAGCTGTGGTCACTGAAAAGCCATGTATTTTCCCAAGGCGGGGGGCAGAGAGAGAGAGAGAGAGAGAGGATGCAGAAGCAGAAGCTAAAGAACTGAGAACGTTTTTCCTCTTTCAAAACCATGTGGGGGAGCTTGCCTGAAAGAGTTGTCAAAACAGAACCTACAACTGGAGTTATGGCTTGTGTAGACAGGTGCGCGTGCACAAAAACATACAAACACACAGAGCCAAAACACAGCACAGCTCAAAAGTTAAATATTTGTTAGCCTTTTGCTTGACAGTGTATAGGTGTTTGTGTATAACTTTAACAGCATAAAAGGTGCATGAAAGCTGGTGATCAGTTTTGTAAGTTCCAAGTTGCAGATACTCAACTCTGCAAATCAAGGCTTTCAATGAGTGAAGAGGCTATACATTTTCTGTAGTGTTTGGCGGTTCAAAATAACAACCCATGAAAAAATTCGTAATTCTAGGTTCACAGAAAGAGACCATTTGTTGCTAATTACCTACTTCATTATAAGTATCTGTAATAAAATTCTCAGGGCATATTGGGCAAATTATCATTTTAATAAAATAATTACTTAAGTAAACATATTCCTGCAAATTTCCCATAATGACTCTTTCTGTGACATGGAGTTTCATAAGTTAGGACTTGACAACTGTCCTCACGAACAGGATTTTGACATGGGGCTTATATCTGAGGACCTTATAAACAGGGAGATGTTTTCCTTTCAGAAGATGAGTCAAGAGATTAAGGGGCCCGACACGGTGGCTTACATCTGTAATCTCAGCATTTTGGGAGGCCGAGGTGGAGGGACTGCTTGAGTGCCCAGCAGTTTGAGACTAGCCTGGGCAACATAGTGAAATGCCATCTCTACAAAAAAAAAAAAAAAAATTGCCAGGCTTGGTAGCACACACATATGGTCCCAGCTACTTGGGAGGCTGAGGTGGGAGGATCACTTGAGCCTGGGAGGTAAAGGCTGCAGTGAACCATGATTGCACCGCTGCAGCTCCAGCCCAGGCCACAGAGTGAGACCTCATCTCCAAAACAAAAAGAGATTAAAGAGGCAGAGACGTTTCGTAATATCCTCCCTTGCCCTAAACGCACATCTGGAGGAAGATGACTGCCAGTTCCGGACACTCTGGCTTTCTGTTTGGATGCGTTGACTTGGAACTTTTCTACGATTCTGGAATAAGTATGAGGCCTGAGAGAAATTCCATATGCAGACAGGGGTCAGGAGACCTGGGATCACCCTGCCCAGCCACCCACGGCTGCTGACTTTGGGTGGGTCATTTATCCCCTCTCTGGCCTCAGTTTCCCCACTTAGAAAGTGGAGGTGGCTGTACAGTTCCTGGAGTCATCTTTTTTCTTTTTTGACAGAGTCTGACTCTGTCATCCACGCTGGAGTGCAGTGGCACAATCTCAGCTCACTACAGCCTCCACCTCCCCGGTTCCAGCGATTTTCCTGCCTCAGCCTCCCGAGTAGCTGGGATTACAGGTGTGTACCACCACCCCAGCTAATTTTTATTTTTTTAATAGAAATGGGTTTTCACCATATTGGCCAAGCTGGTCTCGAACTCCTGGCCTCCAGTGATCCACCCACCTCGGCCTCCCAAAGTGCGGGGGTTAGAGGCGTGAGCCACCATGCCCGGCTTCAAGTCACTTTTCTTCTCAGCAGTCTGCAGCTGGGTTCACTCTGCCCATCCCCAGGTAGCAGGGTTCCTGCAGGTAAGACCTGTTGCTGTCAGAGGCCCGTGGCTGCCCTAGCTCCCTTGTATAGCCTGTTGATTCAGGCCTTTCTGGACCTTGTATGTAAGGACTTGCCTTTCCACCCAGATTGCCCCCACAGAACTGTCATGACGTTTCCGTGGAAAGCCCGCATGGTGTTGAGCAAGCAGGCTGCCTGCATGGCCCCTGCTAGTCCAAGCTAGGGGATACCAAGGCAGTGGGTCTGCAACTGATTTACAGGGAAGGTTCAGGAAAGGGAAAGAGAAAGGGGGCAGAGGAGCAGGGCAGGAGATGTGTTCTGGGTCCCAACGCCTGGCTGGTAAAGTGAATGGGTTGTGTCCGTCATGGGGGCAAGGCTGGCAGGGGGCTGCCCTTCCACGCTTCTCTGGGATACTGTGTTTATTTACTGCTCTGGGCATCCCTGTTTCTCTTGGGAAGTCACTTTTTCCAGGGCCAGAGGAGGCTGACAGGCTGTCACCCGAGAATGCTCCCCTGCATCCCACTGCCCCCACTCCCACCCCACCCCACCCCGCCCCCAGTTAGCGCTCTAGGGGACCAGCGGGCGGCAGCACGAGATGTCTTTGGAAATAAGGAAGAAGTGCCCCTACAGGTGGTGTTGGTGGCGTGGTCTGAGTGGTCAACCTGAATTGAAACTCCCTCCCCATCCCCTGTTCCTATTCTGAGCCTGGAACGAGGGTGGGGACTCAAGTGAAAGCAGCAAAGCAAACGCAGCCAGATTTCTCCCTCCCTCTCCCCACTCTACCCCTAAAAAACAGCCCCCACTGAGGTAGTAGTGGTGTGAGCCAGGCTTGGCAGTGTCACTATGTGGTGCCTTTTCGTTAAGGACCGTGATGGTGGCCCCGGCCCCGCCTCAGAGGTGCCACTCCCCGTTGCTCCTCCTGCAGGCTTTCACTGGTGGAGGCCATGTCTTGCCTCTTCGGTATCAGGTCTCCTGTCATCTCCACCAAGACGCCTTCTCTGAAGCACACCCTGCCCCATCTCTAGACCAGGATTACTCTATCTCAGCCCGTTCTGGCCTGGATCATTCTTTCGTGAAGGGCTGTCCTGTGCATCATAGGGTATTTGGCGGCATCCCTGGCCTCTGCCAACTCCATGCCAGCAGCACCTCTCCTCCAGCTGTGACAACCGAAACTGTCTCCAGATTTTGTCAAATGTGCCCTCGGGGACGAAACGGTCCCAATCTCCTCTTCCCCCATGGAGAACCCGTGGACTAAATCACACCCTCTGTTTTGCGTTCTTCACAGCCTTCTTCACTCTCTGAAATGGTCGTGTTTTTTTCTGTCTTGGTCCCAGTAGTGCTCCCCCTGGCAGCTCATTATCCTCACCTGAGCTTTTGAAACTCCCAATGCCCAGCCCCACCCCACATGATGAAATCAGAATCTCTGGAATATGGGTGCACATTAGAGATGTTTTCCCAGGTGAGCCTGCTGGGCGGCCTGTTTGAGACTCACTGCTGTCTCCCCACAGAGGAGAAGCCATTAGATGGAGGGCCAGGGCGGGCTTTGATCAGTACGTAGAATAGTGCCTGGTGCCTGGCAAGGACTCAGTACTATAAGATTCAATGAATGAACAAATACTGCAGAAAACCCATCATCACTGGTAGAAGTTTGTAGGGATTCTTTCATTTTTGTCATTTATTTGTCCATTTATTTATATATTTATTTATTTTTTGAGACAGAGGCTTGCTGTCACCCAGGCTGCAGTGCAGTGGCACCATCTCGGCTTGCTGCAACCTCCGCCTCCTGGGTTCAAGTGATTCTCCTGCCTCAGCCTCCCAAGCAGCTGGGACCACAGGCGTGCACCACTGTGCCTGGCTAATTTTTGTATTTTTAGTAGAAATGGGGTTTCACCTTGTTGGTTAGGCTGGTTTCCAACTCCTGGCCTCAAATGATCCACCCACCTCGGCATCCCAAAGTGCCCGGATTACAGACGTAAGCCACCACGCCCGGCCCCATTTATTCAGTCATTCATTCAACAAACATTCATTAAGTGCTTGGTAAATGCCTGGTGTGGTGCTGAATGCTGGGGAGGCAAGGATAAGGAAAACCTGGCTCCTATCTTCTGGGAGTCTCCAGTCTCCTGGGAGGCACATAGGCAGGTGCACAAGGTGGCCCATGTAGTGAAAGAATTGCTAGGCCGGAGGTATGCAAAAAGCAGCTAGGACATAGAATAAGCAGTGCCTGAAAAGACACAAGAAAGGAGCCCAGTGTCTCCCAGTGAGGTGTTTTACTTGCATTTTCACACTTGAACATCATCACAACCCTGCACCATTTCCCAGCTGAGGCAACTGAGGTTCTGGGAGGTCACCTAACTCCCTTGGGGTTACCTGCCCATCTGTAGCCCAGCCGGGACTCAAACCCAGGTCTGTCTCACTCAAAAGCCTGTTTTCTTTCCAACATACAATGCCGTGTCTGGAGCTGAAACTAGAACACAGGGCCATGGATTCCCTTGTGCACACAGCGGCCACTCTGTTGCCTGAATACGTGCATAGCATAAAACCAGCCCCAGCCATCCCCCAGCTGTAGACTCAGTGTGTGTTCCTGCCCCTGGAAGGTTACCTCTGAAGTCCCTTCATCTAAACTCTTTCATTCTGTGACACTAAGAATCAGGCTGTCTTAGTTTGGGTCCCCCAGATGCACACCCCAAGGCAAAGCTTCAAGTGCAAATAGTTTATGTGAGAAGCAAAGGAAGCGCTGGGTGGGGGTGGGGGTGGGGCAGCAAGTGGGACCTGGAGAGAAGGAAGCCAGGAAATAGAGCATTGTCAAGCAGGTGGGGAGCTCTGGGTGCCAGCACAAATCACACGCCTCAGTGCTGTTCCACCTGAGTATTGAGACGGGCATGGAACCTATCCACCAACTCCCATCAGTCACTGGCCATGGGCTGCTCCCTGAAGGGGCGTCATTCTCCCATACTTCAGGCCTGGCATGTAGGGAACAAAGTGGCCACTCGAAATCTGAGTGACCCCCCACCCCAGCAAGGAAACACAGGTACCGACAGTTAGAAGTAAGGCCAATGTGCACTGAGGTGGGAAGAACAGGGGGACATGGGCCAGCCCCACAGCATCTACTACGGACTCAAAGGAACACCTCATGAAGATCTTTCTTTTTTAAAAGTCGTCAGTCCCACTTATGGAGCACCTGTTGTATACAAGCTCCATGCCAGGTTTAAAAGTTCAAAATGAAACATAAGAGCTTCTGTCCTAATAGAGCTGGCTGTCGTGGGTAGATTGCCAGAGCAGCCCTGTATAGGCATCATCTCTACAAACATTGACATCGAAATTTCTAAGTTGTGTCTCCTCAGCCCAGCAGTTGTGGCTCCTCATCACTAGGACCCAGACTCAACTCTGTCATTACTCCTCCCTGTCCCCTGCCTCGAGTTCTCTGCTCTGGGATTTTTGAACTGCTTGTAGGTCCTGGAAAAAAAAGTCCTTCTCTCTTTCCCTCTTCCCTCTAAACCTTTGCATATTCCAGTTCCTCTACCTTGTTGCCAGAATAGTGCCCCATCTTTCTTGAGTCTGGTTAATATCACCTCCTCTGGGAAGCCTTCTCTAACTCCCATTCTCATCACTAGTTCCCAGGTGAGCTTGGCCTTTGCACAGTTTCCTGTTCTTATTCCTATCAGATTAATCATCACGCACACACATGACTATAATTGCCTTTTTACTTACCTGCAAGCTTTCAGGAAATCAAGGATGAATGAGTCACTTTCGATGGCATTAAAGTAAGGCCTGGGAATGAAAGCTCAGCCTGAATCTGAAACTCAGCTTAACTACTTCCTAATTGTGGGGCTTAGGTTGAACTGTGTGCCTCAGTTTTTCTATCTGTAGAAATGGACCCAATAAGACTTCCTTTACAGGGGCATTTGTGGAGTTTCTTGGCCCCTACCCAATAGAGCCACTAGAAAAGCAAGAAGAAACCTGAGAGCTGAGAAAGTCATCACAAGTTTTATAATCCAGAAAAGGGATGCATCTGCCCGGGTCAGTTTGTATGCATTACAGAAAACTCATGAACGCTGCCCAGAACACGGTGTGTGCAGGCACCAGAGTTAGGGTCGTAGCAAAGAGATGGTACACACAGAGTAGCAAGGACTGAGTAAATGGAGGGCCTGATTACAGAGAAGAGTACAGGGTTAAGCAAAGCCAACAACGGAAAGGGAAGCACCGGGCTCACAACAGCTGAAAGTCCGACCTCCCCTAGGCCTTAAGGTCAAGACGAAGGGTGGCCATTGGAACTCAAGTGAGGTGTAGTTGTAGGAGAGTGACTGTCCCATTTGACACTGAAGAATAGTCATTTTACATGGCTGACATTTACCTTGTGCCAATTATGGCCAGGCATTGTTCTAAGCATGGTAACCCACATCACCCTCATTTATGGAGTAAAACTGTTTGCCCCATTTCACAGATGGGAAGCCTGAGGCACAGAAAGATTAAGTAATTTTCTCTAGGTCTGATGATAGGGGAAGGGGAGTGGGGATAGATAACCAGACCTCCCATCCTTAGACCCTCTGATCTCATGCCAGTTCGTCCCACTGGTAGAGCTCACTGGTAGAGGGTGGAGGGCGAGGATGTGCACTCAGACAGTCCACAGTGTGGAGAAGGGTGGACAGTGGAAGGGGCCCTTGGTGAGTGGGAGCTGCTATTTTTGCTGCAGCTGCTGCTGCTGTTGTCGTTGTTGGATCATCGAAGCCTGGGACAATGCCTGGCTCCTACTGGGCAGGCGCAGGTATTTTCCAATTGAATGAATGAACCATTGACCTATTAACCACAAATTATATCAACATCACTTGGGCCCTGAATAATGTATTTATTGAAAAATGAAATTGAAAATATTATCCTTTTAAGCTTCTGGTAATGGAGGAAATGGTTCATTCCTAACAGTTTTAATAATATTACATATTTGTTGACTCAGGGAACTCTTTTTGACATTTATTCAGGATTTCCAGACTGCATGGGAAGAAAAGCAAAAACAGTGTCATCAGCGTTACAGGTAGAAATAGAAAAATAGAGTTTTCCTTTCAAATTGAAGTGTTAGGCACTTGGAAATAGCCTTTTACTTTAGATGGAGAATTTAACACTCTGCCTGCGACCCACCTAACCAGGGATTTGTGGAAAACACGTGTTATGCCCTGAGCACTGGGTCAGGAGTGAGACTGTGGTGGGTGGTGAGCAAAGGGCTTAGGACTGACCAAGGGTGTTGGAGGCCAGGCTGGCCGCATACAAATCAGGAATAGGAACTGACGCTTACTGTGTGCTTTTATGTGCCAGGCCTTCTCCTGAGATATGTAACCACCTTCTCGGGTGGATACTGCCATTAGACCCATTTTGCAGATAAGCAAACCGAGGCACTGGGAGAAGAAGTAATTTGCTCAAGGCCACCCAGGTGGTAAGTGGAAGACCCCTAACTCTAGACACTGTCTCTTAACTGCTGTGCTTACTCCCTCTTTATTAGAGAATGGTAGAGGTGAGATCTCAGCTTTACCCCTTTTATTTTACAAATGAGGCTCAGAGAGAGATATTGCAACTTGTCCAAGGTCACCCAGCCTTGTTATTGGGAGAGTTCAAATGGCCTTAGTGCCTGCTTCTAACTCTGAACCATCCCGTCACCTTGGGCAGGTCACTTACCTTTTTTCAGTTTATCTCCTCATATATAAGATGGGGCTAATAATTACGCCTTTAAATACTTTTAAGAGATTAGTGATCATTTCAGTCTTGACTCCACTTAGATGTGAGCACCAGATTTATATATATGTATGCCTCAGGTCAACTTCAGGGTTTTAAACAACAGCAATACTAGTGTCTTAGCCCATTCTCATGCTGCTAATAAAGACATATCCAAGACTGGGTAATTTATAAAGGAAAGAGGTTTAATTGACTCACAGTTTAGCATGGCTTGGGAGGCCTCAGGAAACGTACAATCATGGGTGGAAGGGGAAGCAAACACATCCTTCTTCACATGATGGCAGGAAGAAGTGCCAAGCAAAAGGGGGAAAAGCCCCTTATAAAACCATCAGATCTCATGAGAATTCACTCATTATCACTAGAATAGCAGCATGGGGGTAACCGCTCCCATGATTCAGTTACCTCCCACCAGGTCCCTCCCGTGATGTGGGAATTATGGAAACTACAATTCAAGTTGAGATTTGGGTGGGGACACAGTCAAACCATATCAAATAGTAAGTAATAATAGCATATAGAGCACTGGCTGTGGTCAGGAGCGTTCAAAGCACAATGGTTAACCCATGTAATTCATTATTTATAATCCATAATTCTCACCACACTCCTTCCAGATTTACAGCTGAGGAATCCATTACAGAGAGGAGAGTGACCTGTCAGATTACCAAAAATAGTAAGTGAATGCCCTTACCAAGATTTGAACCTGACTAGTTTGAGTTGGAGCTCCAAAGCGCTAGCTAGACAATTAACAAATATTGTCAATGTTGTTTCATTTTGTGCTGCATGCAGTTTTTCTCCAGTAATAGCTATAGTCACAAAACAAAGGGAGACTCATTTTTTTATAAAAGCTGAAGCTGGAAGGGATTGGTCTTTTTTGCAACCTCCTAACAGAGATGGTGATAAATGCCATCAGTTCCATCTAACAGGAAGAGAGACCAGAAGCTGTGAGGTTCTTGGAAAGGAATGGAAGGGCCCGGGAGACTCAGCCCCTGAAGTGATGTTGGCAGTTACATCATAACAGAGAGATGGGAGATGTCTGCAGTGGCTGGAGAAGGACAAACCTGAAGACACTAGAAAGAGGAGTTGGGTCCAGGTACAGTGGCTCATGCCTGTAATCCCAGCACTTTGGGAGGCCGAGGTGGGTGGATCACGTGAGGACAGGAGTTCAAGACCAGCCTGGCCAAAATGGCAAAATGCCATCTCTACTAAAAATACAAAAAAATTAGCCAGGCGTGGTGGTAGGCGCCTGTAATCCCAGCTACTGGGGAGGCTGAGGCAGGAGAGTCGCTTGAACCTGGGAGGCGGAGGTTGCAGTGAGCTGAGGTTGCACCACTGCACTCCAGCCTGGGCAACAGAGTGAAACTCCATCTCAAAAGAACAAAAAAAAAGAGAGAAAGGAAAAAAAAAGAAAGAGGAATTGGAAACTAACCTCACAGGGGAAAGAAAACTCACTTCTGCATAATCCCACGCTGGTATTTAGTTATGCCCACTGTGAGTGCTTTTAGACAACAAGCAACCGAGAAACCAATGTGCCTGAGGGGACCCGAACCACACCCTTGCCCCACTTGTCACGCGTGGGGCCTGAAGTGTAAGAGCAGGACCTCGACAGAGGCAGAAGTGAGTTCGAATCATGGCTTTGCCCCATGCCAGCTATGTGACGTTAGGCCACTCTGCTGCCATTTCTTCATCTGTAAAGGGAGATTATCATTGTATCTATATCATTCAAATTGTTTGAAGCTTACAAGAAATCCTGTAGTTAGAGAGGTCTCTATGAGTTTTCAGAAGGAGTTAGAAAAGGGTGACTCTGGGGATTGGGTAGGGGGGGTGGAGGGCTACTTTTCATTAGAAGATGATGGTTTTCATTATAAGCCCCTATAGTGCTTGATTTCTTGACCATGGGCATGTATCTGTCTGCTAAAAATATATATATATTTTTAAAGCCTCTTAAGAAATCATGTAAATCCAGCATTGTGCACAATGTTTGGCAAAGAGTAAGAGCTTAATAAATGGCATAAATGAAGACCTAAGTGCCAGCCCTAGAGGCCGTCCAGTGTGCAGGCTTAAGAACTGGCACAGCCACTTATGAGCTGCAGTGACACATAAATGCCCTTCATCTCTATAAACGTCAGTTTCCTTTTCTGTAAAATGGGGGGTAGTAACACCTGCTTCCTTGGCTTGTTTTGAGTATTAAATGCAACAATGTAGGGAGAATGCTTGGCCCAGTACCTGAGATCTTGTACACATTCAGCAAGTGGTCACTATCATTTCACTGTGGTCAGAGATAACGTGAAGCTGGGAACAATAGTGAACATGTTGGATGATAGATACAGCTTCCTGAAAGATCTCAGCAGACAAGAAGAATGGAGCAAATGCAGCAATTCAGAGAACAGCATCAAGTCCCACATGAGCAGGAAACGCGGCCCTGAGGTGTCACGTCCTGCGTGGGTGAGTCTCTGTGGACGGCAGGTCCTGGAAGGGCCAGCAGTGAGGGGCAGGATGTGTATACATTTTTTATTAACAGCATCGGTAGCAGAATGGTGTCCAGCCAGTAGCAGCTCCTCTCCCCTGGTGTCACAAACCTCACTGCAGAGTCGTGCCCATCAAAATGGGCACTCCAAGGAGTGTTGTATGTGAAATGGAATATCCACAGACTAGCATGTCTTTTTTTTTTTTATTATTATACTTTAAGTTTTAGGGTACGTGTGCACATTGTGCAGGTTAGTTACATATGTATACATGTGCCATGCTGGTGCGCTGCACCCACTAGACTAGCATGTCAAAAGGGAGTGGCTGGGATTATAGACAACCTGGACCCAGGGTACCGAAAGTTTTACTTTTTAAAATTGGGAATGTTTGATGTTAGAGTTTTAGGGGTCAGTAAATGGCAGAGCCCTGTTACCTGACCAGGTTCAGAATCAGTGGAGACAGACAGAGATGTTGAACAGGTGGAAATCAAAATATCCACTTTGGGCTGAGTGCAGTGGCTTATACCTGTAATCCCGGCACTTTGGGAGGCTGAGGTGGGTGGATTGCCTGAGCTCAGGAGTTCGAGACCAGCCTGGGCAACATGGCGAAACCCTATCACTACAAAAAAATACAAAAATAGCTGGGCGTAGTGGCACATGGCCTGTGGTCCCAGCTACTAGGGAGGCTGAGGTGGGAAAATTGCGTGAGCCCAGGAGGTCGAGGCTGCAGTGAGCTGAGACTGCACCACTGCACTCCAGCCTGGGTGACAGAGCGAGACCCTGTCTCAAAAAATAATAAAATAAAATAAAATATCTACTTTGTTACTGATAGAACCAGACTAGAGAATATGATGCAGGTTCACTGGCTTTATGGTCTTTCTAATGCTCCCTGCCCTGCATCCACGCCATGGAAGAACCAGACAAGGGGAACTGGGAGCCTGGAAACCAGACACACTTACCCAGGGCCAAGGCCACTGCCGCCCTCTGATAGGGGCAGACAGAACAGAAAGAGAAATCCCATCTGTGATGTTTGCAGGAGAGTAACTGAGTTGAGAAATGGTCCGTGAGTGGCTGTCACCTGCCAATCAGGCCTTTAGTCCACTTTCAGGGGGGAAGAGAAGGAAGGTGGGATGGTAATAGGTCCAGAGCGTTTACGTAAAGACCCTTTCTCGTGGAAGGAAAATGTGTGAGAGGTAAGAATCCCCCTTTCACATTTAAGAAAGTTGCCAAGAATTTAATAAGCACTCACTTTGTGTATCAGTGCTCTTCATGCATTCATTCAATAAATCACCAACTATCTATTGATCACCTGTTTTGTACCTGGTTCTCTTCTCAGGCTCTTGGGTTCAAAACAGAAAGAGATTCCTTCTCTCATGGAACTTACATTTTTGGACTGAGGAGAGACAGACAGTAAGCAATAATCATGATAAGTAAGGAAATCATAGACTATGCTAGAAAGCGGTCATTGTTATAGAAAAACAATAGTAACCTTAGACTCGAGGGAAGTGGAGGAGTGAGCCATGGGGCTTTCTGGGGAAAGAGCATTCCAGGCAGAGCGACAGCTGGTGCAAAGACCCTAAGGCAGGAGCGTGCCTGAGGGGTGTGAGAAAAGCGAGGAGTCCGATGTGTGCAGCAGAAAAGGCCATGCATTCTGGAGATGTGGGAGCCAGATGGAAAAGAGCCTTATGGGCCACGGTCAAGACCTCATGCCTTTCAGAGTGATGTGTTATGTGGTTCACACCCCGTAGCAACTCTGTGATAGTTGTTGTTCTTATTATCCCTTTCTTTACGTGAATGCACTGAGATACATTGCCAAAAGCCCCCTTTATTTTACAGCTGAGAAAATTCATACCCAGAGTAGGGAAGCAACTTGCCCAAGGCCACAGAGTGGGAAAAATGGCACGGAGCTAGGGTTCGGGTTCCCTGATTCTTGGTCCAGAACCCTTTCTCTCATGTCTCTGCTCCAGAAATGAACTTCTTTTGAAGGAGGTGACTCTGGGCCTCTCTTGAAGATTCAGATTAGATCCTGGAGCTCTTAACACTGTGCTTTGCTGCCCAGATCTTCTATGTTAACTACAGTATTTCCTTCCTAGGAAGAGGTTTAACATGGAAAACCTGAGAAAGGCTAACACATTAAACATGTATGTTAGTAAATCCTGGAGGAGGGAAGGAAGGCCATTGACTGGTGACATGGCGGTGGCATCAGTCATAGTAAATACTGATACCAACTGATTGCTTCCCATGTGCCTGGCCCTGTTGTAAGCTGGTGAAGTGTGATAGTTTAAGTATTCTTTACCACTACTCTAAGAAGTAGGTACTGGGCCAGGCGCAGTGGCTCCCGCCTGTAATCCCAGCACTTTGGGAGGCCAAGGCAGGCGGTTCACCTGAGGTCAAGAGTTCATGACCAGCCTGACCAACATGGAGAAACCCCATCTCTACTAAAAATACAAAAGTTAGCCGGACGTGGCGGCACATGCCTGTAATTCCAGCTACTCGGGAGGCTGAGGCAGGAGAATCACTTGAACCTGGGAGGCGGAGGTTGTGGTGAGCCAAGATCACGCCACTGTACTCCAGCCTGGGCAACAAGAGTGAAACTCTGTCTCAAAAAAAAAAAAAAAAGAAAAAAAAGAAGTAGGTACTGTTGCTACCCTCATTTTACAGTTGAGGAAACTGAAGCAAGAAAGATGATCTAACATGCCCAAGGTTACTCTGAAAGTCATAGCCAAGAGCATGTGTCCATTTCCCATGGGTGTCTGGGGAATGCATCAGAGCCGCCTTTCAGTTTCCTATGTTGTGACCTGAAAGACGCACCTCCCTTATAGCTTCCCATCAGACACAAAGACTTTCAGAGCTTGACTGGCATGATGACTTTCAGACATCTCCCATGAAAGAAGTCGCCAAGTAGATGCCATGTCTTATCCCCTCTCTGACACAGAGCATGAGTGTTTCCACTTGCTGTTATTTGAGTAGAGAAAGAAGTCATCCCATGGATTGAAAACAGGACTCAGTACAGGTTGAATATCTCTTATCCAACATGGTTGGGACCAGAAGTGTTTCAGATTTTGATTTTTTTTTAATTTTGGGATATTTGCTGAATACATCCCTGTTGAGCATTTCTAATGCAAAGATCCAAAAAATGGAATGCTCCACTCAGGATTTCCTTTGAGCATCATGTCAGGGCTCAAAAGTTTTGGATTTTAAAGCATTTTGAATGTCAGATTTTTTATTAGGGATGCTTAACCTGTATATGCTAATCTGCTAATTATGATGATGACTGGCATTTATGTAGTGCTTATTCTCTCCAACAGACTATCACATACGGTCATTACATCATTCAGTCCTCCAAGGATTCTGGGTGGTAGACATTCTTGTCCCCATTTTATAGATGAGAAAGCTGAGATGAATTGGTGAAGCCTAAATGATTTGCTTAGTCATACTACTGATAAATTTCACAGAGAGAGAAGACTGGAACCCCAATCCAGACCCAAAGTTCGCACTACTAATCTACACTGGCTGAACAGCTGCACTCTGAATATAGCCTTTGCAACTCCCAGAGGCAACAGATCATGAAAGCCCACATGCATAAAGAGCCAAGGCAGCTTCCTGGGGTATCTACTTAGACTCAAAAAATATTAAGTAAGCCAGTTGCTAGGATTGGCTCTCTACTAAAAAGATTGTTTTTATTCTCCGGGAACTGGCTGGCTGCATCTGTTTCACTGTTGGATTGCTGAAGGGTTGACACCCACTGGCCACATTTAGGAGTTCATGTTGATATTACTGTTGTGAAAAAGCACATATTGGTCCTCACCATCTATATGACTGTGATTATTTTTCTCTCTTCCATTTCACGCAACTTTTGCTCACAGCCTACTTGGCATAATTGACACATTGGCTCAGGCCACCAAGACTGCCAACTTGGAGCCTTGGATTAGTTAGATCAGTTATGACAGATGTGATTATTTACAAGAAAATAGAAGTCACTATAATTAAACCTTCCAAGGAGTACATTTGGGTGGAGAATGAGAAAGCACAAGTTTAATCTGGCATGATGTGTTTGGATTTCAGCCCTGAGCAGGTTCTTCTCTAGCTCATGAAAGGAGGTATTGGGGTGTCTGGCACCCTCTGTAGACACTGCCATCTCTCAATTCTCCTGACACAGCTATTGATAAATGGAAAGACCAGGTGGTAGAGTTAGCATTAGTTGGGGTACCCAGTAGAAGTGGGTTTAGTTCTCAGCTCAGCCACTGGTCCCTGGCATCGGTTTGTTTTTTTAATCATAAATGGGGATAAAAACATAATCCCTACCTCATCCTAGGTCTGGGAAAATTAGCAGTGATAAAGTAAGACAGGTGTGGAGCATTGTGCCCAACATAGGCACTGAGTGTTAGATGTTCCTGCCTTTCTTGAGCCCACAACTTAATCTCCTTGAGTCTCGTTTTTCCATCAGAAAATATAGATGATGAGCATCTTAACAGTGGATGTGAGGGTTGGAGGAAATGAGGTATATGAAAGGGGTTCATAATCATTTGTTGCTGTTTCAGACCTGTCTTTCTGTTATTATTTTTATACAAATCTTAATAGTTCCCATTTATTGTACGTACCACGGGCCAGGCACTGCAGTGGGCAGGGTCGGCTTCTCCGTTAGGTACAATAGGCACAGTGCCTAGAGTCTGTGATACTTTGATGGGCCCAGAAAATGCTCATTTTTATTGCTCTTAAAATCAGAAGGAAAAAAGTGAATATAAGAATAATGAATATAAAATCAAATATAAAAATAATAAATACAGGCATACCTCATTTTATTGCACTTCACTGTATCACGCTTCACAGATAACTGTGTTTTATAGCAAGAGAACTAGAATTAGAAGTGGAGCCTGAAGATGTGAATGAACTGCTGCAATCTCATGATAAAGTTGAACAAATGAAGATTTGCTTCTTATGAATAAGCAAAGAAAGTGGTTTCTTGAGATGGAATCCACTCCTGGTGAAGATGCTGTGAACATTATTGAAATGACAACAAAGGATTTAGACTATGACTTAAACTTAGTTGATAAAGCTGCCGCAGGGTTTAAGAGGATTGACTCCAATTTTGAAAGAAGTTCTACTGTGGGTAAGATGCTATCAAACAGCATCGCATGCTACAGAGAAAGCTTTTGTTAAAGAGTCAATCGATGCAGCAAACTTTGTTGTTGTCTTATTTTTAAAAATTGCCGGCCGGGCGTGGTGGCTCATGCCCTGTAATCCCAGCGCTTCAGGAAGCTGAGGTGGACGGAACACCTGAGGTTAGGTGTTCAAGACCAGCCTGGTGAAACCTCGTCTCTACTGAAAATACAAAAATTAGCCAGGTGTGGTGGCGCACACCTGCAGTCCCAGCTACTAGGGAGGCTGAGGCAGGAAAATCACTTGAACCCAGGAGGCGGAGGTTGCAGTGAGCCAAGATCACGCCACCACACTCCAGCCTGGGCGACAGAGCAAGACTCCGTCTCAAAAAAAAAAAAAAAAAAAGGGAGATTGCCATAGCCACTCCAGCCTTCAGCAACCACCACTCTGATCAGTTAGCAACCATCACCAATAAGGCAAGACCTTCCACCATCAAAAGGCTAAAGGGGCAGATGATTATTAGCATTTTTTAACAGTGAAGTATTTCAAATGAAGGGTGTGCATTTTTTTTATGTGTACTGCTGTTGCTTATTAGACTATAGTACAGTGTAAACATAACTTACTGCACTAGGAAATCAAAAAATTCATGTGACTCACTTTATTGTGATACTTGCTTTATTGCAGTGGTCTGGAACTGAAGTCTCAATAGCTCCAAAGTATGCCTGTAATAATAAACATAATAATGAATCTATCTTTTTTTTTTTTTTTTTTGAGACAGAGTCTTGCTCTGTCGCCAGGCTGGAGTGCAGTGGAGCAATCTTGGCTCACTGCAACCTCCGCCTCCTGGGTTCAAGTGATTCTCAATAATGAATCTGTCTTATGTCCATCTTTATACTGATACAGTTGTAAAGCCTCATTTTTATTTAGTTATTCTTTTTTTTTTAATAGAGGAAGGCACCTACAAAACGAAAGTGCCTAGGGCTTACAAAAGTCATATGCAGCCTTTACAAATATTAGCTCAGTCATTTTCAGAAAGGTTTTTCCAATTATCATTTTAGAGATGAGGAAACTGAAGCTCAGGGAGGCTAGGAAACTTATCCAAAGCCTCTTAAGAGGCTATGTTAGTCAGACTGGGCTAACAGCTGTAACAACCCCAGAATTTAAATGGCTTAACACATTAGGAGTTTATTTGTTATTGCCATAACAATTCAGGGTGTATGTTTGGCAGGTAGTCTACACAGTGATTCAGGGACCCAGGCTCCTTCCCTCTGGTGGCTTTTTCTCCCTCTAGTGCTGGGAGCTCTCCATGCAGATGGTGGATGGAGAAAGAGAACAAAAAGTGGGGGATTTTTATAGGCCAGGCCTGGAATTGGCCCACATCACTTCCACACACATTCCACTGGCCAGAATGCAGTCACGTGATCGTAGCTAACTGCAAGGAAGGTTGGAAAATGTAATGTAACTGCATGCCTGGGCTAAAGAGAGGAACACGGATCCTGGGGAGTACTCACAGTGTTAGATTCCAGTCCAGGTCTTCTGCACACAATGCCCGCGTGCTTTCCACACCCTCCTTAGCGATTCTTATCACTCTTAGCTCCCACAAGTCCCCTTTACAGGCCCTTTTATCCTGCCCCACCTGCCCACTCACTGTGCCCAGCACCAGACCTTTGCCCACTCAGGATCAGTTGCCGTATGAGGCACTAGGAAGAGGAATGCATTGGGGAGCTTACCAGGCCAACTTGAAGAGGCTGCAACCAGATGTTATGCTCTCTGTATTGCCCAACCCCAGGCCCACAAGGCACTGCTGGGCACACTACCTCCTCAGCATGGGAAAAGGGGGCTGCAAAGAGGGTTTCAGAGGGCCAGGAAGAAAAAGGTTTGAACTGAAGTCTTGGCTGCACTATGAACCTTGGGCAAGGCATCAGCAGTAAGGGGACAGTGCCAGATGATCCTGCACACTAAAATACCACAGTTCTGTGATTACTGCCTCTTGCCAGAAGTGAACTGTGTGGCCCTGCCCCTGACCCATCATTGTGCTGCCTTTGGACACCCATTATCCTACAAGACAAAGCTACAGGAGCCAGCTGGAGGCTAGATGGCCTGTGGACACTTTCCTGTAACTGCTGGGCAGGCCTGGTGACCCTGGCAATGGCCTGGTGATGCTGGTGTTGGTGGGCACCCCACTCCTCTAGGATCAGGCCAAAGCTGTCTATTATGAGATCCTTGAGTGGAATCAGCATGTCTCCCTCCTCCAGGAGGCCTTCCCAGATTGCTCAGCCCTCAGTGTTCCCACCTCTTCAAAGCTCAGGGCACTTGTTATCATTCAACCTAAAGGTCCTGGCTTGCCTCATAAGATTTCTCATCATCACCCCCTTTTTATTTGCTCTTGGCTTCGGAGGCAAGGAATCCAGGACTATGTTTAGAGCCAAGTGAGTCAGGGACTCTCCTGAGCACTCTGTAAGCGTCAAATGCTGCAGGGCATTGGGTCAATTCTAACATTTCATCCAGATTTACAGTCGGACTGGGTTTTTGTAAAGAGAGAGTTGGCGCCCAGGCAACATCCTTCTCTTTATTTGGGGTTGAGAAAAGCACACTAAGGAAAATTAAAAAAAAAAAAACAACCATTTTGCCTATAGTCATCTGAAATCTTCACATTCATACCCCTCGTGTCTGCAAGGCGAATATGACCATGTTTCATCCCCATGTCTGTGTTGGACACAGCGTAGTCTCAATCAGACCCGGTCACCTCCCTTTGCTGCCATTTGAGAGCTGATCGATGCTGGACCCGCTCCCTCCTCCCTCTCTGCCTAGTTTCTCGCCCCTCAGATTAGGCTCTGTCTGTGGCTAGCTTGAGGGGTGGCCATGAGGCCTAAATGAGGGCGTATCTATATGGAGACAGCACTTGGCCTGGGGCTCTCCCACATTCCCTGTTAGTCTCTCACACAGGCACAAAACCTTGCTTTAAAAATGTGTCTTACGATGAAACTTGGCATCCAGGACGCGCCCCGTGAGGAATTTGTTTTTGTTTTAATGCCGAGGACGTTTGCATGAAAACAGGATCTTCGTTGCTTAGGAATTGATCAACTCCTGCTGCTGCTTTTCCCTGCTGAAGTGCCAGTCCCATATTTGTCACAGGCAAACCAGTAACTGTAGGGATGGTTGGGACCTCCACAGATAGAGGATGGTGGCTGCTCAGGGGTATGCAGAGGCCATGGAGCCAAAGGAGAGAATCAGGAACCCATCTCAGGCAGCAGCAAGCTCGCAGATAGACCGCGTCCTTAGCCATAGGACCACAGCAAGAGTGAAGATTTTTTGTGGGTCTAGTTTGTTCTAGATGCTCAGGGGAGAAGAGAACGAAGAGAGAAGGCATTAAGACTCAGCCTCCATCTGCAAGGAGCTGAAGGCCTTCTTGAAGGCCAGATGGGAGGCCAGTGCATGAGAAGACAGTGGTTAGACCCAAAGTAACAATGAAGACCCCAGGCAACTGAGAAGAGCCAGTGCCTGCAGTGGGAAGGCTGGGAGTGAGACCGGGATCTGCCACCTACCCACGAGGTCACCTTGAGCAGGCTGCCTGACCACTCTGCACCTCTGTTTCCTCACCTACAGAATGGCACTCTCCCACCAGAGCCTTATGAGATGCTCCATGCTAAATGCATGGCATAGAGTAAGCATGCCAGCAGTCCAGACCGTTATTCCCAGCATGCGTGCTCACAGTAGATGCTCTCCATCCTCAGGAGGAGATACAAAGATGGCCATAGAAGGCTTTTTAGAAGAAGGACTTGAACTTGGTTTGAAAGGAGGAGAAAAAGATTACCTGGGAACAAGAGTGTTCCTGATGTTCAAGTGGCCAGACTGGGACACATCTGCTTCCACTGCAGTCAGTTCCTAAGGAGGTTTTCCAGGCACTATCCAAGAAACCAAAGTAGAATTGCCCGCATGAAATTGGAGGGGGTGTCCTGCTCCATGGGGACCCCAGCTCATTTTTGGCCTCAGCCTGGCCCCACAGGCATCGGCATAGAAAGGACAAAGTTGACGAGAGCCCAGACTGGGCACTCCACTGGGTCAGGCCCTTCCTTTGCCTCCAGGCTTGGCTTCCAGAAGGCAGTGAAGTGGTTACATCCAAATACCCACAAGAGGCCGGACACCTTTCTCTCCCGTATCCTTAATATATGCTAATCAAAGCTGAGAGCCTGCAGAAAATATCTGCTTGGCCAAAGCCCCACACCCTCGCCTTGGCTGGGCTGCCCACCCTCCCCAGGCCTCCCCTCCCATCTGCCTAGCTAAAGGCGTCCATAAATCCAGCTTTCAGAGCTCTCAGGGGTTGGCGAGACTGCCATGGACCTCAGTCACATCACGATGGAAACAATTGAAAACCACTTGGCAAAAAGAAGGGGTGATCTAATGTTTGATAGCAAGAATACATTTTTTTTTCCTTGCCATTCTTACTCAAACCCAGGGGGAAAAGCCGGCTGCTCTCCAGTCCCTGTCAGATCAGTACCCCCAGGGTCCCTGACTCTTGTCCTCTGTCCCAGAGGAAGTCCAGGCTGTGGGGCTGGCTGTGGCCTCCTCGCAGGCCAGGGAGGAGCAGAGCTGGCCCTGCCTTTCTGACTGGCCAGGCTGCCTTGGGCCCCTCAGAGGCGAGGAGATGGCCACAGGGGCCTGTGGAGAAGCCCATATATAGAGCCTGGGGAATGTGGGCCTCTGGCAGGCGGCCTGGAAAAAATGGCCGTGTTCTGAGGGTGAACGCCGCCGAATTATAAATAGCACCCGCCTCCCTCCCCTTCAAGCTTGCTGTGTCTGTCACTGGAGAGTTGACAGTTAAAATTCAAGAGGACTGAACAGGACAAGGGAGCGGGAGCGGGGGATGGGGGAGATGCCGGATTGTGCAGGAAGCTCAGCTGCTGTCTTGGGATTGATACGGAGAATAGTCACCAGACGACGGGGCTGAGAGAGGGATGCATTTGGGGTGGCAGAATGACTCCTGATTTTATGCATTTTTATAAGCTGAATAAGAATGGAAGGAAAACTAAAGGAAGCTTCAACTCCACGAGATGGTTTTATGGGTGCTTTAGAGCCTTTAAAAATAATAAGAATAAAAATCAGCTGTCTCCGAATATTAAAGGTGTCTCTCTGGTTCCGAAAGGTCAGCCACCCTGGCTTCCAAATCAAAGCCAACGGCCAGGTGCCCACACAGGCCCGTGCCTTGAGCCTCCTGCCAAAAGGTTTCTTAGTGTGTTTTTATGTCTCCCTGACATGGAAGCAGCAGGGATGTTTCCCCAGCCCCTAAAACCTCTGCACATTGTGCTCACCCAGCAGAGGGTGATGATTCAGGAGGAGTCAGAAATAAAGAAAGGAAGGAGTGTGCAGCCCTCGCCATGGAAAGCCACACAGCCGTTCACATCTGGGTAGCAGTGAGGGGTGGGCAATGTTCTCGCGAATTCTAGATTCTGGAGGAGGGGTGCGCTGGTTCTGCAGGGACCAGGAGTCCCTCTTTGTGTCCTTGGATCTGCTGGCAACTCCTGGGAACCAGCTGCCAGGCTTCCTGACTTGCTGCCCAGCCCTGCATGGACGGGAACTAGAGTTCTGCTGGGCGCTGGGATGGGATACAATGGAGGTGCCTAGGGGCTTGTTGGGGGCTGGGCCAGCTCCGTGGGCATCTGTGCCTCCTCTGTGAGCAGGCTAAGCTATAGTAAGGGCTTATCTCCTTTGTTTTAACAGTTGGGGCTTTGGCTTCCATAGCAATGATTTGCAAATAGGGTAATTTATTGGCTTCTCTCCTCCTGCCTTGATAAATCTCATATCTTACATCCTTTGGAGCCTCATTTGAAATCAAACACTTAAAAAAAAAAAAAAAGGAGCACTCATGCCTTTGTTATCTTTTGGACACTTCTCAAAAGAAGATCCCTGGACCCCATAGGATGCAGGCAACACAGAGATGTGAGGTGAGAGCGGGTAGACATTAGAACTTGACACACAGTGATGCTACAGGCATGACTTTATTTATTTATTTATTTATTTATTTATTTATTTAGAGACAGAGTCTCAGTCTCACCCAGGCTGGAGTGCGGTGGCGCGATCTCGGCTCACTGCAACCTCCAACTCCTGGTTTCAAGTGATTCTCATGCCTCAGCCTCCCGAGTAGCTGGGATTACAGGCATGTGCCACCACGCCTGGCTAATTTTTGTATTTTTAGTAGAGACAGAGTTTCCCCAGGTTGGCCAGGCTGGTCTTGAACTCCTAACTTCAGGTGATCCACCCTCCTTGGTCTCCCAAAGTGCTGGGATTACAGGTATGAGCCACCGTGCCCAGCCTAGTGTGACTTTAAAAGTGTGCTTCTAGGAGCCCTATTGAGAGAGGATGCCTCGGAGGCCCAACAGTAAGGGGACTTCCAGACCCTGGCTCCTATGTCAAGCAAAGCAGCTCTACTCTTACTGCTATTAGGTATTAGATTGCATTTTGAAAAAATGAATTTCATGCCTTAAAATGCTTGGAAACCAGTATCATAACTTACCCCACGATTTTAGTGCTAAGTGAACGAAGGCCCAGCGAGTGAAGGGGATTTTCTGAAGGTCAAGACCTCCACTTGGGTTGCTGCTGTGATGGCGGCTCTTGTTTTGGGAAGGGAAATCCCAGAGGTTGGAACCAAAAGGGACCTGAGAGAGCATTTTATCAACCCCCTTCCTTCAAAACTGAGGCCCAGGGAACAGTGGGATTTGCTCAAGGACCAGCGAGTAGCAGACCTCAGACTTGAAGCCATCTCATAGGAGGCATGCTCGTAAAAGGAGGCCTGATGTGCTATAAAAACTGCAAATGGCAGGATTTACCCTGATGGAGACAGCTTCCCGGAGGAAGTGGTAACTGAGCTGAAAAGATGACTGGTGAAAAGAAGGTGACGAGAGCCTCCCAAGCAGAGGGACTGCTCCTGGGTTTGGTCCAGTGCTCATCTCCCCACTCCTGGGAAGCAGAGGTCCGGAAAAGATGACAGCTCTCTGGGTAGACTCTTCCCATCTGTCTCTGCATTGACTTCTTGCCGGGTGAATGTGGGAAGCCAGCGACATCACCACCTGCCAGGTAAGGCCTGTGCCTGGGCTATCGGAGTGGTCCTCCGGTGGGCGCGGAGCCCGGCGGATGGTGAGTGGAGACTGCTCCCGAGAGAGGCGTTTCTGCTGGAGCTGGGCAGGTGGTGGCTCAGTGTGGCAGGCTGGAAGGCTTGCTGCAATAGGACTTGAATACATAATGTACCTCATCCGATTTCAGCTGTGAGAAAGTCCAGACAGCCTCCTCTAGACAGGAAAGGACGTTGCAGGGACAGGTGGTATGTTTTCTGTAAAATTCCCTATGAGCTCCTTGGGGAGAATGTTAGTAACCCTCTCAGGATGTGTCCTTCCCATGAATACAGCGTGTGTCCTGGTCTGGGTCCCAGATCCTGTGTCTGGTCTTTGGGTGCCAAATTTATTTATTCCTTTATCAAGACAGAAGGAAATCTTGGGCAAAGGTCCCTGGAATTGGGGACCTTGATCATTGTCTCTTGGCCACACTTTAAAATGAATAACATGTTCTTTACAACAAGTAACATCCTAGAAGAAGGATTCCTGTTCTTATACTCAGCTCTCTCTGACATGTGAAAAACTAGCATCTGCTCAGGCCTGCAAAGGCCATCTCGTCTAACCATGGGTTAAATGTACTCTCCATCTTCATGAACCCTGCAGAATCAGCGTGAATCCAGGGCAGCTGGGGAGAGTATGTGCAGTGCTTTTCCAACCCTGAAGTCGAAGCAGAGACCTCCCAGTTGGGGGTGGGTGATAAGACTCCTACATGAAAGGTCTTACTTTGCATTTATGAGATTCAGAGTCCCCATTCTAACATGAGCACCCAGGTCTTGGGACTCTGAAGATCCCACTTTCTACTCCGACTGTCTCCATGCCCACTTTCTCAAAGCAGGTTCTCAGAAGCAGTCCTGCAAGATGCTCTGTGACAAAGAGGTTCCCTTGTCATTTCAGTTTGGGAAATGCATACTGATCTAATGCATATTAGATCTCTGCTCAGATATGGACAGCTCTGAGGGGTCTTCCCAGACCAGTTACGGCTGCTGTTGACACCTTCTATCCACTCATCCTGCTCAGTTCTTCTTCAGAGTACTTTTACCTCCTGATTTCATATTTACCTGTTGACTTTTGCGTTGTCTGTCTTCCACACAGTAGTGAAGCTCCATGCTGTAGGGCACTTGTCTGTTTTGTTGAAGACTGTATCCCTGGCACCTAGAACACTGTCTAACTTAATAAAACACTGTGTCGAATGAACACATGAATCAATTCAGACATTCAAACCCTCAGAACTCCTCCATATATAATTCTGTTTAATTTTGTTGAGCTCAATATTTTTTCAGACTTCTTTCCCCTTTTCTTTCATGCCTGTCTCATCTCATCACTTAGTCCTGAGTCAAAGCTGACCCTGGGAGGCCGGCCTTGTCCACCCTGTGGAAACCTGCTCTTTCTCATCACTAGGATGCATTTTCTTTATGGCATTAATGACTGGCAGAAATTAGCTTGTGTACTTGTGTACTTATAAGTTCACCTGTGCATTGGCTCACTCGCTGATCTCAGCTCCATGAGGACAGAGGACAGAGCCTGTCCCATGCACCACTGACTCTAAGTGCCTAGAACAAACAGGGCCTAGGAAATGCTCAGTAGTGATTTGCTGCATGGAGAGATATTGTCCAATGAACCCTCACCCACAGCCCATAGAACTGAAATTCTACCGAACATGCTCGGGGACGTGCTGTTCTCTGTCAACCCTCGCAACAAGTTGTCAGCCATTGTACAGTGCCTGTTCCCCTCTTCCATCAAAATACAAAGTGTCAGAACTGGAATGTACCTTAGATATCATCCAGCCCAGTGCTTATGTTTTTCGGAGAAAGAAACAGAGGGTCCAAGAGGATCACTGGTACCAATATAGGGCCGGTCCCCTGGGTCCCCCATCTCTTGGTCTGATTGTCCTCCTGTATTAGTTTTCTATGGCTGCTGTAACAAATGACCAAAAACTGATGATAGAAAACAACAGAAATTTGTTATTTGACAGTTCTGGAGTTTGAAAGTCCAAAGTGGACCTCACTGAGCTAAAATTAGAGTGTTGGCAGGGCTGTTCCTTCTGGAGGCTCTGGAGGAGAATCATTTTCTTGCCTTTTCCAGTTTCCAGAGGCTGCCCATGTTCTTTGACTTAACAGCCCCCGTCCATCTTCAAAGCCAGCAGTGGTCAGTTGAGTCTTTCTCCAGCCGCATCATTCCAACATTGACTCTCCTGCCTGGCTCCTTCATTCATAAAGACCCTTGTGATCACATTGAGCCTACCTGGTTAAGCCAGGATAATCTCCCCATCTCAAGATCCTGAACCTAATCGCATCTGCAGAGTCCTTTCTGCCATGTGAGGGAACATAACTGCAAGTTCTGGAGATTGGAATGTGGACATCTTTTGAGGGTGATGGCACTATTCTGCCTGCTGCACCTCCAGTCACACCATCTGCCTGTTGGTATATCCTCTTGCACATGCACATTCTCCCCTGATGACCCCCACACCTTCTGTGCCCCATTGTCACAGTACTTGTCACATTGCTTTATAGCTGGCTTAGTGCCTGGCTGCCTGGCTGGGTCATGACTCCCTTATGGCCGGGGCATGGTCGTTATACTCAACCACTGGCACATCTCTGGTACTTGGTAAGCATGTGGGTTGTTCTGGCTGCCTTGGCTGAGCTGTCTTCCTACACCCCATCCCTGTTCTTGTTCAATGATCTTAAACCGCCTCCCTCCAAGTCCTAGTTTTCGAGCTCTGCCATGGGATCAGGCCTCTCTGAGGTCAAGAGAGATCCTGGCCACCATATTTTAGTCCATGTTTTTAGTCTCCTGACATATGAAGATATGCCTCTGTCAACCAGGGGCTCAGAGTCCATGACCTCTAAGTTCCCTTCTTACCAACAAGAAGTGCATGGTTTTTGGCAAAATGGCTATAATATTTGGTAAAGAAGCTGATTCACCTGCAACCTCAAAGAGAGACTCCTGGTCTGTAATTTATCCTTCTCCATATGCAGGTAAGTGAAATGGAGGGCTACAAAAAGCAGGACAATGTCATTTGTCAGAAACCACGCTGCACCAACCCCTTTGGACCTAAATTAATGTATTCCATCAAGCCATAAATTCCCCTCTCCCCCTCTCTTTATTTCCTCCTTCATTATCCCCTGCTCTCCAGGAGGAGTTAACAGACAACTCAAGGATACATCTCACTTACCAGGGGCAGGACTTGGGCTCTGCTCAGAAAAGAAGCCCATTATTCCCGAATCTGTGACTCTAAGGGTGATCACACCTTCTGCAGCTGAAGGGAGTACAAAGAAACACTTGAGCCTAGTGGCATCAGCCCTATTTTCTTCACTAGAGGGAAAATGGGCCATTATTCTCGCCTTGCTCCATTCCCACCAGCCCTGGGTTTAGCAGGTTCCATGCTGGACACTCCAACAACATATTAGCATATTTTGCATTTAAAAAGGGCTTGGAAAATGAATTAAATGATTGGCATGGTGTTCCCAACGGTTTTTCCCAAACTACTAGTAATTGTGTGGTTTTGAAATTTGCCATTTCTGCCTGCCATGCCCTCAGCCTGGCAGCCAGCTTAATCAGGAGACACTGTACCAGGCGGGGGCATATTTTAAGGCTCATGATACCCAGTGATTGTCAGAACAGTACCTGCAGACTTGCTAAAGAGAACCTTGTCCTAGTTTTTCAGCAGAGCTTGCAGTTCATTTTCCTTCCTTACAGAGCTGAGATTTATACCAATTAGAATCTTCTTTTTATGAAAGGGTCTGGGTCAGCCCTTTGAGGTTGCTGAAGCGCCGGGCAGTGTAGACACCATCCAAATCCTGACACGGAGCTAACAGAGGTGCAGCTTAGGGGCGGTGCTAGGGAGTGTGCTTGTTCACAGCGCACGGCACTGCTCTAGCCAAAAGGTCTGTGTGTAAGGGGCGATTGTCTTTGGAAAGGTGGAAGCTTCTAGAATGTGTTCGGAAAAATGTGTTCAGATCCAACTTCTTCATTTTTCAGGCAAGAGAGAGAGAACCCAGAGAGACTGTTACATGTGCAGGGTCACAGCCATTTTTACTCTTCTGTGAGAGTAGAATTCAGAGTCTTCTGACTCTTAATATAGGTTTGTTAATTTTATAAGTCCATGGAAAAGAAAAATTAACCAAGAGTTAAGAGTTTTAGGTTGAACAGGGTTCCTAGGCGGAGGTGAGAAAGCCTAGGATGGATGAATTTAGAAAATGACAAGCTCTGAAGGCACCTTAGGCATTTTTATTTTTATTTTATTTTCAGGCAGGATCTCGCTCCCAGGCTGGAGGGCAGTGGCTCTATCTCGGCTCACTGCAACCTTCGAATCCAGGCTCAATTGATCCTCCCACCTCAGCCACCCAAGTAGCTGTGACTACAAGTTTGCGCCACCATGCCTAGCTAATTTTGGGGATTTATTTGTTTGTTTTCTCCCCTGTAGAAACAGGGTTTCGCCATGTTGTGCAGGCTGGTCTCAAACTCTTGGACTCAGGTGATCTGCCTGCTTTGGCTTCCCAAAGTGCTGGGATTACAGGTGTAAGCCACCACACCCAGCCTACGTAAGCTTTTTTTTAACTACCGAGGATTGTTATTCATTAATATAATTAATGATGATAACAATAGTAATACTTGCTAACATTTGTGTGCTTTCTCAGTGCCAAGCACTGTGCCAAGTGCAGGACATGTATTAGATCACTTAATTGTTGCAACAACTCTGTGAAGAAAGTTGGTACTAATAGAGCCCTGTTTTACAGATGAGAAAACTGAGGCTCAAAAAATTAAGTAACAGACCCAAGGTTACCCAGATCTGTCTGACTTCAGAATCAGAATCTTTAGGGGAAAAAAAGAGAATCTGACTTCAGAATCAGAATCTTTAGGGGGTGAAAAAGGAGAGAATCTGTACATAAATAATTAAGAAATGGGATTCTCAAGGTCGGCAGCCCTCTTTAAAGTATTTAGGTTGGTGCAAAAGTAGTTGCAGTGAAAAAACCACAATTACATTTGCACCAACCTAATATTAAATACAGAGACAAGATGAAATAGAGAAGAGCTGGATGCAGTGGCTCATGGCTGTAAGCCCAACACTTTGGGAGGCCAAGGCAGGAGGATCCCTTTGAGCCCAGGAGTTCAAGACCAGCATGGGCAACATGGCGAGACCCTGCCTCTACAAAAAAATTTAAAAATTAGTTGGACATGTTGGTGCACAACTGTAGTCCCAGCTACTCGGGAGGCTGAGATGGGAGGATCACTTGAGCCCAGAAGGTTGAGGTTGGAGTGAGCCATGATCTCTCCACTGCACTCCAGCCTGGGCGACAGTGAGACCCTGTCTCTAAATAAATAAATAAAAGAGAAAAGCTGGCTCGCAGGAGAGACCTAAGGGCACCTAGACAGCACTGGCCAGGAGAGCAGAGGCGAGTGCAGCGTATATGGAACAAAAGCACCCCTGTGGAGTGGACAGAAGCACAGACCTAGGGCTTAGGAGAGGAATGAAACAAAAATTCCTGTTTCTTCAGGAGCTGAAGATAGAGAAAGTATCTGTACAGTGCATGTGCGTGTGTGTGTTAGTGATATGGAGGAAGAGGATCTCACTCACACACCAGGAGACTGGAGGGAGGGTGCATTCTTATGCTGGCTGAGCATAAGGGTCATTACGTGGTCACTATGTGGATAAGAGTAACAGAAGAGAAACCAAAACCCAGGAAGACAGGGAGAGCTGCGGCCCACGAATGCATCTACCAGTGTGCAGCTAAACCCATGGCAGGAGACGCTGTCCTTGTGACATACCTTGTTGACCAGAGAGCTCCTCATGCTCTGTGTAATAACTAGGCGGGGCCATGGGCTGTGGGGGATGTGCTGGCGGCAGCCCTGGTGGCCATGGGCACTGAGAAGGGACTGCTCTGAGGGAATGAGTGGTTCATTTAATCGCAGGTGTGTTCCCACGCTTCGCAGGGCTGATGGATCGTGCCTGCAAAGGGGTTCTTGGAAGGCTCATTCTAGGTTGTTCTCATTGGGAATATAAATGAAGTACAACCGGTTTGGGCTCTACCCAGGGTGTTGTAGGTTTTTATTTTATTTTATTTTATTTTACACAGAGTACCCAGGAGATGGCAGATAATAATTCATTTATTTATCCACTACAAATTGAAGAAATTGATCTTTTTTTCAGTTATTAAAACACTACATTTCACCAAAAAGAAAACATTTACTTAACTCTGAGCCATTTATTAAATAGAATATTATAGAACAATTTGAAGTTAGGTTATGAAGACTCTGTAATAGTAAGGGTAGCTGCTTGCATGGGACATTATGTAAAATGAGGACTATATGTAACATATGTGTAGTGGAATAACATTTTCTGAAGGCATACAGATATGCCCAAAGATGGACAGATCAAGCAGCTTGCCTAAAGCCACACCGCTGGTAAATGGCTGAGCCAGGATTCATCAACCTAGGAAGGATGTGTTTTCTTAATCACAGCTAAACTAAACTACCAAGGCTATCTTATGGTACATTCCAACTTCAAATCTGCAAATCCAAAATCATTTGTTCAACTCTGCAAAAGTTGCATCAAACAAGGCTTGTTAACTTTTACTGTCACAGAAGCTTCAAGAACTTATAACAATGCTTAGAGTTGGGTAATGAACTATGCTAGTTTTTTCTTTACTTTTCAAAGTTTATTTAATGTGCTTATATTCTCTTTATAATGACATGGACGTACCTACATCCATACAAATCAGGGAGAAAATGAGAATAAGAACAATATGAAAACTCTCCCACCTCATTGTAAGAGTTGGGGAAAAACATATTTCTATTTGAGCACTGTTAGGAACCACACATGAAAGATTGGTCCCACCTTCAAGTGCTGAGGAACAGGGTAGAGACCAAATACACAAGCAAGTTTCTGTGACAACAGTTGAAAAGCTATAGCTGTAAGAGTTGAGTGTTCTGAATTTTCAGAGTGCCAAAAGGATATAAAATAAATGACCCCAGCCAGAATTCATCTTGACAAGCTTTCTGCACATATAAGGTGAGTTTGGAGAGACATTTACAAGTAGCAATGGCCTTCCCTCAACTGGTGGAAGGAATGGCATAGGCAGATTGTGAAGTGGAGCCCTGTTGGTGATGAAGAAGTGGGTTTGACACTAGGGAGAGTCTGAATGTGCCACATTGAGGGACGGAAGCATGTTAAGTTTTCAATATTGTCAGAGCTATTTGAACCAGAGCAACTCCATCTTGAATGGAGGCTGGGTAAAATGAGGCTGAGACCTACTTGTAAGGTTCTTGTATCAGTTCAAACCCTGAGCGTGTGCCGACAGACAACAGGAGGCGGTGTGGAGCAACTTGCTGTTTTAATGAGAGCCTGGGTGCACACGGGCTGAGGCCTAAAATGGCGTCAGCACCAAGTGAGGACGGGGCAAAGGATTTATAGTGTCCTGTAAACAGGAAGTGTCCTAGTCTGATGTAACTGCTACGTTGTACCCAGATGGCCTGTTTCTTGATCTTCAGGGGTACGTGTCTTCCAGCTGGCCTTCTTCCTGCTTCTGCTATTTTGCTGGCGCACACTGCTGGCACAAGTAGCCTTGCACCTTGGGACTGGGCCTGAGAAGGGAGGAGTTATTCATCCCCTTAAGCTTTCAGGCCCCGGGGAGAATCTTACATTCCTGTCTATTTGGTTATAGAAAAGGGAAAAGGGACAACTTTCTTAATAACTACTTCAGGCGGGACATAGGGGGTGGTGTGGGCACGTTGGAAAAAGAAAACCTTAATTTTTAGGTATTCTTGAGAGATGGGTTGGTATTCACCATGTCGTTGTAGCAGGAGCATCGCCTGCATTGTCTGGAAATATGTCTGTGCCTGCAAGACAGTTATGTTGAGAGGACAAGGAGGTGTCGACAGGGAGAAGCATGGCCTCATCTGCTGCTTTATGAATGAAACACCGTGTCTGGATTAAGGAGGGGAGGTAATTACTGCGTGGCTCAGAGTCTGGTAAGGATGGAGGCCCTAAGACAAAAGTTTGGCCATACATGATTTTAAAGGGACTATAAAAAGAGGGTGCTTTTGGTGTTGCACAGTTTCATGAGGGCAAAAGGGAGATGTTTTGTCCACAACTGGCGGGTTTCTAGAGCCAGCTTGGTGAGTTGGGCTTTAAGGACAGGGTTAATTTTTTCAACTTTGCCTAACGATTGAGGCCTGTAGGGTGTGTGGAGAACTTACTTTATTCTTAAGGATGTAGAGTCGCCTTGGGTAATTTAGCTGATGAAGGCGGGCCCGTTACCAGAGTGGATGGATGTTAGGAGTCCAAAACAGGGAATTATATGCATAAGAGTTTGTGTGACAATATTTGCAGCTTCTGAAGTTGTCGGGAATGCTTCTACTTATCTGGAGAAAGTACAGACAAAGACTAGAAGATAGCAGAGCCGTTTATCGGGCGGCATGTGAGCGAAGTCTACCTGCCAATCTTGCCCAGGTACCTGGCCTCGGGCTTGGTGGGTAGGAAAAGGCGGCGGCCAGAGGGAGCCCTGGGATGACACTGAGTGGCAGATAGAGCAGGACTGGGTAATTTATCAAACATGGCTGGAAAGGTGAGGACAAGTGAGGCTAGGGCGGAGACGTTACAGGAGAGGTTTGTAACCAACATGGAAAGACTTGTGGAGGCTTTGGAGGTGAGGAAGGCTTTGAGAGTGAAGAAGAACGAAGCGCCCTTCTTTGACATACCATGGTCCTTGCTTTTGAAGGTTTTGGGCTCGGAAGTCCTCCTTTTCTTCTGAGGAGTAAAGCGGAGAGAACAAGGACAGGGACAGAAACTGGCCTTGCACGGGTTGTAGGGCCACTTGTTTGGCTACCTGATCTGCTAGCACATTTCCAGCCAATATAGGATTGTCTGGGGTTTGGTGGCCCCTGCAATGAATGATGGCAACTTTTTGCGGGAGCCTGGCAGCTTTAAGGAGCTTGTTGATGAGAGAGCCATTTATGGCAGGAGTGTTTTTTGCAGTTAGGATACCCCGTTCTTTCCAGATGGATGAGTGTGAGTGCACTATGTGGAACACATAATGAGAATTTGAATATATGTTGATCTGTTGTCCTGCTGCTAGAGTGAGAGCTCGAGTGAGGGCGATGAGTTCAGCTTCTTGGGAGGTGGTGCCTAGCGGGAGGAGATTGGCTTCAATAGTGTGCATGTGGGGTGGTGACACTACAGCATAGCCAGCATTCTGGTGTCCTTGATGTAGGAAGGAGCTGCCATTCAAAACCAAGTAAAGGAGGCATCTGGAAGGGGTTGGTCTGTTAGGTTTGGAAAAGGTATAAGGAAGGTTTGAACAGTGTTTACACAGAAATGTGTAGGGTCTTGGGCAGTTGCAGCTTCAGGTAAGAGCGTGGCCGGGTTTAGATGGGAGATGGTTAGACGGTGATGTGGGGAGTTTCTACGAATAGAGCATACAGTTGGAGGAGCCGTGGGGCAGAGATGAGACTTAGTACACTGCGGTGAGCTAGCTTGTCTTTGATGTTATGGGTTGAATAAACTGTTAGTTTGGCTTGGAGAGATAGTTTTAGGCTTTCAAGGGTGAGGACAGCAGCTGCCGCCAATGCTCAGAGGCAGGCAGGCCGTCTGAGAACTGTGGCTTCAAGCTGTTTGGAGAGGTAGGCAACAACCTGGAGGGTGGGTCCCTTAGACTGGGTTAGAACACCAGTACAACTCCACGCCGTTCGTCGGTATAGAGGGAGAAAGATTTGGTGAAGTCTGAGAGAGTGAGCACGGGGGCTGAGGTGAGAGCCTTCTGGAGCAGACAGAAAGGTTGGGGAATAGGCTGTGCAGGGTTTGAAGTCTTATGGAGAGGGCCTTTAGCAGCTTAGTATAACGGTTTGGCAAGTAGAGCGAAGGAGGGAACCCAGAGCCTAAAATATCCTGCTAGTCCTAGAAAAGAGAGAATTTCTTGCTTAGTTTGCGGAGGCGGGAGGGACTGGAGGAGGGATATGCGGTCGGTTGTGAGCCCTCGGGTTTGCAGGGTAAGAGCTAGGCCTAGATAGGTGACCGAGGAGGTGCATATTTGTGCTTTCTTAGGGGAGACCTAATACTCCCGTTCTGCCAAGAAGTTTAAAAGAGATAGTATGGGCGTTGCAGTCCCTTTGAGAGGGGCTACACAGGAGCAGATCATTAACACATTGAAGGAGAGTGGACGGTTTTAGGGATAAGGTAAAAAGGTCGCAAGCAAGGGCCTGTACGAAGAGGTGGGGGCTGTCTCTGAAACCTTGAGGTAGTACACACCAGGTGAGCCGACGTGAAATGTGGGTGTCAGGATTTTCCCACATAAAGGCAAAGAGGTTTTGGGAATTCGAGTGTAAAGGAATTGTGAAAAAGGCATTGTTTAAGGTTTAGAACAGAAAAATGAGTGGTATTGGAGGGAATCGTGAAAAGTAAAGTATATGGGTTAGGAACTGCTGGACATACCGGGAGTACAGCTTGGTTAATGAGCCTGGGGTCCTGGACTAAGCATTAAGTTCCATGTGGCTTTTTAACAGGTAGAATTGGTGTGTTAAAAGGGGAGTTTGTTGGGCGGAGTAGGCGACTGGTGAGGAGGTGAGAAATGATAGGCTTTAGGCCTATGAGAGCTGCTGAGGAATGGGATACTGCTTCTGTGATAGGAACTGGGTGGGCTCTTTAACAGTAATGCGGACGGGGGTGTGGTGTTCTGTGACTGAAGGTGTGGAAGTATCCTAAACTGCGGAGTTAACTACGGGCGGCGGATAAGGAGAAGTTGCATGTTTTAAGGTGGGAGGTTGGAGGAGTAGAAGAAAGTTAGATGGCCCAGAGGAGTCTGGGTTGATGCGTTGGGTACTATGGGGAATGTGGATGTGGAGAGTAGTGTGGCGTTTTGAAAGGATGTCTCTGCCTAGGAGCGGAGTTGGGCATGAGGGCAGGACTAAGAAAGAGTGAGCGGGCCGGGCGCGGTGGCTCACGCCTGTAATCCCAGCACTGTGGGAGGCCGAGGCGGGTGGATCACGAGGTCAGGAGATCGAGACCATCCTGGCTAACACGGTGAAACCTCATCTCTACTAAAAAATACAAAAAATTAGCCGGGCGTGGTGGTGGGCGCCTGTAGTCCCAGCTACTCGGGAGGCTGAGGCAGGAGAATGGCGTGAACCCGGGAGGCGGAGCTTGCAGTGAGCTGAGATCGCGCCACTGCACTCCAGCCTGGGCGACAGAGCAAGACTCCGTCTCAAAAAAAAAAAAGAGTGAGTGAAGGAAAAGGTGTGCAGGGAGCAGAAAAGTGGAGGGCTGGCTCAGGGTTTGGAGACTTGTCCCTCAATTCCCACAACGGAGACTTGGGAGGACTGGGTGGGTCCTGAAAAATTAGGTAAAGCAGAGTAGGTTGCCCGGTATTAATTCAAAAATAACATACCGGCCCACCTGCCACCATCAGGGTTACCCTTGGCTTGGATGAAGTGATGGTAGTTGCCAGGGCGTCTGTTCCAGGGCACCCTCAGTCTTCAGCGGCAGGGCCGATGAGATCCAAGTAGGAGGTTTTGGCCGGCTCCGGAAGGGATGGGGGCGGTCCTTGCTGGGGCTGCTCATAGTCCGACTTCCAGTGGGGTCCTCCGCAGAGGGGGCACGGCCTGGTGCGCTTACCTGGGTTTGGGCATTGTCTGGACCTGTGACCTTCATTGCCGCACTTGAAACAGGCGCCAGGTGGAGGTGGATTGCTAGGAGGCTTCCGTGTGGAGCTATGGCCCCGTGGGCCTGCAGGGCCCCTGATGGCAGAGGTAAGCATTCGAAACTCTGCCTGTTTTTGCCTTTTACTTTCCTCATCACGATTGTTAAAGACTTTGAAGGCTAAATTTAGAAGGTCTCATTGTGGGGTTTGAGGGCCGTCATCAAGCTTCTGAAGCTTGTGCCGAATATCGGTGGTGGATTGGGAGATGAACCGAAGGTTTAAGATAGTGGTTCCTTCTGGGCTAGCTGGGTCTAGGTTGGTATATTTTTTAATGGCTTCAGTTAAATGAGAGAGAAAAAGGGCTGGGTTTTCATTAGGACCTTGGGTGATTTCTGAAAGTTTTTCATAGTTTACCGCTTTATGGGCACCCTTTTTGAGTCCTGCAAGGAGACACACAATTATGTGGTTTCAACGGTGGCATCCAGAGGCCCTGTCTTGATAATCCCAGTGGGGGTCCTGGTTGGGGACTGCCTCCGCACCAGTAGGCTGGGCAGGAGCTTGGTGATGAATGGTATCAGCATGTGCCTGAGCTACAGTCCAGATACGGTCTTGGTCTTCTGGGGTGAGGGTGGAAGAGAGGATAACCTAGAGGTCATGCCGGGTCAGTTCATAAGACTGGGTGAGGTACTGAAATTTTCTAATATAAGAGGTAGCATCTTCTGGAAATGAACCGAATCTTTTGTTAATTTGAGAGAGATCAGTGAGGCAGAAGGAAACATGAACTCTAACAATACCTTCATTTTCTACTACTTTCTGAAGGGGGTATTCTAGCACCGGCGCTGAAGTAAGGGCGGGGCATGGGCCAAAGATGGCGCCCGAGCGAGTAAGGGCAGGAGAGAAGGAAGAAGCTGGAAGTGGTTTCTGCTGAGGGTTTGAAGGGGGAAGGGTGGTTGAGTTGATAAGCAGTGGAGGATAGGGGCGTAAGGTGGTGGGATGGGTTTACAAGCCTCAGGAGAGGGCGGTGGGGGAGGAGAATGGGTACAGGCAATACTAGAATTGTCCTGAGTAGGGGACGGTGTAGGAAAAGAAGTGGATACTGCTTACTGAGAAGATGGCGACTGGGAAGATGGCAGCTGAGAAGACAACGAGGAGGCTTGCAGGGGTTAAAGAAGATGGTTGAGAGGAAGAGGTAAGGGCTGGGAGGGGTGGACAGCAGTCTGCTGGATTTAATGAGGAAAAAGAGGTAGGGTCGGGAAGAGAAAGGCGATCAGGGTGGCAAGAATGGAGAAGGATTTGAACAGGTAAGAAAGAATTGCAGAGGTTGGGTTGTGATTTGAGAATAAAAAGGCCTGGACATAAGGAACTTCTCATTTCTTCAGTTGTCAGCAATAATTGCTTAAGTCAGTTAAAATTGTAAAGTTGAATGTTTCATTTGCGGGCCATTTGGACCCATTATTTAATTCGTATTGTGGCCAGACTGAATTGCGAAAAAGACACAGCACTTAGGGCAGATATCTTGCCTGAGGCCTAAGGTTTTTAGGGTTTTTTTTTATGAGGCAGCCTAGAGGGCTGTCCTTTGGAGTGGAAGACTGGGAATTTCCCACAACAGAGGGTAGGCTGAGAGAACAAGGAAGAGGAGAACATCCTGGACAGCAAGAGGGGGACAATAAAAGGAGCAATTGTCACTGCTGCCATTTTCGTTCCCAGAACAGGATCTAATGGCTTAGAGGCACCCCCCTAAGGCCAGATGATCAGCAAGTGCCTGACACACACCGGAACCTTCTTGGACCAACGTTGGATTTTTGGACCAGAGAAATCAAGAGAGGCCATGTGGATTTTCCCCTGTTAACAGGGCTCCCGGGAAAACTTACCAGTAGGCGAGATCAGTGACCGATGTGCATGCACAGAGAGGCAACTGGAGGCTGAGGAGCTTCCTTTGTCCGGCTGCTGTGGCTTGCTCTCCGGGGTGGAGGGGTAGGTCCACAGGGGATGCAGACCTGAGCCCCTCCCCGGTTTTGGCACCTGACTTAAGGTTCTTGTATCGGTTCGAACCCGGAGAGCGCGCGTTCGAACCAACAGACAACACGAGGCGGTGTGGAGCAACATGCTGTTTTAATGAGTTCCTGGGTGCAGGCGGGCTGAGGCCTAAAATGGCATCAGCACCAAGTGAGGACAGGGCAAAGATTTTATAGTCTCCTGTAAACAGGAAGTGTCCTAGTCTGACGTAACTGCTACGTTGTACCTGGATGGCCTCTTTCTTGATCTTCACGGGTACGTGTCTTCCAGCCAGGGTAGGTGTCTTCCGGCCGGCTTTCTTCCTGCTTCTGCTATTTTGCTGGCCCACACTGCTGGCGCAAGGCTTGCGCCTTGGTACTGGGCCTGAGAAGGGAGGAGTTATTCATCCCCTTAAGCTTTCAGGCCCCAGGGAGAATCTTACACTACTGGGCTGCATTTCCAGACAATTAGGGCATTCTAAGGCACAGGATGAGGTAGGAGGTCCGCACAAGATACAGGTCATAAAGACCTTGCAGATAAAACAGCTTGCAGTAAATAAGCTGGCCCAAACCCACGAAAATCAAGATTTTGACCAGAGTGACCCTCTGGTCATCCTCACTGCTACACTCCCACCAGCATCATGACAGTTTACAAACACCATGGCAACGTCAGGAAGGTACCCTATATGGTCTAAAAAGGGGAGGCATGAAGAATCCACCCCTTGTTTAGCATATCATCAAGAAATAACCATAAAAATGGGCAACCCCTATGGAGTAGCCATTATTTTATTCCTTTACTTTCTTAATAAACTTGCTTTCACTTTATGGACTCGCCCTGAATTCTTTCTTGTGCAGGATCCAAGAACCCTCTCTTGGGATCTAGATCTGGACCCCTTTCCAGTAACTGTATTACTGACCATCAAAGGAAACCCCATCTGAGCAATGGGTTCCAGACCCCCATCTCTAATCGTGAGCCCCATCCTGGAAGTCACTTGTAATAAGGAAAGTTATTCCATAAGCTGGTCCTGCCACTACCCCTACAGGTTTCAAACACCCACCCTCCTTTCCAAAACCAGACCCAGGTTACTGTGGTCACCTACTGGTGACTTCATTTGCATCTGGTGGTCAGATCTAGTCAGGGTGTAATTCGGCTAAATTAATAGTGCTAATAGTGCAAATTCCTAGTGCGTTTTACAGGTGGGGAATAGAGGGTGAGAATTTGGGATTTAAAACTGGCATTTCAGAAATGCTGTCACATTAGAGCTTCATTTCAGTCCCTTGGGGTGGCCACCAAGTAAACAGCTCAATTTCCATCCCTGCTGGAGGTACAGAATGCAGCATTCACACTTGCCAACAGATAATGTCTCCTGTCTTTGTCGGTGCTTAATGGCTTTTAGTAGAGTTAAGGCTGAGAAGAAAGAGACTGACTTCCTCTTATTGGGTAAAATGGAAACACTGGGGAGACAATTCCATTTCAGACAGACCCTTTCCTTCTCAGATTACTGATCCACAACCCAGCCAACTCCCTTTCAGCTCATTCAGGTAACATGGAAGACAGAGGCCACCCGCTTAGGGGAGAGGAGGGTGGAAGAGCCCGTTGAGCTTTGTGTTTGGGATTTGTCAGCAGAGAGGAGATTTGCATTTCTAATAAGAGCCCCGTCTGGGTGTGCTTTAGCCCAGTGGCTGCACATCTCTGTAGCTCTCCAAGTGCTCTCAGTTTGCAGAGCAAGGGAAGAATCTTCTACAAAAACAAATAGCTGTGGGAAGAGAGCAGAAAGCACAGCACAGTGGGGTGCCAGGGGCACTTCCTGGGTATCAAGGAACGTTTAAAAATGGTATTACATCAAGTCACCACAGACACCCTGGCGAATATTCCTCGTGTGCCCATCCCTCACATGCCCTTTGTCTATGTAAGAGAAACTCATTACATGTTCTACTCTGAGATTTGGAGATTTATTGTTATTTCTCCAAAAAGAAGTAACGAGGCATGTCAGTCCCAGCGTGTTTATACAGCAGAAAACTGGGAAAAGAAAACAAGGTTCAACAAGAGGTGAATAGTACGATAATTAAACAATTAAATAAATAAATGGTTAAATACGTGGTAGAAACCTTTCGATCATATATGAAGTCTACAGTATTTAGTAATGTGATTTTTTTTTTTTTTTTTTTTTGAGACAGAGTTCACTCTGTCACCCAGGCTGGAGTGCAGTGGCTCGATCTCGGCTCACTGCAACTTCCATCTCCCAGGTTCAAGCGATTCATTCCTGCCTCAGCCTCCCGAGTAGCTGGGACTACAAGCACGTGCCACTACACCCAGCTAATTTTTGTATTTTTAGTAGAGACGGGGTTTCACCTGTTGGCCAGGCTGGTCTGGAACTCCTGACCGCATGATCTGCCCGCCTTGCCCTCCCAGAGTGCTGGAATTACAAGCGTGAGCCACCATGCCTGGCCAATGTGATTTTTTTAAAGTGGTAAATGTTAAATGAAAAATGCAGGATTCATACTGTATATATAGTTTTTATTTAAGAAAAACACATAATGCATGATGAAATTACAGCAAAATGTTAACAAAGTTGAGATCTTTAGAGATCAAATCAGAAATTATTATTTTTCTTTCTTTCATTTCTACATGTATTCCAAAGGGTTTTTCGTGTATGATTATAGAAGTTATATGTTGGAGCAGGGAACCCCACTATACCCTCATTACTTTTTTTTTCCCTTCCTTCTTTTTTTATCTTGGGCACACACTAGAATGTGGCATTGCTCTCTGTGGGCCCATCCGCACTCCATTCAGCCAAGTATTCTATTGCTAACAGAGAACAGAGCAGGTTGCACAAGCAATGGACAAAATCTGAACATTTCCAACTTCCCTCACCCCATCATTCACTCACCCATGAGTTCATCTAAACCCTTCTTCCACTTGTTTATATTTTTAGCTGGTACAGCCTCTCGGGCCCAGTGACTTCCATGTGTTTTCCACCCTCGGTGTGAAGTGGCAGAGGCCTGCCCGGCTCGTATCCTCAGATGACCTCCTTTGGACTCCAAGGGGTCCTCCCTGTTTTTTACCTTTCCAGCATTAAGGGAACAAAATAAGAACCTCAATGATATGTTTGCAATTAGCAAAGCACACTTATGGACATAATTTTGTAGAACTATAGAACTTGGTATTGGAAGAGGCCTTAGGAACAGTTTAGGCCAGTGTTTTCCTAAAAGTCCACAATACAGGGAGTATTTCCAGAAATCACTGCAAGTTGTACAGTCCCCAGGATATGGTGGCACGGGGTGGCATGGGATCGTGGGGGGTTTGGTTTTGTTTTTGCTTCGGGCTGCAATTGGATAACAATGGTTACCTCGTTTTGTTCAGAAACTCCAGCAGTTATACATATGCCTGGTTATTTTGTTAATAGATAATTAATGTATGAGAGACAGAATCTTTTAAACTTTGTGTTGTGGAGAAGGTGGACATTGATGGGACCCTCTATTCTGAGCTAGATCTGTGAGTGGAGAGGTCACTGCCTGAAGGTTGAGAAATATATATTCTGGCACTTCACTGCCTGAAGGGTGAGAAAATGGGCTCTGAAGTGGCTCCCTGACCCCAGCAGAAGAGGCTGGTACATGGGGCCACTGGACTAGAATCCAGATTGTCTGACTCTAAGTGCCAGGCTAGCTCCAGGGCACCTATTCTACCTTTGTTTAAACCAACTTCCTGAGACGTGCTTCCTGCACTAGGAATAATTTAGTAGATTTTGAATTTGTGCATGCTCCAAGTGTGGTCTTTCCAGACTGAGTCTTCTGTTTAGAAAATGATTAATTATTGTAATTGCCTAAGTCCTTTACTCTTCCCACAGTTACTCTTTCCTAACTGTGGAAATACAGACTTCCAAGTTTGGTAGAGTGTCGTGGGAAAGAAGGTAGGTTCTGGAATCAGACACCCTAGGTTCAAATCCTAGCTCTCCCACTCGCCAGTCCCTGATCCCAGGTTTAACTTCTCTGTGCATCAATTTGCCCAACTGCAAAATGGGAATAATGATAGTATCTACCTTAAAGGGCCGTTGTGAAGATTAACCATTGTGATGAGTGCTTGTCATTACATTGCATAGAAAAAGTGCTTTACGTTAAAAGTGGCTTACATTACACTTGTCATTACATTGCACAGAAAATTCATTACAAGCACAGAAAGTACTTGTCCCATGCCTCATGCTCAGTGCATACTCAATAAATAAGAGTAGTCACCATCGTCACTGTCATTGTCATTACTGTTGGGTTTTCATGGAAGGACCCTGGCCAGAACAGTGTCAGCTTAAACTTATTTTGCTTTGCTGGACCTGTGGCCATTACTTCCTTTTCTGTGTTGTTTGCTTTATCCTTTAGAGAACAATTAAACCTCTCCCCATTGTCAGTACCCATTTTAAAGAGCAAGACCCTGAAATCCAGTGTGACTTGCTCAAGGTCACTCAGCTTGTCAGGGCAGAGTGGGAGGAAAAGCCCGAATCTCCTGTTCACCTGCCAACAGCTCTTTGCACCATGGTGCCATGTTTCCTCTGCATGCCTCCGTTCATCCTCCACACCCGGAAAACACAGAGAAGCAGGAGAATCAGCCAGATACATGAAAACTCTTGTTTCGAACACTGAGCATTGACTGTTTACCTGGCCCTTGGTTCTTGTCTTTCTTTCGTTTTAGCAGCAGCATTACGTACTGCTGCCAGGTGGAGCGTTGCTGGTTCCTGCTTCCCCTTCCTCCCTGCCTGTCTTCCCCTGACACTTCCCTGCAGGAAACCACTAGCCCTAATGAGAACTCTCAAACGGTGGAGCAGATGACAAAGGCGCTAGAGGCCTGGGGATAGCGGGAAGTCAGCCGGTGACTTCCGCCTGGTTTAAAGCCCGTGTCTTTCCTGTATTCAATCCAGTGGCGCATCATAAGAATTCCCTGAAGCATTTAGCCACCTGAAAGGCCTTCTCTAAGGCCTAGAGATCTCCCTATCCACCACTTCCTGAGCACACCTTGCAGGTGCCAGACATTTTGGGGTTGCAAAACCCACCTCCTGCCTCACAGTAGGGAGTCAGGAACAGACCGTGAACTACACAGAGTTCTTGTACATACAGGGCACTTGGAGGGTCGGGGGTTGGGGGGCAATCCAGGCAGAGGGGCAGCCTGAGCAGAGAGGCACAGTGTGAGTTCACATTTAGCAGGCAGCTGAATGCTTAATTGTTCTCTGATTGCTTTGAGGGTGTTTCAGCCCTCCAGCTAGAGAGAGTGGTTCTGGCTAGACATGGTGATGAAGCCTCCCTTTCCTCCCAAGCCCCTGCTTTTGTGGAGCTGATTGACAGCTCGGAAAGCCTCTTCATGTATGTGATTGTATTTGAGCCGCTAAGCGTCTGTGTGAGATCAGATGTTATCCCCCATTTTACAGATGAGGAAACTGAAGCCCTTAGATGGTAACTCAGTGGCTTAGCTACCCAGTGACAACCTAAACTTGTACTGAGATATGAAGTCTCAGTATGAGATATGAAGACTCCAAGTCCTCCCTAGCTCTCTCCCTTATGGTCAGCTCTGGGGAAATGTGCGCAGACATAGTGCTTGACTGTAGAGCCCACTCTTAGAGACACGAAGAAGGAACAAACAAATGAGCACGAGCTCCTGGGGCACAGTGAGAAGGGCACTGGCTTTGGAAGCGAGACCTATAGCTCAAGTTCCAGCTCTTCCAGGCATGAGTTGCATGGACTTAGGACAGTCATGTCTCTTTATGTGGGACTCGGTTTCCCTAGTTGGAAAATGAGAAGGTTGTAGGAAATTCATCTCATAAATCTATAGGCCTGGGATTGAGAACATTGGTCTTCAGCACCTTCTTCTCTCAGGGCCCCCAGTCCTACCAGGCCTGCTTCCCCAGCCTACTTCCTACCACATCCATCCCTGAGTTCTTTCCAGGAGCAAATTCTCCCAACAAACTGAACCGCTAGTTCAGTGGGAACATCAGGGAGCTTGTTAAAAAGCTGACTCCTGGCTGGGCTTGGTGGCTCACGCCTGTAATCCCAGCACTTTGGGAGGCCTAGGCGGGCAGATCAGGAGGTCAGGAGATCGAGACCATCCTGGCTAACACAGTGAAACCCCATCTCTACTAAAAACACAAAAAAATAGCCAGGGGCATGGTGGCAGGCACCTGTAGTCCCAGCTACTCGGGAGGCTGAGGCAGGAGAATGGTGTGAACCCGGGAGGCGGAGCTGGCAAGTGAGCCGAGATTGCACCACTGCACTCCAGCCTGGGTGACAGAGCGAGACTCCATCTCAAAAAAAAAACAAGCTGTCTCCCGGGGTTCACCCCAGAACCTAAAGCCTCCAAATCCCTGAGAGTCAAGGCCCAAGACTTTTCTCCCCTGAACACTCCCAGAAGTTCTGATGATCAGCCAGATTTGGCAGTCTTTGCCTGCGCTTTGGGGTTCTCAAACTCAGTGGGCACTGAATCACCTGGGAGCATGTGAAATGGCTGGGCCTCACCCCCAGAATCTCTGATTCAACAGGTTGGGGCAGGTGAGGCCCCCAAACCTGCATTTCTAACAAATTCCCAGGTGATGCAGGCGTGACACTTGGAGAACCATTGCCCCAGCTCATTTTCTGAGAGCCCAACTAGCAAACCATCAAAGGAACCTTTACTCGTGGGCCATGGTTGCAGTGGAGCATCCCTGACAGCATGGTAACTTTTTAAACAGAGACCCTCGAAATGATTGAGATAATTACAGCAACAACTGCTATTTACTCAGATCTGTTACATGCCAGACTCTGTGTTAGATGTCCTAAATCAGTATTTCTCATTATTTTACGGAGCTTGGTGATTCAAAAATCAAGGATCAATGAGATTAAGTCATCATCTAAGAGTATACTTGTTACAAATGTGATCAGGACTTTCTAGAGCAAAACGTGGGCTATTTTCTTTAGCTCACTAGGCCTCTCCTTGTCATCCGAGCCATGAGTGGCTCTATTATGGGAATTTCAAACCAGGTTCAGACAGGGGTCATTACCCAGGACTTTCTGGTTAGAGGAGCCTTTCATTAGTTCCCCACAAATTGTATCCTACTGGTAGTGGCCTTTGGCCCCCACCGTGAGACAGCACTGCTGAGTGCTCACTTTTAAGGGACCCCTCGTGTAAACAGGGATTGTTGCATCTATAGCATTCTGAGCCATTTGGGTGGAAACGGTGAACTGCTGCCGGATCTGGGGAGACCCCACTTTAGTGGGTTTCTGCCTCGGTTCTGGGCTGGCTGATGTTCTGTTTGGCTGTAAGGACCTTGGGAAAGAACTGTTGGCACCGGATCGCAGAGAATGTTCACCAGCTAGACGTGAAGGAGCTTATGTCATGACTGAAACACTTCCAGCTGGTGGGTCTTAGTCAGGGAGCTTCTTTCTCCCTAATTTCTAAAGATTTGTCTGGTGTATAATAGGAAGCTGATAGATTTGTAAAGAAGTATAAAACACAGTAATTAGAGAGGAAATACAGGTGGCTGTGAGAGCTTTTTCTACACTTCGCTTTTTGTTCTCACCCTTCACACACACACACACACACACACACACACACATCATGCTTCTGATTTTCTGCAGTTAATTTTACATCCGCAAGGACCTCAGGAAGTCCTTCAAGCCACCTATGCCTTTCTTGGGGCATCTCCTACCACGTCTGCCTGTGTTCCTCCCTATGCAAGGACAAGGAAGCCAGGAGGCGGGAAGGAAAAAGGGAACTGCCCTGCAGGAATTGATCTCTTGGGGTGGCCAAAGGCCTCCACGCAGAGCTTGGAGATGCTCAGAGGCTTCAGAGTGCTAATTCTTTTGGTTTTGAAAGGGTAGACACATAGGTCTTAGACAGGCTCCATCCACACCCTCGAAGGCAGCTGGCAGCTCGGAAGAATCAGCTGACATTGCAATTGGTGTTGAAACTTGACGACGCTAGTCCAGGGTCCACTTATTAACCATGCCACCTTCTCTGAGCTTCGCATTGCGAATCTGACCTGCTCTTCTCCCAAGAGAGATTGTGAAGGCAAAAGAGATCATGGATATAAAAGTATCCCTGCAGTCTGGGATCTGGAAAGAACTCTGGGAATCTAGAGGTTCTGGTTTACTAATGAGAGAACTGGGGTCCGGAGAGAGGAGGTAACTTGCTGGAGGTCACAGATGAGTGAAGTGACGAGGGAGGTAGAAGGAGGTCAGGGTGAGGGAAGACTTCTGGGAATCTTTCTAGACAGAGCACCCCCATCAGCTTCTAAAACAGAGCACTTTATGACTACTATTTCTCACTGAGTCTCTCTCTCTCTTTCTCTCTCTCTCTCTGTGTCTGTCTGTCTGTCTCACACACACACTTTTTGGTTTAAATAGCAGAAAGGCAATGACTGCTCTTTACAGGAGAGAATCACACTCTTTTGCACTGACTGCAAGGAAACCTACTGGGCATCATTCAACTTTGCAAGTTAGAACATAAGACATGAAGTAGTAAAGGAAAACGCTGAAGAGAATCTACTGCCCAAACTAGCTTGCATGTGTGGGGCTTGGTGGCCTTACAGTTGCCTAATACCCCCTGCCCAACCGTATCATCCCTATGATTTTCCACAAATAAACACATTCCTGGTCTCCCTGTGCCCAAACACACATAGGGCAGAACCAAAGAACATGGGCTACAAACACAGACAGACAAAGAGAATTGGAATTTTATTTCTCACCAGCACTGTGACCTTGGGCAAATTACTTAATGTCTCTGAACTTCAGCTTCCTCATCTGGACAATAATAATACTTCCTAATGTTGTCGTGAGGATTAGCAAAGGTAAAGCCTAAAAAGTGCTGAAATACAAGGGTTGGCACAAAGTAAGGTTAATAAATGTTAACTGCCGCTATTGAAAATGTTGGAGATGATATTGAAGATCACATTATTGTCATTTTCATAAGAAAATTAACTTGTTTATAATTTTAATGAGATCTCACTAGGCTTCTAACAATCTGACTGCATAATTAAAATTCTGGTTTTCTACCCAGGAAAGAACTAATATTGTCCAGGTTTTAAGCACACTCTAGCTGGGCTGTTATCTCTGGAATACTGAGATGTTGTCACGTGGTCTCCAATAATACCTTGTGTATATAAATATCCTTATATCTGAAAAGCATATAAAATTACAAACAATAAGATGTACAGATGAAATGGAACTAGAAGGCATGGAAACAAGAGTGTGAACACAAAAGCCCAATTATAAGTGGGGTAAAAGTTAAAGGTGCTGCACTTTGCAGTCTACAAAGTGCTTTTTATGTCCCCACTCCTGGTGGCCCCACAGCCAGCCTAGAAGGTAGACATTACTCTGCCCATTTCACAGGTAAGGAAACCGAGTTTCAGCCAAGTGGCAGGACCAGCATCCGGAGAACAGTGGTAGATGCTGAGTCAGAAAAGACAGGAAAGAGCCACAACACATAGGGCCTGGAGGACTTGGTAGAGCAATTTGGATTTTGTTTAGGGTTCAGTGGAAAGCCTTCAAAAGTTTAAGCGGGAGAGCGCTGCGACCTGATCCACATTTTTAGATCACTGCCCAGAGTGGAGAAGGCAAAAGTGGAGACAGGGAGGCCACTTGTGAGGCTGCTTTGGAAGTTCCAGTAAGAGATGAGGGCAGTGCCCGTGGAGGTAAAGTAGACAGATTCAGAGATACGTAGAGCATCTAAAGACAGCCTTACTGAGGATTGGATGTAGATGTTGGCAGAGAGGGGAGGAGGCATGGTTTCCCTGTGGGTTGCTGGGTGGTTGATTTAGGACATCTTCAGGAGGAACCTGTTGGAGGTTGTGGGGAGGGGAGTTAGGGGATCCTTGCAAACTTGTCAGGTTACAGTGACCTAGGCACGCACTTTTGCAAAGAGTCAGGTTCCCCAAACATGCGTCCTTCTCTGGCGGAGAGCAGGTCTTATTCTCTTGCTCCTGGGCATTGACTAAATGCTTTCTGTGAACTGAGTGAGCTAGAATGCTGCCGCTGGCTCTGAGAAGCCCTGTATTCCTTCTGCCACCAGGGAACCAGGGAGCAAGTAATGACCCTTCTCAGAATGTTGGGTCTGATACAAGAAACAAACAAAAACCCCCGATGTCCTACCTTCTAATGTTTCAGACTTTGTGTATTTTTTTTTTTTTTTTTTTGCCAGTCTCCATGGGATCTTTCCTCTGCTCATGTTTGAAAGTGATTCTCTTTTTTTTTTAAATGTTGTTACTCAGGCCTTAAATAACCTTTGTCCTATGATGGCTTCTGAAAGGATGAAGCCTAAGTTAGTGCAAAAGTAACTGCAGCTTTTGCCATTGAAAGTAATGGCAAAACTGCAATTACTTTTGCACCAACCTATAGAATTATAAGATCAACACCAACAATAGGCATTTGTAGAGTGTCATTCCGTTAAAAGACCTCTCTTATATACATTCCATGATTTTAGCCTCATGAAAATCTAAGGTAAGATAAATGGTGTGTTTAGCTCTATTTGAGAGGCCAAGGAACGTAGCAGCCACGAGCATGTGAACTACAATAATAGCATTAAAACATTAAAAGAGTTGAGCTGGATAAGGTACTCAGAACAGGGCCTGCAATATGAATGTTAGCTGATGTTGTTGTTATTGCGATTAGCCTCCAGATAGAGAAACTGAGGCATGATGAGGCTGTGATGTCCCCACGCTCAGTAGTGGAATCAATTTCAAGTTGTGTTCCCAGATGCCACCCTCAGAAGGAATCTATGTTCCAAAGGGACTTACATTTGCACAGGAAGCCTCCTGCCAGGGCTGGGTCCTTGTGAAATTCTTCCGTCCTCTGTGTGAGCTTCCCCACCTCTCCCCCAGCCAGAAATCTCTGCACTTCTCCCGTCAAGTCTGCCTCCCCACTGAGGGGGGTTGAGCCCACTGTCCAGGACCACTCTACCCTGTCCTCCCCGCCCTGCCTCCTGCCCCAGGTGGCCTTCCCTCTGCCTGTCACCTTCCAGTCCTCCACCCAGTGACCTTCTCCAACAGGTTTCTCCAATTGGGAGCACCCCGGGCCCTGATGACAGGCACGTCATGTCATTGAGTCCAGGTCCCTCCTCAAGGGTGGGTCTTGGCAACAGAGGCCTTGCCTTGTACCTTGTCACTCTCCATCCCTATGTGCCAGGCCCAGTGCCAAGCCCAGAGCAGGTGCCCTGACACACTGTACAGCTGGCTTCTAAAAAACAACAAAGGTGGTCATCACCAGAACCCACCTTCGCACATGGGGGATGTGCTCATGATGACTGTCCCCTTGGGGAACATGCCCTTTATTCCAAAGCTGGCGCCAGGGCCCAGGGCATCCCAAGTTCCTGGAACGCCTGAGAGTACCTCACCACCAGCACCCAGCACCACACTCTCCTCTCTGGTGTTGACCAGTCTCCGCCCTCTGAAGGTGGCTGCAGTCACGCCTGAGGAACCAGGAGTGTGACTTCCCTTCAGAAACAGTTGAGGGGAGACAGGCAGCACAGGAGGCCCTTAGACAGTAATGAACCGAGCTTTACTCTTCACATCATAGTACAACTCTGAAGATGGCTCCAAACATGGCCTTCCAAACTCATCTTGGACAAGGGCCACATCACTGAGGTAAATAAAGGTAGAAAGTCCGCCGCAGGGAGCTCTTTCAAACAATGGCTCTCCTTTGGTCGGCTCAGTTGAGTGAGCATGTTTACATTTTGCCCTCAAAATATATTTTGAGGAATGAATGAGTGAGTATAGCGGTGAAACCTCATCATCTCATAGCCAAAGTGTGGGTTTGAGAGACAGCGAGTGTGTTGTTGCGTCTCTGTGTGTGTGTGCGCCTGAAAGAGAGAAGGGTCTCCGAACCAGAGACGGTCTCTTTTTGGAGGCAGCCCCCAGGCCACAACACCTCTTTTCAGTTGTCACTGAAGAAGGCGAAGAAGGCAGCCAGAGTCAGCCACAACGCTCATTCCTTTGCTTCTTGCTCTCCCCCATGGCCTGCAAATTAGTTTCAGCCCAGTGGCTCCCTCCACTGACCTGAATTTAATTATTTTATTCTTTATAAACGGAACACTTCCCCCATCCCCTATTCTCAGCCCCCCACCACTCCCCAGATTAACTGACCACCCCTCATTAAGGGTTCTGAGAAGTCGGTTTTGTGTGGGAAGACGTTTGGGTCCCATTCACAGGCCTTGTTTGCAGGTCCCACTGTCCATCTCTGTTCAAATAATGAAGATTTGACCAGGCAGGGGGTCAGGGAGGATGTTTTGCCTGGATTCCCATATTTGCTTTTCATCCAGTAAAATATTTTCCCGGGCATTGGTGGGAGAGGGAATGGACAATCGCTGTTTCTTCAGAGAGCAATTTCTAGTTGGCTGGCAGCGGTTCTGAGGCCGGCAGCGTGCCCTGCCCCTGGCATTCCTCCGATCTCGGTCCTCATGGCCAGGGTGGGGCTGAAGCCAAGAGATTTTCAGCATGGGTATCATGGAAAGAGGAGGCTGTTTCGGAATCCAGACTCTACGCAGTCCTGAGTGATTGTGATGAGTGCTGAGGTGCCACTGAAACCTGTTTACCGAGGCTGCTACCCACTAGGGTCTCTTCGCGGCTGCTTGCCTGTGAACTAAAACCGCCAGGTTGGATAGAATTCTCAGCAAAGCCCTGAATCCACTGGTGGCTACCAAGAAACATGGGATGGCCAGGCAGGGACCTTTCTGGGTTTTTCAAGGTGGGAAGGTGAGAATCGATAGTGGGGTGGGCCTCTGGCCTCCCTGTTGGAGGCCCAAGAGAGCCTGGCACTGCCATTCACCAGCTCTGTTCCTTGTGGCTCTGAGTCTCCGTTTCCCCATTGGAGATGTGAAGTTGATGCTGCCTACCTGTGGGTGAGTGGCTCCGGAGCTAGACATTCCCAGCTCTGCTACTCACTTGCTGTGTGGCTTTGGGCAAGTTGCTTACCTCTCTATGCCTGGTCTTCCTCATTGTATTAGTTTCCTGGGGTTGCTGGGACAAATTAGTACAAACTGGGTGGGTTAAAGCAATAGAAATTTATTCTGTCACAGTTCTGGAGGCTGAGAGTCTGGAATCAAGTGCATGCAAAGCCCTATTCCCTCTGAAGGCTCTAGGGAACATCTTTTTTTTGCCTCTTCTGGCTTCGGGTGCTGCTGGCATTCCTTGTGGCTGCATTTCTCCCATCTCTGCCTCTGTCTTCACGTCACCTTCTCCTGTTCTGTGGTTTCTCCTCTGGATGTCTCAGGTGGACACTTGCCATTGGATTTAGGGCCCATCAGGATAATCCAAGATGATCTTATCTTGAGATCCTTAACTTAATTACATCTACAAAGATTCTTTTCAAATAAGCTCGCATTCATGGGTTCTGAGGACTAGGACATGGACATATCCTTTGGGGAGCCACGATCAACCCATTACACTCATCTATCAAATGAGGATGATATCGGTGCCTACCATGTTATGGAGTTTACATGAGCTAATGTGTCTCATGCCCCGCACAGAGCAAACGTTTGTTCTTTTCATAATCTGTACTGAGCCACAATTTTATAATTACTACGATCATCATCACCATCATCATAGCCAACTTTCATTGAGAGGCTTCCCAAACTTAACACGTCTAAAATTAACTCTTGACTCTTTCCCAGTCTTCAATAGCTCAGTAAATAGTACCTCTATTAACCCCAATGCACAGGCCAACATCCTGCAAATTATCCACATTTCTTCTTTTTCTCTCACACTTCATTCCATCCATAAATCTTGGCTGTTCTGTCTCCAAAATAGATCTCCAACCCAACCACATCCTCGCAAGAGCCCCGTGTCGCACCCCCCCTCAGGTGCCCTTCATGTTTTGATGGGTGTGAGTGACGCTCCTGGATTTATATAGGACACACGTGAGCAGCTACGTCAGTGATGCTGCTTCTCACTGCCTCTACCACTGTCCCCCATTCAAGACACCACTACCGGCCGGGCGCAGTGGCTCATGCCTGTAATCCCAGCACTTTAGGAGGCCAAGACGGGCAGATCACCTGAGGTCAGGAGTTCGAGACCAGCCTGGCCAACATGGCGAAACCCTGTATCTATGAAAAGTACAAAAAAATTAGCCAGGCATGGTGGTGCACACCTGTAATCCCAGCTACTCGGGAGGCTGAGGCAGAAGAATCGCTTGAGCCTAGGAGGCAGAGGTTGCAGTGAGCCGAGATTGCACCACTGCACTCCAGCCTGGGCAAGAAAGCGAGACTCTGTCTCAAAAAAAAAAAAAAAAAAATGCCACCACTACCTCCCACATGGATCACTGCAGTAGCTGTTGGCTGTCCTCTCACCTTCATCTCTTGCCCCCCAACACCCCCTCATGTCCTGCACATACCCGTGACTGTCTACTCTCCTTGGAGCTACTTTTTAAAAACATGGGTCAGATTTTGTTTCTCCTCTGCCCCAGGCCTCCACTCATTCCCCTATCTCACTCAGAGCAAAAGCCAAGTCCTCCCAGTAGCCCCTGAGGCCCCACATCCTCACCTGCCCCTCTGTCACTGTGCTGCAGCCCCTGGACCTGGGGCTCGCCCTGGGACACAGGCCACCTGTTTTGGCATTTGCGCTGGCTGTGTTCTCAGCCTAGAACACTCTTTTCCCAGCTATCATTGTGGTCTTCTCCCTCACTGCACTAGCTGCTCACATGTTTCGCATGGAACTCCAAGGGTGCCATTCACACCCACCAAAACGTGAAGGATGCCTGGGGGGTGCGAGACGGGGGTCCTGGAAGGCTGTGATTAGGCTGGAGATCTATTTTGCAGACAGAACGGCCAAGATTTATGGATAAAATGAAGTGTGAGAGAAAAAGAAGAAAGGTGGATAATTTGTAGGATGTTGGCCTGTTCATTGGGGTTAACAGAGGTACTATTTACTAAGCTGTGGAAAACTGGGAAAGAGTCAAGAGTTAATTTTAGACGTGTTAAGTTTGGGAAGTCTCTCAATGAAAGTTGGCTATGATGATGGTGATGATGACTGTGGTGATTATGAAGCTGTGGTCCTGCTTAAAAGATACCCCCTGCAGGAGGCCCTTCCCTGACAATCATAGCTCAAACAGCACCCCATCAATCTCCATCCCTTTATTCTGGTTTTTCTTCAAAACATTTAGTGCAAGGTCAGATTGTCTGCTTTCCCCATTACACCCAAGCTCCATGAGGTGAAGGACTTTGTTTTGATTCCTCCAGGATCCTCAGTACCTGGCACATGTGAGCCACATCATCAACATTTCCTGGATGAGGGCATTATTCTGGGCCAGGAACTGGCTTTGTATGCATGACCTCATATCTCCCAGCAGCCTATGAGGTCAGTACTGTAATATCCTTATTTGCCCGGGGCTTGGGGGCTCAGAAAGAGTAAATAAATGTTCCCTGGCTACCCAACTAAGTCAGTGTTAGCAGCAGGATCTGAACCAACTCGTCTTACTCCAGAACCCACTCTCTGAATCACCATCTGTCATGAGGCAGAAATGAAAGACTGTAAGTGAAAGACATTTGGAAATGGAAACGCATTGCGTGAAAGTACCAGAAGGACAGCGGCCGTGCTTGCAACGTCTGAGCAGATCCCTCCGAATTGATTTGGTTCTCCTTCCTGTTTAATTTTTTAAATTTTGAGTACTATTTTTGCTGCCTCCTGGATGATACGACTTGAGGTGGTAAGAAAGGTGTCTGCAAAGCATCGTTCAGTGACTGTCAGACTTTGATGGCCCGGAATGCTCTAGAAATGGGGCATACAGGTGCGTGAATGTGTCCATTATTCCAAAAACAAATCAGTTTACTTCTCTGCCTTTAATAAACATGGCATACTGATTAGAATCAAATATTTCAGTATGGAGGGTGTGCAGAGAGCATTCATCTGAGTCAAGATTCATTTATTCCCAGCTCTATCACTAAAATACCTTGCGGCTTTAAATAATAGTGACTCTTATTTCTGAATCCTAGAAGGTGCAAGGCACATTCAAAGTGCTTTACACTTATTAACTCATTTAATTCCCCAAACCACTCTTGGAAGTAAATACTCTTACTAACACCGTGTAATAGTAGTCACCGAGACACAGAGATGTTAAATCACTTAGCCAAAGTGACACAGCTAATCATCGGCAGGCCCAGGATGTGAACTCAGGCAGTCTTTCCTGGGGACAGTTCCTAACCAAACTGATTCCCTATTGTGACTCTCAGCTTCTTTATCTGTAAATTTCAGGGAATGTACTCTGTCATAGTTTCCAGCTCGAAAAAATCCATGCTTTTGAGACCGAGAATCTGGGAGGAGTTTTGAGTCATGGGCGTGAATGCAAAAGGAGAGTAAGAGAATGGGACGAGACGGGGCAGAGCCGAGAATATTACAAAGAAGGGCTAAGCTATGGGCTTCCTTTCTGTCTGGTTCTTGCTTGCATCTTGCCATGCTATCATTTGCTACTTTTCTTGCCTCGGTGGTTTGTAAAAAATAAGAGCCCCGGGTGCATGTGTCCCCTCATTCACTCTGTGTGGGCAAAGGAAAATGAAGCCCTTATGGTCACCTGGTGTTTCTAACTTTAAAACAGCCTCATATCTCTTATTTAATTCACACAGAAATCCTGTGTGCAGAGCCAAGGATATTCCCATTTTATAGACAAGGAAATGGAGAAAAAGGTTGAGAAAACTGATCTTCCAGTCACATTTACCTCTTCCTGCCTCCCACAAGTGCTTCCTGGGTCCTATCCCAGGGTTTTTTTGTACTTTACTGATTTTAACAAATACAGCCTTTGATCACTCTCAGCTACCTGCCACACTGGTGCCATCACTAGGTGAGTTATAAAGACTCATCATCATGATACTCTCCATGATTGGGAGCATTCTATGTGCCAGGAATTTTTCTGGGGGCTTTTCACATCGTATTTCCTTCTGATCCCCACAACTCTCCTTTGAGATACACAGTGTTATGATGCCCATTGTACAGATGAGGTGAGGTGCTTTAGGCCACACAGCCCCAGCCAACACATGCAGACATCACATAGCTAGGAAATGCGAATCCAGCATCTGAATGTGTTAGCACAGAGGGTCCCCTCCCTGGATAAAACCTTCTGGAACTCCCGGTCATGTAAGACAATGTCCAAATTCCTCAGTGTGGTGTGCATGCACCCCTGCAGCCACTGCCCTGCCCCTCGAGTTGGCTCCACCTTCCCTCGTCTCAGCCACGCTCAGCCAGGCTGCTCCTTTCAGCCGTGCCCTTGCTCTGGACCTCACCCCTCCGCTCCCCTCCTTGGAATTCATACTCTCCCACCCTTCTCTGGCTGGCAATTTCCACCCATTCTTCATGGACGAGGACAAACACCGCCTTCTCCATGCAACCTCCTCCCACCCACTATCTCCCCATGCCCTTTTCCCCACCCCACTGTCACCCCTCCCAGGGCACCTGCACCACTCTCCAACAAAGTTACAGACACCTAACACAGCCCATACTCCTTGGAATGTTGAACAGTGAGGAACAGGGAACGTCTGCCCCACCTAAGGGCATCTGATGACTCTTTTTTTAACACATCACTCCAGCACAACAAAACGTCTTTGTGGCATGGATTTGAACCACGGGCCACCAGCCTGAGGCTCCTGAGAGCGCCTCAGTGAATGGTATACCTCTCTACATAGTCAGTGATCTACATGGTCAGGCCGAGCCTCCCGGGCCCCTGAGGACTGGGAGTGGCTACTGGACCAGCTGAGGCGTGCTAGGTGGCCCTTGGTCTCCCCTCCTCTCACAGCATGCCTGGTGTCTCCTGGACTTCCAATGCAGGGCCACATACCTCTTGAGGAGTGGGGAAAAGGTCTGCACTGTGATGTGGAACCCTGAGTCCTCACCCCACACTTGGATTCAAATCCAAGGACTTGTACGAATGCAGCTTTTCTGGCCCTTGGTTCCATCATCTACAACATGATGGGATAAATTGGGAGTGCTCCAGGGTTCCACCCAGTGGGAGCATTCAGGCACTTCCTTTATTTCCCTCCTTGTAGATAGGAGAAACTGAGGCCCAGGAGCAGGGGACTTGCTCAGAGCCAACCTAGTTGGTGGTGGGACTGGAGCTCCCACTCTGGCCAGATCTGCAGCCCTCCACCTTGCTCCCATGTCCTGCCTCTTCTCCCCAGCCTTCCAGTCCCTCGACGCCTCTTTCCCTCCTTCCACCCTGACTGTGCTCCTCACCTGTGGGACATGAAGGTCAGCCATGCCAAGAGTTAGTCTTGAATCAGAACTAAGATGGCAAGTCCCGAGGCACTGGCCACCTGAGTGAACTCACTGTCATTAAGCAGGCAAGACATCCTCTAGCTACCTCCTGTTTGAATCCTATGCATCTTTCAATCCAGCTCCCATGGCACCTCCAACCAGGCTGCCCTTCCAAGGCACCCCATAAGAGACATCATCTTAATAAGCCCTCCCACCCATGACACTGTATAGTCCCCCTGTGGGCGTTTTTACTTACTTTTAAATACTTGTGTGTACATCATAGCTCCTCTACATGATTTCAAGCTCATTGAAAGCAGTAGCCAAATAGCCTCCATTTTCCGATGTCTACCACTAGCCTCTGCTTCAACACCTGATACAGTATTCTAAGTGTTGGATACATATTTCCGGAATAAATGTTATCTTCATTCAGAATAAACAGTAAGGTATATAAGCATCCATACATTCCAGGGTCAGACTGGGTGGAATCTTAGCTCTGGCCTCTGTGCACTGTGGGACCTTAGTCAAGTTATTTAACACTTTACTGCCTCCATTTCCTCATTTGTAAAACAGGGATAATCATAGTGCTTGGCTAACTGGGTGGCTCTGGATTAAATGGGTGATGCATGTAAATGACGTGTTTAATAGAGGCCAGCATAAAGTTGACTCCATAAGTGAAGTTGTAACATTTTTGCAATTCTACATACAAGTTTGTATGTGATTTTTTGAAAATATATTATACCACCTTGCATTTCAAGTTTGGCTTTAGCTAGCTGCCAAGCCCTTCCCATCCTTGCATTTTCTGCAACTGCCTCACATAGGCACTGGCCGGGTCAGAGTGTGCCCCTAGCTACACTCTTTCTTGGAGCAAGGGGGCAGGGAAGGGAGAGATGGACTTCCAAATCCCTGTCTTAACTGCGCGCCAGTTTGGGGCTCGTGGCCACATTAAGTGCTCTTACTCAATTCATGTGACTTGACAAATTTGGAATGTGTTAGGGAGAGAGAGTTTTTCCAGCTATGAGTCAGTACATTTATGCGCTCACACACACATTTTTTTCTTTAAAAAAAGAAGTTTAGCGAGAATCATTTATGAGTATAAAGTGGAAACCTCTGGAAATTTTATTTAGACCCAGAAGGCAAGTAATATTTAAAACATTTAATAAAGGGTTTGAAACAAGATAGAATTGGGAGAAAACACAGCTAGCTGCCTTCTCCTTCTGTATTCCCAGCTACCATGTTGTACACAGGAAGATCCAAATTACATGAGTTTAATCTCATACCTCTTGAATACTCAGATTTTTGCTAAACAAGGTCAGGAAATAAGAGATGTGTAAAAGCAGGGAAGCTGAACTGGCATCTATTAAGCACCTAGATGTACCCCATGAGCAGGGAACATATCCCAAGTTCAAGAGGCTATATGGGGGGAAATGAAACAGTTTGATTCAGACAGGCTTGGGTTCAAATCACAGCACGTCACTTTTATAATATTATTTAGTCTCCATCATATTCCATTTTATGGATGACAAAACTGAGGGTCAGAGAAGATCAAGTATTTTGTTTCTGGACTCAAAGCTCTTGTGTGGTAGAAATTGCATTCTAAACTGAGTCTGTCAGTCTCTAACCAAGAATATGCTATCTCCCTATGCTAAAGAAAGTGGTTTCAAATTATTGTTCCTCGGAGTGGAGTTTCCATACCAAGGAGGGAGGCAGACACACCCATTGTCAAAGATGATGTCTGCAGATCCTAACCAGGCACAGCTTTCTGGGAGACCGGTGTCCTCAGCCACTTTCTGACACTTGCCTTTTAGGGATTATGGAGAACCCAGTTCCCCCAGGTTGATCTCCTTACTGTTGTTTATTTTAAAGAAGGAAACCACCACCCACCCAAAGGGCTTCTGTTTTCCAGTTCACTCATATCTCTTCTGTGAGGGCTCACTTTCATAGACTCCCAATCTTAAGGGAGCTGTGTATTTCTCTCAGAAACAGGAGCCGTAATCAAAGGTGTATTCATCTCTCTCACATCTGCCAGCAGCCGTGTTGGAGCCAGAGTTCCCTGAGGCCTGGCAGGAGGAGCACAGGCCAGGTACCTGGGAGAATGTTTCCCTCAACGAATCAGATCGCCCTATGGTGGCCCTTCTAAAGATCGCAGGGTGCCTGGTGGTGCTTCTCAGATTGCTGGGGGATCTGAAAGGGGCCCGGAGGTGAAAAGGACACATCTTTCCATCTTATAAATACTTTTGAGGGCCACCATGTTCCAGGAACCGCAGACACAGAATCCAACTCTTCAGTGGCTTCCCAACACACACAGGTAAAGGCAGAACTTCTTGAAAGGACTCCAAACCCTGGGAAGATCTGGCTCTGCTCTTTCTCTGGCCTTCTCGGCTCCAGCCACCCTGACAGCTGCCAGTCTCTGGGGTCCACCGTGCCCCTCCCGCCACAGCCCACACATGCCCTTCGCCGCTCATTCAGCTTTTCTTCCTCTCCCTGCCTGGTGTGCGCTGCCTGTCCTCCAGGTCTCGCTGCAATCTGCTTTATCCTCCTATGCCTCTCTGTGCAATCTTGCCACATTGCACAGTGCTTGAGTTAGCGCAATAATGTCATTGAAGTCTTTAACTCTAGCCTGACTCTAAGGCCAGGGTTCACCTAATCTCCCCATAGCCTGGCCCCTAGTCAAAGCCCCATAAAGAGTTGTTGAAAGAATGAAGAGACATCAGTGAGCAAAATAGATGCTGCCCTTGGCAAGTGACACTGTCACAAACAGAAAAAAAAAAAAAAATAGATGCTGCCCTTCCCAATGCCAGACACATACATCTTCCTAGAGTGTCAGTTGTCAAATTGTACTTGACAACTTTGAGGGAGAAATATTTTGAAACAAATATGGGTCAATTCTAGAGTTGAATTCAGTATTCTCGTAAATGTCCAAGATATCAAGCTGCATCTACACACCCCAGGGCAGCTGGGAACACAGGCTCTTCTGTACTCTTGGGGAATCTCAGTTGAAGTTAGGTTGTGGCTGGAGGGAGAGATGGCCCAGTTTTCCACAACTCCAGTTACATAGCCAACATTGAAGAGTCATTGTGGGGAAGAAATGGAATGATGATTCAGTCAGGCCTGAGTTCAAACCTCCATGTTGAACTTTCTACTCTTATGACTCTGGGCAACTTTTTTAATCTCGCAGGTTCAGGTTTACCATCTGTAGAATGGGTATGTGAATGCCTGCACTTCACAGTTGCTGTAAAAAAGGGAGATAAGGCTTAAGACCCACCCCAGGGCCTCCTGGAACAGAGCCATGTGCTCCGGAAGTGGTGGCTGTTATGTGAGCAATTTTGCAGATGAGCAAATGACATATGCGTTTTATTCCATATGACCAGCATTTTCTGCCCTTCTGAGTGAAAGGCTACTGTTAGGGACCAAGGTGAAATATTGCCTGGAACAAAGACAGGTCACTGAAGACTGCACTTCTGGCTTGTGGAGTGAGGGCCGAGCTCGGGCCCCACGGAAGCCGCTTGTAGCTTTCCACCTTTTTTGAGCTTGACCTTGCTCTTATTTCTGGTCTGGGCTGGCTCCAGCCAGGGTTGGCTTCTCTGTCTCTCTCGTGTGCTCCCTGGCTGCACTCACGCCTCTCCCTCAGTTTGATGCTATCACCTTAGGACATCATGGCCTTTTTACTAGACCTGGAGCTTCTTACTCGTCTGCTAAATGTTTGCTGAATAAGAAGTGGAATGGGATAAACTTCGTAAGAGGGAGTGACCCTCGGGGAGGGCATTTCTCTTCTACAGGCCTTTAAAGTTGCTTCCCTGGTTCGCCCCCTTCTGGTGCCTGGCACAGGCTTAAACTAGGCCAAAAGGGAATATGCGGGGACTCATGGGGAAAATGCCACTGGCTTATTTTTCCTTATTGTGATTTTCTCCATATGACCAGTAATTTCTGGCAAAAGGAGTCCTGAGCCAGTAAGGTTGGAAATGTGTGTGCCTGTGGAGCTCAGAGGGCACTAAAAAGCCCTGTGATTCAGGTTAACTCCTTTTTTTTTCTTTCTTTCTTTTTTTTTTTTTTTTTTTTGAGACAGAATCTCACTCTGTTGGCTAGGCTGGAGTGCAGTGGCACGATCTTGGCTCACTGCAACCTCCATCTCCCAGGCTCAAGCAATTCTCCTGCCTCAGCCTCCCCAGTAGCTGGGATTACAGGCATGTGCCACTATACCCAGCTAATTTTTGTATTTTTAGTAGAGACAGGATTTCACCATGTTGGCCAGGCTGGTCTCAAACTCCTGACCTCAGGTAATCTGCCCACCTTGGCCTCCCAAAGTGCTGGGATTACAGGCATGAGCCACCACGCCCAGCCCAATTCAGGTTAACTCCTAATGAGAGCCACTGCCTTCCACGTGCAGGAACAGAAGGCTCCACTCGGCATGCACTGTGGCCTTGGATTCCCCTCCACAACCCAAGGAGGCAGCTCTGGTTAGAGCCCTGCCCAGCTGAGGAGGAAACCAAGGTCCCGGAAGAGAAGTGATTGGCATAAGGACACAGAACACGTGTGAGAGAGAAACGGGACCAGACTTGGCCCTGCAAGACTAGCGCTCCTTCCAGCATGCTGCTTAGTATCTCCTGGGGTCTAGCGGGGTGATGGTGCAGTACTGGGTTCAAGGATAAATGGAGAAAACAGAACTGATTAAGTGAGAGTCCCAGCTCTGAGAATAATTCACTGTGCAGCCCCAGCCAAGTCACTCTGCCCTTGTGTACTCCAGTTGCTGCCTAGTCAGTTGAGGATAATAATGGGTATTGTCAATAACAAGAACAGCTAACACCTGCTCACACTCTTCTAAGCACTTTATATGTATCACCTCCCTCAATCCTGGAGGGGAAGGCGGCATTAATTAGGGTAAGAGTGAGGCAGATCATTTGAGAGAGGGACTAGCGTGGCTATGTGGCTGTGGAGCATGATGGGTTCAAGAAAGGAGAAGAAGGCAGTGAGCCAGGAACAGTGGGGGGATTGAAGGAGGGGAGGGGAGTGGGGAGAGATGAGCAGGCACCAGCCTCACAGAGCTACAGAGGCCATGGGGTGGGGAGCGTGGTCTTTGCCCTGACACAGGTGAGGAGCCTGTTAGCTGTCCCTGTCTTGCACCCCTTCTTTATACATTGTACCTTCTCCCACTCAGTCTATTATTTGTCTTTCCCCTTTTTTATGCCATGAGTTTCTTAATGGTAGGGACTGGGTTTTATTTATTTATGTCTATCTGGTGCATAGCACAGAATCAGATATATATGGGTACCCAATGAATTATTGTTAGATATTTAATATGCTCAACATTTAATATTAACATGTTCAATGTCTAATAACTATATGTATATTTAAGTTCTATATTGACATTAGTACCTGTATCAGTCCATTTTCACACTGCTATAAAGAACTGCCTAAGACTGGGTCATTTATAAAGGAAAGAGGTTTAATTGACTCACAGTTCAGCATGGCTGGGGAGGCCTCAGGAAATTTACAATCATGGTGGAAGGGGAAGCAAGGCACCTTCTTCACAAGGCAGCAGGAAGGAGACGCAGTGAGCGAAGGGGGAAGAGCTCCTTATAAAACCATCAGATCTCGTGAGAACTCACTCACTATCATGAGAACAGCATGGGGAAAACCACGCTCATGATTCAATTACCTCCACCTGGTCTCTCCCTTGACACATGGGGATTGTGGAGATTACAATTCAAGATGAGATTTGGGTGGGGACAGAAAGCCTAACCATATCAGTACCTAGAATGTAACTTGCATTATGCAAGCATTTCTGCTATTAAATGATATATGCATTTCTGTAAATCCTTGCATTCTGAAAAATTCAAAAATCACAGAGATTTGGGAGACAATAAGATTGCAGCACACAATTCACAATTCATGCAACTCTTTAACAAACCACAATCCTAGTGATGATTATAGCACAGTTAAAATGGCATGCTAAATTTTGAATTAAAAATACATTAGTAACTTTAGGACCTGAGTAACCATAGGGCTATATTTTACAAACCAAAAGGGGAACTTGAAGGCAAGTGGCTAGAGAAAGTTTGAGGCAGCCGAGTTATGGAGGCAGGAGCGGACAGATCTTCATCAGAAGTTACAGGTACAAGAGCAGTTGCAGGCTTTGCTGAAATATATCAGAGAGGGTCGGGCGTGGTGGCTCACACCTGTAATCCCAGCACTTTGGGAGGCTGAGGCAAGTGGATCATGAGGTCAGAGATCGAGGCCATCCTGGTCAACATGGTGAAACCCGATCTCTACTAAAAATACAAAAATTAGCCGGGCATGGCAGTGCATGCCTGTAGTCCCAGCTACTCGGGAGGCTGAAGCAGGAAAATTGCTTGAACCCAGGAGGCGGAGGTTGCAGTGAGCCGAGATCATGCCACTGCATGCACTCCAGCCTGGAGACAGAGCAAGACTTCGTCTCAAAAAAAAAAAAAAAAAAAAAAAGCACTATCAGAGAGGAGTGGTCTAACATGGCCTTTGCACAAATATCAGGGAGAAGTGAGCAACAAACTCTTCTAAGACAGCACATGGCCACACTGAGCCAAGAGGAAGAACGTGGAGTGAGCGGGTGTCATGGACAGCATGGAGTCATCTGTGGCTTACTACACTCAGCTGTGTCAGGGATCTTTGCATCCAGCTGCTTTTACTTGGTGAAGCAAAACATTAATGTGCTGGGAACATTTGCCTAAGAGCCAATACTACTTCCACATTTTATGGACATCATTCCACTGTATATCTTAACTTAGCTGAACTGTCTTATGGAAGCAAGTGCAGTAGAACGAATGATGTCTGATATAACATAATGACTCACTGATAAGTCAAGAATGCCAGTTGTCTAGTTTACATTGAGAAAAGTACTGGTCATGCACCCTGCATGGGTTGTGGACTGTTTTCCTCTTGGTCTGTGAGTCTATTTAGTAAATTCACCTTACAAGCAGAGTGTGGAGCAAGAGCATATGGAGTTGGGAGATGCTAATTTAGAGTATCGTAAATCTATGCTGTGATGTCCCCCTCCTCATCAGGAGCAGCTAGACTATACTGGTTGTACCTCTGGGCTTGGAGTCAGAGGATAGTCACCCCAGCCTGTGTGATAACTGTGTGACCTCAGGAAAGTCAATTAACCTCTCTGTTTTCCCAACTGCAAAATAGAGCTAGTGACATGCCCCTTAAAAAGTAAGGAGCTGATTAGCTGGTGGATAAAAAGCTCTTTCTAAGCTATGAAGGACTTTGGAGAGTATTGTTCTTCTCGCAGGTCAGTGCCTGGAATGCTCAGGTTAGCTTGTCTCCTGGGGCGCCTCCTCCCGCCGGATGGTTAGTTCTAAAGGGCAGTGGACAAAAGCGCTCAACTTACTGGAATCAAAATAAATTAATCACTGGGATTAACTGCAGAAGCTCGAATTCCCCTTCAGGAAGGAGGCCCAGAACCTTCAACTGGGGAATTTTGCTGGCCTTTGACAAAACTGAGGAGGAGGGAAGCCTGTGGCCAGTATTCAGTGCCTCCCTCCCGGAGTGCTCTGCCCGATACCCGAGGCCACCACTCACTTCCAGGACTCCAGTCACCCACCACCCGTGGCTAGGACCCCTCCCTCAGCCACTCCCACAAAGCCAGGTCTGACTGCACCTTCCCCCAGATAGTGCAGTGGAAGGCAACACAGGCTTTGGAACCACGTGAACGTGGCTTTGGATCAGCCCGACCACTCACCAGGTCCACAGCCATGGTGGCAAGTTGTCATTTTTGGAGCCGGTTTCCCCACGTGGAGAATGGGCTGCAACTTCCTTCCTTCCGTGATTAAGAGAATGATACACCAGCGCTTTGCAAACTTTTAACCTGCCCAGGAATCACCTGAAGGTCTTGTTAAAATACAGGCTGCTCCCATACCGTAGGGCTTGGTGGGGCCTGGGACTCTGTGTGTGCAGCAAGCTCCCAGCCGGTACGATTGCACCCTTGAATAGTAATACCCCAGGTCAGGTGTGCGAGGGGCCTGGCGCGTGGTAAGTACTCAGTCAACAGATCTGCCACCTGAAAGTTTTCTTTCCCCCAGCCAAAAGGTTCTCCTTTGAAAACAGGAATGGATGAAAAGAGAAAGCTCTGCCCACCTCAGAATTCTCAGGGAAACAAGAAAAAACAAGTTTGGCTTTCAAGGCGGGCTGGGCGTGGGGAGTGAGAACGGTGTGCCCTCCGCGGCAGCTCCCTGGCTCGGTGGCTGCTCCGTGCACATGTGCGCCGCAGGTGGCCTCTGCCCTGCGTGGTTAAACCTCTAGGGCTCAGGCCCCAACTTGCCGTGCTGTGAACACATCCTCAGAACCGGGCACATGCCTTTTTCTTGCGGCTACAGCTCTCCCGAGGAATTTTCAAAGCACACGGGGTTCGCTTGGCAGGAGTCTCCCAGGATATAAATACGCTTTGGGGGCTTTTGTTTTAAGGACTGCAGTATCTTTTCGACTTGAGGCCTGAGCACAGAGCTTTCCCCCTTCGCCCTCACCAAAATGCAACCATGAAGGGCCGCTGCCAGGAAGACTCAAGGGGACTCTGACTGAGGTTAAAGAGAGGCCTCCCGCACCCCTACATCCGCCGATTTTGCCTTTCATTTCGCTCTTCTAGAAAGCCTGCTTTTCCACAAGCTGCTGACTCATCCAGGGCTAGGGTCTTTTTTTTTTTTTTTCTTTTTTTCTTTCTCAGAATCGCCACAAAGCCCAGAGATTTTGAGGTTGGTTTAATGAGCGGCTCAGTCCTCACCATTTCCTTCTCATTCATCTTCCCCACCTCCATCCCAGTCCCCCATTGACTCCATCCTGCTAGAAAAGAGATGGACACCCAATTGCTCTGCCCTGCTTTTGATACTGAGTTTCTGTCCCCTGTAGGTCTGGATGTACCGACTGCTTTTGGAATAAAAAGATTCCCAGGATGTGAGCAACACGGGACCGGTGAGTACCGTCGCGTTTGGCAGTGTGGGGCCTAGGCTGGATTTCAACAAGGGAAAGGAGAGGGATGGGAGGGGCAGGGGCAGCTGAGCTCTGGCAGCTCTGAAACTGTATTTCCATGCACGTGTGCCTGGAAACAGCACAGGGCCCAGAATCTAGGTGTGAGTCCCTTGGAATCCACTGGGTTCCTGCCAATCCCTCCCCAGGAGCACTGGAGCCTGCAGGTAGCTGGACTGTCCTCCCTCTGCTCTGATGATAGCAGCCCAGACTCACCATCCAGAGGGCATGTGCTCAGAAGTGTTTCCAGTAAACCTCTAGCCAGGGCTAGGGAGATATTCTTAGAACAGAGAGGGAGCTATCTGGCTCACACCATTTAGGAAACCATGGCCCCGAGGAGACAGTGCTAAAGTGAGGCAGGAAAGCCACCTTTGCACATTTGAAAAACTGTCATGAGCAGGGCAGAGGTGGGCAGCTGTTGACTCCACCTAAGGAAACATTCCTAACAGAAGAGCTATGCAAGAGTGCAATAGGAAACTTGGGAAGTAGAGTGAGTTCCCTGTTGCTGGCAGAATTCAAGCAGAGGTTGGAGAAATGTCTGTGGGACACGTCGAAGGGGAGAGTGCAATGTTTTACAGACCCTGTTCCCTGGTGATCTAGAATGCTGTGAGGGACAGGCAGTGGGAGGAGGGAGGTAGTGTAGGGAAAGTCTGAATGAAGGAAGCTTTTGAACTCGTGCCTGCAAATGCTCAGCATTGCCTCCGTTTTAGGTGCAGGTTCTCCTGTAAAACTGTTTGGAAGCCACCAGATGAAATGACCCTCATGTCTCTCCTACGTTGTTGCCCATTGGCTGGCTGTACCTGAGCTAATGCCAGACAATGCACATATCATAGACATGAGCCCAAACACCTGCTGTATGTGGTCCAGGGGGCAACTCTCAAAGCATAATGAGAGTTTTGCTCAGAGGCTCTGGGGAGCCTATCTCATGCCAGAACCACCAAAAGAGTTACTGGCTAGTCATGTCATCAAGGGACTCGGCCCAAGATCCAGACCACATAGACAAGAGGAAAAGGCATGGGGGAACAGGTGGCAAGACTCACCCACCCCCCCACTCCCCAGGGCCCCAGAGAAGGCAAAAGCGGGTGTGGTCCAGGCAGGTGGCTTGGCTTCAGCTTCACCTGGAATCGTGGGCTCTTGGGCAGGGGCAGTATCACATACTCCAGTGGCCAAAACCTGGCCCACTGAGCGTGAGAAAAATTGCACTCCAGACACAAATGGGGAAGTTACGCAGGAGGGACACCCATTGCGCTTGGGAGGGTCTGAATAATGAGCACACGGGTTCCTTTGTGCTTTGTAACTGGGTCTTCTTCCCCTGGGGTCTGGGTCAGCTGCAACAGTAAATATTTACCAAGGGCCCCTGAGGGCAGGGCTCTGTGGGAGGCCAGAGACGGTGTTTTTCTTTAAGAAACTGACAGCCTGGATGAGAATCGAGTTTGACAGTGGTTGTGCACAGGCTGTATATTCAGCTGAGCCCTGTTTGCTGTCAGGGGCTGGGGAAAGGAGGGAGAGGAGAGGACTGAACTGTGACTTGGCAAGTCTTTTTTTTTTTTTTGGAGACAGAGTCTCACTCTGTCGCCCAGGCTGGAGTGCAGTGGCACGATCTCTGCTCACTGCAAGTTCCGCCTCCCAGGTTCATGCCATTCTCCTGCCTCAGCCTCCCGAGTAGCTGGGACTACAGGTGCCCACCACCACGCCCAGCTAATTTTTTGTATTTTTAGTAGAGATGGGGTTTCACCATGTTAGCCAGGATGGTCTCGATCTCCTGACCTCATGATCCGCCCGCCTCAGCCTTCCAAAGTGCTGGGATTACAGGCGTGAGCCACCACGCCCGGCCGACTTGGCAAGTCTTTAAGCAGGACTTGAGCTTTGAGGACAGGTACTGTGTGCTTGCATTCATAGAACCTGGCACGTAGTAGGTGCTCAGTAAATGATTGTCAAATATAGTGATGAGGAGGCAGCCCAGGGAGGCAATGTCTGTGGTTCAGAGCATGGTCCCTGGAGTCAGAATGCCGGATTCCCATCCCAGCCCTTCCACTAGCTGTGGGGCCTCAAGCATCAGTCTCCTCCTAAGATAGAGATAGTGATAGTTCAATTTAATGAGTTAATTCACATGAAGCTGCTGGGATATAGTAAGTGCTCAATAAATATTAATCCTTATTCTTATTCTGGATGTGAGACATGAACCCAGGTTAAGGCCCAATGATGGGACAGGAAAAAGTAGTGTAGGTTGGAGGACAGAGCACTGGGCTGGGAGTCAGAAGCCCTGGCATAGCTGCAGGGCAGGGTCAAGGAAGCAATCCCCACCGGTTAGCACATCCTCTAAGCTGGAGATGCTGTGGAAGGCTGTCAAGGTGGCACTGTTTTTCCTCCTGGCTCCCTCTGGTCCCTCCTGGTTGAAAGCGGAGGTGGCCCTGCTATTTATTCCTAGCTGTGGGCCTCCTGGAGAGTGGTGTGACCTCTCAGAACACCCCTTTTTCCCAGTGAATGGGGACACCCTTACTATCCTCCTTCCCTCCGGGAAGTAGTCGTGAAGACTGAGAAACACCAGCACAAAAGAAATATTCCATTGATACAGATGGAGAATCATTTAGGACCCCAGCTTAGGTAGTGTGGTCTCAAGCCACACAGTTCCCTGTTCCTTCCCCAGTGAGGTCTGGCTGTCTCCATGGCTGGAAGACAAACAGCGTGTCGCCAGATTCCCATAGTGATGATTCACTTTGCAAAAGGCACTCCCCCCCACCCCAGGATTTGGAGCATATTTCAGATAAAAATTGCATTCGCCTGAAACACTTGTCAGGTTTACATTTCTTACGTGAGTGGTAGACCTGGAGTTACAGAATGAGCTTGCTTAGTGCCCTGCCTTTGGCTCCCTCACCCCATCTCACCCAGACCTTAGTGGATAGCAGGATTGTAATGTAAGCCAAAATTGTATATGACACAAACACAGCGCCTGTGCCTAGGGGATCTAAAACTATTCTAGATTCCTTTTCCCATCAACCCCCCTGACATCTGCCAGGTGGCCACAGCCTCACTTCCAATTTGGGTGGGAAGACAGATGGCATGAGGGGATCAATTGGTCATGGCTGCCAGGGGCACTATGCTGAGAAGTGTGTCGAGGCATATCCAGGAAAGAGTATGCTGCAGTGGATTACTGATGTCTGCTGAGGAGGCAAGAAGAACTGTAGCATTCCTGCCACTTTTTGGCATCTCTAGACAAAATAATTTCTTTATTTTTTATTTTTTATTTTTGAGACAGAGTCTCGCTCTGCCACCCAGGCTGGAGTGCGGTGGCACGATCGCAGCTCACTGCAACCTCCATCTCCTGGGCTTGAACAATTCTCTTGCCTCAGCTTCCCAAGTAGCTGGGATTACAGGTGCCTGCCACCATGCCAGCTATTTTTTTTTTTTTTTGTATTTTTAGTAGAGACAGGGTTTCACCATGTTGGCCAGGCGGGTCTCGAACCCCTGGACCTCAAGTGATCCGCCCACCTCAGCCTCCCAAGGTGCTGGGGTTACAGGCATGAGCTACTGCACCCAGCCCCTAGACAAAACAATTTCTAAGTCTACCTTCCTGCATCCTACTTTGTGGTCTTATATCAGCAATCTTGTTTTATATCAGAGGGACAAGGAGTAGTCAAACCTCATTAATCTGGACCACTTTAGGAGCAACCCAAGTGAGTGAAAAGTCTTCAGCCCAGGGTGTTTCCTGCAGGCAGTTGAGCCTTCTTACCATTCAGTCCACAGACTCAGCTCAGCCCAGCTCACCAACTGGTGCTAACGGAGGAGCCACAGGACCTGTGCTTAGCAGGTCTGACCACATGGCTGAATGCACCTGACCTGTACTTTTAAGCCATTTACTCTCTTTGCATGCTTAGGAATAAATACCACTGAAACTCTAACAGAAGCAGTGTGTTTTTTGAATAGAAAATCATTCAATGGGCAGCTTTGCTTCTATTTCAAATTGCCAGGGAATTTGAATTAGAGAAACTTTGTACTAGCTGGGAATAAGCTGTTTTTCCAGAGTTATATGCAGAAAATGAGACAAAATAGTTCAGAACTAGGTTTCCCCTGAGTTTCCTGATCTGTAAAATGGGGAAATAATACATCTCACAGGGTTATTTGGGAGAGTAAATGAGATAAAATGTGGAAGAGACGTAGCGTGCAAACTCGCTCACAAAAGATGGTCAAGAAATGCTATTTCTTTTCCCCCGTACCACCTCCCATCTATCTTCACACTGAAAGCATAGCTTTTTTCTTGCAATATGTTCAAGAAATGATGTTACAGATAGATTTTTTAAAATAGCATCATACTTTTCAAATGACTCCTGTTAGTTTTTCAGAGGCTCTTCCTTTTTATTGCTGATGATCCTTCAGTGGGAAATGTCCACTTAATTCTTCAGCCTGAGTTCCTCTGCTCTGGTCTTCTGGGTGGAATAGCTCCAAGGGTCCTGACATGCATGTGGACGAATGTCTTTGTGACACGATTGAGCCTTTTAGCGGGTTTCTCTAGTACAGACTGAGTCATACGGTGATTCGGCTATTCCACATCTTTCCTTCAACACAGCAAGTGTCCACACCTGAATTCCATTGTCGGGAGATTCAGGACAGGAAGGGTGATCTAATGCCAAACTGACACCAACCATGTGTCAGAAGGATGGGCTTTACTTGTTAATAACGGGTAAGAAGTTTGCAATGAAAATCTTCTTTCATCTTTAGTCTCTGAGAATCTTCAGGAGAAAGATTAAGTTAACACTTAAAAAAAGAAAAATCAAGGCCGGGCACAGAGGCTCACACCTATAATCTCAGCACTTTGGGAGGCTGAGGCGGGAAGATCACCTGAACCCAAGAGTTTGAGACCAGCCTGGGCAGCATAGGGAGACCCTGTCTCTACAAAATATGCTTTAAAAAATAGCCAGACAAACACGGTGAAACCCCGTCTCTACTAAAAATACAAAAAATTAGCCGGGCATGGTGGCAGGCACCTGTAGTCCCAGCTACTTGGGAGGCTGAGGCAGGAGAATGGCGAGAACCCGGGAGGCGGAGCTTACAGTGAGCCGAGATCGCGCCACTGCACTCCAGCCTGGGTGGCAGAGCAAGACTCCGTCAAAAAAAAAAAAAAAAAAAAAAATAGCCAGACATGGCGGGGCTCACCTATGGTCAAGAGGCTGAGGCAGGAGGATTGCATGAGACAAGAAGATCAAGGTTGCCCTGAGCTACGATCACACCACTGCACTTCAGCCTGGGCAACAGTGAGACCCTATATTGGAAAAGAAGAAAAATCAAGACTAATGAAATCTATGCGAAGCAGGGAGAGGGACCTGCATGGCTGGAGGAGCAGCACCCCTGATCACAGAAGCCGAGACTCATTAGGACTCCTGGGTTATTGAGTGAGAGCTGGGGCTCTAAGGCAGACAACAGACAAGTGCACCTTTATTCTAGCCACCCTGAGCATCAGCCTCCAGTCCTCTCTGGCCTGCAACCTGGTGAGCTGGGCTGCACAACCCTCCTCTTCTCTCTTGTCCTCTCCCCTGAGGCCTAGAGCAGAACTTCTCCACAGCCTGTGCTCTGCCCTTACCTGAGGAGCTACCTGCCTCCTTCCCAGGAGAAAGGGTGGCCAGTGGTCTTCCAAGGCTCCATGCGCAGGGCAGAAGGAGGAATATAATCCTATCCCACCCTCCCATTCTCCGTAGTGTGGCTGCCCTGTGGTGTATCCCTCTCCTCATCCTTTTTTGTTTTTTTTTTTTGTTTTTTGAGACAAAGTTTCGCTTTTGTCGCCCAGGCTGGAGTGCAGTGCTGCGATCTCGGCTCACTGCAACCTCCGCCTCCTGGATTCAAACGATTCTCCTGCCTCAGCTTCCCAAGTACCTCTCTTCATTCTTATCCAGCCTCAGACTCTTCCCGCCTGAGGATGGAGCTGGGGGACACCGTGGGGCTGGAGAGAAGGCCTTGAGATGAGAGTGCATGGCCAACACAGGCTCCCTCAGGGAGCTGTCGCCGGGAGGCCCAGGCAGGGGCATCAGAACTCCATGCAGGTCCTGCAGCCTCCTCTGAGGCTCTGGTCTCCTCTCTGAGCATCCGTGGATCTTACAGTTGACACATCCAATGTGAGGCAATATTGCAGAGCCATCGAGAGTGTGCACTTTGGAGCCAGACTGCTCCTCAGTTAGAATCTCAGCTCCACCTTTGCTAGTTCTGTGATTCTGGATGAGTTATCTAACTTCCATGTGCTGTGCCTTCCTCATCTATAAAATGGGTTCCCTCATAGGGTAGTTAGGATGACTAAATGAGTCTGTGGAAGGTGCTTGGGGTAGTGTCCACCACAGAGTAAAAGTGTTAGTAAAAACAAAATTAATAAGTAAATGAACACAGAAGTCAGTATGTCATTGATTACTGGATTCACCTCAGCAAGATGGTAAGTTTCCTACCCACAGATTCAAAGTCTTTCATTCTGCCTGTGGGTTCAGGGAGGCTTTCAATTAGACCCTGAAGGAGGGGAAACCTGGGCAGAGGTGGCAGAGGTGGACAAAGCTTGGACATTTGGAGGCTTTGGGGAGTCTGAGGTTGCTGGAGCAGGTAGAGCCTCATGGGGGAGCACATGGCAATTGAGATGGGCAAGGTCAATGAGGCAGACTGCAGAGGCTCTCAGGTGCCGTGCTCAGGATGGAGCTGTTTGCAGGGAGCAATGAGCGGCTTTCAGAGGTTTTTAACCAAGGGAGTGATATGATGCAACCTTGGGCTTAGAAAGGTGAGCTGGTGCCAGGCACGGTAGCTCACGCCTGTAATCCCAGCACTTTGGGAGGCCAAGGGGGGTGGATCATCTGAGGTCAGGAGTTCAAGACCAGCCTGGCCAACAAGGTGAAACCCCATCTCCACTAAAAATTAAAAATAAAAAAAAAATAGCTGGGCGTAGTGACAGGTGCCTGTAATCCCAGCTACTTGAGAGGCTGAGACATGAGAATTGCTTGAACTCAGGAAGCAGAGGTTGCAGTGAGCCAAGATCGTACCACTGCACTCCAGCCTGGGTGACAGAGCAAGTCTCTGTCTCAAAAAAAAAAAAAAAAAAAAAAAAAAAAGAAAGAGAAAGATGAACTGGTCAGAGTGCAGATGGCACTGCAGGTAGGAGAAGTCAAAGACAAGGAAGCAGTGAGGAGATGGTGGCTGTTCCGATGGCCCCAGAGAGAAGGAGTGACCCTCTCAACTGAGCAGTCACAGCAGAAATGGAGTGGGGAACTCACTCCAGAGCACCAATTCAGAGAAAGAATGGACTGCATGTGAAGATAGAAAGTGAGAAAGGACAGGTCCAGAGTGAGCCTCAGGTTCCTGGCTTGAGAATCTAAGAGACTGATCTTGTTAACCAAGTAGTGGACAAAAGCAGAAAAAGTGGCAGGTGGTGTTGAAGGCTCTGGAAGCGTTGCATTTGATGAACCGGTGGAGCGGGCAGGACGGGGAGCAGCATGGAGTAGCAGTTAACAGGTAGGCTCAGGAGTCCACGTGGCTTCAATTCACATCCTGGCCCAGCCAAGTGCTAGCTGTGTAACCTTGGAGAGATCGTTTAACTTTCCTGAGCCTCAGTTTCCTTATCTGCATAATGAGGATTGTGTAGTGATTATTACCTACCTGAGAAGGCTTTTAGGATCAGCACATGTACAGTGTTAAGAACTATGTCTGGTACTTGGAACCAACCCAAATGTCCATCAATGATAGACTGGATTAAGAAAACGTGGCACATATACACCATGGAATACTAAGCAGCCATAAAAAATGATGAGTTCATGTCCTTTGTAGGGACATGGATGAAGCTGGAAACCATCATTCTCAGCAAACTATCGCAAGGACAAAAAACCAAACACTGCATGTTCTCATTCATAGGTGGGAATTGAACAATGAGAGCACATGGACACAGGAAGGGGAACATCACACACCGGGGCCTGTTGTGGGGTGGGGGGAGGGGGGAGGGATAGCATTAGGAGATATACCTAATGTAAATGACGAGTTAATGGGTACAGCACACCAATATGGCACATGTATACATATGTAACAAACCTGCACGTTGTGCACATGTACCCTAGAACTTAAAGTATATATATATATATATAAACCCTTTACATATAATAAATAAATTCCTTTCTCAGGGCAAAAAAAAAAAAAAAAAAACTATGTCTGGTACAGAGGGAGTGCTCCTAAGTGTGAGTTTCCATTACATTAGTACTAGCATTGAAACTGATTTTAGGATTAGTGTTTATCATCCTAGAGATGTCCAACATGGGCCTGGAGCACAGAAACAAGCTCAGGAAGGGATAGATGTATTGGGAATCAATAGTACATACAGGCTGGTGATTACCAACCTATAGATGTGTTCCTAAGGAGGAAGAAATGGGCATCACCCGGGTTCTTTTCAAAGCGTATCATCCTACCCAACTGCACTATAACCCTGACCCTGGCCCCTGCAGTCCTGCTGTCCTATGAAAAATCAGCATAGGCAGGTATCACCATGACCAATGGGAATGTGCCGCATCCTTCAGGTCTGCAGGCGAAGAAAAAAGATGCACAGACAGCTGATGGAGGTGACAGGTGAACCTATGGGGTGACTGAACTCACTCAGGGACAGCTCAGAGATAGAAGACTGCTGGGCTGAAGACAGAACCCTGAGGCAGCATCAGCATTTAAGATGCAGGATCCAAAGCGGTAGCTCCATCAGTTCACAGAGCTACAACTGCCCCATGTGCCACTCGTATGAAATTCACTTTGCCCTCATGGACTAGATATGAAAACCCTGTTGTAGGCATTTGGTCCATCTACAGATTCAGGGGCAAGTTCCAACCAGGCCCCATTCAATAGCATAAGAGGCTTCCTTTGCCTCTTCCTCCACTATTAGGAGTGGACTCAGTGTGGCTAAGCTAAACCAAAGAGATGAAGAAAGAAGTGAGAGAGGCCACTTCATCCTTCTCTATAGTCCAGCTAAAACTTTGCCCTAAGTGCCCTGGCCTAACCCCCCGTTCCGTGATATTTCAGAGCTCAAAGTTTCTTGGCCAAGGAAATGAAAACACCTATAACTCGTAGATACCAATACTTAAGTTGGTATTTGATTATATTAGTCAGACTTTTGGTTACAAGATGGAAATCCAATTCAAATTGACATAAGTGTAAAACAAAAAGGCGGTTCGTTCGTGTAATTGAAAAGTCTGAGCTGGCCTGGCTTTGCGCCCAGCTGGATCTAAGCAATGTCTGCAGGCGTCGTGTCTCTCCATCTCTCGGCTCAGCTTTCTTCTGTGTGGGATTTACTCAGACAGGTTTCCCCCACCGACAGCCAGCAGCTTTTCTCAGCAACCCCCGTAGAAAGAAGGCTGTGCTTCCACAGTGCTCCCAGCAAATGCCCTGGAATTGAGAAACTCAGGTCACCTGTCTATCCCCAAGCCAACTGCTGGAGCCAAAGGGTGCACGGTGCCAACTGGCCAGGCCTGTGTCACGCACTCCCACCGGGCATTGTGGGACCACATGGACCAAGAATGGGTGGTGAGGAAATTGGGGAGAGGGAATAAACCAAAGCCAAATTACCATATGTAAGTCCTGCACTGCCTTAAAAGCCTAGTCGTTAAGAAAAAGGAGTGACCGTGGCGGTAATTCTCAGAGCAGACTCAGTGGGGAGCACTGAACCTGGAGCTGGCCTTTGTGGCCCAGAACACATGTGAGAGTGAAGGCTAGGCAGTGGAATATTTCCACAGAAGTGATATTCCACATGCGGGTCCCCCTCTGTAGCATGCTAACCCCACGTGCAGAAGTGTCATCTCCCCCGGGGGCTTGGGCAGTATCCTCTGTATGCTTCCACTTCTCTCCACTCCCCTGCAGCCCCTGAGCTGGTGCCTGTCCGTACTTGGCCCCTGTGCAGCACTCAGTAGATGGTCACTGGTTGAGCAGCATCAGAGCGGGCATGCAGAGAAGGGCCCCTCGTCCTGCGGCCGGTGCAGGACGCCATCTTTGCTTCAGGTGATGCTCCCACTCTGGTGAGTTCTCTGGTTTATATTGCAGACAACAATGTATTTGATCTAATGGCTGCTATAACATATTCCCACAAACTTAGGCTTAACACCAGTTTATTATCTTATGGTACTAGAGGTCATAGTCCGAAATGGGTCTCACTGAGCTGAAGGTGACAAACAAAGTATTGACAAAGTGTACTCCTTCCTGGAAGCTCTCAGGGAGAATCCATCTTCTTGCTTCCCAGCTTCTAGAGGCCTCCCGAATTGCTTAGCTCAGGGCCCCCTTCCATCTTCAAAGCCAGCAATGGATGCTTGAGTTTTTCTTATGCTGCAGAACATGAGAACATGCAGTTTCTCAGACTCTGACGTTCATTGGCTTCCTACATCTTTAAAGGACTCTTATGATTACCTTGTGCCTACCCTGATAATCCAGAATAATCTGTTTATCCTAAGGTCAGATGATTAGCAACCTTAATTCCATCTGCAATCTTGTCTGTTTTAGACTAGTCAAGTGCAGTTCTGAGAAGGGGGAAAGAGTAGACAAGGAGTTGAATCTGTGACTGCCTGTGAACCATGCGTTGAGATCACTGACTACCTCCATCTGCAATATTCATTCCTCTTTGCCATTTAACATAAAATATTCACAGGTTCCAGGGATTAGGGCACAGGCATCTTTGGGGGTCCATTACTCTGCCTACCACAGCATTGTTACAATCATCAGTTCTAATATTCATCCAGCACTCACTCAATACCATTTGCTAAGTCCTTGACAAGAGTTTTGCTCTTGGCACCCAGACTGGAGTGCCAATCTCAGCTGGAGTGCACAATCTCAGCTTACTGCAACTTCCGCCTCCTGGGGTTCAAGCAATTCTCCTGCCTCAGCTTCCTGAGTAACTGGGATTACAGGCATGCACCACCACGCCCAGCTAATTTTGTATTTTTAGTAGAGATGGGGTTTCACCACGATGGCCAGGCTGGTCTCGAACTGCTGACCTCAAGTGATCCGCCTACCTCGGCCTCCCAAAGTGCTGGGATTACAGGAGTGAGCCACCATGCCCGGCCATTGAATCTCCATAACCATCAAGAGGTACAGTAAACATCCCCATTTTACCACTGAGAAAACAGAGGCACCTAAAAGTCAGTTATCTCCAAGATAATATCCACAGACCCAGTAAACAGTAGATCATAGTTCTGCCAGACCATAAAGTCTGAGCTTCTAGACAGTCAGCTGATAGAGGGTGTCAGGAGATTCAGAATAGAAGAAAATGGAGATACTTTTCTACATCAGCAGCAGGGCATGGGGCAGTGGGGACGTTCTCAGGTGCCAGACCACCTGGGTTTATGTCCCAGCTCTATCCCTTACTAGCAACGTGACCTTGGGCAGGTCACCCCACCTCTGTATGCCTCCCTTTCCTTGACTGTAAAATGAGCAGACAAGGCTATAGTGAATCACCATGGCTGGTTTTATTTTTATTTTTAAAGTCAAACAAATTCCTGGATCCAGATTTCTCTTTTTTATGCTTGTCTTCAACCTGCTTTTAGAGGAAGGAAAACTCTGTTATATATATATATATATATATATATATATATATATATATATATATATATATATATATATATATATCCTTTTACTTTGCCTTCCTTTTCTCTTGTCTTTTCTCAGAAGGCAGCAGGGCAGGGACCAGCTAACTATGCCTGGCTCTGTGTGGCCTGTGGGCTAAGAATGGTATTGTATTTTTAAAGGGTTGTAAAAAACAAACAAAACAAAGAAGAACAATATGCAACCGAGGTTGCATGTGGCCCACAAAGCCTAAGATATTTACTGTCTGGCCCTTGACTGAAAAAGTTTGCTGACCTCAGAAAGAACACAGGCAGTAGTGTCAACCACACCTGGGGTTGGGTGCTGTACTAGATGATCAGGACTCAATTGGACCTTTGGGTCATGAAAGCACCTTGGGGCCTTCCCACAGTGGTGACTTTCATAAGATTTGTAGCAACAGCAGCAGCGCCGGTAGCAACAGCAGGTGCGGTAGTAGTAGACGTGGTAGTTGGAATTTACTGAGCATAATCTGCTTTAATCTCCTCAACAATCCTCTGCGATAAGCATGACTATGAGCCCCCTTTTACACATGTGGAAACAGAAGCTGCCTGGGGGTGCGGGTCCCCCGCCCGTGGTTACACAGTGAGATGGGACAGAACCAGGATTGGAACGTAGGCAGCCTGACTCTGAATTTTTCTACATTGCCTCCCTATCATTGCCATCAGCTCTCCCTTCAGGCAAGATAAATCTTTGCCTTCCCTTGTTTTCTTCCCTGACCCCTTTTCCCTAATTCTCTGACAAAATTCATTTCCACTGTAAAAGGGCAACTGAAAAATAGAAGAGCTTTCAAAACAGCTCTGACACAGACATCTATAATTTGGGTTTTGGCATCCATCCATCCATCCCATTCATCCATCCATCCCTCCACCCACCCATCCATCCATCCACCTACCCATCCACCCACCCATCCCTCCATCCCTCCACCCACCTACTCACTCATCCATCCATCCCATCCATTCACCCCTCCCTTGATCCCTCCCTCCCTCCCTCCATCCATCACAACACAGCACCAGGAACTCATAAGAGCCCACATCTTCGACACTGACAACTGGGGCAAACCCCAAGTGCCTGGGTCCTCCAAATTCATTGTTGCCAGGAAGCACAGAGGGAAGCTCATTAAATAGTACCAAGTACTTGATTAATATGCTGCAATTCGGGCAGCACCAGACTATTTCAGCACCCCCTCCCCTTACCCCGTTACCATGACAATATTATTTTAACAAACAGCTCCTTAATATTAAATGAAAATTATGCTCCTGACAGACGAGCAGAAGAGCAGCTGAACTACAAAGGGCTTAGAGGGTCCGCCAGGACATTTTTGCATGAAGCCATCAGTTTCCCCTGATCCCTGGATGCCATTTGTTGCCAGAAAATGCAAGTGTTCTGGAGGCTGGGAGCCAACGTGATGCCAGGCCTTGGTTACAAGCAGCAATTGAGGGTTGTCACTTTTTTAATGCAGAATGTCACAACGGCTCCACGAGGACGGGGTAGCGTGATAGCATTATTAAACACTCCTTTGTACACCGATCGGCTAATTTCACCCCTGCTCGCCTGAGGCTGCTGAAAGCCTTGTTTGCTTCCCGTCTTGAATCGAGTTGGATTGTAAGACTGAGTGTAGAGAGCCCTTGCCTGTGTGCACCAGGGTGAGAAGAAGCCCATCTTTCCTCTGCAAGGAGCCATCTGTCCCACCCAGTCAATTCAGCAACAAGCAGTTGCAGGGATTGGGGGACCCAAGCCTCTGCCCTCAATGGGGGTGAATGTCAAGAGAGAAAAGACGAAGGACATACAGGCTACTCTATGGTAACCTCCATCAGTATGTTGGTGGGTTTATGTGCCAGGCACTGTGCTAAGCACTTGAAAGCAAAAATTAAGGACACATCCGAGATCCCCAATGGCAAAGATGAGTGAATAACTATAGTAAAGTGGAGAGAGGATGGCAATGGCAGTGGGTGACCTATTAGCTGTGTGACCTTGGGTAACTTACTTAACCTCTCTGTGCCTCAATTTTCTCATCCACAAATTGGGGATAATAACACTATCTACCTTAACCATTGCCATGAGGTTTAAAATGAAATAAACACATAAGAAGCACTAGAACAGTACTTAAAATACTTAAAACAGTGGGCACATGGTAAGCAGTAAATAAATGCTAGCTAGGACTGCAAGTTCCCATGGTACCATGCATACAATTATAATAATGGCTAACATGTAGTAAGTGCTTACTCCATCCCAGGCACTATGTGAAGTGTTGGAGTTGTACTACATCATTTAATCTTCATAGGCAACCCTGTGAGATAGGTACTATGTCATCATTGTTATCCTCACCTTGCAAATGAGGAAACTGAGGCTCTGTGGGTTTGCGGAACTTGTCCTAGGTCCTGAGGCTGGGAAGAGGGGATTTGAATCCAGCTTCATCTGGATTTGCTGCCTCATCAAAACACGAACTACAGTATCACAAAAAGCACACAAATGGTGGTACTCCAGGAACACGGGAACCTCGCTGGGGAGGCCTGTCCCGGGGAAGTGGCTGCAGGTGACTTGAAGGCTGATGCATTTTCATGGACTGAGAGGATGGGACTGGAAAGTGGAAGAGGAATTCTAAGAAGGAGGACTTGGGGGAGCTAAGACCTGGAGGAGGGGAACTATGGACTGCATTTGGAGAAGGAAGCACGATCTGGTTTGATTGACTCTACAATAGGCAGATTCTTGGTACCAAGTGGGAGCTTGTCTTAAACAAATATGACCTATTTATTTAAAATATACGTTGGATTTTTATTTAAAATAAATAGATTGGAAGAGGAAGAGTGAGACATAAGGGGGAGAGCAAAGCTTGTAGAGATTTCTGTTCCCTCCTATCAGGATTTCACTGGGTGGACTAATATGAGAATGTCGGTAAAAGTTCTGTGTGTGTGTGTGTGTGTGTATAAAATAAAAACATTTCTTGCCAGTACCTCCAAAAGCAAAGATAGAGGCAAAGAAAGGAAGGCTTGAACAGTGTAGCAAAATACAATCAAAGCCATGGTATGTTACATTTAAAAATACATGTGTGTGTTTGTGTGTGTATGTATATCAGCTATTTATTGCCACAATAGTGCTTCATGACAACTGCCCACAAACCTCAGTGGTGAACAAGAAGAAACACTTATTTAGCATGAAAGTCTACAGGGTTCAGTTGATCTCAGTTTGGGTTGGGCCTGCTCACATACCTAGGTCAGTGAGGGGGTCCTGCTAATCTCAGCTGGAGTCAGCCATATCTTAGGGGGTTTTCTGGATGCTGGCTGATCTAAGATGACCTCTACTGGGATGACAGGGGTGAGTTGACAAAGCTTCGCACATCATTCATCCTCCAGCAGTCTCACCCAGGCATGATTTCATGGGAGTGGCAGAGGAGCGAGGGTGCTTTTGCAGAAAGGTACAAGAGCTTTTTCAGGTCTTGGCTTGCATCACATCCTTATCCAATGAACCAAAGCAAGTGACATGGCTGAGAGTCCCTGTAGGAGGTGCAGGGAGTGTGGGGACTCTACAAGGTGACATGTCAAAAGGCAGGAATACAGGGAACAGTAAAGCACTGGGACTGTTATTACAACCAGTAACTTGTTTCTAGAAGTCTGCTTGATGAAACCTTCAAGCCACATGGAGGAGTCCTCAAAGATGTGCTTGAGATATTCATATAATTTCTTCTGCTCTAAGAACCATGAGGTGAACTTGACCTCAAAGTGAGACCTTGACATTGGGGCATTTAAGTCAGTATCTGTGTCTTCCACCCCACACCTGATCCCTGACCCAAAGTGTCCACAGAGACTAATAGAACCCATCATTAGAGGAATGGGGACCTACTGCACTCTTCGTAGTGCCAGGGTTGGATGTGTTGCTTCTCCTAAGCTGTTTCCCTGCAGGGCAGCACAGCACTGCCTCGGAACTCAAGGTTAGCCTCGTGCCTCTCGGCAGAATCTGTTACTCAAGGATTCCTGAAAGGCAGTCTGCCTAGAAATGGAGGTCAAATGAAAGAAAGGCCTAAGGGTTTTTTTTGTCTTGTTTTGTTTTGGGTTTTTTTTGAGACAGAGTCTCGCTCTGTCACCAGGCTGGAGTGCAGTGGCACGATCTTGGCTCACTGCAACCTCTGCCTCCCAGGTTCAAGCGATTCTCCTGCCTCAGCCTCCCGAGTAGCTAGGATAACAGACACATGCCACCACGCCCAGCTAACTTTTGTATTTTTAGTAGAGATGGGGTTTCACCATGTTGGCCAGGATGGTCTCAATCTCTTGACCTCGTGATCCACCCACCTTGGCCTCCCAAAGTGCTGGGATTATAGGTATGAGCCACTGCACCGGGCTGGTTTTTTTTTTTTTTAATTCTGCGTCATTTTTTTCATATAACTCAATACTTTGAGTTTATTTCATACTTGATATCTTCCACAACAAGGACTAGCATTATTCCCATTTCACAGATGAAGTAAGTGAGGCCCAGTTATGTGACTTTCTCAGAGTGGCAAAGGCAGATGTTACCCCAGCCCTATTTCTACCTCTGCCACCACCAATCTCTAACTCAGCCCTCGGGCCACGTTCCCACACACTCTTAAGACTGTGTTCAAATCCTAATTCTGTTTCCTGCCAACATGTGGCCTTGGATATATCACTTGCCCTTTCTGAGCTTCTGGAGAACATCTTGCCTTCATGATAGTGTTGTTATGAGGACTAAATTTAAGGACTAGGATTCTTGAGTGCTGCCCTGTGGTTCAGAATGTACCTAGAACTCTCTCATTTAATCCTTAAACCAACACTGAGAGAGGTTCTATTGTTACCTTTTTTTTTTTTTTTTTTTAGATGGAGCCTCGCTCTGTTGTCCAGGCTAGAGTACAGTGGTGCAATCTCAGCTCACTGCAACCTCCACCTCCCGGGTTCAAGTGATTCGTCTACCTCAGCCTCCCGAGTACCTGGGATTACAGGTGCCGCCACCAAACCTGGCTAATTTTTTTGTATTTTTCGTAGAGATGGGGTTTCACCATGTTGGCCAGGCTGGTCTCAAACTTGTGACCTCAGGGGATTCACCCGCCTCAGCCTCCCAAAGTGCTGGGATTACAGGCATGAGCCACTGCACCCAGCTGTTATCTCATTTTTATAGGTAGGAACCTGAGGCTGGTGACACGGAGTGACTCCCAGAGGACCCACCATGGTGGGGCTGGGACTCAGAGGCAAGCTGTCTGGTCCAGACCCTGTGCACTCTGCCCTCTCCCCTCTTTCCTGTGAAAAGGCCCAGCAAGAACACTGGAAATACTCCCTACCCTTGTCCCTTTGGAACCTTGAGATAGAGATGCTCATGAGGGGCTGGGCACAGTGGTTCATGCCTGTAATCCCAACACTTCAGGAGGCCAAGACAGGTAGATCACCTGAGGTCAGGAGTTCGAGACCAGCCTGGGCAACATGGTGAAATCCCATTTCTACTAAAAATACAAAAATTAGCCAGGCACAGTTGTGCACACCTGTAATCCCAGCTATTCAGGAGGCAGAGGCAGGAAAATCACTTGAACCCAGGAGGCTGAGGTTGCAGTGAGCCAAGATCATGCCACTACACTCCAGCTTGGGCAACAGAGTGAGACTCCACCTCAAAAAAAAAAAAAAATAGAGAGAGTGAGAGATGCTCATGAGTGAGAACATGCCACAGTGGAAGTCCAGGTAACACCCTGGACATTACCCTAAAGAGCAGCTAAAACAGATGCTGCCCAATCGCCCGATCACTTTGACAATAGGAAGTCAAGTTAGAGAACCCTGATTTCATGTCCCAAGAAACCACAGGAGAAAAGAAACCCACCCAGGGTTTCAGTGCAGTAAACCTGAGTGACTGAGAAAGCAGTGGCATCATCTCTCCAAGTCCCAACACTTGATTAACGCCCATTGACCTACGTGACTGAGTGCCTGATGCGGATGTGATATTGCTGACAGATCATTTGCTGGGAATGTGAGCGTGGCTGCAGGATCCGTGCGGGAGCACTCGGGCCCTCCTCCCTCATCCTGAGGCATCAGTACCTATAAAACCCCTCTAAGCACCTTGACATTGGAGCCTTTTAACTCCTGGAGGGAGGTCATAGTGAAGATGAGAGTCTGTATTTTACAGATAACCAAACTAAGGAGGTAAAGTCTGATACTAATTAAAGCTCTGTTTCTTTGCCTTTGATCAAAATCTTAGGTTCATATTTGTGGCCCACCATTTACCATCTGTGAGACTTTGGGCCAAGTTATTGACTTCTCTGTGCCTCCATTTTATCCTCTGTAAAATGGGGATAATTGTATTTACCTCTCAGAGTTGTTTTGAGAATTAAATGTGTTAATCCATATTGTTGCGCTTAGAACAATATCTGGAGTAAACATAGGAACCGTTTGGTAAATATTACCTATTTAACATTAATGTGTGCATTTTAATCATAGGTAGAGATGAAGTAGAATTTGATAAATTTAGTTTGGGGCATGGGGGTGAAACCGCAAAAGGCATCTCATGATGACAACATTTACGGGTCCATTGGAATAGATGACTTGCCCAAGGCCACCCTGCAGGTGACAGGCCACGTAGGGACTAGAAGCCAGCTTCCCTGATTCCAAGATCCATACCCTTTCTGCTTTTCCAAGCTACTTGACTTTCTGAGAAGGGGCTTCTGTTCCATCCCTAAATCAAGCCACTGCGCGACTCTCACTATCCAAAAGTACCTGCATTCATTTGGAAACCCCCATTTCCTTAAAACTTTCAACCGGCAAATTTAGTGGCACTGTGCACCCAGATTTGCATTAACCATGGAAGAAGGATACAGTTTGTTTCCAAGAACACTTAATTAAGCACTAGGTTTAATTAACTTAAATCAACCTCTCTCCCTGCTCCCATGTCCCCCCTCCTCGAAAAAGAGGGCTGCTTTAAGTATAGTCCCTAACTGGAAGTTCTGATTTTAGGAGTTTCTAATCAGACTCAAAATTGCCAGCTCCTTGTCTTAATCTGCCCCTGAGATACCAGCCCTCCCTGTGTGATTAATCTCCCCCTCTTTTTTTGGCCACATTTCAAACTTAGGCAAGCTTTGCACTGCAGTTTATCATGTTGTGGTTATTGTTCCTGAATGGAAACAATAGCCTCTACTTGCATTGTTCTTCAAACACACACACACAGAGAGAGAGAGAGAGAGAGAGAGACAGCTCTCTTATTTCCCAAGCCAGTAGATAAGCTTTGCCCTTCTGCAACCACCGTGAATGTGGTTCTTTGCCTCTACTCTCAAGAATCTTCATGAATTTTTTGCAAGTTTTTTCTTCCTCTCTCTAAAGAATCATGACCCACCCCAAATTGGACAATAACGAAATATACAGAATTGGACTTTGGGTCCCCTAGACTTTCTCCCTTCCCTCCCAAATTCCCAGAAACAACAGCAGTGCTGACCACTTCCTGAGCGCTCCTCAGCCACCCCGCCTGAGTGGTCTGCTCACTCCCAGCCTTGCTGCTTGCAATCTTTCCATCACACCCCAGCCAGGGTTATCTTTTAAAAATACAAACCAAGAGGCTGGGCACAGTGGCTCATGCCTGTAATCCCAACACTTTGGGAGGCTGAGGTGGGAGGATCACTTGAGGCCAGGAGTTCGAGACCAGCCTAGCCAACATGATGAAACCCCATCTCTACTAAAAATACAAAAATTACCCAGGTGTGGTGGTGCACACCTGTAATCCCAGCTACTCAGGAGGCTGAGGTAGGAGAATCGCTTGAACCTGACAGGTGGAGGTTGCAGTGAGCTGAGATGGCACCACTATACTCCAGCCTGGGTGGCAGAGTGAGACTCTGTCCCCAAAAAACAAACAAACAAACAAAAAATCACATCACTCCCAGAGATTGTAACCACCTGAGAGCTTCTCATTGCATTTGGCCTGATGTCCAGACTCTTTTCTCTGGTGATCCAAACCCCCCAAGATCTCGCCCTTCCCTTCCTCCCCACCCTCGTTTCTTCCCACATCCCCTCATCTGCCGTGCAGCAACCATGCAGGCTTTCTCTTGTTCTTCAGATACACCAAGCCTGGTTCCACCTTATGGTTTTGCATTTGCTGTTCCCTATGTGTGCAATGCTCGACCTGAGCCCGGGTTCCCTGGCTCAGGGAACAGAGGCTGACACCACACTCATAACACCTGATGGGATGGAGGAGATGGAGGTGGGCGGAAGAATGTGTAATCCCAGACAGCAGCAAGAGTAAGGGAGAAGGGAAGCAAGAGAGAGAAAACAAAGGCTGCAAATGCATTACTGAGCTGACCCATCACTTCTTGAGAAACTCTAGCCAGTTGCTCTGACACATGGGATTCTTTGGAGTGGCAATATGGAACACACTTATACCATAATGCAACATATGTGTTCCCCCAAACCACCACACTATGCAGAATTGCACTTTACAAATCACAGGGCTTATGGGGAAAATGTTGTTAGGGACTCAACACTGGAAAAAAAAAGAGATAATAAAAGCAGTAGCATAGTTTTACATGTCACATATGGTTTAGAAATACACAAATAGTACAGTCAATGTGGTACTTTACCTTGCAGAAAGAAAGACCCGTTTGTTGGTGGAACCAAATGTCAGAAGGGTTTCAGCTTGTGAGTTTCTGTGAAGTTGTGGAAAGTAGTTGAAATCAGATGAAAGTTGTAACACCAGGTGTGGACGGGTTTGGCTCTTAATGCATGACGTAAATTGAGGTAGCTGGCAGACATTTGAGATAAATGCATGTGTGTATTTTGTGTGTAGTCATGTGCCATGTAATGACGGGAATACGCTCTAAGAAATGCATTATTAGGCCATTTTGTCATTTGTGAACCTCATAGAGTGAACTCACACAAACCTAGATGGTATAGCCAACTACACACCTAGGCTGGGCGGTAGAGCCTATTGCTCCTAGGCTATAGACCTGTACAGCATGTTACTGTACTAAACACTGCAGGCAACTGTAACACAATGATAACTATTTGTGTGTCTAAACATATCTAAATATTTTAAAAGTACAGTCAAAATACAGTATCCTAATTGTAGGAGACCACCACAGTACACGTGGTCTGTCATTGACTGAAGTGCTGTTATGTGGGGCATGACTGTTTTCCTATATGGCTCCGTTCAGTCGGATAAAGTTTTCTGTGCTCACCTACTGTTTCTCACTGATAAAGCTGGGCACAAGCAAATGCAAGATTCATGGTATATTCAACTTGTTTTCTAATTTGTCAGTCACATTGGAACAGATTTTTCAAGCATTACAGCAGAACTGACAGTGCTGTGTCTCAGAAGAAAGTTCATTGGGGTGGAAAGAGGGAGGAATTTGTCAGCTCTTCCATTTTGTGCCTCTTGCTGGTGTCACAAATCCCCCCCACCAGCACTACCTTGCCTTCACATTCAGGAGCCAGAGCTCTTGGGTCAATCAGGTAGAACCTGAGTGCAAAAGCTGCAGCAACTCCCGCAAGTATCGTGGGCGTCCGCTGGCCATGGAAGCCTGGTCTTCACCGAGGAGGAGGGGTGATGGAGGAAACTGGTAGAATCAGGAACATGTGGTGGAAATGCAGGGTGCAGTGGGCCAAGCAGACCTGTGGGAGCATGTGAGCCCGGTCCAGACCTGCCCTTTCAGGAGCCTTACACATCCAGCTTCCAGTCCTTCACAATTCTACTTAAGAACACCCCTTCAGAAGATGGAGGCAAGCGCCATAAACAAGGTGGTAACAACACTGCAGAACTCATCCATGGGGCTTTGGAATTTCAAAAAAATGGGAAGCCATTGGAGCCGGGGAGTGATGTGATCTGATTTACATTTTTTAGATATTGTGCTGGGTCAGTGTAAAAAGATGGATTGTTGGAGAACTAAGGTCAAAGCAGAAGGCCAGGCAAGAGGTGACGATGGCTTGGACCAGGGTTAGACAAGCAGGGCTGGTGAGACACAGTCAGATCCAGGATATATTTTTCAGGAAGAGCCAACAGGAGCTGCTGATGAGTAAACCAGGTCGACTGGAAGAGCCAGTTGTGGCCTGTCAGAACTTCACTGGCGAGACCTTTCTGGCTCATGGAAGTCACTGGATTGCAGTCAGGAGACAGGCCTGACCTCAGCTAGCAGAATGATCTTTGGCAAGTCAGTAAAAGCTTAAACTCATCAAGATGTTGCATTTGTCATCTTCTGAGGGACCAGCCAGAGGCCAGTCTGCATGCATCAGCATTTGGTTGTGATCAAAGCAAACTCATCCAGCAAGAGTGAAATGCAGGGAGCCATCGGGACGGTGGACACCTTCACTCTGCCTTGTAAAGAAAAGGCCCTCCTAGAGCGTAGGAGTTTTCTTGGAGTTTTTGGGTGGCATGGAAAGTTCTCATCATAACAGCACTGACAATAACAAAATATTTAACAGTGGTTCTCAGTAGTGGGTTGGGTGACAGTGAGGAATCAATTTTACCTCCAAGGGGACATTGGGCAACGTCTAGAGACATCTTTTTTTGTCACAATTTGAGGCAGCGTTGCTAGTGGCATCTAGTGGGTGAAGGATTTTAGCATGCACTAAGCCTTCTACACCACACATGACAGACCCCCCAACTAAGAGTTATCTGGCCCAAAATATCAGTTCTGCCAAGGTTGAGAGACCCTTGAGAATATCATAAACATTCAACATTGGAGGAATAGGTAATTCTTTTGAAGCCTCCTGCAAAAGCCCATAGTCTGTAGCCCTGGCTGTGTGGCCTAGTGGGCTCTGCTAGTGTCTAAGCCTGATCCAGACCTTTCTTCCTCTATATGTTTGGGAGGCATTCATGAAGAATTGAGTACACATATATATGGGTCAGGGTGTTTGAAAGGCTGCCAATTCAGGAAAAAAAAGAGAAAATTATACCAAAATGCCAATACAAGTTAGGTAATATGTGCTAAAAATTAGAAACAACCAGAATGCCCTTCAGTAGGTGAATGGATAAACAAACTGTGATACATCCATCCAGTGGGGTGTTATTCAGCCATAAAAAGAAATGAGCTATCAAGCCAAGAAAAGACACGGAGAAACCTTCAATGCATATTGCTAAGTGAAAGAAGCCAATCTAAAAAGGCTAGATACTGTATGATTCTAACTATATAACATTCTGGCACAGGCAAAAATATGCAGACAGTAAAAAGATCAGTGTTGCCAGGAGTTCAGGGGGAGGTATGAATAGACAGCACAAAAGATTTTTAGGGCGGTGAAACTTCTATGTGATACTGTCATGGTAGATACAGGACACTATGCATTTGTCAAAACCCATAGAACTGGACAGCACAGGGGTGAACGCTCATGTAAACCATGGACTTAAGTTAATAATAATGTATTCATATTGGTTCATCACTTGTAACAAACGTACCCCACCATGCCGGATATTCATAATAAAGGAAACCAGGAAAAGAAGGGGAGAGGGATTATACGGAACCCCTCTGTACTTCGTGTCTATTTTTTTCTGTAGACCTAAAACCACTCTAAAAATCAAAGCGTATTAATTTTTGTTTAAAGTTAAGCAATGTGATATAACAGAATTAACAAAATTATTGTAATCATAATAGTGAACACTTAACTGAGTACTTCCAAAGAGACAAACACATAATAGAAATTATTGCTGGAGAGGATATAACAGAAGAACTAAGAGGAAGGAACAGCTGTTCCCTAATGAGCACTTCCTGAGGTCCAAGCAGACAAATATTTGAGCCTTTTGTATTTGGTCCACACCACTGCCCTACAAGCAAGGCCCTATTAGTATCTTTATTTTATAAGACAAGGAAATGGAGGCTCAGATAGGTTAAGGCATGTGCCCAGGGTCACAGAGCATCAGAGGCAGAATTTGAATCAGATCTAATTGACTGCAGGGCTTATGTACCTGACACGGTGCTCTGCCACCGTGTGTGTGTGTGTGTGTGTGTGTGTGTGTGTGTGTGTGTGTGTACATGAGTGAGTTAGGAGTGTGGAAGTGGGTGTGAAGTGCATGAGTGGGAGTGTGGGGATGTGAGCACGTGTGAGTGTGTGACACAGATGGAGATGGAGTGGTGATTCATGAGTGTGGGTGAAAAGAAATAAACTTCAGCCGGGCGTGGTGGCTCACGCCTGTAATCCCAGCGCTTTGGGAGGCCGAGGTGGGTGGATCACTTGAGGTCAGGAGTTCAAGACCAGCCTGGCCAACATGGTAAAACCCCATCCTTCTAAAAATACAAAAAAAAAAGTAGCCGGGTGTGGTGGCAGGCGCCTGTAATCCCAGCTACTTGGGAGGCTGAGGCAAGAGAATAGCTTGAACCTGGGAGGCAGAGGTTGCAGTGAGCCGAGATTGCGCCACTGCACTCCAGCCTGGGTGACAGAGCGAGACTCCATTTCAAAAAAAGAAACATCAAAAATGAAAAAATATATATACATATATACAAGTGTATATGTACATAACATAGATATGTTGGTGCAAAGGTAAAGCGGTTTTTGCAATTACTTTTCATTGCAAAAGTGTGCTAAAAATTAGAAATAACCAAAGCAAAGAAAAGAAAATGGAAAACCGGAGGTAGTAGAAGGAGCCCCCGGAAAAGGGCAAGGAGCCGTGTGGCCTGGAGCTGCCTGGAATTGCAGTCCTGGGCCTTGGGCTGAGAAAGGTTTTTCCAGGTGGTCCCTGTCTTGCTTCTCCCACCCTCGCGCCGCCCCCACCACCCCCATGTCTGAGTCTCTTCCTGTTGGTGTTGCCACCCTCTGCCGCGCTTGCCGGCCAGGGCTCATCAGGGGACAGTGTGCAGCATGACCCAGGCTGACCAGTGTTTGCGTTGGGCTCTGGCCAGTCGGAGAGCTGTACTGCAGCCAGCCTCCTGCCGTGGGTGGTCCTGGATTACTTCTCTCACCCCAGGTTGTTCCGAGGGTTCCAAGCCACACAGCAGGAGCCCCCTCTCTACCCCTTCTCCAGGGGTATTCCCTTTTTAAAAGGGACTAAGAGGACCAGGCAGCAGTCATCTCATTCTTCAGTGGGGCCAAGCAACTCGGGATCCACAGAGCTGCCTCTGCCTCTGAAAATGCAGACAGAGCCTGCAGAGTTCAGAGTCCAGAAACACAGAAACGGCCCTTGATTTTTTTTTTTGTTTTTCTTTTTTTAAAATTATTTTAATGGACACATAATTATTGTACATATTTATGGGGCACAGAGTGATATTTCTATATATGTATACAATATGTAAGAATCAAGTCAGGGTAATTAGCATATTCATCACTTCAAACATGTACATTTCTTTCCGTTAGGAAGATTCAAAATCCTCTCTGCTAGCTATTCAAAAATATACAAACAATTATTGGGGTTTCTTTGTTTTTTGTTTTTTTGTTTTTTTGGCGATGGAGTTTCACTCCCATTGCCCAGGCTGGAGTGCAGTGGTGCGATCTTGGCTCACTGCAACCTCCGCCTCCCGGGTTCAAAACGATTCTCCTGCCTCAGTCTCCTGAGTAGCTGGGATTACAGGTATACGCTGCCACATCTGGCTAATTTTTGTATTCTTAATAGAGACAGGGTTTCACCATGTTGGTCAGTCTGGTCTCGAACTCCTGACCTCAGGTAATCTGCCCTCCTCGGCCTCCCAAAGTGCTGGGATTATAGGCGTGAGCCACCGCGCACAGCCACAAAGAATTATTGTTAACGGTAATCACTCTACAGTGCTGTAGAACACTAGAACTTAGTCCTCCTATCTAGCTATGATTTTGTCTCCATTTACCAGCCTCTCCCTATCCCCTCTTTTCTACCCTTCCCAACCTATAGTAACCACTCTTCTACTCTCTACTTGTATGAGATGAACTTTATTAGCTCCCACATATGAACAAAAACATGCAGTATTTATCTTTCTGTGTCTGACTTATTTCACTTAACATAATGTTCCCAGTTTCATCCATGTTGCTACAAATGACAAGATTTCATTCTTTTTCACGACTGAATAGTATTTTTGATACACATTTTTTTCTTTATCTGTTGATGGACATTTAGTTTGATTTCATATCTCAGCTATTGTGAATAGTGCTGCAATAAACATGGGAGTGCAGATATCTCTTCAACATACTGATTTTGTTTCCTTTGGATATATACCCAGTAGTGGGATTGCTAGATTATATGGTAGTTCTATTTTTAGCTTTTTGAGGAACTTCTATACTATTTTCCATAGAGGCTGTACTAATTTACATTCCTACCAACAGTGTACAAGGGTTCCCATTTCCCTGCATCCTCACCAGCATTTGTTATTTTTTGTCTTTTTGATAATAGCCATTCTAACTAGGGTGAGGTGATTTCTCATTATGGTTTCGATTTGCATTTCCCTAATGATTCACGATGTTGAGCATTTTTTCCATATACTTCTTGGCCATATGAATATCTTCTTTTGTGAAATGTTGATTCAGATCAACTGCCCATTTTTTAATTGGATTTTTATTTTTTGCTGTTGAATTTCTTGTATATGCTCAATATAAATCCCTTGTTGGATGAATAGTTTGCAAACATAGTTGACCCTTGAACAACACGGGTTTGAACTGTGTGGGTCTACCTATTCACGGATTTTTCTTTCAACCAAATAAAAACAGAAAATACAGTATTCACAGGATGCAAAACCTGCATATTCCAAGGGCCAACTTTTCATATAGTAGGGTTTGCAGGACTCAAATATATGCAGATTTTGGTATAGATGATGGAGGTTGGGGGATGGGGGGATCCTGGAATCAATCACCTGCATATACCATGAGAGGACTGTATTTCCTCCCATTCTGAAGGCTGTTACTTCACTCTGATGGTTTCCTTTACTATGCAGAAACTTTTTAGTTTGATATAATCCTGCTTGTTTTGCTTTTGATGTCTGTGCTTTTGAGGTCTTATCCATAAACTTTTTGGCTAGACCAATCCTGAAACATTTCTCCTCTGATTTTTTCTAGTAGTTTTATAGTTTGGGGTCTTACATTTGTATCTTAAATCCACTTTGAGTTGATTTTTATATACAGTGAGAGATAGGGATCTAGTTTCATTCTTCTGTGCGTGGATATTCAGTTTTCCCAGCGCCATTTATTGAAGAGACTATCATTTTCCTGATGTAGGTTCTTGGTGCCTTTGTCGAAAATAAGCTGGCTATAAATACATGGATTTATTTCTGGGTTCTGTATTCTGTTTCATTGGTCTATATGTCTTTTATAATGCCCATACCATACTGTTTTGTTAACTATAGCTTTGTGGCATATTTTGAAGTCAAGTAGTGTGTTATCTCCAGTTTTGTTCTTTTTGCTTTAGGATTGCTTTTGCTACATGGGGTCTTTTGTGATTCCATATGAATTTTAGGATTTTTTTCTATTTCTGTGAAGAGTGTCATTGGTATTTTGAAAGAGGTTGAATTGAATCTGTAGATGTCTTTATATAGTATGGTCATTTTAACAATACTAATTCTTCTAATCCATGAATATGAAATCTCTTTCCTTTGTTGTGTATGTCTTCTTCAATTTCTTTCATTAGTGTTCTATTGTTTTCATTGTACAGATCTTTCACATCCTTGGTTAAATTTATTCCTAGGTATTTTATTCTTGTAGCTATTGTAAATGGAATTGCTTCTTGAGTTCTTTTTCAGCCAGTTCGTTATTGGTATATGGAAACACTACTTTTTATTTTATATGTTGATTTTGCATCCTTCAACTTTACTAAATTCATTTGTCATTTCTAAGAGTTTTTTAGTGGAGCCTAGCTTTTTCTATATGATAAGATCATGTCATCTTCAAACACTGATGATTTTACATCCTCCTTTCCCATATGCAAATCATATGCTTGTATTTTGTTGAGAATTTTTGCATCCATGTTCACCAGGTATATTGGCCTGTAGTTTTCTTGTTGTTGTATCCTTGTCTGGTTTTGGTATCAGGGTAATGCTGGCCTCATAGAATGAGTTTAGAAGAATTCTCTCTGCTTTAATTTTTTGGACTAGTTTGAGAAGAATTGGTGTTAGTTCTTCTTTAACAGTTTTGTAGAATTCAGCAATGAAACCATTGGTCCTAGGCTTTTCTTTGTTGGGAGACTTTTTATTTTTGATTTAATCTTCATTATTGATCTATTCAAGTTTTCTATTTCTTCCTGGTTCAATCTTGGTAGATTGTGTGTGTGTGTGTGTGTGTGTGTGTGTGTGTGTGTGTGTGTGTGTGTGTGTGTAGTGTCTTTTAGTCTAGCTAATGGTTTGTTGATTTTGTTTACCTTTGCAAAAAGCCAACTTTTCATCTTTTGTATTGTTTTCTAATCTCTGTTTTGTTTATTTCTGCTCTGATCTTTATTATTTCTTTCCTTCTACTAATTTTGGGTTTGATTTGTTCTTGATTTTCTAGATCCTTGAGGTGTATCATTAGATTGTTTATTTGAAATTGTTCTACTTTTTAGATGTAGGTGTTTATTGCTGTAAACTTCCCTCCTAGTACTGCTTTTGCTGTATCCCATAGGTTTTGGTATGTTGTGTTTATGTTTTCATTTGGCTCAAGAAATGTGTCAATTTCTTTCTTAACCTCTTCATTGAACCAGTGGTCATTTAGGAACATGTAGTTTAATTTCCATGTATTTGTTCAGTTTCCAAAGTTTTTGTGGTTGATTTCTAGTTTTATTCCATTGTGGTGTGAGAACATACTTGATATGATTTTGATTTTTAAACTTATCGAGAGTTGTTTTGTGGCCTAATGTATGGTCTATCCTGGAGAATGTTCCATGTGCTAATGAAAAGAAAGTGTATTCTGCAGCTGTTGGATGAAATGTTCCGTAAATGTCCGCTAGGTCTATTTAGTCTATAGTGTAGTTTAAATAGGATACTGGTTTGGTGATTTTCTGCCTAGATGGTCTGTCCAATGCTGACAGTGTGGTGTTGCAGTCCTCAGCTATTATTATATTGGGGTCTCTCTCTCTCCCTTTAGGTCTAGCAATGTATGCTTTTTATATCCGGGTGTTCCTGTGCTGAGTGCATATATATTTACAATCATTGTATCACTTTGCTGAATTGATCCATTTATCACTATATAATGACCTTCTTTGTCTCTTTTTTTACTTTTTGGCTTAAAGTCTATTTTATCTAATATAAGTATAGCTACTGCTGCTTGTTTCAGATTCTGTTTGCATGGAATATCTTTTTCTAGTCCTCTATTTTCTGTCTATGTGCGTCTTTACAAAGTAAGTGAGTTTCTTATAGGCAGCATATAGTTGGGTCTTGTGTTTAACTCATTAAGCCAGTGTATTTTTTTAAATTGGAAATTTTAATCCATTTACATTCAAGGTTATTATTGATAAGTGAGGTCTGACTCCCATCATTTTGTTAACTGTTTTCTGGTTGTTTTGTAATTTTTTTGTTCCTTTCTTCCTCTCTTATTGTTTATCTTTGTGGTTTTGTAGTTTAAGGTTTGATTCCTTTCTCTTTCTCATTTGTGTATCTGCTTTACCAGTGACTTTTACACTTTTGTGTGTTTTCATCGTGGTAGTTAATCATCCTTTTGCTTCTAGATATAGGACTCCATTAAGCATGTCTTTTTTTATTTTTTATTTATTTATTTTTTTGAGACAGAGTCTCGCACTGTCGCCTGGGCTGGAGTGCAAAGGCACAATCTTGGCTCACTGCAACCTCTGTCTCCCAGGTTCATGTGATTCTCCTGCCTCAGCCTCCCGAGTAGCTGGGATTACAGGTGTACACCACCACATTTGGCTAATTTTTTGTATTTTTAGTAGAGATGGGGTTTCACTATGTTGGCCAGACTGGTATCAAACTTCAGACCTTATGATCTGCCTGCCTTAGTCTCCCAAAGTGCTGGGATTACAGGCATGAGCCACCATGCCCAGCCCAAGCATGTCTTATAAGGCCAGTCTAGTGATGATGATTTCCCTCATTTTTTGCTTATCTGGGGAAAACTTTATTTCTCCTTTATTTCTGAAGGATAGCTTTGCTGGCTATGATATTCTTGAGTAGTTGGTTTTTGTTTTGTTTTTTTTCTTTCAGCACTTTGATTACATAATCTCATTCTCTCCTGCTCTGTGAGGTTTTGGCTGAAAAATATGGTGTTAGTCTAATGCGAATTCTCTTATATGTGAGTTGATGCTTTTTTATAATTCTTTGTCTTTGACATTTGACAGTTTGACTATAGTGTGCCTCTGAAAGTACCTGTTAGGCTGAATGTACTAGAGAACCTTTGAAATTCCTAGATCTGGATGTCTAAATCTCTCCCAAGACTTGGGAAGTTTTCATCTATTATTTCATTAAATAGGTTTTCTGTGCCTTTTTCCATCTCTTCTCCCTCTGGAACCCTATACTGTGAATATTTCACTTTATAGTATCCTATAGGCCCTGTAGGCTTTTTTCATACTTTTTTTATTCTTTATTTTTTAAAAAAACGAAAAGTTTGACTGGGTTATTTCAAAGACCTGTTTTAAGTTTAGAAATTCTTTTTTCTACTTGATCTAGTCTATTGTTGAGGCTTTCAATTGTAATTTTTACTTTCTTCATTGAATCCTTTAGCCCCAAGATTTCTGTTTGGCTCTTTTTATATCTCTTTGTTGACTTTCTCATTGAGATCATGAATTATTTTCCTGATTTCACTGAATTGTCTATCTGTATTCTTTGTATCTTGCTGAATTTCTTTAAGATCATTATTTTGTATTTCTCTTCAGACATTTTGTAGATTTCCTCTTCTTTGGGATCTGTTACTGGAAAATTATTGTTTTCCTTTAAAGGTGTTGTGTTTCCTTGTTTTTTCTTATTTCTGTGTCCCTATATTGATATCTGTGCATCTGGTGGGACAGTTGCCTCTTCCAATTTTATATTCATAGGCAAAGACTTTTTCCTGTAGATGTGTCCTATAGCGTTGGCTGGGTAGGTGCTTTGGCTTTGGTGGTAGGTGGATGCAGCAGTGTAGTCTCCATGTGATTTCTTTGGCTGTAATCAGTGTAAGAAGTGCCTACAAGTGCTTTAGTGGCCTAGGCTGCAGGTTTTTGTGGAGACAGTGGCATGGCCCTTCTGGGGGCAGGGGATGCCAGGCAGGCTGATGCTTGGGCTGTGGCGGTTATGCACTAGGTGCTAGGCAATGCCAGTTGAGAAGGGAGGACACTGGCCTTTTCTCCTTTGAAGGTGCTAGAATAAATTACCCTGTACCACCCAGTTTCCCAAGGGCTTCTGGCCAGGTCACTCTGTATGAAACCATGAAATAAAGATCCAGCTGCCCTGCCTGACATTTTCACATCCTTTATAAGGTGACACCATGCATGGAAAAGAAGGCAGCCATTCATCCTCTCTTTAGCCATTTTTCTGATTCTGCTTTGTCATTTAAAAAAATCCATCTTATGAGTTCATGTCCTTTGTAGGGACATGGATGAAGCTGGAAACCATCATTCTCAGCAAACTATCACAAGGACAAAAAACCAAACACTGCATGTTCTCACTCACAGGTGGGAATTGAACAATGAGAACACATGGACACAGGAAAGGGAACATCATACACCAGAGCCTGTTATGGGGTGCGGGGAGCGGGGAGGGATAGCATTAGGAGATATACCTAATGTTAAATGACGAGTTAATGGTTGCAGCACACCAACATGGCACATGTATATATATGTAACAAACCTGTACATTGTGCACATGTACCCTAAAACTTAAAGTACAATAAAAAATTTAAAAAAAATCCATCTTAGTATCTTGACCCCCACCCTTCACCCACTCACAGAGAAGCCCACATGAGGAAACAGGTTATGTCTTGGACATCTCTGTCCCCCTCAGTGTCTGGTATAGTGACTGACACACAGCATGTTCTCAAGAAATGTTTGAATCACAGTACATTGAATCAGTAACAGTCTGACTGACCCCCAGGCAGAAAATGCAGAGGCATTTTTTCTCTCTATTCCAGATTTCAGCTGTAGCCTCTTGTAATTCTCATATTGTTTTTCAATCACCAGAATTGATTTCCCTCATCCCTCTCCCCAGGGTCATCTCCAGTGAACTGTATTAAATTGCAATTAATGTTGACATTTGTTTTCCTCTTGCTCTCTCCCTTCTTTAAAGGGGGCACACGGGTGGTAGAAAATTGAAGAGCCAATAGTAATCACATCATAGGGGAGGTGTGAGCATTGGCAAGGGCATTTGCAATTAAATTAGGTGACACTTTTGCCAGTGGAGAAATGCACTTTCTGAGAAAGGAACACCAAGTGGGTGTTACTGGCTTAAGGCAAGCTGGCTTCTCTTCAGATGAGCTGCCAGGAGATGCTACTGCATGGCACAGGAAGAACGTGTGACCACTAGGATTATTTCCAGCATAATTGGCTTTGCATGGCTGAAGTTTTAGCAATGAATTTCTATAAGCCCTTTTAAAATTGGAATTCATAAACAAGTCTCTGTGCTCTCACCCTGTGGCACTTTTTTCTGCTCTTTTTGTTGTTTCATTGTTCTTCTCACTGCTACCTAGCTAGCATCCTGGTGTCATGGAAGTGGACCAGATATTTTCACACCCATTATATTCTAGATGCTGTGTTAAGATGCAGGACAACAAGGTAGATGTCATCCTTGCTCTTTAGACATCTGCAGTCTAAGACCCAGGCAATTTGGATATGGTGTGGGGAAAAAAAAAAAAAAAGCTCTCGCCAAGATAAGCATAGAAGAGAGGCATATTCTGCTATTGAACCATCAGAACCATGCAAAAAATCTCCCATTAGATTCTAGTACCCCCAGCCCTCCCACCTGCCAACCCAGACCCTTCCCAAAGAATAAGCTTTATTAAGAGTTTCAATCAGCTCACTCTTATTTTTTTTCTTTCTTGCAATCAGTGATTCATCAGCCTGCAATTCATTAGGATTACCATTATTGTTGATAATAGCACAGCTGGGCACTCTGTCTCAGCTAGGAGCTCTCTGCTGACAGGAGGGGCTGATGGCAAATGCAGAGGTGGGGAGTCCATCCTGCCTGAAGCTGGAATGCCTCAGAGGTGGAGGACTAAAAGAGGCCAAAGGAACCAACAGTCTAGATCCAAAGTCCCAAGTCCCATTGCTCTTCTGTTCTCCCTGGGCTGACTCTAGACCTTCCTATAGTTCCTTACTAGGACTCTTTTTTTTTTTTTTCTTAAGGGCATATTGTTTTTAAAAGGGATGAGCTCTTCTCTAGGAATTATTTTACTCCCTGCCCTCTTCTCCAGTTTGCTCCTGCAGAAAAATGAGCAAAGCAATACGTATTTCATGGAATTCTTGGGATGATGCAGCAGGATAATGAACATAAAAGCCTATGACACAATGATGGAAGTAACTGGCATTTTTGAGCGTCAGTTCTATGTTATGCATTGTGTATACCATATCTTATAAAATCTCTACAGAAACACTGTGAAGTAATTTTCATTTACATTTATTTATTCTTAAAAATATATTTATTGAGCATCTATTACATGTTCAATATGATGCAACATGCTAAGGCTCCAGCCATGAGCAAAACAGTTTTTCTCCTGACAAGGAACTTACATACTAGAAGCTGCTGTTATACCATTTAATAGACTAGGATACCAGGGTTCAGACACATTAAGTCACATAGCCACCTGTCTGGCTCTGAAGCCAGTCCCTGCTCTGCTGCCCTCTACCTCCCTGTGTTCCTGGTCTAAGCACAGTACTAGGTATGAAGGGAGCTTTGTAAATGTCTGAAGCTTTCTCAACCCTTGCTTGGTTGTGCTTAAACTTGGATATATGTCATCAGGGAAAGAACAGTGTCTGGGAATTAGATGAGAAATGTAGATGATGTGTCCAAACTCAGAAAAGTTGTTTAACTTTCAACAGCCTTAGTTCCTGTGGCCGTGAAATGGGGATAAATATACTATTAATACTTAAGGTTATGATGGATTTCCAGATACCTAGGGTATGGGAATGCACTTTAGAAACTGATGTCCTGAGCCTGAATGAGTTTTTCCTTGGCAACTTGATAGACCCTTGGTGTCTTGGGAGCCTGCTCAAATAGGAGCCTGGGCTTCCCCTGGCACTGAGCACTGGAGTCACTTCCAGATCATGAGAGGCAAAACAGCATGGTAGCTATGAACCATGTTAAAATTCCGGTGTCTCACACTTGCTAGTTATGTTACTAACCTCACTGTGCCTCAGTTTTGTCACCTATTAAATGGAAAGAAAAATAGTACCTACCTCATTGGGTTACCAGAATGAAATGATCTTTGGGGGATAACAGTAACCACCATGAGTTAGTGCTTTTGAGCACCATAGTTTCATTCTTAAGTTTCATTCAAAACCCTGCAATTCTAAGACATCACTGATGATTACATTTTTTTTGGTGTGAAAGTCAAGTCTAATTGTTTCTGGAGAACATTGTGTCCCACTGTTTGGTTTTGGATTTATCCCTTGCAGACTGAGAGGTTTTTGTTTTGTCTGTTTATCTTCTTAATGTAGTGTTTAGAAATTTAATGGAGCAATTTAGTTTCCATTTACTGAAGTAGATTATCAAAGGAAACAGGAACACTAAAGACTAGGTTAGCATCCCAGAGTATTGCCTCACATATGATGTGATTTTTCATGTTTTCCTGACAAAAAAAAAAAAAGAATGAGAGTTTCTATTTCCTTAAGCTGGTTCATGGCAAAGCCTCTTGCCTCTTGCCTCATGCCCAGTCAACTCTCTGGGTAACCAGATGGTTGGAAGTGGGGCTAAGAGGGTCACACAGGGACAAATCCCCACCCAGCGTGTCAGGACAGCTTTGTTCTTCTTGCCAGATGTGGTGGCCTAGATCGCTGAAAGCCCACATTTTTGGCTTAGAGGCCTCAAGCAGTATTGTTCAACTGGGAAACCAAAATTCATGAAGAGAAATCATGGTGGTCCGCTCCATTCGAGTGAATGAAACACTTCAGGACATTAAAATGGAAATCAGCAAGGTATGCTGACTGATTTGTCCACACCGTGAAAATAAGCCACCATTTATTCAGATCTCCACACATGTGACAATCCTTGCCTAGGTGCCTTGTAGTTTTTACAAAAAACCCATCTAACAGATGAGGAAACTTAACCTCATAGAGGTGAAGTGACTTGCCCAGGGTCACACAGCTATGAAGTTATTGAGTGGGGTCTTCTTTGTTCCAAAGCTCTTGTCATTTTGTTAAATCACCGGAAAGAAATTGGGGATGAGGAAAGAGTAGAAAAGCCTCAGGGAAAGTTGACGGTGATGATGGTGGTAGAGGTGGTGGTGGTGCGATTCATCAGTGGGAAATTGCTGTTCATCCTGATAGTGGTGGTATCATTAACTATCCATTTTCAGAAAAGGATCTGACAACCACTTAATAGGTACATATTCAACTCTGTTTAAAGAAATGAAAAAAAGGAGTGAAGTTTGCATGCCTAAATTTCCAAAGTCAGAGGCAGAACTAAGCCTAGTTCCCCCACTTCTAATTGTCTTCCCGTCTCCCCTTCATCCATCACAAGCTCCACATTTTAGGATTATTTTGCTTCAAGTCCAAATAGGAGCTAGTGATCCTAATATGTCTCGGCCACAGAAAAACACTAGCAGCTGATACTTATTAAGCACTCTTTGTGACCAGAATTGCTCTAAGCACTTACCTGTGTTAACTCATTAAAGCTTCACAATAATCCTCTGAGATAGATTCCATTATCATAACCATTTAATAGATAGGGAAACTGAGGTGCAGAGATGCTAAGCCAGTTGCTGAGGTCACTCTGCTGGAGAGTGGCGTGCTGGGATGCATGCCCAGGCAGGCCAGCCCCCAAGTCTGCCCTTCCCCACTTCACCTGTGGGCTCCTGCTGTTATTCAGCAGAACCCACTCCCGGCCTTGTTCTTCTGGTTGTAGCAGTGGTTTTGCACAGACTTGCCCAATACTCACTCACTGGAGCTTCTCACAACTTTTAGAAGTCCTGGTCTAGGGTTAGGGATTCAGTCAACAGCCATGGAACACCTATGCAGCAAATGTGTATTAAATCCCTCCTGGCCCAAGGCACTGAGCTGGACACTGTAAATCCAAGGCCTCATACAGGTACTCGTGAAATTCCAAGTTTCCTGAGGGCTGGAATGCATTTTCTATTTTTTTTCTAATCTCCCTCCTCAGAGCTACAACCCCCTCTAACTCCTACAAAGATCCTCTTACACCCTCTCTAGCTCTCCCACTTAATTTTTCTTCACAGCACTGGGAACATTTCCTCTCCCAGACATGTATTTTATCTGCCTTTCTTCCCCACTCCTACTCAGTCAGAGCAGGGCTTTGTTCTCAACACAGATCCTGCGTGGCTCATAGTAGGTGCTCAATAAATGCATATTAGTGGTCGAAGCTCAGACCTCATACTATCTTTTCAGTTGGAGCCAAACGGGATTGATTTACAATTGCACAAAAAGAGAAATATTTTAAATAACAAGCCCTTTGAGGCAATAGAAAAAGGTGTATCCATTGATGGCTACACTCAATACACCCCCTTTCCCAGATCTTTACCCCAAAGAGAAATGCCGTCATGAGTTTTTTGCTGCATTTGTCTTACCTGAGTCTAAGGGTATTGTGTCTTACCCTCCTCCTAACCCAATTCCACAGTCACACCTCACATCTCACTTGCTGATCTCCTGTCTTACATGGAAAATCAATGTATTTCAAGTAGGAAACAACTAATACAGAGAGGTTTCACCTGAGGTGGAAATTATGCAGGCAGTTTAATGCAAATTGGAGGGAAAAGCCAAAAATAAAGTGGTGTTAGCTAATACAAGCATGCTCATAATCTCATGCTACTGCTTTCCTCACTGGCTTTGTAGCAAGGTGGGCTGTGTGCAGAGCCCAGTTAAAACTCACATTATGTTGAGTTTAGGCGTTTTGGGAAAGGATGTAAATGGAAAGATGAACTGCTCACATTTATCCTGATTTTCAGCAGAGGCATTAATTTTTTTGTAGCTTTCATTTTATCACGCTTCTCCCTCTATTAATACTCCCCATCCCCAACCTATATAGGGCACTCTGGGAACAGGAGGATGATAATGGTGGCTTAGTCCATTTTGTGTTGCTATAAAGGAGTATCTGAGGTTAGGTAATTTATAAAGAAAAGAGGTTTATTTGCTCACAGTTCTGCAGGCTGTACAAGAAGCGTGGTGCCAGCATCTGCTTCTGGTGTGGACCTCAGGCTACTTACACTCATGGTGAAGGCCAAGGGAAGACTCATGTTGTGGGCAGAGATCACATGGTGAGGGAGAAAGCAAGAGAGTCAGGGAGATGCCAGGTTCTGTTTAACAACCAGCTTTTTGAGAATTAATAGAGTGAGACTCGCCCACGAGGGAGGACATTAATCTATTTATGAAAGATCTGACCCCATGACCCAAACACCTCCCCCTAGGCCCCTCCTCCAACCCCAGGGATCAGATTTCAACATGAGGTTTGGAGGGGTCAAATATCTAAACCATGGCAAATGGAAACCAGTTTCTAGTTGCAGTGACTTCTGCTCCTCACACGTGGGTTCTGATATCTGAGGCTCAGTGACATTCAATATACGTTGGCCCTTAATTTTGTCCTGGTGCTAGATTTAAGATGGTTGTTTTCCAAAGTTCATAAATGGGAGTTGGTGGGGCTGTCAATGAGGTCACATAGTACCACTGAGTATGCTCAAGCATGTGAGCATTTGCTAACTATATTATTCCTCCTCCAGGAAGCAGCAGGATTGCCATCCATTCCTGAACAAGAAGCTGTGAGATTCAAATGCAAAGCCATGTATGTCTGCCTTACAGAGCTTGCACTTACCATTAGTAGCACTCTCCTGGCACACTGCAGTTGCTTTGCCATAATATCCTGCTTCCCATGTGTTGCATATCAATTTTGTGTGGCGTGGGCAGATACTTTTTATTCTCATGGTAATATATTCTCAGGAGTATGAAGAAAAAATATAATTAGCTGATACCCAATAAATACAACTATGATTTATTGGGTATTGTTGCTTAGAAATACGTTAGAATTTACAAAGTGATTTGATTTTTTTAAATTATTAAGCAAAGAGTAATACACGTGGTATTTGTCTAGAGCGCAACTCATAATGGTGCTGTATAAATGATGGAAGTTGAAGAAATCATGCTAGAATGTGAGAATTTTTAGTTAACTTTTTAAAAACCACTATGCATATGGTCTGTCTACCACTACCCAACCTACCTCCCCTGCTTCTGGAAGAAAATGTCATTGTGCATCTGGATCACCTGGGGGTGTCCTAAAAATGCAGATCCCTCCTACTCTCCCCAAGAGAATCTGCTTCAGTGGTTTTGAGGTGAGGCCCAGAAATCTGCATTTTAATAAGCTCCCAAGCTGGGTTTCTAGGAGGAGGTTCTAAGACCTTACTTCTCAAAGCACTGTTTCAGAATGTGCTCCCAAACTAAGATGGTTCTTTGGCATGGAATGCTCACTTTCATTTTTCCCCTGGTGATCTTTGTTCTCTGGGAATCAAATCTCATAAAACCTAATTTAATTGTTGGGCAATGCTTCCTCTTTAAAACCACTTGTACGTGCAGATCTGGGGGCTGCTTGGCCAATCCAGATCTCTCAGCCTCAACATTACTGACATTTGGGGCCGGTTAGTTCTTTGTCATGATAGATTATCCTTGCATTGTACAATGTTTAGAAGTGTCCCTGGCCTCCACCTCCTAGATACTAGTAGCACTCATATCCCAACCCCCATCTTGTGACAATCAAAAATATCTCCAGACATTGCCAAATATCCCTTGTAAGGGGGAAAAAAAATCACCCAACATTGAGAACCACTAGGCTAAGCTGGATTAACTTTGAAAACTCAAGTCTCCAGATGTGAAAAATATGCTCCAGTAGAAATTATTCATAGCACTGTAGCCCTTGAATTTGTATTCTGCCTTTTTTTCAGAAGCCCCAGTCCTATGCTACGTGAAAAAAAAAAAGAATGTTTTATGAAGTTAGTAAAACAGAATAAGTAGCCTGCAGCCTAGCATAAACCTACTTTAGATGAGCTTGCACATTTGTCTTCATGGAATCGGAAAGTAACTGGAACAGATCAGGTGGCTAATGGGTCCTCCTCCTAGGGGACCATTCAACTGAACCAACATGTATTACAGCCTTACTCTGTGCTAGGTACTGCAGAAGCTGTTGAGGATACAAAAATGAGTAAGATTGAGTCTTCTCCCTCAAGAGGCTGAGATCTATTAGAAAAAGTCAGGCAAGTGCCCCAAAAGAGACAGCATGACATAATGGTTTTTAGTGACATTGCCTGGGTTCAAATCCTGGGTTCAAAAACAGCTGTGTGACTTTGAGCAAGTTGCATGACCTCTCTGTGCCTGTTTCCTCAGCTGTACATTGGGGATGGAAATAGTACCTACCTCAAGGAGTTGCTTGGAGAGTTGTACAAATTTATATACATAAGGACCTGAGGACAATGACTGGCACATAGAAAGGGCTATCTTACAAAGTCCAGTGCTGAAAATCAGACCTTGAGTCAGGAGACTTGGGTTCAAATCCCAGCTCTGCCTCTTCTGAGCTTGGGTAAGCAATGTAATCTCTTTGAGCTTCAAGTCCTTCATCCATGAGATGGGATGATCATAGTATTTACCCCATAGGATGATAAAATGAGATGATCTAGGAAATGCCTAGCCCAGTCTGATACATAGTACTGAATAATGTTTAATTATTGTTATTGCTATTGTAAATAGCTTTATGCCAACCAACCAAACTCATACCAGAGGCCTGTCTATTTGAAATGAAAAACAAGTCTGCCATGAGCCCAAACAGTTGCATCTTTGGGTCAGTTCCCTAACTGTACAGAGATGGTAATGGGAAGCTGGATTCCCAAGGCCTCCTGGGTGAGCACAGAATCCACTCGGGAGCTGGTGAGACTCATGTGCACAGGGCCTCAAACTGGGCATCCATTACCAGAGTGGGGCTCTTTCCATCTCTAGGACCCATGGGCCTTTCCCCAAGTCAGGACACTCCTCCTAGCTGGGTGACTGCTTCTCCTAGTCCTCTTCTAAACTTATTCCTTTTTTAGATATATTTATAACTTTGATTAGATTCTCCAAATTCTGCCTACTCTCCTGCTTCTTTCTTACTGGTGTTTAAGATAACTTTGCCCATAGCTAATCTTATCTTCTTGGCACTGGATTTCTGTTTAATTCTCAGAGTTCTGCCAAGAGATTCACACTGACAGGCAGGGGCCTTTAGTTATTCTTTCCAAAAGAGTATTTATCAGGTGCTCCTGTATGCTGTGAGACAAAGAAGTATCAAGCATGACCCAGTCCTTTAATGAGTTTAAAATAAATCTAACTGACCTTCAGTAATTACCAGTAAAAGGACCAAATCCTGAACTGGGTGTCCATTTCAGCTGGAAGGTATTATTGGAGAACGTGGGCATTGAGAAATGGGTCTTGTGTGCAGGGATGGAGTGAGCGGGGAGCAGACATGTCAGGCAGAAAATAAGCATCTGCCTACAAATGAAAGGGACCTCTGGGTGAAAAGAACACAGAGGCTAGAACTCTGAAGTGTCCATTGCTAGGCTAACAAGTTTGGGCTTTGGTCTACAGACAGTGTAGATTCATAAAAGACTTTGAAAGGGGAGTGGCGTGTTGTTCTGGTATCTCCTGATGTTGGCTTTCCTCCAAGACTAGAAAGATGAAACTGGTGTTGACACGGGGCAGGTAGATAGATGTATACAGGGATAGAGAGAAAATGGGAATGGTTAGAAATGGGGCTTCAGTAGGACTGGAAAGAGAGGGGAATGAATATTGCTAATATTGATGAACCACCACTTCCAAGAAAATGGAGTAAACACATTTTCTCTATTTCTCCCACTGAGTACAACTAAAAACCTTGGGCATTATTTATAAAACAAGCATAAGACCCTGAAAAGTGGAAGGAAGAAGGCAGACTAACTAGGGACCTCATAGCCCCAGGAATGACGTGGTGGTGAGTTCTCTGGGTTTTTGTTTCTTTTCTTTGTTTGGCTTGGTTCGTTTTGCCTTATATATCCTAGACTTAGAGCTGAAGAGGCCATCAACCACAAATGCTAAGGGGCCCAGAACCCTCCCAACAAAAGCCCCCCCAAAAAAGTCTGCTGTCTCTAGCCAAAGAATCAGGAAAGGGGCAGCCTGGCAAAGCCAAAAACTTTTAGACAGTAACTGCTCTGCTGTAGCCAAAGGTCACAGAAAAAACTGTGGTCCAGCCCCTGCTCCACCAGCAAAAGCCAAATGCAGAGCCTAGAATTCCACCCTCACCACGTTATAGCAAGCCTCCCCAGTCTCCCCCTTCTTTACAGCAGGGTGGTGTCAGAGAAGGCCAAGTGGGGAGTAGACTTTCATGACCCCACGAAATGGTAACCTGGCCTTATCCACTCCCTTAGTGTCAGTTAAGATCGTGTGGGAGCCGTAGCAAGACACTCCTGACTCCTCCCAGTCAGAGAGAGGTATCAATGGAGGCCTTGTCAGGAGCTGGAACTCCCATCACTGCACAGTAATGAGAAGGCTCCCCCTCAAGTGTCAAGGCCAAATGGAGAACCTGGACCCCTACTTAGTAATAATGAGGTGGCATAAACCCCCTACCCATGTTGGAGCAGTGTCAGAGAAAGCTAGCTAAAACAGAAAGTTTAGATAAGATCCAAAATCTTATAACCAGGTTTCAGTTTTCAAAATCACTCATACCAAGAACAAGGAAGATCTCAAAATGAACGATTAAAGACAATAGATGATAAAACTGAGATGCTACAGAAGTTAAAATTTTACAGATTATAAAGCAGCCATCATAAAAATGTTTCAATAAGCAAATATAAACATGCTTCAAACAATAAAAAATAGAAATTCTCAGCAAATAAACGACATAACCATATGGAAATTTTAGAATTGAAAAATACAGTAACTGAAATTAAAAACTCACTGGATGACCTCAACATCAGAGCCAGTGGGCCAGAGGAAAGAATCAGTGAACTTCAAGATAGAATATTAGAAATAACCCAGTCTGAACAACAGAGAGAAAATAGACTGGAAAAACAAGAACCACTCGAAGAAATAATGGCTTAAAACTTTCCAAATTTGCCATAAACCTACAGATTCAAGAAGCTGGGTGAACCCCATACAGGATGAATCCAAATAAATTTACAATAAGACACATCATACTCAAATGTTTGAAAACCAAAGACAGCCTTTAAAATCACTGAGACAGAAACAGCCACTAATGAGAAATGCAGTATGCACAGCACCAGATTTCTAATCAGAAACCATGAAGGCCAGAAGGAAATGGCACAACATTTTTTTTAAAAACTGTCAACCCAGAATCCTATATCCATCAAAAACTATATTTCAGGAATGAAGGGGTAGTCAAGACATTATCAGATGAAGCAAAGCTAAGAGGATTTTTAGCCAACAGCTCTGCTATAAAACAATGGCTAAGAAAATTCTCTAAACAGAAAGGAAATGATAGAAGGATTCTTAGAACATCAGGAAGGAAAGAAGAATATGAGGCTGTTTCCTATTCTGTTGCCAAAACAAAAGCAGAGGATGAGAATTTTGAAAAAGGAAAACAGTCTGAGTCTCAAGAAGCCTATGAGAAGGAAGAGAGGAATGACTTGGTCATGCCCATGACAGAAAAGTGGCTTAGGGATGTAATGAGAGAATACAATATGTAGATGATACACTAGAATTCTTGTCCTTTGAATTAGTATTGGGTTGGCGCAAACATGATTGTATTTTTGCCATTGAAAGTAAGGCAAAAACTGCGATTGCTTTTGCACTAACCTAATAGAATAAAATCATTTGAGCTAGAACAGAAATGCTAGGCCACCCAGCTTCCTCCCTTTTTTATATCAAGCTACATTTGCACAGCTTCTCTTAGATAGTTTTATTTACTTTATGCCATGTAGTTTCCTGCAAGAACAGAGCCTCAATTAGGGAATGAGTTAGAAAATGTGGAAAAGTAATATCAATCAGTTCAAAAGTACCTATCTAAACCCAATTTCAATATTGGATTAAGCAATTATTATAAACCCCAAACTATGGAAAATAATTTGTTTTCATAATGGTCAAAGATTGAGACATACTTAACTCTAATAGCTATTTTTTTGAAATGAATATTTGCTATAGAAATTGAATTGAGGCTGTCAATTAAACAAAACTATAAAATAAGGCTAAAAGTAATAGCTGATGTTTATGAGAGTTTACATCTCAAGGATCTATTACATTTAAAATGACATTTGGTACGAATCTATGAGAAATCGGAGATAACCTGTGAGTCCATCAGTAGGGGAATGGCTTATGCTACATTGAGACAATGAAATCTGTTCAAGAGGATAAGCAACTCTGTATGTGTTGATGGGGAATCGTAGCTGCGACACATGGTTGAGTGAATAAAGCAAGTCATGAATAATGCATCTAGTGCCATCCCTTTGTGAAAAATAAACTGCATATGTAGGTGTGTTTATGCATGGGAAAAGCTTATACATTAAACTGTTAAAAGCAGTTACTTCTGGGGATTGGAAATAGAGAAGCAGAGATGGGAGATACTTTTACTTTAAACACTTCTGTATCACATAATTTCCTTTTTTTTTTTTTTTTTTTTTTGAGACAGAGTCTTGCTCTGTCACCCAGGCTGGAGTACAGTAGGGCTATCTCAGCTCACTGCAACTTCCTCCTCCAGGGTTTAAGTGATTCTACTGCCTCAGCCTCCTGAGTAGCTGGGATTACAGGCGCACACCACCACGCCCGGGTAATTTTTGTATTTTTAGTAGAGACAGGGTTTCACCATGTTGGCCAGGCTGGTCTTGAACTCCTCACCTCAAGTGATCTGCCCACCTCAGCCTCCCAAAGTGCTGGGATTACAGGCATGAGCCGCCATACTCGGCTATAATTTTCATAAAAGTCATATGCAGCTTGTGAAATTAAAAAATTTAAGTGGTTTCGACTTAAAGGTGACAGAGCAGAAAGGCCTATTCGATCGCAGTGGTCAATCATCAAGTTGCATAAACCCACCTGAGCCTTAGTTTCCTCATGTGAACCTAGAAAATCTGAGTTCTGTTAATTTAGAAAGTTAATTTTGCCAAGGTTGAGGCAAAACTTTCCTCAACCTTTTGACAGCCTCAGGAAGTCCTGATGACATGTGCCTAAGGTGGTTGGGGCACAGCTTGATTTTATACATTTTAGGGAGACATGAGACATCAATCAGCATATGTAAGAAGTACATTGGTTCGGTCTAGAAAGGCGGGACATCTTGAAGCAAGGGCAGGAAGACTCCAAGCGGGAGGGAGCATCCAGGCCACAGATAGGTGAGACACAAATGGTTACATCCTTTTGAGTCTCTGATTAGCCTTTCCAAAGGAGGCAATCAGATATGCATCTATCTCAGTGAGCGGAGGGGTGACTTTGAATAGAATGGGAGGCAGGTTTGCCCTAAGCAGTTTCCAGCTTGAGTTTTCCTTAGTGATTTGGGGGGCCCAAAATATTTTCCCTTCACATTCAAAATGAGAAACCTCCCAGAGGTATTGGACAAATGAAACTGGTAAAGCTGCTTCCAAAGTGCCCAATCAGCATGAAGTCAGTGCTGCCCTAGCCTCTGTTTGAATGTCCAGAGCTCCTGAGTTAGGTCAGAGGATGTTTTCCCATCTATAAAATGGCTAATGACACTGCCTCATCAGAGCATTGTGAGGATTAAATGAGATCAAAGATGCACCAAGTACCTGGATCTCTCAGAAGTGGTAGTGATATTAGTGTCTTTAGGCCACTCCCAGCCCAGCACCAGGTTCATGTTAGGCACTACAGTAGGGGTTTTTTTGTTAATCTGAACTGAACTGATTCCAATGCCTATTGCTGCATTTTCCAAATATGTGATCTCCAGACAGTTTAGAGGTTTGCCTTGGATAACATAATATAATGAGAGGGTAACCAGCAAAAGACAGAAGACCTGCGTACATCCTTGCCCTGTGCCTCTAAGTCAGTTCACAGGGCTGTGTGTTCTCCGTGGATGAAATTGGAATGACAATCCTCGCCCCGCCCAACCCAAAATCTCACAAGGCTGTTGTGAGCACAAATGGAAGGGTGAGAGTTGGAGCATTGTGTCAACTGTAAAGTCCTTGGTTTGTTTGTTTGTTTGTTTTGAAATGGAGTTTCGTTCTTGTTGCCCAAACTGGAGTGCAATGTGTGATCTCAGCTCACTGCAACCTCCGCCTCCCGAGTTCAAGAGATTCTCCTGCCTCAGCCTTACAAGTAGCTGGGATTACAGGCGTGTGCCACCATGCCTGGCCAATTTGTTTTTTATTTTTTATTTTTAGTAGAGACGGGGTTTCACCATGTTGGCCAGGCTGGTCTGGAACTCCTGACCTCAGATGTTCCACCCACCTCGGCCTCCCAAAATGCTGGGATTACAGGCATGAGCCACTGTGCCTGGCCTAAAGTCCTTGTTTTACATGGACCACGGTGGTGGTTGATCATCAAGTTGCTTAACCTCATCCGAGCCTATAGTGGTCCTTGTTTCCATAGCATAGAAAACCCTTGTTATCACTGTCTCCCCTTTAGTTTGACCTGAAACTGTAACAAATATCTTTCTCATGCCCACTCAGCATCCAGGCATCAGAGACAGGCTCCACAATTAATTTTTCAGCGTACTGAAAAAACACTTGCCAGTGAACGACTGTGGCTAGGGTAAGAATGATGAAGTGAGAAGGCAAAGGGAAGACTTGCTTGCACCTTCCAAAAAAGAAGGTGGTTCTTTTTCAAAAGTAGATGTTGGCTTCGGCTCTGAGCACACTTCCCAGGCTACCTGAGCTCCATGGGCAGCTGGAAACTTGCCCTGCCCCAGGGGCTGGTGGATACATTACCTTTTCAAGTTTCCCTTGTGATTTCCTCCCTTCCATCACCACCAGTTAGTTCTAACTTGTTCTATAATTTAGAACTTCTACCAGGTTCCAGAAATCTGTGGTGAGGCACTGAGACAATGGAGGTTAGAACTCAAACACATGGTGGCTTAAATAAAGATCATCTGATTTGGGTGTAGTAGCTAAGAAGAGTTAGCTTTGGTTTTAAAAAGTGGGCCAGGCGCGTTGGCTCATGCCTGTAATCCCAGCAGTTTGGGAGATCGAGGTGGGTGGATCACTTGAGGTCAGGAGTTCAAGACCAGCTTGGCCCACAGGGTGAAACCCCCGTCTCTACTAAAAATACAAAAAATTAGCCAGGCATGGTGGTGCATGCCTGTAGTCCCAGCTACTAAGGAGGCTGAGGCAGGAGAATGGCTTGAACCCAGGAGGTGGAGGTTGCAGTGAATAAAGATCGTGCCACTGCACTCCAGCCTGGGTGACAGAGCAAGAATCTGTCTCAAAAAGAAAAAAAAAAAAAAGTGGGGCAGGCGTTAGGGGACAACTTTGTGAATACTCGTTGCTCTTTAATTTTTAGAGTTTGCATCCCTGGAGGTTCCTAAAAATAGACAAAACACCCAACACTCTTATTCACTCGCCTTGGGGCTGGACAGATAATCCCCTCCTCCTCCTCTCCCCCCCACAACCTGTTCCTCCTGATTCTCTCTCACTCAAGCAGAAACCTGGGAGGTGCCAGGGCGTGGTATTCACACTGGCTTCCACATTCACTCCAGCCTCCGGAGTGATCCTGATCTTCTGCACTCCATCCCCACTGCTGCTGTCCTGTGGGCTGCATCTCACACCTGGCCTCTTCCGGAAGTCTTGGGCTTCACTCCCTCCCATCCATCTTGCAGCCTGCAGCCAGGGCAATCCTGGAAGGCAGGGGTCTCCCCATGCTTCTTGCCCGCCTAAAACCCTGCCTTCATTGGCTGCCCCAGGAGCCCAGGTTGCCCAGTTGCCCCTCCCACCAGCTTACCTCTCACTGGAAGGGCAGCCTCTCAGAAAAGATTTGCTCTCACTTCCCTTAAACACACCATGCCCCTGAGCCTCTGCTGTTCTGTCTACTCAGACATCCTCCTTCCCTCTCTTGTCCACCCAGTAAACCTCTGCTTGCTTCTCAGAGCCCAGCTCAGGAATCTCTTCCTCCGAGAAATCAAAGTAGGGAAAAAAAAAAAATCAGAGCTGGACAAAAGACTAGAGGGACCTAGTAATAATCATAATGACTTTCTTAGATTCAGGGCACTGCCCCGGGCACATCGCATTACCTTATTCAGTCCCCACTATGACTCTAAAAGTAGGTCTCGGCATTATCTTGGTTTTGCAGATGAGGACACAGGACTTGAGAGTTCAGTGACATGCCCCAAAACACAGCCAATTCATTGTAGAATTGTGATGGAAGCTTAAGTTCACCTGATGGAGGTTTGCATTTTTGTCAGCTGCAACATCCTGCTGGCTAATGCAGTGTTTCTCAAACTGCCAGTCATGATGTATCCGTGAGTTGTGAAATCGGTTTAGCAGGCAGGGCTGGCTGCATGATGTGTGGGGCTCAGTGCAAAATGAAGATGCAGGACCCCTGTTCAAAAGGCAGGCAAAAGGCTTCTTCCTTTCTTTGGCAGTCTCTCAGCTTGTTGTGGCATTTTTTATGCGTACTTTAATGTCATACTCCCTCAGGCACGGGGTTACTGGTGGGGCAGTACGGACCAACCCTCACCCTGGAGGCTTGCCCAATCGAGACCCTTCCCCAGCCAGTGTGCAGGCCCCTGCTGGGGGGTGGGGGGTGGGGGGTGAGGAATACAGCCACTGACACTAACCAGGGGCAAGGGAATGGGATCAGTGGCCCAGAACCCAGGAAGTGGGGCCATGCATCCCGTCAAGACCTCACTTACGAAGCACAAATTCAAACAAAAAACGATTAAGAATTTCAAGATGGTGACCACAAAGCATTAAACCCCAGGCATGGGGCCCCTTCCAGAACATCACTCCTGCCCACTGTATCGGCTACATGTTCCTGTTATAAGTCATGACAAGAAGTGGTTTCAAACTGGAATAGAAAACAATAGGAGGTGTTGTAATACACCCTGCATAGTGAAAGCAAGTATGACTTTGTCCACTTGGGGGTTTGTACATCGGTCTACACACACGCAGGATGGCCTCATAAAACATACTTCTCACTGTGGGTCTCAGAAACCTCTGAAAACCAGCAGGGCAGCCCCGTAGTCCTGTTGGGCCACTGGTAGGATCTCTGCCACTTTATAGCTGTTCGTCTTCCCTGGTGGTTCCCGGGGGTGGAAGGGGGCTTTGCCAAGATGAGGGTGGGGGTGGGAGTGAAAGTGAAGTGGGTGGAGTTGCGTGGGGCCAGCAGGCAGCCTCCTGTCTTCTCAGCCCCTCCCTGTCCTGCAGAGGCCTTCACACCCTCTTCCCCCATCATCAAGTGTGCCTGCCCCCTGCTTCCCCTTCTCTCCTCCCCTCTACTTTCCACCTGGGGCCGGGGCAGGAGGGGAGACTGCTCTACAAAGAGAGGCACAGAGACCCTGGTTTCATGGGAAGGGAAGAGCTGCCACCAGCCAGAGTGGAAGCATAAAGGGAAGAGACAAAGAAATATTAGTGGGACTATTTTCCTAAACAAATGTTTATTGAGGGTCTCCTCTGTGCCAAGCTATGTGCTGAGCCCTGGGGACACAGCAGTGTACAAGAAGGACCGAGGTTTCATCCTCATAGCACTCACAGGATAGTGGGGGAGACAGGCCTAAGCAAATAATCATAAATAGACCATGGCAGGAAAAACACACAGAGCTACGAGCCTATGTGGTGGGACTTACCCTCATCTGGAATGATCAGAGCAGGCTTCCATGAAGATGGTACATTTCAGCTGACTCCTGAGAGATGAGAGGGGTTGCAGGTAAGCTTTGGGGTGGGCTGGAGGGTGGGAGTGAGCCACCTTTTAGAGGCGGGGAATGGCTCCCCTAAGGCTCTGAGGCCTGGAGGGGACACACGCGCTTGAGCAGCTGCCCCCTGGAATCCCTGGCTAAGGCTCTGGGGGCCCAGATAAGAAAAGGAGAAAGAGACAGGCACTCAGGGTTCTAAGTTTCTGGTGGCCTGAAAGACTTTCCCCACATTTTTGCAAACTGGGTTCATGAAGATGGTGGCGGGGCTTCCAGTGGTCATAACCTTGACCCTTACCCCACTGGATGTTTTGCCAATGTCATGCTTTTCCAGTGTGTTGCTGCTAACACATAGCACAGACTCAGAGAGAGAGTCAACCCTGAAGGGCAGTGGCAGAAACGGCCTGGGAGAGCCTTTTCAATGCCTCTCCAGACAAAAAGAAAATACCATCTGTCATGTCCACCAGCCACAGGCTGGCCTGGGCACTGGGTGCTCTGGGCAGCACGAGCATGGCCTTTCAAAGCAGCTCCTCACAGCCCCACCAATGGCATCATGTAGGCTGCTCTATGTGACGCCTTGGCCATTCCCTCCAAGATGGACATGTAATAGGAGGTGGGAGGTGGGAGGTGGGTGACTAAGGAACAGAACCCCTAGTAGCACAGATCCTCCTTCAGAAGCCTCGTCTATGGCACTGAGCCACACATCCAGAAAACTGCCCTTTAGACAGCACTTATATTCTGAGACCCTGCCGAGCACCTTAAATGCCTGGTCTCCTAATCAGCAGCCCTTTGCAGAAGGCATTTTAATCTCCATTTTACAGATGCTAAAACTGAGGCTTAAAGAACCTAAGTGGCTTTCTCAAGGCCACATACTGATTTGTTAGCAAATACTTAAGCACCTACTATGTCCCAGGTACTCAGAATACACTGAGGGGCAAAGCAAAGGGTTCTTTGCTGTGGTAACCCTAGGAGCAACCAAGAAGAGGTAGGAATTTAGATTTAAGAAAAAGAAAAACAGCTTTATTGGGGCATAATTCACATACCATATAATTCATCCATTGAAGGTTTACCGTTCAGTGGTTTTTAATATATTCAGAGTCATGCGACCATCACCATAATTTTAGAACATTCTTATCACCCCAAAAAGAAACCCTATACCCATTGGCAGTTACTAGTTTGTTCCCTCCAAACTGCCCTGCCTCCAGTCAGCTCTAGGCGACCACTCATCTATTTCTGCCTCTATAGACTTCATATGAAGGGAATCATAGAATAAGTGGTCTTTCATGACTGGCTTATTTCACTTAGCGTAGTGGTTTTAAGGTTTATACATGTTGTAAGCATGTATCATCAATACTTCATTCTTTTTTGATGCCAAAGAAGATTCCATTGTATGGGTAAGACCACATTTAGTTTAGCCATGCATCTGTTAATGAACATTTCCACTTTTCGACTATCATAAATAGTGCTGCTATGAACACTTATGTACAGGTTTTCGCATGGTAGGAACCCAGATTTCAACTCAATTTTACCCTACTCCAAAGCCTAACCACTCTACTCCTCAGCAGCTTCCATGCCCCTAAAAATAATTTCTTCCAAGGAGCCTGCCAACCTTGAACCTAGCCATGTTTGGAAGGAAAGAAGCCATGATCACATGCCATGGCCTTAGTCGAGCCTGGTAAACTTATTGGCAGGTGGGACTCTCCCTCTGAGGCCTGTGGAATGGGGCAGTAGGGAAGTTCTCCAGCATTTGTGTTGCTCCTCATGACAGGGACAGGCAAAGAACAAAGGCTGAGGCCTTCTGTCTTGAGCAACCCTAAACTCAGGGGATTCAGGGGCTCATTTAGAAGTTTGGGCACCATCAGCAATGGAGTTTAAATATGACACCCTCCTTGACCACAGAGCACATGTTTCACGTTACTTATGGCTCTTTCCTGAGCCAGTGACCCCCTTACTTGGTCCTCTCTTATGACAAAGGAAGGGTTATGACACCATCAATTGTTGATAGAGAGGGGGATGTGTACCCATAGCCCAAGCCACCAAGTCATGGGTGAATCCATCCTATAACAATGGCCTTCATGAGAGCAGCTAGCTCCTGGGGCAAGCCTTTTCTGATCTCCACCCCCATAGACTCTATATGCTCTCTTCTCTAGTAATTTTCCACTCCCTTTGTTCACAGAACTTAAGCCATTGTCTCATCTCTGTCTGAGTTTTTATCTACCTCCCTCCTCCTGGAACCCCAAGAGAAAAGATCGCCTGTCGTCATATTCCAAGTACCTAGCACAGTCCTTGGCACTGGGGAGGTGCTCAGAGAAGTCTGTAGAAGGAAGCAGGCAAGCCAGCAAGCTATGCTAGGGAGCAGCTGCTCTCATCCTGCTGCCTGATCCTGGCAGCCCATGCTCTGCCAGGCAGCCTGAGTGGAGATGGCCATGTGTACTAAGCCAGAAGGGACAGAGAAGCACTGAAGGCACTTGAGTCCCATAAGCCCAGGTCACCGTAACCACAAATGGTGAAGTGGGGGGAGAAAGGGGCACAGTGGGCAGGAGCCAGAGCAGATGGCATTTGCCTTCGACTGACAAAGCACAAGGGCCCTTTCGGTTATTTCTCAGCCACGCCTCCAGGCCCCATTTCAGCCCTGGCCTAGTTTCAATCTCATTACCCGGTGCTGCCAGAACAAAATGCTCGCCCTGTCCCTGGTTCCCAAGACCTGCCCCTTCAGGCCCATCACTTGGCATTTTACCACTTCCCAGATTCGCCACTTATCAAAACCCAAACTAATTAAAACTCGCAACCAATTTTCTTTCTTTATTCAACAGTGGACTTCTATTTGCTAATAAATCTCATGCGCTCATTCAGACACTTCCATCAGTTCCTGGAAACGTGCTTTTCTCTTTATTACTTTGTTATCTGAGCTTTTTCATCTCCTTCTTGGACTTTTCTGATGTTCAGGGTCTGTATCTGTAATTGAGTCGTTCCTAGAGGTTTAAACTGCTTGGGGTGGCATGTCTCACTCTTTAAGATTGTTCCTGCTGCATTCAATATTTTAATGTTATTCCCAAATGGGAGCATCTTGCCTTCCTTCTTTGCCATCACCAAACCTCAGTCTAGGCTGCATCTGTTACGTCTAGTTCCTACAGCCATTACAAGGCATGCTGTGGCCCTCCACCCCTCCTGGTGACTTTCAGCAGCAATGGTGCACTCTCCTTTCTTGGGATAGCTGTTATCATCTTGGAGTTCTAGGGGGCTGGAGCTGAGGGACCTGAGAGATCATCCCATCCAATCCCTGAGCTTTACAGGTAATGCAGTGAAGACCCAGAGCAGGAAGGGGCCATACAGCTGTGAGTGACAACACTAGAAGGAGTATCTGAGGCTCCTGATGCCCCTTCAAAGGCCTTTACCATGTGGATGCCTTCCCAGAGTTAGAATGGATAGAAGGGCCTGAGATCTTATGAACATGGCCCTGTCATGCTATAAGAGTGGATGTCCCTTTATCCCATCCTGCAGCTGCTCCCTCCCACTTAACTCTGCTGCCTGTGGACTCTCCCACCATCTTGGTGTCTCACAACCCCAATGGACAGTGTGTTCCCTTTAAACTGGGAGATCTCTCTGAGTACCTCTTCTAGATCATTTATGGGAAATAGTAAATAAATAGTAAGAAATTTGTTAGAGGTCCTGTCCTGATCCTTTGGGGATTTCATGTGGAAAATCGTTCATCTCTTTCTGCTTTTGATTCCTTGGCTTCACGCTGCAAGAAAACATTTCCTCCTTCAGTTATGGGTGATTAATAGGACCACATCCAGGCTTTGGGTTCTAGCAGCATTGTGAAATTTCTCAGGAGAGCAAGAAAAAGCAGAAAAGGCTCCATGTTGCGTGTCTCATTTGCAACAGACTTGTTCTTTGCTCATTTCTGGTGGAGTCTTATTTTGTGATGGCAATGGGAAAGGATTTGTTTGTGGTGCTGGGAACTCTTCCCCACCGCACAGTGGTCTGAAGACCAAAGAAAGTGATAAATAATGTTTTGCAGGCAAGGAAAGAGGGTGATGGTGCTTTAGCTCTCCAGCTCTTCCTAAAGGCGCATTCCAGGCCCAGGGCTTTGGTGGCTGTCTTCCTCCCCCTTCCTGCAGCCCAAGGAACACAGAGCCAGCAGACTCTAGTTCCCGGGCCATCTCTCACCCAAGTCCAGGCACCTGGGGGAAGGGCAGATGGGCCTCTTGCCTCAGTGGGTTTCAACGGCCTGCCTTGAAGTGCAAATGGCAGGTGTTGGCTCCTCCGTGCCTTTCAGAGCATCCGCCTGGCTCTTTTATGAGATTACAGACGCTTTCATCTCAGCTTTGGCCCGGATTTCCTCCTTCCCAGCAAGGCTCCAAAGACTGGCAACGAGGCGAGAACAAGAAGAGGAGGCTCATTCCTGGCTGCATCCCTGCTGGGCAGGGTGACCCGGCCTGCACATCTTCCAGCCGCATCCTTTTGAGCCATCGAGGCTGAGAAGGGAGCACAGAGGACCAGGTTAAGAGGGGCCCTTCCCCTTGGCGCCTGGAGGAAGTTGCATTGCATCCTGGGAACGCTCTGATCATCCCCTTTGCTTTGTGCCTTTCACTTCAATCCAGTGGAGAGGGGCTTCGGTGCCTTTCTTTTTCTTTTTCTTTTTCTTTTTTTCTACCTAGAGGTACTTTTTTGAGGCTCGAGACTGAGAACGTAACACATCTCTTGCACTTTTGCTTTATGTGTATGTGTACACACACACCCTCAGTTCTTTGCTGTACTTGCTCACCGTCTTGCTCTTCAGGTTTCCTTTTCTTTAAAAGCCCAAGTAGTTTCCTTCCCATATTGTTCTCAGTGAAAGAAAAAGGAGCGTCTCTTCTCTCCTAAATCCTAATTCCTTCCTTCCATCCATCCTATCGTTTAACCTTTTCTTCCAGAGCCAGGACTTTGTGTCTGCTCCTAACATCCACATCCCTTCCAGATCTGTCTCCACACTCCCCACCCCTTCTGGCTTCGTCTCCTGCCACTGTCTCCTGACCTCCATCCACCCCAAATCCACACCCTTCCCTGACCCAGCCTTCCTTTTCATGCCTCTGTTCTTTTGCTCATGCATTTCTCCTGATTTTCAAGACCCACATTCACAACTGTGCCTGGCTCAACTCTTATCTCTGTGAAACCCTCCAGCACCTCTGTCCCCAGTCCCCCCCACCAGGCAGCCAGTGACGTCCTCCCTGTCATCCAGCGCATTCATCCCACGCAGTGTTATAATTATGACCTGCGTTTCTCAGGGCTCCCAGCCTTGGGCTCCAAGTTGGGTCACTGTGCAGGAGGTTTTGTCTCCACCTACTGTGGCGTGGCCTCCAAGCGGATCACAGTCAGCCCCCTAACTATTTCTGGGAGTCCTCAGGGAGCATTGCAGGTGTTCTTCACTCTAAAAAGGCACCGAGAAACCATTTCCTGCCCCTGCCAGAGTTGGGAGTCCTGGCCCTGTCCCCATGAGACCACACAGCATCTACATTATGATCTGCCAGAACCCCTGACCCACCACAATGTCCTCCATCCCCACCACACCCAAGCCCACAGTGGATTCTGCAACCATGAGAATCCCTCTCCCCAAACCCTCATCTCTCCCCACCCCATGTTACTTTCTACCATGGAGCCCTAGCAGTGCTGCCTCACACAGTGATTTTTATTGAGACAACCCTGTCCAATTATACTTGTCCCATCCTCTTGAAATCAGACATAGATCTTTGAAACCTAGGCCAAAGGATGACCTGATGAAGATCAGGCATAAGGCCGCAGTCAGAACTGCATTTCTGTCTGATGACTAACATGGTCTTCTTAAGTCAGGGTATGTGCCTTCCTAAGGATGAGTTACTTCCCCCAAAACCCCTTGGGCCTTGGAATTTAAAAAATCACTATCAAGCCTGTGTTGCCAAAATTCCAAATGTGCCGTGACATGTCTGGATCCTAAAACAAACAGAATATAGGCTACAGAGGCACACACACCACCACTGTGCATTCCTCACCCACAGCAGACATCACCAGTCAATCACAGCATAGGTTCTCCTAGTAAGGCCATCAGGATTCTTCTCAACACACTGCAGACCTCACCTCTACTCTGAAGGCTTTCTGGATCCTCTTGATAGAAATGATTCCACTCTTTTCTTACCTTTCATAGCCCTCAAGACTCTGCTACTCTTGTCTGGGCTCATCTAGATTGTAGTAATAAGACTAATGGCTAATCTTTACTGAGCTCTCACTTTGACCCAGGCACCATTCTAAGTGCCTCTTATTAAACTTATTTAATCCTCACAGTCATGTGAACTAAGTACCAATCCCATGTGACAGATGAAAAAACTGAGACACAGGAATTACACTGTTCCAAGTCAGAGACTGTGTCCCGACCGCCTTTGTCATTCCAATCGTTCAACATTTTTATTAGGCACCCATGTGTGCCAGGCACTGCAATAGGCCTTGAGGACGAAATCCAGATCCCCAGAACCTCTGCCTCCCCAGCAAATTGGGCAAAGCTGTTTTGCTTCCCAGAAAACGAGAACTTTAATCCTGGCTTCCAAGTCCCAGGGTGTCTGCCTCCTTGCCACAGCCACCACCCTCAGTGCCTTACCCATCTCGCCTTTGCCTTGCCCCTCATCCCACTTCTGTTGCACTTCTCACCTCGTCTTTGGAGGAGACCATGGTTGATTCAGACTTCTTGGCCAAGACATATTTTAGGCTGTGCAGGCCAGGTCTTTGTGGCAACTACTTAATTCTGCTGTTGAAGCATGAAAGCATTCATGGGCATGGCTGTGTCTCAATAAAACTTTCTTTACGTCCGGGCGCGGTGGCTCACACCTGTAATCCCAGCACTTTGGGAGGCCGAGGCATGTGGATCACAAGGTCAGGAGATCAAGACCATCCTGGCCAAAATGGTGAAACCCCATCTCTACTAAAAATACAAAAATGAGCTGGGCATGGTGGCAGCATGCACCTGTAGTCCCAGCTACTCAGGAGGCTGAGGCAGGAGAATTGCTTGAACCTGGGAGATGGAGGTTGCAGTGAGCCGAGATCACGCCACTACACTCCAGACTGGTGACCGAGCAAGACTCCACCTCAAAAAAAAAAAAAAAAACTTTATTTACAAAAACAGGAGACAGGCCATAGTTTGCCAACCCCTGTCCCAAACTGTTCTCCCACCTGGAATATGCTTCCTCCACTCTCATTTTGTAACATCTGTTGCTTCCTGGCCTTTGAGGCTCAGCGGTAGTCTCACTTAGCCAGGCAAGCCTTCCTCCCCAACCCCACCATCAGCACAGCACTTGCTAATCTCTCGCTTCATCCAGTTCTTCTTTCACTTTCATTTTGCATCTCTTACTCATCTCTTCCTCCTTCAATGGTTAGCTCCTTGAGGTGTGCAGCTTAAGTTTTTTCTTATGTACATTAGCTGTAGCCATGTGCTGGATTCATAATCGGTGCACAGTAGATGACAGACAGTTTTGAAGATTTGTTTGATTGCAACGTCTGGGGAAGGGAGTGGTTCTCAGTCTATTTTTTCTGCTCCAACACATGGTGGGGAGCGTGACCGTCATTCATTCCTCATGTATTTATTGCGTACTCACTACATACTAAGTACTCCTTTTGTTTGCTTGTTTTTTAATCAATCATGTGCTAGCTTCAAGCTGTTACCAGCACAAATGTGTGATGGTACCACTCTTGCAAACCAATGGATTAAGATATAAAGGAAATTTTCAAAGATGACAGGGCTGTGGTAATTACTAGTCAAGCTGTATCTGCAAATGTATAAAGTACTTCTGCATCTATTGTCTCATTGAATCATGACAACCGTCAGAGGTGAATGGTAGCATCCCGTTTTGCAGATGAAGATACAGGGCCCAAAAGTATGTGGCCTGCCCGAGGTCACACAGCTTCTGAGAAATGGAGCTTCACTTCAAAACTGTGCCACCATGCTTGCTCTCTGAAAACAAAATAAAACCACTTTTCTGATTCTAAAGAGAATAATCCAGGTTACCGTAGAAATTGTTGAAAATATATCACGCAGAAAATAAAAATCATGGGTAATTCCTACACCCATAGATAGCTGACATTAACAGTATCTGCATATTCTTACAATTTGCATGTTTTTACAGAAATTTGAATTGAGGCTGGGCGCAGTGGCTCACACCTGTAATCCCAGCACTTTGGGAGGCTGAGGCAGGCGGGTCATCTGAGGTCAGGAGTTCAAGACCAGCATGGTCAACATGGCAAAACTCCGTCTCTACTAAAACTACAAAAATTAGCCAGGTGTGGTAGTACATGCCTATAATTCCAGCTACTTGAGAGACTGAGGCAGGAGAATCGCTTGAACCTGGGAGGCGGAGGTTGCAGTGAGCCGAGATCGTGCCGTTGCACTCCAGCCTGAGCAACAAGAGTGAAACTCTGTCTCAAAAACAAACAAAAAAAAAATTCAAATTGAATCCTGTTGTATATACTTGTGTGTAGCTGCATTTTTCTGCTTTTTTTTTTCTTTTGATACCTTTGGTACCAACTGCCTTTTTAAATTAAGATATAATTTACATACAATGAAATTACACTTTTAGTGTACAATTCTATGAGTTTTGACACACCCATGCTGTTGAATAACCACTACCAACATCAAGATATAGAACTGTTCTATCACCCCAAAAACTCAACGCCCACCTTCAGACCCTGGAAAGCAATGGATTTGTCTGTATGATTTGCCTTCTCTGGATGACACATAAATGGACTCATGCGGTGTGGTGTAGCTTCAGTTTTCACTTAGCATTGGAGGCATGTGTCCACATGAGGTTATATACTCTTCAGAAGCATTGTTTTTTAATGACTACCTGCCACCCGGCAGGCCACGTGCCCTCCAGTTCACAGCCGCAGCCTCTCAGAGAATAGAAATGAGAGGTAGAGAGCTGCATTGGGAAGCACAAGGGCAGGATCGATGTGATGAGCACAAGTCACCCACGAGAGGAGGTGCTGGCTCTTCTGCTTTCAGGCCGAAGGGGCTGAGCTCCATATGGGCGGGCTGGACAGTACCACACCACAATGCACAGCACCTACGTTTGCGTCCTGCTTTGTGCTTTTAGATCCCTTGCTCGTATGTGGCACCTTCTGGATTCTCGGTTTCAGATTGAGTTTCCTCAAGCAAGTGGAGATAAGAATGTTCATCTTATAGGGCCATTGTGAGGATGGAAGGACATGTTTTTTTTTGGTTTTGTTTTTGTTTTTGTTTTTTTGAGATGGAGGAGTCTCACTCTGTCGCCCAGGCTGGAGTGCGTTGGCGTGATCTCTGCTCACTCTGCAACCTCTGCCTCCCAGGTTCAAGTGATTCTCCTGCCTCAGCCTCCTGAGTAGATGAGATTACAGGCACCCACAACCACACCTGGCTAATTTTTTTGTATTTTTAGTAGAGATGGGGTTTCACCATGTTGGCCAGGCTGTTCTTGAACTCCTGACCTCAGGTGACCCACCCACCTCGGCCTCCCAAAGTGCTAGGATTACAGGCATGACCTACCGTGCCCGGCTTGAAGGAGATGATTTGTGCCCAAGTGCTGACCACAGGGATGAGCACTCCGGCTGTTTTCTCTTCTTTCCCATCCCCACCACCGCTGCTGCCCCTCCCCTGGGGGTTTGGATCCGCAGATCTTAAGTGCTCTCGCCACAAAAAAGAAGCGTGGGCGTGGTGATTCACGCCTGTAATCCCAACACTTTGGGAGGCCAAGGTGGGAGGATTGCTGGAGCCCAGGATTTTGAGACCAGGCTGAGCAACACAGGGAGACCCCATCAAGAAAGAGAGAGAGAGAGAGAGAAAGTGAGGAAGGGAGGGAGGGAGGGAGGAAGGAAGGAGAAAATGGCAACTATGTGAGGTGATAGATATATCAACTCAATTGTGGTGAGTGCTTCACAATGTATACCTATATCAAAACAAGTTGTACACCTAAAATATATACAATTTTTCTTGTGAAGTATACCTCAGTAAAGCTCAGGGGCAAAAAAAAGAGATGAGTCGATGTTAACCCAAACTGTTAAAAACAGATGTCACCTAGTTGAAGCTGCTTCCCTATGTCATCAAAAGGATTAAAAGAGAATTGAAGAAAAAGAGCACTTCAGGAAGAACAAATGATAGGCTGGAAACAAATACACAGGGGCCTCTAGAAGCTGTGCCTCTTGATGAAGAAGGAATCCCTCGAGGACAGGAGAGGAGCTGGGATGACACTTGTAGCTCTTTGTGCTAAAATGACTCAGGCAGCTCCTGCATTCATTTTGGGTGCTGAAGTTTTAGAACTGTTTTCCCCACCCCCACCAACACCTTCTTATCCCTCCTCCTGGGTCTTTCTTAGACTTCTCCCAGCAAAGCAGAGTCCGTATCCTAGTGTGTTGCTATGGAAAGAATGGCAACATCACTTGTGAGTTCATGAAAAAAAAAAAAAGAAAAGGAAAAAAAGAAAAAAATAGGACAAGCGGGATTTTTTTTAAGTGTTATGAAACTGGAAGAAAAACTGTTCCACCACTAAATATATCCACTTACAAAATCAGCAGATGTTAGGGAAGGGCTCGGACAGAGTCAGTCCCTCTGCCCTGCAGAAAACTCATAGCAGAGCATTTTCATAGCCATTGCTCCTGTGAGACTCTGAGAAACTGTTAGGTCTCAGGGCTGGTGGCTGGAACCTTCAATGTTTGCCAAATGGATCATGTGGCAGCCATGACCTGGGGGACCTTTGAATAACTAGGCTCCACTTTGTTTTAGGACCTTCCTCCTGTTCCTTCTCCTCCATTTCCTGTGTCAGATCACCCCAACTTTGACCTTTTTGGGTCCCTTCAAGAAGCACAGCTTTAGAGCCTGGGTTTGAATCCCAGCTTTGCCTTGCATTGGCTATGGTACTTGGGTGTATTGCTCAACATCTCTGAGCTTCCAGTTTCCATATGCATGAAACACTTACTGTCAAGGGGTTGTAAAGTTTAACAGTAACACATGAACCACCTAGCAGAGTGGCCAGCATAGAGCTGTTAGTAATATTGTGTAATAGAGATTCTTTTCCCTTCTAGTCACATTTTCCATCTGCCCGGTGGGCTGCTGGGGACTGCAAAGGGGGCAGTTCAGCCTCTGTCTTCCAGCTGACAGAGCCAACCAGGTGGCCCTATCAGGTGTGGACTCCACCTCAACCTGAGACCTTCCTCAGCATCCTTCATGTCTTCCTAAAATTACTTGTCAGTGTCAAAGTCTAGATAGAGGGAATCTTCTCACATTCCTGGTTGATATCTTGGGTCGGCCTCTGTTCTGGTGAACTATTGCTGCACAGCAAACCACAGCAAAACCAGGAGTTGCAGACAGAAGTTTACGATTATTATATCTCACAGTTCTGTGAGTGAGAAGTTTAGACAGACTGTAGCAGTTATGGCTTGTCTGTACTCCAGGAGGCCTGGGGGCCTCAAGTGAGATGGGCCTAGAGCAGCTGGAGACTGGCTGAGCGTCTGTCTCCCTGCTTGGGTAGGCTGAGCTTCCTCACAGCATGGTGGCCTCAAAGTAGTCAAACTTCTGACTCCTCCAAGAGGAAAGAAGTGGAAACTGCATGTCCTCTTAAACTGTCGTAGGTTCTTAAATATGTCCAGAACTGTCATAGATTCACTTCCACCATATTATACTGGTCAAAGCAGTCACAGGTCAGCACAGATTCAAGGGAGGTAGGGATGGGAACATGGACCCCATCTCTCAATGAAAAAAGTGTCACACAATTTGCAACCACCTTTAATCTGCCACAGTGTCTGCCACAAAGTCACCACACCCACCTGCCTGCTGGTCCTGGAAGGAAAATCTGAGAAGCCGATGGTGGAGACTGAGAGCAGAACTAAGAGGCAGGACCAACATCACTCATCACAGGCAAAGGCAGAGCTCAGATAGTGTACATTTCAGGGTAGCTGGCTTTTTAAAGAGTTGTATGCAAACCAGAATTCTGGAATGGCTCCCAATTATAAATGCTCCATGGGTATGCTCTCTGACAGATTCCTGTCGATAACCACCACCCCTCAGCTTCTCAAGTGTAAATTCCAAGCATTTATACATCAAATTTGCTAAAATATAAGGCATTTCCATCCCAAGTCATTGTGCTCTGTCCTGATGAAAGATGGGTCCACATTGTCAAAATTGGCAGAATCAGTTAGGTGGGCCTTCCCCAGCAGGTTGTCCAGGCCGTGATTACCTGGAAAGAAAGATTCCTGCTTTGCGTGGTGTATCAGTTTCCTAGGACTGCTGTAACAAAGCACCACAAACTGGGTAGCTTGGGAGAGATTCATTGTCTTCTAGTTCTGGAGGCTAGAACTCCAACGCTGAGGTCAACAGGGCCGTGCTCCCTCTGAAGCCTCTAGGGGAAGATCTGTTCCAGACCCATCTCCTAGCTGCTGGGCACCTCAGGCTTCCTTGGCTTGCATACGGCCATCTTCTCTCAGTGGCTCTTCACATCATCTTCCCTCAGTGCCTGTCTGCCTCTGCACCCGAGTTTCCCCTTTTCATAAAGACACTAGTCATATTGTATTTGGGCTCATGCCAGTGACCTCATGTTAACTTGATTACCTCTGTAAAGACCCTATTTCCAAATAGACTCAAAATCTAAGGTACTAGGGGTTAAGACTTTGACATATCTTTTTAGGGGGACAAAATTCAATCCATTAAAGGTGGTGAGCAGAGATGGACTGGGGCCAAAGCCTGGCCTCGCACAATCTCACTTCCAGTCTCTCTTGATCTCCACAGGTCATAACCCAGGCCTGGGTCAGAGCAAGGGGTCTTCTAGAATAGAAGATCCAGAGGGCAATAGTCTCAGTGCCCAGAACAATGCTAGTGTATATTAGGCCCTCAGTACATACTTTACTGAATGAATGATTGAATGAACCGATTGGCCCATCGGTGAATATCTGGTGACCAGACAGAGAAAAAATGGTCCACCATACCCCATGTATTGTAGCTTCTGATCTTTAAGTGGCCAGGTATTTGAGGGTATCTGAGTCGCGGTCTCAGTTGTGTTGAGGTTTGCAGTTATTGCTGTAGTTACTTCTGCTGCTAATAATATGGGAGAATTCACAGGTCTCTCCTCCTCCTTTGAAGTTGAGTCAGTGACATCTTGCTATTAAGAAAAATACAGGAGCGACTACATACCTTACTCTGCTGTCAGCTGTTAGAAGAACTCCTAGAGAGGAAAAGGGGGACCCCACTGAAAAGCTTACTAGTTGGCTATACAAAAGCAGTCCCAGCATCAGCCTGACTTCTCAGCATTTGAGATTTGTATCTTCACCCCAAGATAACTTTGGAGTAAGTTAAACTGATTTGGATGGAACTTGTTACACAGTTGTGGCATGAATTACTAGTTGATTGTTCCCCTTGAAATCAAACAATTGCCAAGTGAGGTTCTTAGTAGTGTCTTGTGCAAATTGCACTAGACGTCAAGAGATAGGCAGCGTAGAGGAGGACGTGATGGTGTGTGATTGATCTTCCGTAACTGCTAACTGAGCACCTGCTGAGCAGGCCCCAGTTCTTAGTGCTATGGAAAACACAGTGATGAACAGCACCAGGTTCTTGCCCAAAATGAGCTCTTGACCCACTAGGGGCGAGAAATACCCACACAGGTAACTCTAATAGATGTTACAGAGTAACAAGTTCAAACCGTGTTCTCTTTGAGTAGAGGAGGGAGTAAACAATCTGACAGAGGGAATCCAGACACACTCTTGTAGGAGGAGGGATATAAGCAAGGCTTTGAAGATACGCAAGAGGTTGGCCTTTGATAGGAAGATTTTGGAGAGAGGGCTGGTTCAGGCAGAGAGAACAGCTCGAGCAAAGCCTAGAGGTGGAGGAGGGCAGAGCAGGTTCCGAAATAGCTGACACACACTGGGTGAATCAGAAGCCCAGGCTCTCTAAGCAGGGCTTTGAAGACGACATGGAGGAACTTGGACAATATTTCAGGAATGCTAGGGAGCCAGGGAACGGTTAAGAGAAGGGAGTGGTGTGTTTCAGCAGATCACAGGGACAGAGTGGAAGGGTGATTGGGAGGCCATTGTGACTGCAAGTGGAGAAGAGGACATGGGACAGAGTGGGGGGGCACACACAGAAATGGACTTTCTGGTGACGGCTTAAGTGAGATGACAGCCCAGATTTACAAACCCACCTAACAGAGGAACTGAATGGGAATAACCTCTCCTATTAGTGTCCTTCACAGAAGCCACACGCATGCGCCCCAGCTCAGATCTCCTGGGAAGTGGCCAGCCTGAAACCAGTGCTGCTTAAGCTGGGCTGCTCCCTGGAACTGTCCAATAGCTTTAAAAATATATATAAATGCCTGGGCCCTACCTACAGAGAAACTGTCTTAATTGGTATGGGGTGAGGCCTGAGCACTGGGGTATTTAAAAGCTCCTCTGTTGATGCCGGTGCGGAACAAGGGTTGAGGGCCCTGCCTGGAGAAATGTCTTCCCGTGTAAAGGCAGGCTGTCTGGCTGCTGTCAGTTTGCCATTAATTTGTGTGGTTCCTTAATTAAAGGCTATGTCCTGCACTAGGTAGTAAACTCTCTGAGTATAGGGATTGTAATACTTTCCTGTGACTGCTGTAACTGAGCCTTTAAAAGGCCATTTCACCGTTCTGTCAAGCCAGCCGCTTCAGGACGATGGGGAACGTGGGAAGACCAGATAGTTCCACGGCCCATCGCTGTGCTGTAGTTGCAGTTGTTCGCTGTCAGGTGGCGAGTGCAGATATGAACCATCTGGAAGCCAGGACCCAGTGTGTTTTCTTCCTCGTTCGGCTGGTCCTAGGGAACTCCTTACGAGGCATAGGCATCAGCAGGGGCCACACTCACTTGGAAGCTCTGGGTGAACATCTGTTTCCTTGCCTTTCCAGCATCTAGGGCTACATTCCCTGCATTCCTTGGCTCACAGCACCTTCCTCTATCTTCAGTGCTAGTGTGTAGCATCTTCTCTCTGACTCCGCTTCCCCCTGCTGCTGTCACGTGGCCTTCTGCTCTTCTGTCTGGAATCTCCCTCTGCCTCTCTCTTAGAATGACACTGAGGATGGCGTTTAGGGCCCACCCAGATCATCCAGAATGATCTCCCCACCTCAAGATCCTTAACTTCATCACATCTGCAGTATAAGATAACATCTTTTTTTGGCATATAAGATAGCATTCACAGGTTCCAGGGGTTAGGACCTGGGTATCTTTTGGAGGACCACAATGCTGCCCATCACAGGGATTATGTGTTTTCTTTGTAGCCTCACAAGCTAGTACAGCACCTGGGACTGGGTAAGCCAGTGACATAGCGAATGAATCAATAAATAGTGTTGTATTAGTCTGTTCTCATGCTGCTAATAAAGATATACCCCAGGCCAGGCACAGTGACTCATGCCTGTAATCCCAGCCCTTTGGGAGGTTGATGCAGGCAGATCACTTGAGGTCAGGCATTCGAGACCAGCCTGGCCAACATGGTGAAACGCCGTCTCTACTAAAAATACAAAAATTAGCCAGGCATGGTGGCATATGCCTATAATCCCAGATACTTGGGAGGCCGAGGCAGGAGAATCACTTGAACCCGGGAGGCAGAGGTTGCAGTGAGCTAAGATCGTGCCACTGCACTCCAGCCTGGGCAACAGAGTGAGATTCCATCTTAAAAAAAAAATACCCAAAACTGGGTAATTTATAAAGGAAAGAGGTTTAGTTGACTCACAGTTCCACATGGCTGGGGAGACCTCACAATCATGGCGAAAGAGCAAGGGACATCTTACATGGCGGCAGGCAAGAAAGCTTGTGCAGGGGAACTCCCCTTTATAAAACCATCAGATCTCATGAGACTCATTCACTATCACAAGAATAGAACAGGAAAGACCCACCCCTGTGATTCAGTTACCTCCCGCTGGGTCCCTCCCATGACACAATGTGGGAATTATGGGAGCTACAATTCAAGATGAGATTTGGGTGGGGACAGAGCCAAACCATATTGGCAGATCAAGATCCCATTGCGTTAGAAATCAAACTCACAGGAATCCAGAAAGAGTACTGGAGGCAAGCTTGGGAACACCAGGCACAGGGGGATTTAACTTGGTGGCTTCTGAAATACACATCAAGTTGCACCACTCTCCATTGCCCTCAGGATAAACACTACTGAGGTCCTGCTTCCCCTCTCCTCTCCCCGCTTTCGTAAAGTCCCATACTACCCCTAAAATTGGCCCTAGGACGCTTGCACTATCAGTACTTCTGTTTTCTTTTTCTCCACTAGACTTAAGCTCCAAGAGGACAGCCCTAAGCCAGGCTCCATCTCCTCCATCTCATTTATCTCCCCCACTCCCACCAGGACAGAAGGTGGCACTTAGTGGCTGCTCAAATATCTGTTAAATGAATAGAGGAACTACTAATGAGTGGATAAGAACCCGACAACCTTGCTTTTGAGAATATTGGCTTATCGGGGAAACTGGATTGTTTTGTTCACTACTGTGTCCCCAGTGCCTACACCAGGGGTCTGTCTGGCAAATCATCAGAAAATATTTGGCAAGGAGAAGTAGGGGACATTCAAAGATCCTGTGGCTTAGGGGGCAGAATGTTCAGGGAGAAGAGTGTGTGAGGTTTGGGGGGTACCTTGGAATTATGTCTTGGGAGATGAGTTGGGATAGAATTCAATGAAAATGGGGAACCAGCATGGATTATTACTGAAAGAAGAGATGGGTAAGATCAGAGATTTAGGGGAGATTTGCCTGGCGGCAGGCACAGGGCAAATTGGGATAAAGAGACTTGGGAAGGAAGGAAAGTCATTCGATTCCCGTAATATAGGCAAGCTGTCAGGATGGCTGGGACTAGTGTGGAGCCATCTGGAATGTTACGAACAAATGACAACAGAGCATGGATTCAGATTATAGGAGAGAAACCAACTCATGAGCTAAGGCCTCACACCCTGGGCCAACGGGGGTATCCAAGATGACTCTTGTGTTTGCCAACCTGAGTGACAGAGCTTGGTGCCCCCTCAGGTGTGGGAAAGGAAATGAGGAAGCCAGGTGATCATCTTGACTTGGGACAAGGTGAGTTTTCCATAAAGATAGGACATCCTATTATTTTTACTGTGGTTGTTACAATTACTATCATTATTATCTTATTGGTTAACATTATTGAATATTTCCTATATACCAAGTTGTGTTGTGCACTTTTCTTCAATCAATATTATTTGATTCCACAGCAATCTTGTGTTAGTTTCTATTATTTCCATGATACAGATGAGAAAACTGAGATTTTCTTTTACTTCTGAAATGCACTTTCCCTCAAACAAGCTAGTTGTTATAACGTTTTTCTAACACCACCCGTGTAACACCAGGCGCACTTACTTTTTCATTTCTTTCCCTGTTTGCCTGCTTTGATCAGCCAGAGCTCCTTGATCAGACTTGCTCATTCCATCAGCCAAGAAGTAACCCCACTTCTCATTTGTGTGTAGGGTTTTGCTTCTTCATATCTTTATATTTTGGCCAAGCTTCCTTACCCAGGGTCATTACATCTTGGAACATTAGGACTGACAGTTGGATCCCAGCACTTTGGGAGGCCAAGGCGGGCAGATCACTTGAGGTCAGGAGTTCGAGACCTGGCTGACCAACATGGTAAAACCCTGTGTCTACTAAACATACAAAAATTAGCCAAGCATGGTGGTGCACACCTGTAATGCCAGCTACTCGAGAGGCTGAGGCATGAGAAAAGCTTGACTCCAGGAAGCAGAGGTTGCAGTGAGCCAAGATTGTGCAACTGTGCTCCAGCCTGGGTGACAGCGAGACCATGTCTTAAAAAAAAAAAAAAAAGACAGTTGTTGGGAATTCCCCTGGAAAAGGCTAAAGCAAATCTCAAAGACATGGTTTTCGTGTCTGAAAAACTCCACTGAGCATTATTTTGTTTCTTGTTCTTATATACCCGTAGCTCACACTCAGTCTCAAAATCTATGGAGTACACAGGTTACCAGTATAAATCCAACTCTATGGCGCTATGGGAAGCTATGGCTGCTACATAGCTTTTGAAATTGACTAATGTGTTCTTGCACCTAATGGGGAGCCACAGGGGCCAAAGAAGGATCTAGTTTTGGTCCCCATCTTAATTCAGCAGGCCGGCTCCATGCTGTAGCTCTTGTTTGTACAACAGGAAGGTAACAGTCTTCCCGTTACCTGCTTCTAAAACCCAGAAGGTAACAGCACAGAGCGGGTGTAATGAAGGCTCTGAGACAGATCACTGAAGAAACCTCTCTTCAGCCTCAGCAGCCTCAGGGGAAAATAGAGGTCCTAGCATTTCCTGCTCTGCCTCCTCAGGGCTAAGAAGCTCCTGCAAGAGGATGCATGTAGAAATGTTTTGTGGGCTGCAATGCACACTCAAGACCCAAGGGATACTTATTACCATCAGCAGCATCACCGCGGTCATTACTGGTGCAGAGGTGATGGAAAGGACTATTGGCAAAAAGGAACAAGCAGCCTGGTGACTTTCTACAAAAAAGCAACACTTTACAGAATTGCTTAGAAATGTGAAAGAGGGATTGCGGAAGAATGGACAGCCCCCACAGGTTCTTTCTGAAGTGTAAATTAAAAATCATGCCTTTTTAGAACCCTTCCACATGGGACAGACTTGGTAAGAATTTTGCCTCCGTGGTGAAGGTGATCCTACAAAGGACCTTCTCTTCCCACCTTTTGGTGCATCCCACACGTGTCCTGAGAGAATTTTTTTTTTTTTTTGAGACGGAGTCTTGCTCTGTCACCCAAATAGATGGGGTTACAGGCACCAGCCACCACGCCTGGCTAATTTTTGTTTTTTTTTTTTTTTTATTTTTTTCAGTAGAGATGGGGTTTCACCATGTTGGCCAGGTTGGCCTCGAACTCCTGACCTCAGGTGATCTGACTGCCTCGGTCTCCCAAAGTGCTGGGAATACAGGTGTGAGCCACTGTGTTCAGCCTGAGAGACCATCTAAAAGATGGAGGACGGGGGTGCTGGGAATATTGTCAGACCCATGGGAAGTAGGGGGACCGGCTGGCACACTGGCACCCAGCAGTTGTTGGTCCATCCACCAAGATGTCACACCAGGAAGGTCAACCAGAACCATCCCTTTTTCGGCCCAAAGCTGGTCCTGGTGTTATCATGGGAGGCCTCCCTGGCCTGAGGGCTGTTCCAGGTCCAGATAGGGCACGTCTTCCACTAGGCTGTCAAAGGTCACCTGCCAATAACCCCCCAGCCTATGTACCTTTGCATGGGCCTTGATACCTCTCTGATCCTTATAAAATGAGTGGAGCTGAACACCATCAGGTCCAGACTTGCAGCCATAATTTCCCTGGCCTTCACCCTGCCTGACTGAAGCTGTTTTGTTGTGTTAGGACACAGTCGTGCATGAGGCTCCACGCCTGGCGCCTCCAGGAGCCACGAGTATTATGCAGGGCTCGTACACTGCTGCCTGCGTGAGAAGGGCCAGAGTTTGTGCGGTAGGCCTCATGTTTCTCCCTATTAGCCTTGGGCCTGCAGAAGAACCTGCCACAAGACATTCATCTCTTATAAGACTGAAGACAGGACGGAAAGAAGAGAGAGAGAGAGGAGAGAGCAGGTAGATAATGTTGCACGCCTTATGTCATCTGATCCTCAATACAGCCCTAGGAAATAAAAAGAAAAATATTTATTAGTTCAGCTTAAAGACAGATTTAGCTCCAGCAGCTTCAAAGTAAGATCTTTCACCTCCCAAAGCAGAGGTTCTATACAGGGGTGTGTAGCCGAGGATGTAAGTCACATATGTACCCAGTCATTACGCGCTGCAGCATCAGAGTCTTCAGGAGGTTCTCACCCCAGCTGCCCATCAAGATCACCTAGGGAACTTCAAAACCTACCAATACCTGGCCCTACCCCAAGATTCTGATGTAACTGGTCTAGGATGTGGCCTGAGCACCAGGATATTTAAGCAGACATGATTTCTGATTTTAAAATATCTTTCTGGAGCATTAATGAATGGGAGAAGGAAATGAGTGGGGGCCCAAGAGAAACCAGGCAGGAGGCCTAGATGAGAGATGATGGTGCCTTGGATCGGGGTGGTCATAGTGGAAAATGAGAGCGCTAGATGAACCGTAGACCTGATTTGGAGGTGGCACAGACAGTACGAGCTGGTGCGTGACTCTCTAAAGACTAGCATTTTCAAATGTGGAGCAGAGGCAGTCATCATCCTAACTGTGGCAATTTTGTGGAAACTGAAGACAACAGCAGATCTTGGCCTTGTGAATCTTATGGGTCAGGGCTGAGAGTTCTAGCTCACTGCCCATTCCCAAGAAAGAGCAGCTCAGCTTCTCCAGGGCTGCTGGAGGAGCTTCCTAAGAGGTGGAGTGGAGTGAGATGAATGGCACAGGCTGCAAACCAAGCTCAGCTTGCCCACTGTATTAGTTTCCAATGGCTGCTGTTAGAAATTACCACAAACTTAGTGGCCTAAAGCACCACAAGTTTATTCTCTTTAATTTCTGGAGGTCAGATGTCAAAAATCAGATGCACTGAGCTAAAGTCAAGGTATTGGCGGGCCGGCTCCTTCTGGAGGCTTCAGGGAGAATCTGTTTCCTTGCCTTCTCCGGCCTCTGGTGTCCACCTGTGTTCCTTCTCCATCTTCAAAGCACATCACACCAATGTCTGCTTCCATAATCACATTGCCTTCTCCTTCGTAGTCAAAACTCCTGCCTCCAGAATCGCTTGAACCCAGGAGGCGAAGGTTGCAGTGAGCTGAGATCGCGCCATTGTACTCCAGCCTGTGTGACAAGAGTGAAACTCCATCTCAAAAAGAAACCTCCTGTCTCCCTCTCATAAGGATACTTGTGGTTACATTTAGGTCCCACTTGGGGAATCCAGGATAATCTCTCCATCTCAAGATCCTTAATCACACTGTCAAATTCCCTTTTCACGTCATCCAAATCCCTTTGCCGTACAAAGTAAGATTCCCAGATTCCAGGAATTAGGACCTGGATATCTTTGAGGACCATTTTTCAGCCTACCACACCCTGGGTCCTGTGTAAAGAGATGCCGAAACACAGCCTCTCGGTGTGGTTTGAATCTGAGTGGTTTTTGTCTGGGATTTAACTGGCTTCAGTGAATGGCTTTGTGGAGGACATTCTATCAGAGAATAAGAGTAAACCTTCACCATTTATCCAAGGCTTTGAGATAAAGGGAAGTCTCTTCGAGGTAGAGATGAAAGGCGTTCAAGGGAAAGCTGCAAAGGGTGGCCTGGAGGCGGGGATGGAGGGTAGAATGGAGAAAGATCTGACAGACAGAATCTAAGAACTGCTGAAAAGCCCTGTCTCGCCCTGATCTGTGCCTGGGGAGCAGAGAAATCTCATTCCTCTCCCAGCTCCAGGAAGATGGAGTGTGCACGAATCACCCACAAGGAAGGAAATGAAAAGGTTACACCAAGAATTGTCGATATTATAAATCCCTGTAGTCTCGCAGCCTCTCTAAATGTTTTGATAGCAGAATTTGATGGATTGTAAATCAGAGCAGGCTTATCTTAAACATTTGATAGTGCCTTATTTATTTATGTATGTGACACATAAAACCATGATTGTTTCTTCTTTCTGTCTTAGCAAGATTTTTTTTTCTGCTTTCAGAAACACATCACTCTTCTCTAAGCCCTGGTTTTCCGTGTTTGTGGGCGTGTAGGTGTGTGTGCTTGTACATGGTGGCAGCTGTTACGATTCTTTCCACACGGAGAAAGAATACTTTGCCTGGGAGAAGATTATAACATCAGGAATTAACAGAAAAAATAAGAAAGCCGCTATGCTTCAAAATATGTCTTAATCTTATTGCTTTAAAAAAAAATAAAACAAGATTATTGCTCAGAGAAAGAGGGAGATTAAAGGTGTTACAATGTGATCGGTTTATGATTTGAAACTTAGGTAGATACACATACAAAGACAATTTCCTGACTTTCCTGGCTCAGGGTGTAGAGTCATGAGTTACCTCAATCTCCTCAAATGGATCAAATTAGCCTCATTATCATACTCTTTCTTACACACTAATTTCAGCTTTACAATACATCTAGGTCTGGGCACAATGGCCCACGTCTGTAATCCCAGCACTTTGGGAAGCCAAGGTGGGAGGATCACTTGAGCTCAGGAGTTCAAGACGAGCCTGAGCAACATAGTGAGACTTTGTCTACATTAATTAATTAATCATCTATTGGGGCTGCCCTCAAGTCATCATAAACATTGCTACCATTTATTGCACGTTTGCAGGTACCTGGCATTATGATGGAGTCTTCACAAGCATTGTACCATTTAATCCTCACACCCCTATGAGGTGGTCATTAGCTCCAGATAAATTTATTTATTATAAATAAACCAAATCTAGAAGCCATGTATCTTGCCAACCTCCTACAACTGGAAGTGTCGGATACAGCTGCAATTCAAACCGTTCTGTACTGATTCTAAAGCTAATGGACTTACCCACTCAACTGACTTCTCAAGAATCAGTTCAGTTCAAAATATCCTGACCTTGACATTGAGAACAGACAGCCACCACCTCTGGAAGACACTTCACTCACCTGCCCAGGCAGGCCACAAACGCCTTGTAACAGTGGTGAAGCTCCTCTCACCATAATTATATTCTGTTCCTCCCCAAATCTTGTGGTTGACCTTGACTAATGAATAGCGCAGGTTACCTCTAAAAGTCTTCCCACTCCAGTGCCCTATGGACCTTCTTGATTCTGGCTTTTCTCCATTAGCTTCTCCCTTCATGGCATTTGGGTGCAAAGTTCCTTCCTTCCTTCCTTCCTTCTTTCCTTCCTTCCTTCCTTCCTTCCTTCTTTATTACCTTCCTTCCTTCCTGCCTTCCTTCCCTCCTTCGTTTCTTTCTTTCTTTCTGATGAAGTTTCGCTTTTGTTGCCCAGGCTGGGTGCAATGGCACAATCTTAGCTCACTGCAACCTCTGCCTCCCGTGTTCAAGCAATTCTCCTGTCTCAGCCTCCCAAGTACCTGGGATTGCAGGCATGCACCACCATGCCTGGCTAATTTTGTATTTTTAGTAGAGATGAGGTTTCAGCACATTGGCCAGGCTAGTCTTGAACTCCTGACCTCAGGTAATCCACCCTCCTTGGCCTCCCAAAGTTCTGGGATTACAGGCGTGAGCCACCGGCCCAGCCTCAAAGTTCTTTTTATAAGCTGTCAAGACAGTGCATCATTTTGACTACTTCAAAAAGCCGTGTGCTATATAGTTTTTTTTATCCACTTTATAAAAACTATTATTTGGGATTAAAATTTCTTCTAATATTTGATCTGGACTCACAGATGACTTTTTTTCCTCTCTCTGTGTCTTTTTTTTTTATCTATTTGAAGCTCTTATCTCATATTTATCTATTCCTGAATTGTCTTAAGTAAGAGAAAGAAAAACTTATTTCCATTATAAAACCACTGAGGAGCTTTGTTTTCATGCTGAAAAGGGAAAAGTACATTTCAGTGGAGCTTTTTAAGACCTTTCAAAAAAGTATCTTTGGGGAGAATATGAATTTTTAATAATAACTGAATAATTTGAAAATTATTTGCAATGAACATAAAATTGTCACGGGTCGTCAGTGAGCCTCCCCGTTTTCACTGACACTCATGAGTGTGTCAAGGCTGTTCCTCACATGTAGATCTCAGCTGAGATACCCTCTCCTCAGACAGGCTTTCCCTGATTATACCATTGAGAGTAACTTTTTTTTTTTTTTTTTGAGACGGAGTCTCACTCTGTCACCCAGGCTGGAGTGCAGTGGTGCAATCTCGGCTCACTGCAAGCTCCGCCTCCCAAGTTCATGCCATTCTCCTGCCTCAGCCTCCCAAGTAGCTGGGACTCCAGGCACCCACCACCATGCCCAGCTAATTATTTGTATTTTTAGTAGAGACGGGGTTTCACCATGTTAGCCAGGATTGTCTCGATCTCCTGACCTCGTGATCCGCCCACCTCAGCCTCCCAAAGTGCTGGGATTACAGGTGTGAGCCACCACGCCCGGCCGAGAGTCACTCTTTAGTCACCATCACATCATTTTGAAAACCTCTCTGCATAGCACTTACCACTCTAAGTTCTTTGTTTTCTGGTTACTTTCTGTCTCCCCTCCTAGATGGTAGACTCCTTGAAGGCAAGAATCTTATACCTTATTCCCTGAGTATCTAAGGCAGTGTCTGGCACATAGCAGGCATTCAAGAATGAATGAATGAATGGACAAATGAACGAGTGAATGCCTGAGCTATGTTTATATTTCTATGTCCGAAAAGAAAAAAACAACGATAGATCTGCTGTAGATCCCTTTTAAAACACCAGGAATGTTTGAAGAAGGGAACAGAGTGGTAAGATGCAGATTGCTGGCGATGAGTGCCTCTCACAGTTCACTCCCAGTTTTTGCAGGGAGGTGTTGAAGACAGGGATGACGTGATCAGATTCGTGTTTAGAAACATGATGTTCAGCCATGGCATCAGTTGCGAGGTATGGGGCAGCAAGCAATCTGCGGCTAAAAATAAAGCCTTGAAGTTTGTGAGTGGCTTACTTTTCTTGATTGGCAAGGTTATTCCTGTTAAAATGCAATCCCACTCATGTCCTGAGATTCTTAAGGAAGAGGGAATGGTGTGGGGTTAGAACCAACCCAAGAATGACAGGTAACCCTGAGAGAATGTTACAAATAGGCATCCCAGCAACCATGCTGTCGTGGCAGGAAAAGGCTGAGAACTGCTGTTTTAGAAAGGAATGGTGGCAGCGAGGAGGCTGGCCTGAAACTCTGTCTGTCGGGATGTTTTCAGTTACAAGTGACAGAAAACCCCATCAAACTGGTTTAAACAAATTGACACTGTGGAAAAATCTGTGAGTCTGTTGGACTGGGACACAGTGGAATTCAGTGGGACATCATCAGGACTGGTTCTCTGCATCTCTCAACTCAGCCTTCAGCTCAGCGCCCAGGCATGCTCTCCTCCGTCGTGGCGAGATAGCCACTGGTGCCTCTTGGCTTCTATCCAGTGCCCTCAGCAACTCCACCAGAAAGGAGCACATTCGTTCTCCCAAGGGTTCCAATAAAAGCCCCAGAATGGAATCCCACTAATTCTGACTGCTGTACTTGGATCAGGCTGTTCCTTAATCACTCACTGTTCCTGGAGACAGTGATGTTCTCACTGGGCAGGACCAAGTCACATGTGCAGTGCCAGAGGTTCCACCTGGGCCAGGCATGGGTAGGGGTCTTTCTCTAGAAAAACTGGATGGCCATTGCCAGAAGAGGAGGAAAAGGGCACTAGGTAGGCAATGCCTGCATCCAACCGGGGAGGCCCAGGGCTCAGGCCAGGTGCAGCACTCACTGCAGTTGTGGAGGAAAGCCCCGAGGAGGACCTGGGGCAGAGCAATGAAGAATTAGGAGACCTCATGGAAGCAGAGTCAGGAAGGCCTGGGGCATAGCAGACTCCAGGATGGGGAAGAAGTGGAAGAACCAGTGCTATCCCGGTTTCCAGCCTGAATGACTGAGTCGATGCTGGTGCATTTGTTTGGAATAAGGAACATTACAGAAAGATCAGGTTTGGCAAGCAGGTGAACTTGATTCTAGATATGTTAAATCTGAGGTCTATGTGAGAACCCCCACTCCTTCCCCCAGTGGTGATCATAGATGCACACGGCATGCACTTGGAAGAGACTCCAAAAATCATCCAGCTCAGCTGCTGCCAAGTTCTCCTGGTGGGGATAAGTGAGTAGACCTTGTTCTCCAAGTGAAATTGGATCGTCTATTATCTTTTTTTTTTTTTTAGACTCAGTCTCACTCTGTCACCCAGGCTGGAGTGCTGTGGCGCTGTCTCGGCTTACTGCAACCTCTGCCTCCCGGGCTCAAGCAATTCTCCCGCCTCAGCCTCCTGAGTAGCTGGGATTACGGTGCCCACTACCACACCTGGCTAATTTTTGTAATTTTAGTAGAGACAGCGTTTCACCATGTTGGCTAGGCCAGTCTCGAGCTCCTCCTGAACTCAAGCAATCCACCCGCCTCAGCCTCCCAAAGTGCTGGGATTACAGGCATGAGCCACCGCGCCCAGCCGGATCATCTATTTTTTTTATTCATGTATTATGTTTCCTGGTTTTCTTTTTGGTTTTTTTTTTTTTTTTTTTTTGAGACGGAGTCTGGCTCTGTCACCAGGCTGGAGTGCAGTGGCGAGATCCCGGCTCACTGCAACCTCCGCCTCCCGGGTTCAAGAGATTCTTCTGCCTCAGCCTCCCAAGTAGCTGGGACTACAGGTGTGTGCCACCATGTCCAGCTAATTTTTCATTTTTAGTAGAGACAGGGTTTCATCATGTTGGCCTGGCTGGTCTCGATCTCCTGACCTCGTGATCCGCCCACCTCGGCCTCCCAAAGTGCCGGGATTACAGGCATGAGCCACCATGCCCAGTTTATGTTTCCTGGTTTTCATGAATTATTCTGACTTTGTTAAGCTTTCAGTGGAGAGTGGCCACTCCAGCCTTTGTCCAGTTATGAATCCATCTAGTCCCTCCTGTCTTCTTGCCAGCCACCTGCAGCTGGGAAGGAAAGTCTGGGGCTCTGGAGTGGAAGGGCCAGGGCTAGGAATGTTGGTTTGGTAGATATCTGCAAGGACGAGCTCAGATCTTTGGGATGGATGAGTTCACCAAGAAGGATGGAGAGGAGACGGATGAGAAGAGCCAAGGGCATGGCGAGGCACCTACTGAGAACAGAAAAACAGAAGAGGAAGCTGAGGGGCCGGGCACAGTGGCTCACACCTGTAATCCCAGCACTTTGGGAGGCTGAGGCAGGCAGATTGCCTGAGTTTGAGAATTTAACACCAGCCTGGGCAACATGGTGAAACACTGTCTCTACTAAAATACAAAAAAAGTAGCTAGGCATGGGGGGATGTACCTGTTGTCCAAGCTACTCGGGAGGCTGAGGCATGAAAATTGCTTGAGCCGAGGAGGCCAAGGCTACAGTGAGCTGAAATCACACCACTGCACTCCAGCCTGGGCAACAGAGCAAGACTCTGTCAAAAAAAAAGAAAAAGAAGGAGAAGAAGAAGAATCGAGATCAAGAAGCAGCAGCCAGTAGAGGTGTTTTGAGGATGGCACTGCAGAGTCAGTGATGGGGGATATATTTGGCAGTTTAAGATAAAATTGTCAACAGAGCTGGGAGGGCAGAATCCACAGAGGTGAGGGGTGAAGCATGCAGTAAGAGAAGCGGTGAGCAGGTGTAATCATAAACTTCCTTTGAGAATTTTGATGGTAAAATCATTTTAACAACAGGTACCCTCTGTTGTGAGCTCCAAGCTCATCAAGGATCAGGCACAGAACCAAATATACTCAAATTAGCTCACTGGATACTCTCAGCTGCCCTTTGATGTGGCTACCATTTTCATCCCCATGTTACAAATGGAAAGGCTGAGGCTTCAAAGGATTGGTGGAACATGTCCAGGGTCTCTCACCCGTGGCGTGGAACCAGACCTCGAAGGCACGTCTCCCACTCAGGAGCCTGACTGAGCTCTTCACCTCTGCCATAGGATGAAGGATCTGATATAATGATGTGTAGATGGTGGTGGAATCGAGCCGTCATGAGAGATTTAGCCTTGCTTTTCATGTTTGCTTTGCTTTGCTTTGTTTGCCTTTTTATGGAAACAGCAACCTGAGGTGTTTGTAACCCAAAGGGAAGGGGACCCAGTGGAGGGAGACAGGAGTTGACAGAACCCATGAGTGCTGAGCTGGAGGCCTGGTGGAGGGATTAGCCTTTTAACAGGGAGACCAACTACCTCCTCCTAACCAACTGGAAAGCAAAGAGATGCTTGGAGATGGAAAAGGTGAGCTGCATCTCAGCAAGATACAGGGCAAAATCTACTAAAACAGAGAGGCGAAGTTGGGAAATTCATATTGGAACAGTTACACAGGAAATTTAAGAGGTAGGAACAAAAGATGAGTAAGAAAAAAATCTCAGAGCGGCATGACCAGGTGAGATGAGCTAGCAGAAGTACGCAGCACCTGATACAGTGCCTGGCCACTGAAAGGCGCTGTAGAGGAAAACGGGGTCTGATGGGGAGGAGGGGTGGAGCAGTCCTTCTGAACATCAGTTTGCCAATCCCCTCACCACTCACGCTAGCTTACTAATCAAAGTTATCCTGTGATTAGTCCCAGAACACATCAGTGTCAAAGGTCCTCATTCGGGCCAGTTCTGCAGGTGAAGGTTCACCCTATTTTACAGCTGCAGGAACTGAGGTTAGCCATGGTGAATTAACATGCAGCATTTGGTATTCTCTGGCTTGCATGTGGGTTTGGGGGTTGTGAGATGGGCACTAAGGCTGTGGCCAGAGAAAAGTGGACTCCTAGTAAGTAATGAAGCCAGGATTCAAACTGGGGGTGCTGGCTTCAGCCTGTGCCCCACTTCTACTGACCTGGTGAGCACTAATGCTGAGCACTGATGGAGAACAAGGCCCCTGGAGGCCAAGGCTTTACCTATTGAAGGGTAGGAAGGGTCTGAGCTTTGGAATTCATTGGTTTGGAGTAAATGAGTAAATTCGGGGCTCCCGGTTCACATGGGTCCAGACCCGGTCTACCTTCTCAGGCATCAGTGGCTTCCTCTGCCCCTGAGTTCTGACTGCCCTGTCTGAAGCCACCACCCCATCCCACCTCTGGCAGGACACCCAGCCTCCTCTCAGGGCCCCGTGTCACCCAAATGTGTGGTGATGCTCACACAGCAGGCGGCGTGAAGCAGCCACAGACCTCACTTCAAACTTCCATGGGCCACTCATGAAGCTTTTTTGGTTAGAAAGGATCATGTCAGCTTTCTTCCTAACAAGAGCTTCTCAGAGCAGCATGTTGAAAAAGACATCACAATTCAATTAAAATCTTCCTCCTTTGAACACTCCCAGAGGGGCAAGGCCACTTGGAATTTGTGAGAAATCTAATTTATAGACACAGTATCAGGAAATAGAATTGTTAACAATGAACAACTGTGTGTCATAGGGATCAAGCAGCAGGCATGGAGCCAGGATTATCTAGGTTCTACCCTCTTCAGCAAGCCATCGAACCTCTCTGAGCCTCAGTTTCCTCATCTGTAAAATGGAGATCACAGCCATCAGTTGGTGTTCTGGGAATAATAGAGATTGTGCATGTAAACCAGGTATGGTGGCTCCCACCTTTAATCCCAGCACCTTGGGAGGCTGAGGCAGGGGGATCACTTGAGCTCAGGAGTTCAAAACCAGGCTGGGTAATATAATGAGACCCCTATCTCTATTAAAAAAAAAAAAAAAAAAGATTGTTTTAAGAAGCTGGGCATGGTGGCATGTGCCTGTAGTCCCAGCTACTCAGGAGGCTGAGGTGGGAGGATCACTTGAACCCAGGAGTTGAGGTTGCAGTGAGCTATGATCATGCCACTCCACTCCAACCTGAGTGACAGAGTGAGAACCTGTCTCTAAATAGAATACAATTGTAAAAGATTGTGCATGTAAACAACATTTTAGTACTATCAGGTTTCCTTGGTCAACAAACCCCTTCTTTTCTTTTTAAAAATGTGTCCGTTTGAGCAACTAAGCAATACAAAAGGTTAAATCACAAACACAGATAACAGGAAATTGCTTCTTACGTCTCAACTTTCCCAAATCACCAACTCTGTTTCTGTGGATCGTGTTTATAAAGATGTTTTATGCTATGTTATCAAGCAGCCAGCATTCTGTTTTCCTTTCTTTTCCAGGATTATAATTTTGTACAGTTCTTCCCCCGTTTCTACCTCGTCCTCCAAATTGTCTGTCATTCCCTTTGGGAGTATTAATACAGTTATTCTACTCTTCGGCATGGCAGGGAGCTTTGGCTGTTTGTAGTTTTAGTTGCAGCAAAAAAAAAAAAAAAATGTAGCTGTGAACATCTCTGTGTCTTCATGGGACAGTGTGTTTCAGCCCAACCAGTTCTGAATTAGAAGAAGCCAAGTGATGTCTTGATTCCAAAGGTAGCAAACAAGGCTGTGCCGCAGTTGCGTGACTTCTGATTAAAAATATACATTCCCAGGCTCTGCACCTGGAGGCTTGGGTGTAGTAACTCTGGACTGAGGTTCATGAATTGGTATTTTTACAAAGCACTCCAGGTGACGTGTGATGGTTTGGGAGCCACATTATAAGCCCAACTCCAAAATTCAAATTTGGATTAAGATAAAATGGAGAAAAATCAGAAAACTCAGGAATTAACTCTCAGTCACCAGTGACCTTTCAAAGGCAATTCTGTTTAACAGAAGAGAAAAATGGAGGCAAGGATGGAAACAGATGAGAAGAGAGCTGGGTTGCTGGAGCTCAGAGTAAAGCCCAGGCCTTCTGCTTTGCAGCATCTAATTCCTCCTGCCCTGCCCCCACCCGTCACCATTGCCACAACATATCTACCCAGGAGAATGCCTTCTCGGGGGGTGTCATGTTGTGATTTTAAAACACAAAGGAGCAATTCCTGCTCCCACCCCCTCAAAAAAGATCTACCCTTGATGAACTGAGGCAGAATCTGTTAACAGCCCTGTCAGAAGACCCCACAAAGCTAAAAGCATCCTTTTTGGTTTTGATGTCTTGTCAAGATGCTTCCTTTGAAAGCTCCCAGACAGCCCTGTTATTTCTCCTGACAGCCCTAGTGAAAAGCTCTGCGATGAGACGTGGCATCCCTGTCAAAGCCCGGAGGTGTGATTCCCTGAGAGCGAGCAGCTCTTGAGCATTCCCTGGGCTCAGAGCACTGCTGCCCTCTGGGTAGACCCCTGGGATCCCGGCTCTGCAGCTCCCTCTGGCCTCTGAACCCCCGAGGGCTTGAGATCCTCCACTGCAGGAGGCCTCTGCAGTCTGACTCCTCACCTCCCCCAGATGCATCCCTAGAGAGGTCAAGAGCGGAGCCATGTACCATCCTGACAGCCAGACTGTGAGCCAGCCACCTTGAGAAGTTTCCAGGGGCTGCTCTGGCAGTTTGATCCATTTTTTCCTTCTCCCAGGGGCTGCAGGCCACTTGTAGGGAAAGGTCAGGAAATGCCACCACCTGTCTCTGGAACTGACGGTGGTAAGGAAAAAGAACAAAGGATGCAGAGGAGAGTGCTTCTTGGGGAGCCTTACAGAGCCCTGTACCTTAAAGCTTGCTGCACCTGCGTAGTAGCATCCTCACCTGGGAGCCTGTTAGGAATGCACAGTCATGGCCAGGCACGGTGGCTCATGCCTGTAATCCCAGCATTTTGGGAGGCTGAGGTGGGTGGATCACCTGAGGTCAGGAGTTCGAGACCAGCCTGGCCAACATGGCGAAACCCCATCTTTACTAAAAGTACAAAAATTAGCCAGGCGTGGTGGCACATGCTTATAATCCCAGCTACTCAGGAGGCTGAGGCAGGAGAATCGTTTGAGCCCGGAGTGTGGAGGTTGCGGTGAGCCAAGATCGCACCACTGCACTCCAGCCTGGGCAAAAGAGGGAAACTCCATCTCAAAAAAAAAATAAAAATAAAAAATAAAATGCACAGTCATAGGCCCTACGCCAGACACACTGAATCAGCATCTGTATTTTAACACAATCCCTAGGTCTACACGTAAAGTTCGTATCCCAGTTTTACTGCTCCAGGCTGTGTGACCTTGACCAAGCTCCTTAACCTCTCTGAGCCTTAGTGTCCACGTAGGGTTTCTGAGAAGTGAAACTTAGCACTTGGCATACACTAAGGCTTTGGTGAATGTTGGCTGTCATTATTGTTGGGGAATTGATTAAGGGAGAATCAGCTGTCACATTCAAACCCCAATTGTTCAGCCATTCCATGGTAGGGAAGAGAGGCCAAACCCAACGGGCGAAAGTTCCAGATGAAAAGTGAAGAGCTCCCAGCATCTACTTAAAGGAGAAACTTGGAGGTGGGTGGGAAGGATATCTCTCAGCAGCCTGGGCCTTGACTGTTTAATTTGGGGTTAGCTGAGATTATTGTTTAGCTGTCTGGTTTGAGGGTTTGTTCTTCATTGATGTGCCTCTTTTCCCGCCAGCCCCACCCCACACCTTGAATCCAAGACCCCTCTGTTTCCAGGACCCTGCCCAAAAGGCTTTGACCCTCCCTTGCCTGCAGACCAAAATCCCAACTCCCTGGCGTGGCATTCCAGGCTCTTCGCCATCTAGCCCCAACCTAAGTTGTTCAGCCTCCTCTCTACCTCTGCCCTCACACCCCTGCCCCTTACCCCCAGTCCTTGTCATTCCTCAAATGTTTTCTTGCCTTCTGACTTGCTCATGCTGTCTGCTCTGCCTGGGAAGACTAGGTTCCTTTGATAGGAGTCACTCTCACTTTCCTCTACCTCCCAGAATTCTACTCCCCCTTTGAAGCCCTGCTTATCCAGGAGAGACTGTGTGGTGGTGTGCCAAGAACACAGGGTTTGGACAGACTGGTCAAATCCCAGCTCTGCCATGAACTAGCTGTGTGACCTTAGGTGAGACATTTACCCTCTCTGGTCTTGGTTCTTTCATCTGCAGATTGAGGGTAGTCACAGCTGCTTTGCAGAGTTGTTGTGAAGACTCACCAAGAAAGCATGGAGAATTTGCATTAATAGTAGCTATTACCATTTTATTTCTAAGAAGAGGAAAGTTGCCTCCCCTGGAAAGCCTTTATCTACCCTCCCCCAACCCTGCCCTACAAAATTAAGTATAGCCTCCTCTCTGTTTCGTAAACTCTTTCTCCTTCTTGTATTTGCAACATCCACACGTTCCACTGTCACCTTCTCAAAAAGGAAGTCGCTGACCACACTGCTTAAAACCTCAAGTGGCCCCGCTCTACACTTTTAATGTGTTCCCTGCCTTACTCTCCTCCATGGTGAGCTCTCCACGAGCCGCAATTTCTGTCCATCCACCGCTGTATCTTCGGCAACTAGAACAGCATCTGGCACCACTAGGTGCTCTGTCAGTGTTTGTCGACTGCAGGAACCAATCACTTTGTGTGCCATTGAAGGGTGTCTAGATGGCAGTGCCCTGCCCAACAGTTGTAGGATGCATTATGCTCCCCTAAAATCCATATGTTGAGGTCCTAACCCCCTATGCCTCCGAATGTGACTGTATTTGGAGATAGGTAATTAAGGTAATTAATTACCCTAACTCCAAGGTTACATGAGGTCATGAGGGTGGGCCCTAATCCAATATAACTGATGTCATTATAACAAGAGGAGTTTAGGAAACAGACTCCCACAGAGGGAAGACCTCAGAAAGACACAGGAGGAAGACGGTCATCTCCAAGCTAAGGAGAGAGGCACCTGAAGAACCCAACCCTGCTGGCACCTTGATCTCAGACTTCCAGCCCGCAAAACTGTGAGAGAATAAATTCCTGTTGTCTAAAGCCACCCAGTCTGTGGCATTTTGTCATGGCAGCCCTAGCGAACTAATGTACCAGCTACGAACTCCTTGAGGACAGAGCTGTGGTGTCTTCATCTGTGCACCCCCAGCTGTCCACAGGGTTCTGGCTCATACTCATACTCAGTAAGCAAGGGTCTAATTGAGTTGCATTCCACTTGCAACAGGGAGGGTAATGATGGAAGAAGCACCTTGTGGCGAAGGGAAGAGCCTTGCACAGACACCAGAAATGGCCTTTTTGTCATTGTCTATGTAGACTGATCATTTCTCTTTTATATAAACCCTGTCTCTGCAAAAAAAAAAAAAAAAAAAAAAAAAAAGGCATGTATTCCGAGGCAATTTATTCCAAGGCATTGTTATGGTCTCATTATGGTTAGGGTTTCTTTGAGGGGCATAGCAAATGCTGCAGTGGATAAAAGGAAAACTGAGTCGAGATCAAAAACATGTAAAGGCAGCAAGGGTGTATTTGGAGCTCCAGGATCGTTTCCATGTAACATGCACTTGTCACACTCTTAGTTATCCCACGAGGAGCAGGACTTCAGACAGAGAGGGGCAACACAGAGAATAGCTGTCTTACCTCCCCTCCCTTCTCTTGGGAACCAGAATCTTAAACAAGTTTGCTTAGTTCTGACTTGTTCAGGCAACCTCCTGAGGGCAGGGATGTTTCTTGCTCCAGATAAGGGATGGTCTGTCTACAGCCATACCACCCTGAATGCGCCCGGTCTCGTCAGACAGGGGATGGTGTGATGACTGGCTGGAGTCTCCCCACTGCTGGGCCCTGGATGGTGCAGCCCAAGGGAGAACTCCCTGCTCCCTTTAAGTGTTTTCAGGTTGGCACAGGATGTGACTGTGCCCAGTTCAGACCCGCTGAGACACTGGCCCAGGGCAAGAACCACGACTTGCAACAGGTCTGCTGGGACACGCACCACTCGCTATGGAAGGGACTGTGTTAGAGTTTATTCTTAACATGTATTTTGTGTATTCATTCATTCACTTATTTTTTATTTTTGCCAACTTTGACCCAGGCATATCAGACCCGAAGACTTTGCTCAAAACTGCAAGTACCAGACTTCATGGTGCTGGTCCTCACCTTGCTGGTGGTTCACGGGCTTTCAAAATGACAGATACCAACATGCTACTATCCTTTAGACACCCAATCCCTGGTGCCAGGATCATCCTTCTAAAGGCCATATTTCTTGCAGATCCACCAAGAGAACCCTAATAGATTCTCAAAAGGCTCTGTGTTTTCTGAGCTCTCCTCCTTCTTTCTTTTCTTCCTTCCTCTTTTCTTCTTTTTCATCTGCTTTGGTTTGGATTCCTGGTTGCTGAATGAGTTTTAGAAGATGCTTTTATTTTGAACCACAATTTTTGGAACACTGAGAAGCTTCCAGGCCATTTTACCACTATTCACCTCATTTCGGGGGCTCACTTGTTAACAGATTTAAATAATGCGGGATATGGGAAGTTTCGGTAAAAAAAGGTATTTCCTCCCCTGGGTCTACTCCTGCCTGATGTCTTTTTTCTGCAGGAGGAAAGTGTCTTTCCTCCTCTCTTTTGAAAAATTTAACTCAAATGTCCCAAGCCCTTTGGCCAATGGGTGCAAATTTAGAATTTAGCCACATTCTGCTGTGTTAATAGTACTCCCCACAGAATTGTAGAGTCTCCCTTCCCTTACAGAGTTCTTCCACTCATGTAACCCCAACACACATGTTCACACGTGTGCACACGCATGCACACACACACACTACTGAGCATTCACAGGAGATTTTAGCATACCTCATCACTGAGCTGCAGTTCCCAAGAGATAGCCTCCCTACAGTTAATTTGTGATGCTGGGTGTGGTGGCTCACACCTGTAATCCCAGCACTTTGGGAGACAGAGGCAAGTGGATGGCTTGAGCCCAGGAGTTCGAGACCAGCCTGGGCAACAGGGTGAAATCCTGTCTTTGCAAAAAAAAAAAAAAAAAAAAAAAATTAGTCAGGCATGGTGGCTTATGCGTGTGGTCCCAACTTCTTGGGAGGCTAAGGCAGGAAAATTGCTTGAACTGGGAGGCAGAGGTTGCAGTGAGCTGAGATCGTGCCATTGCACTCCAGCCTGGGCAACAGAGCAAGACCCCATCTCTAAAAAAAAAAAAAACCTTTCTGCCTTGATGGAGTTTCTGTTCTTGAATGGTGCTGTCCAATAGGACTTCCTATGATAGAAATGTCCTTCATTGTATTAGACAATAGCCACCAGCCACAATTGCTTCTTGAGCACTGGGAATGTGGCTAGTATGACTGTGGTACTGAATTTTTAATCCTATTTAATTTTAACTAAACTCAAAAGGCCACATGTGGCCAGTGGCTACCATATTGGGCAGAATGGTTCTGCACAGAGATACAAATGATAAACAAGTGGATAGACACTTGCTCCTCTTTTAACCACAAAACATCGAAGTATGATGTCAGCTGTTGAAGAGTGCTGTGCAGAAAGCCACGCAGGGTGAGGAAATAGAGAGTGCTAAGGAGGCATTGTTTTGCAGAGGGGCAGCTGTCAGCAAAAGCCTCTCTGTGGGAGGCTGACTTTTCAATGGAGACCTAAAAACCAGGCGGTTCTCGGGGTGGGATGTTCTGGCAGAGGTGCTGTGAGGGGAGTGAGGTCCTGACAGAGCCACTGGAGTGTGAAGGGCGGCGGGAGAGGGGAGCCGGGGCCGGAGCCTGCCAGGTCTTGGTGGTGCCATTGCTGGAGATGAACTCTGGAGGCGTGAAAAGTATTTGAGAGGTGAGATCAAGACTCTGAAGATCATGGCAGGCGGAGGCTGGAGGTGGCGGTTTGGGCATGGTCAATAAAAAGAAACGGCTGCCCTCTTCTCTGGTTTGCCCCTGTCCTCTCCACCCCACTGCTGATGAATTTGACCAGCCTACACATGCCAGTGCTTTCATCTTCGAGGGGCCAGGTTCTGGGTTCACTAGCCGGGGAATGGCCCTTTCCCCAGCCCTGGCCAAGTGTGTCACCGAGCCCCTAAGCAGGTGGGCGTGGGCCTAGACTCTCAGAGTTGTTTGTGAAAATAAGTTCTTCGCTTTGGCCTTTATGCCCTCTCTTCAGTGGGACTCAAACCCAGGCCCATGGGAGAGGCCAGAGATGATATGCCATCTCCTGCCTTCCCTTCCCTTTCCTTCCTTTTCCTGGAAGTCGGGGATCTTTGCTTCAAAACATGTCTCCCACCTCCTTTAGCCCATCAGCTCTCTATTCTCGGTTCTGGGTTCTGTTAACCTAATAAGCAAATTGTTCCTGTACTTCCAAATCATCATTTGTTTAATGCAGTTCCAATCAAAATTCTAATAGAATTTTATTTCACAGGTGATATTGATTCATGAGACTAGATTATCAAAATAACCAAGAACTGTTTTGCGAAAAGAAAGAGTAATGAGGAGAACTCTACTAGATATAAAAATGTACTCTAAACATACAAAAGTTCTTTTAGAAGCAAGGCATAAGTGCAGTACTCAACAGCTAGATCGATACACAGATTAGATAACCCAGAACCAACCCTAGTAGATATAAAGTTTGTGTATGATAAAGGAGGTTTCTCAAAAATTAGTTAGAAAATAATAATGCATGCTGCTGAGATGGTTGGTAACTCTGAAGAAAAATGGTTAGAATTGTGTCTTACAGCTTAACCCAAGATAAATTCAATACCAGATGAGTTAAATGCAAAAAATAAGGTTAAAATATTCTTAAGAAAATGTAGATTAATATATTTCAGCTATCAAGACAGGGAATCACTTTCTAAATATAAAATCACAATGAAAGAGGCTACAAGAGAAAAAAATTGGTAAATCTATTAGCTAAAAATTAAAATTTCTACATGTTAAACGTTAAAAAATATATAATATGCACAACTAAAAGGTAAGTGATAGGGCCAGACGCAGTGGCTCAAACCTGTAATCCCAGCACTTTGGGAGGCCAAGGCAGGCAGATCACCTGAGGTTAGGAGTTTGAGCCCAGCCTGACCAACATGGAGAAACCCCATCTCTACTAAAAATACAAAATTAGCCTGGCGTGGTGGCGCATGCCTGTAATCCAACTATGCAGGAGGCTGAGGCAGGAGAATCGTTTGAACCTGGGAGGCAGAGATTGCGGTAAGCCAAGACCGCGCCGTTATACTCCAGCCTGGGCCACAAGAGCAAAACTCTATCTGAAAAGAAAAAAAGGAAAATGATAGACTGGGAAAAGTTTTGCAACAAACTTAGTAAAGCATTAGTATTATTTATGTAAAGAGAATTCTTGCAAATTCATAATAAAAACCACTGAATGTCTAAATAAAAATGACATAAGCAGACAATTCATAAAAGAATATAAATAGTGGGCAAATCTTTGAAAACAATCCAACCTTATTGTCAATCAAGAAAAGCATACAAGCATATTAAAACAGTCTTCTTGGCCAGGCATGGCTCACACCCATGATCCCAGCACTTTGGGAGACAGCAGCACGTGGATAACTTGAGCCCAGGTGTTGGAGACCAGCCTGGACAACATGGCAAAACCCCTGGACAACATGGCAAAACCCTGTCTCTACTAAAAATAAAAATTAAATGATTAGCTGGGCATGGTGGTGTGTGCCTGTAGTTCCAGCTGCTCAGGAGGCTGAGGCAGGAGGATTACTTGAGCCCAGGAGATGGAGGATTGCTTAAGCCCAGGAGATAGAGGCTGCAGTGAGCTAGAATTGTGCCACTGCACTGCAACCTGGGTGACAGAGCCAGACCCTGTCTCAGAAACAAACAAAAATCCAAAAAACTGTTTTTCCCTATCTAATCAGCAAGGCTTTTTAACAGTAGTATTTTACTACTGTTAAATAGGCTGGATTGTGAGTAGTATTTACTACTGTAAATAGGCTGGATCCAGCTGTATAGGCTGGATTGTAAGTCAAGCCCTCTCATACACTACCAAAGAAAAGGCCAGTTGAGGCCAAAACTCTGCCATACATATGGGTCAAGAGAACCACTTCTAGGCATCCATCCAAAGGTAGTTATCAAAAATAAGGATTAAGGGTATTCACTGCAGTTTTGTTGATAAGAGCCAAAAACGAAATAAATTTCCAACAAAAGTCCAATTGCTGTAAAAAAAAGAATGAGTTTATGTCCTTTGCAGGGACATGGATGAAGCTGGAAGCCATCATTCTCAGCAAACTAACACAGGAACAGAAAACCAAACACCACATGTTCTCACTCATAAGTGGGAGTTGAACAATGAAAACACATGGACACAGGGAGGGGAACGTCACACACCGGGGCCTGTTGGGGGATGGGGGACAAGGAGAGGGAGAGCATTCGGACAAATACCTAATGAATGCAGGGCTTAAAACCTAGATGACGGGTTGATGGGTGCAGCAAACCACCATGGCACATGCATACCTATGTAACAAACCTGCACATTCTGCACATGTATCCCAGAACTTAAAATAAAATTTTAAAAAAGTCCAATGGCTGAACGTATCATGTGTGGTCTATCCCTACAATGTACTAACATGCATTATAGGGATATACCACACGTGATGATTTCATCACGTGATGAAATAATGATTTTTAAAATCATTATTTTGCTCACTATTTATGGAAATGGGAAACTGTTTAAGTGAGATGAACTATAAAACTGCAATATTGGGGGGGTGATTGCTTTTTTTTTCTTTTATACTTTTCTGCATTTTCTGGATTTTCTATCATGATTTTGCTTTTATGATAAGCAAAATGTTCATATCTGTTTTCTAGCGCCTGAGTAAATTTCACTTGCCAACCCCTGGGGACACATCTCGCTTCCGAGGTACCATATCTAAAAGTGGCTTGCAAGCACACCATCTGCGACTCCCTCTCACCGCTTCAGAGGATTTTAGGACCTGTCTACCTTTCCTGTATTCCTTTGTCTCCAAACATGAAATGGTGACCCTCATCCATGTTTGTTTGGTTTGGGCCTGTTTTCACCTCCTTCCAAAAAAAGGAAGAGAAGAAGAATGTGATTTTTCGTGTTTCTAAGCACTTTCACGCCGTCTGTGCATCCATAGATGTTCGATTTGGGTGCCTGTTGGGCTGGGTCATGGGAAAACTCATAAAGAAGTGCCAGTTTCTTTTGCGTTGTGAAGAGACACTGACCCTGTCTTTGTTCTTGTCCACAGATATGATGCTTCCTGGTGTGTTTAGTGGTTGGTGCCATTCCAATTTTCTGTGCTGAAATCATTCTGAAAACTCAAACAGTAGACTTCAGCACACAAGGAAAGCCAAAGCCATTTGAGGGGGAATAAAGCCAAAAGCCTTTCACCTTATTCGTTCCAAGAATCTCACCGCCCCCTCCTTATCCCCCTCCAAAAATAAGCCATTGCACACAGACAGGCAGCATGGCTAGCAAACGAAAATCTACAACTCCATGCATGGTTCGGACATCACAAGTAGTAGAACAAGATGTGCCCGAGGAAGTAGACAGGGCCAAAGAGAAAGGAATCGGCACACCACAGCCTGACGTGGCCAAGGACAGTTGGGCAGCAGAACTTGAAAACTCTTCCAAAGAAAACGAAGTGATAGAGGTGAAATCTATGGGGGAAAGCCAGTCCAAAAAACTCCAAGGTGGTTATGAGTGCAAATACTGCCCCTACTCCACGCAAAACCTGAACGAGTTCACGGAGCATGTCGACATGCAGCATCCCAACGTGATTCTCAACCCCCTCTACGTGTGTGCAGAATGTAACTTCACAACCAAAAAGTACGACTCCCTATCCGACCACAACTCCAAGTTCCATCCCGGGGAGGCCAACTTCAAGCTGAAGTTAATTAAACGCAATAATCAAACTGTCTTGGAACAGTCCATCGAAACCACCAACCATGTCGTGTCCATCACCACCAGTGGCCCTGGAACTGGTGACAGTGATTCTGGGATCTCGGTGAGTAAAACCCCCATCATGAAGCCTGGAAAACCAAAAGCGGATGCCAAGAAGGTGCCCAAGAAGCCCGAGGAGATCACCCCCGAGAACCACGTGGAAGGGACCGCCCGCCTGGTGACAGACACAGCTGAGATCCTCTCGAGACTCGGCGGGGTGGAGCTCCTCCAAGACACATTAGGACACGTCATGCCTTCTGTACAGCTGCCACCAAATATCAACCTTGTGCCCAAGGTCCCTGTCCCACTAAATACTACCAAATACAACTCTGCCCTGGATACAAATGCCACGATGATCAACTCTTTCAACAAGTTTCCTTACCCGACCCAGGCTGAGTTGTCCTGGCTGACAGCTGCCTCCAAACACCCAGAGGAGCACATCAGAATCTGGTTTGCCACCCAGCGCTTAAAGCATGGCATCAGCTGGTCCCCAGAAGAGGTGGAGGAGGCCCGGAAGAAGATGTTCAACGGCACCATCCAGTCAGTACCCCCGACCATCACTGTGCTGCCCGCCCAGTTGGCCCCCACAAAGGTGACGCAGCCCATCCTCCAGACGGCTCTACCGTGCCAGATCCTCGGCCAGACTAGCCTGGTGCTGACTCAGGTGACCAGCGGGTCAACAACCGTCTCTTGCTCCCCCATCACACTTGCCGTGGCAGGAGTCACCAACCATGGCCAGAAGAGACCCTTGGTGACTCCCCAAGCTGCCCCCGAACCCAAGCGTCCACACATCGCTCAGGTGCCAGAGCCCCCACCCAAGGTGGCCAACCCCCCGCTCACACCAGCCAGTGACCGCAAGAAGACAAAGGAGCAGATAGCACATCTCAAGGCCAGCTTTCTCCAGAGCCAGTTCCCTGACGATGCCGAGGTTTACCGGCTCATCGAGGTGACTGGCCTTGCCAGGAGCGAGATCAAGAAGTGGTTCAGTGACCACCGATATCGGTGTCAAAGGGGCATCGTCCACATCACCAGCGAATCCCTTGCCAAAGACCAGTTGGCCATCGCGGCCTCCCGACACGGTCGCACGTATCATGCGTACCCAGACTTTGCCCCCCAGAAGTTCAAAGAGAAAACACAGGGTCAGGTTAAAATCTTGGAAGACAGCTTTTTGAAAAGTTCTTTTCCTACCCAAGCAGAACTGGATCGGCTAAGGGTGGAGACCAAGCTGAGCAGGAGAGAGATCGACTCCTGGTTCTCGGAGAGGCGGAAGCTTCGAGACAGCATGGAACAAGCTGTCTTGGATTCCATGGGGTCTGGCAAAAAAGGCCAAGATGTGGGAGCCCCCAATGGTGCTCTGTCTCGACTCGACCAGCTCTCCGGTGCCCAGTTAACAAGTTCTCTGCCCAGCCCTTCGCCAGCAATTGCAAAAAGTCAAGAACAGGTTCATCTCCTGAGGAGCACGTTTGCAAGAACCCAGTGGCCTACTCCCCAGGAGTACGACCAGTTAGCGGCCAAGACTGGCCTGGTCCGAACTGAGATTGTGCGTTGGTTCAAGGAGAACAGATGCTTGCTGAAAACGGGAACCGTGAAGTGGATGGAGCAGTACCAGCACCAGCCCATGGCAGATGATCACGGCTACGATGCCGTAGCAAGGAAAGCAACAAAACCCATGGCCGAGAGCCCAAAGAACGGGGGTGATGTGGTTCCACAATATTACAAGGACCCCAAAAAGCTCTGCGAAGAGGACTTGGAGAAGTTGGTGACCAGGGTAAAAGTAGGCAGCGAGCCAGCAAAAGACTGTTTGCCAGCAAAGCCCTCAGAGGCCACCTCAGACCGGTCAGAGGGCAGCAGCCGGGACGGCCAGGGTAGCGACGAGAACGAGGAGTCGAGCGTTGTGGATTACGTGGAGGTGACGGTCGGGGAGGAGGATGCGATCTCAGATAGATCAGATAGCTGGAGTCAGGCTGCGGCAGAAGGTGTGTCGGAACTGGCTGAATCAGACTCCGACTGCGTCCCTGCAGAGGCTGGCCAGGCCTAGACAGGTAATTCCACCTGCTCACCCAGGCAGCAGGGGAGAACGCAGCTTGCTTTCTTTTCGTTGCCAGGGTTAATATAGATTGTAGGGTACAGAGATGTTGACACAGATGGTGGCGTCTTTTTCTTGTAATTAACAAATAAGAATGATGTATATTGATCACATACAATATGATGTTTTGAAATATGTTTACCTAGTGGGATGGCTCAGTTAAGCTGATTCCCGTATGCATTACCTCACATACTTATTCTTGTAGTGGAAGGGTCTGGTTTTGGTTTTGGTGTTTTGTTTTGTTTTGTTTTTAGTGACAGAGTCTTGCTCTGCCACCCAGGCTGCAGTGCAGTGGCTCGATCATAGGTCATTGTAGCCTCAAACTCCTGGGCCCAAGCGATCCTCCCCCCTCAGCTTATCAAGTAGCTGGGACTTCAGGCATCTGCCACCACACCCAACTAATATTTTAATATTTTGGTAGAGACGGGGTCTCACTTTGTTGCCCAGGCTGGTCTCAAACTCCTGGACTCAAGGAATTCCTTTGCATCTGCCTCCCAAAGTGCTGGGATTACAGGCATGAGCCACTGAGCCCGGCTGATGAGTTATTTGTAAAGGTTCTTTGAAAAAAGAAGAAAAATGGGGGCTGATGGAACCTACGTCCTCATTTGTAAGGCTGTGCCCAGGGGGCAGCACCGCTGGCTGTGGCCTGTTTGGGCTCCAGCCTTCAGGCCTGTCCATTCTGAAGGTTAGTTTTGACTGTTAGAAAACACATCCTCCCTCTGTGTGTTTTGTGTTTGTTGCTGTAAAAACACCAAACATGAAGAGGTTGTTTCTTTTTTTTTTTCCCCCCTTTTCTTTTTGGATTTTTTAAGAATACATATCCAAGTTTACTGAATCAAAGACCTGAGCTTATTTCTTCTAATCTGAAAAGGCTTTGAAAGTGCTTGATATTTGCCTTGTCAGGGCAAAAGGAAGGTGCCACTGTGCTTGGGTCCCCATAACCCCTTCAAATCTGGAAGAGCCGGGTGTAAATTAGGCCTGTAGAGTCACATAAGCCGGGGGGGGGGGGGTGGCAGGGCGGTTTCCATGGTTACTAATGGCCATGTCATCCCCATAATGGGACATGCCACTGAAGCCCTTGGTATTCTGCTTCCTAAGAGGTCAGTGCAAATCGAGGCCTGAAGCACAGCAGCTTGGTGGTGAGTTGAGAAATGGGGGCAGTGGCAGGGGGAGGGCTGGTGGGAGGGAAAGCAAATATTACAAGGAGGAAGATGCACGATTTGCCCAGGTAGGCTTCTCCAGAGGTCACTTAAAATACCACGGAATGGGCCTCCCAAGTTATCTTTACAAAATATAAAATAAAGGTAAGAACCTCCAGAATGATTGATAAGGTCCCAAAGGCAGCCCTGGAAATTACCACACCTCTGTCTTAATGAACTTGGACAACTTTGGCTGACCACGTCGCTCATTAACTCATTGATTCACTAATAAAATGAGGCAGCTGACAAATAAATGAAATTCTCTAGAAACCTTGTTTTAGCCAGTTCCATCCGCTATTAAAAGAGCACTTTAACGAGCAGCCAATCCCAGAATGCCATCATGTTCCATTCTCCTTTCTCCTCCCACTTGCAGGAGGAAATGCCTGTGTGTCAAGGGTGTGGGCACAACCCAAAGGGGAGGGCGTGAGTGAAAGGAAGGGGATAGAAGTGTACTGAGGTCACAATGACAGCAACTTCCCACCTCTACCTGGCCACCTCTGGCCATTCTCCCACCTTAGAAGAACCTACCAGTCTAGCCCATACCTCCCTCATTAAAATGAGGGAGTGATTTTTTTTTTTTTTTTTTTTTTTGAGACAGAGTCTCACTCTGTTGCCCAGGCTGGAATGCAATGGCACGATCTCAACTCACTGCAACCTCCACCTCTTGGGTTCAAGCAGTTCTCCTGCATCAGCCTCCCGAGTAGCTGGGATTACAGGCATGCGCCACCCCACCCGGCTAATTTTCATATTTTTAGTAGAGACGGGGTTTTGCCGTGTTGGCCAGGCTGATCTCAAACTCCTGACCTCAGATGATCCACCCACCTTGGCCTCCCAAAGTGCTGGGATTACAGGCGTGAGCCACCACGCCCGACCTCCCATCTTCTATCCTTGATCTTTTCCCATCCATGACACGTGTCTACATGGTTGCTTTTTCCTCCCACCCCAGAGAGGACAATAGGGTTCAGTTCCATTCAACAGTACCTTCTGAGCACCTACTGTATGCCTGCTGCTACTCCAGGAGCTAGAAACAGTGCCATGAGAGAGACAGACAACACAGTACCCATTCACTGTGGAGCTCGGGCAGGCCAAGGAGAGAGGAAATCGCATTTTCCTTTACTCATCAGTGTGATATGTGTTACGATGGGGAAGGGCACGGCTCTGGGTCAGGGCTCAGAGGAGGAACACCTAGGTAGGGGGTTAGGGAGCTTCTTGGAGGAAGGGACATCTGACTCAGGGGATGAGAAGGAGTTAGCCAAGTGCACAGACAAGGGAAAGAGGGGTCCACATGGAAGAAGCAGCACAGGCCAAAGTCCAGAGACAAGAAAAGGAATGCCACTGGTGAGAAACCAAAAGAGGTTGGGCATAGCCAAAAGGTAGAGTTTGGGTTCGGTAAAGGATAAGAGGAGGCAAACTGAAAGCAAACTCAATGGTTTTCCATAACAGACAAGCTATTCTGAACGAGTTATGTTTGCTGAATTTGAATAGAAAGATGCTTAGTGTCTCTGTATCCCAAGGTAAGCTCAGATGGCACTTCCAGTCCCCATGGCTGAGTGGGAGGTTGTCTAGGGGCGGCGGTTCTCCAGAGGCCCCGGTCCCCATCTCTTCTCTCCCAAGCTAATACCACCACCACCAGTTGAAAATGCACATGGGGGTGGGATGTTATCCTGCCTGATGCCCCAGTGGCCCAAAGAAGACAGTAATGAGGGAGGGAATGTTAAAACCATACAGAAAACCTTTGGGGAGGAAGGATGGAATGATGAACGAAGGTCGCCTGAATAGCAGAGGTCGAGGTAGGTTCTCTGACTATACATGGTCTTACTTAATTCTCCTAGGGAGGTAGCTTCTCTATAAACCCAGAAACAGACTCAGAAACCAAAGAACTTACCCACATTCACCCAGCCAACACATGAGTTTGTCTCCAGAGTCCTCACTCTTCCTCCTGCCATCTTTACCTCATTATTTCTGACAGAAATTCTCCATTTCTAGTATACCCCCGTTCTCAGGACAGGGACTAGCTGTGTTCACAAAAAAAAAAAAAAAAAACATGCAGGAACCCCACTTTATGTTTAATTATGGTAAATGCCCCACCTGTGAGCTAGAAAACATCCCTAAACAGGATGCTAAGATCTGTTCCACGTGTGGCAACATCAGATATCTCTGATGGCTCCCTGATATTTTGGAGGTCCATTGTTTTGTTTTGTTTTGTTTTGTTTTGAGATGGAGTCTTCCTCTGTGGCCCAGGCTGGAGTACAGTGGTGCCATCTCAACTCACCCCAACCTCCGCCTCCCAGGTTCAAGCGATTCTCCTGCCTCAGCCTTCCAAGTAGCTGGAACTACAGGCACGTGCCACCATACCCAGCTAATTTTTCTATTTTTTTTAGTAGAGGTGGGGTTTCACCATGTTGGCCATGCTGGTCTCAAACTCCTGACCTCAGGTGATCCATCTGCCTCAGCCTCCCAAAGTGCTGGGATGACAGGCAGGAGCCACCGCGCCCCACCATTGGAGTTCCATGGTATTGAGAAAGGGGCTGCCTTCTGCACTAGGGGTGGCATTGAAAGTTCTCCCACATCCTGGACAGAGGCACTCCTTAAAGGAATCTTTCAATTTAAAGGGAAAAAAAATCTCTCCAAATTGCTTCACAGTTTTCATGAACCAAACACATGAGTCTCTTGAATTCATAAATATTCAGTGATGTCCCTATTTAAATACTTATTTATTTAGGAACCTGCAGTTCAGTTCAGTTATGACACATAATAATCCTGAAATAATTCATGGTTTTGACTTTATAAAAAGTGTTATGTGATGCACAAGAGGGTGAAGGGGGAGGAACTTGAGCAAGCAGCTGAGAGCTGGCTCTAGGACTAGATTTCCTCTGTAGGCGTTAAGCATCTCCTGCAACCAAATCTCTCTAACCTCTGCAAAGCTTAGGACAGCATTTGACTCAGTCCAGGCTCACCTCGGCCCTGAGGTTAGACACAAAGATAAGGAATACTTCCCAGCCTTTGAATTGTGTTGTCTTGATTCAGTCCCTGTGTCTGAACAATGTTTGAGCCATTCCATTGAGGGACCTGTCCTAGGAAAAGGCTGAAAATTAGACTTATTTTTTCAGAAAAATGAGTCAACGTACTTGAGCAAGACATTGTCAGACATCAGCCTTGATGTTTGGTCAAATGGAATATTCCGTTACTATTGCTAGTGAGGGTTCCCATTAATTGACACCCACTGTGTGCTCAGCTGCCTTCTAAGCACGTCTACTAAGTCACTTCAACTTCATGCCCACCCTGTGAGGTAGGTACAGCCTTGTCCCCATTTTATAGAGGGCAAAACTGAGGGCCAGAGAAAATGAGTAACTTGCCTTATGTTCCTCAGCCAACAGCTGGAAGACCTTGGAGGCCACCTCTCAACTGTCAGGCCAGTGCCTGACCCCAGCCACTATGGCCCTGCCCTCTCCAACAGTGGCACCACCAGCATAGCCCAGAACAAACAGAGTGTGGTCATTTCTTGATTTTGTGTGGGAGTGGAAACTAATCCACAATGTATTCATTCAGCAAGAACTTTAGAGAGCCCTCTTTGTGCTAGGCCCTGTGCTAGTCTGTGTAGATTTGCCAGAATGTCCAAGACACAGCCCCTACCTAATCTCAGTTAATAAAGGTGAGAAATGGACATAGAAACACCTGTTTCATGAGAGTAGTGCACACAGAAACCAGAGGAGCTAGGAGGGGGAGAGGTGGCTTTTCCAACATGTTGTCTGATTCAGAACCTTCCCACCAACCTACATGTGCAAGCCACCTTCCCATTTATTTTAAACAAAGAATTCTGAGGCTCAGGAACCTGCCAGAGTTCACTCAGCCAGTGTCTAAAATTGACTCCAAAGCTCCAGCCACCACCTTCGCTGCCTCCTGATTTCTGTCAACAGTTTCCAACTCCTGATGATTAGGGATGACTTTGGAGAAGAGGAAAAAATTGTGAAATGTCAGAAAGGTATTTTCCATGGTTCGGCTTGGTTAAAATTTTTAAGGCTGCTAAGCATTGCATTCTGGTTACAATTTAAGATCCAGAAGAGGTATGCCCTCACACTCTGTTCAGATTAGCTGTCCAAATGCAGATATTTGAATGAATGAATGAACGAACGAATTAATTAACTAATTAATTAATGAGTGAATGAATGAAAATATTGTTGTCGACTGTTTCCCTCTCTCCTGTACCAGACCCTTACCGGCAGGGACCATATATCATTAATCTCTGAATCCCTAGTTTAGATTCAGAGCAGATGCTGAATAACGGTTTATTGAACGAACCAGAGAATTTTAAAAGATAGTTGGGATCTGGTATTTCAATCCTTTTGCTTGTCCTCATTTTTTTCCCATCACTCATTAGCTCCAATGGTTGACAGCAGCGAGAGGAGAGGGATTGGATACAGTTTGCTTCCTGTGTATGAAAAGCTCAAGAGAAAGGCCTGTTGGAGAATCTGTCACCAGATATTTACTGGTGATGCTTCTCAGGGACTGCCCGTTAGTCTGACTTCCCTCATGCCTAACAGGGAGTTAACTGATACCACTTCCACTTACTTAATTCTGGAGCTTCTCACCCTAGGAATTCTCACTGTGCTTTGGGTGACTTGTGGAGGCTTAGCCACCATGAAATCCAGCCCCCTCATTTTCAGAGGAAGGATGTAGGTCCCAGGGAGATGAAGTCACTAGCCCAGAGACATTCCTAATAAGTGATTTGGTTCATTCATCCATCAAGTATTTGTGGAATGTCTGCAGTGTGCCGGGCTCTGGAAGGCAGTGTGCCCAGCATGTCCCTGCCCTCATGGAGCCCTTGGTCTAATGGGAAATGAAGTTTTAACCAATCTTTAATCAAACAAAAATGAAAGTTGCTACACTGACATGTTCTTTGGTGCCGTTAGAGTATAGAATATGGGAATTTGAGGGTTTAAATAGCAGATTTAAGGTTTAGGGGACACTCCCTAAAGAGGTAATGGGGCCAGGCACAGTGGCTCATACCTGTAATCCCAGCACTTTGGGAGGCTGAGTCACACAGATCACCTGAGGTCAGGACTTCGCACAAACCTGGCCAACATGGTGAAACCCTGTCTCTACTACAAATACAAAAATTAGCTTGGTATAGTGGTGCATGCCTGTAGTCCCTGCCACTTGTGGGGCTGAGGCAGGAGAATCGCTTGAACCCAGGAGGTGGAGGTTACAGTGAGCCGAGATCGCACAACAGCACTCCAACTTGGGGCACAGAGCAAGACTCCATCTCAAAAATAATAATAAATAAGTAAATAAGAAGAAGAAGTAATGGATGGATTGAAAACCAAAGGGTTAGACCAACATGCAGGAGCATGCTGGGCAGAGAGGAGGGGAAGAATATTCCAGACAGAAGAAACAACATACTCAAGGGGAACTGAAAGGTGGCCATGGTGGGCATGACTTGCCTGGGTTCACACTTCACAGAAGTGCAGAGGTTAAAAGCCAGAGCGTTAGGTGGACTCACATATAATCAAAATTTCCCTTGAAATTCCTCTGTCTCACCAGTAAAGGAGATGACATGGTTCATTGTCCATAACCCTAGAGAAAGTTTGATGCCCTCTGAGCTACTCAAGGAAGGAGCAAAAGGAAAACCAACTTGCAAATGTCCTGGGCATTCAGACCCATCTGCCCTAGTGGAAAATGGAGGCTGGATGGTGGAAAATTCTAGAGCACCCACATGCCTATACATTTTACTTTATTCTTTCTATAACCTTAATACTTACTGTATTAGTCAGCTAAGGCTGCCAGAACAGAATGTCACAGGCTGGGTCACTTAAACAACAGAAATTTATTTTCTCACAGTTCTGGAGACTAGATGTTCAAGCTCAGGACACCAGCAGGGTTAGTTTCTGGTGAGGCCTCTCTTCGTAGCTTGCCAACACCCACCTTCTCACTGTGTCCTCACATAGTCTTTGCTCTGTGTGTTCACATGGCTGGTGTCTCTTCTTTTTCTTGTAAGGACACCAGTCCTATGAGATTAGGACTTAATTACCCCACCCTTAGTTACCTCCTTAAAGGCACTATCTCCAAATACAGTCACCTTAGAGATTACGGCTTCAACATATGAATTTAGGGGGGATATAATTCTGTTCATAATGCTTACAAACAGTTGTCTGTATTTGTCAGGATTAAGTGAGATAATATAAATGAAAGCCCCTTGTATTAGGCTGTTTTCATACTGCTATAAAGAACTGCCCAAGACTAGGTAATTTATAAAGGAAAGAGGTTTAATTGACTCACAGTTCAGCATGGCTGGGGAGGCCTCAGGAAACTTACGATCATGGCGGAAGGCGAAGGGGAAGCAAGGCACCTTCTTCACAAGGTGGCAGGAAGAAGTGCTGAGGAAAGAGGGAAGAGCCCCTTATAAAACCATCAGATCTCATGAGAACTCACTCACTATCAGGAGAACAGCTTGGGGGAAACCACCCCCATGATTCAATTACCTCCACCTGGTCTCTCCCTTGACACATGGGGATTATGGGGATTACAATTCAAGATGAGATTTGGGTGGGGACACAAAGCCTAACAATATCACCCCTAGAGCAGGGTTCTAGCATTAGTACCAATAGATACTGCATCTCAACTTGCTTACTGCTCTCTATATGGAGAAGAACTTGGCCCCCTGCTTCTTGCCTTTCCAAGTTGACCTTTTCTGTTGGGGCCCCACATGTTCATGCCAGTGGGTGTTAATTGCATCTCAGGAGGGGTTGGGCTGGGGGTGTCTGGGGCTGTGACACAGGGTAGCACTGCTGAGCACTCACTGTTCCAGGCCTGCTCAGGCACTGTGCATGTGCTGACTCATCTCATTCTCACAGTCACACTCCAAACTATTTTAATAGTTTTGGGGGAACATGTGGTGTTGGGTTACATGGATAAGTTCTTTAGGTGTGATTTCTGAGCTTTCGGTGCACCTATCACCCGAGCAGTGTACACTGCACCCAATGTGTGCTCTTTTATCCCTGACCCCCCTCTCATCCTTCCCCTGAAGTCCCCAGAGTCTATTATGTCATTCTTATGCCTTTGCTTCCTCATAGCTTAGCTCCCACTTGTGAGTGAGAACATATGATGTTTGGTTTTCCATTCCTGAGTTACTTCACTTAGAATAATGGTCTCCAACTCCATCCAGGTTGCTGTGAATGCCATTATTTCATTCCTTTTTATGGCTGAGTAGTATTCCATGGTATATACATACCACATTTTCTTTATCCACTTGTTGGTTGATGGGCATCTAGGCTCGTTACATATTTTTGCAACTGTGAATTTTGCTGCTATAAACATGCGTGTGCAAGTGTCTTCTTCATATAATGACTTCTTTGTCTCTGGGTAGGTACCCAGTAGTGGGATTGCTGGATCAAATGGTAGTTCTACTTTTAGTTCTTTAAGGACTCTCCATACTGTTTTTCATAGTGGTTGTACTAGTTTACATTTCCACCAGCATTGTAAAAGTGTTCCCTTTTTATCACATCCATGCCAACATCTATTATTTTTTGGTTATTTAATTATGGCCATTCTTGCAGGAGTTAGGTAGTATTGCATTATGATTTTGATTTGCATTTCCCTGATAATGAGTGATGTTGAGCATTTTTTTCATGTTTTTTTTGGCCATTCATATATCTTCTTTTGAGAATTGTCTATTCATGTCTTTAGCCCACTTTATGCGGGATTGTTTTTTCTTGGTGATTTGTTTGAGTTCCTTGTAGATTCTGGATATTAGTCCTTTGTCAGATGCGTAGTTTGTGAATATTTTCTCCCACTCTGTGGGTTGTCTGTTTACTCTGCTGATTATTTCTTTTTCTGTGCAGAAGCTTTTTAGTTTAATTAAGTCCCATCTATTTATCTTTGTTTTTGCTGCATTTGCTTTTGGGTTCTTGGTCATGAACTCTTTGCCTAGGCCAATGTCTAGAAGAGTTTTTCTGATGTTATCTTGGAGAATTTTTATGACTTCACGTCTTAGATTTAAGTCTTTTATTCATCTTGAGTTGATTTTTGTATAAGGTGAGAGATGTGGACCCAGTTTCATTCTTCTACATGAGGCTAGCCAATTATCCCAGCACCATTTATTGAATAGGGTGTCCTTTCCCCACTTTATGTTTTTGTTTGCTTTGTCAAAGATCAATTGGCTGTAAGTATCTGGCTTTATATATATTTTCTCTATCCTGTTCCATTGGTCTATGTGCCTGTTTTTATACCAGTACTATGCTGTTTTGGTAACTATAGCCTTGTAATATAGTTTGAAGTAAGGTAATGTGATGCCCCCAGATTTGTTCTTTTTGCTTAGTCTTGCTTTTGGCTATACGGGCTCTTTTTTGGTTTCATATGACTTTTAAGATTGTTTTTTCTAGTTCTATGAAGAATGATGATGGTATTTTGGTGGGAATTGCATTGAATTTATAGATTGCTTTTGGTAGTATGGTCATTTTCACAATATTAATTCTACCCATCCATGAGCATGGGATGTGTTTCCATTTGTTTGTGTCATCTATGGTTTATTTCAGCTGTGTTTTATAATTTTCCTTGTAGAGATCTTTCACTTCTTTTGTTAGGTATATTCCTAAGTTGGGTTTTTTTTGTTGTTGTTTCTTTGTTTGTTTGTTTTTTTGCACCTGTTATAAAAATAGTTGAGTTCTTGATTTGACTCTCAGCTTGGTTGCTATTGGTGTATGGTAGTGCCACTGATTTGTGTACATTGATTTTGTATTCTGAAACACTGAATTCATTTATCAGATCTAGGAGCTTTTTGGATGAGTCTTTAGGGTTTTCTAGGTATATAATCAACATAGTCAGCAAACAGCAACAGTCTGACTTCCTTAACTTGTATGCCCTTTATTTCTTTCTCTTGTCTGATTGCTCTGGCTAGGACTTCTGGTATTGTGTTGAATAAAAGTGGGGAAAGTGGACATCTTTGTCTTGTTCCGGTTTTCAGGGGAACTACTTTCAACTTTTCCCCATTTAATGTAATGTTGGCTGTGGGTTTGTCATAGATGGCTTTTATTACCTCAAGGTGTGTCCCTTCTATGCCAATTTTGCTGAGGGTTTTAATCATATAGGGATGCTGGATTTTGTCAAATGCTTTTTCTGCATCTATTGAGATGATCATATGATTTTTGTTTTCACTTTTTTTTAATGTGGTGTATCACATTTGACTTGTGTATGTTAAACCAGCCCTGCATCCCTGGTATAAAACCCGCTTGATCATGGTGGATTATCTCTTTGGTATGCTTTTGAATTCAGTTAGCTAGTATTTTGTTAAGGATTTTTGCATCTATGTCCATCAGGGATATTGGTCTGTAGTTTTATTTTTCTTTTGTTACATCCTTTCCTGATTTTGGTATTAGGTGATACTGGCTTCGTAGAAGGATTTAGGGAGGATTCCTTTTTTATCTTTTGCAATAGTTTCAGTAGGATTGGTATCAATTCTTTTTTTTGAATGTCTGATAGAATTCAGCTGTGAATCCACCTGGTCCTGGACTTTTTTTTGTTGGCAATTTTTTTATTACTCTTTCAGTCTTGCTACTTGTTATTTGTCTGTTAAGAGTTTCTGTTTCTTCTGGGTTTAATCTAGGAAGGTTGTATATTTCCAGGATTATTTATCTCCTCTAGGTTTTCTAGTTTATGCTCATAAAGGTGTTCATAGAAACCTTGAATATCTTTTGTATTTCTATGGTATTGGTTGTAATATCTCCTATTTTGTTTCTAATTGAGTTTATTTGGATCTTCTCTCTTCTGTTTTTTTTTTTTTTGGTTAATCTCACAAGTGGTCTATCAATTTTGTTTATCTTTTCAAAGAACCAGCTTTTTGTTTCATTTATCTTTTGAGTTGTTTTTTTCTTTTAATTTCATTTGGTTCTGCTCTAATCTTTGTTATTTCTTTTCTTCTGCTGGGTTTGGGTTTGGTTTGTTCTTGTTTCTCTAGTTTCTTGAGGTGTGAGTTTAGGCTGTTTATTTGTGCTCTTAGACTTTTTGATTGTAGACACTTAATGCTATGAACTTTCCTCTTGGCACTGCTTTTGCTGTATCCCAGAGGTTTTGATCAGTTGCATCACTATTATTGTTCAGTTCAAATAATTTTTTAATTTCCATCTTGATTTCATTGTTGACCCAAGGATCATTCAAGAGCGTATCATTTAACTTCCACGTATTTGTATAATTTTGACTGTTCCTTTCGGAGTTAATTTCCAATGTTATTCCACTGTAGTCTGAGAGAGTACTTGATATAATTTCAATTTTCTTAAATTTATTAAGACTTGTTTTGTGGCCTATCATATGGTCTGTCTTGGAGAATGTTCCATGTGCTGATGAAAATAATGTATATTCTGCAGTTGTTGAGTAGAACATTCGGAAAATATCTGTTAAGCCCATTTGTTCTACGGTGTAGTTTGCGTCTGTTGTTTCTTTGTTGGCTTTCCATCTTGATGACCTGTCTAGTGCTGTCAGTGTAGTGTTGAAGTCCCCACTATTATTGAGTTGCTGTCTATCTCATTTCTTAGGTCTAGTAGTAATTGTTTTATAAATTTGGGAGCTCTAGTACTATGTGCACATACATTTAGGATTGTAATATTTTTGTATTGAACTACTTCTTTTATCATTATATAATGTCCCTCTTTGTCTTTTTTAACTGTTGTTGCTTTAAAGTCTGTTTTGTCTGCTATAAGAATAGCTAGTCCTGCCCACTTTTGGTTTCCATTTGCATGGAATATCTTTTTCCACTCCTTTACCTTAAGTTTATGTGAATCCTTATGTGTTAGGTGAGTCTCTTGAAGACAGCAGATACTTGGTTGGTAGATTTTTATCCATTCTGCAATTCAGTATATTTTAAACGGAGCCTTTAGGCCATTTACATTCAGTGTTAGCATTGAGATGTGAGGTACTGTTCTATTCACATTCTAGTTGTTGCATGAATACCTTGGTTTTTTTTTCACTGTGTTACTGTTTCATAGGTCCAATGAGATTTATGCTTTAAGAAGGTTCTATTTTAGTGTATTTTGGGGTTTTGTTTTAAGGTTTAGGACTCCTTTTAGCATTTCTTGTAGCACTGCTTTGGTAGTGGTGAATTCTCTCAGTATTTGTTTGTCTGAAAAAGACTTTATATCTCCTTCATTTATCAAACTTAGTTTCACTGGATACAAAATTCTTGACTGGTAATTATTTTGTTTAAGGAGGCTAAAGATGGGATCCCAGTCACTTCTGGCTTGCAGGGTTTCTACTGAGAAATCTGCTGTGAATCTGATAGGTTTTCCTTTATAGGTTACCTGATGCTTTTGCCTCACAGGTCTTAAGATTCTTTCCTTCATCTTGACTTTAGATAACCTGATGACCATGTGCCTAGGTGATGATCTTTTTGTGATCAATTTCCTGGGTGTTCTTTGAGCTTTTTGTATTTGGATATCTAGATCTCTAGCAAGACCAGGGAAGTTTTCCTTGATTATTCCCTCAAATAAATTTTCTAGACTTTAAGATTTCTCTTCTTCCTCAGAAGCACCATTATTCTCATGTTTGGTCATTTCACGTAATCCCAAATTTCTTGGAGGCTTTGTTCATTTTTTTTAATTAGTTTTTGTCTCTGTCAAGTTGGGTTAATTCAAAAGCCTTGTCTTCAAGCTCTAAAGCTATTTCTTCTACTTGTTTGATCCTGTTGTTAAAACTTTCCAGTGTATTTTGCATTTCTCTAAATGTGTCTTTCATTTCCAGAAGTTGTGACTGTCTTTTCTTTATGATATCTGTTTCTCTAGAGACTTCATCCATATCCTGTATTGTTGTTTCAATGTCTTTAAATTGGTTTTCACCTTTTCCTGGTGCCTCCTTGAGTAGCTGAATAATGAACCTTCTGAATTCTTTTTCTGGCAATTCAGATTTCATCTTGGTTTGAGTCCGTTGCTAGAGAGCCAGTGTGATCTTATGGGAGTGTTTTAGAACCTTGTTTTATCATATTACCAGAATTACTTTTCTGTTTCCTTCTCATTTAGGTAGACTGTTTCAGTGGAAACATCTGGAACTCAAGGGCTGCTGTTCAGGTTCTTTTGTCCCATGGGGTGATCCCTTGATGTGTTGCTCTCCCCCTTTCTCTAGGGATGGGGCTTCCTGAGAGCCAGACTGCAGTGGTAATTATTGCCCTTCTGGGTCTAGCCACCCAGTGGGGCTGCTGGGCTCCAGGCTGGTGCTGGGGAATGTCTGTAAAGAGTCCTGTGATATGATCCATCTTCAGGTCTCCCAGTCTTGGATACCAGCACCTGCTCCAGTGGAGGTGGCATGGGAGTGAAGTGGACTCTGGGAGTCCTTGGTTGTAGTTTTGTTTAGTGCAGTGGTTTTCTCAAATGCTGGTTACACCAGCAGTAAAATTGCCACATGGACAGACTCAGGACCTCTGGTTAGCCAGGATGTTGCAGGCAGTGGCATTAGCTGTTGTTTGCTCCTTTGAAGCAAGGTTGTTCTGTTATGAGTTGCTGTAATGGCTTGAGTTGGTTGGCCTCCAGCCGGGAGGTGGTGCTTTCAGGAAAGCGCCAGCTGCAGTAGTAGAAGGGGATATAATTCTGCCCTACATTGGCCAGGATGAGTACTCGGGTTTCTTAGGCAATGGACAGGACCACAGAACTTCCAAAAGATTATGTCTTTTTTCTTCAGCTACCAGGGCAGGTAGAGACAAACCATCAGGTGGGGGCAGGGTTAGGCGAGTCTGAGCTCAGACTCTCCTTGGGCAGGGCTTCATGTTAGTTTCTTTATTTAGGGCTGATGAGAAGGCGGTGCAGAAAGGTAGCTCGTGCAAGTCTTTGAGGTAAAAAGTGGTGGAGCTGGAATTCAAATCCACCCCTACACCCACACATGTAAGCACTTTGGGGAATCTGCCCAGTGAGTTTAAAATACAATTCCATTTGCTCTGGTTCTATTAAATTCCCCTGGCCAATATGCACTGATAGGCCAGGAGCAGGAAAGGCATTCCTACTGTCTCTGAGCCTCCCTGCAAGCAGCTTGAGGAATATATACCTGGCCTGTGGGTCTCAGCAAGTTCCCCAACCCTAGAGGCCCTTCAAACCACGCAGGGAAGGAGAGCTTTGGCGGGATGTGGCCAAAACTGACTCAAGCCTGGTGTACAGACAATTTGGGATGGCACGGAGTTTTTGTCATCCACTGGGAAGTTGCTTAATCTTCCTCCAGTCCAACACATTTCCCCTTTTTAAATTCTAGTTAAAAATCAGACTGTGCCCCCTACCCTCAATAAAAGAAATGAAAGTTTGAACTCAAATATTATGAGGCAGGCCAGGCACGGTGGCTCATGCCTGTAATCGCAGCACTTTGGGAGGCCAAGGCGGGTGGGTTACCTGAGGTCACAAGTTCAAGACCAGCCTGGCCAACATGGTGAAACCTCATCTCTACTAAAAATACAAAAATTAGCCAGGCATGGTAGTGAGCGCCTATAATCCCAGCTACTTGGGAGGCTGAGGCAGGAGAATCACTTGAACCTGGGAGGCAGAGGTTGCAGTGAGCTGAGATTGCACCAGTGAACTCCAGCCTGGGCAGCAAGAGCAAGACTCCATCTTGGAAAAAAAAAAAAAGAAAAAGAAATATTATGAAGCAGACCAGACACAGTGGCTCACGCATGTAATCTCAGCATTTTGGGAGGCAAAGCCAGGTGGATCACTTGAGGCCAAGAGTTCGAGACCAGCCTGGCGAACATAGTGAAATCCCACCTGTACTAAAAATACAAAAATTAGAGCCGGGTGTGGTGGCACACACCTGTAGTTCCAGCCATTCGGGAGGCTGAGGCATGAGAATTGCTTGAGCCCAGGAGGTGGGGATTGCAGTGAGCCAAGATCATGCCACTGCACTCCAGCCTGGGTGACAGAGCAAGACTCTGTCTCAAAAAAAAAAGAGAGAGAGAGAAATATTATGGAGCAGTACAGAAATAGACAGTGGAGTGATGTTGACCAGGGGATGGGGCAGGGGGATGTGGGGAATTTTCATACAATGGGTGTAAAGTTGCAGTTATACAGATGAGTAACTTCTGGAGGTATGTTGTACAACATAGTGCCTGTAGTTAATAGGAAGATATTTACTTCAAAATGTGTTCAGAGGGCAGATCTCATGTTATATCCTTACCTCCCCACTGCCCCCCCCAAAAATAGACACAAGCAAACTTTATGTTTGTTACTGGATTGTAGTGACAGTAACATGAGTGTATGCATATGCCCAAACTCACTAAATTACATCCATTATGTGCGGCTTTCTGCAAACGAGTTATACGTCAATAAAGCTAGGGCAAAGAGGGAAAAAATGCAACCAGAAAGAAAAGACGTTGCCTACAGAGAAACTACAGTTAAACTGACAGGTTTGTCCGTATCAAAAATAGAAGCCAGATGACAATGGAACAAAATGTTTAGCAGATAACAGGCACTCGGCAAATGAGCAATAAACCTTGCTACACCTCTCAAAAAAAATGTTATGGAGAGATAATCAATCACTCTCTCAGTGTTTGTTTTCCTTTCTCCTGGAGTGCAGTGTTACTCACTCCCAAGTCCCTAGGGCCCTAGAGAAAGTTCTCCTGGGAAAATTAAAGAGAGACAGAAACAGAAAGCTGTCACATGGGAAAACAATTCTAATGTTTTTGTTTCTCCAATGAGGAAAGTAACAGAGAAGCAGATTTTGCTAAAGAATTAGTACTTCTTAACATTCCAGGTTTTCCCCAAGACAGAAAGGGAGGGTGGGAGGCAGTGGGTTCCTGTCCTGGGACGTGTTCACCGAGAGCCTGGACATCACGTGGTAGAAATGTCCCAGAGGCCATAAGGAAATGCCTGTCCGATGGCCTTGCAGCATCCTCCAGGGCTCTGAGAGGTACTCTAGGATGAGGCACTGGCCCTTTGCTGGGTGACTGTCTCTGACCAGGTAATAGGACTCTGAGAGAAGCCCAGGGGAGTTAGCAAGAGCCACACAGCCCAAAGCACTGCAATGCTCTATAGAACAGCAATCCTGAAATGTGGACTTTGTCACCACCCTTGGGTCACAGCCACTCCTCTGACAGCACTATGCTCACTTTCCATTTTCCATTCATTGACAAATGCCTGTTGAGTATGCTGCATGGGCCAGACTCCACAGGGAGCGGATGGGGGGGTCAGCCTGCTTGCTTTGCACCCTGTCTGTAACCCTGCCAGCAGCCCGTGGGCTCTGTGCAATGGAAGTGAGACTCTGGGAGGTTAAGTAACCAACCTCAGCACGTAGCCAGGAAGTGGCAGATCCTGGATCCCAGCTTTCTCCAACTCCACAGCTCTTTCCACCCCATCCTGCAGTCCTGTGCTGACCCAACGTTCTTTAGCCGGGTTGGGAGAAAGAACATCGGTAGCTGTCTTCCCGCCTTGGGCCTTGTCTCCTAGGATCTGGAAGTGTTCAGGGGGACATCCAATCAGTGGCAGCCTCCCTCCCAAAGGTGGTGGAAGTCCCCATTTGCTGGGGAAAACCCTGTTTCTTGGAAAGCACCGGCAGAGGCTGGCCGTGGGCTACTGTGCCAACCCAGGGAGTGCATGTGGCTCTGCCTGGGATCAGCAATAAGGCTCGTGGTCCTCACTGGGTGCCCCAGCCCCCTACCTTTGAAGCCACCATGCTCTCTTCAATTGCTACCTAGCTCTGTGCATGGAGAGGCTGTGCATGACCTGGACCCAAAATAGGTACAGGGAGGAGCAATTAAGAATCAGGAGGCTCTGAAGTTGGACTGGCCAAGGTGGAGTCGGGCTTCACCACTCACTGGTTACCTAATGTTAAGCACAACATTTAATCTCTCTAAGCCTCCATTTCTTCGCTATGAAGTGGGTCTGCCAATCACCTGCCAGTCACTGTAAGGAGTAGATGAGATGAGCCGTATTACCACTTAGCATGGGGCCTGGTGTGAGAAACTAGCTACTCTCACTGTTGGAGGGAGAGTCATGATCATTCTTGTTTTTGACCATGCCACTGAGCAGGTCCTGGCCTAAGAGAAAGCACTTTTCCTCCTGAGCTTCCTTTTTTTTTTTTTTTTCCTGGTGAAATGAGTGATCTTGACAACATCACCTATAAGGATCCCTGCAGTGTTTACAACTTGGTGACTCTGGCTGGATGACTTTTAGGTAGTCCAGATTCTAAGGTCACCCCTGGAATCTGGTTTTATCTGCAGACTTTTCTTTTATAAATTGGTTTCTTAACTCCAATATTCAATCTTACTCCCAGGAGCATCTAGGGAATGTGGGTGCGTTTAACATCCAGATGTTAGGCATGAATGGCATTATCGATGATCAGCTGATGCCTCTGGCTGAGAAGTCCACTCTCCTTGCTGTTGGCCCCTGTACAAAAAAAAAAAAAAAAAAAAATTCCTTCTCAGGGCTTTCTCAGCCAAACAGCCTTACCAGGAGGGAGGCAAAGAAAAGGCCAGTGGCTCCGAGAACCTACAGATCTGAAAAACTTCTAGCCTGTCATGGAATACTGGCTGTGTCCTCTAGAGACCTGAGCCTTGCTTGGATCCCTTTCCCAGGATCTCTAGATCTTGGGAGGAGACAAAAGTAATGATGGAGACCTGCCCCCATTTCCTCTACCTACCACAAAGTATTGCAAACTGGATGGCTCAAAACAATAGAAGTTTATTGTTTCACAGTTCTGCAGGCCAGAAGACAAAAATCAGGGAGTCTGTGATGGTTGCTTCCTTCTGAAGGCTGTGCAGGAGTCTGTTCTGTGCCCATCTCCCAGCTTCTGGTGTCTGCCGACAGTCTTTTGCATTCCTTAGCTTGTGGATGCATCAGCCCAATATCTGCCTCAATCATCGCATGGTCTCTTCCCTGTGTGTGAGTCTTCACATCTTCCCTCTATGCACATCTGTCTCTGTGTCCAAATTTCCCCCTTCTGTAAGGACACTAGTCATGTTGGATTAGAGTCCACCCTGATGGCCTCATTCTCACTTGATTTAACTGTGTTACCTCTCTAAAGGCATTTCTAATAGGGTAACATTCTGAAGTACTGAGAATCAGGACTTCAATATATACTTTTGGGGGGACACCATTCCACCTATAATAAGGTCCTTGGACTATTTTCATTACTTCCAAGGGTATAAGAATTAAACATTTCTTCCTACTGATTCTTAATAATTCTGTTTATTAAGTGCACGGACTCTAGAGATTACCTGGGTTTGAATCTTGGCTCTGCCACTTACTAGCTGTGTGATCTTGGGAAACTTATTAGGCCCCTATATGTTCAGTTTCCTCAACTGTAAAATAAGAATAATAATAATATTTACACCTCTTAGAATTCATATAAACATTAAATAAAAACACATTTACAATGCCTCATCTTATCACTCTTCTATATCCTACCACGTTTGGAAAAGGCTCCATCTAATAAAAACAGCAGAAGTATCTACAATACTTACCATGTGCCAGGCACTAGTCCAAATACTGTTGTGTACATCAACGCATGGCATCATCGCAGCAACTTTCTAAGGTGGGTGCTAGTGTCATCCCTGTTATACAGAAGCAAAAACTAAGCCCTAGAGTGATCAAGTCCTATAGGTACAGCCCTGCAGCCACTAAGGGGAGAAGTTAGGACCCAAATCCAGATTTGTCTGACTCCAGGGCCTTTTAGGAGCCACTGGGACTGGTTGACTTTCTAGGAATAATAAAAGGGTCTTGTAAGGATGAAAAGAATCACAGGCCACCACCTTCACTTGCCCAGAAAGTCACTCTGTTTTCAAAGGCCTGATTCTGGAGGCTTTTCCTATTATGGCGGACTGTGCTCAGAAAACACACTCGTTTCTTTACAACAGGCCCCGTACATGAAGGGCATGTGTCTCTCTTCCAAGCCCCAGGATGACTTTGGAAGGCCCCCACCCCAACCCAGGAGAGCCAGGAAGAAGCAAACCATGATGCCTTCCCCCCAGGGAACAATGGTCATTTGCCTGACATCTTGACTCTGTGGTTTTGTGTCTTCTAGGGAAGTCTGTTAGAACTGCTGTGCTGATCAACGGGACGCTCCGTCTTTGAAGAAAGAAGAGATGGTCTCTCCCCAGCCATGGGCCACCCTTGCCAGTGACTCCAAGTGGAACTACTTAGCTCGCGTGTGCCTGGAGGGTGCGGGAAGTCCAGCGACTCTCAGACGCACCTCCCAGAGGACCGGTGGGAATTGTTCATAGTGCCAAAGTCCTACTACTGCGTTTTCAATGGGTCCTTGTACATAGTTTGCTCCTCTGCCCTAGCCCTCACCTCTTGCTATACTGGAACCGATTTGTACAATGTGGGAATTTTGTTACCTTTTTAATCAAGGGCAACTTCCTTTTCCAGCACTACCATTGTAAGGTTTTTTTCAGGAGGGAGGGCTAACCACCTTGCTTTTCTCTTTTCTCTTTTTCTTTTTTTTATTTTTGTTTTATTAATTTGGGGAAAGGGGTGTTAGCATTAGTGCCATGATATCTACTGGATTTTAAGTAGGGAGACTTTATTTTTAAAGGTAGGTTGAAATTTGGGAGATTTCTCGGCAGGAAGGGCTGAAATCCAGGCCCCTGTCTCAACTTGGAGAGAGGTGACAGACGGCAGATCTTCCAAATCAAATTCCTTTCCAGTTCTTCCCCTGGCTGCCTTTTTGGGGGTCCCTGCCTTAGCCCCACACAAGGCTTTCTGAACTGCCAAGAGGGGATCTGGCTTCTCAACTGCTCGGCCTCTTGGGCCAGGCTGTGCCCAGCCAGCCCTGGGAGAACTGGGTAGCAGGTGGCTGACTTCTTTAAGCACCTTTCTAAATACCAGCAGAAGAGGCTCCCGCCTCTGTTAGCATGATCAGTACTATTGTGACATTAAAACAACAACAATAAGATCTTCCTATCTGGAGGGTACAGAGGTGAATGGCTTTGGTTTTCATTTCTCTTCTTCACTGCCTTTTCTCGGTGTGGTATTTGACAAGATTTTAGCTCAAAGCCTCACCATGAATTGATTTTTTTTGTTTGTGTGTGTGTTTGTTTTGGGACAATTTTAGATACCTGAGTGCACTTTTTCAGTTAGTCCTAACTTTTAAAAGAAGGAAAACCAAGAGACATATCTGGTGTACGTGTTGCAGTATGAACTCTGGTTGCAATCCCTCCCCGTCCCACACTGCCCCCCATTTGAGTACACCGCACAAGTCAAACGCTAGGAAGTTTGAATAAAACCAATTTTTCTAACTTGTTGCTCATTTGTTGTAACTCAATAAAGCAAAGACTAAACATTTTTATAACCTTTTCCTCTACTTCGCCTTCTTTATTGTCGTCTGGCTCCCGAGGGCTTGGTGTAAGGGTTCTGACTTGGATACCTCCCGTTTCAAATTCATTTTCCATCCTGGAGGGATCTGACATCGCAAACTGGACTTTAAAAATGGGACGTAGGCCCAGCGCAGTGGCTCACGCTGTAATCCCAGCACTTTGGGAGGCCAAGGCGGGTGGATCACCTGAGGTCAGGAGTTCAAGACCAGCCTGGCCAACATAGTGAAACCCCATTTCTACTAAAAATACAAAGATTAGCTGAGTGTGGTGGTGTGCACCTGTAGTCCCAGCTACTCAGGAGGCTGGAGAATCGCTTGAACCTAGGAGGCGGAGGTTGCGGTGAGCCAAGATGGCGCCACTGCACTCCAGCCTGGGCAGCGAGAGTGAAACTTTGTCCCCTCCCTCCCCCCACCGAAAAAAAACTGGATGTAAGTGTTGTAGGAATCTTCAGCAGATCTCATCGACACAGAGAAGGAAGGTATAGGCCCTTCCTTCTCCCGGGTCTCACAAATAGATTCATAAAATAGTCAAGAGAAGAGCTTCAGAGTGGGAATGAGAAGCCCCTCTGTGCACAGGCTCGCCCTTGGATGACCTGAGCTAAGTCGCTCCCCCTCCCTGGGCTGCTGGCGAGTGGTAGCTGGGGCACTGCCATTTCTCTGAGAAGGTGGCTTTTAAGTATCTCTGCCCTGGTGAGGTTTAAAGAGTCCCTCACTCTTCACACCTGACACTCGTCTAGACCAGTGGTTCTCAAACATGAGTGGGCACCAGCATCACCTGGAAGGTTGGTTAGACTGTCTGATCGGCATGTCTGGGGTGGGAACCGAGAATGTGCATTGCTAACAAGTTCCTCACCTTGGGAACCTCTGGTCTAGATGGTTCATTTTTACGGGAACTTACAGACTTTTGGCCAGTTTATCTAAACTTAGCATGTGTTTATTCTACAGATAACGGGAAAGACCCACTTCCCAAAATACAGGAAACACTGAAAAATTCAAGATTCAAAAGGGCCTGGCCTTCTCTGGGGGATTCCCTCAGTCCCCCATCCTGTGGGCTCCCATGACACCCTCTCTGCACATAGCCCTCACCACACAGCTCTCGGATTCATTTGGTCAGCTTGTCGATTCCCCCAAGCTGAGAGCAGGGGCCATAGATTTTCCATAACTTTACACCTCTCCAAAATTCCGCTAATTCTCTTTACCACTCAGCAAAGTTGAATGTAGACAGCGATTCAAAAATAAAAATAGGCCAGGTACAGTGGCTCACACCTGTAATCCCAGCAATTTGGGAGGCCGAGGCGGGCGGATCACTTGAGGCCAGGAGTTCGAGACCAGGCTAACCAACATGGTGAAACCCTGTCTCTACTAAAAATACAAAAATTAGTTGGGTGTGGTGGTATGTGCCTATAATCCCAGCTACTGGGGCTGAGGCACAAGAATCACTTGAACCCAGGAGGTGGAGGTTGCAGTGACCCAAGATCACTCCACTGCACTTCAGCCTGGGCAACAGAGCAAGACTCCATCTCAAAAATAAATAAATAAAAGTAAAAATCATAGCTATCTTTTTTATTGAGCACTTATTATGGGTTGGGCTTTGCGCTGAGTGCCTTACATACATTTTCTTATTTTATCTTTACAACCCTGTGAGATAGGTGCCCCCATTTTGCAAATGAGGAAACTGAGGCTTAGGTTTTGTAACAAGCCCAAGAACATGCAGATACTAAGCGGTTGTCATGGGAGCCTACTAATTTTGCCTATTATGTGTCCCTTACCTGCTGCTTCTGGTAAAAGCAGCCTCTTTTCTATGGGAACTGCCCTCCCCATTCCATGAGGCTGTGCTGTGACTATTGACAGACCTGCTCAAGCAACATGATCCAAGCCTAGCCAATCATAGTTCCCGTCCCCTGGCCCTAGTGATGGCATGTGGGTCAAGCAGGGCCAACCAAGCCTCTTCTTGAGAGATGGCTGTAAAGAGAAAAAAAGCTCATTCTTTCTGCTTAGGTAGCTAAATTAAGAAGATGTGGGCCAGGCCAGGTGCAGTGGCTCATGCCTGTAATCCCAACACTTTGGGAGGCTGAGACGGGTGGATCACAAGGTCAGGAGATCAAGACCATCCTGGCTAACATGGTGAAACCCCGTCTCTACTAAAAAACACAAATACAAAATTAGCTGGGCGGGGTGGCGGGCACCTTAGTCCCAGCTACTCAGGAGGCTGAGGCAGGAGAATGGTGTGAACACGGGAGGTGGAGCTTGCAGTGAGCCAAGATCGCGCCACTGCACTCCAACCTGGGCAACAGAGTGAGACTCCATCTCAAAAAAAAAGAAAGATGTGGGCCTGGGGCTGACTGCAGCTATTTTCTCTGCCATGGGGAGGATGTCTCTCTACAAAACATAAAAACTCAGTGAGAAAAGCAAATATTTGCTAGTATTACAGTTGTTGGAATATGGCATAGTAGATAAGTTGCTTGAACAAGGAAACACCAAAATGCAGTGTTTGAAACAAGATAAAAGTTTATTTCTGTCTCAGGCAACAGTCCAGGGTGGGCCATCAGGCAGTGCTCCACAGAGCCATTCAGGGACCCAGGGTGCCAAGCAGCCCTGCTGTCCTCAGCAGGCGCCTTCCATCTCTAGATCAGAACTGACTGCTTCAATTCCTCATCCACGTGGCCAAAAGTCCACTTCTACATTCCAGCCCTTGAGAAACAGGAGAGCAAGAACTTCAGTTTTAAGGTCATGAAACAGAAACTGGTCACTTCAGTTCCTATCCTATTGGCCAAAACCTAGACATGGTGACACCTCAATGGAAAGAAAGTTGGGGATGTAGGCTCTGGATAGGTGGCCAAGAACCAACAGAGAAGGGGCTCTGTATCTGAAAGGAAGAAGGGGAGAGTGGATATCAAGGATAGAGCAATCTCAGGTCAAGTTTACCTCCACCCTCCCCAGTTACATGAGCCCAGAATGAACTATTTATGTTTTCAGCTGGTTTACTAGGGTTTTTGGAACTTAAAACCAAAAATCATGATCAATATAGTCTTGAAGCCTCAGTCTCCCTGACTGGTGCTCTCAGGGGCTGCAGGGGCTGAATCACAGAGGAGAGGGTCCTGGAGTAGATAGAATGGAAGGACTGGCAGGTGAGTGCAAGATCACATCTAAAGAGGGCTTATTTGGAGTGTCAGACCCACTAGATGAGAAATGGGAGACAAAGAAAGAGGTCTTGAGCAAAGGGCCCCAAGTCCACATTGAGTCAAAAGGATGACAACAGGTGAGTTTCAGCCTTCTGCCATGAGCGAAGTGGGCCCAGGTATGTCTTTATTCCTCTTGAGTTCCAGTGACATCAAGAAGCAGAAGGTAAGGCAACTAAGTGCACAGGCTCGAGTCACGCTGCCTGAGGTCAAATCTCAGCTCTGCCACTTACTAGCTGTATGACCTTGGGCAAGTCACTTATTCGCTCTGTGTCTCAGTTCACTCACCTGTAAAATGAGATAATGATTGTGTCTATTCATATCGTGGCAGGTACCATGAGTCAGTATAGGGAAAGCATTTAGAATAGTTCCTCGTATCTATTAAATTCTCAGGGTTGCCATTGTTATTCCTGGGTGCATAATGCATGGATGGATTGACCCAAATTAAAATTATAGGGATTGGACAGACTCCCTCCCCCTTTTTATGAATATCAGCATCTAGCACATTTGTGTTGTTGGAGAGTTCTTGTCCTTGACTAGAAGCCTTGCAATCCTGCAGCAGCCATTGACTGTGAGCTCCAGTTGCCTTGGAGATACCTTCCATCAACGTCTATCCTCAGACCTCCCTCACCACTTCCTCATTCTTTCTCAGTCCCCTGCACTCCTCCAGTCTGTGGCATAGGCAGGATGCAAGGATGTCTTCTCCCTAATGAACTCTTCTCAGTCCCTCTCAAAGCTCACACTCCAGATGCCACACTCCACCTGGTCCATTCTAAGAGCACCTGATCTCTCTGTTATGATCTCTGCTCAAGTGTCACCTGCCCTCCGTGACCCCCTGTCTGCAGAGGTAGGACTAGGGTGAGTCAAGGAACGCACCTAAGGGTGCAAAGTTTAAGGCAGAAAGGTCATGCAGGTGACAAACCCTGCACTTGCAGAAGCCTGAAAGTGGGTGCCTGCCAAGATTTCTCATCCTAGGTGCCTCATGTGCCTCACTCTAGCCCTGACCCTGCCTACCCTTCATGCTTTTCTCTAACCATGCTTCATTATCTTCCGTCTTGCTTTTCACAACATATCGTCATGTATCTGTTTGTTTTTTGCCTTCTTCATCCCACTATATTGCAAGCTCCATGAGAGTAAGGACTGTATCTATCTTGTTTCCTCACTGTATCCCCTGTGCCTAGCACTGCATCTGGCACAAAGTAGATGCTCCATAAATATTTGTTAATGGATGGATGGGTGAATGGATGGATAATAGATGGGTAGATGATGGATAGATTATGAATAGACGGATGATGGATGGATGGATGAAGACTGCCAGCTCTGCAGTCAAACAGCCTGAGTTTGAATCACAGCTCTACTGCTGACCAGTTAGGTGATCTTGTGGGAGTTACTTAGCTTTTGTTGGAGCCCTGGTTCCTCATCTGAGACCTGGAGATGATTATACTCACGTAATAGGTTTGGTGTGAGGTTTAACTGAGTGCATGGGAGCAAAATACTCAACACACAATAAGAGCTCTACAAATGTCCATTCCCCTCCCACCGCTCTATGCAGGGAGTGACATCAACCCAAGCAGTGTGATACCTGTGCCTTTCCATCCCTGGATAGGAAGTTTGTGTGAGAAGGGCAGCCAGGAGGAAGTCGGATCCAGGTCTAGGAAATGATATTCCAGACATGTGCTTCTGGCATTGGAGACTTTGCCATATGTAGCCAACGCTGTCTTTAGCACCCTCTACCCCCAAACTCTTCCCTAACCCACAAACATTCCAAAATTCCAACCTGCACTTTTCTTTAAAAAAAGTTAAAGTTGCTGTGGCTAACTCATCTCCCAGTTCCTGCCTGCACTGCCTTCCCTGCCTGTGCCCCCAGCACCTGAACCTTCCCCAGACCTCATCACCCACATACTGTCTTGTCCTCCCTCCCATTAATGAACATTTCCAACACTCTCTCCCTTGACAGGTGGCTGCCTTCCCCTCCTGCCATTTACCACCCTTGTGCTTAAGCTTGCCACTCCAAGGCAATTTAAATAAATCTTTCGAGCAAGATGGTATGAGATGCTATCAAATGCTTGAAGGACCCAAAGAGAAAGCCTTGATAATTGATGGGGATGAAAATACAATGGGAAGATGGGTGTGCTCTTTTAAACACCCAGCAAAATATGTCAAGATATCTTCCTCCACTGGAAATGATTAAAGAGTGGCAGAAACTAGGAAGGAGGTTCTTAGGGGGAATAGAGGGGCAGGATTCTTGGTGAGGTGGAAGAGAGTGGTGGGGTGGAGCGACCATCTGCTGCTGCTTCTGTCTGCCCTATACCTCTTGAACTCCTTCTCTTCCTTGAGGATGTACTCATATCTCCCTCCACTCATCTCATTCTTGGGGCTTCCCATCATGGTGACCCACTCTCCGATCTACAGCAGTGACCCACGGCACTCTAGTACCCTATTCAGGGACAGGTACAGTACCACGCATAAGACCCAAACAGCACCAAGTCAGATACTGGGAGGAAGAGCTTCCTTTCCCATTTAGATGGTAAGTGCAATCATGTTAGCTTGGAACCACCAGTGGCCAAAGCCCCTGCCAGGGAGAGGAAGCCAGTCCTTAAGTAGAGAGAATGGGGCCACAAACTCAAGAGGCAAGGGAGCAATAAAGGATGGAGCAAGGGATGATGATGGTGGCGGTGATGACGGCAGTGGTGATGACAATGTTGATAATCATGTGAATCCCTGGAGCCTGCCATTCCTAAGGCCAACTCCTTGTCTTTCCAGTTTCATAAAAACCAACATATTTTCCTTTTTAGCTTAAGCTTCAAATCTTTTGAGTTGGGTTTCTGTCACCAGAAACTCAAAGAGTTCTGGTGGGTTAATGAAATTATGAGATAAAAATGAAAGGAAAGACAGCAATTGTAAATAGCCATGTTGGCTAGTGGCTTCAGTATTGGATGGTGCGGTTCTTAGTCCTTGCCATTCAAATGTGCTCCTGAATCAGCAGCATAGGTATCACCGGGAGCTTGTTAGAAATGCAGTATCTTTGGCCCCTATGCCAGACCTGTTGAATCAGATTCTGTAATTTGACAGGATCCCCAGATGATTCGTATGTTCAGTAAAGTTGAAGAAACCCAGCTCTGAAGACACTAAATGGCTCCTCCCCAACCTCCTCCAGCACACTAAGGGATGGGTGGCAAGTCTAATAATACATCACTGGCCTGTCTGCAGAGGGTAGACCCTAGGGCCTGGGAACAGGGAGGCAGAGGAAGAACAGGGCAGAAAGAGCATGGTCCACCAGCTGATGACACACTTGTCCTTCTAGGCCACCTGGTGCACAGCCACTTCCAACCAACAGTGCTTGGAAAGGATAGCTCTCACTGACCTGTCACAATGCAACCCAGAGAGAACCAGGAAAGATGTCAGCTCCCTCCTTCTAATCGCTGAAAGCTCCTGTCTCCAACATCTCACAGCTGGACATACGTATAAAGCACAGCAGAAAAATTATCATTGCCCTGGGCAGGGGAAGGGGGTTGATCGATAAAAATGAATAAAAAACACTTCATGAGCACATCCCATGACATGCTGCAAGTTGAGTATCCTGTAGAGTGTAGGAGGCATCCTGATCTTGACTTTGAGAAACTTAAAATCAGAGGGAGACCAAAATGTTCACCAGTAATTCTGAAACCTTCATCCATAACAAGCCCCCAAAGCACTACAGACTGCCTTAATCTGGATCCTTGCAGGAAAGAAATTGAACACTTACAATGGGTAAACTGGGAGTGGTTTATTAAAAAGGATTTTTATAAAGGTGTGAACAGGGTTTAGAAAAACTAACAAGGGAAGATGCAGAAAGCCTGGCTTGAAGGGACAAGGGATGGACAAAAGATGCCAAATGCACACTAAGCTTGCCGTCATACCCCACTCCACACCCACAGCAGATATTAATGATCAATCAAACTACCTTCGCCTGCTGGACTTGGTCAGGTCTTCATGATACTTAACACAATGCTCCACCACAAATCTATTAACCTTGGAACATGAGATGAAATATGTGATGGATGCCATTGGTTGCCCAACTAATATCCATCCCCCTATCCTTCCTTGCCAACAGAACCAAGATATTCCTCAGGCAGTGTCTTCATCTACTTGTGCTGCTATAAAGGAATAGTTGAGGCTGGGTAATTTATAAAGAAAAGAGGTTTATTTGGCTCATGGTTCTGTAGACTGTACAAGAAACGTGGTGCTACCATTTGCTTGGCTTCTGGTGGGGGTCTCAGGTTGCTTCCACTCATGGTAAAAAGTGAAGGGGAGCTGACTGTGCAGAGATCACATGAAGAGAGAGGAAGTAAAGTGGGGAGGGATGTCAGCTCTTTAACCAGCTCTCAGAGGAACTAATAGAGCCAGAACTCACCACAGAGATAGCACCAAGCCATTAATGGCGAGTCCACCTCCATGACCAAAACATCTCCCATTAGGCCCCACCTCCAACATTAGGGATCACATTTAAACATGAGATTTGGAGGGGTCAAACAAACCAAACTATAGCAGACAGTAGCATACCCATGCCCAGGTGAGAAACTCAGTTTCCCAGCTTCCCTTTCAGCTAGGTGTAGTTAGTGAGACATCACCAGAAGGCCACTGAATAGTTGGTGCTACTCTCCTTCTTTACTTTTTCTTGTCTTGTATGCATTTTGTGATCTCGAGACTGAGTTCTTTTTGACTTTAGAGTCCATGACCAAGTGCTGCAGCTTCCTGTTTCCAAACTTCTTGATATGTGAGAAAAGTAAACCCCTATTTGTTTAACCCATCACTCAGTGAATTTGTTTAACACATGCAATCAGATGCACTCATAATTAACACAAATCTATCTGCCATCCCTGGGCTAGATAGATATAAATCCTTTCTCTCATACATGCATTCATTTATCCCTATACTAACTGCCATGGTAAGATAAGTCAGGCATATACATTGCCTACACAAGGAAATTTGATCTATGTTTGAGGGATGAGTTTGACAAGTGGATAAATCAGAGGAAGGCACAAGAAGTATAAATAAGGGTATATACAATTTCAGAATTTTAAATAATAGGAATCCAACAAGCAGTCTATAATGTGTAACAAAAGAAGAAACCATCAATTTTGAGCAACGAGTTTTGGAAAACAATCAAGTCACCCTGACTCAAATCTGGTAAGAAAAAAACAGAAGTGCTTATCTACTTGGAAAGAACCTGAAAAATAGCCAAAGAATTATGCTATGAGTTTTTATGATGGGAAATCAGAAAGTGATTTGAGATTTCTCTTTTTTTGTTTGTTTTGTTTTGTTTTGTTTTGTTTTGTTTTGAGATGGAGTCTCGCTCTGTTGCCCAGTGGCATGATCTCGGCTCACTGCAACCTCCACCTCCCAGGTTCAAGCGATTCTCCTGTCTCAGCCTCCTGAGTAGCTGGGACTATAGACACACACCACCACGCCTGGCTAATTTTTTTTGTATTTTTAGTAGAGACAGGGTTTCACCATGTTGGCCAGGCTGGTCTCAAACTCCTGACCTCAAGTGATCCGCCCTCCTCGACCTCCCAAAGTGCTGGGATTACAGGCGTGAGCCACCGTGTTCGGCCTGAGATTTCTCAAAATAAGTAAAATATCATTTAAAAAAAAAGATGTAAAGTGAAAAAACATACATTTGAGGTTCTTTAACTTGGACTTTGCTTCCCATAGCTAAGTTTGTGTCACAAACCTTGGAATCGGATTCTTCTCTCCAAATTTATTCTCCAGCTCCTCCTTACTCAACCTCTCCTTCTCACTGGTCTGCTCATTTATCAACGAACATCCCTTAGGTTGATGCAGTTTCTCTTCTTAGAATGCTCATGCCTTCCCCTTTTCTTGCCTAAATTCTACCTAATTCTTCCAGTTCTACCAGACCAAATAAAGGTGAATACGGGGTGACAGAGAAACTAGATTTAAGAAAGACATATATATTCCAACTGGCTCTCAGGGAACTCTGTTCCTCTGAATTCCTGGAGCAATTACCACTGATAGGATTTATTTAGTTCTAATCATATATGGGTTTAGTTGTTTAATCTTCTCTCTCTGTGAGGATCCTCCTGGTCAGAAGGTGTGCTGAACATCAGTTTTCATCTCTCCAGCGTCCCTTCCCTCTCTCTTTTAGTAGCAATACACATACCCCTCCCCATTGGAGAAGTCTTCTAAGGCCCTGTTCTTTCCCTGTTTCAACTAAACACTGCTGGTGTGGCAATTATGATTGTCTGTGTGTCTGTCCACCATATGAGCCAAGGACCAGGTCTTTGTCTTTGTACGCTAACATTTAAAGCAAGCATACATTCAATCGTGAGTTGTATACATACATCTGTACCAGCAATACTAGGAGTTTAATTAGACTAGGGAATGATAGTAAGGTATTTGAAAAAAAAAATAACTTGTGGGAAAATACCCATGATAGGATAAAATAGATTAATGTTCATAAACTTCCTCCCTTCACCTCACCTGCCCAAGAGAACCTCTCACTGACAGCCCGATTCCCCTTTCTCCCCCATCTCACCAACATAGCACTGCCTGGATTTTTGGAGTGCAGAGTCAGAGTAAGCAAAGAAGGACAGCACCAGAGAGGTGGGATGAGAAGTAGAAGGACACTGAGAAAAAGGTTAATCAATCTACCTAATAAAAAATGGAGAGAGAAAAGAGAGGATGTTCAGGAAGTAGAAGTCACTGGGGCTGCTGGCAAAAGAAATAATTCTTCAAAGTTTTGGTTAATAAAGTCCTTCAGAGTGCGGGATATGAGAAAACCCGGCAAGAATCCAAAGAGGATGAAGACATGCCATGGATTAAACATGGAAGCCCGTTGAATGTCCTTTCAGAAAGATGAGGGAAAAAAATAAATTCTCTTTTAATGAAGTTTTGGCTTATTTGAACTGTGCCTCTATAACTGCTTCTAGGACTGGATCACGGGGGTCACAGCTTCAATAGTGCTACACAAGAAAGTCATCGCAGTACACGTGAAATGCAACTGGAAAACCAGCTGAAAACATATCCTGCTATCAATAGGATACACCTCATCACCCATTTCCATGGCCCATAATCATCCCCACTTTTGCCCATACTGTCCTCTGTCTGGTAGAAATTCTTCTGAACCCTGGAGTAGTCAGAAACACAGTTAAACAGTAGAGGACATGTGACTTTCCATCATCCCATGAACTATCCATGGTAAGGCCACCCCAGGATTCATGGGCTCTGAATTCTGGCCTCTGTTTTACCATTCATGGGTTCCATGACTCTGGACAAATCAGTCACTTCCCCTCATTGAGTCTCAGTTTCCTCATTTGAAAAATGAGAGGGTTTAGACCAGATGACCATGAACAGTTCGTTCTGACTCCGAGACTCTCCTGTGTAGGAGCCTGGACCAACACACCTCTGCAAAGTATCCAGGCTTCAGTTTCCTCCCTTTATCCTCAACCAAAGCCTTTGGGGGAGTTTTTAGGACAGCAGGGAGTTAAGTAAGCTTCTGGGCAATAGCACTAAATCTTTTGAGCAAAGATTGTCAGCAAGCCCCCCTGGGGAACTTTGAAGAAGCATCTGTGTCCATAAACAGTGTTTAATTAAAAAGCAATGTACAACAGAATGGAAAACTGAAAAGTAGGCTGTGGAGGAATATTTCTCCAAACCCAGAACATACCACTCTGTATCTCTCCTCAGACAAGCTACATCCACAATGCCATCTGTTTCAACACACACACACACACACACACACACACACACACACACACACACGCTTTGTTTGGGGTCATTTAAGTTTCCACCTGCTCTGGAAAGACAGCTGCCCTTGCTCTGTGCCTGGACAGTCTTCTAGGCTCCCAGGACGCCATCTCCACCCAACAGAGGTGGGTGAACCTTCCAGGGTCAACATGAGAACCAGGCTGAGAGCTGGGTTGGCCTTAGCAGGATACATTTCTCTCCAAGGGATTTTTAAATCCATGTGTGTTCCAGAGGAAGTTTTACATGGTGCTTCTGCCCCCCTTGTGTGCCAGATCATCAGCATATTGTGTAAGAATGGCTAGGGCTCCAGGAAGGACGCACTCCCATAGAACTTTAAAACTTTGATCCCCTGCCTTGGGAAACTGCATAATTTTCCACATCAGACGAACAAAGTTTGGACTTCAGCACTCTTCAAGACTGGATTCAGGAATCTGCCCAAAGACACATATCTAGTAAGTGTCAGAGCCAGGATTGAAACTGATTGGTTTCAGATTTCTCTGAAACCAAAGCCCAGACATTTAACCACAATATTCTAGCCACTCATCAAGTGGTTGTCATGGCTCAGAACTAATTACAACATTGGTAACAGCACAGGGGAGCACATACGTTCAAAACGGGCCGACATATTGGCATATGTGCCCCGGGTGTTATATCCCCTGAGGATTTCTTCAAACACTTCCAGTCCAGGAGAGTGGATAGTCTTCCTTTGTAGGAGTCTTTCTTTCATGTTTGTGGTCATGGAAGGCTGAGTGGGAATGGGAGGCATGGGCTGGAGACAGCCTTTCAAGGAGGCTTGAAGAGGAATAAAAACAGACTTTAAACAACGCGGGTATCAAATGACTTTAAAGATCAACTCCGGTTTACTCCTAAGAATGAAGGACCAGGAGACTAAAGGAATTTGAAATCCACATCATGACCTGTAAAACTTTGCTTTATGTGATTGCTTAATTCAACTGCCTCCCTAAACCAATTTTTCAATTTCTTCTCCTCATCACTTGAAGAAAGTTGAAAAAGGTGATGGAATGCCCAGTCTCTGTCTCTGGCAGAATTCTCACACACTGTTTTATAGTTATTCATCCATGTGACATAAGGTAAAGATCTTAACTTATTTATATTTATATCTTCAACATCTAACACATCATAAGGCTCTTGATAAATATTAGAGGTGGGAAAGAAGGAAATTTTGACTGGAAGGATATAAATAAAACAAGGATTTATATAACTCACATAAAGTTAGCAACCAAGAGTAGTACATAAATTTAAGATTTTTCTTATATAAAAACCAAGAGTGATATGTGGTCTTGAATGGATCCTGGTTTGAACAGACCAATTGTAATTGTAAAAGACATTTAGAGGCCGGATACAGTGGCTCACGCCTGTAAACCCAGCACTCTGAGAGGCCAAGGCAGGCAGGAAGCCTAAGGTCAGGAGTTCAAGACCAGCCTGGCCAACATGGTGAATCCTCATCTCTACTAAAAATACAAAAATTTAGCCAGGCATGGTGGCACGCGCCTGTAGTCCCAGTTATTCAGAAGGCTGACGCAGGAGAATAGCTTGAACCTAGGAAGTGGAGGTCGCAGTGAGCTGAGATCGCACCACTGCACTTCAGCCTGGGCGACAGAGAGAGACTGCATCTCAAAAAACAAAAACAAAAAAAAAGACAGTTGGACATTTGGAGGTCAATGGAGAAATTTGAATACAGATGAATCTTAGATAATATTAGGAAATTATTATTAACTATTAGGTGTGTTGATGGCACTGGAGTTGTGTAGGAAAATGTCCTCATTGATCCATAATGAAGGGATGAAATGTCATGAGAAATATAAAATTTACCTTTAAATATTTAAAATATTTCAGAAAAAAATGATGGAAGATTAGTAATGGTTAAATCTAGGTAATGAGTATACAGGTGTTTCTTACAGTATTCTCTTTGCCATTCTGTACACCTGAAAATTTTCATAATACAAAATTCCAATAAAGCAGTTTGCTAACATAAACACAGTGCAATTATCAAATTCAGGAAATTATCGTTGCTGCAATTATCTTATGTACAGCCTATATTCCAATTTTGCCAATTGTCTAGTACTGCCTTTATGCCAACTTTTTATTTCCAGGATCCAATTCTGAGTCACGTTTTGCATTTACTCGTCATGTTTCTCTGCTTTCCTCCAGTCTGAAACAGTCTCTTGACCTATCTTTGTTTCTCATGGCCCTGACATTTTTAAAGAATAAGGCTCACTGTTTTGTAGAATGTCCCTTAATTTGCAATTATATGGTTGTATCCTCAGGATTTGGTTCCCAAATACTACAGGACTTTTGCAGGAGTACTACATGTAGTGACCTTCTCTCTTTTTTTTGAGACAGTTTCACTCTTGTTGCCCAGGCTGGAGTGCAGTGGTACGATCTCAGCTCACTGCAACCTCCTCCTCCTGGGTTCAAGCCATTGTCCTGCCTCATCCTCCTGAGTAGCTGGGATGGCAGGTGCCTGCCACCATGTTGACTAATTTTTGTATTTTTAGTAGAGATGGGGTCTCACCATGTTGGCCAGGCTGGTTTCGAACTCCTGACCTCAGGTGATCCACCCACCTCAGCCCCCCAAAGTGCTGGGATTCAGGCGTGAGCCACCACTCCCAGCCTGTTGTGACCTTCTCAGTACAACACGTCAGGAGGTACCACATGTCAGTTTGTCCTATTATTGATGATGTTGATCTTGGCTGTTTGGTGGAAGTGGTTTCTGTCGTATTTCTCCAATGTAAAGACACCTCTTTTTCTCCTCTGTAAATGATCAGTCATCTGTGGCAGCTTTGAGACTATGTAAACATCCTGTTCCCCAACATTTCACCCAATGGTTTTGGCACCCACTGATGATGCTTGCCTGAATCATTAGTACTTCGATGGCTGCAGAACAGTGATTTTCTAGCTTAATCTTTCCTTCTACATATATTGGTTGGAAATGGGCCTTCCAAAGTGTTTGCAAATAAGATTTAACGAGCCTAAAGTCTGGAGACGGTGGGATTGCCTGGTTGGATATGAAGATGGATAACATCTTCATATCAATAGGTATGAAGATTATTTTTTATAAAAACGGCATCCTGCCATGCTCACTGTTTTATAACCTGCTCCTTTCATTTAATGAGACCTTTCCATTGTATAAACAGGCCATGATTTGTTTAACCAATCCCTTACAGGCAGACACACAAGTCTTTTTCAATTTTCTTGCTACTGTAATCTTTATTTATTCTTCTTTTCCCATTTATCTGATTGTTTCCTTAGGATAAATTGGAGAGATAAATTTGACTTCCAAGATCAAAGCCAAATCAGAAGGATTCAAGTCCTGCTTGAGTCATAGGCAGCAGTGTTGGACAGCCTCTTGTTTTTCCTTATCCGTGTCTTATTCCTGCAGCCAGAATGAAGCTTGTTAGGAGACTGCCTCCCTGCCTGACTGAGCTGACTGTGTACCAAGCGTGAAAGCCAGGTTTCAACTAATGACTCACACCAACTATTGCCAATAAAAATGATGTAAGACTCCAGGTAGGCACATTGACATTTTCTAGACATGAATGTTAGAGCCCACGTGGTCCAATATCCTGTCTCCAAGAAGCCAGAAAGAAAAAAAAACATGAAGAATGGAAGGATTTAGAAGCCACTCCGCCTAGGGATAGGGAAGGAGATGGCCCGGAGATGCTGCACAGGGTTAGACAGCGCGATGGGGTAATACAAACACAAACTTTGCAGGCAGGTGATTCAAATCCTGTAATTTGGAGCAAGTGACTTCACCTCTTTCAGCCTTGGTTTTCTCGAGTGTAAAATGGGAAGATAATGCCTACATCATAGAGTTTTGAATTGGATAACAAGTCCCGTGGCTGGGCGCAGTGGCTTACGCCTGTAATCCCAACACTTTGGGAAGCCAAGGTGAGTGGATCACCTGAGGTCAGGAGTTCGAGACCAGCCTGGCCAACATGGTGAAACCCCATCTCTACTAAAAATACAAAAATTAGCCAGGCATGGGCGCCTGTAATCCCAGCTACTCGGGAGGCTGAGACAGAATTGCTTGAACCCAGGAGGTGGAGGTTGTAGTAAGCCAAGATGGTGCCACTGCACTACAGCCTGGATGAAGAGTGAGACTGCATCTAAAAATATATATATATTTTATATTTATATATATATTATATATGTATATTATATATAATATATAAAAATATGTTATATAATATATATGTTATATATAACATAGATATGTTATATAACATAGAGATGTTATATGTTATATATAACATAGAGATGTTATATATAACATAGAGATGTTATATGTTATATATAACATAGAGATGTTATATAACATAGATATGTTATGTTATATATAACATAGATATGTTATATAACATAGAGATGTTATATGTTATATATAACATAGATATGTTATATAACAGATATGTTATATAACATAGATATGTTATATAACATAGATATGTTATATATGTGTTATATAACATAGATAGGTTATATAAACAGATGTTATATATCATATATGTTATGTAACATATCTATGTTATATATCATGTTATGTAACATATGTTACATATATAACATGTAACATATATATGATATATGTTTTATATAGCGTATGGAACATATATGATATATATGTTTTATATAGCGTATGGAACATATATGATATATATGTTATATATAGCATATGGAACATATATGATATATATGTTATATATAGCATATGTAACATATATGATATATTATATGTTATACATAGCATATGTAACATATATGATATATGTTATACATGTTATATATACATATATATGTTATATGACATATATGTTATATATGTGTTTTATAACATTATGTTATATAACATATATGTTATATATAATATATGTTTTATAACATGTTATATAACATATATATGTTATATAATATATATTATATATACATATTATGTATGTATATAAAACGCACTGATATAGTGCTCTTCAGTTAAGAGTCCCAAGAGCAAATGTTATTCACCACAGGTGACTCGACTGAAGAGACTCCATTACAGGGACATCTTAGATGGTGTGGCAGAGTTAAGAGAACAGGCAAGGGGTGCAGAGGCACCCAGAGACTAGTGACAGTAGGAAGCCATTGTCACCTCTAGGGCTGAAGGAACGAGCAGAGGGAAGATGTTATCAGAACCCAGAAAGAGCGAGAGCCATAGAAGGAGGACCACTTAGCTGGAATTGTAGTTGTAGTTGCTGCTGGTGAAACAGCATCAAAGCAAAAAGAAAATGAAGAAATGCCCAGTGCTCTCTCTCCTCCTGCCCTCCAATCCCTTTCTAGGGCCTCCCAAGGCCAAGTTCATCCAGAAACCAGCTGACAAGGAATGCAGGGTGATGCAGACCCATCCAGATTCAGGTTCCTGTTTAACTGGCATGGCATCAGGGACACTGACTGCCTTCAGCAGCACACACAGCAGAAACCAGTCATCCTCCAAGGCTGTGGCAGAACAGGGTTCCCAGAGAAGCTATAGCATGAGAAAGGCAAAAACTTAAATGGTCTCAAGTGGATTCCAGCCAGAAACACAGGTAAACAAGCCATCAATTCAGGGACACCAAAAGGCGTTAAAATTCATTTAAATTCATCTAACTCAGCCACTCTTGTTTTAGAGATGAAAGAAGAGCAATTCAGCATGAGTAACTAATTTACCTAAGGTCATCTTCTACTTAGTTACAAATCCAGGACAAGAACTGAAATATTTTGATTCCACAATCAGCTTTTTTCCCTATAACCCTTAGTATTGCAAGCATAGATCAGAGTGAGTTGGTTTTTGCTAGAGCCATCAGTGCACTTGTTCCTAAAGCTGCTAAGCCAAAAAGGGTTAATTGTCCCTTGTAAACTTTGCCTGACATAAGCTATAGGAAACCAGAGTAGACTTGTCTTTTGTTGGCTCAAGCAAGTAAGAGGTGCGGTCTACAGATCTCAAGGAATAACGAAGGAGAAATCCGCTCCAATTTCAAGTTAAAATTAACAGCCCAAGTTCAAAGTGAAACTTGGTAAGGAGAAATGAAGCTGAGCATCCTTAAAGGTGGTGGTGGTTGCTTGTTGGTGTCATTGCTGGTCTGCTCATTTCATTTCTCTGTCACTGCAAATTGCAGCCAGGTTTCTTGACATTTATTGAGCACCTACCATATATTCAGCTCTGTGCTATATGCTGGGGATACCAAGATAAATAGGATTCCCGTCCTTGAAACATTCCTCTGCCTATTTCTTTATTCTCTCCCTCTCAACACATGTACATATACACACAAAAAGTCAACCCCAATAAGCACTTACATCTTTCTACTGATGACGGAAGCATCACTGGCATGAGTTTGCATCACATCCAATTATTTTTACAACGATTACCTATAGAGATGAGCCTGTGTGTCTTCATCCTGCAGGGCACGGAGATTATCACTCCTTCCTCTCATTCCCCTTAGCGCTTTATATAGACCTATGTTATCACATTTATCATCCTGTCTCCTCCATCAGAGTCCCCAAGGGCAGAAGTCACATCCTGGTTATCTTGTAGCCCCAGTACCCTAGTGCACTGCTTGGCACATAGTAGGTGCTCAATACATGTTTATTGATTACCTGGTGAGTGGATGAATTGTTGAATGAATAGATTATAAAAACATGGATGGATGCGTGAATGATCAGATGAGTAGGTAGATGAGTGGATACACAGATGTTTAGGTGAGTCAATGTGTGGAAAATATTTGAGTGGATGGATAGTTGGACGTTGGGTGCATGGATGGATGGATAAATGAATGGGTAGATAGATGGATGTTTGGATGGATAAGTAAATGGACGGGTAGATAGGTGAGTTGTTGGTGAATGCATAGATGGATAAATGATTTTAAAGATATTTATCTGGCCGGGTGTGATGGCTCAAGCCTGTAATCCCAGTACTTTAGGAGGCCAAAGTGGGTGGATCACCCAAGGTCATGAGTTTGAGACCAGCCTAACCAACATGGTTGAAACCCTGTTTCTACTAAAAATACAAAAATTAGCTGGGCATGGTGGCACATGCCTGTAATCCCAGCTGAGGCACAAGAAGCGCTTGAACCCAGGAGGCAGAGGTTACAGTGAGCCGAGATCATGCCACTGCACTCCAGCCTGGGCAACTTAGAATAATATCTACCCTACCTACCTCCTAAAATAATGCCATCCTAAGTAAGAGGTTATAATAACTGCATAGTGTGGTGAGAAAAAAGTGTTAGGATCAAAATCCCTGAGTCCTACCTTGGCCAAAATTTCCCTACCAATTTTGCCTCTTAGTAGCTGTGTATATAATAACTTGAACAAATTCTTTTTTTTTTAATTATGCTTTAAGTTCTAGGGTACGTGTGCACAATGTGCAGGTTTGTTACATATGTATACATGTGCCATGTTGGTTTGCTGCACCCATTAATTCGTCATTTATGTTAGGTATTTCTCCTAATGTTATCCCTCCCCCATCCCCCCACCCCACGAAAGGCCCCGATGTGTGATGTTCCCCGCCCTGTGTCCAAGTGTTCTCATTGTTCAATTCCCACCTATGAGTGAGAACATGCGGTGTTTGGTTTTCTGTCCTTGTGATAGTTTGCTGAGAATGATGGTTTCCAGCTTCATCCATGTCCCTACAAAGGAAATGAACTCATCCTTTTTTATGGCTGCGTAATATTCCATGGTGTATACGTGCCACATGTTCTTAATCCAGTCTATCATTGATGGACATTTGGGTGGTTCCAAGTCTTTGCTATTGTGAATAGTGCCACAATAAACATACGTGTGCATGTGTCTTAATAGTAGCATGATTTATAATCCTTTGGGTATATACCCAATAATGGGATCTCTGGGTCAAATGGTATTTCTAGTTCTAGATCTTTGAAGAATTACCACACTGTCTTCCACAATGGTTGAACTAGTTTACACTCCCACCAACAGTGTAAAAGCATCCCTGTTTCTCCACATCCTCTCCAGCACCTGTTGTTTCCTGACTTTTTAATGATCGCCATTCTAACTGGTGTGAGATGGTATCTCATTGTGGTTTTGATTTGCATTTTTCTGATGGCCAGTGATGATGAGCATTTTCTCATGTGTCTGTTGGCTGCATAAATGTCTTCTTTTGAAAAGCGTCTGTTCATATCCTTTGCCCACTTTTTGATGGGGTTGTTTGATTTTTTCTTGTAAATTTGTTTAAGTAAATTGTAAATTTCTTGGAAATTGTAAATTTCTTATAAATTTGTAAAGTAAATTTGTAATTTGTAGATTCTTAATATTACCCATTTGTCAGATGAGTAGATTGCAAAAATTTTCTCCCATTCTATAGGTTGCCTGTTCTCTCTGATGGTAGTTTCTTTTGCTGTGCAGAAGCTCTTTAGTTTAATTAGATCCCATTTGTCTATTTCGGCTTTTGTTGCCATTGCTTTTGGTGTTTTAGTCATGAAGTCCTTGCCCATGCCTATGTCCTGAATGGTAATGCCTAGGATTTCTTCTAGGGCTTTTATGGTTTTAGGTCTAACACTTAAGTCTTTAATCCATCTTGAATTAATTTTTGTATAAGGTGTAAGGAAGGGATCCAGTTTCAGCTTTCTACATATGGCTAGCCAGCTTTCCCAGCACCATTTATTAAATAGGGAATCCTTCCCCATTTGTTGCTTTTGTCTAACTTGAACAAATTCTTAACCTCTGTGGGCTACCTTCTGTTCAGTTCTAAAATGAAGGTGATACAGTAGACACTACCCTAAAAAATCTGGTGGTTATTGTGATAATTAAATGAGATAATGTACTAATAGATGTGGTAGTGCTTTGTCACAGCAAGCAATTATGGTGATGAGAATGGTGACAATGATGGATAATATAGGTGGTTGTCATCTGGCCAGTGTCCATAAGGTAGAAATATAGTGTCTTTCCCATTGAGCTTTGCCATTCTAGACCCAAATCCTCCAGCCTCAGCATTCCCAGTTCCCTAGACTAGAGGTGGTCCCACCTACTGCAAGCACTTCATCTTTCTCCTTCCCAGGATTCGGTCATTGTCTGCAGCAGCTGTGCCTGTGGGACCTGAGCCCGCTGTTACGAAGGAAAGCATGGGGATGACTCAGGGAGGGTACATCAGAGCAGTGTGGGTGGAAAAGCCTTCACTGATGAGTTACTTTCTGAAGTACTCTTGTATTTATTTTCTTAGATATCTGAGAAACACATCTGCAGTGCCAAAACATTCATTCAATACTTACTTAATGAATGCCTTCTTTGTGTCAAGCACTGTAATTGCTGGGGAAACAAAATTGAATGATACTTGCTCCTACCCTCAATTGACCCTGCTGGTCTGTGCCTTCAGGAGGTTGTAGGCATTCCAGGACTTAGTCCAGTTACCCAGGGCCCAGCACAATGTCAGAACATGACAGGTGCTCAGTTCACTTCTGTTGAACTGATGGATGTTAGTCTAATGGGGGAAGCAGGGAAGTTATCAACAACTTTAGAGAAAACTGGGAAAACAGAGGGAGAGAGCACGTACTGCAAAACAGAGCTCATGATCAGCTCCCTAGGGGAGATGGCACCTAAGCTGAGTTCTGAGACAAACAAGAATAAACCACAAGAAAAATTAGGTGGGAGGGGACAGAGGTTGGCAGAAAGCCATCTGATGCAAACTTAGCTTTTCCTGTCTTCTGGCTTTCTCTTCTACTTAACTTCCACCTGCCTCTCCCTGCACAGTGGATGAGGGTTTTGTTCTCCAATGGGAAAATAAGCTTCACTAAATACCACAGAAACATCACTGTGAAGCCTGCTCTGGTCTCCTGTATGGAGGGCAGGTGGGAAATGACGGTGGGCCTCCCTGCAGGCTTGACAAGCCAAGAAGAAAGGGGGCATCAGATGCCGACAAGGAGCAGGGACCAGAGAGCAAGAGAAGGTGGAGAGACTGCGGGCAGAAGCAGCTCCCATTCCTGCACGCACTCTGTGAGGAACACAGGGCCAGGGGCAGAGTCCACAGAGTCCCAGAAACAGCCTCTCCTCTGGGCTCAGGTTAACATTGGACAAAGGCACCGAGCCTTACGTGCCTAGGATTTCAGAGCAGGTGACGCAGCCACTTTTGACACCTGGTGCCTGTAAATCAGCCTGGAGCTGGGCTCAGGGCCAGCTGCATCTCTCCTGGAGCAGAGCATGTGCTCCTCACTGCTCAGGACAAATCCAAACCCCTCAGTATAACATGAGTGGCCTCCACCTACCCTCCAGCTCCATCTCTACCCACTTCTCAGCCTTCATCTACACTTGCCTCCAGTTCCCCAAACACCCCATTTCTCTTCCTCCAGACCTCTGCGTGGCTGTCCTCTCCACCTCAGACACTCCCCCAGCCCTGCTCCTTCAGATGGCTGATGCCTGCTCCTCTTCTAGGTCTCAGCTTAGAAATCTCTGCTTACAGAAGTGCCCATGATTCCACCTGCAGGTCCAAATGAGCTGCCTCTCCTTCACGCTCCCGTCGCATCCTCTGTCTCCTCTTCAATGCCCCTCACACTGAATGTTAATTGCCTCAATACGTGCCCTGTCCCCCACTAGGGCTCCCTCCGGGCAGAAGCCAAGTCTTTTTCATCCTTACATCCCCAGCACCTAGAGCAATGACAGGCCCGTGTGAATGTGCCAGGCTAAAGGAGCAAATGAATGTTCTCCCTCTTACGGGGGCCACTGAGGGATCAACTGATCAGGACAGAGAGGAACCAAGGCTGCACCTCAGTCTTTCTTTGGGGGGCCAAGAGTACTCCCTATACACGGAAAACCATGCCCTTATATTCACAAAGGGCTTTCACAAACCTGTCTATTCCGCTTTCCCACCACCCCCGAGGTAGGTATCAGTCTGTGCATTTTACAGATGGGGAACCTGTGGCCCAGAGAGGCCAGGTATGCTGCCCAAGCATGCACATTGGGAGATGGCAGAGACTGCTGGCCCCTGGGGCTGCCTGCCTCCAAGCTCAGCACTATTCTTCCTGGCTCCTTTGCTCTCCCATCACAGGGCTCAGACTTCTGGGATCACTGAGTGGAGCCCGCTAGCCAGAGATTGGAACACACAGTTGCTGCTCAGAGCCCTCCAGTGACAGGTTAACCACTCCACAAGGGACCCTGAGGGGCTGTCTGATCTGCCTCCTTAGTGTGGTGTGAGATGCTCAATTCTCCCACAGCCCTCCACACACACATATATCTAAACCTGCACCCCATGGCTCTCGGGATGCCCGTGGGTATCAGTCCATGTCCATTAGGAAAACAGGATGGGGATGATGACAGAGAATTCCTTACAAGTATCAGGAGGGCTGAAGCAGCAAGTGGAGAAAAGTGGCATTGGCCAGAGACCATAAGCGCCACTGATGCTGCTGCCAGGGGAGTGACTGTGACTTCTACATTCTTCCCCATTTCTGATATCATTGCATACAGGTGTCTTTATCTTATTTTATTTTAGGTAAGGTCTGGCTCTGTTGCCCAGGCATGTACAGTGGCACGATCTCGGCTCACTGCAACTTCCTCCTCCAGGATTCAAGCAATCCTCCCGCCTCAGCCCCACAAGTAGCTGGGACTACAGGCGCACACCACCACTCCCAGCTAATTTTTGTATTTTTTGTAGAGATGGGGTTTTGCTATGTTGCCCAGACTAGTCTTGAACTCCTGAGCTCAAGTGATCCACCTGCCTTGGCTTCCCAAAGTGCTGGGATTACAGATGTGAGCCACCACACCAACTCAGTGCCTTTCATTTGCAAAAAGTAACTGGAACCCAACTGAGAAGGGAGTCTAGAAGACACAGTTTCTCAGTGGCAATGGTACAGAAAAAAAGGATTAAAGGGCAGGTATGGAGCTGAACACCAACAGACAACAACTGACACAGCATTAGGGCCACTAGAGCTTAAGGTGATATCCCCAATAGGCCCTTGTTAATAAACATACGCACCATGGACCTTCGTCATGTTTTCTAGCTGTGCTGCACCTTTTTACAGTCTTCATACACTTGAGGCCTTCTTGCCTTCTATCCCAAATGGAGGCTATGATTTCACTTTGCCAGCCTCCCTTGCAGCTAGGAGTAGGCATCAGCTCCACAAATCAAGCACACAAGCAGGAGCTGCTGGAATGAAAATGAGCACGTGAGGAAAGAAGCACCATGCAACATCCGTGTTCTGGGAGGTGGCTGTGGCTGCAAAGCTGTGTTCTTGCTGGAGAAGGGGTGGTGGGACTGGGGCAGCATTCACATCTCAGTCCCATTGAGTCCCTGGTGCAAAAGTGGTCATGAGGGTACAACTATTCCATTTAATACTCAGTGGTGGCAGTTTCTTCATCAGATCAATTCTGCAGCAGAGTTATGAGTCTGATTCTCCAGCCTTCCCAGTGATTCTGAGTTACCCAAAAATCTTTTTAAACAAACATTAAAACTAAAGTATAATGTCTTTACAGAAAAGTAGGCACATCATGAGTATACAGCTCAATACATTTTCATACAATCATCACACATGTCAATAAGCAGAACATTACCAGTACCCCAGATATGCACCCACACTGGCCTCTTTCAGTAACTCTCTAAATGTAATCACTAATGTAACTTCTAATGCCTTAGACTTATTTTGCCTATTCTTGAATTTCATATAAATGGAATCATGCAGTATATGGTATACTCTTTTACAGATGGCTTATTTCACTCAACATTATGTTTCTGCTACTTGCCAGTGTTGCTATCAGTGGCAGTACTTTGTTCATATTCATAACTGTATAGTATTCCACTGTATGAGTAAGCTGCAATTTACCCATCCGATTGTTGTCGGACATTGGGTTATTTCTATTTAGCCTTATTACAAATAATGCTGCTATTTGCATTCTTATACATGTCCTTTTTGTACATTAGATTGCTGGGCAGCCACGTGAGGGGAGGCAAAACTGGGGCTAATTCAGATTTTTTTTTTTTACTTTAAGTTCTGGGATACATGTGCAGAAGGTGCAGGTTTGTTACATAGGTATACATGTGCCATGGTGGTTTACTGCACCTATCAACCCATCATATAGGTTTTTAAGCTCCACATACATTAGGTATGTGTCCTAATGCTATCCCTCCCCTTGCCTCCCACACCCTGAAAGGCCCCGGTGTGGGATGTTCCCCTCCCTGTGTCCATGTGTTCTCATTGTTCAACTCCCACTTGTGAGTGAGAACATGCAGTGTTTGGTTTTCTGTTCCTGTGTTAGTTTGCTGAGAATTATGGCTTCCAGCTGCATCCATGTCCTTGCAAAGGACATGATCTCATTCTTTTTTTATGGCTGCATAGTATTCCATGGTGTATATGTGCCACATTTTCTTTATCCAGTCTATTACTGATGGGCATTAGGGTTGGTTGCAAGTGTTTGCTATTGTAATTAGTGCTGCAATAAACATACGTGTGCATGTGTCTTTATAGTAGAATGATTTATAATCCCTTGGGTATATAACCAGTAATGGGATTGCTGGATCAAATGGTATTTCTGGTTCTTGATCCTTTAGGAATCACCACACTGTCTTCCACAATGGTTGAACTAATTTACACTCCCACCAACAGTGTAAAAACATTCCTATTTCTCCACAGCCTCACCAGCATCTATTGTTTCCTGGCTTTTTAATAATTGCCATCTGACTAGCATGAGATGGTATCTCATTGATTTGCATTTCTCTAATGATCAGTGATGATGAGCTTTTTTCCATATGTTTTTTGGCCGCATAAATGTCTTCTTTTGAGAAGTGTCTGTTCATATCATTTGCCTATGTTTTGATGGGCTTATTTGTTCATTTGTTTTTTATAAATTTGTTTAAATTCCTCGTAGATTTTGGATATTAGACCTTTGTCAGTGGGTCAATTGCAAAAATTTTCTCCCGTTCTGTAGGTTGCCTGTTCACTCTGATGCTAGTTTCTTTTGCTGTGCAGAAGCTCTTTAGTTTAATTAGATCCCACTTGTCTATTTTGGCTTTGGTTGCAATTGTTTTTGGTGTTTTAGTCATAAAGTCTTTGCCCATGCCTATGCCCTGAATGGTATTACCTAGGTTTTCTTCTAGGGTTTTTATGGTTTTGGGTTTTACATTTAAGTCTTTAATCCATCTTGAGTTAATTTTTGTATAAGATGTAAGGAAGGGGTCCAGTATCAGTTTTCTGCATGTGGCTAGCCAGTTTTCCCAGCACCATTTATTAAATAGGGGATCCTTTACCCATTGCTTGTTTTTCTCAGGTTTATCGAAGATCAGATGGTTGTAGATGTATGGTATTATTTCTGAGGCCTCTGTTCTGTTCCATCAGTCTATATATCTGTTTTTGTAGCAGCACCATGCTGTTTTGGTACTGTAGCCTTGTAGTATAGTTTAAAGTCAGGTAACATGATGCCTCCAGCTTTATTCTTTTTGCTTAGGATTGTCTTGGCTATATGGGCTCTTTTTTGGTTCCACACAAAATTTAAAGTAGTTTTTTCTAATTCTACAAAGAAACTTAGGAAATTTTAGGGAAAAAAAGGTGATTTGGGGACAAATGTTTCCTCAAACTGGCTTTAAAGCAAGTAGAGGCTGAGTGCAGTGGCTCATGCCTGCAATCCCAGCACTTTGGGAGACCAATCACTTGAGCCTAAGAGTTTGAGACTAGCCTGGCCAACATGGGGAAACCCCATCTGTATAAAAAATACAAAAAATTACCCAGGGGTGGTGGCACACACTTGTAGTCCAGGAGGCTGAGGTGGGCGAATCATCTGGGTCCAGGAGATCAAGTCTGCAGTAAACCATGATCATGCCACTGCACTGCAGCCTGGGGAAGAGAGTGGGACCCTAGCAGAAAGAAAAGGGAAGGGGAGGGGAGGGGAGGGAAGGGAAGGGAAGGGAAGGGAAGGGAAGGGAAGGGAAGGGAAGGAGGGAGGGGCCGGGTGCAGTGGCTCACACCTGTAATCCCAGCACTTTGGGAGGCCAAGGCAGGTGGATCACTTGAGGTCAGGAGTTTGAGACCAGTCTGGCCAACATGGTGAATCTCCATCTCTACTAAAAATACAAAAATAAGCCAGTCGTAGCGGTGCGTGTCTGTAATCCCAGCTGCTCGGGAGGCTGAGGCAGGAGAGTAGCTTGAACCCAGGAGGTGGAGGTTGCAGTGAGCCGAGATAGTGCCACTGCACTCCAGCCTGGGCTACAAAGCCAGACTCCATCAAAAAAGAAAGAAGGGGAGAGGAGGGGAGGGGAGGGGAGGGGAGAGAAAGAATCATTTCTCACAGTGGCCTTGGAGGCTGCTTCCCTGGGCCCACAGCATCCCCTACAATTAACGCCACATGCAGGTCAGGCTGGTGGTGAGTGAGGCCACTGGTCCTTCGCTGCCCTGGGACGAGGCAGAGTAAGCAGAGGCACTGCCTCCTTAAGCCTCAGTTCCCTCATCTGCAACAACCACACCAACCTCATAGGCTGCTGTGGGAATCCAGCTGATGACTGGTCTGAGGAAAGGGGAAGGAGGCAAAGAAACTAATGTGCTGGGAATGGTCTGTGCCAAATGCTTCCCAGCACTAGCTCGCTGAGTTCTCACGGGAATCTTACGAGGTGGTTCCCCTCCTGCTAGAGTTGAGGAAGCTGAGGCTGACCGAGGTTTAATAGCCTGCTGGAAGTTACAGAGCTGGCAAAGAGCAGTGTCCACGTCACCCAGGTCTATCGGACTTCCCAGGCCACTCTGAAGAGAGAAGGTCAGGGTTTAGTTTCTGGAACTACCTGGCTAGGGGAGCCCCTGGCTGCCCCTGAGCTCAACCCTCACAGGGTGACTGTGAGGACTGAATGAGTTCCTGGTTGTGAAGGGAAGGAGAACTAACATTTCTGAGGAGAGTCCAGTGATTTACACGTATGACCTGATTTAATTCTCACAGTAGCCTTGTAGGTGGGAGCTGTGCTTCCCATTTGGAAGTGAGGGCTGGATTGTTTCCTTCTAATTCTGGCTTTCCGGGTGTGTTATGAATGTGTAACACAGAAGACCCAGAGGGAATCCAGCCCCTAGCTGCCCTCACCCTTCCTGGAGTTTGAGTTCCTGGCCAGAAAAAGGCAGCCCCATCAGAATCACCCCGCGAAGTGGATGAGGAGGCTTGGTCGACCTGCCTTAAGGCCAGCCCTCAACTCATAACATTGTCTTTGTTCATACACACAGACACACACACACACATGCATACACACATATAGGCACACAGGCACATACGCACACATGCACACACAGAGATGCACAGGCATACACACACACACACGTATGCACACAAATACACATGCACGCACACACAGGCACATAAAAACACACATACACACACACAGGCACACAGGCGCACAAACACAGGCAAACATGCATGCACACACACACATGCACACACAGGCGCACAGGCGCACACAGGCACACACACGCATGCACACACAGGCATACAGGCGTACAAAAACACACGCATGCACACACACGCATGCACGCACACATATACATACACACATGTGCACCCAGCACAGCAAGCTTCCCTCCCAACTCCCCACCACCTGCTATCAAGAAAGCCATTGTCAAATACTCGAAATGCTAAAAGACTGCGTTTTTATTTTTCAAGGGCCCATTCCTAATCACAAGAGGCCACTTAGTCTGAGTGGGGCCCAGTAATGTTGATTAATGATTATGTATTTCTCATGAGAGTTGGGAACTCAACTTGTCTCTCGCCTCAGCACCCTCCCAGGGTGCACCATTAATCAGGATCGGCCACGGGTGGAGTTAGAGCAGTGACCATTAACCTTTTGGCAAGAGCGTGCCAGGTCCCCAGCATGGGAGCACCCCGGGTCCCCTCTGCAGTGGCCCCACTCCCGGCCCCTCCCACAAAGGGCCGGGGTGGGGAGTGAGGGAGCTTCCACCCCCTCCAGCTGCCTGCCTCTCCCCACGAGGACTTGAATATTAATAAGATCCTGCACTCCTCCAGATAGTTCATCTTAATGATTTTTAAGGGTTTTTCCTTAATTCCCTTTCTCTGTGTGACAGATACAAAAATTATTAATGAGTGAATGTTCCCAGCTTCTCCCACACACACTGTCTCTACAGGAAATTCGATCCTTGCGTATTCTGTGTCCCCCACAGGCCCCACTTCCTTCTGAGGAGAGCTCCCTTCTGGCCAGGCCTATTTCAAGTTTGAGGGATGAAGAATCCACACAATGGGGCTGACAGTGACCAAACTAGAGGTGAGGAAGTAGCAGGTAAAGGGAGAGAAAAGCTCAAATTCAAAAATTTGGGTGTGGGGAAGAGTTTTCTTGGAGGTGAGGAGTCAGGGGCTCTAGCACAGCCTCAGGTGTGAGGGTAAAATGAAACAAAGCAGAATGAGAATTTTAGGAAAACCAGACCACAAAATATTACATTGGTGCAAAAGTCATTGCAGTTTTTGCCACGTGATACTTGCATCCTCAGTTCATATCACCACTTTGGAAAGCTGATAGCTTCTACTACGGCTGAACATGTTGATACTCTGTGACCCCGCAATCCCCACTTCTAGGAATTAGGTACAATTAGTATATCCCCGTCAGATATGCATCCATATTCTCACTAAAGATGTATTCTAGAATGTTCATAGCGGCACTATTCGTTATATCTTAAAACTACCCAGCCAGGCGCAGTGGCTCACGCCTGTAATCCCAGCAATTTGGGAGGTCGAGGAGGATGGATCACCTGAGGTCAGGAGTTTGAGACCAGCCTGGCCAACATGGTGAAACCCCGTCTCTACTAAAAATATGAAAAAAAAATGAGCCGGGTGTGGTGACGCACACCTTTAATCCCAGCTACTCAGGAGGCTGAGGCAGGAGAATTGCTTGAACTCGGGAGGCGGAGGCTGCAGTGAGCTGAGATCACGCCATTGCACTCCAGCCTGGGCTACAGAGCAAGACTCCGTATCAAAAAACAAACAAACAAAACAAAAAAACACAACAAACTACCCAAATGCGCATCAATGGTAGAATGGATAAATAATGTCATATTCAAACCATAAAAGATGATACAGCAACAAGAATGAAAACACTGCAATTACATACAACAATGTGGATGGTTCCCACAAACATGATGTTCAATATTAACAAAAGAAGCCAAACACAAAAGAATATATATGGTATGAGTCCTTTTGTAGAATATTTAAAAACTAATCTATATGGGTACAAGTCAGGATAGGTGCTCACTTGGGGGGTTGATGATTGGAAGGGGGTTCAAGAGGCTTCTTCGGGGCTGATAATGTCACCTATTCTTTTTCCTGAGATGGAGTCTCGCTCTGTCACCCGGGCTGGAATGCAATGACACGATCTTGGGTCAATGCAACCCCTGCCTCCCAGGTTCAAGTGATTCTCCTGCCTCAGCCTCCTGAGTAGCTGGGATTACAGGTGCTCACCACCACACCTGGCTAATTTTTGTATTTTTAGTAGAGACGGGGCTTCACCATGTTGGCCAGGCTGGTCTTGAACTCCTGACCTCAAGTGATCCACCCGCCTCGGCCTCCCAAAGTGCTGGGATTACAGGCATGAGCCACCACACCTGGCCAATGTCACCTATTCTGATCAGGGTGCTAGTCGTACATGTGTGCTCTCTGTAAAAATTCATCAAGCTGCTGATCTGTTCGTTATACTTCTCCAAGTAAAGATGTGAATTGTTGTATAATTGGTTTTGTTGGCTGGGCTGTATTTATGTGAATGTGATACTGTGCTGGAACAATACTTTGTGTTTGCCAAACTCAATTTTCCTCCTATGCATGCAGAAAGACTTAGGTTTCTGGGCTTCCCTGTGGTTAGTGGGACCATGTGATGAGTGCTGTTAAATAGCATGTGGGCAGAAATGATGTATGCTGCTTTCAGCCTGGCCCCTTCAATCTCCTGCACAATCCTCCACTTAATCTTTCTCATTCTGTTCACTACCTGCAAAAAAGTCAGTGGAGACTCTGAGGTCCTGGGAGATGATGGAGCAATTGATAGTTCTTATTACAGCACACAAGAATTTAAAAATAATTCTCTGCAATAAATGAAAGGAGAGCTGGGCATGGTGGTTCACACCTGTAATCCCAGCATTTTGGGAGGATGAGGCAGGTGCATCACTTGAGCCCGTGAGTTCAAGACCAGCCTGGCCAATATTGTGAAACCCCATCTCTACTAAAATTCAAATAATTAACCGGCGTGGTGGCATGTGCCTGTAGTCCCAGCTATTTGGGAGGCTGATGCAGGAGGATTAATTGAGCCCGGGAGGTCAAGGCTACAATGAGCCATGATCATGCCACTGCATTCCAGCCTGGGCAAAAGAGCAAGACCCTGTCTCAAAAAAAAAAAAAAAGAAAGAAAAATGAAAGGAGCCTGAGTCCCTGAATAACTGCATGGAGCAGAGAGAGCCCCCTCCTGATCGCACCACCCCACCTGCCTATCCACATTGGACTGTGATTGATTGATTGATTGATTGATTGTGATTGATTGATTGATTGTGAAACAGAGTCTCGCTCTGTCACTCAGGCTGGAGTGCGGTGGCACGATCTCAGCTCACTGCAACCTCTGCCTCCCGGGTTTGAGCGATCCTCCCTCCTCAGCCTCTTGCATAGCTGGGATTACAGCCACGAGCTGCCACGCCCCACTAATTTTTGTATTTTTAGTAGAGAGGGGGTTTCATCATGTTGGCCAGTCTGAGCTCAAACTCCTGGCCTCAAGTGATCTGCCTGCCTTGGCCTCTCAAAGTGCTGGGATTACAGGTGTGAGCCACCATGACCAGCTTTGGACTCTGATTTAAACAAGAAATATATCTCTGTTGTAATATGCAATGGAGAGGGGATTTTTTGTTATAGTTATTGCCTAACTTGACTATCTGACTAATACCTAATATGCCTGACTTGGGTCCTGGGTCTCCAAGTGGAACCTTCTCTGTCTCATAAATGGGAATGGAAGTGAACATTCTTAGGGAGAAATACATATTCCTTACTCCTTGGGTTTCCAAAGAGAGGCAATTTCCTAAAAAGATAAAGTAAATAAGAAGTTCTTTTTTTTTTTTGTCCCAAGGGGAGGCAATGGGTGAGTAGATGAAAGAACCAAGCTCAGACTGTATAAAGCCATCTGGGCCTCTGGAAGCTGCCTTCTCTGCTTTTCCCCAGGGTGAGCCTGCTGCAGTACACACTGTCCTTGCCTAGCTGTGCCAGTGGCCAGGAAAGTCTTTCAAATTCTGGGGTTCAGTCTTAGAAAGTCCACATGGCTACACCCCTAAGTTATTATCTTCCAATCCAGCCTTTCTCAGAAATAGCACTAACATTTTTATCTATCTAATAATTGTGCTTATCTCAGTTGATTCCAAACTCAGAAAAAAAGGGGGATTTATTGACTCCCAAAAAACCAACAAAGACTAGGAAAGACGCTGTTCCCTGCAGCAGAGGCCCAGAAACTAGGACACATTAGAAAGAATCCTTTTTTTTTAAGAGACAGGGTCTTGCTATGTTGCCCAGGCTAAAGTTCAGTGGCTGTTCACAGGTGCAGTCATACGACACTGCGGCTTCAAACTCTGGGCTCACGCAATCCTCCCGCTTCAGCTTCCTAAGTAGCTTGGACAATGGGTGCACAACACCACACCCAGCTTGAAAGAATCCTTTTTAACAACAGAAGTCAGGAACGTTTCACAGGATTTGTTAAAGAACAGGGGCATAAAGCGACTGAAATGAGGGTTGGGATGGAGTTGAAACAGCACTAGCCATGACCCCTCTATTCCTTCCCAATTTAGATCAGCTTCACTTGTCTTTTACCTGTTAGGATTTAAAATTTCATTCAAGCAAAGAATACTGTGTCTAAAAATAGTTTGAAAATCTCTGATTTAGATCATCTTTTTGGTACCCTCTGGCCTAAAGGATCTTTGCACTTATATAAGAAATCCAAAATTTTATTTTTGCAATGTTTTGCCAATGACAGTGGTCTGTAACAAAAGTAGACCAATACTGGGATGTACAGAGAAGCCTAATGGTCAGCTTCTAAATTAGTTAAAGCTTCTTCAGGGAGCAAAGAAGAGATGCATCCAGGCTATCTTAGGTGGTGGAGTGATGGTGCTCAACCTTTTTTTAAAAATTTTTTTAAATTTTATTTTTAATCTATTTATTTATTTTGAGACCGGATTTTGAGACTGGCTAATTTTTGTATTTTTAGTAGAGACAGGGTTTCACCATGTTGGCCAGGCTGGTCTCGAACTCCTGGCCTCAAGTGATCCACCCACCTCGGCCTCCCAAAGTGCTGGGATTACAGGCGTGAGCCACCGTGCCCACCCATGCATGTTTCTGTGCTGGGCAGAGCCTGAATGGCTCACCTGAAGTGATGAAATGTGACTACCAATGTCCCTTGCCAGAGATAGAGTTGAGAGTGTGCCATGTCTGAAAGGCAGAAAGGGGCACGTTGCATTCAAGGAGCTGAGAGAAGATGGTGAGGAGGTTATACACTACTTTAAGGGGTGTATTAGTTTCCTAGGCTGCTGTAGCAAATTACCACAAACTTGATGATGTAAAACAATAGAAATTGTTCTACAGTTCTGGAGTTCTCCAGTTCTGGAGACCAGAAGTCTGAGCTCAAGGTGTCAGCAAGACCACACGTCCTCCAAAGGCTCAAGGGAAGAGTCTGTGCCTTGCCTCTTCCAGCTTCCGGTGGCCCTGGGTGTTTGGCTTGCTTGGCTTGTGGCCACATCACTCCAATCTCTGCCTGCATGGCCACATCACCTTCTCCTTTCTACATGCCTATGTTTTCTCCTCTTCTGTCAAATCTCTAATAGGACACTTGTCAATGGACTCGGGCCCACCAGGATAATCCAGGGTGACCTCTTCATCTCAAAATCCTTACCTGAATGACATCTGCAAAGACCTTCCATTTTCCAAATAAGGTCACATTCATAGGTTCTGGGAATTAGGACATGTATATGTCTTTTTTTTTTTTTTTTTTTTTTTGACAGTATCTCACTCTTTCGCCCAGGCTGGAGTGCAGTGGCATGATCACAGCTTACTGCAGCCTTGACCTCCTGGGCTCAAGCAATCTCCCACCTCAGCCTCCTGAGTAGCTGGGACCACAGATGTGCACCACCACGCCTGGCTAATTTTTTGTATTTTTTGTAGAGCTGAGGTTTTGCCATGCTGCCCAGGCTGGTCTTGAACTCCTGAGCTCTAGTGACCTGCCCTCCTCGGCCTCCCAAAGTGATGGGATTACAGGCATGAGCCACTGTGCCCAGCCTATATATCATTCAACACATTAGAGAGGGTATAGCAGAATTTGAGTAGTAGGTACATAGGAAATAATCTTAATTTTTTTTTTTTTTTTTTTTTTTTTTTTTTTTTTTTTTTTTGAGATGGAGTCTCGCACTGTCGCCTGGGCTGGAGTGCAGTGACACGATCTCGGCTCGCTGCAACCTCTGCCTCCCAGGTTCAAACAATTCTCCTGCCTCAGCCTCCCAAGTAGCTAAGATTATAGGCACCCACCACCACGCCTGGCTAATTTTTTGTATTTTTAGTAGAGACGGGGTTTCACTATGTTGGCCAGGCTGGTCTCAAACTCCTGCTCCCGCCTTGGCCTTCCAAAGTGCTGGGATTACAGGCATGAGCCACCGCGCCCGACCCTTAATTTTTTTAAAATAAAATCCACCTGCTTCCCTGAACTAGAGTCTTGCTCTGTATCTGGTGAGGAACTCTGATGAGCCTTTCTATGGCGGGTAGGTCCGACTCGCTGCAAGGCTTTTGTTTGGCTGAGTATAGAGGTTTGGGGCCAGAGAGCTAAACTGACCAAGACATTAGAGGGAGAGGCCACATGGGGGAAGGATTTGGAGAAGAAAGGGAGGGAGCTAGTTGATAGCTAAAAGGAATTTAGGTTATAAAATGTATTCATTTCTTCAACAAATATTTATCTCAAAAAGCTCACTCATGCCAAGCTTTCTGCTAGGTGTTGAGGATGTGATGATGAATGGGACAGACACAGCACCTGCCCTCAAGCATGGGAAGTCCCTTTCCCTGTGATGTTCAATGTCAACGCTCTCCACCCTCTCCCCCAAAATCTTCAGCAAAGCACACATTGCTTGCAAATGCTCAGCAGACGAGCTAGACTGAGGAGACAGAAGGAAATACTGTCTTGTCCTGGGCTGGAAGGAAGCAAAGCCAGAGGCTCCTCACAGGAGGCCCAACATGTGGCTTGCATGCTCTAGTGGGCCAGGTAGGGCTCTTTAGGCAGCCAGCATCCGTTTCCTCCTTCTTATGGCAAGAGCACTTTGATTTGCTTTTGGAAAATTTCCTCTCTCCTGTTGAGGGTAGCCATAATGGGACTGTCAATCAAATGTTTTTCCCTGAATTCCTAGCCACAGGAGAGGCACCAGGTCCAAGCTGGGTCAGTGAGTCTTGGGAGTCAAATCCTAAAAGGGAGAGATACAAGAATAGAATCAAAGACGAAGCTGGTTTAGCCCAGCAAGGGATGTGATGAGATCAATGCCTACTGCCTGAATCCCTGGTCCCCCATCCATGTGAGGGTTCTCAGCAGGCCCTTAGAATCTGTGAGCTATTCTATATCCTTCCAACAAATTATCTTTTGCTTAACTTAGCGAGGGTCCTTTTCGGGTACCTGCAGTCAGAAAACCCTACCTGATGCCTGTGATCACGAAAAGTCCCAATCCCTCCTCCCCAGTAAGGGGTCTGGGCACCTCCAAGAGAAAACTGGCTTACAGCAAATGAGGGCCTGGCTGTGGAGACAGAGGCATCTTGTTACATCCTTAGAGCCTACTTCTACATCAAGTCGGTAATGATCAAAATCCAGAGGCTCCCTTAAGCTAACAGTGACTGCCCTTAACCAACAAGGACACTTAGAGGATCAGTGCAAGCCCTCAGGAAAAGGCCAACACACTGACAGAGAAAAGAGAGATCAGATTCATCTGGGTCAGGTTAAGGCTTCAAATGACACACTGAGCTCAGTAAACATTTCCCAAGCAATCCTTACGCCTTGCACCTAGATTTAATTCTGTACTCCCTGTGGGTCTCTCTGGCCGTGATGACATGGCAGGGGTTTCTCCTTCTCTCTAAATACATGTGGATTTGTACGAGCCACTGGGGAATTCCTTGGGGGAGAGAAAGCTAAATTTATACCTTCAATTAATCTTCCCAAGTGTTCTTGCCCGCCTTCACTCTGTACCAAGTCTCCTTTTGCCCAAATCACCCCAGTACTCATACCCATTAGCAGATTACACAGTGCAGATAGAAGCTGCTTTGCTGCTCATTTATTTTAAGTATTTTAATTTTGAGTCCATTCTTCCCATTATCTCTAACCTGTTCTAATATCCTGTTTCAGGGGATTATGATTCCCTTAGATGAACAACAAAAAAATCATTCAATGCTCCTGGGAGACTTGGCCATTATTAGCTCTCTCCCTAAGCAGGACAAATTCCTACACAGGCCAAATTTCAGTTCAGTGCAAGAAACACTTAAGCACCTGTATGTGGCAGGCCTGTGCTACGCACTGGGAAACAGCTGTAAATAAGATGCAGTCCCTGTCCTGAGGATGGTTACAAGCCATGGGAGGGATATTAAGCAAATGATCACAGGTGGAACAAGCGTCAAAGGCAGAGATCAGGGTGCCAGTGGCTACGTGAGAAGACATTTCACCTTGCCTGCAGGTCTAATAGCCCTCTCCTTGATGAAATGACATTTAAACTGGGCCCTAAATGCTGGTGATAGAATCAAGAGAATTGCTTCTTCTTCACTGGGGCCTTCTGCAAAGCTGTTCACATTTCAGGAAGACATCATATTTTAAAAGTTCATTTTCATTCAAGTTGATGGATTTGGAGCTCAATGTTTTTTCCACAGAAATATACTTACAAATAGTGGCTAGGTTTCCAGGTTAGGATGCCAGCACCTAATTATCTACAATGGCTGCAGCACCAACAGCCAGAAATAGCATTTTACCCAGCTTGTGTGTGAAACACAGATCCCAGCCCTGATCACCAATGGAAACCCCTTCGAGAAAGCCCTCCTTTTCCTCACTGAGTGCCAGCAATTCTCTGTCTGGGGGGAGGTCCCTCCAATCCAGTCCCCAATCCCACTGCCTTGGTTTAAACCAACTCTTCCCTTAAACCTGCATCACAGCAACCAACACAAAATGTGGTCACTATCTCATTTCTCCTCTTTCCAGCCTTCTCCCTCTACTCCCCACGGGGCAGCCAGCTACTTTTTTGTTTTTTTGTTTTGAGAGGAAGTTTCACTCTTGTTGCCCAGGCTGGAGTGCAGTGGTACGATCTCGGCTCACTGCAACCTCCGCCTTCCAGGTTCAAGCGATTCTCCTGCCTCAGCCTCCCGATTAGCTGGGATTACAGGCATCTGCCATCAGGCCCAGCTAATTTTTTGTGTTTTTAGTAGAGATGGGGTTTTGCCATGTTGGCCAGGCTGGTCTCGAACTCCTGATCTCAGGTGATCCACCAGCCTCGGCCTCCCAAAGTGCTGGAATTACAGGTGTGAGACAGCACACCTGGCTGCCAGCTACTTTTTAAAGACCAAACATGAAGGCCTTTCAATGTTCCCCACTGCCCGCAGATTGAAGTTCAAGCAATCACACAAAACGATTTTCCTGATACAAGCCCCAATCTATCTTCCCAACCCCTTTCCCTGCCACTCCCTACCTGTATTCTACAGGTCCAGGCACACGGTTCTCTCTTCCCAAGTTTCTGCTCTTGCTGCTGCTGTTTCTAAATCCACCTAGAACAAGTGGCTTCCTCCATCTTGACCAGAACTGTCCATCAATCTTTCAAGACCTAGCCTCTCATCCAAGAAATTTACTTCCTTTTATTCTGGTAGTTTGGTGAATTGTATTATAATGACTTGTTTGCTTATTAAACAAATATGAGTACCTACAATGGGCCAAGCTGACTGCCTCAGTAGAAAGGACGCATCGTGAAGACAGAGACATCGTCTATTTGCATCTGCTTTGGCTTCCTTCACTGAAAAGCCACAACAGAGTTGGGTTCATATCCTGTCTTTGGCACCTTCTAGCTTTTTTTTTTTTTTTTTTTTGATACGGAGTTTTGTTCTTGTTGCCTAGGCTGGAGTGCAATGGCACAATCTCGGCTCACCGCAACCTCCACCTCCTGGGTTCAAGTCATTCTCCTGCCTCAGCCTCCCGAGTAGCTGGAATTACAGGTATATGCCACCACGCACAGCTAATTTTTGTATTTTTAGTAGAGATGGGGTTTCTCCATGTTGGTCAGGCTGGTCTCGAACTCCCAACCTCAGAAGGTCCACCCACCTCAGCCTCCCAAAGAGCTGGGATTACAGGCGTGAGCCACCGTACCTGGCCGCTGCCTGATTTTAATCAAGGGACTTGAAGCTTAAGTTTCCTCATCTGGAAAATGGGGATAATACTATTTCACAAGTTTGTTTAAACACAAGTTCCCAAATCCAGCTGAACGTCAGAATCAACTTCAAAAGTATGTAGAATGGGAATGAGCCAAGATACCTGCATTTTTTTAAAATCTCAAGTTTAATGCTTATGTATAGCCAGATTTTAAAAACCGTAAATTGGAGGCTTTTTCATAAAGTACCTGGCACATTAATGCTCAGTGCCCAGGTGTGCCCCGAACACGGCGTTCCTACTGGAACAAGCAGAGTTGATGTGAGATAAGGGGACCGTACGGGAAGGAGCCTAGGTTTAAACCACACATATAAATCGTGGGAAAGGCTGGGCACCGTGGCTCAGGCCTGTAATCCCAGCACTTTGAGAGGCCGAGGCAGGTGACTTGCCTGAGCTCAGGAGTTTAAGACCAGCCTGGGCCACATGGTGAAACTCCATCTCGAACAAAAATACAAAAAATTAGCCGAGTGTGGTGGCACACACTTGTGGTCCCAGCTACTCAGGAGGCTGAGGTGGGAGGATCATCTGAACCTGGGAGGCAGAGGTTGCAGCGAGCCGAGATCATGCCACTACACTCCAACCTGGGTGACAGACTGAGATCCTGTCTCAAAAAAACAAAGAAAGAAGAGACAGAGAGGGAGAGAGGGAGAGAAAGAGGGAGGGACAGGGAGGGAAGGTGGGAGGGAGGGTTAAGAAAGAAGTAAACACAGGACATGGTATTCCTGGCCAATTCTGATCACCAGTCACTCTGGAAGGCAAACAAGTGAACTGCCAGTAAACCCATTTGCTCAGCCCAGCCTTCTAAGAAAAAAACAGTATAAAGTCCAGAAAGGAGTAACTTCTTTCAAAGGTTAGTTATTCAGAGTGTTAAGTTACTGCTGAAAGTGTAAGAGGGGCAGGGACCTCAGAAACAGAGTTGGCAATAAACGAAGATGTTGGCAACTGCAACATTGCCTATTATTAGATCCATGTCATTCAAAAGGTAGCTTAGAACACAATGATACTGGCAATGTGTCCTTCTAAATAAGCGGGATCTTTTTCTATTGCTTCAGTATTTCCCCAGTAATAGAAGAGGGACATACATACAACCTGCTTCCTGTCACCTCACCTTGTGATGAGTGAAGTTGGCCTGTCGAAGGCCCAAGATACAGACTGGGATGTTCACCCTCGAGGAAAAAAAAAAAAAAGGGCTCAGGAATGTCATGGCACCTGCTATCTAGTCTGTGTGTGCCTTATGAGGAAACAGGATTAAACTAATTTTATAAAGTTCCAGGGCTCAGATCCATGGGTAGAAGCTATAAAAATGCCATAAAGCATGCTACAATCAGATATGACTCCTCACTCAAAGTTAGCAAGCATCCTCCTTCATTAAAATGAAAACCCAGGAATTCTGCATCCAGGAATTAATCCAGCAAAAAATACTGGGTACTTCCTAAATGCTCTTCAAGAGATAATTGGTTACACAAATTATGTGATATCTAAGAGACAGCAGAGCAGGGACATGGAAACTTAACACAGACAACCTTCAAGTTGCACATTTTAATTTACAATTTTTACCAATAAAAAGGATTAGTTTACAAAAAGGGAAGTCCTTTATACAAAATAAGGATTTTTTTTTTCCATTTGTAAAGAGAATCCACTGTCATGTTTTGCCTTGTCAAGTCAAAACTCAAATAGCTTGTTTTGGTAAAATTATTCCAGAAACATAATCCAGACAAAATCAATAACGTCATCAGCTTCCTAACCATGTTTAAGAGGAATAACTTCATGAACATTTTGCCCTGAACTGAAGAGTTCTAAATACTTGTAAACCTTTAGGAAAAAATGACTGCTCGCAGGCAGCTGACTGGTAAGAGGGTACACCAGAGACTCCGGGTCACTCACTGTCAGAATATTCTTATACATACAATGAGTCTCCACGCCTGTACAATGAGTGTACGTGCAACATAATTGGAGTAATGGCCTCTAAAATTTTACAAGTAAACTTTATTGTGGCCACAGATGAACAACAAAACATGACAGTTAAGGTTCAGACTCTCCCCACCTATTTTATCATATAAATTAAATATGGAGAGGTACACACAAACTCTATTCAAAATGAGAAGTTGTTTGCCAACTCTCATTTCCTAGGATAACACACATCACACTGTTTAAGAGTGGGGGAAAGAATAGTCATACTGTTAGAGCACAATGTTTCCTGAAAAGAAACTGATCAAAACGTTTGAAGCCTTTTTAGTTGCCTCAAAGTGTGACAGCCACTCAATACTGCTCCTAACAGTCTGCTTTCAGATAACGTCATAAAATAAAATAACTGTGTGAAAAGCCATGGCCTTCAAAAAACTTTATTTGGTTATGAGCCAAGCTCTGATAGGAAAAGCCCACCTACGAAAAAAAGGTGTGGGTATTTAAGCTGGTCTGATTCACAGAGCTTGTACATTCATGACTCAAAATAACACACCCTCAAACCCAAATGATTCTAAAGCCATTTCAACCTTAAATCATGTTATTCCCTTAGATGTGCTTACATTAGCTTTAAAAAATGATCTACGTGCAGAGAGGAGCTGCGCCTTCCTCACAATTAATTGAAACATGACCAAAAAACGGGGGATAGGCAAAAAAGTGACATTTAAATAGCGTATGAGGGTCTCTCCTCCTTTACTCAATGAACACATATCCAGAATGAGATTGAAATGGAATCAATGCCCAGGAGCCTCTCAAAGAGAGCATCTCCCTGTAGCCAACATGATCTGGATCCTCCTAACACAAAGCAACCCAACTACTCCAGCTACACAAAGCCAGTAGGCCTACATATGAAACGCAAAGGGGTTGCATCCCCCATGGTTTAAACCTAACCCATGTTAGCTGCAACTCCACTACAGTCTTGATCACTTAGCTCAGGAAACAAACACCCAGCAACAACCCTCGTATCTCATTAATACCAATCTGTGGCCCTCACTGACTCAGTGGTACTTTTTTATAAAAATATCTGAAGAAGTGGCAAACGGTTACAACGGATGTCAGGTCGAAGCAATTCCAAAAGCTGAGAAAACGCTTCATCCGCTGCTTGTCTTCTCCCCCTATTGCTACAGTTCTGCCACCAAAGGGGGAAAATTACGTGAATATGATTGTTGTGACCAAGCCTTGGCAAAAGTCAATAAATAACAGAACCTGTCAAGGGCAGAGCAATTTTATGGGCAACCTCTTCTAGTTGCAAATGTGGGGGTTGGGAAAAGTGGGAGAGAGGCATGTGTGCAAGAAAGAGATAAGGGTCCTTTTGGGAAGGGTTTGGTGACCCAGCCCCAGCTCAATGCCAGCAGACTAGGACCCGCTAAAACCCATTATTCAGACGGAAAGGGGAGAAGAGAAGACACCAAAAAATGTAGTCAGTTTTGCAATTTGCACAGTTGGTATTTGTTCTTCACAGCAGTAAGGACTTGAATGAGAATCGTGAAACTTGTGGAACACTTATATTTTTCTTCGGGATTTAAGAAACTTTGTCTCGTACTGAAAGACTACATTCAGTGTGGGTCAGGTCCAACAGTGTTAGCCAGAACGCAGTTGTTAAGTGCACCCAGCACTGGGAGGAAATGTGGCTTGAGAGGAGCGGCTGCCCGAGGCCGCCCCTTCACTGGTCTCCAAGTCGAAAGCCCTGGCCCCAGTTGTGTCTCCCGCCTCCGCCATTCTGATCAGCAGCTCGCCTCATGCTAGCAGGGGGCACACCAAATCCTGATACTCCTCCTCTCCTACTGGGCAGCCAGCGGTACCTGGTGCAGAAAGACGGGGACACAAACGGAGAGAAGAGAACAAAGTCACTTCCACATAGTTATCTGACCTCCGAGAACACCTCCCTCTCCTGCTGTTCCCATGGCACTTGTCATGTTGAAGGCAGCGAGGGACGTCTTATTTAACTTTGTCTTTTCTGTACTCAGCCCCATGACCTGACCACAGACGGCATTCGTTTTTCATGTTTCTTAAATGTATTCAGATTTCAGCTAAATTCACACTCTGAACGTTTTTTTCTCTGCTTATAAAAGTAATCCATGCAGAACAGTATGGAAACAAAAATATTACACCCACAAGCCCAGCAACCAAAGAATGACTGATAGCATCTTGGTATATCTAAATATGGCTCAAACTGGATCAAAGGATACAAAATACATTCACTTTCAAAGGCCAAATCCACAGCCTGCATGTTTGAGCCTTGCACAGCATTTCTAAAAGGCTCTCAGCTGAGCCCATCAAAGGAGACAGGGGAAGAAGGCTTTCTATGTTGGAAGTATGGGTATGTTTTAAAATTTATTCAGAATCTGCCTTCCAGGTACATTCTTCCCTTCTCACAGATGGTGGGAGAGCTGGGGCCCCAGACGGTTAGATGATTTCCCACCTTAAAATTAATAAACTAAGAGTTCACAGAACAGCTAAGAGAACTTAAACCCAAGCCTACACTCTCAATAGTATTTTCCAACTATTTCCCATCTTTGACTCTTTTATTAGTAAACTGAGAATGTGTTTAAACCTATTCCACTTAGCAGATCCTAATGTTTAAAATTTTGCTTGAAGGCAGAGAGCATGATCTGATACCTCCGCTTAAACCCTTCTTGGCAGCAAGAGTAAGTCATGACAGGTGACTTGTCCACAGCAGAAACCCTGAAGAGGACAGGCTTTATACTTGACCTTATACTAGAGCAGTTACTATGTGAATTTACTCAGTGATTATTGCCTTACACTAGGTGCTGCCTGCTTATAAATTCATCTGATCTTCACAATAACCCCATGAGGTAGGCATTACTATTACTCCTGTTTTATAAACAAGAAAATTGAGCCAACACTGAGTGAAGCGCTTCGAAAGTGACAGGATTCCAACCTAGTCAGCCTGGTTCCAGAGCCTGCGCCCTGCACTACTTGTTATACTACATGCATCCTGCCTGGGAAGGGACAGCAGTCAGTGACTGGAGTCTGTTTACATCATACTCGATACCTTCATGCCTCTTCCCAAAACAGACAACAACTCGGGTTTTTGTTTTTTTGTTTTTTTTTGAGACGGAGTCTCACTCTGTCACCAGGCTGGAGTGCAGTAGCATGATCTCAGCTCACTGCAACCTCCACCTCCCGGGTTCAAGCAATTCTCCTGCCTCAGCCTCCCGAGTAGCTGGGACAACAGGCGCCCGCTACCATGTCCAGCTAATTTTTGTATTTTTAGTGGAGCCAGGGTTTCACCATGTTAGCCAGGATGGTCTCGATCTCCTGACCTCGTGATCCACCCGTCGGCCTCCCAAAATGCTGGGATTACCGACGTGAGCAACCACGCCTGGCCAAAAACCCCTTTTAAACACAAAATTTAGTGTGTACAGAGAAGATATAACTACTCTAAATGGAATGGAAAATGGTGATACAAATGTATCAGCATTCCATTTAGAAAAGCAGTTATACCTTCCTATACTCACCTCCTCCATTTTAAACAAATACAGCTTTACCATTAAATCAAAATGTATTTTCCAAGTGCTGGTTTCTCAACATCCATGCCTTCTGGTACAATAATATTCCTCCAAAGTACATAATAAAATAGAACACTTGCTGGAGAAAATGCTAGGGCTGTCTTGCTTTGCTACTCACTCTAAGACAATATGGAAGCCATCTCCACTGCTTAAGTAGATAGTGAAATTAAATGCAAATAATTAGTATAAAAAGATACCCAATTATACATAATCAACAAAAATTTATGGTAATTTCAAAGCAGTTACTGCTTTTGCAAGGAGCTGTATTTTGTCATCTGATCTTTATGCAAAATTTAGCAGAAGGACTTCCCCCAACAGAGAAAGTTCAAGTGGAAGGCAGGCTCCAGGGCTCGCTGATTTTGCCACTAGAATCTTGTATCCTGTGTTGCCCACAACTGAGAAGTAGCTACAAGCCGTTAAGTTAGAATATGGCCATTTAAAGTAAAGTAACTGTTGGCTGCCCCCCAAAAGCACCAAGCTTTTTTTAATTGATGCATCTGCCATCCTACTTGATAAACCTAGATCAGAAAGCCAAACCTGCTGTTATTATGTCCTTTGATAATTAGAAACCAGATTGGTCATTTGTTTTTTTAGCCTGAAGGCAATTCAAGGCTCAGAAGAGAAACAAGTTTCTTTTTATTCTCTTAAAGAAAAACACACACACCACAACCACCAATATGGTATATCTCTGTATATTACAGTTCACAATTTGAAAAGTCTTTGAAAAACATACCCCTACCCTATAAAAGGAAGGGGAGAAAGAGGAGGCCTGCTCAAGTTTTACTGCCCTCACTGATCCCTTAGAGGAATGACAGAACTGCAAAACATTAAAATTAGCAAGATGTGGAAGGGTTTGGTTTGTTTGTTTTTTTAAAGCTTTCAAATGCAAGCTATTACTGCATATCCCTGATATGAGATTAGGCATGATTGTCAGGCAGGCTGTGACACCCAGATGGTGATTTAACTGGCCCGTTCTTCGACAGCCTTTTGCCTCACTGACAGAACGGTCACACGACTATTACATGCTTCTGGGTGTGTGCGCGTCTCCTCTCAGATCGTCAAAATCCTGCTCTCCTACCCCCACCTTTAGGAATATGGCAGCTAGCTTTACTTACCGAGAACCCGCTACTGTGCTTCCCAACAGTGTATCTTACCTCATGCAGTCCTGTGAGACAGGGGCTTCTCCCACAATTTACAGGCTTGCAAACTGAAGCTTGGAGGTTTGATTAAGTAACTTTCCCAGTATAAAAACTGCTATCTGAGGGGACTGGGATTCAAATCCAAGTTTGTCTCAAAAATCAAAGCTGTTGCCCTTACCAGCCCACTTCAGTAAACCCTAAAAGCAGATAAAGAGCACAAACTCCCAGGGGGTTGGGCCTATACAAACCTCAAGTCTCTCATTTTAACTCTGAACAGTCCTGTAAAATGTCTACTCCATAGTATTTAATATAAAAATGTTTAAAATTGCTGACCAACACGCTAACTTACCCTTCCTTGGGCAAAATCATGGGTAAAAACTGATGGGCCAAGAAAAGACACCCCACTAACCTGTGACTCTGCCCATTCACCAGCCTACTGTTTCGCACTCTGGAGTTGCATCAGGTCCCTCAGCAGGCTCAGAGAGCTGAGATGCCTCCTGTAATGTTGGAATCTAGTTGTCAGTGGTCCCTGGCTAAAAGAGTAACAGGAAGGCAACTGAGCCTAAGCTTTAATCCCTAACTTCCTGTGACTGTGTGACTAGGGTAAGTCACTTGTTGCCTCAGGTTTCTCCAGCAGATGGGGCATAGGGGTAAATCATACTCCTCATGGAGCTCTCATTAGGATGCACTAAGAACACAGGCAGTAAAATGTTAGATGAGACAGGACAAAAACACTTACAAAAACTGAGGTGTGGATAGAAAATTTCTTCCTCCCAAGTCCATTGGGTATCTGAACATTAGGAAAAAATAAAGATGTCCAACCAGATTTCCAATAAGCTCATTGATTACCCTGCAAAGAGAGCCAAATGAGTTTAAAGACATTCAAGCAATAGAGATGCACCAAGTTTTAACTAATAGCATAAGGAAGAGAGCCTTCAAGGCAGCCCATTTAGTCCCTGGGAGTCTGTGAGAGCTGACAATGAGCACTTTTGTAGTCTGAGTGGCAAATGCATTCTGAGGGAGACGGGAAATCAGTCCTGCTGAACCAATGAGGCCTGCCACTCTTCAAGGCCAGCAGCCCCTCTGACCTCTCTTTCAAGCACCAGCCCATCCTCAAAATATTGTTTTTGCTACTTCCTGCCTCAAGAGTTGGGGAAGTTGCAAAGCATGCTTCTGAATGCTTTCAGTCATGAATATTGTATTTATAAAATGTGGGCAAACATGAAGGCTACCAAGAGAGAAGCGTGGGAGTAAGGAAAAGAGGAACAATAAATGCCTGTTCCCCCTTTCCTGGAGCCATTAAGCACTTCTCCCTTGCCTCTTGTATCCTTGAGTGTAAGACACCACAGAGATCACTTAGGAAAGCCGACTTGCACCCTGAAATCAACGCTGACCTTCTTCAGTTTTCCCTTGGCTTACATACAGGTCACCTCAAGAGTGTATAGATCTACTGTTACTATTACAAATCCTCTTTGTCTTCACCTGCAACATGATTCCCGTCAGGGGCAAATCAACACCTGCAACTACTTCAGACTTCACCTTCCTGGGTGGAAGAGCAGCTTTGCCAAGTTCAGAACATGCTTTGCTCTAAACAGTCTGCTCCATCCATTCACTTCTCCCCAGCAATATGCAGAAGAAGTTAGGATCACACAGAGCAAATATGTCAGACACATGAAGAACCAGCAATATAAAAATGGATTGAAATATTAAAAGTAGTTTGTAGTATAAGAAATGGGAGTTCTGGCTGGGTGCAGTGGCTCATGCCTGCAATCCCAGCACTTTGGGAGGCCAAGGTGAGCGGATCATTTGAGGTCAGAAGTTTGAGACCAGCCTGGGCAACACAGCGAAACCTCATCTCTACAAAAAATACAAAAATTAGCTGGGTGTGGTGGTGCACACCTGTAATCCCATCTACTCGGGAAGCTGAGGCATGAGAATTGCTTGAACCTGGGAAGCAGAGGTTGCAGTGAGCCAAGATCACGCCACTGCACTCCAACCTCGGTGACAGAGCCAGACCCCATCTTGAAAAAATAAATAAGTAAATAAATAAACAGAAAAAATGAAGAAATGGGAGTTCTTAGAGAAGTTGCATCTTGGTATCCTCCCTTTAAAATTCTGACTGGATAAATTAAAGCTATTCCTATGTCTAGCTCTAATTCCTGACCAATAGACTAGATATTTGACCCTGGTTGGCCAAAAGTTCTGTATTATCATCCAGGCATGGTGGCTCATGCCTGAAATCCCAGCACTTTAGGAGGCCAAGGCAGGCAGATCATTTGAGGTCAGGAGTTTGAGACCAGCCTGGCAAACATGGCAAAACCCCATCTCTACTAAAAATCCCAAAAAAAAAAAAAAAAAAAAATAGCCGGGCATGGAGGCGGGCGCCTGTAATCCCAGCTACTCGGGAGGCTGAGGTAGGAGAATTGCTTGAACCCATGAGGCAGAGGTTACAATGAGCCAAGATCGCACCATTGCACTCCAGCCTGGGCAACAAAAGTGAAACTTCGTCTCAAAAAAAAAAAAAAAAAAGTTCTGTATCATCAAACCACTTGCAAAATTATATCCTATCTAAGAATCTGGATTTCTATGACCGATAGGCAGTTTCCAAGGCATTCTGGAAATGCCTTAAGAATATAAGACATAGTAATTTTATACATAGCTCTTAGAGGAGCCAACTCAGACAAAAATTAGGTCTCTGTTTGCCCAATCAGAATAGTGAATCCAGAAATACATATTTATTCCTGTACTATACACATAGGAACATACTGTGTGTAACAATAAGTTAACAAAATCACAACCATTCAAGGTTAAATATGCTTAAAGCCCTGCAATCTAATCAATTCAATCGAAGTGAAATTATTCCATAAATATAGGGTTCTAATGCGTCAATGTTGAGATTCTTTAAAGTTGTATAAAGGTTAGAGAAAGATAAAAACTAATGGAAATTTTCCAAGGATTAGTTTCCAATTAAATAAATCTAATATCACTTACGAGCCTCCGATGATATAGTTGAATCCAAGGATAACCCAGGGTAAATAGCAGGCCTAGGATGGAATGAATATATGCAAATGTGAGTAGCCACACCTGACGAGGACACAGCTACTACGGGGACTAAAGTGGGTAAGGATACACTGACAAGGGCTTTATATAAATCCTCTGGAAGGTCACTGCAAAATTTCTAGGATCAATCTAGCATTATTCCCACTATACTTAAACCTTCCTATCTAAAACTAGACTTAATTGTGTATTTGTAACTGGAAGGACACAGTACTTTGCCCACAGGTCTGATGCAATACAGGCCCTGCTGAACTGCTATAAACAGACAGCTTCAAAAAGCAGATGAGTGTCCTACAGATGCTACTAAAAGCAAGGCCCATGAGAGAATCACACTAAGATTCCAGCCAACAAATTGCTACAAATAAAATAAACATACCCCATCTTTTTAGGTTCTTCTTTTACATATCTTGCAAAATTCCTCTGAATTTTTATCTCATTATGCATTGATATCTTAAACTAATACTCTCCCAAATAAGAAAGCTCTCCAGATGAACTCAACATTTGAGCCCCTTACCAAATCCAAGACATCATACCAAGAGCTAAAGGAGTTGCAAGAAACTTCACAAACTAGGAAAGAGAGGGTTATACTCAAATAACTTTACAGCTACATGTGCTAAGTACTAAAGAGAAACACAAAGTATTGAAAAAGCCCAAACGTAAGACTAATTCTAGGCAGGAGATTCAGGAAATATGTTCAGTTCCAACTCAAATTAAGAATGGGTAGGATTTATACAAAGAAGAGAATCAAGATGTTACAGGTGGAAAATTGTGAAAGAATGTACAAAGAGAAGTGTTTGGGGGCAAAAACAATCTGTTTCAGCTACAGTATAAAGCAAATAACAGGGAACGAGGGAGGGATAAGAACAGATTTTTAAAGCAGGGTTTCACATGAGTTATCTCTCCTTCTCTCTAACACAGACACATAAGATCACTCAGGGACATAACCTTGAGGGGCCCGAGGTACAGAGGGAGTGAAGAAACAAAGGCCAGCAACGGACTCCAGGCTGGCTAATTAAATAGAGCTGGGATTGAGGAGGGCAGAAAGGGGCTTGCCTATGGTACACTGCTCTGCAGTGACCCCTTCTGGATGAGTCAGAAAGTACATCTCTGGACTGAAGAGGGATTTCTGCAGACAAATGAAAAGGACACTTTTCCAACCAAGGCAAAGTACCTTAAATCGTGTTCCAAACCAAAATGATACAATCATGTCTCTGTTCAGCTGGGCCCAGACATAAAGTACTGACATGATCAGAGGAATCATCAGCAACTGCAAAAGAAGTCGACATGTAAAAACCAGGCTCCAGAGGCACTTAAAAAAGGTGTACATCTACTATGCTTTTTACCCCTCCTCTTCACAACAATCCTCACCTGGGTAAAGGGAAACTCAACTGATCAGAATTATAAATTGATCCTATTATTTATCATACAATAAATATTACAAAATCCTATAATAAAATACAACAAAACTATATTATTTTAGATGGATTCAGAAATGTAAGAGTCAAGCTCTGTTATTTACAAAAAGTAAGCAACAAAGCATTACCATATAATCTCAATTTTTAAAAAACATCCATATACATGCCTAGAAAATACTAGACAACCACTGTTGTCACATGCCTAGAAAATACTAGACAACCATTATTGTCAATGTTCAAACACCAAAAAGAGGCCAGAAATGAGCAAGGAAAGCAATGATTTAGATAGCTCATGTAAGATCTTCAAAGATTTAGCTGACTTAAGATCCTCAAAATAAAACAGCTATAGGCCAGGCACGGTGGCTCATGCCTGTAATCCCAGCACTTTGGGAGGCCGAGGCAGGCGGATCATGAGGTCAGGAGTTCAAGACCAGCCTGGTGACATGGTGAAACCCCATCTCTACTAAAAATACAAAAATTAGCCGGGTGTGGTGGCGTGCATCTATAATCCCAGCTACACGGGAAGCTGAGGCAGGAAAATCACTTGAACCCGGGAGGCGGAGGTTGCAGTGAGCCAAGATCAAGCCACTGCACTCCAGCCTGAGCAACACAGCAAGACTCCATCTCATAAATAAATAAATAAATAAAACAGCTGTAATTCCATAATTTCAAAATACCACATAATTAACCCCATAGTTAATGCAATTTCAACTTCTGACAAAGGCCACTAATAGTATATTTGAAACAAATAAAAGGGCAAATAGATAGTTTAAATGGACACTTACCTGCATATCCATTGCTAAGCCAGTAATCTTGGTTTGTAAAGTTAAAGATCAGACATAAAAAAGCATTCTGTACCTAGTCAAGACTGATGTGGTTATTTTCCTCCCATTTAAAAGTTCACTTGGCCAGGTGTAATTTGGCTCATGCTTGTAATCTCTGTACTTTGGAAGGCCAAGATGGGAGGACTGCTTGAGGCCAGGAGCTCCAGACCAGCCTGGGCAACATAGCAAGACCCCATCTCTAATTTATATACATATTTTTTTAATTAAAAAAATTTTTAAGTTAATTCCAGTGTTCTGAAGGAAAATACTTTTCTATAGTTCAGATTGCTTAAAACATTCTACAACACAAAGGTATCTAATCTTCATTATGCATATTCCATTAGACGATACCATGACAAGGACATAGTAGAAATCAACAGCTTCCGCATATGACTTAGTCTGGTCATCTGGCATCCTTTTTCTCTGCTATTGCATTTTAACATCTCTCCTTCAAATAAAGGATGAAGATGCCTGTAGCCTTTGAAGGAAATAATCATTCTACTTACATTCTCAGGACTCTATAGCATGGTTAAAGTCCAAAATATTTTTTCCTTCCCTCAAAGGAGGGGGGAAAGGGCATCCACAGTGCCACATTTTCTGGCCCTCAGCCAAGTTTAAATGGCAGCTGAGCCCAAAGGCAATTTTGAGCTCACCAATTTTGCACAGGACCTGAGACATCGAGAGCTGCTGCTGCTCTCACCATCTGTAAGAGTCCTGCAGTTGGAGGGCTGCTGACAACTGCTATTGATACAAAGCAGAGAAACGTACTGTGTCCCTTCCCAGAGCTGGGTACTTCACAGAGGGACTGAATTACTATGTAGGACCCCAAGAGAAGGACAGCAATGAAGTCAGAAAAGGATGCTGGTTGTAAATTAATTTTCTGATAAGGACCACAGATTTCAAAAGCTGTCTCATGGCACGGACTCTCTTTGTGCCTCAGTCAACAAGCTGTCACACATGAGAACACAGAGAACTGGGAACAAGAAGAGGGAACAGTCATAAAACTACTCAACCAAAGGTGGAAAAAAATCCCACAAATGGTAAGAGAATGCATCACTCAAGGGCTATATGATTTACTACAGTTTTTTTTAAAAAACTATAATTATTCTTATTAACGGTAGTCAACCAAGATGCAAATATTGTAATTTGAAACGTTTACAGAATATGGTCTATTTCCCCAAACCTGGAAAAAAACTGGTTTATTTCTGGCCCAAAATCACAGACTGAAGGATACCACGATGCAAATCCAGTTAAAGAGGAGCATGAATAAATAGTCTGCTGGCCTCCCATCAAAAGCTCCTGGAAACAAAAACAAGCCAAATGTCATGGTTCAGAATTTCACAACAAAGTAACATCTACATAGAGAAACACTTCAAAAAGTTACAGAAAAAGCCAAAATGAGAACATTTTAAAAACCACTCCTCTCTAAAAAAGTGAATTTTTAAAAATATCTAAACAACGTCCCCAATAAAGCCCTGAATCAAAGTTACCTGAGTAAGGTTAATCTATGCTCTCCTAACTGAATTCCAGTAAGTGACATGCTCTGACTACCACAGGCTAAAACAGACCCAGAGAAAGTACAGTCAATTCCACAGCTTCTGAGCCCTGTATCCCAAAGACCAGTGAGGCCCCCCAAGCTCCCTCCCAGCCTGTCAGCCTTTCCTTCTTGGCTCTCGCCATGACCTGATGGCCGCATTCTGGATTACATGCTTGATCCCTGTCCTCCTCCACTAGACCGTTAAGTTCTGTCAGAGGAGGAACCATGCCTGTTTTGTCTCCATTGTGTCTCCTCCAGCATGGCTATGCTGGGAGGTACTTACCATTATTATTAGAAACACACATACACACACACAACCACCTGTACCACACTGGCCTTAGATACTGAAAAAGAAAGTCTCTGTCTTCCAGAGACGTACATTCTACCAAGGGAAAACAATGTGGGGGAAGGAGGGAATAAAGCGTCAGCCAAACCTTTCCATAGCCTCTGACTCAGTCCTCATACTGCATCTGGAAGGGAGAATGGAAAGACCTACGACCTGCTTCTTACAGATGCAGAGTTAAAGTCACATGACCAAAGTCACAGAGCTTGTTAGAACCAGAGTGACATCAAATTACTAGCACAGTGCTCCTGTCACTGCGCCATATGCCTTATTGGGCAGAATAATCAACAACGGCCTCCCGTGTAAGCATAATTCCTAATGCCTTCAGTTAGAAGACTTTAACAGAAGAAAAAAAAAAAAAGAAACAGAAATGACTGTAAGATCACTCTAGCTTGAAAGTTACTTTCCCTCCCCGTTCCACACCCCCTCACAGTTACATGATACAGCTAGTCAATTTAAAAAAAGAAACCCAACAAGTGTCAGTAAGGCAAAAAGATATAATTAAAAGAAAATAGGTTTCCAGCAAAAGTGTCTTCTACTCTCCTTTATTTCTCCCTTGATACCTCAAAGCACACTTCAGCCACAGTGTTAAGCAGGCCTAATGCTAGAGGATCACAATGATGAATCACAGCTGAAATTCTAACACAATTTCCCGATTTTAATAATAGCTGTGCTTCTTTTGATGTGGCTTTGGCTGTCTGATTCCTAAGGAGTCTTTAGACTGAGTACTTAAAATATTGTAATCATATAAATTACAGCACTATATTATCTGACATGCTTGCAACTGAGAATTTACAAATTAACTGGTTTCAAATTACAGTCTTCCAGTTCAAATCAGAAACCTCAAATAAGCCAACTCTGCTATATAACTAACAATTTAGCCAGGCAGGAAAATGTGCAGGTGGCAAACATTTTGTCAAGATGTTAACTTAAAGCTGTGTGGTTGACAGAAAACTGGGGATCAGTGAACCTGGGTTCCAGTCCTAACTGCGTTAACTCAAAGAGCTCTGCAACTTTTGGGACACGTCACCACCACTCTAGATCACTGTTTTCTTATCTATGAAATAAGAGTGTTAAATAGAATGATCTCAAAAGTTCCTCTCTACACGTTCATAGCAGCTATTATTCACAATGGCCAAAAAATGAAACCAAGTCAAATGTCTATCAACTGATGACTGAATAAACAAAATGAGGTATATCCATACGATGGAATCTTAATGGTAATAAAATGGAATGAAGTACTGATACAGGCTATATGGAAGAATCTTGAAAACATTATGCTACGTAAAAGACATAAGTCACAAAAGGCAACAAGATACTGTATGATTTTAAGAAATGCCCAGAACACGCAAATCTAAAGAGTCAATAAGATCAGTGGTTTTGGTCAGGTACAGTGGCTCACGCCTGTAGTACCAGCACTTTGGGAGGCTGAGGTGGGCGAATCACTTGAGGTCAGGAGTTTGAGACCAGCCTGACCAACATGGTGAAAACCTGTCTACTAAAAATACAAAAATTAGCCAGATGTGGTGGTGCGTGCCTGTAGTCCCAGCTACTCAGGAGGCTGAGGCATGAGAATTGCTTGAACTCGAGATGCAGAGGTTGCAAAGAGCCAAGACAGTGCCACTGCACTCCAGCCTGGGCGACAGAGTGAGACCCTGTCTCAAAAAAAAAAAAAAAAAAAAAAAAAATTTAGTGGTCTCCTAAGGGTGTGGGGGAGGAAGGGATTGAATGAAAAGGGAGAATGGCTGCTAATGGTAGGGTTTCTTTTGGGGGTGGTGAAATATTATAAAAATGGGTGTGATAATGACTGTACAACTCTGTCAATATACTAAAAACCAATGAATTGTGTATACTTTAAATGGGTACGTTGTACCGTACATGAATTACATCTCAATAAAGCTGTTAAAAAATGCCTCTCAGCTCAAGCCTTTCAAAATGCTCTGTAGTTGTTGAGTAGGGAATGAGGAGGCAACTTATAAAAATCAAAGCAAATAAAAGAGACCAGTGACCTAATAATCCCACAAATTTGTCCTAAATTGGTATTCAGAGAGAATAACATTACAATTTGTTGTATTACCTGACCAGGTAATAGGGTTGGGTAAAGGGATTCAAAGCACAAGAAGGCAATTAAAAATAAAAGTGGCCATTGGCCAGGTGCAGTGGCTCACGCCTGTAATCCCAGCACTTTGGGAGGCTGAGGCAGGTGGATTACCTAAGGTCAGGAGTTTGAGACCAGCCTGGCCAACATGGCGAAATGCCATCTCTACCAAAAACACAAAAATTAGCCAGATGTGGTGGCATGCACCTGTAATCCCAGCTACTCGGGAGCCTGAGGCACAAGAATCACTTGAACCCAGGAGGCAGAGGTTGCAGTGAGCTGAGATCACGCTACTGCACTCCCCCGACTGGGTGACAGAGTGAAACTGTATCTCAAAAAAAAAAAAAAAAAAAAGTGGCCATGGAATTATTGCAATTTAGGTTTAATAATAGCATTAGAATTATGTTTTAAGTCCTTATAGTTCAGAGTTAAATTCTGAAATATTTACAAATGAAATGCCTGGCATTTTGCTTCAAATAATCAGGGGTGGAGGACAGCAATAGATATAAATAAAACAAGATTGGCTATGAGATAACTATTAGAGGTGATAACCATTAGATGGTTAAGGAGGGGTTCGTACTGACACACACTATGACAGGAATGAACCTTAAAAACATTGTGCAAAGTGAAAGAAGCCAGTCACCAAAGGACATATGAAATGTCCTGAATAGGTAAATCCATATACACGGAAAGTAGATTAGTGGTTGCCAAAGGCTGGGAGGAGGGAAAGTGGGAGGTAAAGAGTGACTGCTTTGGCTTTTTTAGGGAATGATGAAACTGTTCTGGAATTAGATTGTGGTGATGGCTGCATAACATTGTGAATATACTAAAGACCACTGAATTGTACACCTTAAAATGGTTAAAATGATGAATTTTATGTTATGTGAATTTGGTCTCAGTAAAAAGAAAAAAGGTTCATTGACTTTTCCCTCCACTTTTGCATATGTTTGAAAATTTTCCAGAATAAAATTTTAAATAACTGATCATAAATGATCCACACTTAATCTATTTTACTATTGATATAACGTTTACTATCAATATAAAATAATTACTCCAGCTGGGCACAGTGGCTCACGCCTGTAATCCCAGCACTTTGGGAGGTCAAGGTGGGCAAATCTCTTGAGCCCAGGAGTTCAAGACCAGGCTGGGCAACATGGTGAAACCCCATCTCTACAAAAAATACAAAAGTCAGCCAGGTGTGGCGGTTTAACACCCATCCTTGTAGCTACTAGGGAGGCTAAGGTGGGAAGATCACTTGAACCCCGGCAGTCAAGGCTGCAGGGAGCCATGACTGTGCCACTATACTCCAGTCTGGGTGACAGAGCAAGACCCTGTCTCAAAAAAAAAAAAAATTACTCTAACAAATTAATGCTCAATTAAGTTATACCAGAAAGGCAGACTGCTAAGCACTCAGTATCATTATGGGTCCAACTGGAACAAAGGAGAATAAAAATCACATATTCTGGTAGATTTAAAGATCAAACCCCTAATATGGTGGTGAGAGGCCTAGTTGTCAGTTTCATTTCTGCCAAGTTACTTTACTTCCTTGAATCTCCTATTCATCTTTTGGTAAAACTCAGGAAATAAACTAGGTTCCTCCCAATAGTAATATAATAGTCTATGACCTTACACTTTGTATTAATACAATTTCTTTCTTTTTAAAAAGAACCTAAAAGCAAATGCCAATTTAAGGAAAAATGTTACTTGACATCAAATACCCATCCTACTATTTCCCTGCAGTGATGAGACTGATTCGCAATTCTCAACCATATGAGCACTGACTTACATACACTTAAGGGTAGTTCAGAGTTCTCTATCCTGAGGTAACAGCCAGCAAGTTTATAAAGTCTCTGAAGTCAGTCAGCCTTTTCAAAGTCATTTAAATTTAACAAAATTATATCCATATTGTAACACAGTGTATTGATGTATTGTTTCTTTAGTATAAGTGACTCAGACAGCATATAAGGTATTGTAGGAAATAAATGACAATTCAGTAAGACACTTTTACGAAAAGATTTTTCGAACTTATCCATAATATTACATAGGTTGGCTGGGCACGTTGACTCACACCTGTAATCCCAGCACTTTGGGAGGCTGAGGCAGACAGATCACTTGAGGTCAGGAGTTTGAGACCAGCCTGGCCAACAGGGTAAAACCCCATCTCTACTAAAAATATAAAAATTAGCCGGGTATGGTGGCAGGTGTCTGTAATCTCAGCTACTCAGGAGGCTGAGGCATGAGAATTGCTTGAACCCGAGAGGCAGAGGCTACAGTGAACTGAGATGGCACCACTGCACTCCAGCCTGGGCAACGGAGCAAGATTGTCTCAAAAAATAAATAAATAAATAAAATAAAATATTACATTGGTACTCATACCTGATAAACTACCATATATTATTAAATCTTGGCTATATACTGTATTTTAGAGTTGAGTTTTTCAATTAGAGAATAAATCTAGGCTTTTAATTACATAAATTGATGTTTTTCAACCCCAATCTAGGAGACATATATACTCCAGCCCAATTCTGCACTGAAGGACAAGGACTGCTGCAAAAGAAATGAGTGAGACCCTCAAAATAAATGAAAGGCACACAGCTCAGCCACTAAGGAGATGGACAAGCCATGTCAACCTCTGATCTGCTACTTTTTGCATCTATAAAATGGTAACACTGCTACTTATACCTCAGGATGTTGTGAGGATTAAAAATTGAGTAAGCTAAGTGCCTGGTGCAGTCCTGGCACAGTCACTAAGCATTTACTATCTTTATGCAGTTTCTTTTTGTAATGCTAACTGCCCTCCAAATTCCTCCAAAGTAAACACATGGATTAGTAAATGAGAAAGAAACAATGCTTAAAACAACTATGGGTAACATACCTGTTTCAAGTCGCGTAGAATACTGATATAAGAAATATAAATTGACCAAATAAAGAAATCCAGTTCCTGGACCCACAGGGAAATAAAAGGTGGCAGTGATTGGCCTCCAAATCTGTCCAGATCAAAATAAACACAGCTGTTAGTTTCTGTAAGCCTGGTTATTTCTTTCCCTTCTAACTAAACAAAATTAACAAAGCATCCTCCTCAATGAGAGGTGTGAAAGTGATCCTACCAACACAACTCAAGAAAACAACTGAAGAAAAGTGTTCACACCAAATACAATCACATCACTTTGCAAATCAATGGAATAAAACGACATCATAAAATAAGCAACAAATATTTCTAAACAAGTTGAAACAAAATCAATACTATATGAGTATATGGTTAGTCTTTGCTGAGATCAGGCATACAATTAAGCCTACATCAAAAAATGAATTACAAAGGCTTAATTTCCAACAGTACAGTAATGCCTCTATTTAGGGAAAGAATATTCTGGAATGACAAACCTTGTCCAAAAATGCCACATTCAAAGGCAGAAGTAAAACAACAATTTTTTATTCAAACCAATGCACTAAATAGGCAATAGGGGCACTTTTTCTTTAAAAACATTTCCCTGAAAAAACAAACAAAACATAAGAAGGGTCTAAAGTAACAAGCAGGCCAGGTTCGGTGGCTCATGCCTGTAATCCCAGCACTTTAGGAAGCTGAGGCAGGCAGATCACCTGAGGTCAAAAGTTCAAGACCAGCCAGGCCAACATGGTGAAACCCTGTCTCCAATAAAATTACAAAAATTAGCCAGGTGAGGTGGCGGGGGCCTGTAATCTCAGCTACTCGGGAGGCTGAGGCAGGAGAATCGCTTGAACCCAGGAGGCGGAGGTTGCAGTAAGCCAAGATCGCGCCACTACACTCCAGCCTGGGTGACGAGCGAAACTCCGTCTCAAAAAATTAAATTTAATTTAATTAAAATAAATTAAATAATAAAGTAACAAGTAAGCCTCATTCCCAACCTCCAGTCTCCCAGTTCCCCAACAACAGCTGATCAGTGTCTTGTATTTCCTCTAAGAAATACATGTTACTATTACTCATTCTTCTTTATCCTACTCTATACGGCACTGTTTTATACCTTGGTTCATTCCCTACAAAATATTTTAATTGGCTTCATAGTATTCCTTGTATGTGAATGTCTAAACTTTTGTTTAAACTGTTACAATGCCACAATGAATATTCTTGTATATCCTCTTTATATGTGCATATACAGAATAAGTTCCTGTCAATAAATCTGCTAGAGCAACAGACATAACCATTTATTTTGGTAGATACTGCCAAATGCCTACAAAAATGTTTGCTCAATTTATACTTCCTCCTAAAAAGTAGATGAATCCTGTCTTCTCTCCATACTCTCACCATTTCATGTATTATATATTCACCAATCTGAAAACTAATTTTTATTTGCATTATGAGAAGTCAAGCACCTTTTCACGTTTTAAAAACCTGAGCATTTCCTTTATTCATTTGTTTTTCTGGATTTACATTTTTTTTTTCCCCCCCGAGATAGGATCTTGCTCTGATGCCCAGGCTGGAGTGCAGTGGCATGATCCTAGCTCACTACAACCTCCACCTCCTGGACTCAGGTGATTCTCCCACCTCAGCCTCCCAAGTAGCTGGGACTACCAGCATGCACCACCACACCTGGCTAATTTTTATATTTTTTGTAGATACAGGGTCTCCTGATGTTGCCCAGGCTGGTCTCAAATTCCTGAGCTCAAGCAATCCACCTGTCCTGGCCTCCCAAAGTGCTGGGATTACAGGCATGAGCCATCGCACCTGGCTGCATTTCCTCATACATTATGAAATTTCTCTTTCTCATCATTGCAAGCATTTTCTGATGTCATTAGACTTTCATGGTGTTTTTGCCATATTTTGACATACAAAAGTTTAATTAAATGTAGGCATATGTATCCATGATGTGTCATGTTTAGAAAGTCTTTTCGCTCCAAGAATGTAAGTGTTCATGGTTTTATTTTAGCACTTTCAAGGTGCATCCAAGGAATGAGGAAGAGATCCAACTGTTTTTCTAAATAGTCACCCAGTTTTCCCAACCCCATTTACAGAGTAACCCACATTTTTTCCAATTATTTGAAAAACTACTTTCATTGAACGTTTATACTCTAGTCTCTTTTACATGTAGGTCTATTTTAACACCATTCTGTTTGGAATTGGTTCCTATGCCAATATCAAGTTATTTTAATTTCTATTTTCTTTTTTTTTTTTTTTTTTGAGACAAGGTCTCAGTCTGTTGCTCAGGCTGGAGCGCAGTGTTTTGACCACAGCTCACTGTAACCTCAAATTTCTGGGTTCAAGCAATTCTCCACTCAGCCTCCCAAGTGGCTAGGACTACAGGCATGTACCATCACACCTGGTAATTTTGTTTGTTTGTTTTTTGAGACGGGCTCTTCCTATGTTGTCCAGACTGCTCTCAAACTACCAGCCTCAAATGATGCTCCCACCTCAGCCTCCCAAAGTGCTGAAATTATAGGCATGAGCCACTGGGCCTAGCCTAGTTTCTATTCCTTTTATAACATATTTTAATAGCTGGTAAAGTTAAACAGCTAAATAATATCTCCCCCTTTTTTTCTTCAACAATTGTCACAATTTTCTTGGTTAGTCTCAATATTTTATTTTTCTAAATGAATTAGAACCATTCTTTTATTATATCCATGTGATATTGATATAATTCCCAGCCAAGAAGTTTTTCATAGCTTTTAGAGTTGTCTATAGAGCTATCTCTTTCTACCTTTTTATACTTAACCACAAAAGCTGAGTATCTTACTGCCTACAATATTGAAAATTGAGCTTCGGCCGGGAGTAGTGGCTCATGCCTGTAATCCCAGCACTTTGGGAGGCCGAGGTGGGCAGATCACCTGAGGTCGGGAGTTCGAGACCAGGCTGACCAAGGTGGAGAAACCTTGTCTCTACTAAAAACACAAAATTAGCCGGGCGTGGTGGCACATGCCTGTAATCCCAGCTACTCGGGAGGCTGAGGCAGGAGAATCGCTTGAATCCAGGAGGCAGAGGTTGCAGTGAGCCGAGATCACAACACTGCACTCCAGCCTGGGCAACAAGAGCGAAACTATGTCTTAACAAAAAAGAAAATTGAGCTTCTTGGGCTTTCCAAGCATACAACCCTAGCTGTAAATAAACTTTTGTATCTTATTTCATTCTTGTCTAATTCACTGGCTGGCACCCCCACCAGAACAATGCTAAATAGTGATTGAAGCAGATGGCCTTCCTAAACTTTTGGAAATGGCAGCAAAATGCTGGCTTTTGGTGTGAGAGATATGTGTCTATCTCATTGCACACTAGCATGTACCAAGCACAAAAGACATGGCCCCTGAATTCCTCAGAGTAGTGGGGAAGGCTGTCAAAGGAAGAAAGGGTTGGCACAAGGGAGGGGACATGTGGACTTGTTACAAAGGCCCCAAGAATTGCAAGAGCACAATAACTGAATGGGTACTGCTAACAATTCAAGTGTGGCTGGAATGGAGGACGTCAGTCACGGGGACTGGCCACATACAGACTGGCCAGTTCCATTCTCCAAGTACAGGAATGTAACCCTCAGAGCTTAATTCCTTGTAGAGGGAAATGCAATGTGCATACCAAAAAAGTGACTTTCCAAGAAACGTGTATTAAACCAGAAAAATAAAATAGTTTAACATTTGGTTTGATTCATTCACAACTTTATCACAGAAACAGGATAGTTTAGTGGAAAGGGAACTGGAGATGACTTGAGAAGACCTGGGTTTAAGTTTTTGCTTATAAGTCACCACTTCCGAGCCTCAATTTCCATAGTTAATTTTTTTAAAGAAATCAATAAATTAATGTGCTACTCAGCTTATTTACACGCACTGATTCAGGAGACGGATTTCATAGATGAGGAAACAGGATGAGAAAAGGTTAAGTATCAGCCAGTAAGTGGTGAAGCTAGAATTTTATCCCAGACAGTCTGACTCCAGAGTTTGTGATACTAAGCCCCTATTTTTACAATCCCTCTCACAAATGGCGTCAGTATTATGAGGTACAATTACAATTAGTGTAAGTGTTCACTACTACAGACACTTGTGTAATCCTGAAATAGACTCAGAGTAAACCTACTAATTAATTCTCTGTGCTTAAGAAAAGGACTGGGAGTAAAGACCAGAAGCAAACCCTCTAGGTAGCCCTGGACCCTTGGAAAAGTATGGACGTCAAATTGGCTTCATCATCTACCCAATGACATTATCCTATGACTTCTGCCTTCCTTATCTTACAGGATTTGTAAAAGGTTGGAATTAAGAAAGTGAATTAAAAAGATACTATGCAAAAAGAATTAATATGTGTGGGTGTGTTAATTGTATTATCACAATCTTTTCGGAAACACCCGCTAACCAGTTTTTATAAATTCATATTTCAACTACCCCCATATTCCTATAAGTTACTCAAGGCCTGGTTTTGGAAAAGAAACCTTGTTTTTGTCTGACTACATTTTCTCTAATGCTGATGACATAAGACTATTTTTAGTCACTGTTTGCACCTGTTCTTTGGAAATCAGTGTCTGTCAAAATATCTCACTTCTTTTCCCTGTTCATTAAGCCTACCCTTGAGTTATACTTGCTTTCATTGATCTAAAAGACTTAATATTATTTTTGTGTTACTTTAAAATTATAATCTGAAAACACCAGAAGACAGCTTATCTCTTTAGAAGGACACAGTGTAACATATTTCGGAAATCCCCATTGTAAGTATCCAACTAAATCCCATTTTTTCCTCGACCTGATATGTAAACAGTAAGGAGAAGGAACTGGCTTTACGTTCAGTGCCAGGAGTGAAGAGGCCCATTTTCAACCCTGGAAAGCCTAAGAGGCAGCCAACTGCAGCACAAAGAGCCACGACTTGCAGACAGAGGACTGCCTGCCTCACACTTACTGAGAGGACTCGTGGGGGAGTATCTCATTTTAAGTCCACAGCAACCTCAAGGCCAGGCCCATAATGATCCCAGTTTTTTCAGGAGGAAAGCTGGGCCCTAATTAGAGTTCCTCACTTAACAAGGACATGTAGCCCATGTGCTCACTGCTATATACACCCTTAAAGAAGACATAAGACATTGTTCCTCAGTTATTAGTCCAACAACTTCAGAGTGTAGGTTGCAGCCATCCTTTAGCTAAAATCTTCTAAACAATCTGCTACTGAAATAATTTGCCATCCAGAATCTAGTGTTTTTTTTTTTAAAGTATGAAAAGTGAGGATTTGTCTGAAATAATAAGGATCACTTGATTCGGACTTAAGTATATATCAGTCACCAAGCAAGAAAGATGATGAGCACCTGTGTGACAAATGCTAGTTTAGTAAACTGTGGCCTTTTTTGCTGGGTGGGGAGACACAACGGGTAGGCAAGAAAAGGCCCCTTCCATTCATTTAAACAAATGAAAGGCACTTAATCTTTAAAAAGAGCAATTAGAAGCCATCAAATCTACTCCTAGATATATAGGCAACAGAAATTACTATTTCTCCTCACCAAGAAGTACATATGTTCACCAAGACATGTATTAGAATGTTCATAGCAGCACCATTCATAATAGCCAAACTGGAAACTGCCCAAAAGGTCCATTAATAGCTGAATGAGTAAATAAATTGTGGTATGGTCCCATAATGAGCAACCTATAACCACATGCAACAATATGGGTGACTCTCATAATGTTGATAAAAGCAGGTAGACACAAAAGAGAACATACTTCATAATTCCACCTATAAAAAGCATAAAAACTGGCAACAACAATACATGGTATTAAAAATCAAGAGCATAGTCACCCTTAGAGAGGACAGTGACCAGAAGGAAGCAGGAGAAAGCTTTTAGAGATTCTGTTTCTTGATCTGAATGCTGGCTGTATACATGTTTTGAATTTTTAAAAACTCAAGCTATAAACTTATTATACATACACTTTCCTGCTTGTATATTGTAACTCAATAAAAAGTTTTTTAAAAAGCCACAATCTAATGGGCAACATTATTACAGAACACAGCAGAACTGTTCAACATGGACAGGACTACTAAGGAAAGATCTTAAATTACGTACCAGAACACTTGCCACTAGAGTTCTATAGCCAAACCTTGATGGATATAGAACTTCTATGCTCAGCCTATAGTCCAAGTTCATTCTCCTCCCTGCTATGTTGAAACGTCTCTCTTCCCCAATACACCCTTAAATCAGTCTCCTAAGGTTGCTGTCATCAGGTTAAATGTGATATATAAGCAAAAGCTTGGCAAATATAAGCACAAGGCTGAGTCACAGAATTGGTTGGTACCATTTCTTATTCCTGGAAATAAATTAGAGAAATCAAGAGTTCACATCTTCCCATTTCAAGTCAGGATGCTTTTAAGAAGACAAAGCAGAATAATCATCCAGCAGTTACATTTCAATTGCAATTACTAATTAAAATTAGAATCTTACTGTCCAGGAGAGAAGGAAATAAGGCATAAAGTATTGGCTGATAAATAAAAATTGGCAACTATTTTTTTTCCCATACCAACCACGTAGGAGGCAACTATTTTTGAATAGCTTATTTATCAGGCTACTTATTGGGTATTACAAACATTTTTCTATGTGTTCTACATACTAGAGGCAAGAAGTAGATAACATATTTCCTCAATTTGAAGGTACTCGTTCCTGTGTTTCTGAAATTAGAGTGTCTTACAATCAATACACTCGTTGAATGTAATTTCTACTCCCCTGTCCCCCAAAAAAGTTGCATTAAATTGATGGTGCATCGTATAATCAATGGAGTCTTAGAACAAAGTTAATATGCTATGATATTATCCTCAGATCCTAAAGAAATTGAGGCTCAGACAGGATAAATAACTTGCCTAAGGGTACACAACTAGCAGGGGACTGAGCCAGGCCTTGAGACCATGATTCAACTACTTGAAATCTAACAGCCTTTCTACTCGAATAGAAAAGGAAAAACAATTTGCTATGATTGATTTGGAAGAAATCACCTTCAAAAATGTTTTGCTACATACTTATTTTTTTCGTAGATATTATGCAAAGGAGTTAAACAAAACAGCTTAGAACTATCCTTGACTCAACGAAATAGAAACTGAAACTGAAGCTGTCTACAAAATGGGGGTAACACTTATCTCAGGATGACTGTCAGAGTTCAGTGACATGACCTCAGGGAAGTTGTAACAGGGTGATGTTATTTTGTCCAAAGAAATGAAGAAATATAGCCATGCAGGCGGCCCTGGGAGACATAACCTTAGAAAACACAAAGGCAGCAGGAATTGCCACCTCTTGTGTAGTTAATCAACGATTAATATGAAGACATTTCATTATTGTGAACTATTTGATTGATGAACATAAATCTGAGGGACTCAGAATAGGGAGAAATCGTAGACAACAGTATAATGAGTCTTAACACACACCTGTTTCAACCTATCCAAACTAAAGAAATAACATTATAAACCTCAGCGTTCTAAACCAACAAGCTACACACAAGAATCTAGAGCTGAGGAGGAAAAATAACTTGTCACTTCCAACATGAGCACACAATTCTAAATCAATCACTCCCCCATTTTTGTAAGTTGTGAAAGATTCAGCTTCTAAGGAAAAAAGGAACTTTCTAGCAGAACTCTGCTAAAGCACACCGCACACTGTCCGTGCACAGCAGCCTCTCAAATGCAGTTTTTCCTTGACTGCTTCATTTGCAAATGAGTTCCTCCAGGTGGGTCTGAAAGTTACATGTGTCCAAAATAGGCAAGAATCAGAGTAACAGGAAGAAAAGACAAGGTACAGCTGTTGGTCTTTTCACACCTGGGCAGTACACTGTCCTGCCTCCTGCTGGCAGCTGAGAAGAAATAATACAGGGAAGATGACAAAATTGTGGAAGATGTGACAAGAACGATTACTCTTTTTAATCAGTTCACCACTTTTAACCTTATACACCCGCAGCCTGTTAGGCTTATTTACATTGCTTCTTTACAATGTGCTTATTTACATCGTGTAGTCACTAGTGTCACTACACAAGTGAGGATTTTGCTAACAGGGACAACAAGCCGGTTTTGACCAGGTCCTTCTCACACATTAATATGCCACCATTGCTCCCCATGACCACACATTACCCAACAAGCCACCAGGGACAAAGTACACAACATTCTCTCAGCCAACAAATATTTAGTAAAGTAATAAACACAGAACAGTATGCAATTCCAGCTGCACTCCAGAGTCATGTTTTTATATCCAACTGCTCCCTTGGCCTCGCCACATGGATGCCTGAAAAGCATCTCAAGACTTAGCACAGCCAAAACCTAACTCTTCATCCATACCAGCCCCCACTCCCAACCCAGGTATCCCTGACCATTCCCCATCTCAGTCAAGGGCTCCGCCATCCACTCAGCTGCTCCTGTGAAAACAGTAGTATCTTTCAGTCCTGCTCGCTTCACCCATTCACTCTTTATATCCATTCGGCTGTAATCTCGTCCCCTCTGCCAAGTCTATGCCCTTTTCTCTATCTTCACAGCCACACTGATCCAAACCACCATCTCTCTGGCCTCCTAACTGGATTCATCTCTCTGATCTCATCACCTAGCCCTTCCTCCTTCAACCCCCTCCATACACACACAAAGTCCACTCCACAGAATAGTCGGGGCAATCTGTCAGTCCTTTGTTCACAAGGCTCCAAAGACTTCATAGTGCCCTCAAAATAAAGTTCAAACCTCTTAACATGACCTACAAGGCTCAACTATGATCTAGCTTTAACCCACCTTTCCATCTTAGCTTTACTACACCCAGCCCTGGCTATCTCCCTGCTGTCATCTACTAATCCTCACCCTACAGCTGACCCTGTGCCAGCTGGCAACCCAGTCTTCTTCCTGTTCCCAGCTCCTACTTCTGAGCCTTTCACTTACTAGTCCTTCCTGGAAGGTTGTCTCCAGAGCCAGATCTACCCAAAGCTGGCTGGCTGGCTCCTCAGTATTCCAATTTCTTCAAATGTCTTCTCTGAGGCCTTTCTGGGTGGAACACCCTATCAAATATTACACCCCTTAAAACACGTGCCTCTATGTCTTCACAGGCTCTGAAACCTTTTCAGTCCTATTTACTATTGTACCCCAGTGCCCAGCACACAGCAAGTGCCCAATTACTTCCAACAACTCAGTTAATATATAAGCACCTACTACGTCCCAGGCACTATTCCAGGTAACAAGGACAGTGGTGAACGGCTCTCATGGAGCCTTATTCTCTGAGGGGAAGCAGACTAATAAATACCAAAGGGTAATATGTAGCAAGAAAAATGAAGGATAAGGCCAGGCTCAGTGGCTCACGCCTCTAATCCCAGCACTTTGGGAGGCTGAGGCGGGTGGATCACCTGAGGTCAGGAGTTCAAGACCAGTCTGGCCAACATGGCGAAACCCCGTCTCTACTAAAATACAAAAATTAGCTGGGCATGGTGGTGTGCACCTGTAATTCCAGCTACTTGGGAGGCTGAGACAGGAGAACTGCTTGAACCCAGGAGACAGAGGTTGCAGTGAACCAAGATTGCGCCATATACACTCCAGCCTGGGCAACAGAGCGAGACTCCGTCTCCAAAAAAAAGAAAGAAAGAAAGAAAAATGAAGGATAAGGGATAAGGGAGTGGAGTGAAGGACGGGCTATTTTATGTACGGCCATCAGAGAAGGCCTTGTCAACAAGACGGCATTTGGGCAGAGATCTGAAGAAGGTTAGGAGGTAAACAACTGAGCCACGGTTATCTTCCTCAGGCAGAGAAACAACATGTGCAAAGGCCCTGAGGAGAGATCCAGATAAGCACTGAAGTAACAGCAAGGATCTCATTGTGGAGCCTAAGGTACAAGTTGGAGAGTAGTAGGAGATGAGGTCAGAGAAGCAGCAGGGGCCTTGCAGGCCACTGAAAGGACTTGGATTTTACTCATTAAGAAGACATGGTAGGATTCTGGACAGAGGAAAGACAGGACTTGATGTAGGTTTTAAAAGGATCACTCTAGCTGTCTAGAGAAAAGATGGAAAGGAACCAGATTGCAGTGATAATGGCTTGCAATGGAGAATGAAAAGGGATTGTATTCTGGATATATGTCTCAAGTAGAGTCAATAGGATTTGCTGACAGATTGTGGGGTGTGAGAAAAACAAGAAAAATAAAAGATGACTCCGACAATTAACTTCAGCTCCTCTAATAACGGAGTTGCTATTCACTTCTAAGGCAAAGGGGGAAAGGGGATTCAGTTTTGGACACGTTAAGATGAAGATGACTCTTAGTCATCCAAGTCGTGATTTCAAGTAACTGCTGGATGCACAAATCTGGAAATAGGGAGACAGATCTGGACTGAAGATATTTATATTTATATTTCAGAATCTCCAGTTTATAGAAAGTATGTAAAGCCCTGAGGCTGAATGAATGAGACCACCTAAAGCTAGGGAGAGTCTATAGAAAAGGTCCTATAACTGATTCCCAAGGCACATCCTAACATTTAAAAGTCAGGAAGATAAGGAACCAGCAAAGGAAACCAAGAAGTAACACCCAGTGAAGACAGGGAAAGACAAGAAAATGTTATCCATAGGCCAAGTAAAGGGCTGAAATTAATGCCAGATCTTGCTATCTGACCTGCCACTGATTGAAGTTTTAAATCAGAAATTGGTGAATACAGATAACCTTCAGAAAACTGGCACTCTCTTGACAGAAATGTTACTCTGGACTGTTTCCTTCATGCTTAAGAAAATAACAAGGCCTTCCATTTCTGGACAAATGTACTCTTTGCCCATTCCTTCGTACATTCTATTACTACGTGGGGGACACTAAATTAGGTCTAGAGGGAAATGCAGAACAATACACTCGTTCTTTGTATCTCTGACTTTAAATCACTCCTATAGGAAAACCAAAACAAAAAAACTCCATAAACGTGAAAGGAACTCAGCTATAAGTTGGTGAAGTTGACACCTACAGGCCACCCACGTGGGTGACAGAGGGAGGTCAGAGGGCAATGCTCCAGGCGGACCTAATCGCCAGCGTCCAACAGATTGACAACTACCAACGACTAATCTCACTGCTTCCTTCACTGAGTGCGAAGAGCGGGAAGCACAATCTCACTATACCAGTGAAGTCAACCCCTCCCCACCAGGCCAGCCCACAACTCCAGCTATCCAGCACCCCGCTCCAGATCCCAGAGCCTCCCCGGGCCCAAAGGACCCCGCCCTAAACCGCCGGCGCCGGACCCACTACAAATCCCAGCAGGCACCGCGCGCCCGCAACATGCCAGCCTACGCTTAGCCGCCGCTGGGCCTCCTGGGGCCTGTAGTCTCCACGCCCCCCGTCTCCGGTAAGTACCTGAAAGCGATAAAGGAAGGCTTCGGGCCAGAGGAAGAGGTAGGCCGGGCTGATGAGGCCGAGTTTGCCGACCAAGGGCACGGCGACGGTGGCGGCGAACCAATAGCGCGTGATCGCCGGGATGCTCCTGAACCAGTCTCCGATGTCCGACATCTTCGACCCACAGGTAGCCAAGATGCACAAGACCGCCCGACTCCCCGTGCCGACCCCCTCACGACGCGGCCGGCTCCGCGACTGTTAGGTGTCTAGGTGGAAGCCGCCGAAGCCGCGATGCAGAAGGCGGAGACGGGCGGACGTGGCGCCACCGAATTCGGACCAGCGAGGCAGCCTTCTGAGGCGAAACTTCCCCTTCCGGCGACCGCGGACGACGTGACCAGAAGTCCCGCCGCTTAAAGGGTAAGCGCCGATTTTACCGCCCGGCCGAGGCTCGGCGTCCTGGGGGGCGGAGCCAGGTAGAGCGACTACACGACTGGTGGGAAAACAGTGGTTGCCTGGATCAACGGCAAACGCTCCGGCCAGTGGCGAGGCCAAATGCCATTCACCTAGTTCTCAGAGTTTTAATGCGGCTGGGTCCACCTGGAGGGTATTTAAAGGGGACGAAGGCAAACGAAGTGTCTAGTTCCTCGTCTGCTTACTCATTCCACAAGTGTTTGTTGGGCACAGTTCTAGACACTGGGCAGCTGCGGCTGTCAGCGCTGTCGTGGTACCCTCTCTCCTGATCTTAACATCCTCATTGGGATAATTTATAAACAAATAGATAATGAAGTAAGATAATCTCAGAGAGTGATTAGAAAAATAGGAAAATGAAATGAGATGATGAGGTGGAGTGACGGGGTGGGGGTGCGGCAGTGTGAGGACAGATGGCTACCTTAGGTATGAACTGGGCCAGCCAGGCAAGAGATCTGGGGGAAGAATTTTCCATGCACAGAGAAAAGCCGCTCTAACTAGGTTGGAATGTTGGAGGAACTAAAAGCCAAAATGATCCATCTTGTCTAATTCAACTTGTATAAGAAGGAATCTTTAAGAAAAGATACTGGCCAGGCGCGGTGGCTCACGCCTGTAATCCCAGCACTTTGGGAGGCCGAGGCGGGCGGATCACGAGGTCAGGAGTTCGAGACCAGCCTGGCCAACATGATGAAACCCCGTCTCTACTAAAAATACAAAAATTAGCCGGGCATGGTGGAGGGCGCCTGTAGTCCCAGCTACTTGGGAGGCTGAGGCAGGAGAATCGCTTGAACCCGGGAGGTGGAGGTTACAGCGAGCCGAGATTGCACCATTGCACTCCAGCCTGGGGGACAAGAGCCAGACTCCATCTCAAAAAAAAGAAAAAAAGAAAAGATACTGAGTAGAGTTTCCCGTTGTTTTGGGATTTGGGGCCAGCAGTTTAAGATTGCTAAAGTCTTCCAATAAAGAGCACCAGGAACAAACCTGTAGTCAACAAAGTTAGATTTATTAACTTGCTGCAGCAAGGGAGACTGCACTCCAGAGGAACCTCAATGCCTCTCATCAAACGGAAGTGTCATTATTGGGTTATGGGAATGGGGGGATTTTTTGGTAAGAATTAACTGGAGCAGTGTTTGATAGACTCGAAGCAAAGCAGAGCTGTGTGCAGCATCAGGTTAACATCAGACCTGAGTAGGAAGCAGGCTCTTTCCTTGGAAATCTCAAAATTACGACAAATGTGAAACGTTGGGTCTGAAAACTCTATCTAAAGCTTTGTACCTGTATTGAAAATCCTGTGTCAAAGTGACCTGTATGGCTCAGATGCTCTGGACAAGAATGGGATGTTCCATTCACACGGAAAGGATGTCAGACAGCAGAGTTTCCAACATTCCATAATTTTAGAGAATATTTGTCAGCACCATATCCTTGATGTTAATTAATAAAAACAGTTTTTTCATAACAAAAAGGCATTAAATATTCCACAGTGTAATGAGAGTATACAACATTTGGGAACCAATGGATAGCAAATCTACGAAGAACACAGCTGGTGGGAATATAAATTGATACAGCCTTACAAAAAGATAATTTTGATATAAAAGCTAGATATTTATATAAATAACAGATAATACTTGACGATATTGCCTGAGGTTTATTCTGTTTATTTCCCTCTACTACCACCACCATTGTTTTGTACCCACTACTCATAACCAAGGTACAGTGAAAGAAAACAGGGGTTATCTGGCTTAGGTGGAGGGCTAAGGAAAGTTTCTCTGATAAACTTAAAAGTACACGTGCATGAGAAAAGACAAGAACAAGAAAAATGTACACCCAATATCTGGCAGTGTTTATTTCTTTTTTTTTTTTTTTTTTGAGACGGAGTCTTGCTCTGTCGCCCAGGCTGGAGTGCAGTGGCGGGATCTCGGCTCACTGCAAGCTCCGCCTCCCGGGTTCAAGCGATTCTGCTGCCACAGCCTCCCGAGTAGCTGAGACTACAGGCGTCCGCCAGCACGCCCGGCTAATTTTTTGTATTTTTAGTAGAGACGGGGTTTCACCGTGTTAGCCAAGATGGTCTCAATCTCCTGACCTCATGATCTGCCCGCCTCGGCCTCACAAAGTGCTGGGATTACAGGCGTGAGCCACCGCGCCCGGCCTGGCAGTGTTTATTTCTAAGTTGTGCTCTAGAATTCATAGTGAATGCTCTGGAATTCAACTTCGGCCTTTAGAAACACTGAAGTTTAAATCAGAGCAACGGTAGGCCAGGTATGTCTGGTCTTTTCTTGTAACTTTACATTCAAAGGCTTTCTGGCTGGTCCGATGGTAGTGATTTATCAGAACTTATTAACATTAGTGTCACTAAAGTTGGTATACAACCCCCCACTGCTAAATTTGACTGGCTTTTAAAAATATTTATTATTTTTAAATAATATTGAATATTTATTAAATTTATTATTAATTTATTAATAATATTATTTAAATAATTATTTTTTAAAGGCTTTCTCTTTCTACAAAGTCTTAATAATCATTTTAATGACTAATATTCTACTAGTGATGTGGCAGAATCTTTTGACCATTTTCCTATTTCTGATACCTGTTTTTAAATACTATATATAGTTCTATAATGAATACCTTTATGCATATACATTTTATACTAATAGCTAACTTTTTTATTTACTAATATCTAACATTTGCTGAGTGTCTACAGTTTGATTGGCACTCAGCTATGCCCTTTATGGGCATGGTTTTAATTAGTCTTTACAACAATGCTTCAACCCTATGAAGTACTTTTATTTCCATTTACAAATGAAGAAACAGCCTTAGAGAAGTTAAGTAACTTGGCACTTGCCGGCAGGTGCATATATAAAACTTCAACCCAGATCTATTTAAAGCCAAAGGTGGTGCTTTTTTTTTTCTTTTTTTTTCTTGAGACAGCGTCTCCCTCTCGCTTCTGTCACCCAGGCTGGAGTGCCAGTGGCGCAATCTCGGCTCACTGCAAACTCCGCCTCCTGGGTTCAAGCAATCCTCCTGCCTCAGCCTGCCAAGTAGCCAGAATTACAGGTGTCCACCACCATGCCTGGCTACTTTTTTGTATTTTTAGTAGAGACAGGGTTTCGCTATGTTGGCCAGGCTGGTTCCAAACCCCTGGCCTCAAGTGATCCACACACCTCGGCCTCCCAAAGCGCTGGGACTACAGGCATGAGCCACCACGCCCAGCCCAAAGGTGGTGCTCTTTCATTCATTTATTCAGCAATGCTTTTGTCCAGTGCTTGTTATATACCAATAACAGTTCTAAACAGTGAACTAAACTGACAATTATCTCCACCCTCTTGGAACTTACATTCTAGAGGAGGCAGAAAGACAACAGAAAGAGATAAAAGTAAGATGTACAGGCTGGGCGCGGTGGCTCACGCCTGTGATCCCAGCACTTTTGGGAGGCCAAGGTGGGCAGATCACCTGAGGTCAGGAGTTCGAGACCAGCCTGGCCAACATGGGGAAACCCCGTCTCTACTGAAAATACAAAAATTAACCGGGCATGGTGGCATGCGCCTGTAATCCCAGCTACTCAGGAGGCTGAGGCAGGAGAATCACTTGAACTCGGGAGGTGAAGTTTGCAGTGAGCTGAGATTGCGCCATTGCACTCCAGCCTGGGCAACAAGAGCGAAACTCCTCTCAAAAAAAAAAAAAAAAAAAGTAACATGTACAGTAGGTAAACTGGCAATAGGAATAGGAAAAGAAAAAAGAAGAAAAGGAGATTTGGGCTGGTGAGGGAAGGCCTCACTGCAAACTCAGAAGATATTGAGTACACGTCTCAGGGTGGTGAAAGAGCAAGCAGTGTGGAGATCTGGAGGAAGAACAGTTCAGATAGAAGGAATGGCAAAGACCTTGAGGTGGGAATGTGGCTGGCATGGAGACCTTAAACACGAAGACCCATGTGGCTGAGTGGAGCGAGAGTGGGGATGGAGGGTCAAGAGACAAAGGAAGGAGAGAGTCACTGGAATCATGGAGGACACTGTAGGTTATGGAAAGGACCTTGTATTTTACTGTTCTTACCCACTAGGCCACACTGCCTCTCGATCCTTTTGTTGAACTGATTTCCAGGAGTAGGATTTAAAATAAAAAGATATTAACAGCTCAATGACTTTTCCTCCCAGAGGTGGTGTGATTGTGAACCTAATCAAACTTAGGCTACAGGACCCCTCACTTGCACAGGCCTTTCCAAGGCTCTGTGCAAAACTTTGTAAATTTTTTTTTTTTTTGAGACAGAGTTTTCACTCTCTTGCCCAGGTTGCCCAGGCTGGCATGCAGTGGTGTGATCTCGGCTCACTGCAACTTCTGCCTTCTGGGTTCAAGCGACGCGCGTGCTTCAGTCTCCCAAGTAGCTACGATTACAGGCACCTGCAACCATGCCCAGCTAATTTTTATATTTTTAGTAGAGATGGGTTTCACCATGTTGACCAGGCTGCTCTCGAACTCCTGACCTCAAGTGACCTCCCCCCCTCGGCCTCCCAAAGTACTGGGGTTACAAACATAAGCCACCATGCCCAGCCCTGTATTCATAATTTTATATGATGTTTCTTGAAGTAGGTCCTCCAAACTGTATAAACTTTAGGCCCAAAAAAATCCAGATCTGCCCACGTACTTCATATTGCCATCTTGCTTTTCACCTTAGAAAGGTGACTCTGGGCCAAGCACAGTGGCTCACACCTGTAATCCCAGTACTTTGGGAGGCCAAGGCGGGTGGATCACCTGAGGTCAGAAGTTTGAGACCAGCTTGGCCAATATGGTAAAACCCCATCTCGACTAAAAACAAAAATTAGCTGGGCATGGTGGTGGGCACCTATAATCCCAGCTACTCGGGAGGCTGAGGCAGGAGAATTGCTTGAACCTGGGAGGCAGAGGTTACAGTGAGCTGAGATCACGCCACTGCACTGCAGCCTGGGTGACAGAGCGAGACTCCATCTCAAAATAAATAAATAAATAAATAAAAATAAAAGTCTCATTCCAGTCCTGCCTGCCCTTCCTCCCACTCAAGTCAAAGCCCTTCCCTCCCCTTCCTCTTTCTTTCTCTCTGAAAACAGTCAGATGCCCCAAGAGAATGGCATTCCAGAATCCTATGACTATAGCTTTACAACACCAATGAGTTATGTTACATATATACCATATATATATATATATATATATATATATATATATATATATATATAAATTGCTTTCACCAAAAACAGGAAGAGCCAACCTGCATAATATAGCAAGACCCCATCTCTACAAAAAAAGAATTTTTTTTAATTAGCAAGCATTATGGTATGTGCCTATAGTCCCAGCTACTTGGGAGGCTGAAGTGGGAGGATCACCTGAGCCCAGGAGGTCGAGGCTGCAGCAAGCCATGATCACAACACTGCACTCCAGCCTTAGCAACAGAGCAAGACTCTGTCTCTAGAGAAAAACCAAACAAAACAAGAAGAGGGTCTCAGATCGTGCCCTCTAGAATGTGAGCTCCATGAGGACAGGGACTTTGTTTTGATCACTTTTGTGTCCCCAGTGCCTAGAACTGTGCCCGGTACATAGTAGGTGCTCAATAAAGGCTTGTTCACTGCAATGAATTATGATTCATCCTAGAACTTTTCCCTACCCTTATCCCAGTCACCACCACCCAGGCTAGGTTAAATACCCACCACCAACTTCCTCTGTACTCCTAGAATACCCTGCACAAATCACCATCATTGCACTTAGAACATAGTTTGATAACTGTTTGTGTGTGTGGTAGCTGTCTCCTCCTCTAGAGTATAAGTTCCGCCCAGGTAGAGCCTGGATTTTATGGCTCCTCACACAAGACTAAATAGATTTCGTGAGCAAATCCTGACCCCTCCACCTTCAAAATATGTCCCAAATTAAACCACTTCCCAACTTTTCCACTGAGCTACCCCCTGGCCCAACTACTATCATGCCGGTGTCGGGACTTTTTTTTTTTTTTTTTTGAAACAGGATCTCCGTCTGTCACCCAGACTGGAGTCCAGTGGTGCAATCTTGGCTCACTGCAACCTCCGCCTCCCAGGTTCAAGCGATTCTCCTGCCTCAGCCTCCTGAGTAGCTGGGATTACAGGTGCATGCCACCACAGCCTGACCAATTTTTGTATTTTTAGTAGAGACGGGGTTTCACCATATTGGTCAGGCTGGTCTCAAACTCCCCACCTCAGGTGATCCACCTGCCTCAGCCTCCAAAAGTTCTGGGATTGCAGGAGTAAGCCACCACACCCGTCCTCAGTGCCTGGACTTCTGCAGTGGACTTCCAATTGGTATCCCTGCTTCCGTTGCACCCCTCTGCAGTCTGCAATCCCACAGGAGCCTAAATGAGACCCTGTCACTCTCTTGCTCAAAGCCACATTGCATTTTATTCTAGCTAGAGTGGAAAGCATGATGCAAGGTCCTTACCATGACCTTCCAGGCCCTATATGATGTGAACCTTGGCAATTTCTGTGACCTCTCACTTTTCCCTTGTCACTCTGCTCCAGCCTCAATACCTTCCCTGCATTGGACAGTTCAAGGCATTCATGTGATTGCTGTACCTTTAGCCTGGAACACACTTCCCCCAGAGGAGTGGTCCTCAACCCTATGAGGCCAAATGCTGTCTTTTAAAATATTTGCTATCCCAATGCCACAATGAAAACCATAGGTTATAAATTACAACTCCAATAAAATAAATATAATGCCCTAATTGTGATATAATGAGAAAAAAAGGAAACCAACTTCTACTATAATATAGATTTTAATGTTAATGATCAGGCACAACTATATTAGCAAACGTCATGAAAACGTCTGGTACTTGCAGTTATAGATTTATGGCGAGTTGAGAGCTATAAATGCAGACAGATATCCATGTGTTGTATTTGTGGCTCAAACACCACCAGCTGAATCGATTGGCATTGGTTACATGACTGTCCACAATGGTGGACAGCCCTTGGAAAAATTCTGAATATAATAGAGTGCATAAAAATTCAAATGTGATAAAAGACAGATTCAATGATATAAAAATAAAATGTGTTTGCATGACAAAAAATCACGTAGAGGTAAATGACTAAGTGGGAGAAATTATTTCCAAGATATATCATAGATAAAAGGCTAAAATAACCAAGTATATAAGAACTTGTAAAAAATGAGGGGGAGAAAGACCAAAAACCTGACAGAAAAACAGATAAAACACACAAACAGATAATTCACAAAAAAATTAAATTACCTTAAAACATTAAAAGATACTCAATTTTCTCATAATATGAGAAATGCAAATTAAAATCATACCGAGATACCATTTCTCACCTATCAGATTGGCAAAAAATAGTACAATAGGAAATATTGTATAACAATAGAAACAATGTATACATTTACTCTTTAACTCGACAATGGCAATTTTAGTAGTTTACCTTGAAGATAAACTTGTAACAGCATAAAATATTGTACAAAAAATGTCAGATACCCTAGTAAGTGAAGAAAGTAAAGTGCAAAATAGTATATAATATGTTACTTTTCATGTAAGAAAGAAGAGGAAATAAGAATACACACACAAGTAAAAAAGAATTAAATCGCGCCACTGCACTCCAGCCTGGGCGACAGAGAGAGACTCCGTCTCAAAAAAAAAAAAAAAAAAAAGAATTAAAAAGCTGGGTGTGGTGGCTCAGTACCTTTAATCCTAGCACTTTGGGAGGCCAAGGCAGGGGCATAACTTGAGGCCAGAAGTTTGGGACCAGCCTGGGTAACATAGCAAGACCCCGTCTCTACAAACATAAAAATTAAAAAATCAGCCAGGTTTGGTGGCACCCACCTCTATTCCCGGCTACTCGGGAGGCTGAAGTGGGAGAATCACTTGAGCCAGGAAGTGGAGGCTGCAGTGAGCTATTATTGTGCCACTGGACTCCAGCCTGGGCAACAGAGTAAGTTCCCATCTCTAAAAAGAAAAAAGTGAAAGGGAAAAATAGTACAGTCTTTCTCGATGAAAACAGTAGAATAGTTAAAAACAAAGAAAGAAAGAATATAGTAGAAGAGTGGTTGCATTTCAGGAAAATTTAGTGTATACTGAATCCCTATAAATATTCTTTATGTTTATATGTAAAACAGAGTTAGTTCTAGGTTCAGATATTACAAACAGGGTTTTTACTTACAGCAGTATCTTAGGAATTGACAAATGGGTGTGGGCCATCTTGCACATTGTGGAATGTCTTCCTAGCACCCCTGGCCCCTGCCCTACATGGCTGCATGTCCCCTAGTTATTGTGATAACTCAAAACAACACTGTTGCAAGTTGGATTGTGTTCCTCCAAAAGGTATGTTGAAGCCCTAGCACCCAGTACCTGTGAATGTCACATTTGGAAATAGAGTCTTTGCAGATGTAATCAGGTTAAGCTGAATCATACTGAATCAGGATGAGGCCAAATCCAATGACTGGTGTCTTTTTTTTTTTTTTTTTTTTTGAGACAGAGTCCAGGCTGGAGTTCAGTGGCATGATCTTGGCTCACTGCAACCTCCGCCTCCCAGGTTCCAGTGATTCTCCTGCCTCAGCCTCCTGAGTAGCTGGGATTACAGGTGCCCACCACCACACCCGGCTAATTTTTTATATTCTAGTAGAGACGGGGTTTCACCATATTGGCCAGGCTGGTCTAGAACTCCTGAGCTCAGGCAATCCACCTGCCTTGGCCTCCCAAAGTGCTAGGATTACAGGCGTGAGCCACCACACCCAGCCAACTGATGTCTTTTTTTTTTTTTTTTTTTTTTGAGACAGAGTCTCACTCTTGTTGCCCAGGCTGGAGTGCAATGGCACAATCTTGGCTCACTGCAACCTCCACCTCCAGGGTTCAAGCGATTCTCCTGCCTCAGCCTCCTGAGTAGCTGGGATGACAGGTGCCCTTTACCACACCCGGCTAATTTTTTTTTTTTTTTTTTTTTAGTAGAGACAGGATTTCACCATGTTGGCCAGGCTGGTCTCGAATTCCTGACCTCAGGTGATCTGCCTGCCTCGGCCCCCCAAAGGGCTGGGATCACAGGCGTGAGCCACTTCAATTGGCCTGACTGGTGTCTTAATATAAAAGAAAAAACGTGGACACACACAGAGAGAGGGAGAAAGAGAGAGAGAAGATCATGTGGAGACAGAGGCAGAAATTAGAGTAACACATCTACAAACCAAGGAATGCCAAGGATCGCCAGCAACCTCTAGAAACTAGGAGGAGGGCATGGAACAGACTCCCCTTCAGTGCCTCCAGTAGGAACCAGCCCTGTCAATACCTTGACTTAGGATTTTTTTTTTTGTGACACAGTCTCGCTCTGTTGCCCAGGCTGGAGTGCAGTGGCACGATCTCTGCTCACTGCAACCTCTGCCTCCCAGTTCTCCCAGGAGAACAGAGGCAGTTCTCCTGCCTCAGCCTCCTGAGTAGCTAGGATTACAGGTGAGCCTCACCACACCTGGCTAAGTTTTGAATTTTTTTAGTAGAGACAGGGTTTTGCCATGTTGGCCAAGTTGGTCTCGAACTCCTGACCTCAAGTAATCTGCCTGACTTGGCCTTCCAAAGTGCTGGGATTACAGGTGTGATCCCAGCCAACATGCCCAGTCTTGACTTAGGACTTCTGGCCTCCAGATATGTGAAAGAATAAATTTCTGTTCTTTTAAACCAAACCTCCACACAGTATAGTGCATTACTGAAAACCTGTCTTGGGCCAGGCATGGTGGCTCACACCTGCAATCCCAGCACTTTGGGAGGCTGAGGCAGGAGGACTGCTTGAGGTTAGGAGTTTGAGATCAGCCTGGGCAACATGGTGAGATGAGACTTTGTCTCTAAAACAGAAGAGAAAGGGAGGGGAGGGGAGGGGAGGGGAAGGGAGGGGAGTTTTTGGGTCTTCCTTCTGTACAGCTTAGACAACACCCTTCAGTGGTACATTCCCTGAACACTTTAATCAAAATACCATCCCATGCTATCAGTCTCATCCCTTTATTCTGCTTAAATGTTTCCTCACTTTTCATTACCCAACATACCATTTATTTATTTTCTTATTTGTTCATTGTCTGTCTCCCCAGCTAGAATGCAAGCTGCATGCAAGCACGACTTGGTTTTGTTCACTGCTGTAGCCCCCCCACCCAGAGCAGCTCTTGCGCACAGTAGGAGCTCAATTCATATTTATTGGCCAGGTGCGGTGGCTCATGCCTGTAATCTTAGCACGTTGGGAGGCCGAGGTGGGTGGATCACCTGAGGTCACGAGTTTGAGACCAGCCTGACTAACATGATAAAACCCCTTCTCTACTAAATACAAAAAACTAGCCGGGCATGGTGGCGCATGCCTGTAATCCCAGCTACTTGGGAAGCTGAGACAGAAGAATTGCTTGAACCCGGAAGGCAGAGGTTGCAGTGAGTGGAGATTGTGCCATTGCACTCCAGCCTGGACAACAAGAGTGAAACTACGTCTCAAAAAAAAAAGGAAAAGAAAAAAAACTGAGCTAATAAATGGGCATCCCTTTATAAAAAGAGCACAAAAGTGGCTGGGTGTGGTGGCTCATGCCTGTAATCCCAGTACATTGGGAAGCTGAGGCAGGCGGATCACAAGGTCAGGCGTTTGAGACCAGCCTGGTCAATATTGTGAAACCTCGTCTCTACTAAAAATACAAAAATTAGCCGGGAGTGGTGGCACACACCTCTAGTCCCAGCTACTCTGGAGGCTAAGCAGGAGAATCGCATGAACCTGGGAAGTGGAGGTTGCAGTGAGCTGAGATTGCACCACTGCACTCCAGCCTGGGCGATAGGGCGAGACTCTTTCTCAAAAAAAAAAAGAGCAAATGTAACCTTGGTATCACGAGGAACAGGAGAGAACCGTTTACCTGAGGAAGAGAGCAGAGAGAGGCACCAAGAACGCCTGAGAGCCAAAAGACTCAGAGGAAAAACAAAATAATTTGAGATGTCTCAGTAAAAGTTGAATGTGCAACCCCTTTTAGTCACAGAATATTATTGCTGCCATTGCAAACGTGATGTGCAAACATGCATATGCTTGACTGGCAAGGCATTTGAGCCAAAAATGCTACATCTGTCATATTTGTTTGAAGCCAAGCCAAATAGGCTGAACACACATTTAGAGAGCGCTAAGAGAATTTTATACCTTGTACTTGCTGTCAAAAGCAGCAGGGGAAAATGTGTTGAAAAGAGAAAGTGTACATACTAAACAGCCAAAATGGTGCATGTGTCAGGTTACGTGCAGAGTTTCTCAACCTGGGCACTGTTGACATTTTGGGTTGATAGTTCTTTGCTTGTGAGGGGCTGTCCTGTGCATTGTAGAATAATTTGCAGCATCTATGGCCACCCCATGACAGTAGAACCTCTTCCCCAGGTATGACAACCAAAAATGTCTGCAGATATTGCCAGATGTCCTTTATGGCAAAATCACCCCGGTTGACAAACACTGAGTTTGTTTGGGGTTTTTTATTTGAAATGCAGTCTCACTCTGTCACTCATGCTGGAGTGCAGTGGAACAATCTCAGCTCACTGCAACCTCCGCCTCCCAGGTTCAAGCGATTCTCCTGTCTCAGCCTCCCAGGTAGCTGGGACTACAGGCATATGCTACCATGCCAGGCCAATTTTTTGTATTTTTAGTAGAATCTGGTTTCACCAGGCTGGTCTTGAACTCCCAACCTCAAGTGATCCACTCATCTTGGCCTCCCAAAGTGCTGGGATTACAGATGTGAGCCACCACTCCCAGTGGAACATTTCTTAGATGCCAACAGCATGTGAAGAAGCTCAAGCTAGACTACTGAATGATAAGAGGTCATGTGGAGAGAGGCCCTGATGGATGAGAAGCCATCTTGGATGTTCTACCCCAGCTGAGCTTCAGCTGAATGCAACCATGAGAGGCCTTGGCTGTACCATGCAGGGCTGAAGAACTGTTCAGCTGAGCCCAGTCAACTCACAGAATTGTAAAAAAAAAAAAAAAGGAAATCACGGTTGTTTTAAGCCAGTAAGTTTTGAGCTGGTTTGTTGCACAGCAATAAACAACTAAAGTATTATCAAATGTCTAAGTTGATAAAGTTGAATGCACTGTTGTAGCCAGCTCACACCAGCTACTGGAGCCAAATGTTGAATTTTCTGAGTCAATTATTAAACACAGCTGTTATTAAAAATTAAATTAGAGAACAATTCGCAATTGCAAAAATGTAGAACTAGCCTAAATGTCTATCAATCAATAGGTAGATAAAGAAACTGTGGCATATATATATACGATGGAATACGACTCAGCCATAAAAAAGGAATTAATTAATGGCATTCACAACAACTTGGATGGAGTTGGAGACCATTATTCTAAGTGAAGTAACTCAGGAATATGTTACTCGTATGTTCTCACTCATAAGCAGGAGCTAAGCTATGAGGATGCAAAGGCATAAGAAGGATACAAAGGACTTTGAGGACTTGGGGGGAAGGGTGGGAAGGGGGTGAGGGATAAAAGACTACAAATTGGGTGCAGTGTATACTGCTTGGGTGGTGGGTGCACACAAATCACCAATAAAGAACTTACTCATAATCAATACCACTTATACCCCAAAAAACCTATGGAAACAAAAAATTTAAAATTATATTTTTCTAATTAAATTAGGCTGGGTGCAATGGCTCATGCCTGTAATTCCAGCATTTTGGGAGGCCGAGGCAGGAGGAACACTTGAGCCTAAGAGTTTGAGGCTGCAGTGAGCTATGATCACACCACTGCTCTCCAGCCTGGACAATGAAGAGAGACCCTGTCCCTAAAAACAAAATTAAATTAAATTATATAAACTTACATTAAAACACATTATATTTCAAAAGGTAATAAGTACCAACTTCCTATTTATTTATTTATTTATTTATTTATTTATTTATTTATTTATTTATTTTTGAGATGGAATATCACTCTTGTTGCCCAGGCTGGAGTGCAGTGGCGCGATATCGGCTCACTGCAACCTCCACCTCCCAGTTCAAGCAATTCTCCTGCCTCAGCGTCCCAAGTAGCTGGGATTACAGGCATATGCCACCATGCCCAGCTAATTTTGTATTTTTAGTAGAGATGGGGTTCCACCATGTTGGCCAGGCTGGTCTCAAACTTGTGACCTCAGGTGATCCACCTGCCTCGGCCTCCCAAAGTGCTGGGATTACAGGCATAAGCCACCACGCCCAGCCTTTCTAATTATAATGCTGTATTTTACTATTATCTATGCTCTTGAAGTTATTTATGTCTACTGTGTCTGTACAGTAAACATACTATATAATAGTGTACTGTTGCTTACCTCTGTCCAACTCTGCATTCAGTGATATTACATTGATAGCCTGAAATTGGCCATCACAGGAGTATTTCCACCACAGAAATTGCCAAATGTTACATACCAGAACTCTTTTTGTCCAGAGAGGCGGCGGTCATTAAACATTTATAGCACATCACTGGTACCCGCCTGGCAGGGCTTTAATAATAGCTAGCACCCATTGAGGACTTCTGTTTGCCTGATGCTGTTTAAACTTTTTGCAACTCTATGAGGTGAGTCCTATTATGATACTGATTTTACAGATGAAGAAATCAAGAAACAGAGAAGTTAAATACTTTGTCCAAGGTTATAGTACTATTACAGTAAGCAATGGAGTGGAACTCAGGTGTCTGGGTTTCATGCCTTTAAGTATACTACGCATATTTTCCCAACCATTACTCAGGGACAAGATCTAATAAATGCAAATGTATTTAGTGGGGAGAACAGAACAGAAAACATGAAATTGGAACTCTATGTTCACAGTACCTATGAGTTAGAGGTTTTAATATAATGCTAAATTCAAGTAGGACCTTCTACGGGATTTAAAAACAAAAAAGAGGCCAGGTGCAGTTGCTCACGCCTGTAATCCCCGCACTTTGGGAGGCCAAGGCGGGTGGATCACCTGAGATCATGAGTTTGAGACCAGCCTGGCCAATATGGTGAAACCCTGTCTCTACTAAAAATACAAAAATTAGCCGGATGTGATGGTGGGTGTCTGTAATCCCAGCTACTTGGGAGGCTGAGGCAGGAGAATTGCTTGAATCCAGGAGGCAGAAGTTGCAGTGAGCAGAGATCGTGCCACTGCCCTCCAGCCTGGGCGACAGACAGAGACTCCATCAAAAAAAAAAAAAAGGAAGCAAGGCCAAAGAACAAACTAGAATAAAGTGAAAAGCAGCTAACACATACCTGGCACAGATGTCTAGTCAATGTTGGTTCCATTACCCTCTCCATGCCCCAGATGTTCACACCTACTTCCTTGAAAAGAAATTCTCTGCAGGGTTAAGCTGCTGGGCCCAACTGCTGGGCCTGATTTCACTAACAGACAGTACTCTTCCAAAGTCTATAGAATAAATCAGTGATCTATTGTGCTTATCCTCTTATCTTTTTCTTTTCTCACATGGAAAGTTGCTTGCAGTATTTATCAAACCCATCAATATAATAAAAACAAAAACACTTGGAAAAAATGGTTTGTACTGCTAAGGCCACACAGAGAAGGAAAGAAACTGAAGAGCCAGTTGATGTGATGTTTGGCTGAGGAGGGGTCTGTTAGGTGCTGATTTCTTGCTGGTCATCCTTACTCCTCAGGGAGGGTGCCCGAGGAGGGATACTGCACTGCCCTAGAATACTTTACTGGACAATAAATGCTTAGTTCAATCACTTTGTCTTCCACCCTTACAGCAATTAGAGGCATTTTACTCATAGTTTACTGGCATTTTCTCATGCTTGATTGACAACTTGTCCTCTGAGCTCACAAATGTTATTGGGCACCTGCAAATCAAGGCTAATTATTCAGTCCTGTGGAGACAGTCCCAACATCTTTTGACCCCCACAGCCTTCTGCCCAGGGGGATCTTTGGAATAGGTCACTACCTGCAGATTATAATTTTACAGCCTAACTGATAGAATCTTTCCAAGCTGGTTTATACTAGTTCCTGCAATAGCACAATTAGATATTAATTTTTCTGGCACGCAGATGGCAAATTTTTTTTTTGACAGGGAGTCTCACTCTGTCGCCCAGGTTGGAGGGCAATGGCACAATCTCGGCTCACTGAAGCCTCTGCAGTGAGATTGTGATTCTCCTGCCTCAGCCTCCTGAGTAGCTGGGATCACAGGTGCCTGCCACCACACTCAGCTAAGTTTTCTATTTTTAATGGAGACAGGGTTTCACCATGTTGGCCAGGCTGGTCTCACACTCCTGACCTTAGGTGATCTGCTTGCCTCGGCCTCCCAAAGTGCTGGGATTAAAGGTGTGAGCCACCACCCAGACTGCAAATATTTTTTTAAACCCAACTGCCAACAACTGGGAGATTACAAAATTATGCCACATCCTATATGATGGAATATTATGTAGTTCTGGCTATGGCCCAAGTGGCTCTAGACTGTCTTCTTAGAACAGCTTTAGATGTCATAAAGGCTGATAATTCCACCCCCACCTCCTCTCCTGGCCACGTGGAAGGGCTCTAAAGACTCGAAACCTGCAAGCAGGGCTCATTCTGTCATGGGACTGGGAGCTTCACCGTTTGGGCTCCTCCTTCCTTTAGAGTGGAGAAACCCTTTTAGAAACCTAATCTATGTCAGCAGTTTTCTCATTGTATGTGGGCATGATCTTGCTGCCTGTCAACATCAACGTCACATTTCTTCCTCTCCTCTGATATTGTACTATTTTAGCTGTAGGTGCCAAATCCTTTTGATTATACATGAAACACTACCCTTGGTTGCTTTCATGTATGTTTTATGAGAACACCTAAGCATGAATATTTATTAAAGCAGCTTGGAACACATCTCTTTGATTTTTTTCTGTTCTGACTCATATTAAAGTGGGGAGAGAGGGAGGTACACTATGTCATAGTTCACCTGCAATGGTTTCTGCCTTCTTCCTCCCCCTCACAAGGCCAAATAGTTGAGCCATTTAGGCAATGGAAAGCATTGCCAAGTTTGCATCAGTTAGCAGCGTGACACATATTTCTGTTTTACTGATGAAACAGAACTATTTCTTTTGCAATGCCAACTTTCCTACACAATAGTTCCATAAATTTGTCACCTAACTGTTGCCTGACTTGGTCAAGGCTTCTTCACTTTTTGTGGAATAACAGCTCCCCTACTGTGAACTATGACGCAGTGTACCTCCCCTCTCCCAGTTTTAATGAGTCAGTACAGAAAAAATCAGAGTTGTGTTCTAAGCTGCTTAAATAAATATTCAACTTCTGCCTGCAGCCTCAGACTCCTCTGAGTGATCTTCCCACTGCAGTCAAAGGGATGTATTTAGAAAAAAAGGAGTTTCCTTAGAACCTTTCAGGATAAGATCCAAACTCCTTAGAAAGGCAGACTCGGTATATATATATACACATACATATATATGTATGTATGTATATATATGTGTATATATCTGTATATGTATGTATATGTATGTGTATATATATGTATATGTGTGTATATATATATGTATGTGTGTATATATACATATATATATATGTATATTTTTTTTTTGAAATGAAGTTTTGCTCTTGTTGCCCAGGCTGGAGCACAATGGCACTATCTCGGCTCACTGCAACTTCTGCCCCCCAGGTTCAAGTGATTCTCCTGCCTCAGCCTCCCGAGTAGCTGGGATTACAGGCACCCGCCACCATGCCCGGCTAATTTTTGTATATTTAGTAGAGACGGGGTTTCACCATGTTGACCAGGCTGGTCTTGAACTTCTGACCTCAGGTGATCCACCAGCCTTGGCTTCCCAAAGTGCTCGGATTACAGGCGTGAGCCACTGCGCCCAGCCCCTAAAATATATATATATTTTAAACACATTGTTTCCATGTGTTTCTTGTTCTAGTGATTTCTTTTTCTTTTTTTCTTTTTTTTTTTTTTTTTAAAGACAGTGTCTTGTTCTGTTGCCAAGACTGTAGTGCAGTGGCACCATCTTGGTTCACTGCAACCTCCACCTCCAGGGTTCAAGCTATTCTCCTTCCTCAGCCTCCTGAGGAGCTGGGACTACAGGCGTGTATCACCACGCCCGACGGATTTTTGTGTTTTCAGTAGAGACGGGGTTTCACCATGTTGGTCAGGCTGGTCTTGAACTCCTGGCCTCAAGTGATCTGCCCATCTTGGCCTCCCAAAGTGCTGGGATTACAGGTGTGAGCCACCATGCCTGGCCCCTAAAACACACACACATACACACACACACACACACACACACACACACATATAAAAAACACATTGTTTCAGTGTGTTTCTTGTTCTAGTGATTTTTTTCTTTTTCTTTTTCTTTTTTTTTTTAAGACAGGGTCTCATTCTGTTGCCCAGATTGTAGTGCAGTGGCATGATCTTGGCCCACTGCAACCTCCACCTCCAGGGTTCGAGCGTTTCTCCTGCCTCAGCCTCCTGAGGAGCTGGGACTACAGGCGTGTGTCACCATGCCCAACTGATTTTTGTATTTTCAGTAGAGACAGGGTTTCGCCATGTTGGCCAGGCTGGTCTTGAACTCCTGGCCTCAAGCAATCTGCCCATCTCGGCCTCCCAAAGTGCTGGGATTACAAGATTCAGCCACTGTGCTTGGCTGGGTCTTTTATACTCTAACTTCAGCATAACTCTTATTCCTCTGCCATTCTCCACATAGAAATAATAGTAACTTATTGTTATTATTGAAGGCTTTCAAAGTGCTAAGCATTGTATATGCCCAATGACTCCTTGTGCATCCTGCCCTTTAATTGAACAGAACTCTAGTTTCTGGAAGCTATCCTGTCGCTTCACAACCTCCTGGATTTTTACAGACGCTATTTCCTCCCCTAATGTCTCCTCCGCCTTGGTAAGCGCCACTCATCCTTCCCTACTGAGCTCATGCATCATCGCCTCCTGAAGCCTTCCCTCGCCCTTTTTTCTTCCAATTCCATCTACTCTCCAAATAAGAGGCAATGTTTTAGCTCCAGTACAGGAAAGTCAGAAGGCCAGATCAACTTCTGGGGCAATTAGAACAAGGGATGTGGCCGGGAGCAGTGGCTCACGCCTATAATCCCAGCACTTTGGTAGGCCAAGGCGGGTTGATCGCCTGAGGTCAGGAGTTCGAGACTATCCTGGCCAACATGGCGAAACCCCGTCTCTACTAAAAATACAAAAATTTGTCGGGTGGGGTGCCACATGCCTGTAATCCCAGCTACTCGGGAGGCTGAGGCAGGAGAATCGCTTGAACCTGAGAGGTGGAGGTTGCAGTGTGCTGAGATTGTGCCACTGCTCTTCAGCCTAGGTGACGACAGAGCGAGACTCTGTCTCAAAAGAAAAAAAAAAAAAAAAGCAAGGGACGTAAATACTGCCAGGATGCTCTCTTCCCACCGCTTTTTCCAGCTTTGTCCTGACCTTTAGCTATCCCCTCTCAGACTCATCACCACAAAGCTATTGCTTATGGCTACTCCCTGTCTTTGCTACCAGGGAGTACACACACACACACACACACACACACACACACACACACACACACACTCTCTCTCTCTCTCTCTCTCTCTCTCTCTCTCTCTCTCTCTCTTTCCCCCCCAGCACTGGGTTCTGATTGGCTCAGCTGAGTCAGGCCCCACCCCCATGCCAATCATACGACCAATGAGGGTGGGCTAAGGAGCCTGTCCAGGAAGGGTTTGGGAGAGGGCAGTAGGTAGGTTTGCCGGTGGAAGTAAGAGTGCTGGGCAGGCGGAACTATCCATGGTTACAATCCTCCCCCAGCCCCACTTCCTCTGTGCTTTACTATGTTTTAAAAATGCTCTCAGCATTGACAGCCTCTTTATGTACCAAGACTCCCTTTCATACGCAAAGGAACTCTTTTGCCTTGCCTTCCCTTTCTTTTCTTTTTAAAAATAATTTTTTTTAAATTTAATCCTTGCTTGGTTGAAACTTTTTTATTTTATTTATTTTTTTTTAAACAAGGTAGGCTAGACTAAGCTATGATTGACGTTCAGTAGATTAGAACAGAATTTTGTTATAAAGGTTCCCAGAAATTTTTAACCCAGGTTAGCAATAAATTGTTTTCTGGTCTGAGCGATGGGTCTTTTGGAAGAATTATAGAACTAATCAGTCTACCAGACTAGCAGACCCATCTACAAAGGCAGAGAGGCATAGGAAATGCAGAGTGAGACAATGGAGCCAGCTAGGTCTACATTTCAACCTTGGCTTAATGGCTGTATAACCTTGGGCAAGTTATATAACCAGTCCAAGCCTCAGTTTCCTCGTTAGTCAAATGGGGACAAAATTACTGCATTAGGTGGGATGGGCAGTGTGATGGTTAATACTGAGTGTCAACTTGATTGGATTGAAGGATGCAAAGTATTGATCCTGGGGGTGTCTGTGAGGGACTTGCTAAAGGAGATTAACATTTGAGTCAGTGGGCTGGGAAAGGCTGACTTACCCTTAATCTGAGTGGGGACAATCCAATCAGCTGCCGGCGAGGCCAGAATAAAAAGCAGGCAGAAGAACGTGAAAAGACAAGACTGGCTTAGCCTCCCCGCCTACATCTTTCGCGTGTGCTGGATGCTTCCTGCCCTCAAACATTGGCCTCCAAGTTCTTCAGCTTGTAGATGGCCTATTGTGGGACCTTGTGATCATGTGAGTTAATACTCCTTAATAAACTCCTCTTTATATATACATCTATTAGTTCTGTCCCTCTAGAGAACCCTGACTAATACAGGCAATAACAAGAAACCACCAAAACTCTTTCTTCTGTGTAGAAAGCCTTTTCCACCTCATCCTTCCAGGCCTAGCTCAAGTGTCACTCTTCTTTTTTTTTTTTTTTCTGAGATGGAGTCTTGCTGTGTCGCCCAGGCTGGAGTGCAGTGGCATGATCTCGGCTCACTGCAACCTCTGCCACCCAGGTTCAAGCGATTCTCCTGCCTCAGCCTCCCGAATAGCTGGGATGACAGGTGCCTGCCAATGCGCCTGGCTAATTTTTATGGTTTTTAGTAGAGACAGGGTTTCACCATGTTGGCCAGGCTGGTCTTGAACTCCTGACCTCATGATCCACCTGCCTTGGCCTCCCAATGTGCTGGGATTACACTTGTGAGCCTCTGTGCCTGGCCTGTCACTCTTCTTTTAACATCTCTCTCTCTTTCCCAGATAATTAATCACTCCCTTCTCTGAAATTTACCAATACCTCAGTTATAGATGGTCCCAACTTGTGACAGGTCAATTTATGCTTTTTTGCCTTTATGAATATTCAAAAATAATAGGCATTCAGTAGGAACCATACTTCAACCCATATAAGCATTGTTTTTCACTTTCAGTACATTACTCAATAGATTTCATGAGCTATTCATGGAATATTACTATAAATTTATTATAAATATTATTTATTATATAATAGGCTTTGTATTGGATGACTTAGCTCAAGCATAGGCTAATGTAAGTATTCTGAGCATGTTTAAGGTAGGCTAGGCTAAGCTATGATTGACATTCAGTAGGTCAGAGTTATTAAATTCATTTTTTGGCAGGCTGCAATGGCTCACACCTATAATCCTAGCACTTTGGGAGGCCAAGGCAGGACAATCACTTGAGCACAGGGGTTCAAGACCAGCCTGAGCAACATAGTGAGACCTTGTCTATACAAATAATAAAAAAAATTAGCCAAGCATGGTGGCATACACCTGTGGTCCCAGCTACTTGGGAGGCTGAGGTGGGAGAATCACTTGAGCCCAGGTGGTTGAGGCTGCAGTGAGCCATGATTGTGCCACTGCACTCTGGCCTGGGTGACAGAGCAAGACCCCAACTCAAAAAAAAAAGTATTTACTTATGATATATATTTTTTGAGACAGAGTCTCACTCTGTCGCCCAGGCCAGAGTGCAGTGGCGCAATCTCTTCTCACTGCAGCCTCCACCTCCCAGGTTCAAGTGATTCTCCAGACTCAGCCTCCCAAGTAGCTGGGATTACAGGCACTCACCACCATGCCAGCTCATTTTTGCATTTTTAGTACAGGCGAGGTTTCACCATGTCGGCCAGGGTGGTTGAACTCCTGACCTCAAATGATCCACTCACCTCGGACTCTCAAAGTGCTAGGAATACAGGCATGAGCCACCGTGCCTGGCCAACTTATGATATTTTTAAACTACATTGAATTTACCAGGATACAACTTAATCATAAGTTGAGGCACATCAGTATAACACTGATCACATGGTATTATAGTCACACATCTATTTCTCCCTAGAACTTCCCATTCCACCCTAAGCTGTGAGCTTTCCAAGAACATGAAACTCATCTCATTTTGTCTCTGCAACTCCAGGTACTTGTACAGGGCCTGATGCCTAGTTGGCATTCAAAATATTGAGTGAATGATCCACTGATGATTAAATCAATGAGTGACAAGAGCAAGATATGGCCTACCTATAGAGAGGAGAAGAGCTAATCCAGGCCCTTTTCCGATTTTGATAGAAAGGATTTTGCAGACACATTGAATATGGTCATTTATAAGCTTTAAGTTTTTCAGGAGTAGTTACTAAGCCAGCTTGTTTGAGAAGCATTGGGTTGCGCTGCTGTCTCCAATTTGGGGCATCAAAAGTTGGCTATACTTGGGTAACAAGAATAGAGGTGTGGAAAATAGGTACCAGGGTTTCTTTGTGACAAAAGTCAAAATGAAGTGACATGTCACATGTGTGTCATGAGAAATCCCAGAAGAAACAGGGAAATAAGTGATGAGGGAATCCTATTTCCCACAAAAAAGAAACCTCTTTCGGAAGTTCCAAACTTGACATTGACAATTTCAAGAGGTATTTTCATAAAATGCAGCCATGTTTTTATGTGTGTCAGGAAGAAAACTTGTGTGTAAACATAAATCATGTCTGCTTGTGGCCTTCTGAATGCATACCTAAAAATATGCAATAATATTTTCTTTGCAATTACACAGAAGAAAAATGTCAAGGGATGCATAAATGAGCTTCCATGTTGTATATTTAGCAGCATGGGATGTGGGAAATGGAAGGGGGTTAAGGGAGCATTTTTCCATTCCTGCTGTTTGCAGGTGAGGAAGATGAGACTCAGAGAGGTTGTGACTTACCCAAGATCATGCAACAATGTATTGACTGAGCTAGGATTAGAAACTCAGCCTCGTTTTGTTTTTTTTTCTTCTTTCCCACTATAGTTTGATAAATTATATATATATAAACATAGCCTGAAGTTGTTTAGGTTTAAATAATAGCTCAATTGTTCAATAAACATGTCTTAAGGGCTTACTATGTGCCTAACACTGTGCCAGATGCTAGGGAGCACAAAACAGGTAAAGTCCCCCACTCGACACATATATTTTGTCCACTTTTCTTTTTCTTTTGTAGAGATGGGGCCTTGCTATGTTGACCGGTTGGTTTTGAACTCCTAGCCCCAAGGGATTGTCCCACTTCTCTCTCCCAGAGTACTGGGATTACAGGCGTGAGTCACAGCACTGGTCTTTTGTCCACTTTTTCCATGCCATACTCTATGCTAGGCCCTGGGGAGCTCTGTCTTCATGAAGTTAACAGTCCTGTGGGGCAGGCAACATTAATCAAAGAATCACACAATTAATGAGTATCTGACATGGAGGGAAGAGAGTTCCATAAGTGTGTACTCTTCCTAATATTTTTACTTTTCTTTTTTAAATTTTTTATTTTATTTTATTTTTTTAAATAGAGACAGGGTCTTTGTTGCCCAGGCTGGTCTCGAACCCCTGGGCTCAAGTGATCTGCCCACCTCAGCCTCCAAAAGTTCTTGGATTACAGGCTTGAGCCACCGCACCTGGCCCTCAACATTCTCACAAGGAAAGATTCTAGTTTCTGGGTCAGCTTCTAGACTCCATTTGACTCCTGTTAATGAGAAAAAGAGCTAAATAAGCAGAAAGATAAAGCTGAGCTTCTAACAAAGAAGTTAGAGTCAGAAACCCTAGTGTTTATGGGCGCTGAGAAAAGTTTTAGAAGAGAAAAGGAGGAAGCCCTGAGGGTTGTGGAGATTTTAGGTACTGAGAAATAGGGATGGTGTGGGAGTTTTTAATGCTTTTCACCAAATATTTTAGGTTCTTCCCCCTTCCAAACACATGGTAGGTGTTGTAGATTGTATAATTGGTCTCCGTTCTCCACTCCTCCCTGGATCCATGAAACTTTTCAGTGCTCTCCTGCCATGAATGCAATATAATACTCAGCCCTTGGGCTCAGCCACATACTGGCTTTGGCCATTAAGAAGAAATGAAAGTGATGGTGTGCCAGCTCCAAGACTAGAAGAATTGCATGTCTGCTTCCTCACCTGCACCACTGCCACTGCCTTGAGAACATGCTTGGTTAGCGTGGGAGGATGAGAGCCACTTGGAATAGAGTTACTGCAGTTGCCCCAGATGAAGTCAGCCTACAAAGCTGAAAACCAGCTGGCCCCTAGATGTGTTTGTGAGCCCAGCCCAGATCAGTGGAGCCACCTGCTGACTCCAGATGCATGAGCAATAAATGCTTATCGTTAAATGCTAAAGAGGTTTGGTGGTTGTTTTCTTTTTTTTCACAGCTTTATTGCAACTATATATAACTGATTTAGCAGTATTGCACTTCCTAGCTCTGTGTTAAGGGTGTAGCCATAGTTCTGAGGCAGCATCATTGTCTGGGGTAAATACCCAAGGTTCATCGTCTTACCCGAGGGAAATCAAGTATGCAGACACAAGAAGTGGGTTTAGGAGCAGAGGTTTACTAGGCAAAAGAAGGAGAAAGAAGAACAGCTCTCTCTCTTGAAATAGAGTGGGGAGCCCGAATGGGACTTCCAGCCTTTGGCAGAGTAAACCAGATTTTATAGAAAGTCTTGAGGAGGTGGTGTCCGCTTTACATAGGGCCCACAGATTGGTTGGACCAGGTGTGACGTTTACATAATACCTGGGGAATGCTGGCCACACTACCCTAATCTTATTATGCAAATGAGCTTTCTACTTGGCCAGCACCATGTTGTGTGCTCCTTGCTGTATACATGGTTTGGCAAAGAGAAGGGACGATGGAGATGCCATTTTGAACATGCCTAGTCCCAGGTAGTCTTTTCCTATTGGCACAACTGCTGGCATTCACCCATGCAAGCTTCTAGCTTGCTTATCTATGTCTGCAGCTCGATTTTACAGGCTGCTCCTTGTTAGAAAAGAAAATGATTTGGGGGCTGCTTTTCATTAAAAGGAAAACCTTACCAAGGACTTCCCTACCCTCACTATCTGCCTAAATAATTTATTCTTAACTCCTACATCAGTTCTGGTCATGAGTTGGAAGCAAAAACAATAATGACGTTTCTGGGTTGGAACATTTAATTGCTGGTGTGAGAACCTCTAGAACTCTTTTCCTACTAACACATCAACCAAAAACTTTTGAAATATTAGCTGCTCCCTCTGTCTGGATCCCTGAGAGACTAAGATAAACTGAAAACCCAGCCAAAAAAAAGCTGTTTTAAGCCACTGAGATTTTGAAATTGTTCGTTACTGTGGCATAACTTAGTCTAGCCTCACTGAATAAGGTGGGAAGGGGATATTTTAAGAAGTTTGCTAAAGGTTATTAACTGCTTTCTCTTTGATGCTCTTAAAGAGATTATTTGAATTGTATTTATGTGAATAAAATTGTATTAATTTGAATTGTATTTTATTCTTATACAGAATATTTTAATTATATTTTCAATTATTGTTTGTTAACTTTTTTTTTTTGAGATGGAGTCTCACTGTGTCACCCAGGCTGGAGTGCAGTGATACAATCTTAACTCACTGTAACCTCCACCTCCCAGGTTCAAGCGATTCTCCTGCCTCAGCCTCCCAAGTAGCTGGGACTACAGGTGCCCACCACCACACCTGGCTAATTTTCGTATTTTTAGTAGAGATGGGGTTTCACCGTGTTGGCCAGGCTGGCCTTGAACTCCTGACTCAAGTGATCTGCCCTCCTTGACCTCACCAAGTGCTGGGATAGTTATTTTTGTTACTGTACTACTTTAATTTGCTTGCTAACCTGTTGACTGGCCCAGGTTTTTTGAGACTTATCAATATAGTTACCAAAGAGCTGGGAAAGAGAATAGCTTCACTTCTTTACTTCCAAATATCTTGACACTTTTCCCAGACCAAAAGGGTAGTCAGATGTTGGGCAATCTATATGTCCACTAAGCTCCCTCTAGCAAACAAATTAGAAGTACTCTTTTTCTGTCCAAATTATATATTATCATAGTAAAAAGAAAGACATCCTTCAGCTGCGAAAGTGTAGTGTGTGAGAGTACAAGGAGAAAGGGCTTTGCAAAGCAAAATCTAAAATACCCTTAGACACACACAACTTTCCATTCTTCTAAGAATATATTTGAAATACAAAGAAAAAAACAACGGAAGAAATCTTTGTGACCTTGGTTTGGGAAAATGTTTCTTAGATATGACACGAAAAGTACAATCCATAAAAGAAAAGATGGATTGATCTTTGTAGACATTAATAACTTCTGCTTTTTGACAGATACTGTTAAGAGAATGGAAAAAAAGGCCACAGACTGAGAGAAAATATTTGCAAAACATATACAGAATAAAAAGTTTGTATCCAAAATATGTAAAGTATTATGAAAATTTAATAAGTTTTCTTTAATAAGTTCAATAAAAACAAAACGATTAAAAACAAGGCAAAATATATGAACAAATACTTCACCAAGGATGTATGCAGAAGGCAAATAACCCCGTGAAAAGTTGTTGAACGTCATTTGTCATTTCAGAAATGGAAATTGAAATCACCGTGAGATACCACTACAACATGGAATAGCTAAAATTACAGACTCATCATAGATGTGGAGCACCTGGAACTCTCTCATACTATTGGTGGGAATGTAAAATGGCACAACTACTTTGTAAATGTTTGACAGTTTCTTAAAAAGTTAAACTTACTCCTACCATATGACCCAACTATTCCACTTCTAGGGTTTATCCAAGACAAATGAAAGCACACGTTCATACTAAGACTTGCATAAGAACATTCACAGCAGTGTTATTCGGAATAGCCAAAAACTGCAAACAACTCCAGTGTTCATCACCAGGTGGATCAGATGGATGGATAAACAAATTGTTGTATATTGGGCCAGGCATGGTGGCACACACCTGTAATCCCAGCACTTTGGGAGGCTGAGGTTGGTGGATAGCTTGAGCTCAGGAGTTTAAGACCAGCCTGGGCAACACAGTGAGACCCTGTCTCTACAAAAAATACAAAAGATTAGGCAGGTGTGACACCTGTAGTCCCAGCTACTCAGGAGGCTGAGGTGGGAGGATCCCTTGAGCCTGGGAGGTCAAGGTTGCAGTGAGTCATGGTCATGCCACTGCACTCGTGTCTGGGCAACAGAATGAGACCCTGTCTCAAAAAAAAAATTGTGGTATATTGATGTATTAGTCCATTTTCACTTTGCTTTAAAGACATACCCAAGAGTTGGTAATTTACAAAGAAAAGAGGTTTATTTGACTCACAGTTCCACAGGGCTGGAGAGGCCTCAGGAAACTTATAATCATGGTGGAAGGGGAACAGGTACATCTTACATGGCAGCAGGCAAGAGAGAGTGTTACGTGAAGGGGATAGAGCCCCTTATAAAACCATCAGATCTTGTGAGAACTCACTCACTATCATGAGAACAGCATGGGGGAAGCTGCCCCTCTGATCCATCCAATCACCTCCCACCTGGTCCCACCCTTGACATGTGGGGATTACAATTCGTGATGAGATTTGGGTGGGGACAAAAACCCAAACCATATCAATTGATGCCATAAAAAAGAATAACTACTGATACATACAAAAACACAATTGAATCTCAAAATAATCTCAAATTTATGATGAATGAAAGAAACCAGACCAACAAAAAAAAAGGAAAGACACCAAAGTACAATACATACACGTAGTCTATGAATCCATTTATATAAATTTCTAGAAAATGTTAACTAAAGAAAGGAAAACAGATCGGTGGTTGCTCATGGGCAAAGTGGGGTGGGAGTCGAAAGGTTACAAAGAGAGATGAGGAAACTTTTAGGGATGATGGATGTTTTCATTATCTTGATTATAGTGATGGTTTCATGGGGGGGTTAGCTACCTAAAAACTTATAAAACTGTACACTTTAAATATGTAAAGTTTATTGAATGTCAATTATTTCTCAGTAAAACTGTTTATATGTATATACTTGGAACACTAATTGGTAGTCCCTTCTGCTCTAGTTCCTTTCTGAATCATTAGTCACTCAATAACAGGTACATATGTGTATATATAATATATATATGTATATATGTACATACTGTTTATATATGTACATACTATTTATATAGTACATACTATTTATATGTACATAAATATATATAAAGGTACATATTATTTGTGTGTGTATGTATTTATATATATACACACATAAATATATATAGGCTAGGTGCAGTGGCTCACACTTGTATTCCCAGCACTTTGGGAGGCCGAGGTGGGTGGATCACTTGAGGTCAGGATTTCGAGACCAGCCTGGCCAACATGGTGAAACCCCATCTCTACTAAAAAAAAAAAAAAAAATACAAAAATTAGCTGGGCGTGGTGGCGCAAGCATGTAATCCCAGTTACTTGGGAGACTGAGGCAGGAGAATCACTTGAACCTGGGAGGCAGAGGTTGCAGTGAGCTGAGATCACGCCACTGCACTCCAGCCTGGGCAACAGAGCAAGACTCCATCTCAAACAAACAAACAAACAAATGTATAAAGGTCCATACTGTGTACCTTTATAAATACATATGAAAGTACATATAAATAGTATACCTTTACACTATACAAAGGTATACTGTATACTAAAGGTATATTTATATATAAATAGGTATATAGTATACCTTTATATATAAATAGGTATGTAGTATACCTTTATATATAAAGGTATAAAGTATAGGTATATAGTATACCATATATATAATAGGTATATAGGTATACTTATACTATATACTTTTATACATATAGATACCTTTATATATGTATATATATTTTATATATATAACATATGTGTGTGTGTATGTATATATATATATATATATATATATATATATATATATATATATATATAAAAATAGTATGTACCTGTTACTGAGTGACTAATGATTCAGAAAGGAACTAGAACATAAGGGACTACCAATTAGTGTTGTAAGTGTATACATGTGTGTGTGTATATCCATATATATACATTTGGATATCCAAATATATATGTATATATATTTATCTGTACATTATTTATCTGTATATATACAGATAGATACATATAAATAGTATGTACCTGTTATTGAGTGACTAATAATTCAGAAAGGAACTAGATCACAAGAGACTACCAATTAGTGTTGTAAAAACTGGGAGATCTAATGAGTAGAACTTTAGCAGCTGTGGGTACACATCTCTTCAGCCTGACCTTCAAATTGTGCCCCCTAAATCAAAAGATAAGTACAAAGTGGGAGTCCAGAAGATCTAACATATAAACCTCTTTATCACATATCTGAGATTGAATAGGATGGCCACATGGGCTGAGACAGCCCAAACTAGCTTAGCTGCAGACAGGTTAAGCTAGAGAAGTTAAGAAAATCATTCAGCAGATTCATCTTTGCTTCCGATAAAAAAAGGTTGTTTGGTTAATGGTGTGGGATAGAAATGTTGTGAAATAATCTGTTTCAGGTTAGGCACTGTATCTTAAATTTAAGATTCTAAGTTTCCTAAATAATAATGCAAACATTGATACATGTAGTTTATCTCCATCTCAAAACCAATAAATAAAAATAAGAGCTGCAGTTGCTTCCTCTGCAATAGGTCATTACAAGTTGTCTGATCTCTCAGAGCCACCCCTTGATAACAACATAAAGTTTAAAAACCTGCATTAGTATTTTTTTTGAGAATTTGCTTTTCTGATCAAGAGTTTGAACTTTTCAAATACCACGACCATATAATTTTTTTAACATCATTTTTCTGTTGTAGAACAACATAGAGACTAGGAATGGAAAGATTTAAGGTTTCCTTGTCTGCAAAAGTGGATAATATTAGTACTTACCTGTAACAGGTTGATTGGTGGCCCCCCAAAATATATGTCAACATACTAATCCCAAAATCCGTGACTGTTACCTTACTTGGAAAAAGGGTCTTTGCAGATGTAATCAAGTTAAGGATTTTGAGATGAAAAGATCATCCTGTATTCCTGTATTATTCATATGGACCCAATGACAAGTTTCCTTATAAGAGAAAAACAGAGGGAGATTTGAAACAGACAGAAGAGGAAAAGATACATCCAGGAGGAGAAAGACGTGTGAAGATGGAAGCGGAGAATGGAGCGATGCGATCACAAGCAGAGAACGCCAGCAACTCCCAGAAACTGGAATAGACAAGTAAGGGAATCTTGCTTAGAGCCTGAAAGGAGGCTGCAGACACTTTGATTTCCGATGTATGGCCTCAAGAACTTCCCAAGAATACATTTCTGTTTTTTTATGTCACCAAGTTTGTGGTAATTTGTGAGGGCAGCCTCAGGAAATTAATGCACAACCTCATAGAGCACTAAAAATGGAGATAATTAGTACTACCTAACTTGTAAATTTGCTACGAGGATTAATTGAGTTGATATATTCGGTATAGTAGAAAAGTGCCCCATACCTAGTAAGCGCTCCGGAGGCACTAAGTGAATTTTTATCAAAGGAACGCTAAAGTCGAGGCAGCCAGTTGTTGATATTATTGCTTTTCTGGACCATGATTGGTGGACTGGACATCATAATGCTGGAAGGCCTGTCAGATTACGAAACTGAAGAAACGAAACAAAACCATGAGGATGGTGAAAAGGTCAGGAAGAATGAACTATTTCATCTGTAAGTTTCATTTGAGCCCGAACGTTCTATGAAAGGAACCCATCAGTTCTCAATGTATTTGTCTCCTTGCTTCTCTGCACTTGTTTCCTTGCTTCTCTTAGTTATTTCTATACAATTCCTTAATCCCTAAAAGCAATTTAGAACGGAATGCAGGGACCACAGGAGAAAATGAGTTTTATTGCCTCTGATGGGAGCCTAAAACCCCACGAGGCTCCCAAAGGGCGGAATTCCCAAGCCAATTCCTCGCGTCTATGATCCACCTGCAAAAAACTACGATTCCCAGAAGGCTTTGGGTCCGGGGGCGGGAAGACTGAGCTCAGAAAGAGGTGGACTCTAAGAGAAGGTCTTTGGTCGATTACATTGTCCAGAGAGGGAGTGGCCGCTTGGGCGGATTTTGGGAGGGATCAGCCTTCCAATTGGTTGTTATTAGAAAGGGGGTTGGTACGGCCTGCTGGTGCTGGACCTAGGCCGCCGCGGCCGGAGCTCAAATTTCCCGGGCCGGGAGCGCTGGGCCTGCCGGGAAGGCGCTGGGACGGTTACCCAGCGGGCCGCCGGCGGTCGTGGGCAAGCTTCGCCATGCAGAGCACTGACCTAGGCAACAAGGAGAGCGGCAAGATATGGCACCGCAAGCCGTCCCCGGCCACGCGGGACGGGTAAAGGCCGTGGCGGGAGGGCGCGGGCTGTGGAGGGGATGGAGACCGGCGAGGAGGGGACGCCGGGCGTCAGGCAGCGTTCCGGGTTCTGGCTCTGACCTTGCCCCGCATCCCTGGGTTGGATGACCTGCGGTGGAACAGATGGCTCCGGACGCCAGGGTCCGCAGAGATCCCCTTCTGAGTTCTGGGAGCGGGGGTCTGGTCCGGGACAGCGCGGAGCAGGAGGAGGCCGGTGGTTCTCAGACCTGGGAACTTGCGGCTTTTGCTGTGTACCGGGACTCTCCTGCTTTTATGATCACGGTATCCCGCTAGTGTCCCTGGCACGTAGTAGGTGCTCAGTGAGTATTTAACAGTTGCAGCTGGAGCAGAACTCCAGGAGGAGATGCGGGGTGGAAGAGCAGGACAATTCTGCCTCTTCCAAAGGCTGCAGTTTATCCATCCTTAAATCCTTGGATGTGTTTAGACGCACAAGCATTCATCAACTATTTGTTGAGCTCCTACTGTGTGCCAAGCACGCCTCTAAGCGCTGGGGACGGCGATGGAACAAAACACACTTCCGGTTCTCTGGAGTTTACATATCGGCGTGTATGTAGGGGCTGGGGCGTTCATTATGCATTGCTGGGGGGCTTCTAGTACGGCCAGCGCTGCTTTTCATTCTGTTCCCAGTTACCTGTCCTGTTTGAGGCTCAGCCTGTCTTGTTTCCCTGGAAGCCTTTGCTACAAAGCGGTGCCATTTGGATTTCGATTTCTGCACGCAGAGTGATCTTATTGCTCCTAATTCCCTAGGATTTCACGGAAATTGCTTGAGTTCCTGTTTCAGTGTGTTTCTTGTTCTAGCAGTGATTTTTCTTTTCTTTGAGACGGAGTCTTGCTCTGTCGCCTGGGCTGGGGTGCAGTGGCGCGACCTCGGCTCACTGCATCCTCCACCTCCCGAGTTAAAGCGATTCTCTTGCCTCAGCCTCCTAAGTAGCTGGGATTACTGGCGCGCGCCACTACGCCCGGCTAATTTTTGTATTTTTAGTAGAGACGGGGTTTCACCATGTTGGCCAGGCTGGTCTTGAACTCCTGGCCTCAGGTGATCCGCCTGTCTCAGTCTCCCAACGTGCAGGGATTACAGGCCTGAGCCACCGCGCCCGGCCTCTAGTGATTTTTCTATTGATCCTTTGGTTGCTTCTTGACAAATCAGAATTTTTTTTTTCTCTTGAGACAGAGTCTTGCTCTGTTGCCCAGGGTCGGATGCAGTGGCGCGATCTCGGCTCACTGCAACCTCCGCCTCCCGGGTTCAAGCGATTCTCCTGCCGCAGCCTCCTGAGTAGCTGGGATTACAGGCGCACCACTCCCGGCTAATTTTTTGTATTTTTAGTAGAGACGGACCGTGTTAGCCAGGATGGTCTTGATCTCCTGATGTCGTGATCCACCCACCTTGGCCTCCCGAAGTACTGGGATTACAGGCGTAAGCCACCGCGCCTGGCCGACAAATCAGTTTTAAGTGCCTACTCTGTATATCCAAAGTGCGATGCGAGACGTTTTACCAGCAGCTTGTTTGGTTCCTGGTTACTGTCAGGCCTCTTTATCAATGCCGCTGCCTCAACTACATTGAATAAAAAATTTTCTCTAAAGTGGGGATTCCTCAAGTTTTTCATTTTCAAATTCTGAGTTTGTGTGAATACCACTCCCACCTCTGGTATTCTCTAAACATTCTAAAAGTTATAGCCCACTCGCCTTCTCTTTCTTGATGATACAAAATATCTAGATATATGTGCAAGATTCAAAAAGTGAAAGAAATGGGTTGATTATCCAAATGTCTTGTTTGCTTCTTCCACTAAAGCATAGCTTATCTTTGTGTTCGTTAAAACCCATTGTTCATGCTGTTTAGACGGGCAGAGAGCACTGACTTGGAGTCAGATGTATTTTGTTGAAGTAAATGTCCGTTTACCAACTCTGTGACCTTGGGGAAGTTAATCACTAAGGCTGTCAGTGGGGAGAATCAGATTTACCAGACAGGTTGTCTTACACATTTGGTGCTCAGTAAATATTTGATATTCTTCTTGTGTTTGAGAACTGAGGAACTCTGTCAGGCAATCTGTGAGAATCTGAAAGGAAGTTGCTCTAAAATAAATTTTTTACGTGTGATTTATATGAAAAATCGGAGGGGCAGAATGTCACTATTGTGATTACATCTACATGGTAGGATTATAATTGAGTATTTGTTTCTTAGTGTATTTCTATATTTTTCATATTTTGAACAATGATTGTGTAATTTTGTAGCCAGAACATGTAATAAGTGTTCTAGAAAATAAGACTGGAGGAAAAAGTTGTTTGCTCTGAGTTTAGTTGCCATGAAACATTTTGATATTGCTTGTCATTTCTGTATGTTTATTTTTGTGTTTTTAATTCCTTGGGGACTAGATAAAAATAAGCATTGTTAAGAATTTTGCTATTTCCTTTAGTGAGTCTAAAAAGCCTTATGTTTAGATACACATGGAGAAAATGTTTAATCCACTTAATTCAATTTAGTATACTTTAATGAAATTATAATGAAGATAGATGTTTCTAATATAAAATCCAAAAACTAGGCAAGGTGCAGTGGCTCACGCCTGTAATTCCAGCACTTTGGGAGGCCAAGGTGGGAGGATCACGAGGTCAAAAGTTTGAGACCAGCCTGGCCAACATGGTGAAACCTTGTCTCTACTAAAAATACAAAAAATTAGCTGGGCATGGTAGCGTGCACCTGTAATCCCAGCTACTCAGGAGGCTGAGGCAGGAGAATCACTTGAACCCAGGAGGTGGAGATTGCAGTGAGCCGAGATTGCACCACTGCACTCTAGCCTGGGTGACAGAGCGAGACTCCATCTCAAAAAAAAAAATAAAACAAAATCCAAAAATTTATGAAAAATCAATTAAGATAAAATTTTCATGATTAAAAACTATTGTTGCAATAAAGAATGGGATTATTCTGATCTTTGTGACGAGAATATACGCACATATATTATTTTAAGGAGTTATTTTGTGCTGTAAGTTAATTTTATAAATTTTCTTTCAACAGATACAGGGTATATAATCCTTCTCTCAAAAAGGGTAACTTTAAACACATGTATTCTTGTCTTTCCTGTTATGAAAATAGTATGTAATCATTAAATAACATGTCTAAAAGATAGAAAAGTAGAAAGGGGAAAAAAATTAACCATATTGCTATTACCTGCAGACAGCTGCTGTTAATATTTAGCTGTATTCATCTTTTTTTCCCTATACGTATTTTTCTTTTCCTTTGGAGACAGGGTCTTACAGTGTCACCCAGGCAGGAGTGCGGTGGCATGATCATGGCTCACTGAAGCCTTGACCTCCCCAGGCTCTAGTGATAATGCCACCTCAGACTCCTGAGTAACTGGGATCACAGGCACATGCACCATGCCTGGCTAATTTTTTGAAATTTTTCTGGAGACGTGTTTGGTTTTGATTTTTCTTCTTTATTTTTTCTTTTAATTGTGTGTATGTGTGTGTGTGTGTGTGTGTGTGTGTGTATCAGTGTTTAAAACTTCAGGTTAGAATATTTTCGTTTTCATTTAAGTTTAATCATTACATATGTGTCTCCAGAATAAGATTGAAAAATAAGCTCCCTTACTGTTTTATATGGCAGTATGATTAATGTGGGTTTTAAAGAATGATTTCTTAAAGCATTTGTTCATTCAGCAGGCATATTTTGAGTGTCTTTTGTGTGTTGTAGGCCAGGTGCTGGGGTACAGTAATGAGCAAGCAGTGGTCCTGTCCTTACAGAACTCGCCTGCCAGGGTATTCATGGTAGATACATTAGAAATGGAAGTAAAACTCATGCACGCGTAATTCACTGTGAAACATTCCATACACAAAAACAAAATCTCATACCCTGTTGTTATCACTTAATCACAGTTTATAAATCTGTTTATATGTGTGTTTATTTTTTTAATATCTGTCCTTACTACTAAATTGTAAGTGCCATGAAAGCAGGGACCATATCAATTATTCTTAGCACCTGGCTTGTTCTGTGTCTGACACAGTGAGTTTTCAAGTATTTGATGAATGAATAAACAGTAGCTATTTTGATAATGAGTAGCTTCTGACCTGTTTTTCTGAAATCCTGGTAAGATTGATTCTAGAGGAGCGGGGGTATAGCGGTAGCAGTAGGAGAGGGAAGAATGAACAGACGAAATGCTTTACTTGCCATATTTTTCATAATATCAAGTAATACGTGACATAGATTCAATGTTTGGGTTTTTTTCTTTGACAGAATTATAGTGAACATTATTCACAACACTTCCGATTACCATCCAAAAGTTTTGCGATTTTTGAATGTGGCTTTTGATGGCACAGGCGACTGCTTAATTGCTGGGGACCACCAAGGAAATATTTATGTTTTTGACTTACATGGAAACAGGTAAGCAGATACCATTGATATCTACGTTCTTTAACAAGTTATTAATTCACTGACTGTTTTCGTACCTGCTATTCATTATTCATTCAGAAAGATTTATTAAGTTCTATTATATTTCAGGTACCTTGCAAAATACTGTCATAAGTGCTAAAGGACGAAAGTGGGAAAAAACAGAATGATAACATGGTTCACATTTTAAAGAATTAAAGTGCTGGTTTTAATAGTATCTCTAGTAGTTTCCTTTTTTTTTTCTTAAATTTAAAAATTTATTATTGCTAATTTTTTTTTTTTTCTTCAGACGGAGCCTTGTTCTGTCGCCCAGGCTGGAGTGCAGTGGGATGATCTCAGCTTACTGCAAACTCCGCCTCCCAGGTTCCAGCTACCGCACCCAGCCCATAGTTGCTAGTTTGTCAATTTCTGGTACATCATGAGGCAATGTAGAAATAACACAGTTTTCTTTGCACATTGTTGTTGTGGGGTGCCAGATCTAAGAATTTTAAAGAATTGATTTTCAGCTGGGTGTGGTGACTCAGGCCTGTGATCCAGAAATTTGGGAGGCCAAGGCGGGCGGATCGCTTGAGGTCAGGAGTTCGAGACCAGCTTGGCCAACGTGGTGAAACACTGTCTCTACTAAAATACAAAAATTAGCTGGGTGTGGAGGTGCACGCCTGTAATCCTGGCTATTTGGGAGGCTGAGACAAGAGAATCACTTGAACCCAGGAGGTGGAGGTTTCAGTGAGCCGAGATCGTGCCACTGCCACTGCACTCTAGCCTGGGCGACAAAGCAAGACTCCATCTCAAAAAAAAAAAGTTGGTTTTCACTCTTCTTCCTCTTCTCTTCCCTTGTGAAACAATTTAGTCCGAAAGCAATTAGGTGGGATTGATGGAGATAGGTATTCATGCAGCGGGGCTAAGAGGGAAGGACAGCTGCAGCAGCCTAGCAGAGAGGCAGAGGGTGTCTGCATAGCGAATGGGGCAGTGATGGGAAGCTAGTTTAATACAGGGGGCTTTGATCAACTAAATATATTAGGGATAATGAGGGCCAAGTTTCTCACTCTTAGAAAAGAGACTTACATATATGGAGGGCAGAAAACTAGAATAAACCCCATGGTATTGTATTGGAATTAGATATATCAGTTTGAACCCCTGGTTTTGAATATATAGAGATAGATATAGCACTAAATAGAGGTATGTACACATATATGTACACATTCCCTAGCTTCGTACACCCAGAGGGCCTGGGAGCAACAGCATGCCAGCAGCAATGAATATACCCGGTGTTGAGTTCTTGTTTTCAAAATACCACTTTCTACTAAAAAGAATCAAGGATATTTGCAAAAATGGCCAATTTCAGAATGCAGACAGGGAAAGTACAGGATGAGCCTGTAACATTTTGTAGCCAGAAAGAAGGAATTGTTCAAAGAATGTTCGGGATGTGTCAAAAAGACACAGTTGCCAGCTTGAAGGAGCTCCCTCTGGTCATATTGGAGATGGGTCATGCATTGAATAAAATTGAAATCTATGAGTTCATGTTGTAACCAGTATACAAACAGTTTAGTAAGGCATGGATATTGAATAGTCACAAAGTACCCCCCCACAAAATACTTATTAATTATAGAAGAAAAAAAATTATACAATGAAGAAGCCTAGCAAACACTGCCTTAATCAAATGACTAAAGTTAATATAACTAGTAGTGGAATGAATCAAAATTTGTGTGCCACCTGATAGGATGCAGTGAAAAGAACACGGCATCATTTCTGTGATATTCCTCCCAAGATATATAACCTGAATCTAATCAGTGGGATCATCACACAAAGCTAAATTAAGGACATCTAATAACAAAACTGTGCTGATATCTCTACAAGGGACAAGATCATGCAAGTTGGGTAAAGACTAAAGAACTCCTAATCTGAGGGGGATGAAAGGGACATGACAAAGGCATGAATCTGGACTGATCCTTTTGCTATAAAGAACTTATTAGGAAAATTGGCAAAATTTGATTGGAGTTTTAGGATTAGATGGTGGTAATGTATAAATGTAATTTATTGGTGCTGATGGTTATATTGTGATTATGTAGGAGAGTTTTCTTATTATGGGAAACTTGATCTTGGTAACTTAAATAGTTAAAGAAAAGATGTGACATATAATTTACTTCTCTGTGATTCATTAGGTAAAAATCTGTAAATCATTGTTTCTGCCCTTTACCAAAAAAGTAATGGGCCCAACTTTTCTACCCTTTATTCTTGCTTAACTTACCTCACCAATTCCTAATCTTAAATCAGTACCACTGTCTATTTGCTAATACTTCTGAAAAAAATAAAAATAATTGTTGATTGATTTCATGACTAATGAACTTCAACATCGAGGACTCTTTGCACTTCATTTGCTTGTCTACGGTTACTTAACGTTTCCTATTCTCCACCAAGTGTTGCAAACCTTTACCAATTTCCTTGTCTCCTTGCATTGGACTCTACTGTTATTCTGACTGCCAGGCCTCCTGATTCATGGGAAAATAGATACCTTCAAGCTTTCCTTTCTCCTTCCCCATTGCAGCCTCAAGTATATTGTAAGTTCAGCCCCCATTACCTTATTCATAAAGTTCAGCCCTCATTACCTTATTCATAAAAACAGGTGATCTTAATTTCTTCTAGTGCTAATCCCTATCTTCGATAGCCTCTCCTGAGATATTGCACCATAAGTGTTACTATTTTGTCCATTCCCTTTTCACTGTTGGTTGTTGGGGAGAAAAAATAATTTTTCCTCTACCCTTCTAGATTCTCAACTGGACCCTTGTAACAAAAGATAGATTAACAAGAGAAGAATGAATAAGTTATTAATATCTATCATGCGTGTAACACATTAGAATACCCAGAGTATCCAGGTATTAGTATGAGATGTTATCAACTTGTGTCATGCATGTAACACGTGACAGTATCCAGGTATTGCTAACTCAAAAAGTGGCTTATGCTCTGGCTTATATAGCATCTTCATCAAAGAACAATACATTTTTAGAGAAGTGACAAGACAAAAGAAGAGGACCTTGAGTCTCTAGGGGCAGCAAATTGTGGGAAGGCAAATATATGGGAAACTAATGGTAGTTATATACATTTCTCTGGTGCTATTTTCAGGGTGATAAAGATCTAAAGTCAACTCCTGTGATCAACCGTTGTCCTTCCTGGTAGAGAAGGGAAGAGGGACCCCTTTGTAAATGTATGCAAATTTATGTAAACTTTTAGACAAGAGCAGAGAGCTTTTCTTTTCTTTTCTTTTATTCTTTTTTTTTTTTTTTTTTTTTTTTTTGAGACGGAGTCTCACCCTGTTGCCCAGGCCGGGGTACAGTGGTGTGATCGGCTCACTGTGCAACCTCTGCCTCCTGGTTTAAGCAATTCTTCTGCCTCAGCCTCCCAAGTAGCTGGGACTACAGGTATGTGCCACCACGCCCAGCTAATTTTTTGTATTTTAGTAGAGACAGGGTTTCACCATGTTGGCCAGGATGGTCTCGATCTCCTGACCTCGTGATCCGCCCGCCTAGGCCTCCCAAAGTGTTGGGATTAGAGGCGTGAGCCACCGCACCTGGCTGAGAGCTTTTCTTATATCTGCTTTTTCTCATTTACCTTTAGCTCAAAGTAATCCTTATGCCAAAGTGGGATGTTCGGGATGGCATATTCTGCCACCCTTCACTAAAAACATTTGTGGCTGAGCAGTTAGCAGCAGAGCTGGGACTTAAAAATCAGACTTGATCATAAAGCCCAGTATACTGGGCTCCCTAAAAATCTTCCTAATTGTTCAATCCATTGGTCACTTTTCAGTTCTCATTTTACTGAAACAGTAAATACTCTTGTCTTCCCATCCTGCCTGAAATTATTTTCTTTGGCTTCATGGTACAGCTTTTGCTGAATTTTCTACCTCTCTGATCATTTTTCCCCCTTATTTTACTGACTCTTCTTCCAGTGCCTTCCCCTTTCATGTTGTGCTCCCCAGACATCTTTCTTTGGCTTACTTCCTTCCATATTTCAGGTACTCTTTTCGATAATCACATCACCACCAAGCCTCAGGCTTCATCTGCCATGTAAACACTGTTGACTTAGACCTACTTCTGCTACTACTACCTACTAGAAATCTTCTAGATTGGGCTCCCAGGAGCCACTAGCTTGCATGTAAGTCTTGAGCCCTTGAAAAGTGATTGGTCCAAATTGAGATATGAAGCACATGTAAAATTAAAATACACAGTGGATTTTGATGACTTAATATGATAAAAAGTGTAAAATATCTCAATAATTTTTAATTGATTAAATATTGAAATACTAATGTTTTAGACACATATTGAGTTCATAAAGTATATTAGTCTGTTCTCATGCTAATAAAGACATACCCGAGACTGGGTAATTTATAAAGAAAAAGAGGTTTAATGGACTCTCTGTTCCATGTAGCTGGGGAGGCCTCACAATCATGGCAGAACGCAAAGGTACTTCTTACGTAGTGGTGGCAAGAGAGAAATGAAGACCAAGGGAAAGGGGTTTCCCCGTATAAAACCATCAGATCTCATGAGATTTATTCACTACCATGAGAACAGTGTGGGGGAAACTGCCCCCGTGATTCAATTATCTCCCACTGGGCCCCTCCCACAACATGTGGGAATTATGGGAGCCACAATTCAAGATGAGATTTGGGTGGGGACAGAGCCAAAGCGTATCATATATTATCAAGATTAATTTTACCTGTTTCTTCTTACTTTTCTAATATGGCTCCTAGAAAAATTTAAATTACGTATGTAGCCCACGTTGTATTTCTTTCAGACAGCATGACTCTAGATGAGTTTCACAAGGGCCTTAAACAACATGTTTAAAAGCAGGTTTATTATTTCCTACCCCCAAACTTATTCCTCTTTTGCCTAAGTTCAAAAGCTTAATTTTTTGTAAATTAAACTCCAGCTAGGTGCCCAGTACTCTACTGAGCACTCAACATGTATTCTTTCATTTAGTCATCACAACAGCCCTGTATCTATTCTTATCTTCATTTTACGCAAGATCGGGTCCTGATTCCCTCTTCTTCACTCCATGTTGAATCCATACCGAACCTCTGCTTGGCTTCTGAAACCTCTCCTATTTATGCTCCCATATCTCTGGCTGAGATTTTCTGTAGTAACTTTCTTAGTGATCTCCTTTATTCCTTGTCCCTCTATCCATTTGCCATTGCTGCCAGGATCGTCTTCCTAAAACACATACCTGATTGTGATTCTGCTGTGCTAACACTTACAGTGGTTTCCTATTCTGATAACATCCAAACTCCTTAATATGGCACATAGCACCCTTCATAATCTATTTTTGGCCTAAAATGGTAGCTCATTTTTCTGGGTTTCATTTTCTTCGTCTCTACGGACTCCTTCCACATGGAATTTGTAATTATTGGAAGAATTTGTGATACTAATGCAATGATCTCTTAATAGGTTCAATCTTGTTCAGCGAACAGCACAAGCTTGCACAGCTCTGGCCTTTAATCTTCGTAGGAAATCTGAATTCCTTGTGGCATTAGCTGATTATTCTATTAAATGTTTTGATACAGGTAAGAAGTTCTCCTATTTTTCTTTTGAAGCAGAGTAAAATATAAACTGAAGAACTGCAAGAACTTTATCACTCTGTACAGCTTGAGGGGGCAGTCCCCATGACAGCCCTCCCTTCAGACACTAGGTGCAAGCTGAGGGTCCTAGAAACAGCCTCACTTTAGATCAGTTGACTACAAAGTCAGGGTTTCCTGACTACTGTCAGGTTTGATAATTTACTAGAACAACTCACAGAACTCAGGAAAGCACTACACTTAATGACAGTTTTAATATAACAAAAGGATACAAAGTATAACTAGCCAAAGGAAGAGAAACATGGGGTGGAATTTGGGAGGCTTCCAAAAGGGAAGCCTCCATTGTCCTCAGGGATGCATTGCCCTCTCAGATGACACTCCCAGCATTGGTGTGTGGCTGGCCATCTGCGCCAAGCACTGTTGACGCAGGGAGTCGACCCAAGCTTTGGTGTTTTTGGTGTTTTCCCTACCAAGCTGTTTTCTCTGCTTACAAAGATACACACAAGTACATCAGAATCAAGTTTAAAAACCAAATGTATTATCAGTATCTCACACTGATAAACCTGTTCCTCCTCATGTATTTATTATTTTTTTTTATTTTTTATTTTTTTAGAGATAGGGTTTTGTCATGTTGCCCAGGTTGGTCTCGAACTTCTAGGCTGAAGTGATTCACCTGCCTCAGCCTCCCAAAGTGCTGAGATTACAGGCGTGAGCCACCGCCCGGCCCCTCCTCATGTATTTCCTACCTCCGCTAACAGTATCACCATCTGCTTAAATAACTAAGCTGGAACCACTGGAGCCTTCACTTCTCTTATATCTCAGGACATCAATTTGATCACTAATATTTTTTGTTTTTCTCCTTAGTAGCTCTTGGATTTGTTCTTTTCTCCATTGCCTCTTTCTTAGTTGAGGCCCTCCATATCTCCTGTCTGAATTATTACAGCAACATATAAATTAGTCTTTCTTGTTCAATCTCTTCCCCTCCACCAGATATCCTCAAAGTGCTCTTTCTAAAACATAGACTAGATATGGTACTCTTTTACATAAAATTACCTGCAAGAGAAAGCCCAAACTCACTAGCATCAATTTTGAAGTTATTCTTCATCAAAGCCTTTGTCAGCCTTGTCTCCTACATGAATGAGATGTTGCTAACATGTTCCGTCATACACTTTATCAACTAGCCACAAGCTTCCATTTTTGTGGATATTAATGGAGGTGCCTCATATAATACCTAACCACCCATTGCATCAGTTCATCTATGGTGTTTATATGTAATGTTACTTCTAGACGTACAGTGTTTTACCTGGGTAACAATTTTACTTTTTACCACAGTCACCAAGGAGCTAGTTAGCTGGATGAGAGGACATGAATCATCAGTATTTTCGATCTCTGTGCATGCATCAGGGAAATATGCCATCACAACTTCTTCTGATACAGCACAATTATGGGACTTGGATACCTTTCAGAGAAAAAGAAAGCTGAATATTCGCCAGTCTGTGGGTATACAGAAGGTCAGTGAGGGGGTACATCTTGGTCTGTTGTGCTTCTCGGGCTAATTTCTTGGTCAACAGGATGTATAGATGATATAAGAGTAATGATTCACTTTGTCCTTGTAGCTCTGTAACTCAGCAACAAGCAAAGCAAAGTGGCCAACACAAAGATGTTGCCTATAGCTACAATTTATAACTTAGTGAGCTCTTTTCTAAAATTATAGCTATGTAACTTCAACTGTCCTAAGGCGAAAGTTATTTAGTTGATTGCTTTTGTTTTCATTTTTAACCCTCTGACATTTTATTATGAAAAATTTGAAACATGCAGTAGATTTGTGAGAATTTTTGAACACGTGTACATTCAGTATCTAGATTCTACCATTAACATGTTACTGTACTATCCTTTACTCTACTTTACATGGTACCATACTCTCTTATGGGTCTATCCATCTTTCTTTTTTTTTTTGGTTTTTGTTTTGTTTTGTTTTGAGACAGAATCTCGCTCTGTCACCTAGGCTGGGGTGCAGTGGCATGATCTCAACTTACTGTAACCTCTGCCTTACAGGTTCAAGCGATTCTCCTGCCTTAGCCTCCCATGTAGCTGGGACTACAGGCATGTACCACCATGCCCAGCTAATTTTTGTATTTTTAGTAGAGACAGGGTTTCATCATGTTGGCCAGGCTTGTCTCAAACTCCTGGGCTCAAGCAATCCTCTTGCCTCGGCCTCCCAAAGTGCTGGGATTACAGGCATAAGCCACCATGCCCAGCTGTGTGTGTGTTTTAAAGTAAACTTTGGTCATCAGCATACTCCCCTGTGAATACTTAAGCCTGTACTTAATTAACTAGGGGTCAATATTTGTTGATTTAAAATTTATATATAATGAAATATGTAAGTCTTAAGTATTCATTTGTTAAATTTGACAAATACACACACCTGTGTAACCTATGCAGCTGTAGCATTACATTATCCCAGAAAATTCCATCATCTCCCTCCCTGGGTGACCACCACTCTTACGTTTTCCCACCATGGACTAGTGTTGCCTATTCTAAAATTTCATATAAATAGAACTATACAATAATAGTTTATGTAAGGCTTTTTTCACTCAGCATAATTTTGTTTGTTTGTTTGTTTGAGATGGAGTCTTGCTTTGTTGCCCAGGCTGGAGTGCAGTGGTGTGATCTTGGCTCACTGCAAGCTCCGCCTCCCAGGTTCACACCATTCTCCTGCCTCAGCCTCCCAAGTAGCTGGGACTACAGGTGCCTGCCACCAGGCCCGGCTAATTTTTTTTGTTGTTAGCCAGGATGGTCTCCATCTCCTGACCTTGTGATCCACCCGCCTTAGCCTCCTAAAGTGCTGGGATTACAGGCGTGAGCCACCGCGCCGGGCCCCACTCAGCATAATGTTTTTGAGATCCATCCATATTATATTTATTAGTAGTTTGTTCTTTCTTATTGCTGTTTAGAATTCCATTGTGTAAATATACCACCTTTTAAAAATCCATTTCTTTTGTTTTTTTCCAACTATGTAGAAACATATGGTATATAGGCCTCCAGTTGTACTCTTGTTCTGAGCCCCACAGATGCCCCAGTTTGGTTCTATCATTTCTTTTAACAGACAAGCCACATAACCAACCTCTCTGGGCTTCCGTTTCCTGAGCAGGAAAATGGGTCTGTGGTAACCACCTTACCAGGGCTGGTGAGAAAATGAGATAAAATAAATAATTCATGTCAACGGCTTGGCCGAGTGCCAGGCCCTTATATAGTAGCTCCCATTGTTATTTTGTCCTTTATGTCCCCTGGCTGTCATCTCCTGTGATTTCCTATATGACATCCAAACTGGTCTCTTTCATAGGGTTTCCACGCTGCTACCCCTCCTCCCTCCTTACCACACCCAGTAACCTTCCCATTCTCTCCACCTAGTCAAATCTAACCCTTTCTTCAATTGTGATAATAGTTACTGAAGCATTTACTATGCTTCAGGCATTGTATTAAGAACTTTCCATACATTATCTCAACTCAGTCCTGACACTGCCTCAATGAAGTAGGCAGTGTTTATTGCTCCCCAAACACAAAGACACGGGGTCTGGAGACTGGAAGCACTGGCGGCTGCAAGTGCCAGAGCCGGCAGGGTGTGAAGCCAGATTGGAGGCTTTCTGCAGAGTCAGGCCTCCCAAATCCTGGGATGGAGTCAAGGAGCTTTTGGCTGTCCCACCCTTTTGGTAGTGCCCCGGTCACTCTTCCTCCTCCAAGTCCCCATATCCAAGCCTGTCATATCTCTTCAGCTCTAGGGGCCTGTCTGTGACTTCCACCCTAAGGGAGCTGGCACTTTGTGTCATGCTACATTGTCCACATCACCGATTCCCCCTCCCTCTCTCCCCTTCCTTCTTCCTCCCTGTTCTTTTTTTTTTTTTTCCTTTGCAACGGAATCTGGCTCTGGCATCCAGGCTGGAGTGCAGTGACACAATGTCAGCTCGCTACAACCTCTGCCTCCCAGATTCAAGCGATTCTCGCCTCAGCCTCCTGAGTACCTGGGATTACAGTCGTGCGCCATGACAGCCAACTAATTTTTGTATTTTCAGTAGAGACGGGGTTTCACCATGTTAGCCAGGCCGGTCTCAAACTCCTGGCCTCAAGTGATCCACTCGCCTGGTCTCCCAAAGTGCTGGGATTACAGGTGTGAGCCACCATGCCCAGCCTGGGCACCTGTTCTGTGCCAGGCTTTGGTGTTCAAAATGTTAGAAGTGGAGAAGTCAGAGGAAGATGGAATTATAGGTCTTTCCTCTTCAAAGCTTTCTGTTTGGCTGATTTTATTCAAATGAGCACACAGGCCCTATTCCTCAAAGCCACTTCAAATGTGGCATTGCTAGGTTGTTTTAGTCCAAGGAAGGCCGTCTCCTTAACTCCCACTGTCTTTTGGTTTTCAGGTTTTTTTTCTTTCTATTTCATTAGCTAAATATTATTTTCAGGAGTATCTGAGTCTCTTGTGTGATTAATTATTTTGCTTCAGGTTGTATTATGCATGCAGTACTGCTTTTAATTTCTAGGTTATTAACATGAACAGCTAGCAATGCATGTCAACCAAAAATTTACTTTGTAGTCTCCATGGAAATCCCAGAGTTCTTTAATGTGCTTTTAACAATTAAAAAGAGATAAAAGTTGTGCCAGCTTATTCATTAGGGATTTAAGCCAAATGTCTTTTCTTCTTTAATTTAGGCCAAAGGTCTTTTCTTCTTTAATTGCTTTAGTACTTACATTTTGAATTTTAAGTTCCAAAGAAGAGAACATTGGGAGTTGAACCCACATGGAAACAGAGTTATGAAACAATGACACATGACACAAAAGCCATCTGTTCTTTTTACTATGAAATTAAAATGAGTATACGCTGAATAGTTGCCAACGCAAACCTTGCTTGGACATTTAGACATTTTAGTTTAAAAATTAGGACTGTGGAAAATGTATGTATAGTGTGATGTGTGCCTAAGTATATTAATGTTAGTGCTATAAGAATAAAACTAAATGTGAAAATGTATGTATAGTGTGATGTGTGCATATAGTAAATTGCTCTAAAATAATAAAACAGGACCGGGTACGGGGGCTTACGCCTGTAATCTCAGCACTTTGGGAGTCCCAGGCGGGGGGATCACCTGAGGTCAGAAGTTCAAGAACAGCCTCAGCCTGGCCAACATGGTGAAACCTCATCTCTATTAAAAATACAAAGATTAGCTGGGTGTGGTGGCACATGCCTGTAATCCCAGCTACTGGGGAGGCTGAGGCAGAAGAATCGCTTGAACCCGGGAAACAGAGGTTGCAGTGAGCCGAAATTGCACCATTGCACTCCAGTGTGGGCAACAGAGCGAGACTCTTGTCTCAAAAAAAAAAAAATACAATACAATAAAATACACTATAGTTTAAGTTATCAGCAAATTTTTCTTAAAGGGCCAGTAAATATTTTTGACTTTGCAGTTCAAGAGCAAAATTATATAACCATTCAGAATGTAACCATTTAAAGCCAGGTACCCAGCTACTCTGGAAGCTGAGGTGGGAGAATCCCCTGAGCCCCAGAATTCAAGACCAAGATGGGCAACACAGTGAGACCCATCTCAAAAAAAAAAGTGACCATTCTTAGCTCCTGGGCTGTACAAAGACTAGAGATGGGCCAGGTGATGACCACTTCAGTTGTAAACAGGAAATAACTGTAACCTTAATATTAAAGTAAAACGTTCGGTTTTTAAAAAATTTTTTTCCCCTGACACAGCCCTCAGGAGAGCCTGAGAACATGTGCCCCTAAAAACGTTAATTCTTACCAAATTCTTACTAAACTCATATTTTTATTACAGATTCTGATTCTATATTTTAAATAGAACTTTTATTTATTTGTTTGTTTTGATTGCACATGCGACCCTTCAGTAACTTGCTTTGGGTCTTTTGTTATGGATTTCATTTTTGATGGCTCTTTTAATCTCACACAGTCTTCTACTTTTTTTCTCATGACATTAATTTTCTGGAGAGATCAGACAGACCAGTTATCTCAGAAAATGCCCCACATTCTGGAGTTGTTTTTTCTGTTTCATCATTATTGTTTAATTTGTCTGTCTTTCACCTGCATTTTCTGTAAACTAGACATTAAGTCTAAAGGTTTGAGTAGATTCCTGTTAAACATTTTTGACAAGTTATTTATCTTATGTATGGGAAAAAATAGTAAACAATACAGGTTGAGGATTCCCAATTTGAAAATCTGAAATCCCAAATGCTCCAAAATTTGAAATTTTTTGAGTGCTAACATGATACTCAAATATCAAGCTCAAAGGAAATGCTCATTGGAGCATTTAAGATTTCAGATTTTCGGATCAGGGATACTCAATTGGTGAGTATAATGCAAATATTCCAAAGTCCAAAAAATCCAAAACATTTCTGGTTCCAAGCATTTTGCATAAGGAATACTCAGCCGTAGCACCTCCCTCAGGGTTGGTTTCAACATTAAGTGTGATAATCTATGCAAAGTTAGCACAGTGCTGGTTGTATAGTAAGTGCTTAGTAAAATTGCATCTGTTGCAATTTTACCATCAAGCCTATGATAGGATTATCTCAGTGCAGTTAGATAATTTGCTTAAGCTGTAGGGTGGCAGGCACATGGGCTCATGCCTGTAATCCCAACACTTTAACACGCAGGCTGATTGCTTGAGCCCAGGAGTTTGAGACCAGCCTGGGCAACATGGCTAAACCTTGTCCCTACAAAAAATAGCCTGGTATGCTGGTGTGTGCCTGTAGTCCCAGTTACTCAAGAGGCTGAGGCATAAGAATCACTTGAACCCAGGAGGCAGAGGTTGCAGTGAACCAAGATCACACCACTGTGCTGCAGCCTGGGCGACAGAGTGAGCTCCTGTCTCAAAAAAACAAAACTGTGGAGTAACTGTTATTTATTTTTTAGTTACATTATATTAACAATTCAGAAACCCAAAAGTATTTAAATAACTCAGTGGCAAAATGCGATCTGACCTCAATTCATTTGGCAGCAAAATCTGAACTGAATTGACATGAGGCTGAAATATTAATATATTTGAGTATGGGGCATTGCCCCAGGTCTCCTAAAGTTCTACATAATGTTATAGAATATACATCATACTACCTATCTAAAATTGGAAATCTGCATTCTGAAACACATCTGGCCCCAAGGGTTTCAGAAAAGGAACTATGGAACTTTGATTTCAGACTGTTTTTAAAGAACCTACCAGTCTAACCTCTTTCCGCTGATTTTTGTAAGCAGTAATAGCAGTAATTATTAGTAATAGTAATAGATACCCGTTATTTAGTATGTTCCATGAACCTTCATTTTAAATAGTTATTTTAAAGCTTTAATCCTAAAGGGTAGATATTATTATCCCCATTTTACAAGAAGGGAAACCGAAGTTCAGAAATATTAAGTACTTTGTCCAGAAATATTAAGTAATTTGTTCAGTATCACATAGTTTAGGAGAGAATTGCAGTTTGAATTCAAACCTGTCTTTATCTAAAGTCTTACTGCTTCTCAGGTAAACCAGTTACACCTCTTCAAATTAGTACATTTTTATTCTTTTGTTGATGTTTGGGGGTAAGATATTCAGCTCATTAGTTAAGGATTTTGGAATCCCCGGGATTTGTGATTACTGTGGTTCAGCAGGTATCAGAAAAGGCTTTGTGATGGATATCAGAAAACATCTAATAAAGAGTGTTTTGCTGAACTCAATTCAGCCTGTGTACCCAGGACACTCACTAAATACTAAATATACAAATAATACATTTGACCTTAACTTGCTAATATTAGTATCCTAAACTCTTTAAACCTTGAAAAAGGGCTGGGCACTGTGGCTCACACCTGTAATCCCAGCACTTTGGGAGGCCAAGGCAGGCGGATCACTTGAGGTCAGGAGTTCTAGACCAGCCTGGCCAACAAGACCAGCCTGGCCAACATAGTGAAACCCCATCTCTACTAAAATATACAAAAAATTAGCCGGGCATGTTGGCACATGCTGTAGTCCCAGCTGCTTGGGAGGCTGAGGCACGAGGATTGCTTGGGAGGTTGTAGTGAGCCAAGATCACGCCACTGCACTCCAGCTTGGGTGACAGAGGGAAGACTCTGTCTCAAAATAAATAAATAAATCAATAATAAATAAATAAATAATAAGGTAAAATAAACCTTGAAAAGAGTTCATCTACCTCCTAAAACTGAATTGGAAAGCTTAGGATTTTTGTGTTCTACAAGGAAAAACTACAGCTCCGTCCTTGAACCTAACCCCCCAAAAAGTATACTTTGTTAATGTTTTGAAGTTTTTCCTAAGGTTTTTATGTTTCTCAAGAGATGACACTATCTAAATAATAATGACATGCTTCATTAGGAACAATTTTATAATCATTAAAATATGGCAATTAAAATCACAAATCTAGTAATGAATAATCATGTAGGCAATAATCTATCACAGTTATTCTGCTAAAATAGCAGTTGATGCTCATTAACTTTTAAGCTTCTGCTTTTCCCAGTAGGAATAAACTTTATTACTTTTCCAGAAAAATGACTGCTAATTATAATAATAATTTTCTTAAGTCACTTTTTGACATCAGTTTTGAAACAGTGTTCTAATGCGTTCATTATAGATTATAGAAATCTGTAAGGCCTTCATATTATAAATCTTCCTAACAGTGAATCTAATAGCAAAAGATCTACCACAGATTGTCTTTAGCAAAGTGAGCCAAGGAAGAAGGGAGGAGCTTGATCAGGCCCTTGCCTGATCTGTCAGTATCTGATGTAGTTGAGTTCGTATTTTTTATTGTCTTATTGGCATTAATCCTGAGTAGATTATTTTTGCTAACCAGTCTGTTCTCTAGTGCATTATATATGTGTGTGTGTTGTACAGATGACACACAAAATTATATTCAAGGCCACTGAAACTTTTACGAGAAAATATTGGTTAATTTCCGTTAATAATTTTGCATTAACAAAAGGAAGCATTGTTTATGCTTATGTGATAGAAAAATGAAAATTAGGAGAATAAAGTGATGACATTTTCAACTTTACTATCAGTTTCATTCTCAGTTGTCCATTAAATGAACTGAATCTGTAATAAGATAGGATTATATATGCATTTGCACCTTTTTACTCATATAAAAAAATGGCTTAACACTTACTTATCCTGAAACACTTTGCCCAGTATTCCCAAAGGACTAACTTTTTTTTCTTGAGATGGAGTTTCACTCTTGTTGCCCAGGCTGGAGTGCAGTGGCGCAATCTCAGCTCATTGCAACCTCCACCCTCCAGGTTCAAGTGATTCTCATGCCTCAGCCTCTTGAGTAGCTGGGATTACAGGCGTCTGCCACCACACCCGGCTAATTTTTGTATTTTTAGTAGAGACGGGGTTTCACCATGTTGGCCAGACTGGTCTCAAACTCTTGACCTCAGGTGATCCACCCACCTCAGCCTCCCAAAGTGCTGAGATTACAGGTGTGAGCCACCGTGCCTAGCCAGGACTAACTTTTAAAAGCAAACTGACTAATTTGGGAAGATATATATTTTAAGGCTGTTGACACATATCATATAACATCTTTAAATAATTTTTACTCCCAGCGGCAGTGTATGACAGTGCCTTTTTTTACTCTATATATAGTATATGTAGAACTATATACTAATATAAACACTGTATTAAATACTAACTACTGATAGATGTTTAAAAAATATCAAATGTTGGTGAAAGTATAGGGAAAAGACACTGTCATACACTGCCACGGGGAGTAATAAATACATACACCCCATTTTGTGGGAGTAATATATATAGACAAACACCCCATTTTGTCTATGCATGTATGTGCTTTCTTTTTGAAGACAGAGTCTTGCTCTGTCACCCAGGCTGGAATGCAGTGGTGCAATCTTGACTTACTGCAACCTCCACTTCCCAGGTTCAAGGGATTCTTCTGCCTCAGCCTCCTGAGTAGCTGGGACTACAGGCACACACCCGGCTAATTTTTTTTTTTTTTTTTTTTTGAGACGAAGGCTCACTCCCTCACCCAGGCTAAAGTGCGGTGGCGGGGTCTTGGCTCACTGCAACCTCCACCTCCCAGGTTCAAACAATTCTCCTGTCTCAGCCTCCCAAGTAGCAGGGACTACAGATGCCTGCCACCATGCCTGAGTAATTTTTTTATTTTTAATAGAGACGAGGTTTCACCTTGTTGGTCAGGCTAGTCCCAAACTCCTGACCTCAGGTGATCCACCCGCCTTGGCCTCCCAAAGTGCTGGGATTACAGGTGTGAGTCACTGCGCCTGGCCTAATTTTTGTATTTTTTCGTAGAGATAGGGTTTCACCATGTTGGCCAGGCTGGTCTCGAACTTATGTCCTCAAGTGATCCGCCTGCTTCGGCCTCCCAAAATGCTGGGATTACAGGTGTGAGCCACCACACCTGACCAATGTGCTTTATTTTAAAAGTAAAATTGATACTCAAAATTATATCTTGTTTTCATTTAACTCTTTAGTAATATTAGGTGAAATTTTTTAAACTGTCATTTAGAATTTTGTGACTTGCCTAGTCATTATAGTGTACCTAGTTTTCGTTTGAAGGGTTTTTTTTTTAGTTAATAATAATTTATGAAATAATCAGTATTACTCCTTGTCATATATTAGAAATGTATTTTCCCCAGCTTAAGAAAATAATATTTTAATAAAGAAAAATAGACTACTTGTATAATTTTAAATTTAAAGTCTCTATGTGAACCTTATGTGAAAACTAACTTTCTCTATTCCTCCTTAGGTTTTCTTTCTACCATTAAGTAATACCATCCTCAGCTGTTTTAAAGATAATTCCATTTTTGCCTGGGAATGTGACACACTTTTTTGCAAATATCAATTGCCAGCTCCACCTGAAAGCTCTAGTATATTATACAAAGTGTTTGCTGTAACCAGGTAATGTGCATTTTAAGACACTAGGAATATTTAAGAAATTTAATTTCTGGTAAAAAATTACAAATTTTCATTTAGTTTTTATTCAGTATCTTTTTGTCATATTAGAAAAAGTTACCTTCAAATTTAGATATGATCTGCTAACTTTTTTTATTTTGCAAAATATCAAATATACACAAAAATAGAAAAATACATGAACCCCTAAGAATTTCTTCTTTTTTTTTGTTTGTGTGTGTGTGTTGTTTTATTTATACCAGCCTTTCCTCCATCAGAACCACTAAATATTTCCATAAGCTACAATAATCATCAACGAATGGCCATTTCTTTTCTTTTCTTTTTTTTTTAAATGGAGTCTCACTCTGTCACCCAGACTGGAGTGTAGTGGCATGATCTCAGCTCACTGCAACCTCTGTCTCCCGGGTTCACGCGATTCTTCTGCCTCAGCCTCCCGAGTAGCTGGGATTATAGGCACGTGCCACCATACTGGCTAATTTTTGTATTTTTAGTAGAGACAGGGTTTCACCATGTTGGTCAGGCTGGTCTCGAACTCCTGACCTTGTGATCCGCCCGCCTCGGCCTCCCAGAGTGCTGGGATTACAGGCATGAGCCACCGTGCCCGGCCATTTCTATTTTTATCAATAACTTCACCTACTTCTCCAATGCATTGTTTGAAGCAAAACCTAAGCATATCATTTTATCCATAAATATTTCAGTTTATCTCTGAAAGATAAGGGCGCTTTTGGAAATATAACCATAGTATTATCACACTTTATTTATTTATTTATTTATTTATTTATTTATTTATTTATTTATTTTTGAGACGAAGTCTCATTCTTGTCCCCCAGGCTGGAGTGCAATGGCACTATCTCAGCTCACTGCAACCTCCACCTCCCAGCTTCAAGCAATTCTTCTGCCTCAGCCTCCCAAGTAGCTGGGATTACAGGTGCCTGCCACCACACCTGGCTAATTTTTGTATTTTTAGTAGAGACGGGGGTTTCACCATGTTGGCCAGGCTGGTCTCGAACTCCTGACCTCTGGTGATCCGCCTGCCTCAGCCTCCCAAAGTGCTGGGATTACAGGCGTGAGCCACTGCACCCGACCTATTATCACACTTTTTAAAAATTAATAAGAATGTCTTAATATTGTCATATATCTAGTTATTGTTCAAACATCCTTGATTGGTCTAATAACTGGTTTTTATGATTGATTTGTTTGAATAAGAAGCAAAACAAGGCTCACAGATTGTATTTTGTTGATATATTCGTCTTTTTTTTTCCTTATAGTTTATTCATTAAATAACTGGTCATTTCTCCTCTAGAGTTTTCTATATTCTGGATTTTGCTCTTGTCTTCATGTGGTATTGTTTAATATGATCCTCTGTTACCTGTATTTTTCCTGTATACTGGTTATACCTGTATTTTCTAAAAACTGGAGGCTTGATCTGATTTAAGGACAAGAAGACATTATAGGTGGTTTGTGTACTTTCATAAGGAACAACATAGAACAGTTTTCTTTTGTGACGTCAGTAGCCATTAGTGATCATTCCCTAGATCTAGTACTGCCTTAGAAGTTAGCAAAATGCTGCTGTTCTAATTCTCTCATTTCTTCTTCACTTATTAGTTAATAACCTTCTATAGAAAGAAACTTCCTCTCATCAACCCTTTGGTTATTTTGATGTACAGTTGTAAAGGAAAGGCAGGATAAATGCTTAATTTTCCCCTCTTTTTTCTTAAACTAGTTTTTGAAGTAATGAATTGGTTTATTAGCATCTTTCAAAAGTGGCTAATGAAGATTTTTGTCTTGAATCTTTGTAAACTCATAGGCTTAGAGTAGTTGACAAGTTTTAATACATTGCAGCTGTCATTCTTAGAGATGTTCCAATTCTCTCATCTTTGACTAATAGGATCCTCTTTTCGCTGACTTTGGCATCCTTTTACTACAACTCCAGTTGCCTGTGATAGCTTTCATGCTTTCTGGTATGACAAGATGTTCCAAGCTTATCTTGTACAATTCCCGCCCTAACCCTGGAATCAGCCATTTCTCTAAAGAGTCTGGGTTCTTTTTTGGGAAATGGTATTTCAAGACCCTAATCCGGATGCTAGGGGTTCTCATTTTGACTGGGCCAATCATTGTTTCTAGTCAGGGGAAAGAGTTACAAAATAGATGTTAATTCCTCTCTTTTCTCACGCTGTTCTTCTAAGTCATCAGTAAATACCATCAACTCAACCAAACCATATAGCAAATTGGTCAATTTGTTTTTATTCATTGCTGTGGTTATTACCCTAATCCAAGCTACCCTAGCCTCTTTTAGACTACTATAATAGCCTTCTTATTTGTTCTCCCTGTTTTCAATCTCATTTCCTATAGTCATTCTCTACACAGCAGATAAAGTGGTTTTTATAAATCAGTAAGTCAGATCATGTCACTTTCCTATTTAACCTCCTTCATCACTTAGAGTAAAATTCAACCCCCCACCCCTCATTTCCCCTGAGGCCTTCTGTCACCTGGCCTACGCCTCCCTCGCTTCATCTCATTTCCTTCCTTAGTCTGCTCTAGCCACATCCGAGTATAGCAGTGTACTTTCATATGGCAATGCACTTGAGTATGACCTCTTACTTACTTTTCCTTATATACTAACCTTATTGCTTTTTCAGCACTTTTGTACCAGCCAGTCTGGAATACTGATCAGGATAGAATTCTTCCTCCAAGTCATCCCATGACTGGCCTATTTGTGTCATTCAGGTAGCAGATCTTCCTCCTTTCCCAGCTTTCATCACCTTATTTTATAGTTCTATATAGAACTTATCACCTGCTGAGATCAAGTTCATTTATTTGTTTGTTTGCCTTCCTCTAGACCAGAAGTCCTGTAAGAGCAGGATTACTTGGCTTGTGCAGCCTTAACTGACTGTGTCCATGGCTTCTGGGACCATACCTGGCTTATAGCAGACACTTGAAACATAACCATAGTATTACCACACTTTTTAAAAATTAGTAAGTCCTTTACAAGTTCTTGTTGAATGAGTGAGCAACGGCCTTGCAAGTCAAAACAACTTACTCTTTTTGTATCTTATTAAGGTAGCTTTCTTTGAGCAGGAAAAAAGTTTGGGCTGTTTTGTTTTTTTCATATAGCCATGTACCACCAATTCTATATAGCTGTACGTGAAATATAGAAAGTTGGATAGTGATAAGTGACTTTGAGATTATGCTATAAAATATAAGTGTTATGTGAAAAACCCACAATCAGGTCATTAAACAAGTGTTTGGTAAACTGGTGCCTTAGCACAGTAGGTAAAAAAAATATATACTATAAACCTGAGCTGTCCATGCAAGTATTTGAATTAATACAAATTAAATAAAATTTAAAAATAAGGTCCTTATTAACATTAGCCACATTTCAAGTGCTCAATAATCACATGGGACTAGTGTGACCATATTGCATAGCATAGACACAGTACATTTCTGTCATCATAGAAAGTTCTGTCGGACAGTGCTGCTACAAACAATTGAACCCGTTTTTCTTTCTCACTTTTTTGTTTATATAGAGATGGCCGAATCCTGGCTGCTGGAGGCAAGTCAAATCATCTTCATTTGTGGTGCTTGGAAGCTAGGCAGCTCTTTAGAATTATCCAGATGCCCACTAAAGTTCGAGCCATTCGCCATCTGGAATTTCTTCCTGATAGTTTTGATGCTGGTTCTAATCAGGTTAGTAACATAAATGTAGGGCACTGTACTTTTTGAGAAAGAACGCATCCGTCTCTGAACTATATTAGCTCTTATTTATTTAACTTACACCCTGGCTGTTACAATAATTTGAAATTACAAATATGTTATTTTTGTGAAGAGTCTAGGATTGAAAAAAATTTCAAAATCTTGTATTCTTTATACCATTGACAATTTGCTCTTTTTATAAAATCAACATACTGTAAATTTATATTGTACTTTATGGTTTGCAGTGTGCTTTAGCATGCAATTTTTCATTTGATCCTTAATTCTTTGGCATAGGCAGGAAAGATATTCTCCCCATTTTACAGATTATAACACTAACGACCAGAAACATTGACTCGTCAACATTCCTGTTAATTGTAAGGATTAAAGATTGGACTAGAACTAAAATGTTTTTATTGTGTTGTTATTTTATTTATCTTAACTGGTTGCTCACTCCTGTGAAACATGTTTTTATTGGTATCTTTCCTTAGTTTACAGAGTGCTTCTTCCTTCATCCCCCTTCGCTTATTCCTTTTTAAGACTTGAGTTCTGTCAAACCTTAACTTTCTTGTTTCAAATAGACTGTCGTGGATCTTGTATTTTAACAGATTAGATATATGTTTTACATATATATGTATACATATGCATGTATGTATATATCATGTCCATTTTACTTACTTTTTGATTAGGTAATATATTAACATGGTTGAAAACATAAAACAGCATACAGTAGGAAGTCTGTCACGCCTTTCTACCATTTGTCTAGTTGTTCACCTCCCCCCATATCCACTGTTGTTATATATAGTGTTATGTTTTTCCCATTATTTTATACAGCCTTGCACCTTCTATTCTTCCAGTTTTTTTGTTGTTGTTTTGAGATGGAGTCTAGCTCTGTCTCCCAGGCTGGAGTGCAGTGGTGCAATCTTGGCTCACTGCAACCTCCGCCTCCCAGGCTCAAGTGATTCTCCCGCCTCAGCCTCCCAAGAAGCTGGCACTACAGGCATGAACCACCATGCCCAGCTAATTTTTGTATGTTTAGTAGAGACAGGGTTTCACCATACTGGCCAGGCTGACCTCAAGTGATCCACCTGCCTCAGCCTCCCAAAGTGCTGGGATTATAGGCGTGAGCCACTGCGCCCAGTCTACCTTTTATTCTTAAGTTGGAAATTGTTCTATATCAGTGCAGAACTTCTTTCTTTTTCACAACTGCATAGTGTTGCAGTTTATTTTTTAAACCAGTCTCCTATTGGCAGTTAACCTATTTTTAGTCATTTTCTGTTACAAATAATGCTCACTGAATGACTTTTCACAAGTGTCATTTCACACATCCTCTTTGTAGGATAAAATCCCAGAGTTGAAATAGTGGCATAAAGGTTATGTGCATCTGTAATTTGGGTAGATCTTGCCCAGTTGACTTCCAGAGGAGTTGCATCAACTGCAGATGAGGGGCTTTGTTTCCTACAAGCCAACCAACAGGAGAACTTTATAGAGTGTCACCTCCAAACTGCCTTTTACCATCTTTTGTATGATAAGTGACATCAGCATTTCAAGCAATCACATGGTGGCATCACTTACCAGCCACTGCCACTGGGAAGAGAACCTGCACTTAGACAAGGCAGCATGGGGGTTTATTTGCTTAAACTTTTTTATTACATTTTTTTTTGTTTTGGTTTGGTTTTTGGTTTTTGGTTTTGAGACGGAGTCTCGCTCTGTCACCCAGGCTGGAGAGCAGTGGCATGATCTCGGCTCACTGCAAGCTCCGCCTCCCAGGTTCACGCCATTCTCCTGCCTCAGCCTCCCGAGTAGCTGGGACTATAGGCGCCTGCCACCACGCCCGGCTAATTTTTTGTATTTTTTAGTAGAGACGGGGTTTCACCGTGTTAGCCAGGATGGTCTTGATCTCCTGACCTCGTGATCCGCCCGTGTCGGCCTCCCAAAGTGCTGGGATTACAGATGTGAGCCACCATGCCCAGCCTTTATTACATGTTCTTAATTTTTGAAATTATGAGTTAAAATTTAAACTTTTCTCTCCCCTTAAAAGCCTAGCTTCCCTCCTACCCCTCCACTACCCTTGCAACTCACAAACTCTCCATTCTCCAAATGTTACTTAAAATATTTGCTGAAAACAGGCAGACAGTGGGGAGCCTCAGTGGGAGTGACAGGTTTGTGTGGGGGTAGCAGGGCTGTTAGCTTTGATTAGCTATGGAAAGGGTACAGGAAGGCAAACCCTCCACCCTCCTTGTTTCTGATAGCCAGTGTGGAGGCAAAAGTTGGGAACTGTCTGTCTTAGTCTGTTTTGTGCTGCTGTATTGGAATACCACAGACTGGGTAATTTATAAACAATGTAAGTTTATTTTTCACAGTTCTGGAGGCTGGGAAGTCCAAGATCTAGAGGTTGGCATCTTTTGAAGGCCTTTGTTCTCTGTCATAATATAGTAGAAGGCCTCATATGGGTGAGAAAGGGAGGGAGGAATGGGAGGGGACAAGAGGGAGCCGAACTCATCCTTTTATACCAAACCCACTCCCACAATAACAGCATTAATCTTTTCATGAGGGCAGAGCCGTCATGCCCTAATCACCTCTCATTAGGCCCTATCTGCCAACACTGTTGCATTGAGCAAGTTTCCAATATTTGCTGTTGGAGAGACGCATTCAAATTATATCATTGTCTAATCCTCTCTGTCCCCTGTATATGTCATCAGTGGGCATGATCTGCCTGTGGGAAGGGAAGATTCTTAGGGCACCTTTCCATAGTCTACCATGATAGGTTCCCTCCTGGTTCTGATTAGAGCCAGGGCATAATCAACATGAGCCATAAGTTGTGATTTTAAAATAGGTAATATCAGGCCAGGTGCAGTGGCTCATGCCTGTCTGTAATCCCAGCACTTTCGGAGGCCGAGGCAGGCAGATCACCTGACATCAGGAGTTCGAGAGCAGCCTGGCCAACATGGTGAAACCCCATCCCTATTGAAAATACAAAAATTAGCCGGGCCTGGTGACACATGCCTGTAATCCCAGCTACTCAGCAGGGTGAGGCTGGAGAATTGCTTGAACCCAGGGGGCGGAGGTTGCAGTGAGTGGAGATCGTGCCACTGCACTCCAGCCTGGGCAACAAGAGTAAAATTCCATCTCAAAACAATAATAATAATAATAATAATAAAATAAAATATATAATATCTCACTGAGAATAGAATTTCCTCTAGGTGTCCCTCTCAAAATATATATATTTATACACACATACACACATATACACACACACATACATACACAAACGTTGCATACACGTAAAGACGTGTATATAGTAGGACTTTCAGACATTGACTATCACATGTTTTTAGGAATTTATATTTTTTCTCTCTTAGGTTCTTGGAGTACTAAGTCAAGATGGTATTATGAGATTTATCAATATGCAGACTTGTAAACTTCTCTTTGAGATTGGGAGCCTCGATGAAGGAATTAGCTCATCAGCAATTAGCCCACATGGACGGTACATTGCATCTATTATGGAAAATGGAAGTCTAAACATATATTCAGTTCAGGCTTTAACACAAGAAATAAATAAGGTATGTATGATGAAGTAATCAACATCAGCTTTTTATAAACACTTATATATTATATCATCAAGAATAAAATCTTTATGCTACTATTTCTAACTTACCTGGAACTTATCCATTTTTCTGGATATATTTTGTTGCTCTTACTCCCAAAGCCACATCTCTGGCCTTGATTTCTCACGTATGCTCCATTCTTAAATTGCTGCCTTCCTGAGGGACATCTCCGTTTGATGTCTCTCATTTAGGTGTTACTCATTATCTCGTTCCCAAAAGAGTTCTTTCTGCAATTCTCTCTCATGTTTTCTTCCCATCTCATAGGCTAGAAACCTTGAAGTTCTATGACTTCCTATGCCTTTATTTTCTAAATCCAGTCAATACTAAGTCATATAACTTGTTTGTTTTTGTTTTGTTTTTGTTTTTGTTTTTGTTTTTTGAGACGGAGTTTTGCTCTCATTGCCCAGGCTGGAGTGCAATGGTGCGATCTTGGCTCATTGCAACCTCTGCCTCCTGGGTTCAAGTGATTCTCCTGCCTCAGCCTCCTGAGTAGCTGGGATTACAGGCGCACGCCACCATGCCCTGCTAATTTTTGTATTTTTAGTAAAGATGGGGTTTCACAATGTTGGTCAGGCTGGTCTCAAACTCCTGACCTCATGATCCACCCACCTTGGCTTCCCACAGTGCTGGGATTACAGGTGTGAGCCACCACGCCCAGCCCAACTTCTTAAATTTGAAATATCTGTAAATGTGCTGTCTGTTCTCCACTTCCATAATTGCTATCCTTGTATTGGTCTTCATTAACTACTCTGGACTAATGGTAATTTAAAGAAATATCTTAAACTCAGAGCCCTCAGTGCTTGCCCTGCCCATCCTTCCATCTTCTAAAATAATTCATCATCATTTCTTAACTAGTGCTACTTTAGTGGCTTCCTTCCTTCGCCTGTTGAATTAAGTCCAGACTCTTCTGCCTGGCTCTCAGTGTTCTCTCTAATCTTGTCTACCTGTCTAACTTATTTCCTCGAACTTATAGCTTCCCTCATTATCCCCATAGACACCATCCTTATTTCTGCATCTATTATCCACACCATCCATTTCACGAAAATGCATGCCTCACTTCTCTTCTCTGGTTATCTAAAATTCCCCCAGCTAACCAGTCATATTGTCCGTGTGTCTTCCAGTCTGAAATTGCACCTTGGTAGCTCTAACAGAGACTTTGATGATCACCTGGTCTAACCCTTTCATTTTACACAGGAAGAAGTTCGTGCTCAAAATTAATCACACAGCGAGTAACTAGCAGTTCTGGGTGTTCCAATTCTTCCAAGATTACATGAGATTGGGTGCATTTGGAGTGGCGTTTGCCACCTTTTTTTATTCTAAAAAAAAGTTTGTGCCTCCTCCTTTTTGTTTTATCTTTTAAAAAATTATACAAGTAGTGTCTTATTGCAGAAAAAAATAAGAATGTACAGAATAGCAAACAGACAAATACAAATCACTGAAAGTCTCACCATTCTCAGAAGATTCTGATTTATATGTTCCCAATTTCTTTTCTATGTGTGTAAATATATATAGTCACTCCTCATTATTTGTGCATTCTATACATGAGAATTCACCTGCTCACTAAAATTTATTTGTAACTTCAAAATTAATAGTTGCAGTGCTTTCATGGTCATTCAGGGACATGCACAGAGCAGTGAAAATTTGAGTCACCAGATACCCTTTTTCCCAGCTGAAGTCAAATGAGGCAACACTCTGTCTTCTTATTTCAGCTCTCATAGTGTAAACAAGTATCCTTTTTGTGATCTACTTAATACCATTTATTTTTTTGCATTTTGAAGCTTTTTGTTAAGATTCTACTGCTTAAAGTGGTCCCCAAGCGTAGCGCTGAAGCGCTATTTATTGTTTCTAAATACAGGAAGGCTGTGGCTTACCTTACAGAGAAAATACATGTGTTAAATAAACTCATTCAGGAATGAGTTATAGTGCTAAGCTGTGAGTTCAATGATAAGGAATCAGCAATGTGTATTAAATAAGATGTCTTTAAACAGAAACACACATATATGTATTGATTGATTAATGAGGCTCTCAGGAACCTGACTCTGTGTTTCCCCTAGGAGCAGTGTTTCAGTATTCACTAATCGAGTGTTCATGGTGACTTTATAGAACCACTGCAAATAGTGAGAATTAACTATACATATATGTTTCTGTGTGTACGCACATGTGTGTGTATGCATACTTGTCTCTAAACATATGGGATTATACTCTGCTGCTGTTTTGCTCTTTATGTCATTATGTATACTATATAAGTATATTTTTACATTATAATATGTGCTATATATTAATAAATTTTTTTAAATGTATTAATATCTGCTCTTACTGAGAGAGTTTTCAGCCTGCTGAATAGTCAGTTTTACAGTACTAGCTAAACCTTCTTTTCTTTTTTTTTTTGAGATGGAGTCTCACTCTGTCTTCCAGGCTGGAGTGCAGTGGTGTGATCTTGGCTCACTGCAGCCTCCGCCTCCCGAGTTCAAACAATTCTCCTGCCTCAGCCTCCCTAGCAGCTGGGATTACAGGCGCGTGCCACCACGCCCAGCTAATTTTTGTACTTTTAGTAGAGATGGTGTTTCACCATGTTGGCCAGGCTGCTCTTGAACTCCTGACCTTGGTGATCCACCCGCCTTGGCCTCCCAAAGTGCTGGGATTACAGGCATGAGCCACCGTGTCCAGCCTTGCAAACCTTCTTAATAGAGGCAGGCAGAGAGCTGAGAAAAACTATGGTAAGAATGAGTCATTGAGTTCCTTTCTGCTTGTTATCTGTTGAGCAAATTGATATCACATGAATAGAAAAGCTAGCTTGGAAGTAGAATGATCTTTTTTATTTTTTGACACATTCCCAGTACCATCAGTGTCTTTATGGCTGTTCCAGGCTACATTAATGTTCAATTCTATATTCTCTATAAATCATAACTCACCTTTGTCTCATTTTTACCAGTTTTATTTTCTTGTCATTGGAGAATTTCTGGTATTGTGGTAATAGAGTAAATGAATTCTTAAGTGTTGAAGGTTTAACACTACAAAGGTATGTCAAGTCAGGTTGTTTCTCAGGTTCTTTTTTGGGAGGTTATACTTCATGGTAGAGGATAAGGCTCAAACGGGAAATTGTGACATTTTAATAAATTTTAATTTTAATAAAATTTTAGTAAATTTCAGCTCTCATGGTGTAAACAAGTATCCTTTTTGTGGTCTACTTAATGCCATTTTTTTCTGTGTTTTGAAGCTTTTTGTTAAGATTTTACTTGTTAAAATGTTCCCCAAGCGTAGCATTGAAGCGCTATTTATTGTTTGTAAACACAGGCTGTGGCTTACCTTACAGAGAATATATGTGTTTTTAATAAAAATTTAGAAGAATGGATTGAAGTCAAAAAATAGTTTAAGGATATTAAATATGGGTAATATTCATAAGTCAGACCACTATTAATCCCATCCCATAGATGAATTGAAGAATTGAATCATAAACTGTAAATGGTCATTGTGTTTTAATTGTATTTAGAACTTAGAAAGCCTGAGTTACCTTATTTGCTCACTTCCTTTGAAGAAGGAAGATCTTTTGATTTCAAAGAGAATATTGTTTATGGAGAAAATGTTCTAGTGAGTAATGTTACTTTAAGTAAATTGAAGTTGTTCAGGTTTTTTTCCGTGTTTGATGGGCCCCATAAAAATGAAGGTATAGGTTCTAAGTCACATTGTCTGAACTGCTTAAGCTGTTGATACAATAAGGAACTAATAGTGATCACTAAGCAGATTAAAACATTTAACCAAGGGATAGAGGGGCAGAGGTTCCATGCTTCTAGAAGAAAGTCATTTGGCAGTTTCCTCTTAGAAATTTCACTTGACCCCAAAGAATATTAGGGTACTTCTGTCAGAATTCTAGAGGGCCATACCTCTAACTGTACCTTTTTTGCTGTAGATAATAATCACCATACTAACTTTACCATGTATGTGTAAACATGATTTGGTATTAAATGATTTAAGGCCAGCTTTCAAGGAATAATTATATTTATTGCTATTGTTAATCATGTATCTTTATTATGTTCTTCAAAAGGATTCAGCAGAAATTTGCTTTGATTTATTAGTCAAAGCAAATGTTCCTAGACATTTTACTTAAGTTTTTTGCCTGAAGAATAATTCTACATATTAAGGCATGTTATTAAAGCAAATTTTGAAAATCATACATTAACAGGCCTGTCTTCCAAGGATATCCATTAGAATATATATATATTTATTTTTCCATTTAGCCACCTCCGCCTTTAGTGAAAGTTATTGAAGATTTGCCCAAGAATAAACTGAGTTCCAGTGATCTTAAGATGAAAGTAACATCAGGGAGAGTACAGCAGCCAGCAAAATCTAGGGAAAGCAAAATGCAAACTAGAATATTAAAACAAGACCTGACTGGTGATTTTGAAAGTAAAAAGGTAAGAATATTTGGTAATTAAACTTTGTCATGATTCTGCTGTAGACAAGTCTTGTGATTTCTAAGCCATCACCACTCTTCTCTCTCTTGGGAATTAAAGAAAGAGAATAAAATGAAGAGAATAAAGTTGTAACCTAAATTATGCACAGGCTGGTCTCAATCCTGGCCTCAAGTGATCCTCCCACCTTGGCCTCTCAAAGTGCTGTGATTACAGGCATGAGCTGCCACACCCAGCCATATGGCAGCTTTGAGAAAGAAAGAAAATATAGCTATTAATAGAGAAGTGACATTATTTTCAAGGGATTTGAAAACTTTTTAATGACAAATATAATCACACACATATACAAAGTACACATTAATATAGAGCTCAGTGAACTTTCACAAAATGTACACACCATGTTACCAGCACCCAGATCAAAAACTGGAACATTACCATCAGCTTATTGCTCCACGCTCTCTCTCCCTCACCCCCACCCACCCCAGAATAACTACTCGACTGATACACTGTAGATTAACTTAGTAAATACTGTCAGTTTTCCTAAGTGGTTGATTGAAAAGTAGTTGATTTACATCCCTACCAGCAGTATTTGAGAGTTCTAGTTGCTCCATATTCTCACTAATAATACCTGATATTTTTCACATTGATTTTAATACAGTGTCCTTCCTTATCCATGGTTTTACTTTCCATGGTTTTGTTTACATGTAATCAGCTGTGGTCCAAATATATTCAAAGGAAGATTTCAGAAAAAACAATTCATAAGTTTTAAATTGCACACCGTTCTGAGTAGCATGACGAAATCTCCTGCCATCTTGCTCTGTTCCACCTGGCACATGACCATCATTCTGTCTAGCATAGTCACTCAGTAGCCTCTTGGTTATCAGATCTACTGTCACAGTATCACAGTGCTTGTGTTCCAGTAACCTTTATTTTACTTAAAAAACTTCTGTAGAGCACAAAAGTACTGATACTGACATATTGTCAGAATTGTGCTATTTTATTATTAGTTATGATAATCTATTGTTGTGCCTAATTTATAAATTAAACTTTATTATAGGTATGTATATATAGGGAAAAACATAATATATTTAGGGTTCAGTGTTATCTGAGGTTTCAGGCATCCACTGGGGATCTTGGAACATTTCCTCGTCAAATCAGTGGGGACTATTGTAACTTCTTTTTTCTTTAAGCATTTTTTAATTGTAAAATTTGCAACACAGAAGAGTGTCTAAAACAGATTACAGCTTAATGAAAAGTAATAAAAAGATTACACATGTATCCTGTGTCAGGTAGCTGCAAGACCATCCTTAGGTTTGATGATTTATTAGGACTCAGCATGTAGCCATATTCATAGCTATAATATATTAAAGTGAAAGGATGCAAAGCAAAATCAGCAAAGGGAAAAGACACATGGGGTGAAGTCCAGAAGAAACCAGGCACAAGCTTCCGGGAATCTTCTCCCACTGGAGTCACAGGACATCCTTGATTCCTCCATCAATGAATATGTGTGGCAATATGTGTGAAATATTGTCTACCAGGGAAATTTATTAGAGACCTGGTGCCCAGGATTTTTACTAGAGGCTGGTTCTGTAGGTACCCTGTTTTAACAGGTTTCAAATTTCAGACTCCCAGAAGGAAGGCGGGCATTAAGCATAAACCACATTGTACAAACAGTTTAAGCACAATGAGCCACTCTTTATTGGTTCTAGGGGTGGTGAGAACTTTCCTGAAATTCAACTTCTAGACACCAGCCAAAGGCTGACCTTGCAAGTAAGCCTTCTGAGGGTAGCAGGCTCAGACCGGCTTGTGTTCACTTTTTTCTGCACATACCCATTTCCACATGAAGAAATAGAGCATTACCGTAGCTTTGGAGCCCCGTGTGTGCTTATCCCCCATCACATTTTTCTCCCTACCCCATATATATAACCATTGTCCTCACTTTTGTGTTAATTATGCCGTTGATTTTCTTTATAGTTTTATAACTTCTTCATGTAACTCTAAACAAAATATTACTTCTTTAAAGAAAAAACTGAATAGCAGACACAAGCCTAGCCTAGTTGTGTAAAGACTGGGCAATGTTGCTCCTATTTAATGAATGCTTTAATGCAAAGATAAGCTGAATGGTATCTCTGAGATGTTCTGGCTTCAGAGTTTGCAGGACCTTTTCTGGGAAAACTGGTGGGAATGGTCATGAGCAACTTTGGGAAGTAAAAGCCTCATCATGTCAGGGTATCTGGCAGCATTGTAGTGTGGATCCAATGTGGATATCCTACAGAAATATGTCAAGGAATGGAGCTGCTTCCAAGGAAACCATAGCCAGTTCTAAAAAGTAGGTCAAAGTAGAACACTTCTATGGCATGAAGTGCAAGTCCTCAACTAATCTTTGCATTAGCACGTGGAAAGAAAAGAAGGAACTTTATCAGCTCATGGCCAAGACAAGGACAGGTCAAATTGAGGCCAAACTCCCCAGGGCATCTTTTTCTTTGTTTAAAAAGAAGCTTCAATGGCAGCAGGTATCTTGATGATGAAGTCAGTCTTCCTGGATCATGTTGCTCTCATTTGTTCTAGTTGCCCTCTATACCTTTAATATGGCACTCAAGTATCTTCATTCACCATCATCTTAGGTTTTCCCTTCACCCTTCTCTTACATTGGACTACCTGTTTCTTCTTGTAAAAAGAGCACTAAACGAAATCAGAAAGTCTGGCTTCGAGTCTTGAGCCAAGATTTAGCAGATTTGTGACCATAAGCAATTCACCAAACTTCTCTGATTTTCCCATTTTTTCAAATAAAGGAAGACATTTCATCTGTTTCATATAGTTGTTAGATCCAGTTGAGATAATATATGCAAACAGCTTTATAATCCTAAATTCTATAAAATATTTTTTATTAAGATAAAAATTGACTTTAAAGTCTTAGATATAAGGGACTATCAGCAGGAGCTGATGTCTGTTAGGATAAAATGATGAACTCCCACATGTTTTTCTGCCAGACTTGTCCTTGATGCTTTAATGCTAGGAATTGCCTAGAATTTTAAGGAAAGAGAGAGGTGGGGGAGGAGCGGTCAGAGTGGATTGCTCTTGATGCAGGAGTCCCAGATGACAGCCGATGGGCCTAATTCGGCTATTCAAGCTAAGAATGGTTTGTGCATTTTTAAGTAGTTATATATAAATATATAATTTTGATTTTTCTTCTTGGCCCACAAAACCTAAAATATTTACTAACTGGCCTGTATTAGTCTGTTTTCACACTGCCATAAAGAATACTACCTGAGACTGAGCAATTTATAAAGAAAGGAGGATTAATTGACTCACAGTTCCACATGGCTGTGGAGGCCTCTGGAAACTTACAATCATGGCAGAAGGTGAAGGGGAAGCGGGCACCTTCTTCACAAGGCAGCAGAAGGAGAGAGAGGAATATGTGGAGGAGAGACTGTCAAACACTTAACAAAACCATCAGATCTCGTGAGAACTATCATGAGAACAGCATGGGGGAACTACCCCCGTGATCCAGTCACCTCCCACCAGGTCCATCCTTCAACACGTGGGGATTGTGGGGATTGTAATTCAAGATGAGATTTGGGTGGGGACACAGAGCCAAAGCATATCATGGCCCTTTACAGAAAAAGTTTGTCAAGCTTGTTTAGGGAAGGTACTATATCATGAACTTTATTGGCTATGTATATGCATGCTCAAGAGAGGGAGAGAGGGGAGTGGGGAAAAGACCTATGATACACAAATATGTCTTACTATGTGTTGTTTTCTAAAGTTGGGAAGTCACTGTGGACTAGATTACCTTTGTCACCTTTTCAGTTTTAATGATTGTGTCATTTATTAATATTGTCTTTTTCTTTGTAGAATGAATTACCAGATGGATTAAACAAAAAGCGTTTACAAATCTTATTAAAAGGCTATGGTGAATATCCAACAAAATACAGGTACAATTTAAATTCTGTATGTTACATCAGTTTTACTCAAAAAAAATTGGGGGGATTAAAATATATTTTTATTTCAGAATGTTCATTTGGCGCTCTCTGCTACAACTGCCTGAAAATCATACTGCGTTTAGTACCCTCATAGATAAGGGGACTCATGTGGCATTTCTCAACCTTCAGAAGAAATACCCCATCAAAAGTAGGAAGCTACTCAGAGTATTACAGAGGTATGTTCTATATATTGCAGCAATGTGTATGAGACCTGTAACTAATAATTGCAATGTTATAAAATCTCCTGTTTATAAAATATTGTTTTGTCAGTTTGATTATCCTTATGTGATATGTTGGTTTAATTTTAAAAATGTACATGCACATATATTACATGTGAATATTAGTTTGTGTTGTGTTCTAGAAAATAGGACTCTTTCAGTTAATCTGAAAGAACATCCCAGCACTTTGGGAGGCCAAGGCGGGCAGATCAGCTGAGGTCAGGAATTGGCGACCAGCCTGGCCATCATGGTGAAACCTATCTCTACTAAAAATACAAAAATTAGCTGGGTGTGGTGGCGGGCATCTATAATCCCAGCTACTCAGGAGGCTGAGGCAGGGAGAATCGGTTGAACCCTGGAGGCAGAGGTTGCAGTGAGCTGAGATCACGCCATTTTACTCCAGCCTGGGCGACAGGGCAAGACTCCATCTCAGAAAAAAAGAACAGAGGCATAGTGGAAAGAGCTTTGAATTTGAAGGCAAAAGACCTAGTTTTGAATTCTTATTCTACCACTTAATGATTGTGATGTAAGACGTGTTATTTTACTTCTTAGCCTTAATTTTTTTTATCTAAAAGTGGGGGTAATAACACCAACATCATAAGACTATTGGGAAAGTTAGATGAGAATCTCTTTTAGAATGCATATGCTAGAGTCCATTCCTAGGAAGCATCCAGTAAATGTTAATAATAACAGTAGCTCATCCTTTAACCTGCTTTTCATGTGTTAGGCACATTTGACTTATAGGTAAAGAAACTAAGGCATAGAGAGACTAGGAAATATGATCAAGTCACAGCAGTGATAGAGCTAAGATTAAGCCCAGGTTCCAGAGCCGAAGACTTTTTTTAAAAATAATTTTTATTATGAAAAATTTCAAGCATAAATAAAAAATAATGTAACAAATATCCCCATGCCCATCACCCAGCTTCAACAATTGCCAACTCATAGCCAATCACGTTGGGTGAATATTCCCACTCACTCTACACCCCACATCCCAACATACACACACTCCCCTTGCTAAATATATACATATGTATCCCTAAAGGATAAGGACTCTTTTTCTTTAACATAAGTACACTATCATACTGACACACAAAAAAGAATTAATAATTCTTCAGTATGTTCAAATATTCAATCAGCATTCCTCTGATTGTCTTAAAAATTTTCTTATGTAAACTTGTTCAAATCAGGGTTCAAACAACATGTACACATTACATTTGGTTGATACCCCACTGAGATTAATCTATAGACTCTGATACCTCTTTTTTTCTTACAATTTATTTGTTGGAGAAACCAGATCGTTTAACCCATACAGCCCTCTATGTTCTGGGTTTTGCTGATTTTATTTCATAGTATTGTTTAACATGTTTCTCTATCTCCTGAATTTACTATAAACTGGCAGTTAGAGCTAGGGGCTTGATCTGAGTCAAGGTTTTTTTTTTCCCCCCTTTGGTATTTGTTTCTTTCACTTGCAAGAAAACTTCCTAGGTGGTTTTATGTACTTGTTAGGCGGATTATAATTAATACCTGGCTGTCTCTCTTTTCGTGATGTTGTCCATTGATGATTATTGCCTACATCCATTATTTCACCAGAGATTAGCAAAACAGTGATAATATAATTCTGTTCCTTCTCATTTTATAAACCGGGAAATTTCTCCAAAGAAAAAGTTCTTAGGATCAACTACTTGGTTACCGGAAGATACAACCCATGTAGGAAAAGGCAAGTTAAATGCTTGGTATCTTTTTTTTTAAACAGTTTTCAGAATAGTAAACTTATTACCTTGGAGCTCCCCAGAGCAATCAGTGTATTGATTATGAACTCAGATTGAACATATAGACCTTTTCAGTACATAGAACCAGGAGTTCATACTAATATTTTCAATTCAGATTTAAGATTACAAATTTGCATAGCTGCTTTGATTTTATATTTGTATTTTTTTCTTATGCTAAAAATCTTGATTTCTAACAGCATTGACATAATTCCTTATTTTCTTTAACACACATACACACACACACACTCACACAATGGTTTTTAAGCTCCATATATTTATGCTGTATAATAAAAACTATATAACTATAAATAATAACAATGTGAATATTATGATTATTGAAAGCAGTCCAAAATATCTTTTATAGTTCTTTTTGTCCTTAGGTTATATCCCACTAGGCATATATAATCAAATTATTGTTTTCATTTTTGTTTTTGTTTTTTGAGACAGGGCCTTGCTCTGTCACCCAGGCTGGAGTACAATGGCATAATCATAGCTAACTGTAACCTCGAACTCCTGGGCTCAAACGATCCTCCCCCCTTAGCCTCCCAAGTAGCTGCTACAGGTATGCACCGCCATGCCTGGCTAGTTTATTTATTTATTTTTAAGTAGAGATGAAGTCTTACTATGTGGCCCAGGCTCATCTGGATCTCCTGGGCTCAAGTGATCCTTCTGCCTCTACCACCAATGTATTGGTATTAATGTATTGGTATTACAGGTGTGAGCCACCACACCCAGCCCAAATTATTGTTTTAAAATGACTTGAAATAACTCCTCTTCATATGATAATGCCACTAGCTCACTACACAGGTTAATTTGTTTCATTTGTTTTCAGTTTTTTGAAAAATTTTTGTATTTAATTTAATTTGTTTTATACTTTTATAAAACATTTACATGTTTTCTAAATCAAATCTACAAAATAAGGTACATTCAGAACAGGCTGACTTCTGTTTCCTTTGTCCTGTTACTTCTCCTCCCAATAAGTCATCCTTTTAGCAAATATCTTATTTGTATTTACAAATATGTTTGTATTTACCTCCTTAGGTAAATGGTTGTATACTATTACACTTTTCTGTACTCTGCTTTTTAAATTTAACAACGTATTTTGGATATCATTTTAAAGCAATGTACAGAAATATTCATCTTTTTTTTATACCTGCATTATGCACCATTATTTATTTGGCCTGTCCCTTAATGAACATGTAGATTATTTTCAATCTTCTGCTGTCACAAGCATGCTGCATTAATTAGTTTGGCCCATAAGTCTTTTTCTATTAAGTGTATCTTTGGAATAGATTCATAAATGTTAGATGCTGAGTCAAAGGGTAAATACATAATATACTGCCCTTTTCAATTAGAGAAAACATCAGATAACTTTGTTAAGAGATGACTTAGAGATGGGAATTTGCTTACTTTTTCTATTTGGTCTTCACACTTACTATGCTTCCTGTCTGTGTGTAAGATAACATCACAGTTCAGACGTTTGTCAGAATACCAGTGTAGACTGTCAGTGCCTTGCCTTTGCTTTTTAGGTTCATATTCTAGGTTGAGAGCCGTAAATATCTTGGGTAGAGAGTGAAGTCTCTCATCAGATGCCGAAGGAATTAAAAGAGGAGAGTACATTACTTCAAAAATGATGATTTTGTGCATTCTTCTGAAATAATAAATTTCCTGAGTTCAGAGGACAAGGTAGAAAACATTTTCTCCTTCTGTTGACCCCCTCACTGTAGGGAATGAAGAACTGATTTTATCAATAAGTAAAAGTTACTCAAGTAACTGTTTAAGGTATCTAAAATTTCTTATAATTTTTCCGTATCCTAGGATTTTAGACTTTCTAAATTATGAATGCTTTTCTTGGGTACTTGTTGATGCTTCTTCCTTATCCCCAGTAGTACAACTTAAAAACAGAATATTTTAGGATTTTTTCACTCTTTCATTAAGTTCTGTTCACATTCACATTAAGAGCAAATAATACTGCTCTGCTTTTTGGGAAAGAGTGAGGTAACACTTTTAATATCATAGTGTAAGCTATAAATTTGATTAAAAATTCAAATTATCAGAGAAATAATTTTGATGTTTTCTACCTAAATACAGTGTATACATGGGGACCTTCTTGAGATGTATTTTCCAAAAGATCTTCCTAAAGTGACAAGAGGTTGCTCATATCATTTGAAGTTTCTCATAAAATGTAATAAGCTGTTACGCTTTATATACTTATATGCCTACTAGTACATTTACAATTAAAGTTACCATTGTAACTAATTCTGTGTAGGTGTACTTTAAATTATAATCCTAGTTTAGTTAAAGCTTCAAAGCAATTTTTTTTGTTGGTTCTGAAATTTCTGTTTTTCTAAATTTTTAAATTTAAATTTTACATTTCTGTTTCTACTAAAATTCAAAATTGTAACTTAAAAGGGAGGGATTATTCTACATTAAAAGAGATAGAGATTTAAGGGCGATAACCAAATTCAATGAGTGAGCCTTTTTTTTCTGCTACAAAAATGGATCAATGAATGAGTCTTGTTTAGACAATTGGGGAAATTTGAGTCTTGCCTGATTATGAAACAATACTACAAAATAATTGTTAATTTTATTTACGTTACAGTGGTGTTGTGACTATATAAGAAAATCATCCCTCCCCCACTTTTTTAAAGAGTTGTAGACTTCTGTATTAAAAGAATAAAGTGGCATGATGTCTGGGATTTGCTTTATAATAGTCTAGCCAAAAATTGAGGGGATATAGTCAATGAAAGAAGTATAATAAAACATGGATTTATTGTTGTAGCCAGGCGACAGGCTCATGGGGCATGATCGTGCTTTCTAGTTTTATATATGTTTGGAATTTTTTGTGATACAGTTTTTTGTTGTTGTTTTCTGTTTGTTTGTTTTTTGTTGTTGTTGTTGTTGTTGAGACAGAGTTTCCACTCTGCTGCCCAGGCTGAAGTGCAGTGGTGCCATCTTGGCTCACTGTAACCTGCCCCTCCCAGGTTCAGGTGATTGTCCTGCTTCAGCCTCCAGAGTAGCTGGGACTACAGGCACCCCCCACCACACCTGGCTAATTATTTGTGTTTTTAATAGAGACAGGGTTTCACCAAGTTTGCCAGGCTGGTCTGGAATTCCTGACCTCAGGTGATCTGCTCGCCTCGGCCTCCCAAAGTGCTGGCATTACAGGTGTGAGTCACTGCACCCGGCCTGTGATACAGTATTTTTAAAAGTAACTTTAAAGTATTCATTTTCAATGACAAAAAGAATATTCCTTCTTTGTAAAATAATTCAAACAGTACAGAAGATTATGAAGAAAAAATCAGCACCTCTTCCAGCCCCAATTTGACTTGCTAGAGGTAATTGTTTGGTTTACTTTTGTATAGATATTTTTGTATGTATATAATGCAAAAGTATTCACATACATTTAACAAGAATGGAATCATACTATACATACTATTTTGCCGCTTATCTTCCTTTTTACTTTCAAGTCTATCATGGACCTCTTTCTCTCAGTATATGTAGGTTTACTTCTTTCTAAAAAATGCACATGGATGGATGTTTCAGGATTTAAGTCTTCATCTTGTTAATTGACATTTAGGTTATTTTATGTTTATTTGCTTTTCAGACAATATTATAATAAATACCCTCATAAATATCTTGTGTGAATATTTTTGTGTAGACTTCTAGAATTGAAACTACTAGGTCAAATCATTCATTTTTTCTTTCTCTCTCAGAAAATTCTGCCAACCCTGGGAAATGCCAGTGTTACTGTGTTTTCACCGACACTGGATGTTATCAGTCTTTATTTGTTGTCAGTCTGAGAGTCAGTCAAAAGATGGCAACTCAGCATTGAATATGTAACTTCTGTAATTATGAAAGTACTATCCTTAGGAGAATATGTTCTTGTATTTAGGTTGATTTCTAGCCCTTCCAAAAATGAGGATTTCCTTACATTCTCTGGAATTCCATGTCCTAGGCTCAGTAATGAAGCTAATCCCTCCCTCCTGGGGTTGTTCTGAGTATTGTATCGAATAATAAAAAATGTCTGACATAGCTTATTAACTCCATTAACTATGTTAGTTCTCTATTGCTGCTATAACAAATTACCACACATGTAGTGGCTTAAAAACAACACAAATTTATCCTTAGAGTTTGGTAGGCAGAAGTTCACCATGGGTTGGATCTCACTGGGCTAAAATCAGAGTGTCAGCAGGGCCACATTCCTTTCTAGAGGCTCTGGGGAGAATCCTTTTCTTTGCCTTTTCCAGCTTCTGCAGGTTTCCCATATTTCATGACTCAGACCCACCTTTTCTGTCTTCAAAGCACCTCTCTAACCATTCCTCTGTAGTCGTATCTCCCTCTGACCGCAACCAGGAAGGGGTTCTTTGATATTAAGGACCTATGTGATTAGATTGGACCTACCCAGGTAGTCCAGGATTAATGCCCTCACCCCAAGGTGCTTAACTTAATCATATCTGCAAAATCTCATGTAAAATAATATCTTCATGGATTACAGGGATTAGAGCATGGACATCTTTTGGGGAGGGGGACAGTTTTCATTATTCTGCTTGCCACATTAACTATAAAGTATACTCAGAAAAATAATTTATATTTAAACAGTAATGAAAGGGAATTAGCCTTAAAAATATTAAAAGCTATTATAAAGCATTGAAATTGCTGCTGACATATAAATAGATATGCAGAGTCTAACAATAGACCCAGCTACATTCCAAAATTGACTTGTTTTTAAAGATGTCATTTCAAAGTAATGAAGAAAAGATAGGTTATTTAGTAAATGACATGGAATAACTAGCTAGCCATCTAGAAAAAGTTGAAAGCATACCTCATATCTTACACCATATAAATTCTGCTTGAACTAAAGATTTAATTCCTTTTTAAAAAAACAAAACCATCAAAGTATTAGAAATAAATGTGGAGTTAGCAAGTCTGAAACTACTTTATGTGTAGAAGCCACTTTTTGTATACAAATAGCTCAATAGAGACGAGAGCCAGGTTTCTTACTCTCAGAGAAAGAAGATAAATAAGCAAAAGGGCTAGAATGAATCTTGCAGTAGTTGATTGGAATCGATAGTGTTAGTTCTTAACGTATATGCAGATAAATAGACACAGAAAGGAATATAGATATGCATGTATGCAGGAGTTAGTATACATGCATATATTGCCAAGCTCTTTCTACCGAGAAGGCCTAACAATGACACCCTGGTAACAGTGAGCGCACCTACTGGTGTGGGGAAAATACAAGATGAACCTGAAGCATCTTTTAGTGCCATAAAGTAAGGAAATGCTCTGAAAGGATGGGCATGTCACAAGGGCACGTGACTCAACCTAAAAGTTTCCAGTGGCCAAAGCTGGAACAATTTGAGGAACAAAATAAATAACAATCAATTATAACTTGTAGAATAAAATAAATATCCATGAGTTCATCCTGACATAAATAATTGAATAAATAAAGATATAAATGAGGGAGAAGGGACAGTTCTAATAAATATAGAAGGAATTAGAGATATAGAAAATCACTATTGGGACACCACGGTGATAATTGTTGGAGGCAAGATCCACCAATTGATGCTAAAATTACTGGACAAAAGTTCTAGGAGTGCCTGGGCACGGTGGCTCACGCCTGCAATCCCAGCACTTTGGGAGGTCAAGACGGGTGGATCACCTGAGGTCAGAAGTTAGAGACCAGCCTGGCCAACATGGTGAAACCGTATCTCTATTAAAAATGCAAAAATTCGCTGGGCATGGTGGCATGCACCTGTAATCCCAGCTACTTGGGAGGCTGAGGCAGGAAAATCGCTTGAACCTGGGAGGTAGAGGCTGCAATGAGCCCAGATCACACCACTGCACTCCGCCTGGGTGAAAGAGTGAGACTTTGTCTCCAAAAAAAAAAAATTCTAGGATTCACAGGATATTTGCATAGTCTTAAAATATCTCCCCCAAGACAGTTATTAATGGCAAATGGAAAAATAGTAATTTTGTAGTAGATAAACTCAGCAGATAACAGCTTAACCAAGTAAGCACATTTAAAATCACTAGTACACCAGGCGTGGTGGCTCACGCCTGTAATCCCAGCACTTTGGGAGGCCGAGACGGGCGGATGACGAGGTCAGGAGATCGAGACCATCCTGGCTGACACGGTGAAACCCCGTCTCTACTAAAAATACAAAAATTAGCCGGGCATGGTGGCGCGCGCCTGTAGTCCCAGCTACTCGGGAGGCTGAGGCAGGAGAATGGCGTGAACCCGGGAGGCGGAGGTTGCAGTGAGTCGAGATCGCGCCACTGCGCTCCAGCCTGGGCGACAGAGCGAAACTCCGTCTCAAAAAAAAAAAAAAAAAAAAAAAAAAAATTAATTGAGCGTGGTGGCACACACCTATAGTCCTAGCTACTTGTGGCTGAAATGGAAGAATTCCTTGAGTGTGGAGATTCAAGGCTGCAGTGAGCCATGATAGCACCACTACACTCCAGCCTGGGCAACAGTGTGCAAACCTGTCTCAAAAATTAAATAAATAAAATGACTGGTAATAAGATGTCAATATGATGCACATCACTTTTGTGATATTCTTTCCAAAAATATGTAACCTCATTCTAATCATAAGTATCAGACAAACCCAAATTGAGGAACAATCTAGAAAATAACTGATATTCCTCAAAAATGGCATCATCATGAAAAATAAGGAAAGACTAAGGAACTCTCATATTGGAAGAAACTAGAGAGACAAAACACATGTAATGTTGAATCTGGGGTTGGTGAAATGAAAGAAATAACGGAAAAATGATATCAGTGGAAAAACGGTAAAATCTGAGTAAAGTCCATAATTTAGTGAATAGCATGTGCCAGTGTTAATTTCTTAGTACTGATCATTGTACTATTTGCAAGCTGTTAACATTAGGGGAATTTAGGTCAAAGGTATACAATAACTCTACTATTTTTGCAGTTTTTTTTGTAAATCTAAAACTATTTCAAAACAGAAAGTTAAAAAAAGGAAATTAACAGTACAGGTATTAGAAGTACATGTGGGAGAATTATAATCCCAGAGGTAATGAAGGCCTTTCTGAGTATGACATATCCAGAAGAGGTTGATAAGAATAAAAATCTCTACATGTAAAAATAATTTCCAAAACAAAGACTCATGTAAAACTGAAAAAACATATGCAAAACCTGACAAATGAAACGCTGGTTTCTTTAATGTATGAAGCGCTTATATAAATAAACATGTAAAGGACCAGCCAGTAAAAAAAAAAAATGGATAAACAATGTAATATACAGTTTACAGTGGTAAAATGGTTCTTTCTATTTATTTTAGTTTTTTGTTTTAGAGACAGGATCTTGCTCTGTCACCCAGGTTGGAGTGCAGTGGTGTGACTATAGTTCACTGCAGCCACAAACTCCTGGACCTAGGCAATCCTCTTGCCTCAGTCTCCTGAGTAGTAGGCGTGTGCCACCACACCTGGCTAATTTTTAAAAATTTTTTGTAGAGATGAGGTCTCGCTCTGTTGTCCAGGCTGGTCTCAAACTCCTGGGCTTAAGCAGTCCTCCTGCCTCAACCCCCCAAAATGTTGGGATTACATGCATGAGTCACTGTGCCCAGCCTAGAAATGGTTCTTAAACATGAAAAGATGCTTAATCTTTCTCATAGAAAGAGTAATGCCAATTGGAACTACGTTGAAGTACCATTTCTCACCTAGATTAAAGGTTTTTTAAAAATCATTGATAATATGCGGCCAAGAGTATGAAAAACAGGCATCCCTTTACGCGAGTCATAGGAACGTAAATAGACACTTTTTGTGGGGGCTAATTTGGCACTGACTTTCGAAATTGCAAATGCACGTATTCTTGACTCAGCAATTCCACTTTAGGAATTTCCAAGTCTGTATTCTCATGTGAAGAATGATACACACTGTGTGGCACATACAGTGGCATTAAGCACAGCATTGCTTATAAAAGACTGAAAGCAAATGCCCTACGATAGAGATCATGTTAAAGAAATGAAGGTGGCTGGGCACAGTGGCTCACGCCTCTAATCCCAGCACTTTGGGAAGCTGAGGCGGGAAGATCGCTTGAGCCCAGGAGTTTGAGACCAGCCTGGGTAATATAGTGAGACCCTGTCTCTACCCGCAAGAAAGATTAGCCAGGCATAGTGGCATACATACACCTGTAGGCCCAGCTACTCAGGAGACTGAGGCAGGAGGACCACTTGAGCCTAGGAGTTTAAGGCTGCAGTGAGCCATGATTATGCCACTGCATTCCAGTCTGGGTGACAGAGCAAGGCCCTGTTTCGGGAAAACAAAAGAAAAAAAAGAAATGAAGGTGTATCGGTACGAAGCTATCATATCCATCTGTAAAATGTAAGGAAGTTCTGCATATACTGATATAAACTATTTCCAAGATACCATTAATTGAAAAATGCAAAGTACAGAACAATTTTTATAATATACTACCATTTGTGGTTTTTTAAGAAAGGATTTATACTTTTAACAATGGTTACTTCTGGAGAGGTGAACTAGATGATAGGGGTACAAGGAAGAATTTTCACCAAATATACTTTTTGTATCAAATTTTTATCATGTGAAGATATTATTTATTCAAATAAATTTTAATGCTAAGTTATTTTATTCACAGAACCTTATCTGCATTAGCTCACTGGTCTGTCATTTTTAGTGACACACCATATCTTCCACTCTTGGCATTTCCATTTGTAAAATTATTCCAGAACAACCAACTCATCTGTTTTGAAGTTATTGCTACTCTCATAAGTAAGTAAATACTTGTTAAAGTATAAGATCAAGAATGGATTCTTATACATTTTCCTGATGTCTTTGCACCTTTGCAACATTTAACAATTCTAGATGTCTCTACTTTTAAGTCACGAAAGTGTGAAACAATAAGGTATCAAACATAAAATAGACAATTGAAGCATTTATATGTAAACCTTTTTATTTAGAAGAAAATCTGGAGGCCGGGCACGGTGGCTCATGCCTGTAATCCCAGCACTTTGGGAGGCTGAGGCAGGCGGATCACCTGAGGTCAGGAGTTCGAGACCAGCCTGGCCAACGTGGTGAAACCCTGTCTCTACTAAAAATACAAAAATTAGCCGGGTGTGGTGGTGCATGCCTATAATCCCAGCTACTCAGGAGGCTGTGGCAGGAGAATCACTTGAACCCAGGAGGTGGAGGCTGCAGTGAGCTGAGATTGCTCTACAGCACTCCAGCCTGGGCAAGACAGAGCAAGACCCCGTCTCAAAAATAAAAATAAAATAATAATAATAATTTATTGTCTGCATAATATAGTATTTCATCTTATGAATATATCATTTATATATTCCCCAAGTGCAAGAATTTTATTTTTCTAATTTTTCCACACTTTTAAAGCAGTTTTTTGTTGTTATACTACTTTTACTTCATGTTATATATATTTCCCTTATTTTTATAAATTAAATTTCATAAACATTTTTTATTGGCTATTATTACATAATGTGCATGTACTAGTTTAATCTTCTTGGATATTTAGATTGTTCCTAATTTTAACCTCTTTTTTTTTTTTTTTTGAGACGGGAGTCTCACTGTGTCACCTAGGCTGGAGTGCAGTAGTGCTCACTGCAACCTCCACCTCCTGAGTTCATGTAATTCTCCTGCCTCAGCCTCCCAAGTAGCTGGGATTACAGGCACCCGCCACACCATGCCCAGCTAATTTTTGTATTGTTTTAGTAGAGACAGAGTTTCACCACATTGGCCAGGCTGGTCTCGAACTCCTGACCCCAAGTGATCCGCCCACCTCGGCCTCCCAAAGTGCTGGGATTACAGACGTGAGCCCCTGGCACCCGACATTTTATCTATTAAAAGTAACAATGTTGTAACTATCTTCGCATGCAAACATAATAGTTCCCTTTGCGTAGATTTCCAGAATTGGTGTTATCGGGTCATAAAATGTGAATAATTGATTCCCCAAAAGGGTTGTCATATGGTTTGGATGTGTGTCCTCTCCAAATGTCGTGTTGAAATGTGATCCCTGATGTTGGAGGTGGGGCCTAGTGGGAGGTATTGGACCATGAGGGTGAATCATTCATAAATGGCTTAGTGCCATTCCCTTGGTTGTAAGCGAGTTCTCGCTCAGTTAGTTCACACGAGATCTAGTTGTTTAAAAGAGTGTGGCACCACCTGCCCTGTGCTCTCGTTCCTGCCCTCTTCCAGAGGCCCTCACCTCATCTGTCGCTCCTGCTCTCTTCACTTCCTGAAGCAGGTGCTGGAGCCCTGCTTGCACAGCCTGCAGAGCCATGAATCAATTCAACCCTTTTCTTTATAAATTAGCCAGTCTCAGGTATTTCTTTATAGCAATAGAAAATCAAACTAATACAAGTATTAGTTTACCTGCCAATAGCACTACCGTGTTTTAAAAGCAAAAGAAACACAATAACAAAAAGACAAACAAGCCAATTAAAAAATGAGTAAAGGACTTGAATAGACATTTCTCCATAGGCAGTATACAAATGACCATCAAGCATATGAAAAGATGCTCAGCATCATTAGTCATTAGGGAAATGCAAACCAAAACCACAGTGAGATGCCACTTCATACCTACTAGGACAGCTGTAATTTAACAATGTTATATACATGTTAATGAGGATGTGGGAAAATTGGGACCTTCATTTATTGCTGGTAGACATGTAAAATGGTGCAGTCACTATGAAAAAACAATTTGCCATTTCTTCAAAATTCCAAACATAGAATTACCGTATAACCCAACCATTTCACTCCTGGGTATATACCCAAAAGAATTGAAAACTGAGACTTAGACAGATACCCACGTGTGAATGTTCATAGCATCATTATTCCCAATAGCCAAAAGATGGAAACAATCTATTAACAGATTAATGGGTAAGCAAAGTGTGGTAAATACACGCAATGGAATGTTATCCAGCTGTCAAAAGCAATGAGGTCCTGCCACATGCTAGCTACTACACGGGTGAACCTTGAGAACATCCTGCTTAGTGAAATACACTAGATACAAAAGGACAGTTATTGTATGATTTCACTTAGGAAATATCTAGAATAGGTAAATTCATAGACACAGAAAATAAATTAGAGGTTACAGGGGCTAGGGAAAGTGGGACAGAGAGCTAGTCCTGAATGGATACAGAGTTTCTATTTGGGGTATTGAAAGGATTTGGGGAATAGATAGTATAACCCTGAATGGGATCATTGTATAACCCTGAATGGGATTAATACCTCTGAATTGTATATTTAAAAATGGTTAAAGTGGCAAATAACATCTATTTTACTATAATTAATAAAGAAATGGATTGTAGTTAATTTAGGTATGTATGCCAAACTAAATTTTTTATTTCTGGTAAAATCTTGTTACATAGCTAAAATGTTTTATACCAAGGAAATTGATTTTTCTCTTCTAAACAAACATGCCTGAAATCTAAATTTGGGAGATTATTGTTTCCTCTTGGATGGTCAGCATGAGTGGTGGATTTTTATCAAGGGTCTCAAAGTAGTTTTACTCAATAAACATTTATTAAAGAGTAACATTTCAGAGGGGAGCAAGTGAGGAGGCTGCGTCTGACTCCTGCTTTCACGGCCATTGCAGTACCTGGAGCTCCACTTGCACAGATGCAAGCCCAGTGGACACTGGGTGACTCTACCCTTGCTGAGGAAAAAGAACTAAACACTGGCAAGGCAATTCCAAGAAGCTGAGAGGCAGAATGTCATCACATGCGTTCTTTGTGCAGATTTGCCAGGAGAAGCATAAGAAGCACCCAGATACTCCAGTCACCTTCTCAGAGTTTTCTAAGAAGGGCTTCAGAGAAATGGCAGGCCACGTCTGCTAAAGGGAAGGGAAAAGTTGAAGACATGGCAAAGGCAGATTAAGTTTCATCATGAAAGAAATGAAAACCTACACCCCTCCTAAAGGGGAAACAAAGAAGTTCGAGGATCCCAATGCATCTCACAAGAGGCCTCCTTTGGCCTTTTTCTTGTTCTGTTCTTAATATTGCCTTGAAATCAAAGGAGAACATTCAGCCTATCCATTGGTGATGCTGCAAAGAAACTGGGAGAGACGTGGAGCAACACCACTGCAGATGACAAACAGCCTTTTGACAAGAAGTATGCAAAGCCAAAGAAAAAATGTAAAAAGGATATTGCTGCATACCAACCTAAAGGAAAGCCTGATACAGCAAAAATGAGAACCATCAAGGCTGAAAAAAGCAAGAAAAAGGAGGAGGATGAGGAAGATCAAGAAGACAATGAATAAGTTGGTTCTGGCACAGAATTTTCTTCTTGTCTATAGAGCACTTAACAGTCCTGTACACACTCACTTCTTTTAAAGAAAAAATTTGAAATGTAAGGCTCCAGAACATTTGTTTAAACTGTACAGTGTCTTTTTTTGTATAGTTAACACCCTATCGAATGTCTTTGGATAGTCTTGTCCTGGTGATATTTTCAATAGGATTAACTTCGCTTGGTACACTATGGGGATTATAAATTGGCATGGAAATTTAAAAGCAAGTTTTTGTTAATCCACAGCACAAATTAGTTATTTTGAATGGGGATAGTAGTTTTTCATCTTCAGTTTTCTCTAATGTAGCTTATACAAAATAAATGTTTTGTTAACTGAATACCACTCCATAATTGAAAAAAAAAAAAAAAAGTTGCAACTGTTTTGTTGACATTCTGAATGCTTCTAAGTAAGCACAATTTTAAAAAATTTACTGAACTTCAGCTAAGCACTAGCACTGCTGGGATATGCCATCGTTTTGGCTTTTAGGTTTGTAGTCTAGTTGGGACTTAGAAGACATTTTGAAGGAAAAGTCACATCTACATATAATTTGGAACGTATTTGTAAAAGTCTTTTTTAGACACTAGAGTCTCTTTTATGACCAGACATAAAGTCTTTTGGTTTAACAAAGACTCTCCACACAATTATCATTTCTCTGTATTTTGCTATCTGTCAGTTCTCTCTCTAGGTCCTCTACCCATGCTTTTGTGGTGGCATCAAAGCAGAATAAAAATACTTAAGAGCAGGCAGACGGTTACTGTATGCAGTAGGATATCCTCTTGCTAAGGAAAAACAGCGCTCTCTTAATGAAGATTGTAAGGATCAGGCCTTTGGGTATATGTGTGGTGTTTTAAGTTCTCAGAACTACCAGTGTCAGAGACATAACAAGTACTCAGGTGCTGAACCATATTTTTCCACTTAAAATTAAGAGCTGGGCTGGGCGCAGCGGCTCACACCTGTAATCCCAGCACTTGGGATGGCCAAGGTGGGTGGATCAACTGAGGTCAGGGGTTCGAGACCAAACTGGCCAACATAGTGAAACCCTGTCTCTACTGAAAATACAAAAAAAAAAAAAATGAGCTGGGCATGGTGGTAGGTGCCTCTAATCCCAGCTAATTGGGAGGCTGAGACAAGATAATCACTTGAACCCGGGAGGCAGAGGTTGCAATGAGCCGAGATCGCGCCACTGCACTCCAGCCTGGGCCACAGAGTGAGACTCCGTCTCACAAAAAAAAAAAAAAAAAATTAAGAGCTACAGAGAATTTGAAATATTTTTTAAAGCTCAGTCTTTGCAAGATTTTATTTCTGACTTCATTATTAACTCAAATTTAAATAATCAATAATAAGTGAAATAATGGAACTCCAGAATTGGAAAGTTCTTATAAACCACTGTAATCTAATATTCTGCTGATAAAGCCTTCTTTTGCTATTTTGAGATAGGAGATCTTATTATCAAAGGATGAATCTACAACTCAATATTTAAAATTAAAAAAATTTTAAAATTAAGTTAAACATAGTCTTATTGAACAAAACAAACCGATGGTCTTATATACGGCTTTGAGAACAATCTGTGGGTCGTTCTACTGATTACAGAGTGCAAGTGAGTCAAAGTCAGCCTTAGAGTTAGTTGAATATATTCTACTTTGGACTAACTGACTTTCAAAGAATGCCACTGTTACCGATTGGTTGGTTTTCAAGTCAAGTTTACTGAAACAAGTTGTCAATGATCAGTTAGATATAAAACCAGTCCTGGTGGCTATTCCTGGTTATTCCTTATTACCATGCTTATAGAACAATCAGTCTTTTCCTCAGAATGAGGACATTTTTATTGTCATTATAATGTTTAAGGGATTAGGGATACAGTATATACACATTTGTTTTTATATATTGCTGATGTAATTTTGAACATTTTCCTTAAGTTTTCTAATTTTGATTACATGTGAATTTTAGTAGATTTGAGGAGATTGGCATGCTAATGTTGATTACATTTAATGAAGGGTTAAATAGGGGCCCTTTTTAAAAAGATCATTTCGTTAATCAGGTGATGAACAAAGCAGGAGTCAGGAGCCAGAATGCCATCAGGAGTACTTTGGGAAGTTGTGATTGTTTGTTTTAATTAACACTTTTTCATTGACTACTGTAAGGAAATTTGCAAAATTTCTGTAAACATACTATGTTAACATGATAGGATTTTAAAATCGATTGTCATACAATATAAAGAGTTTTTTTTTATTATTCATGGACATATTGAGAACATAAAGATTGGATACATTTAAGAATTGCAAAGAGTTTTGATAACATGGAAAGATATTTAAAGATATGTTTTCTTTTTTTTCCTTCATAGTCAATTGGTGTCAACACTGGTTTGAATATTTTCCTAATCCTCCTATCAATATTCTTAGCATGATAGAAAATGTTTTGGCATTTCATGACAAGGAACTGCTGCAACACTTCATAGATCATGATATAACCTCCCAGGTAAGAAGCATAAGGTTTTTAGAATAACATGCCTTATTTTGTAAGCTAACATTGGTTCTGGTATAAACAGTCTTTTCTTGAAGGAGTATAATAAAAAGCATACTACATGTTGTATTTTTAACAGTATTCCATTCTTTTTCTTCATTAAACTGCCTTCCTGAAAGTCTGTAAAGAAGGGTCCAAATTAAGGTAGTTATTTTCATAATTATGTATTTAATATGATTTTCATAGCTTAAATCGAATGTAAGGGAATATTACCAATGACTCCCTTTTTACTTTTCCCTAGAAAAATAATAAATTTTTCCTTATCTGTTTTAGCTATATGCATGGCCTCTTCTTGAAACTGTGTTCTCAGAAGTGCTGACAAGAGAGGAGTGGCTGAAATTGTTCGATAATATCTTTTCCAACCATCCTTCCTTCCTTCTGATGACTGTTGTAGCCTACAACATATGTTCTAGAACGCCTCTGCTCAGCTGTAATCTTAAAGATGACTTTGAGGTAACGGTCCTTGTTCTTAAGAGAAGGTTCTCAAATATCAGTTATTTCTCTCTATTTTTTTTTTAATTTTTTGAGACAGAGTCTCGCTATGTTGCCCAGGCTGGAGTGCAATGGCGCGATCTCAGCTCACTGCAACCTCCGCCTCCCAAGTTCAAGCGATTCTCCTGCCTCAGCCTCCTGAGTAGCTGGGATTACAGGTGCGCACCATCATGCCCAGCTAATTTTTGTATTTTTAGTAGAGATGGGGTTTCACCATGCTGTCAGGGTGGTCTCAAACTCCTGACCTCGTGATCCACCCACCTCGGCCTCCCAAAGTGCTGGGATTATAGGCGTGAGCCACAGTGCCAGGCCATATCAGTTATTTCAATTGAAAAATCCATTTATTTATTGAGTCCCTGTTATATGTCAGACACTGGTGCTAGGTAGTAGGAATATAAAGGATAACAAGTTAGACCACATCCCTACCTGTGTACAGTTTATAGACAATAAAGTAGGCAATTATAGCAGGCTAGTAGTCTTATAATCATAGCTTAAGAAAAGAATCATGATAATATTGGGGTTTGTGCTTTTTGCATTTTTTTTTTTTTTTTTTTTTTTTTTGGAGACAGAGTCTCGCTCTGTTGCCCAGGCTGGAGTGCAATGGCACAGTCCCGGTTCACTGCAACCTCTGCCTCCCGGGTTCAAGAGATTCTCCTGCCTCAGCCTCCCGAGTAGCTGGGATTACAGGTGCCCGCCACCACGCCCAGCTAAGTTTTTTATATTTTTAATAGAGACAGGATTTCACTAGGTTACCCAGGCTGGTCTCGAACCCCTTACCTCAGATGATCCACCTGCCTCGGCCTCCCAAAGTGCTGGGATTACAGGCATGAGCCACCACGCCCGGCTGCTTCTTGCTTTTATAAAGGATGTTTAACAGGTTATTCTGTTATTCTGTGCATAATCTTATCATGACCCATCTGGTCTTAGAGGGTCTGAATGCTTATTACACATGCAAAAGGTAACTATGAGAGTTTTGAGACTTGGCAGGAAAGTGTCTGAAAGAAAGCATTAAGATCATTATAAAAAGTAGACGCTCTTTTGGTAGACAAGATGAATTAGTTGGGTTCTTGTGTGTGTGTGTATGTGTTACTTATTTAGTGGTTACTGTCCAATTAAACTTTATTTTTACTTCATGATCCTGTGATACATTAATTTGGATCTTCCAGCAAAACAAGATAATGTGGAAACTTTTTAGATATTTTTAAAGAAGCAAGCTAATTTATTTTCAAAGGCTAATTTATAATTTATTTTGGATTTTGAAGAAAAAAAAAATCCAAGCAGAGTTTGTTCCATTGTTGAAGCATTCTTTTTCTATTGTAAGAAAAGCCTTCATTTTTTAATTTTATGTCAGAATTTCTTATGATTGTGAAACTCTTACATTTTTTAAATAAATTGTCTTTGTTGTAAAACTTGAGTAAAGAAAAGCTTTAATGAATTTGCAAAAAAATATATATTCTTAAAGATAGATACACTTTTTTTAAATTCTTGTTTTAATTCTACCTCATAATTGCTTTGTCAGGTAAATCTCGATTTAAACACCAAGTTTTCTTACAGTTTTTTTTTCACCATCGGAATAACCTGGATATAAATGTTGTGATTAGACAAGTTTATCATCTCATGGAGACCACGCCTACTGACATTCATCCAGACAGCATGCTTAATGTTTTTGTTGCACTGACAAAAGGGCAGTATCCAGTATTTAATCAATATCCAAAGTTTATTGTGGACTATCAAACACAGGAACGAGAAAGAATAAGGAATGATGAATTGGATTACTTAAGAGAGAGGTAATTATGGAATAGTTTTTCTTTTTCTGATACAATGAAATATGTTATAAACATAAGAAAGTTTTAATGAAAAATACATTTGGCTGAGCGCGGTGGCTCACGCCTATAGTCCCAGCACTTTGGGAGGCCAAGGCAGGTAGATCACAAGGTCAGGAGTTCGAGACCAGCCTGGCCAACATGGTGAAACCCCGTCTCTACTAAAGATACAAAAAATTAGCCAGGCATGGTGGCACGCCCCTGTAGTCCCAGCTACTCAGGAAGCTGAGGCAGGAGAATCACTTGAACCCAGGAGGAGGAGGTTGCAGTGAGCGGAGATCATGCCATTGCACTCCAGCCTGGGCGACAGAGTGAGACTTCATCTCAAAAAAAAAAAAATGCATTTAAATTATGAGTATTTGTGTAAAATCAGAGTTTGAAGGCTAGAAATATTAAAGATAGTTAATTCTTGCATATGGAAATAAAATAGATTATACATTAATCGGTATACATTTTGTGTTTTGATGATTCTTAGCTTTCTTCTTTGTGTTTTCATAATAATATTACCTACTTAAGGCAGACAGTTGAAGATATGCAAGCTAAAGTCGACCAGCAAAGAGTTGAAGATGAAGCTTGGTACCAGAAACAGGAGCTGCTTCGTAAAGCTGAAGAAACAAGAAGAGAAATGCTCTTACAAGAGGAGGAGAAAATGATACAACAAAGACAGAGGTATGTGTTATCACTTTAAAAAAAAATCTGGACATATAAGTTAGTTGAATAATTTTTATGTTCTTTCATTTTTTCATTTTAGAAACAACATTATATATAGGATTACCCAGCTGTAGCATTTCTATAAAGCAACTATTAAGTTAATAAAAAGAATCTTTATATACCACTTTTCAAAAAAAATTGCTATGTAGTAAAATGTAATTCTGAAGCTATGCTGAATATAATATAGCTTTGCATGGATTAATGTTCCTTGAAGGACATTATTTAGAAACATTATTCTATAGTGGGCAGAAATGCTTTGTAATAGAATGCTAGGTACATCACCTTTAGTAGAGTATAATTTTTTTAATTGTGTTTTAAACATACCTGTGTGACCTGACAGTTGTAACATAGAATGATTATGTCATTACCCATTTAACACTTTGGAGGACAGGGGAATGAGTATTAAATGCGTATTCAAAAGTACGTTAGCTGGGTGTGGTGCCACATACCTATAGTCCCAGCTACTAGGTAGGATCACTTGAGCCCAGGAGGTCAAGGCCAGCCTGGGCAACATAGTGAGACCCTGTCTCTTAAAAAATAAAAAGAAAAAACTTAAAAATAAATACATAAAAGTATGTTAATAAGGTAAAATGTGTAAATTAAGTAAAGTAATGGGATAAACATTGAGACTAAGCCCAATAGTTGGGAAACTCACTTCTGTGTTTATTGATTCCTATTCTTAGATGGAACTTTATGTAACAGATTTATAGTGTGGGTTAAAAGGAATTACTGAACTGAGCCAGTGAGCTTTCTACTAAAATTCTTAAAGCATAAGTATACATCATCTTTGGTAACGGTGGAGCAGTTCTCGCATTCTTCTTTCAAATAAAGGATATCAATTGTATTGAAATGATCAGCATGGCAGACCTGTTATGAAAAAACTAAATCATATTAGGAATTGCTGTATTTGTTCCACTTGATGTATTTTGTATTTAAGGCTAGCTGCTGTGAAAAGAGAGCTGAAAGTAAAGGAAATGCACTTACAAGATGCTGCAAGAAGGCGTTTTCTGAAGCTTCAGCAAGATCAACAGGAAATGGAACTAAGAAGACTGGATGATGAAATTGGGAGAAAGGTTTATTATTCTTAACTTAGTTCTCATACATCATCTCCATTTACTCTCACTTAAATGTAATGAACACCTTCAAATTAAATAATATTCTTAGAGTCCACCATGAATACTAAATAGCCGCTTTAATTTTATTTACTTTTCCCCTCAGCTTTCTCATTCTCTTTTGTATTTCATGAATGGCTAAATATTTAAGAAATGCCAGGAAAATTAGTCAAGTGTCCTTGGTGACTATTTCTCTAAAACTAGAAATATCAGTATCAGTTAGCCATTAAGTTATTTTTTCTTTTCTTTTCTTTTTTTTTTTTTTTTGAGACAGAGTCTTGCTCTGTTGCCCAGGCTGGAGTGCAGTGGCGTGACCTCAGCTCAGTGCAACCTCCGCCTCCCGGGTTCAAGTGATTCTCCTGCCTCAGCCTCCCAAGTAGCTGGGATTACAGGTGCACGCCACCACACCCAGCTAATTTTTGTATTTTTCTTAGAGACGGGATTTCATCATGTTGGCTAGGCTGATCTCAAACTCGTGACCTCAGGTGATCTGCCCACCTTGGCCTCCCAAAGTGCTGGGGTTACAGGCGTGAGCCACCAAGCCCGGCAGTTAATTTTTAATTAGGGGACATATTCTTTTTTCATATAAAAATTATCTGTGGCCAGTATAAAAATAATTTCCAGTACAAAACATACAGAATTAAAAATTGACCTTCTCCATTAGTTCTCATGTCATCCCCAGAGAAACACTATTAAAAAATGGTTAATTGGCTGGGTGCGGTGGCTCATGCCCGTAATCCCAGCACTTTGGGAGGCCGAGGCAGGCAGATCACCTGAGGTCAGGAGTTCGGAACCAGCCTGGCCAACATGGTGAAACCCTGTCTCTACTAAAAATACAAGAATTAGCTGGGCATGGTGGCAGGCGCTTGTAATCCCAGCTACGCAGGAGGCTGAGGCAGGAGAATTGCTTGACCCTGGGAGGTGGATGCTGCAGTGAGCCGAGATCATGCCACTGCACTCCAGCCTGAGCGACAGAGTGAGACTCAGTCTCAAAAAAAAAAAAAAAAAAAAAAAGGTTAATTACATAGACTTTCAGGTATGTTCTATAGATAGAGGAGTAATTATAGTCATGTTTTCCTATATTTATACAAAAATGGGATTATTCTCATTATACATTGTTTTTGTAACCTGCTTTTTAAAATTTCATATGCTGAATATCTTTTCATATTTGTTATATGTGTATCTATTTCTCTTTTTGTGGTTGTATAATATTCCATTGAATTAATAGCTTATTTAATCCTTTGCTATTGGACATTTCGGTTATTTGCAGTGTTTTGCAAATTACAAAACCATGCTACATTGTAAAAGTCTTTGAGTACTTGCACACATACTTTTGTTGAGTAACTTCTAAATTATGACAAATTGTTCTCTAAAAATGAAACAGTTTCAGCTGTTTTAAGTCTGTAAGAGTACCCACTCCCTAGTATAGTCAATTGTACTGCATCAGTCTTAATATTTGCCAAGCAGATAGATGACAAATCGTCTATTTTAATTTGCCTTTTTTTATTGTTAGTGAGGTTAAGTATCTTTTCTGTTACTTATCTTCCATGTGTAGAATTACACATTACATATTTGTATCATTTGTCCATCTTTTTGTCAAGTTAGACTTAACTTTCTGTCAGGTTAGCTTACTTATTTCCAAAAGGCAAGTCAATTGTCCCAACACCATTTGTTGACTATTATCCAAGTCATTTGCCAACTGATGGTTTTTACATATTAAATTCTCTTACATATTTGATCTCCTTCCTCGCTTTTTCTATTCCTAAGCCAGTACCACACTGTTTGAATGACAGTAGCTTTGAAGTGTTTTACCAACTAGGCCTAGTTCTCACTCATTAGTCTTCCTTTTCAGAGTTTTCCTCAGTATTCTCAAATGTTTATCATTCCAAGTAGACTCTAAGAATTGTTTCACTTTTGGAATTCTCACCTCTCCCAATCCTATTGGAATTTTTATTAGGATTACACTGACTTTATGCACTAATTTAGAGTTTCAAGCCTAGTTTTGATAAAATACTAAGTATTTTTTAAGTCTTTTTTTTTTTTTTTTTTTTTTTTTTTTGAGACAGGGTCTCATTCTGTCACCTGGGCTGGAGTACAGTGGTGCGATCCCGGCTCACTGCAACCTCCACCTCCCGGATTCAAGCAATTCTCATGCCTCAGCCTCCTGAGCAGATGGGATTACAGGTGCCTGCCACAACACCCATCTAATTTTTGTATTTTTAGTAGAGACAGGGTTTCACCATGTTGGTCAGGCTGATCTTCAACTCCTGACTTCAAGTGGTCTGCCCACCTTGGCCTCCCAAAGTGCTGGGATTACAGGCACCTGGCCTAAGTCTTTCAAAGTATTTTTAATTCAATAGTATTAGAAATCTATCATCTCTTTATAGCATGATACTTCTTGTTTTGTTTAAAGCTTGTTAATTTTAAATTGGTTTTCAAAATCCAAGATTTCTTTTAATTTTCTCATCTAGTGAATGACATTGATATTTCATTACTGTAGAAAAGTGTATGTTCTTCCCGCAAAGTAAGCTCAGAACTCTGATGTCTTTATTCCAAACCCCTTTGAAACAGGAGGAGGCATTTTTTGGTCCAAGAATTCTATAGACTCCTTTCAGCAACATGATCTGGCCTCCGCCTACCCTTGCAGCCTCCTGTCCTCCCAGCTACCTGTTCTGATGTTGTGCTCTGACCCTGCCAAACTGCAAAAGCTCTTCTCATGGTTCAGACTCTAGCAGGAAAGGCTGCTTGAATCTGAAGTGACAAGTACATGTGACTGTGAACATCTGTTAGCAGCAAGCAAAGCTGATCGGTTTTTGCTGTGGCACATAGCTGTTTGTATCTCTGAAAATTCATAAGCAAAAGAGCTCTGTAATTGAAATTCCTAAAAAGCGTGATTTGCTAGGCCACACCTCTCCTCCACTTCCTGGCATTATTACTGTTCTTGCTTCACACAATCAAGCTTCCCCCAACCTTTGAGCTAGCTCCTTTCCCAATAACCTCTTTAAATTGAACTGGTCCTGGTCCATGTTTCTCTTTTAGTCTTTGGATATATATGTTTGCACATCCAACTGTATTCTCATTTAGTGTTTCTCCTATTTTAGGTATTCGATAGCATGTCTTTTACCATAATGACAATATCTAACATTTCACTTTATATCTAAGATCATTTCTAAGAGTCTCTAGAGAGTTCCATATCCCATATCCAAAGCCTCTAGTATATAGGAATAAAAAGCCTCCAACTAATCAAATTTTGGAAATAGGTGAACTCTAAATTAATTCACTTGGAGCAGAACACATACAGGTTGAACCATCTGCAAGAAATTTAAACCTAGAATTGTTAATTGTCAAACCATACTTATAAAAGTAGAGAAGTTTAGTCAAAAAGAGCATTAAATAAATGTTATATTTTTATCTACCCCAGATTTAAATTGCTCAAGTTTTTCTAACTCATGATATTGGTTACTGTAATACTGTAAGAACTGCTATCTGTTCTTCCAGTCTGAGTAGATGGGCATATGGTATTGTGCTTTTTATTTTTAAATTAAACTTAACTTTAACTGAGAGATTATTCCTAGGTTCTGCAGTGAATATTAATCTTTGTCTGTTACTCTGGTTTCAAAAACCCAGTTGCTGTTATTTTAAATACTGTTAGTAGGTCGTTCAGATTACAGGATTACTAAATATATTAAAAATTATTTTGTAAATTCTTTTTGGTATTTACAGTTTGTTGTTTGGCCATAGGTATATATGAGAGATCGAGAAATTGCTGCCACAGCCAGAGACCTAGAAATGAGACAGCTGGAACTCGAATCACAAAAGAGACTTTATGAGAAGGTATAATTCAGTTATTTCCAACATAAGAAAAGCAGGTTTTGGCCAGGCTCAGTGGCTCAAACCTGTAATCCCAGCACTTTGGGAGGATGAGGTGGAAGGAGGATCACTTGAGCTAAGGAATTCCAGACCAGACCTGGGCAATATAGTGAGACCCCATCTCTACTAAAAGTTTAAAATTTAGCTGGTTATGCTTACCTGTAGTCCCAACTACTCAGGAGGCTGAGGCAGGAAGATCACTTGAGCCCTGGAGTTCGAGGCTGCAGTGAACCATAATCACATCACTGTACTCCAGCCTGGGCAAACAGAGCGAGACCCTATCTCCAAAAAAAAAAGAAGGAAAAAGAAAAGCAGGGTTTGTATAAGCCCATTTTAGACTGTATTTATTCATGGTTTTCTAGCGTTCATTTTATTCACTTTTTAAGCAGAATATAGTGCCACACAGGATTGTAAGGTAGCCAAAATGTCTGAATGTACAGTTTGTTGTAATTATTTAATTCATGTTTCTGTTAGCAGCTTAGTCTAGTGTCTGAAGCACCAGATGTAGGCCCCAGATTTTGCCTCAGGATTTTTTACCAACTTACTAAATTTTCCTGTAATTACGTAATAGTGACTACAAAATTATCTCAATACCTCACAAGGATCCTGAAAGGTAAATCAGTCAGGAGCTGTAAAGTACTTTCTTTCTTTATTTGTATTTTTATGTATTTATTTTTGAGACAGTCTTACTCAGTTGCCCAGGCTGCAGTGCAGTGGCACCATCTCAGCTCACTACAACCTTCACCTCCCCTGCTCCAGTGATTCTCCCACGTCAGCCTCCCCAGTAGCTGGGACTACAGACGTGCGCCACCAAGCCTATCTAATTTTTGTGTTTTTTGTAGAGATAGGGTTTCACCTTGTTGCCCAGGCTGGTCCCAAACTCCTGGGCTCAAGCAATCTGCACACCTCGGCCTCCCGAAGTGCTAGGATTACAGGCATGAGCCACCACGCCTGGCCTGTAAAGTACTTTAAATTGGAATCTTCTGGAGTTAACTCAGCAAATATCTGCTTAGTACTTACTATTCAGTTTTCAAGACACTGGAAAAAAGGAGCTTTGTTAATATAAATTTTTATTATTTAGGAAAAATGTTTTGTTACTCATTTAGTGTTGAAACTGTAAGTTTTCACTTCTTTCAGCCCACTTAAAAAGTCAGACCTTTTAGCCTGGGCAACACAGCAAGACCCCATCTCTACTAGAAATACAAAGAAATAGCCAAATGTGGTAGTGCGCACCTGTGGTGCCAGCTATTCAGGATGCTGAGGTGGGAGGATCACTTGAGCCCGGGGGACGGAGGCTGCAGTGAGCCAAGATTGTGCACTTCAGCCTGGGTGACAGAGTGAGACCCTGTCTCAAAAAAAAAGTCATACTTTTAGTTTGAAATTAGTGATAACTGTGAATTCACAACACATAACATATATGTTTGATATCCACATTAGGTGAGATTTAAACCATATAGCATCCATTTACACCTATAACACTTTTAAAGTCTCCACACTGAATTTCTTCTAGAACAGAGCAAGGGATTTACAGTTTGGCTGAGTCTCCCATGATTTGGAATTAGATGTAATTCATTTGGACTAAGCTAAACTTTACTATATTTTCTTTGGGGGTGGAGGATAGTGGCAATCGAAGGGTATAATTTTAGAACTAACAGGGAATTTGCAAGAAAAATACTAAAAATTTCCAGATATTTGTCTCTCAGATTTTTAAACACTAACATTCTACTAAATTTGCTTTCTCTTCCTCTTTTTCTTTACCTATGCACATATATACACACAAACATATACTTGTTTTTCTGAACTGTTACAGACGTGATGCTCCTTTACCTCTAAATACTTCAGTGTATATTTCCTAAGACTAAGGAATCCTCTTATATAACCACCGTACAGTTCTCAAAATCAGAAATTAACATAAGATGATCTGATATATAAACCTTATTCAGATTTGATCCATTGTATCCAAAATGTCCTTTAGAGCAAAAGAAAATCTGAGATCTCATCCATTGTTTTGTTGTTGTCACTTTAGTCTCCTTTAAAATAAGAAATGTTCGTGACTCTGTCTTTGTATTTTATGACATTGATATTTTTTGAAGCATGTAAACCAGATAATTTGTAGAATGTCCCTTAATTAGCATTTGGCTGTTGTTTCTTCATGAGAAGATTTAAGTTACCCATAGGAGTGCATAACTTTAATCTGTGGCATTCCTGCAACAGAAGTTATGTTTTGAGATGGAGTCTCGCTCTCTCACCCAGGCTGGAGTACAATGGCGCGATCTCGGCTCACTGCAACCTCTGCCTCCCGGGTTCAAGAAATTCTCCTGCCTCAGCCTCCCGAGTAGCTGGGATTACAGGTGCCCACCACCGCACCTGGCTAATTTTTGTATTTTTAATAGAGATGGGGTTTCACCATATTGGCCAGCCTGGTTTCAAACTCCTGACCTCAGGTAATCCGCCCGCCTCGGCCTCCCAAAAGCTGGGATTACAGGTGTGAGTGACTGCTCCCAGCCTATGCTGAGTTTTTTTTCTGTGTATCAGAATGGGAGGCAAATGTTTGTTAATCTCTTTTTGCTGTCTTTTGAAGGAATTATTTATTTAAACAAACCAATAGGATTAGAGAAGAGTTAAACTATTCATCAAAACAAATATATGAAATCCTGAACTTTATCTGGTCAGTTAGGTACGGATGTGCTGCCACTACCTTTTTCAAATTGGCTGTAGTGATTGCCACTTTACCTGCCCAATTTATCTCTTACATTAGGTTGATTAAATGTGTCTATTTCTAAAGAAATTATGTCCCAGAAAACCAACAATATTATGATTACCTCCACATGAGCTCAACATTCCATACGTATCTAATTTGAATCAAATTATTGTTCAACAAAAGAATGAAACTAAGTATAAACTAAAAGAAACAAGTAAATACTAACCTGTACTCCAGATCCCATCCCCTCATAATCTTCTAGGACCTCATTTATCAAGTCTGTTTTCTATCTGTCTTTCACATGTATGTACCTTCTCCTTCGGATAATACCAGTCTTGCAAAGATTGCTATAAAGATTAAATGAGTTAATACGTATTTGTCTGTGTCAGGGGTCCCCAAGACCACCCTCAGGTTCAGTGATTCACTAGGACTCACAGAACTCCAGAAAAGCTCTTATATTCATGGTTACATTTTATTATAGTAGAGGAATACAGATTAAAATCAGTAAAGGTAAAAGGCACATGGAGTGGAGTCCAGGAGAGACCAGGCAGAAGCTTCTAGTTGTCCTCTCCCAGTGGAGTTGTACAGACAGCATTTAATTTCCTGCAAAGATGTGCGACAGTATGTAAGACTATTGCCTACCAGGCAAGCTCACTCAAGCCTTGGTATCCAGGGTTTTACTGGGGGTCATGTAGACATGGAGTGCATATGTGGCTGACTTTAGTTACTTTCTCTACAACCCATCCAAAGGTCAAACTGACAGAGCATGGCCCATGGTTCCCACCAGATCCCATCATTTAGCAGAAACCAGCTGGCATGGCCAATATCTCCAGGTATACAGACACTCTTATCAGGCAGAGTATTCCAGGGGCTTAGAGATTATCTCCCAGGAACTGATCAAGGGCCAGTCTTTTCTTTAGAATGTGCAGGTTTTTAATTACTCAGGCCTACTGAGTTAACCCTTTATTGCACAGTGTCTGATGTATGATACATATTGGATAGATACTAGTTTCCCTCTTTTCCCTTTGGCCTAAAAAGCTCTATTATTTTAAAAAGCTAATGGACAACTCCAGTATGCACACGTCGTCCAATATGTTTCTTCATACCACTACCCAATCTTTGATCCTCTTCACCATTTTTAGAGTTCCATTGTTTCCTCTTAGTCCTTAATCTCTACACATACATGATTTTACTTCTTTATGGAGTAGCTAAAATTCTATGTTCTGCTTGTCTTCTTCGCTTAATAAAATTCTTTTTAAAATTCTTTTTCTAAATGGCTACATATTTTTGTAACTGTCATTGGTAGTGGCTGCTGGTGAACCATAACTTATTTAAGCTTTCTTCTGTTGTTAGATGTTTAAGTGGTTTACAATTTTTGATAATAAGCATCTTCACATATATATCTTTTTGCATATAATTGAAAGATATTTTTATTTTTAGCAAATTATAAGGTAATTATGCTGTCTATAGATGATTAGAAAAGTAGAAAAAATCCCTCGAGAAATAACAACTGCTAATGTCATTAATAGTGATATGAGATTATTTGGTACATACAATTTGTGTTTGGCTTTTTTAACCTACATTTTCATGAAGGCTGTTTACTATCCTTCTCCCAACTACTGTACCTGTTAGCATTTACTCTCCTATATCCCTGCCCCTGGCAGCCACGAAGCTACTTTCTGTGCCCATGGATTTGCCTATTCTGGATATTTCATATAAATGGAATCATACAATGTGTGATTTTTTATGACTGGCTTCTTTCACTTAGCATGTTAAGCATCTTTTCATATGTTTATTGGCCATTTTGTATTTTCTTTGGAGATAGTGTGATTAATGTTTACTTAAAGTATGTATGGGTCATATTTCTTGTTTTGTTTTGTTTTTGAGACAGAGTCCCACTCTGTCACCCAGGCTGGAGTGCAGTGGCGTGATCTCAGCTCACTGCAACTTCTGCCTCCCGGGCTCCTGCAATCTTCCTGCCTCAGCCTCCCAAGTAGCTGGGACTACAGGCGCACACCATCACACCCTGCTAATTTTTGTAGTTTTTATAGAGAGGGTTTTACTATGTTGCTCATGCTGGTTTCAAACTCCTGGGCTCAAGCAGTCCTCCCACCTTGGCCTCCCAAAGTGCTGGGATTATACGTATAAGCCACTATGCCTGGCACATATTTCTTGTTTTTTTTTTTTTTCAAACAGTCATGTGATTTTTTGTTGAAAACTAGACATTTTAAATACAATGCTCCTCAACTTATGATGGGGTTATGTCCTGATAACTTATAGAAATATTGTAAGTTGAAAATTCATGTAACACCCTGATAGACCCATCATAAAATCAAAAAATCATTACGTCAACTCAAAGACCGTCTGGAATATAATGTAGCAATTTTGGAAATAAGATTGTCTCCCCTCCCCAGGGTTTCTTCTTGTTTCTTTGCTTAGTGACTTTTCTGAACTAATTTTGAAAGTCCCTATTCTTTGTTGTATATAACCACTGATGTCTCTACTCAGGTAGTTTGGGGGTCAGCAAATGATTGAACAGAGATTTTAATATATTCTTTGAACCAGTAAGCTTCTAGTAGTTGTTGAGGGGCTCTGTGTGCATGTTAGGGCACGCCTTTATCACTCAGCTAGGCAGTTTATACTTTCTAGATTCCGCTTCCTGGTTATGCAAAACCTCAGAGTTGACCAGAAGTGTGAGATCTTAGGTCTTTCTGTGGTCTGAGAACACAGCCCGTAGCATATACACAGCCTTACACATGCACATGACCTTCCAGGAACCTATCAGCTTTTTTAAGCCTCCTGTGGACATCTGATTCTCCAGTTTTTCCTGTTAAGCTTTTTACTTAGCCTATTGGTTGCTCTTCTAAGATCTACTGCCCCAAGTAGCCAAGATACTCAACAGTTTGCTCTAATTGTTTTCAGCAACTTCCCCAGGGATAAGGCTATTCTGCACTAGGTGAGCTCTGAGTGAGATCAAAAAAGACAGCCTTAGGAGTGGTCTTTCAGGGACCACCAGACAGGTCAAACAGTGACAGTTCTCCAGCAATGGTGGTTTGAAGGATCTCCGTCCAACCCCCTTTTGCTTGGCTTCCTTCCTTGGCTTCCAGGCTGCTGGTTTTCAAGACTAATGTATAGGCTGGACATGGTGGCTCACACCTGTAATCCTAGCATTTTGGGAGGCCGAGGCAGGCCGATCACATGAGGTCAGGAGTTCAAGACCAGCCTAGCCAACATGGTGAAACCCTGTCTCTACTAAAAATACAAAAAAGTTAACCAGGTGTGGTGGCATGCACCTGTAATCCCAGCTACTTGGGAGGCTGAGGCAGGAGAATCACTTGAACCCGGGAGGTGGAGGTTGCAGTGAGCTGAGATTGTGCCACTGCACTCCAGCCTGGGTGACACAGTGAGACTCTGTCTCAAAAAATAAAAAGACTAATGCATAGCTTGGGAGTGGGGTGGGAACAGGAAAAATGCAAGATGAAATGTCAGAGAGCTAGCTGTTCTTACCAAGATTCAGCCATTTTTATAAGTAAATGCTCCCCAGATAGCTCCAAGCCTTTGGTTAATTTCCAGAATGCTGAAGAAGTTCATTTTGACATTTTTTTTTATCAGTGTTCTCAATGCTTTTATGGATGAGAGGATTTCCAGGGGTCCTTACTCTGCCATTTTTGCTGATGTCTCCAGTCGTTGAATTTTACTTTGAAAATTAGATGATTACAGCTTTTATTTGTGTGCATATTACTATTCTGAAAAAAGTCATTTTTGTATTCTAGCGTTATATAAATTAGTGATTTTTTTTTACAAATGATTTTAACAGAATCTTACTGAAAATCAAGAAGCTCTTGCAAAAGAAATGCGAGCAGATGCAGATGCCTATAGACGAAAAGTGGATCTTGAAGAACACATGTTTCATAAGCTGATAGAAGCAGGTGAAACCCAGAGCCAGAAAACTCAGAAGGTAAAAATATGATCCATTTAGTATACATGCAGAGGAGAAATTTTCATCTGTCACCCTCTTAAGAGAACAAAATCGAAATTAAACTCTGTGAAGTTGAGTTAGTTTGTTTCTTTGCTTCAGTTGTCACAGTTCCTAGAATCTCACATTGCTTCCTTTTATATATGGGATGCTTACTTCACTGACAATCACATGATATGCATGTCTTTTTCCTACAGTTTGAGGAAATACAAAGGAATAGTGACTTACAAGAAAATACAAAGGAGTAGTGACTTAGAAGAAAATACGAAGGAATAGTGACTTAAAAGAAAATGCAAAGGAATAGTGACTTTACAAATTTTACTGTCCTTCTGTGTTCTGCCTCTGAAATTGTCCCTGTGTTGATTAGGTTCAAAGCATCAGGTCCCTGCATGGTATGTAAGCCAGCACTTCCAAGTGTATTGTGTGGACTATTAACTATTATTCAATAAGATGGGGGATGGTCAAATAAGTATTGGAAATGCTGTCTTAAAGTGAGGTATTTTTCACGCCAAATTTGAGGATTTAAGAGAATTTCCAAGATGTATTTCAGAGAATTTCTTACGGAGTACACTTTCAGAAATGCTGACTTAAGTGAATTGAAATAGAACTTGAGACTTTCAAAGAAGAGCTTTCTCTATTATCTCTTTAACAAAATGTTAAATGGGTATGTGTACCGGTCTGCTCCTATTCCAAAAACCAGGAATAGTGTACCGTAGATACCTTCTGTTGTACAACAGTCTCTTAGGTGATTTCCTCAAGATATTCCATTTTTTTTTAATAGGCTTGTGTCCAGTCTGTTAAAATGGGCTCTTCTTCAGAGTCTCCTCTTCAGAGTGCTGAAAACATGGAAATTGTTGAATCCCACCCATACCCTAGCCGATAAGTTCTTAACCTTGGCTGTAAATTAGAGTCACTTGAAGAGCTCTTTTTTTTTTTTTTTTTTTTTTTTTTTTTTTGTAGAGATGGAGTCTTACTCTGTTACCCAGGCTGGAGTGCAGTGGCACAATCTCAGCTCACTGCAACCTCCACCTCCTGGGTTCAAGCAATTATCCTGCCTCAGCCTCCTGAGTAGCTGTGACTACAGGCGCGCGCTGCCACGCCCAGCTAATTTCTACCTGAAGAGCTTTTTAAAGGTGCTGGTACCCCGCTGTCCAGTGATTGGTTTAATTGGCTTGTGGCAGGGCCCAGTCATCAGCTTATTTTAAACACTCCCAGGTGATTCTAATATGCAGCCAGAGTTGTGAACAACTGCCCCAGACACTTGGATACATTGAATGGTTATACCTTCATTTTATGTACTAGTAGTTTGACCTTGTTTCTGAAATGTATAACTTTTTCCTAGGTGATTAAAGAAAATTTGGCAAAGGCTGAACAAGCATGCCTAAATACCGACTGGCAGATTCAGTCTTTACATAAACAAAAATGTGATGATCTACAACGAAACAAATGTTACCAGGAAGTAGCCAAACTCCTTAGGGAAAACAGAAGGAAAGAAATAGAGATAATAAATGCAATGGTGGAGGAGGAAGCCAAGAAGGTAAAAAATAGTGTTATAAACTTTTTAATATCAAGCATTGATTTTTTTTTTTTTTTTAAAAGACAGAGTCTCACTTTGTTGTACAGCCTCGAAATTCAAACTCGGGGCCTTAAGCAATCTGCCTGCATCAGCCTCCCAAAGTGCTGGGATTACAGACGTCAGCCCCTTTATCCAGCCTAAGCACTGAAATTTTGAAATAGTACAGAGTCAAATGACAAAAGCATCATACCAAGTCGTTTTTGCTGGAAAAGATAATCTGATTTTAATAGGTGTTTGTCAGAGACGTCGTCTAATATTGATTCTACCTAAAAATGACTAAGCGTCTTTCTCATTTACATTAGTGTGCTTCAATTTCTCAACTTCCTGGATTTTTGTTCTGGCTGATTGAATAATATTAGTACTTTAATTTAGCTAATTCTTTATACTTACAATGTAAAAGATGCTGAATAGGTAGAAATGGTACGTAGCTGCTAGTAACAAAACCCCAAATTACAGTGACTATGAACAGGATAGAAATATAGTCTGGAGGTAGGGAGTCTAGGGTTAGTATTGTGGCTCCAAGGTTATCAGGGAAATGCCATCTTTCAGCCTTTCTGCACCTCTTCTTAGTGTATGGCTTTCATTTTCAAGGTTACCTTACCATCCAAGATGACTCCTGGAGTTCCAGCCATCACATACACATTCCAGGCAGCGGGGAGAAGGGAGAGCACAAGTGCGAATGTTCTGCCTCCCATCTGAGTCACACTCCCTTCTAACTTCTTTCCAGGAGTTCCATATCATATTTCAAGCCACATTTGTCAGCAAAGGATGCTGAGAAAAATAGTATTCTTCACAGGGAGCATTATCATCCCAAATAAAATTAAGATTCTGTTCCTATCAGTTAATAAGATAGCTAAAAATAAAAACAAAAGATTCTACTGCTAAAGAAGAATCAAAGAATGGAGTCCGAGGAGGTAATTAATAGTATATGTCACACGTGTGTATCTTTTGGTTGATCCTCGCAAAGACTCTGGGATCTGTGCTCTGGAGATATTATCGCAGGTACCATAGACTTTCCTAAGGACCCTGAGGAGCTGGGGAAAGATCAAGATGTAGATACCTGGCTTAATTGCTTCTCTCTGTTGCTGTATCACAATGTCTATTCTGAAAGCTGGCTTCTTACAGTGTATTTCCTTCAAGTCACTATTCCAGATTCATTTTCCTCCTACCCCATCCCAGTGGCATGGAGCCTTATCTTATAACCCTTCCATTCTAGGACAGGAAAGAAGGGCTTGGAGAGGGTGGGGGTAATATCCAGAACCCTGAGGCTGTTCTCAGGAAAACAGGGGTGGAAGCTCACATTCTCATCCTAAACATTGCTGACACTAGGGCTATACTGTGTGAAATTCACTGCTGCTGGACTTTGGGTAAAATGGTACTTTTGAGAATTGGCTGAGAATCATTGTAGGGGCCCTTCACGTTCTGCAGAAATCCTTCCTTGTGTCTAGTGTCTTGCGTTGTAAAGCTGACTTGACTACTGCGTGGCCTTGGGAAATTGCTCAGAATCAGCCCCCTCATCAGTAACATGAAAGGGATGGATTTCTGTGATCCTTCCTTACCCTATTTTGTGATTTTTTAAAAAAGTTTTTGTTATTTAATGCATTATTATTTCTATAGCATAAAAATTATGTGTTTCCATGTAAAAGCTGTAGCTTTTCCAGAATTTCGGCAAACTTTAGGAGTTGGATTTTAAATTTATTTTAGTTACCTTCTGAGCTAATTTTAAGATTATTATTTTCTCATTTTATGGAGAAGAAAATAAGGGTGAATAGAAATCACTTGACTTCCCTGTGGTCATCATGTGGACCAGAGCTGGGCAAAGAGTTCATTCTCTGAATTTTGTAGATTTTATTATTAAGATAGAGCATTCAAATTAAATAAAATGCAATTGCCACTAATTCAAAACTAGCTTAGTCTCATAAGATTTGAGATTTGAAACTTATTGAAATGCATTATTATTTCAGCAATTATTGGGATATAGTTGTGTGCTTTGTGGCACTCTGCAATACTGGGGGTTGGATAAAACCTGCCTCTGCTTTCAAGGCTCTTAATAGCCTTGGGCCAACACAGGCACCCCAGTTACCATAACACCAAACAGATCCTACTTGCCATGGGAATATAAAGGAAAGTGGATAGAGAAGACAGAAGTGGCTCATTCCACTGTGAAATGTGTATTACTATACTTTTTATGTAATCTTTTTTTCCATTTATTTGAATTTAGTGGAAGGAAGCTGAAGGAAAAGAGTTCCGTTTGAGATCAGCAAAGAAAGCTTCTGCTCTTTCAGATGCGTCTAGAAAGTGGTTTTTAAAGCAAGAGATAAATGCGGCTGTAGAACATGCTGAAAATCCATGTCATAAAGGTGAGTGTCTGAGAGGCCTTTCTCTCCATGATGTTACAGATTTATTCTTTTAGTAGGGTCTATTATTATGATTTTTTTTTTTTTTTGAGATAGGGTCTTGTTCTGTCACCCAAGCTGGAGTGTAGTGATGCAATCATGGCTCAGTGCAGCCTCGACCTCCTGAGCTCAAGCAGTTCTCCCATCTCAGCCTCCCAAGTAGCTGGGACCATAGGCGTGTATCCCCACACCTAGCTAATTTGTTAAATTATTTGTAGAGATGAGATCTCACTATGTTGCCCAAGCTGGTCTCAAACTGCTGGGTTCAAACCATCCTCCCGCCTTGCCTCTCAAAGTGCTGGGATTATAGGCGTGAGCCACTGTGCCTGGCCAGTGAATAAATTATTGGGATGTATTTTGGCACTTCTATTCAATCTACTGCTCAAGTAAAAGGTAATCACTGGTTACCATATTTTTGGTGGGAAAGGGTGGGCTGAGGTGGGACTATTACAGAAACAGAGTCCCAGTCGAGGAAAAAGTTTGTGCAGACTGTCCTGTGGAGTTCTGTTTGATTCTGTTGCTCCAAGGTAAAATATGTACTTTGCCAAAAGCTGGTCCTCAGAACAACAGTATATTCAAGTATCACATGGAAACTTCTCATAGGATTTGATCCAACATTAGGTTTCGATACAAGGCTTACAGTGGCATCAACTGAAAAATCAAAATTATAATTTAAAACTGTAAAATACCCTGGAGGCTGAGGCGAGAGGATCTCTTTGAGCCCAGGAGTTTGAGGCTGCAGTGAGCTATTATCACACCACTGAACTCTAGCCTGGGCAACAGAGAAGACCCTGTCTCTTTAAAAAAAAAAAAAAAGATTTCCAAAAATTATAGAGTACAGTTAACAAGGAGCTTTTATTTTACTGTGTTTTATTTTGTTTCAGTCTTTTATAATGTGTATACATTGCTTTTTAAAATAATAGCTTTGTTGATACATAATTCACATGCCCTATAATTCACCTTTTTTCTTTCTCTTTTTCTTTTTTTTTTTTTTTTGAGACAGAGTTTCGCTCTTGTCTCCCAGGCTGGAGTGCAGTGGTGCGATCTCAGCTCACTGCAACCTCCACCACCCAGGTTCAAGTGATTCTCCTGCCTTAGCCTCCTGAGTAGCTGGGATTACAGGCCTACACCACCATGCCTGGCTAATTGTTTTATTTTAGTAGAGATGGGTTTTCGCCATGTTGGCCATGCTGGTCTCGAACTCCTCACCTCAGGTGATCCACCCGCCTCGGCCTCCCAAAGTGCTGGGATTACAGGCGTGCCCAGCACCGCACGCAGCCTAATTCACCTATTTAAAGTGTATTATTCAATGTCATTATATTATCATGTACTAAAAAATACACTTACATAGTCATGCAGCCATCACCACAAGCAAGTTTAGAGCATTTTTCAGCACTTCAAAATAAACCCAGTACCCATTAGCAGTCACTCCCCATTTCCACTCACTCCCCCAAGCCCCTGGCAGCTACTAACTACCTTGTGTCCACTCACCTATTCAGGAAGTTTCATGTAAATATAATCATGTAATATATGGTCTTCTGTGTCTGGTTTCTTGTACTTGGCATAATGTCTTGAGATTCAACCATGTTGTAGCATGTACCAGTACTTCATTCCTTTTTATTGCTGAATAATATTCCATTGTGTGGATATTATGTATTTTTTTAATCTATTCATCAGTCGATGGACATCTGGATTCTTTCCAATTTTTGGCTTCATGAATATGCTATGTGCATTACTTTTACATTTCACAAATTTGAAGAGTGAAAATATAGGTTAGGTCATTTAATTATGCCTACCTTTTTTTTTTTTTAAAGACAGAACTTCACTCTGTTGCCCAGGTTGGAGTGCAGTGGCACGATCTTGGCTTACTGCAACCTCTGCCTCCTGCATTCAAGAAATTCTCCTGCCTCAGCTTCCTGAGTCGCTGGGACTACAGGCGCATGCCACCATGCCCAGCTAATCTTTAGTAGAGATGGGGTTTCGCCATGTTGCCCAGGCTTGTCTCGAACTCCTGGCCTCGAGTGATCTGGCCACTTTGACCTCCCAAAGTGCTGGGATTATACCTCACCCGGCCAAATCATGCCGACTCTTAAAACCACTCATTACCGCTCATACTTGAGATTTAGTGGTCCCAAATAGCACCAAGAGTACTTCAGGGAGGTGGAGAGGAGTAGAATGTGACTCTGCACGAATTAAATATTTAAAACTGGCTTACAAAAGATACTAATCATGGGAGCTGTCACTTCTCCCTCACCCTCTCACACTTACCCTTGTTTTTTTTTTTGGTTGTTTGCTTTTTTGAGACGGAGTCTCGCTTTGTCGCCAGGCTGGAGTGCAGTGGCACAATCTCGGCTCACTGCAACCTCCACCTCCTGGGTTCAAGCAATTCTCCTGCCTCAGCCTCCCAAGTAGCTGGGACAACAGGCGCCCACCACCACGCCCAGCTAATTTTTGTATTTTTAGTAGAGACGGGGTTTCACCATGTTGGGCAGGGTGGTCTCAATCTCTTGACCCTTGTGATCCTCCTGCGTGGCCCTCCCAAAGTGCTGGGATTACAGGCGTGATCCACCGCACCCAGCCTTACCCTTGTTTTAGAAAGAAAAATAGAAAATCTTTAGAGAGCTATCTACGTAGAAATAGAGAAAGGTAAGAAACTGTGAAAAGCTTTCGTCATCGGTAGTTTTCCTACACCTTTGCCCCTCTGCCTCCATGATGTCTTCCCTTCGTGCTAAATTTTTTTTGGCAGACCAGTCAGCCATGTATGTTTTTTAACCTTGCTGAATTTCACCAATAGAGATAATTTGATTAATAAACATCCAGTTTTCAAAAGTCTTAAGTTTATGACTGAATGATGTGTCAGTCATGTTCTTAATCAGGGTATATAGATTTAATCAGATTCATTTAATCCTAAAAGCAGGAGATAATCACCTACCATTAAGAAAATGACATTTTTGAGCCCGGCGCGGTGGCTCACTCCTGTAATCCCAGCACTTTGGGAGGCCAAGGTGGGCAGATCACAAGGTCAGGAGTTTGAGACCAGCCTGGCCAATATGGTGAAACCCCCGTCTCTACTAAAAATACAAAAATTAGCCAGGCGTGGTGGTACACACCTGTAATCGCAGCTACTCAGGAGGCTGAGGCAGGAGAATCGCTTGAACCCAGGAGGCAGAGGTTGCAGTAAGCCAAGATCGCACCACTGCACTCCAGCCTGGGCGACAGAGCGAGACTCCATCTCAAAAAAAAAAAAAAATACAAACCTATATGTGTTCAAAAAATACACATGTTCAAGACCTCACCAATAGTGATTTAATTCAGTAGATCTAATAATAGTAATAATTCCGTCAGTAGCTCTAGGGTAGAAACTAGGGAGCTAGATTTTTGTTTTAAAGTTTCACGAGTGAATATCCCCAGCCAGTGTTTGAAACATTGCTGGAGACAAAAGGTAATCATTAGTTGTTTGAACAGAGATAATATTTACAACACAGCCCTTTGGGAAGATGAATTGAACAGGAGTGGGCAGGTTGAATTTTGGAGGACAGATGAGAGGGAGCTGTGAGATCTCAGCTCTGGCTGGGCACGGTGGCGCCTGTAATCCTAGCAATTTGGGAGACTGAGGCGGGAGGATGGCTTGAGCCCAGGAGTTCAAGACCAGCCTGGGCAACATAGTGAGACTGCCTCTAAAAAATAAAGAAACAAAAAGATCTGAGGAACCACACCTGATTCGCGTCTTGTCTGTGCAGCAAATGTAGCAGTGGCCAGCGTGCTTGTGCCAGAATGCTGGTAGACTGGGAAGCTCGTGACCTTATTCCATTTGCTACAAGTATTTTATTTTGGAGTTATTTCTGGCCAGGCGCAGTGGTTTACGCCTCTAATCCCAGCACTTTGGGAGGCCAAATCATGCCTACTTTTAAAACCCCTCATACACCTGAGGTCAGGAGTTCGACCTGGCCGACATGGCCAACATGACCAACCTGGCCAACATGGTGAAACCTCGTCTCTACTAAAAATAGCCGGGCATGGTGGCGTGAACCTGTAATCCCAGCTACTCCAGAGACTGAGGCAGGAGAATCGCTTGAACCCAGGAGGTGGAGGTTGCAGTAAGCCGAGATCACGCCACTGCACTCCAGCCTGGGGTGACAGAGCAAGATTCCGTCTAAAAAAAAAAAAGTGTTATTTCTTAGTAAAATAGTTCAATCTGCTTTTTCTTTTCTGTTTTTCTTTTTCCGCTGAGTTCTGTCCGCAGAAACCGTTCTCTGGAACAGTGCAGATTGCAGATTACGTTTACTACCTCCGCCATGTCCCGCCCTTCAGATGTTTGAAGATGACTCTTAGATTCCAGTCCCCCACCAGTTCAAATTAGTCATTGGTGATTAGTCACATTACTTTAATGACTCATTGAGCTAAAACTATGAGGTAAAACCATTAGCTAAAGCTTTTCAGAGAGGTAAAAGGCAGACATCTTACCGATTTAATGAGACTCCCAGCATTCTGGGCTCGACACATGGAGCTTAGATGCTAGCGGTGGGAGTAGAAAGGAAGGGACCATTATAAGCCATGTCAGGATGCAAATGTTTTTAAAAACACCTTGGTGTCATACTGGATGTGCTGCTGTAGGAGTTAGGGAACAGTGAAAACACAGCTGAGGGTGAGTGTAAGTTTTGAGATGAGGAGAGTAATTGATAAAAGTAGGGGAGGCACCACTAGTTGCTAGGGCACTGCCCTGCCTGCTACTCTAAGAAGGGTTCGGGTAAAACTTGCCTATGGCTGGCTCTGATTTGCTGTATGTTGTGATGAGGCCCTGCCTAGCTAAAACCAGTAGTGATCAGCTCATAATAGTTTCCAGGGAAGCCTTGCTGATCACATTTCGTAATCTCTATCTTAATATCCATATTTTTGAGTTTGTTGGCTTTTTGTTTTAGCTGAAAGTGTTTTTAAAGTACGTTTTACAGAAATCAGCTCAGCTCTTAATTCTCACTAATGACACTTCCTTGCCTTTTGAATGTTGACCGCATTCTTCTTAAAATAGAAAAGAAAGGAGTTTTTAGCCATCCTTGGTGATTGTAACTTACTAGGGACCATTTGGAATTAGTAAGCCTTTCTACTCACTCCCAAACATCATCTTAATCTCCTCACTTTTATAACAGAAGAACCCAGGTTCCAAAATGAACAGGACTCAAGCTGTTTGCCTAGAACCTCACAATTAAATGACTCTTCTGAAATGGATCCCTCAACACAGAGTAAGTTGATAAGCAAGAAAATGTTATTCTGCCATTTTAAATTTCACAATATTTAAGCAAAATTGTGGCTTAAATTATATTTATAGCATGTGGACGCCATTTTCCCAGGGCACTGATAATGGAAATCCTAAAAGGGAGGCAGCAAGATTCTCTCAGATTCCTCAGTGGGAGAACTGGGTGCAGACCAAATTCCAAGTAAAGAAAATGTGCTGAATCCACTAAAGCCACTCCAGTTCTTGAGCACCAGCACTGCTGCCCAAAAACATAGTTGGAGGTTCTAACAGAAGTCTCTAACTAGGTTGATAATATGAAATTCATAACTATTTTGACATCCTTGTGAAAAAAAATCTCAGCGTTGTTTTTCAAAGCTATTGCATAGTTGAATTTTCTTGACTCTGTTCATTTGGGCTGGGCTCCCTCCAACAACCATTGAAAACATGTGTCTGCCCTGGGCACTCCGATGGAATTCTGGGCCCCAGCAGCAGTAGAATGGCCAAAGGCAAATGGCTTCATGCTGATGAGCTGACTTTTGATCCCTGGACGTGGTTCATTGGAGGGTTTGGGGTTTTTTAGAAGGGACAGGGTAGAAACATCTTACAGAAATGTAATCACAGCATTAGGCCATCCATAAAGAAGCTAACAATCTTCCCAGTAAAGTATATTATTTATTTTTAAAAGGGAGGAGGAGAAAAGACACTCTGTTAAACTTACTTTCAACTATTTTTTTTCAATAAAATTGCCATATAGATGAAGCAGTATTTAACAAGATCTTTTGACTTCTTTTGGAAGAACAAACTTTTATACAATGTCCCAAAAAGACGAGCTTTATAAGAAATATGCCTAATACCAAGTCATGAGATTCCAGTATTGTGTAAAATATTTTTGCTAACTCACATTTTTATATGCATCTATAAATTCTGTGCCAGAATATGAATTAAACCAAAAATCATTCAAGAGTCAGATGAAGTATGAGAGATTCTCAGCTACTCTCTATTCTGACATATCAAATGGTTATTTGGCAGCAAAATACAAAAGCATGAAAGTTGTATTTCTTTGGGAGGAAAAACAGTTTTTCAGAAATTGAAGCTGACTGACTATTTGAATATGTAACTAAATTTCAGAGAAGTATATTTTTAAGGGCTTTTAAAAAAAATTTCAGTGTTCACTAGCCCCTCTAAATCAGTAACGCTCTTACACTTGGACATGTTGTAGTATTTTAATCTTGATTCTGGACCTTCCTGATATTAGCCAATATTAAAAAGCATTTGATTTACTTATTTTTATTTATTTATTGGAAAGGTAATCATGGTGTATATTTCACAGTTTTATGACTTGGAATGCCTTTTCTCATTACTATTAAGCATCATTGTGAGGAAGCTTACAGTTGCACAAACTCAAATTCTCTCTTAAATTAACAAGCTTTGTTTCTAACTTAAGATTGTTTGTATCCCAAGTATTTCAAAGCAGAGAAGTTCTCTGTTAGCATTCATTCAGTCCAACAAATAATTATTTGGCTTGTAAATGGAACCACCTAGGGCCAGGTTATATGTAAAATTTAGGTTTTAGAATTGCATTTCATTATTTGTTTTTACAACACATTTATCTTTAAAATAAATGCTGTATCACCGCTAACATCAGAAAACTCAGCTTTTCTAAATTTTAAATTTCGTTTTCAAGTTTCTTTAAATAGAAGAGCAGTAGAATGGGACACCACGGGACAGAATCTTATTAAGAAAGTGAGAAATCTTCGCCAGAGACTCACTGCCCGGGCTCGTCACAGATGTCAAACCCCTCATCTTTTGGCTGCATAGAATGCATGTCACCTTGAGACGGTCGAGAGAGAGACCTATTTTGCAATCAGTGACATTGATTTTTAGATTATTTATTTAAAATTCCTATAAAGATCAGCCCTTTGTACAGAAAAATGTGTCTATAAAAATTATGTGTTATTTAATTCTGATACTTTTTGGCTTGTAAATGGCTTCTTGAACTTTTTACAATAAAAATGTTTTAGAAACTGTTAAAGCTGTGTTAAGCTTTCAGGTTGCAGGGACCAGCATAAACCTCAGTAACTTTAGTTGATAAAGGTTTATCTTAAAGATGAATAGAGAAATAAAGAACAGGAAACCATCTCAACAGCTCTATAGCCTGGACTGAGGGAGAACTCAGCAGCAGGTGGAGAGCGCCAGCAGCGTGGAGTGGCCTATATCACCATCTTCCTGCCCACCCCCGCCTCTGCCAGCGGGACCCCCTCTTTGTCAGGGACCCCACCGGACTTGTAACATCTCATCTCTGCCCAGCTCCTTCTGCCCTCTGCCTGCTTCTTCTGGCAGCACCGACTGCTCTTCCTCCCTCCCTCCACTTCCTAGCTCCAGAGTGGGGCTGCTTGTGACTTCCTGAACCTTACTCTCTAAAAGGAGGGTAGAAATACTTGATATGACGATTCAGTAAGATCAGGCAGGCCAGACGTGGTGGCTCACACCTGTAATCCCAGCACTTTGGGAGGCTGCGGTGGGTGGATCACTTGAGGTCAGGAGTTCGAGACCAGCCTGGCCAACATGGTGAAACCCTTTCTCTACTAAAAATAGAAAAATTAGCCGAGTGTGGTGGCACATGCCTGTAATCCCAGCTACTTGGAAGGCAGGGGGAGGGGAATCACTTGAACCCAGGAGGCGGAGGTTGCAGTGAGCCGAGATCACGCCACCGCACTCCAGCCTGGGCAACAGAGTGAGACTCCATCTCAAAACAAAAACAAAGATCAGGCCTAAAAAGTTCCTGGCCCAGTGCTTGACACATAGTAAGTATATAATATGTAGTACTAATTATTTTTTCTGGGGCCACGAAGCATAATCTTATGGTTTATCAAATATTTTCAGCAAAGTGCTCTCTTGCCCAATAAGCAAAGTTCTAAAATGATCTCCTGGCATTATACACGGCATTGGTTTCCCAAGAGTATTTTTCTCAGCCTAGTTTTCCATACGTTTTTAGGTGACTGCAAACATATGCCTGCATGGGCCAAGCTGGTGTGTGTTTTTTGACAACAGGAATCCCAGGATATAGAATATGTAGAGTGTGATGGGAACTTTGGTAGACTAGAATTGCCTGCTCACCGGAAAGCATTGAAATTCTAAAATTCTGTGGTTCTGCCACCCAGAAACAGCTGTCTATTGCAGTTTTTTACCTCTATTTCAGGTCCTCTTTGACTAGGATTTATACCTAGTCAGGTCTCTTTTGCAGCTACACACGCCACATACGCATACAAAACCCTCTTTTTTATATATAGAACTGCAGTAGTTAATTTTTGAAAAAAGTTCCTGTTCATTCAGTGAAAGTGCACTATGAATGCTCTCACCCAAATGAAGTTCTTTTTATCACATGCTTCCAGTTGTCTCTGAGCCTACGTTTCTCCAGTAATCTTGATGCAATCACTGCCTTAGCACGTTTCAGATACTTGGTTGAATCCCCTCAGTCATATGTGCTTGGTTGACATTGCAAAGGTTATCACATTTAATGAAATATGTGAAAGACATTTCTGATTATTTCTTCCTGCTTCTTGACATTATATCTTCAATCTTCAATTTCTTTATAATGTGAATTCTCTGGAATTGAATAGGGGCTGAACTTGGCTAAAATTCCTTGCTACATTCAAAAAGTTTCTCTCCATTACTCCCTTGAGTTTGTTAAAGAAGAGCGGTCCCTATAGGCCTTTTCATATTTATTACATCCATAAAGTTTCTCTCTGGTGTGAATTCTGCAATGTTGGCTAAATGTTGGGCTTCAGCTAAATCACTCTCCACATTGGGCTACATTTGGAAAGTTATTTTCCAATATGAATTCAGTGGTGCTAAATAAGTTATTAAGTTGGTTAGGGGCCTTTTCAAATTTATTTACATTCATAGAGTTTTTCTCTAGTATGAATTCTCCCAGGTTGAGCAAGATTTCGGCATTTGTAAAGGTCTTTCCACAGTCATTGCATGTGGGTCGTTAACAGCAGTTGACTGCAAGGACTGCATAAGGCTTAATTTATTAATATGGGTGTGCTTATCTGAGAGTCTGGATTTAATGTTTAATCTCATTGTATCAGTCTGGGTCCAGTCAGGAAGCAAACTACACAGTTGTTTGGATAAGGAAAGTTTAATGTAAAGACTAAACTATGATGGGAGCAACTATGAAGACGTAAAGAGAACTCTACAGGGTATGTAGGACTGAGGAGAGTACTCAAGGAAGGACAGACTTGGAAGGGAGGCTCCTCCCTCCCCCAGGCTTAGGTCAGACCTGGTCAAAGAAGGTGTGGTTGCAGACCACTGGATACTGGGGAGGGTCTCAGAGTTGGCCAGGCCAGGGGTAGTCCATGTCCCCAGGCAGCAGGAAACAAATCTGGGCACAGAAAATCCAAGGCTGGTAAAAATGCACAGGGAGGCAGGGCATAAGGACCCCGCTTGTCAGGGTAGTGTGCAGGCTGGCCATATCCAGAGAGCCACAAGAAACCACCCTCAGGCACAGGCAAACAGGCCAGCAGGCAGGTGCTCAGAGTGCATCAGGGTGGTACTGCTGGCATGAGACCCGGAACATGCCAGTGTCCATGCTGGGAAGACTATAGTGACATGGTCATTGGGCTAGGACTGTGAAGTCATAAGGCAATTGTGCACACTAGGCACATGGTTGGGGCAGAGCACGACTAGATGTCCCCCATGCACACGCACCACTGGTGGGCCGTGAAGCAAGAGCAAGAGTAAGCCAAACAGCACATTGGAGCAAGGAAGAGAAGCCTTGTTTCTCCTGCAGTGTCCTTCCAGCACCCTCTATTGACAGCTCAGCATCATGCGCATTGTAAGGAGAAATACCTCAAGAGCCCAGCCCATCACTGCAGACCTGAGATGATTGATAACTGCCACGCTTATACCATTGAAAGTGGCTCCACAGTTTACTTGGTTGGTTGACAGGAATGTGGACTCAATGTTGGCCTCTATCTAATGAGACAGATGCCAGAATTTCCCTGGCATGATGTGGATGCAGGTATCCAAAGGCTCAGGGAGGTAGGAATGTAGGGGTGGATTGATCACATCTGGCCTCCTCACTCACCTCCCAATGCCATGCTCTGGGCCCAAAAGCTACTTCCTTTATGAAGGCACTGAACAAGGAGCACCCCCAAACCTGAAAAACTCTGTGGTGACTCATGCAACAAGACATGATGGTGAGAGATGCCACCACCACAGATGTGTTCCCTGGTTTCAGTGGGAATAATGGAATTCTGGGGCAGCAGAGGCCAGGCAGAAGCATTTAATTACCAGACAACCATTTACAGTAAAGGGCAGCAGGGCGGTAGTAGTAGTAAAGGATTTGGGGCTACTGGTAATTGACTACACTGTCCCTAAGAATGAAATAGATAGGCAGCCTACTAAAATGTTGCTTGAGATATGTAACAGGAAAAACTCCAGACCTGGTAGCCGAAAAACTGACTCGAGTCATCACCATGGAGAGTCATACCTGTCACCCAGTTTCCAGTATGAAAATAATTCTCAGATCCAAAGCCTCTTGATTGAAGGGGAGGCCAGGTCCCCCTGAGGAAGGACCCTGAAGCAGTGCCACATATACATGCTTACGAGTATTCTTTAACCCTTCCCCAAAGAAACCTCTTGCCATTTACTTGAAGGATTGCATACTAGGGAAAAGAAAACACCCATATCTCACAGGGATTACTAAACATGGTTTCTGAATTGACACTAATTACTATGGCCTACCAGTGAAAGTCACAGCTAATGGTGGTCAGTTGATCAAAGGAGTCTTGAGCAAAGTTTGAATTACAGAGGGTGAATAGGGCCATGAAACCAACCCGTGGTTATTTTCTGAGTACCTGAATATATCATTGAAATAAACATACATGAAAAATGGCAGACTCTCCTCGTTGGCACTAAGACCCATTGAGTAAGAGCTATTATCCTAGAAAGATTCAAGTGAAAGCCCCTGGAATTTCCTCCTTACCAGGATAGTAAACCTGGTTAGTAAAAAGTTATCGCAATTATCCCCAGGGGCCGGGCGTGGTGGCTCACACCTGTAATCCCAGCACTTTGGGAGGCCGAGGTGGGCGGATCACCTGAGGTCAGGAGTTCGAGACCAGCCTGGTCAACGTAGTGAAACTCCGTCTCTACTAAAAATACAAAAATTAGCCGAGTGTAGTGGTACGTGCCTGTAGTCCCAGCTACTCGGGAGGTTGAGGCGGGACAATTGGTTGAACCTGGGAGGCGGAGGTTGCAGTGAGCCAAGACCATGCCGCTACAGTCCAGCCTGGGCAACAGAGTGAGACCCTGTCTCAAAAAAAAAAAAAAAAAAAATACCCCAGGGAAATTGAAGAGACTCATGCCACCAGCAAAGAGTTGAAAGATGAAGGGCTGGTTATAGCTATTCCATCATAATTTAATTCGCTGTTTGACCTGGGCAGAAGGGAGATGGATCTTTGAGAATGGCTGAGTTATCAAGAACGTAGCAGGTGAGGACCGCAGTAGCAGCGTCTGTTTCAGATGCAGTCATGACACAGCTTCCGGCATATGGTATACCGCAGCTGCCTGCATGAGCTCCCTGACACCCCTCTCCCAGACCCTATCATGACCTGCATTTCCGGATAGGTTCAGTGCCCACCGCTGGCCTCTCTCATCAATGCTGCCTACCCATCCCGCAGCTCCCTCGCCGGCCCACACCGTGTTCCCAGCCACTCCTCTGTTGCCTCCATTAGACGGCCTTGAACTCGGCCGCGCTCGCAGCGCCGTCCTGGACTGTGACCACCCGGACTCCTACCCTAACCCAGAGCTGTGCGCGACACCCCCTCCTCCCCCCCGCGACGGCCAGTGCCCAAGGGCAAGGGCAAGGGCAAGGGCGAGGGCAGGTCGAGCAGTCGGGGACTGCTCCAGGCCCTTACACGTGCTCTTTCCTGGACACTCGGGCCGCAGTGCGAGGGTGGTCTTGGCGGGGGTACTTATCAGGTTCACCTGGTCCCAGGACACTCGTCGCAGATATGTCTTTTCCCCTTGTTGTCACCCCCGGACTTTGACAAGCAAACAACGCTTCTTTCCGGCGGGGTTGTACGGACAGCAAACAAAATTATTGTGCCCCGTGTGAGGATCGAACTCACGACCTTCAGATTATGAGACTGACGCGCTACCTACTGCGCTAACGAGGCACCTAGTAAGGGTTTCCGGACGGATCATTCTGAGGCTATACAGCTGGTCTGCTGCGCATGCCCACTTTTACTTTTACTGCTGCTGTAAATCCCGTCCAGAATACTCGGAATTCTAGTTCCGCTGCGTCCTGCCCCTGTCCCGTTTGTCAATTAACAAACACTGTGGCTGGCTTGTCAATGCCTCACTGGGTAGCGACGACACGGAGAAGGGGGATTTTTCCTCCTATTGTTGTGAACCGTTATTTTTGTGTAGTGCGTACAAACCGTTTGCACACTCGTGAACGCATGAAACACTTATCAGGCACCCACTGTGTTCCCGGCCCTGTGCTGGGTGCTGCGTTCACAGGAACAAACCCAGGGTCAAGGAGTTGGGCGAAGATGCATAACGATTGGAAAACACACACGGGCGCGCGCGCGCACACACACACACACACACACACCCGCTGTTACGGCCCCCACTGCAGACCCCAGATCCCGCCAGTCCCCGGACTCCTCCCGGCGCCCCAGGTTTCCACGGCCGCCTGCAGCTCCTCGGCTGAGGCTGCGCTTCGTAGGGGCTGCCGGGCTCCGGGACGCAGTCCTGCAGTCTTTTTCTGACTGCAGGACTGACTGCAAGACTTTCTGACTGCAAGACTGCAGGACTGCAGTCTTTTTCACCACCATTCCTGTGGCCAGTGCCCTGTTGCACACTTGAGCTGCTTCTGATTTTTTCTTCCTTTTTTTTTTTTTTTTTTTTGCTGTTCAAACAGGACTTCAGGAATAACCGTGGAAGCGGTGAGTTAATGTGTTAACTGGGAAGCCCGCTCTCCTTTCCCTTTCACTCCCCTCCCCTTCCTCCCAGCCCTTTATATAAGCTCATTTACCTACATTATTGCTAAAGGAAACTGCGTGCCCCTATCATAAATGGAAAACAGGTAAGGGTTTTTCCCTAACACATGTTCAGATAAATACATACATAACTATTATAATAAAAAAAAAGACTCTTCCACTTACTGTCTAAAATCAGCCAGACAGTGGCACATTGAGGATTTGTACTTTTCGCCGTATGTACATTTATACGGCGTTTATACGGTACATTTATAAAAGGAAATTGAGACAGAACTCTGGGCAAGGCCAGGCGTGGGGACCCCTGGGGAGAGTGTGTGGACGCCCGCGGGTCTGGGTGCCTCCCAGGGAAAGGACGAGTGATGGACAGACCGACGGAAGGACAGGGAGTGGGGAGAGGTTCGTGTGGACCTAGGTGGGTGTGCGGATATTCACGGCACAACTCTGTCAACTTTTCTGTTTGTCTGAAGTTTTTCCTTAGAAAATATTGGGGGTGGAATTTTGTTAATCACCTAGAATTTGAGAGATACGGCGGGGTGTTAAGGGGGCAAAAGGCAGTATGAGTACAAGCAGGTAGGGACATACCATCTTGACAGCAGGCACCACAATTGCTGAGGATAGGCGAAGAGGAATCTCGGAGTGGATGGGGGTGGGGCCTGCTCCACCTCCCAGTGGGAGAAGGACTGGGAGCTGCCGGGCGGGTGGCCGAGGGGCGAGGAAGGAGGAGTTGGAGGTGGGGCAGGCTGCCGGGACCCCAGACCCGGAGACTGACACCCAGTCCTCGGGAAGCTCCTGGATCCCACGGTCTAGGGTGGGAAGCCCAGGACCTCTGCCAGCCTCGGGAAGCGCGCATCCACACGCACCGGCGGGAATCCGACCCAGGGGGCTTACTCCCTGGTAAGGTTGCTGGGGCATCCCCTGCGGACTGCGGACTGGGAGTGTCACCTAGATCCAGCTGTTTCTCCCAGATCTGCAGGCCCGAGGAGATGCTGATTAACATGCAGATTAAATCCCAACGGTCCTGTCTACCACAATTACAAACAGCCCCACTTTCGGGTGTAGCAGTCCCAGGACTGGCAAGCTACCCAACATATTAACTCACCACTTCCACAGTTATTCCCTGAAGTCGTATTTGAACAGGAAAAAAAAAAAAAAAGAAAAAGAAAAAACGAAAAGGAAACAACCCAAGTGTACAACAGGGAACTGACTGGTCACAGGCATAATGGTCTGTCCAGGCTGTAAACAAGAAAAAGGGATGCTGTATGTTGTGACATGAAATGAGCGAAGAACACAACTGCAGAACTAACAAGAGTATGAGACTATTTCTGTAGAAAGGGGTAGATGTTTATATTTGCTAGTATTTGCACACAGAAAGCTAAGATTGCCGGACGCGGTGGCTCACGTCTGTAATCCCAGCATTTTGGGAGGCCTAGGCGGGAGGACCACCTGAGGTCGAGAGTTCGAGACCAGCCTGACTAACATGGAAGAAACCCCATCTCTACTAAAAATACAAAATTAGCCGGGTGTGGTGGCGCATGCCTGTAATCCCAGCTACTCAGGAGGCTGAAGCAGGAGAATCGCTTGAACCCGGGAGGCGGAGGTTGCGGTGAGCCGAGATCGCGTCACTGCACTCCAGCCTGGGCAACAAGAGCGAAACTCCGTCTCAAAAAAAAAAAAAGCTAAGATCAATGATTAATACGCTGAGGGGTGGCAACTGTATGGTTGGAGGTAGGGGTGAGAGGAAGACTCTTTTTAAAAAAAATACACTTTATTTTCTAAACAGTTTTAGCGTCACAGAAAAATTGCAAAGATAATAAGAGTCTCCATAAAGCCTGCACCCAGGTTCACATATTATTAGCATTGGTCGTTGGTATGGGTTGTTTGTTACAAGTAATGAACTGGTGTTGATGCTTTAACTAAAGTCCATCTTGACTCAGATTTCCTTAGTTTTCACCAGGTGTCCGTTTTTCTGCTCCAGGACCTCATCCATGACACATTACATTTAATGGTCCTGTCTCCTTAGGCTCTTCTTGGCTGTGACAATTTCTCAGATTCTTCCTGGGTTTTGATGACTTTGACAGTTCTGAGGAGTACTAGTCGGGTATTTTGTAGAATGCCCCTCAATTTTAACATTTGGCTGACAGTTTTTCTGGGATGAAGACTTTTCACTGTATACCTTTGAACAGGTTTTTTAAAAACATACTTGAACTATGTTAATCTATAAGCTATTTAAATGTTGACGTACCTTAATTTAAAAGGCGAACTGTAGGAATTAGAAGAAAAGGGAGGAGAGGAGGGGAGGGAGAGGAAGAAGGGAAGTTGGGGAGGAGAAGGAGAAAGAGAGAGAGAAAGGGGGCAGGGGAGCAGGAGGAGCAGGAGGAGGAGGAGGCTACCTGGAGGGGCTGGGCTGATCCTGCCTTGGGCCCACTCTCCCGGCGACCTCCCGGCTCCCAGACCTGGCTGAGCCCGGCGGCCGCCAGGGGACGCTGTGCCCAGGGGTTGCCGCCGCTGCCCCGCAGGTTTCGGCTTTTTCCAAATTAGCCTAGGGACACACCGCGCCACTAGCCGGTACAGGGTACCAGGCCCGATCCCCACGCCAAGGTGGCCCCATCACCCAGACCTGCCCAGGGAAGGGAGGTAGAACAGGAGTTGGGGGTGGGGGCGGTGCAGATATTTCGCTCCGTAAAGTGTCTCCAGCTTTTAAAGATGTATGTCCCCAATTTTCCAAGACCTTCTGAGCCTTCGAGTGGAATGAAACTCGAACGGCTTCCCAGCTGCGGCGATGAGGTCCCGCTCCTGCAGAATCCCGGCAGGAGCGGAGACTCGGGAGGGGACCGCTGGCTGCAGGCGCCCTGCTGGAGTCCGGAACGAGGGTGGTCAGGGTCGCCTCCCCACGGGGTCGCAGATGAGGGAGTGGGGCCGCGCAGGGAGGCTCCTGCAGGCCGTGACCCCCAGGCCTGGCCCGTAGAGAGTGACTGATGGCGAGGACCCGCTGGGGACCCGAGGGCCTCAGCCTGCGCCTGCGCCGGGGCTCCCCGACCAAGACCTTCCGGCCCCCAGGCCTTTGCACCGGCAGCTCTAGGCCTGATGTGTCCTGCCCTCAGGCCCCTCTGTAGAGACGGGGATGTCTTCCTTGCCCTACGTCAGCCGGGTCGGAGGTCACCTACCCCCGCGAAAACCTGATCCCCATTGCCTTCATCTGCCTCCTTCTCCCACCCTCCTCCCCAGGCTGAACGCGCTCCTTCCTCCCAGCTAAGCGCCTTGCCGGCGGTGGCTGATTTACTTCCACTCCTAGAGCAACCCGAAGGGCTCAGTGCTTCAATTGCCCCTCACTTACGAAAGCGAAACTCAAACTCAAGGTCAGGCGACCTGACCAAGTTCAAACGATCACCGCCCCCCTTCTCAGCAGTTTCCAAATCCTTTTCCTCACTTGCATTCCCTAAAATAATGTTGAAAAACTTCTGGGCATCTCCTCTCATAATGTTAAGTTGATATCAAAACAGTTTCATTATAAACAATTGCAAAAGACGTAATTACCAGTGTATGTAAATGGTGATTTTTTTAAAATATAAAATTGAGTATATGACATTTAAAAATATACCCAATGGGCCCGGTGCATTGGCTCACACCTGTAATCCCAACGCTTTGGGAGGCCGAGGCGGGCGGATCACCTGAGGTCAGAAGTTTGAGACCAGCCTGGCCAACATGGTGAAACCCCGTCTCTACTAAAAATACAAAAAATTAGCCGGGCGTGGTGGTGGGCGCCTGTGATCCCAGCTACTCGGGAGGCTAAGGCAGGAGAATGGCTTGAACCCGAGAGGCGGAGGTTGCAGTGAGCCGAGATCGTGCCACTGCACTCCAGCCTGGATAACAGCGTGAGAGTCCGACTCAAAAAAAAAAAAAAAAAAAAAAGTACCCAATGACATCTATATATGCTATGGATTCCATACAAACCAAAATCTATTTTGAATATATATAAATATGTCTCCCAACATTTGGAAAGTTTACATTTAACTGCCTCCTTGAACTCATTTCCATTCTACTTCCCCCCACAGAATACTATCCCCCTACAGTACATATTTTATGTTTGAATGCGTTCATTGATCACCTAGCATGCCTCTGAGCAACAAAAAATAGAGTTTATTAGAAGCCCATTTTACAGAGTGGAAAGTGTATCTGTGTGTGTGTGTGTGTATGTGTGTGTGTTCTGGGAGGCGGGCTCCTGGCTGACTGAGCAGGGTAACTTAATGGAAACCTGTTGAGAGTGATTCCTTTTCCCTTGCGGCAAATGGACCCAGGCAGGGAGACCCCCAGCACACCCAGGCAACCATCCAGGCCCAGGTGATGAAAACACATCCTGGCAGGTGGTTACAGAGAGCTAAAGGAGGGAGCCATGTGGAGGCACATTCCACAGACACAGGACTTGGGTCTGGCTGTCAAGAGAAGCCAAGTCACTCCAAACAGGGATGAGCAATGTCCAGAAACATTCCAGTGCCACCGCCGGGGAGGAAAGCAGGAAAGAGGGGCCTGTTTGGATGAATGCAATAAATTCTGGTTTTGCTTATTTTCAATTGCACGAATAATATGTACTAATTATAAAATATACGCATACAGCCATGCTGTATTAGTCAGCTCTTACTGTGCTAATGCCGCTTAACAAACCACCCAAAACGTAATGGCTTAAACAGCAAGCATGTGTTTTCCTTTTTCTTTTCTTTTTTTTTAGATGGCGTCTCACTCTGTTGCCCAGGTTGGAGTGCAGTGGTGCAATTTCAGCTCACTGCAACTTCCGCCTCCCAGATTCAAGCGATTCTCCTGCCTCAGCCTCCTGAGTAGCTGGGATTACAGGCGCGCCACCACACTCAGCTAATTTTTGTATTTTTAGTAGAAACAGGGTTTCACCATGTTAGGCGGCTCTCGAACTCCTGATCTCGTGATCTGCCCACCTCAGCCTCCCAAAGTGTTGGGACTACAGGTGTGAGCCACTGCGCCCGGCCCATTGGGTATATTTTTAAATGTCATATACTCAGTTTTATATATACTCGGCCTCCCAGAGTGCTGGGATTACAGGCATGAGTCACCGCACCTGGCCTTTTATTTTTTAAACAGCTTTACTGACATATAATTCACATACCATATAATTCACCTATTTTAAGTGTACAAGTAAATGAGTTTGGTTATCCTATTTTTTTTAAATTGTGGTAAATATATGTAACACAAACTTTATCACTTTAACCTTTTTTTTTTTTTTTTTTGAGATAGAGTCTTGCTCTGTCACCCAGGCTGGAGTGCAGTGGTGTGATCACAGCTCACTGCAACCTCCACCTCCCCAGCCTTAGTGATCCTCCCACCTCAGCCTCCCAAGTAGCTGGGACCACATGGGCGTGCCACCACACCCGGTTAATTTTTGTATTTTTTGCAGAGACAGATTTTTTGCCATGTTGCTTAGGCTGATCTTGAACTCCTAATCTCAAGCCATTTGCCCACCTCAGCCTCCCAAAGTGCTGGGATTACAGGTGTGAGCTACTGCACCCAGCCCATTTTAACCATTTTTAAAAATTTTTTATTTCAATACCTTTGGGGGGTACAGGTGGTTTTTGGTTACATGGATAAGTTCTTTAGTGGTGATTTCTGAGATTTTGGTGCATCCGTCACCCGAAGGAGTGTACCCAAAGTGTAGTCTTTTATCCTTCACCATTTTAACCATTTTTAAAGTTTATAATTCAGTGACACTAAGTACATTCATAGCATTGTGAAACCATTGCTACTTTCTAGCTCCAAAACTTTTTCATCACCCCAGACAGAAACTCTGTGCTCATTAAGCAATAATTCCTCATTCCTCCTCCCTTAGTGCCTGGTAACCTCTAATCTATTTTCCATCTCTATGTATGTATTCTAGATATTTTATATAAGTAGGAGCTTGCCATATTTGTCTTTTTGTGTCTGACTTGTTTCACTCAGCTTCAGGTAAGCACGTCTTTTTCTTGCTCATGAATCTGTGTATCAGCTGGGTTCAGCTCCAGGCTGAGCCTGGGTTCAGTCTGCTCTTCAAGTCTTCGCATTCTCCTTGGACCAGCCATTCACTAAGGTATATTCTTCTGAAAGAGTCACAACAGCCCAAGGGACAAAGCCATGCCAAGGAGGCACATTTAAGGCCCCTGCTCTGGGTATATACATCAAAACTCCCTTGGCCCAAGCAAGTCACATGGCCAAGTTCAACATTACTGGGGCAGGGAAAAATACTCAGCTTACTGTGGCAGAGGGTGCAGAGTCTCAGGCCAAAGGAAAGGAAAAAGAATGAAGAATAATCCAGGCCAGGCGCAGTGGCTCACATCTGTAATCCCAGCACTTCAGGAGGCTGAGGTTGGCAGATAGTTTGAGGTCAGGAGTTCGAGATCAGCCTGGCCAAGGTGGTGAAACCCCACCTCTACTAAAAATACAAAAATTAGCTGGACATGGTGGCATGTGCCTGTAATCCTAGCTACTCAGGAGGCTGAGACAGGAGAATCTCTTGAACCCGGGAGGTGGAGGTTGCAGTGAGCTGAGATAGCGCCAGTGTACTGCAGCCTGGGCAACAGAGCGAGACTCCATCTCAAAAAAAAAAAAGAATAATCCAATGTGCCACACATATAGATGTACACAAGTCAAGTCCCCTCAAGTCACTCCTAATACTGTTCCCCTTCCATAGGGAAGCCCTGTGAGTGGTCTTCCTACACACAAACATAAAAATAAACACTTGGGTTTTAGGTATCTATGTAAGATCATATGGTACTTATTGTTCTGTGACATTTTCCACTTAACAGTAAGCTGGACCTCTTTCCTTGCCAATACATAGATATCTTCCCTGTTCTTAGTAACTGCAGTAGTGTCTCTGAGGAGAGGAGATCTGGATACAGATACACACAGAGAGAAGATGATAAGGAGACCCAGGAGGAAGGCGGCCATCTACAAGCCAAGGAGAGAGAATGCAGAAGAAACCAATCCTGTCAACACCTTCAACCTAGCCTCCAGCATTGTGCAGGAATAAATTTCTGTTGTTTAAGCCACCCAGGCTGTAGCATTTTTGTTATGTTAGCCCTAGCAGCCCTAGGTCTTCTAATTCTAGAACATCTCATTCTTCCCAATTAGTAACAAATACTAAGTGAACATCTTATGCATGTATTTGATAACAAATGTCTACGGAGCTTGTGGACAGCCAAAAAATCTGTGCTGTCCTAGATTCGGCAGGTTTGCTCTTTCACCCCAGGGAACCCAGAATAATTTTCCGTCTCCCTGAGGGTGAGGACCGGAAGCCCCGAGAATGGCCTAAGCCGAGCCAGGGCATTCACAGGCATCAGGAGCTGGGGCTTCGCTTTTCACTCCCGGCCTCTTCCTGCACTTCCATCCCACCCCGCCACAGGTCACTGTCTCCATCTGCTTGGCAGGGGTCACAGCTGGACTGTGGGCTGCATCTGGCCTGGCCACAGCCACAGCCTGGCTTTCTTGAAACAGTTCTCTGCAGGGGCTGCTCCAGCTGGAGGGACGTCAGGGTGAGTTGGCTCCAGAATCTATGCACACCATGACTCCCCTCTCCTTTCCAGTTCTCTCTGCTTAAAATAATAGCCGGGCGCGGTGGCTCACACCTGTAATCCCAGCACCTTGGGAGGCCAAGGCGGGCGGATTGCCTGAGCTCAAGAGTTCGAAACCAGCCTGGGCAACACGGTGAAACCCCGTCTCTACTAAAAATACAAAAAATTAGCTGGGCGTGGCAGCGTGCGCCTCTGGTCCCAGCTACTCAGGAGGCTGAGGCAGGAGAATTGCCTGAACTCGGGAGGCAGAGGTTGCAGTGAGCCGAGATCACGACACTGCACTCTAGGCTGGGCGACACAGCAAGACCCCATCTCCAAAACTAAAAATAATAAATTAAAATAAAATAAAATAATAAAAATAATAAAGATACAGAGGGAGTCGGGGGCTGGGTGAGGGGAAGGATTATCAGGGCCGGGAGGGGGCTGGGGAGGAAGGGCCTGTGGTGGGTTTCAGTTCTCCTGTGGAGCTTTGGGAAGCAGCGAAGGTTTCCCGGGTCTGGCCTTTTCCCCGTAGGCCTTGGTGACATGGCAGGACTTGGCGGTAAGCCCAAGTGTCTCAGCTCCTCATTCTGGCTGTGACAAGCCAGCTGGGCAAGCTGAGGGAGGCCCAGGGAGCCTGGATGTACAGAGCAGGGAGCAGGGTTTTCTCCAGACGTGCCCTGCAGGAAGCAGCCAGCAGTTCTTTTGCCATCTGTGCAGGGGAGCGGAAGGCCATGGTCCTCCCAGCTCAACTTCCTACTCAACAAGTGGCCGGCGAGGTGTGAGTCAGCCTGTTGTTGCTGGACGGGTCTGAGAGCCATCGCTCTGCGTGGTGCTGACAGAGGACCCAGAAGAAGAAGGAAGGCCTCGCCCCTGCAGGCCCAGATGCTCCCAGAGGGGCTCCATTGTCCCCACACTGTGGCCAGAGGGAGCCGTCATAAAAGCTAACGTGTCCTGCTGAACAGCCTCGGAAGCTCCCGCTGACCATGACATCGAAGCCAGGGTGCCCACGTGCCCTTGCGGGCTCACCTCCCAGCCCATCTCTTCCCACTCCTCCCCCACCCCATACCCCACGGAATCCCCATTCCCTCCACCCCACCCACCCGGCTGATGACTGTCCTGCTGCTCTCCTCTGTGGCCACAGAGAGGCCTCCTGAGCTGGCTCCCTGCTGCTCACCCTCCCAGCCCTGTACTCCCCAGACCTTAGCCTCATCACCGTGCGGTGCCATGATTTCTCAGTTACTGCCGTTCCCACCGGATCACAAGCACCAGGCACACAGCAGGGGCCATGCGGTACCCACTGTGCAGAGCCCATGGTGGGCCCTCGAGCATTTGTGTGTTTGATGACTGCATGCAACATTTTCCACCCTGCACTGTAATGGCTCAGCTTTTCTTGAAGGCAGGGACTGTTGTTGATTCATTTCTGCATCCCCAGGTTTTAGTCTGATCAGACTTATTTTCTAGTTCCAAAGGCGTGCAGGCTCTGATTTCTGTAACTGAGTAAACCTTTCCATGGACTGGCCCAGAGTGGGCTCTAAGGCCATTGCCCTCTCTCAGTATACTTGGTGGGGAGACAGCGAGGCCCCCTAGCCAGAGGAGAGGAAAGAGTGACAGGACTCACCTCACAGGGCCCTTCTGACACCTTCTGACTCACCTACTGACAGATGAGATAAGTCGGAGTGGGTGTGTTCCCAGCAGCCCTGGGGCCCCAAGGAACTGTGGGCCTGCTCCTTCCAAGTTCAGGCCTAGAACAACACAGTGGTTCTGCCCACAGTTCCAACAGGTATAACAGCAACGGGGTAATAGTATGTGTCCCCATCACCCCAGGCCAGAGCCATGAGAACACAGAGCCATGAGGCCCCCTCCTTCACAAGGCTACTGGGTCTCATGGTTCTTATCTCCAGGAGCCAGGCACACAGGGACTGGGCTGTCTGAGTACCAAGCCTTTGAAATCATATCACGAAAATCTATCCCTGAGCCTATATCTCAAACATAGCGTTTGTGCCTGAAATTGCACAATTGGATTGTGGCAGTTGCATCATCTGGCTCATAGTTTAAGGCTTAGAGGTTTCACTACTTTAGATGACAGCTCGATGGCCCAAGGGAGAAAGTCTGATTACAAAGTGGCATTTACTGGGAGGTCCAGGCCCCCAAAAGGGATTGATCTGGGGGTCCCAGAACCAGGACTCCAGCAACCCCCACATACATACACAGTAGGCACTCACTGAGTGTGGAATGAATGCATGATATAAGTTTATAAGTGAATGCATGATATAAGTCCATCGGCCTTTTAATATTCAAACATCTGCCCCCACTTCACACACACACACACACACACACACAGAGAGAGAGAGAGAGAGAGAGAGAGAGAGAGAGAGAGAGAGAGAGCAGGTCTTTTCTTATTGAAGGGAAGCAGGGAATTGGTCACAGTGAGTTGATTCATCCTTACAATTTGCAAGTGACTAGAGCCAAAGAGGGGTGTAAACCAGAATCTTCTAGAGCAAGTTTGTCCAACCCGTGGCCTGAGGACTGCATGCAGCCCAGGACAGCTTTGAATGCTGCCCAACACAAATTCATAAACTTTATTAAAACATTATGAGATTTATGCACGGACCCTTTTTTTTTTTTCTTTTTTTAGCTCATCAGCTATTGTTAGTGTCAGTGTATTTTATGTGTGTCCCAAGACAATTCTCCTTCTTCCAGTGTGGCCCAGGGCAGCCAAAAGATTGGACACCCCTGTTATAGAACATTGCCTTTCTCTGCAAAAAGAGGCAGTCGGCAAGAGTTGGCAATGAGGGTGGCGAGAGGTTGTACAGTACACATAAAAGGAATACAACCCACTTGGTCCACAGAAGGGGCTGAAGCTGGTATTCTGTTCTCCCTTGGGACAGAGGCTGCTGGAAGGTGACCAGATGTTTCACTCAACAGACATTGATGAAGTGAAGCTATGAGACAGCCACTGGGATTAAACTGGTGAACAAGACAGACATGGTTCCTCCCTCATTAAGAGACATTATGTAGGTAAACAAATACATAAATGAGCTAATTCCACATTATGGTAAGTGCTGTGAAGGAGGTGATGAGAGTTAAGCTGAAGCCTAATGAATAAGTTCTTTGTTGCAGACAACAGAATCCACTCTAGCTAGCTAAGCAGAAAGGGATTTGTTACAGAGTGTTAATTCATTACAGAATTTCCAGGAGGATCAGGGAACCATGCTTGGATGCCACAAAACAAGGACAACCCAGCCAGGAGGAGGCCCAGCCACACCATGGGACCTCCCTGCTTCGACTCTCACCTCCCCCTCTGACACACGGCCTGGCACCAGCACTTGCTCCTGTCTAAGCTGCTGAAGAAGAACCAATACCTGCATGTGACCTGCTCAGATGGCTCATGTATGCCTTCCAAGTCATGCGGGGATGCTCCTGCTTGTCAGACCCAGGTCCGTAGAAGAGCTCTGGCTTTGGGGAGGGCTGGGAAAAGGCTTTTTTTTTTTTTTTTTAATGGAGTCTTGCTCTGTGGCCCAGGCTGGAATGCAACGGTGCGATCTTGGCTCACTGCAACCTCCGCCTCCCAGGTCCAAGCAATTCTCCTGACTCAGCCTCCCCAGTAGACGAGATTACAGGCATGCATCACCACGCCCAGCTAATTTTTGTATATTTAGTAGAGACGGGGTTTCACCATGTTAGCCAGGCTAGTCTTGAACTCCTGACCTCAGGTGATCCACCTGTCTCAGCCTCCCAAAGTGCTGGGAATACAGGCATCAGCCACGGTACCCCACCAGGGAAAAGACATTTTGAGCTTCTCAGATGCCTTGGAAGAGAACCCTCGAGGGAGGTTGCAGGGAACCCCAAGGTATCTAATCTACACTGTTGCTGCAACACACAGCAAAATGGTAACAGGTTTTTGTTGTTGTTGTTGTTGTTTGAGACGGAGTCTCGCTCTTTCGCCCAGGCTGGAGTGCAATGGCACGATCTCGGCTCACTGCAAGCTCTGCCTCCCAGGTTCACGCCATTCTCCTGCCTCAGCCTCCCGAGTAGCTGGGACTACAGGCGCCCGCCACCAGGCCCAGCTAATTTTTTGTATTTCTATTAGAGACGGGGTTCACCGTGTTAGCCAGGATGGTCTCGATCTCCTGACCTCGTGATCCACCCGCCTCGGCCTCCCAAACTGCTGGGATTACAGGCGTGAGCCACTGCACCTGGCCTGTTTTTGTTTTTTTTTTTTTCCGAGACGAAATTTTGCTCTTGTTGCCGAGGCTGGAGTGCAATGGCGCGATCTCGGCTCACCACAACCTCTGCCACCCAGGTTCAAGCAATTCTCTTGCCTCAGCCTCCCAAGTAGCTGGGATTACAGGCACGAACCACCACGCCTGGCTAATTTTGTATTTCTTAGTAGAGACAGGGTTTCTCCATGTTGGTCAGGCTGGTCTCAAATTCCCAACCTCAGGTGATCTGCCCACCTCAGCCTCCCAAAATGCTGGGATTACAGGCGTGAGCCACCACACCCAGCCTAACTATTTTGATGTCCAGTGGTGCAGCTATGAAAGATGTTCTGTTGCTTTTTAAAATTTTTATTTTATTTGTTTTTGCTTGTCTGTTTTTCCCAAATTTTTACAATGAACATGTAATATTTACAAAACAAAGTGCAAACGCCAGTAGTGTTATTTTCAAGGAAAGGAGACACAATGGAGTCCTATGGAAGAAGGGTTTCCCAGCCCAGCTTGGAGGGACAGGCCTTCTGATTACCCCTGCCAGCCTGAGGGCCACTTTGGGCAGGTTCTGACTGTTTGATGGCCTGAACTATTTACTATTCATGAGAATCATCTCTAAGTTGTTAACGAGATGGCGTTGGGATGAGCTCCTTATACATTCCTTCCTGTGCCGTCTGACATCTTCAACCTTTCCTCGCCCCCACTCACAGCTGTATGTGTGTGTGTGGTGCAGGGGGCTTCAGTGCTATTGCTCCCCACCCAGCACCCAGACAAAGCTAGGGTGGCTCTGGGAGCTTATTCCAGTACAGTGTGTGTGAGACGTTGTGATACAATAAGAAAGACATATTTGGTCTTTGTTTCCACTTCCCAGCACAGAGCTCCTGAAACCCTGGAATTTCCTGAGTGACAGGGGTGATAGGAGTACCTTTTGTTGTAATATTTGGTCTTAGTCCTCCGTTCCTGATACAAGAGCTTCTAAGACCCTAGGAATCTCCAGAGTGACAAGGGTACCTTTTTGATGAAAGTAAGATGACTGGTGGCTGGGGGCCCCTAGATAGCTTCAGAATGGGAGCTGGTCATGAGAAAGATCAAGACATGATTAGATAGCTGGAACTTTCAGTTCCTACCCCTACCCTCTGGGGAGGACAGAGGCTCCACAAAAACCCTAAACCCAGTTGGTAAACACATCCATATTCGAGGAATAGGGTGCACCCCAGCTCCACAGGGGCAGAAACTCCTGTGGGTGGGACCCTTCTGCACCTCACCCTTTGTACCTTTTCATCGGACAGTTCATTTATATCCCTTATGATAATCTAGTAAGCATAAGTAAAGTGTTTCCTTGAGTTCTGTGAGCCATTATAGCAAGCGACCAAATGAGAAGAGAGGATTGTGGGAACTCCTGATTTGTAGCCAAGCCAGACAGAAATGTGGGAAAACCTGAGGCCCCACTGCTTGCAGCTGGCATCCGAAGTGGGAGTGGTCTTGTTGGACTGAGCCCTTAACCTGTGGGGTCTGTGCTAAGTCCAGGTACTTAGTGTCAGAGTTGAATTAAATGGCAGGACACGTCTGGGTGCCGTGGCTCATGCCTGTAATCCCAGCACTTTAGGAGGCTGAGGTGGGTGGATCCCCTGAGGTCAGGAGTTCAAGACCAGCCTGGCCAACATATTGAAACACTGTCTCTACTAAAAATGTAAAAACTCAGCCAGGCTTGGTGGTGGGCACCTGTAGTCCCAGCTACTCTGGAGGCTGAGGCAGGAGAATCACTTGAAGCCAGGAGGCAGAGGCTGCAGCGAGCCAAGATTACACCATTGCACTCCAGCCTGGGTGGCAGAGTGAGACTCTATCTCAAAAATAAAAGTAAATTGCAGGACATCCAGCTGGTCTCTGCAGAGAACTGGATAATTGCTGGGTGTGGAAAAACCCACACTTTTGGTGTCAGAAGTTTGCTGTGGGTGAAGAAACGGTCTTCCTTTAGTGGACTTCCCCAAAAAGCAGTTAGTCCCTTCTGAATTCCTGAGCTTCTGAACTGGGTCCTCTGGTCTCGGCCAGGTGCTATGCTGGATATGAAAGAGCAGAAGTTATTATCTTCGTTCTAGAAAAAGAGACAATTTCACCAGAGAGACAAGGCACAAGTTAGATAGATAAACACAAAAAACTCCCCAAATGATGCAACTAGATGGGACTTCGGGGATTTAATATTTTTATATTACAAAAAATATTTTAATTTGGTTTCACAAATAATGCAATGTGAGAAAACTAATTTCCTTATGCTGTCACCCAAGGCTGGCTTCATGTGTGCAGTCCCACAGGCCCCACATTCAGAAGGACCCCACACTTGGTTTAATACTCTGTTGCAAATGTCTCAAAATTCTCGATGATTTGATCATTGAACTTGGATTTCATAAGTGAGGTCTGATGCTGGTGTGAACAGAAGGATAAGTGAACTCGGGCATCTAGAGTCCCTTGCTGACCCATCCCCATATAGCATTCACATTGTCCTGTGAGCACTTAATTCCAGGAGACCCATGATGCATGGGAGGTCAGCGAGACTCAAAGTGAGCACAAGGTAAGTGTTCTACCTCTGTGACTCAGTGGGTGTGACAGAGCTGAGAAGCCACACTTTCTGTTCAAACCGCAACTTGCCTAAATGCAGAAAAAAGGCAATGGCGTTCCAAGAAACATAAATGACCAAGGAATTCTACCATATGCTTTCTTACTTGTGTTGTTTCCTCACACTGACCAACCAGGTTACACTCAAAATGATGACACAGAAAGACCAAGAAAGATAAGGCTGCCAGGCCTGGTGGCTCACGCCTGTAATCCCAGCACTTTGGGAGGCCGAGGCAGACAGATCACCTGAGGTCAGGAGTTCAAGACCAGCCTGGCCAACATGGTGAAATCCCATCTCTACTGAAAATACAAAATTTAGCTGGGTGTGGTGGCTTGTGCTTGTAATCCCAGCTACTCGGGAGGCTGAGGCAGGAGAATCGCTTGAACCCAGGAGGTGGAGGTTGCAGTGAGCCGAGGTCATGCCACTGCACTCCAGCCTGGGTGACAGAGCAAGACTCTGTCTCAAAAAAAATTAAAAAGATAAGGCAACCCAAAGTTTCTTTTCTGCTCTGCCGTTCTTATTCATCAGTAAGCCAAAGGTAGAGAGTGTTGGTAGAATGTGTGCATATCAAGAAGTGAAATAAAAATAGTTGAGCTCATTTTGTGAAGCATTTCTACTTTCTGGTAAGAATGAAATACATATGCATGTACAAACAAAATATGGGTTGTGTAATTTCAGTAATTCCATGTACAAGTTAAACACTCTGATATTTGCATTTAAAATGTCATTGCACAATGTAAACATGAATGCTAACAATCTTTTTTTTTTTTCCTGAGACGGAGTCTTGCTCTATCGCCCAGGCTGGAGTGCAGCGGCACAATCTCTGCTTACTGCCACCTCCACCTCCCGGGTTCAAGCGATTCTCCTGCCTCAGCCTCCTCAGTAGCTGGGATTACAGACATGCGCCACCACACCCAGCTAATTTTTTGTATTTTTAGTAAAGACGGGGCTTCACCATGTTGGTCAGGCTGGTCTCGAACTCCTAACCTCAGGTGATCTGCCTGCCTGAGCCTCCCAAAGTGCTGGGATTACAGGCATGAGCCACCATGCCCCGCCATATTCTGTATCTCGACCATGGTGGTGGTTACACGACTGTATGTGTTTCTCAAAACTCAGAGAGCTGTACACTAACAAGGGTACATTTTATTGCTAATAAGTTATACTTTGATTTAAGTTTCTGCAATGTCCTAACCAACCATCAGAGGTCCCACGGTTTTTATGCATGTCGGAAATTCTGAGCAATGGAATGGGGACTCTGAACTGGGAAACTCCAGAGGGCAAAGGCATTTGCAGCTGTGGCTCTCTGGGAATGGAGCAGTGCTTTTGCCAGATGCTGAAGATGGAATCGCTGAGGACAACCCTGCAGAGACACGGCTCCCATGAAAAGCAACTGTAAGGCCAGGTGTGGTGGCTCATGCCTGTAATCCCAGCACTTTGGGAGGCCGATGTGGGCAGATCACTGGAGGTCAGGAGTTCGAGCCCAGCCCGGCCAACATGGTGAAACCCCGTCTCAACTAAAAATACAAAAATTAGCCGGGCATGGTGGCATGTGTCTGTAATCCCAGCTACTCAGGAGGCTGAGGCAGGAGAATCACTTGAACCTGGTAGGCGGAGGCTTCAGTGAGCCTAGATTGTGCCACTGCACTCCAGCCTGGGCAACAGAGTGAGACTCTGTCTCAAAAAAGAAAAAAAAAAAAAAAAAGCAACTGTAAAGGACCTGTGGATGGGGGAGTGGGGTCTAGGGTGCCCGGCAGGACACCCTGGCCTGTTCCAGCTGCCACTCTCTGACCTTGCCTGCCAGCAGAGGCCAGCGCTGCAGGGGCTCCTTGGCCTGCCTTCGCTGAGCTGATTTTAGGCAGAATGGATTGATTGATGTTGACAGGGAGCTATTTACCCGTCTAATTAATTATGCCAACTAATTTTCAACTTAACTGCACTTCTCGGGTCATTGGGTAAGGAGACTGTATGATTTTCATGCTGCTGCAGGCCTTGATGAGGAAGTGGCAGGAGAGGGTGGCAGCTGCTCCTGGAGGTCAAACAGGCACCCTGTTCCTCCACGTCGCTGTGTCCCTGGCCTGACTCCTGCCCCGTGGACAAGCTCTGGAGTCCTATTTGTGTGCATTCTATCCGCGTGAGCTGGCCTGTGATTCAGGAGCTTTTTGCTGTCTATTCACCTAAGTGCTCATTCGGTGCCTTCGACGTGCCAGCCCCAAACTGGGATAGGCACTTGGAGTTCCAAGAAGCTAAGTCATGCCTGACCCCACCCCCACCCCAAATTGCTCACAGCCTAAAGGAGGAGATTCCCGCTTAAACCAGCAGTTACAGACAAACGCAATCCAGGCTCTGTCATGGGGCCCTTAAGGAATTTACTTAACCTCCCTGTGCCTCAGTTTCCTCATCTAGAAAAACATTACCGGGCTGCGCCAGGATGCAGAGTATATGCAACAGGACTATCCGTCCCTGCTGCTGCCCTTTCTACCCGCCCTGCCCGTTGTCTTGTAGATTGTCCCATGTTCTGGATTTTTCTGATTGTTTCCTTCTCATGGGATGACCTAAAAAACATTTTTTTTTTTGAGACGGAGTCTTGCTCTGTTCCCCAGGCTGGAGTGCAGTGGCACGATCTCGGCTCACTGCGAGCTCTGCCTCCCGGGTTCACGCCATTCTCCTGCCTCAGCCTCCCGAGTAGCTGGACTACAGGCGCCCGCCACCACACCTGGCTAATTTTTTGTATTTTTAGTAGAGACGGAGTTTCACCGTATTAGCCAGGATGGTCTCGATCTCCTGACCTCGTGATCTGCCCGTCTCGGCCTCCCAAAGTGCTGGGATTACAGGTGTGAGCCACTGCGCCCGGCCTAAAAACATTTTTTTAAATCAAAAGCTTATTGAAGCAGTGCAAAACCAATACAAAGTATTTCCTTTCTCCTTCTCCTCCTCCTCCTCCTATTTCTTTTTCTTCTTCTTCTTCTTTTTGAGACAGGGTCTTGTTTCTTTTTTTTGAGCAGGGTCTCACTCTACCACCCAGGCTGGAGGGTGGTGGTGTGATCATGGCTCTCTGCAGCCTCACCCTCCACGACTCAAGCAGTCCTCCCACTTCAGCCTCCCAAGTTGCTGGGACTACAGGTGCATGCACCACCACACCTGGTTAATTTAAAAAGAAATTGTAGATATGAGGGTTTCACTATATTACCAGGCTGGTCTGGAACTCCTGGCCCAAGCCTCCCAAAGTGTTGGGATTACACGTATGAGCCACTGCGCCCAGCCATTTCCTTTCTTTTGAACCATTGAGAGAAAGCTGCCGACAGAATGTGCCATCATCCCTATTATTTTTTGTGTGTTTCCTACAAGCTAGGATTCTCTCTTACAAACTACAAATCAACCATCTATATTGGGAAATCAACAGTGATAAATTGCTGCCCTTTAATCCTCAGGTCCCCTACAAGTTCTGCCAACTGTCCCAATATGTCTTTCGTAGCAAAAGAATCCAGTGCAGAATCACACGTTACATTTAGTTATCAGAGCTCTTTAGTCTCCTTCAATATGGAGCAGTTCCCCAGACCTCCCTAAGATAATGGCTTTGATAGCTCTGAGATGAGAGGGCAGTTACTTTGTAGGATGTCCTCGCATTTGGCTTTGTCTGATATTTCCTCCTAATTCTATTCTGATCATGTATCTTTGCCAGGAACATCACAGAAGCGATTCTGTCATCTTGTTGCATCCTCTCAGGTGGCTCAAGATTTCAGTTTGTCCCTTTTTGATGAGGGTCACTTTGATCACTTGATTAGGGTGGTGTCTGATAAGTGTCTGTGTTGTAAAGTTTCTTGTTCCCCTTTGTAATTATCAAGTATTTTATGGGGAGTTTATTTTTATTTTATTTTATTTTTTTGAGACAGGGTCTCATTCTGTTGCCCAGGCTGGAGTGCCTTGCACGAAGATGGCTCACTGCAACCTGGACCTCCTGGGCTCAAGTGATCCTCCTGCCCCAGCTGCCCAAGTAGCTGGGACTACAGGCACGCACCACCACACTAATTTTTTTTTGGTAGAGTCGAGGTCTTGCCCTGTTGCTCAGGCTGGTCTCGAACTCCTGAGCGCAAGCAATCCACCCACCTTGGCCTCCTCAAATTCTGGGATTACAGGTGTGAGCCACCACGCCCTGTAGGGAGTTTATTTGAAACTTTATCCCATTCCTTCTCAAACTTTCAAAATCTGTATTCATTTGTATTAATCTGGTCTTGTGGTTTCCTACTTTATTTCATGCATTATAATCCTTTATGGCCATGATTTTCATGCTCAGATTGTCCCAGGTAAGCCAGTGGGAACCCCTTCAAGCTGGCTTCTAGGTCTTTTTGACATGGCCTCATCACTCTTTGAACTCCTTCCTGCTTTCTGGCATCAGATGCTCCATGATCACTTTGTACTTTGTCTGCTCTGGACTTGAAATTGGCCATTTCTCCAAGAAGCCCTGGGCACTAGGTACACACATTGCAGTCTGAGCATCGCTGTTAGCAGACAGAACAGGAGAATATATATATATATACACACACACACACACACACACAGAGATATGTGTGTGTGTATATATATAAACACGTATATGTATATATATTTCTAGAATTTGTTTTCTGTATTTATATTCTATTCATTTATAATATATATTATATATTCAGATTTATTTTTTATCTAAGTTTATCTATCTGTATTGAAAGCTGTGAGTTCAAATCTGTGTCTCCAATTCATATCTAATAAGTCCATTTCAGTTTCCCCCTTTTCTCTACATGCTCCCTGCTCTGACAATAAGAAACCTGGTTTCCCTTACCTTTAATCTCTTTATTTGCTCAATGCTCCTGTATGTAACCAATCTCCCACCTTTCCCCACCTCCTCCAGCTAGAGCTCTGACACCCCTTACAGGCAGCTCCCCTGCCCACATGGACACCCTCTTTGCCCTGTTTGGGCTCTGACTGGCCCCTGTGAGGACACACCCTCACACCCTGTGCAGGCATTCCCTCAACCCCTCAGCCCCCTGCACCTCCTCACCTGGCCTGGGCTCCGACACATGCTCTGAGCCACCAAGCCCATTCCCACCACTGACACCCATCTTGCTCTGACCCACCCAGTGGCTTTAGGACTGAATTGTTCCAGAAGAAAAGAGAGGGGAGGTGTGGAGCAGGGAAGCGTGCACACTTTTAATGACATGGAAAATACACTTCTGAGTAATGCTAAGCAAAAAAGAAGGCAAAATATATAAAATTGCACAGAGAGTACAATATCAATGATGTAGAAAGCTCAGAAACATTGGCACTCTCTCCAGCTAAAGAGCCAAGCAGAAACTGGACAAGGTTGGTTCACTGACCACCCAGTGCAGCGCCCTAAGATCTCACGTCCTTTGAGGTTACCGCTGTGCCTTATTTCCTTCATCCATGAAACGGAATGCTGGTAGCACTTACTCACAGGGTTGTCGTGAGGCTGAAGTGAGTTAACACATGAAAAGCACATAGGACACCACCGCACACACATGGGACGTGCCCCACAAATGTTACTATAGGGATGAGGAAAGTGAAGTTCAGTAAGGTCCTCTATGTTACCTTCCTGAGGTCCCCTATCATAGGCACAGTCTGGACACAGTTGTGCCCAACTCAAAGTTCATGTAAGCCTTTTGCTGTTGCACTGCTCAAGGAATTAGAAGCAGTGGGAGATGGGGTAATACACCAGTAACCAGGACAAGACTCCCTGAGACATATTCTACAAGCGCCTTGCGGACCAGAAGAGGAGTAGTTACAGTCACTTGGTAATTCACCACGAGGGCTTCCCAGCATAGGTCGGATTCAGGATATAGACCTTGAACGCTGGGAAAGATTTGAATAAGTTATGATGGTGGAAGGAAAGACTGGAGAACAGACTGAACAATGGCAGGGGACTGGGATCCCCACATCAGTCACCGGGTGAGGGCCCGTCACCTGTGAGTGTGTTCCTCAGCCTCAGCGCTGCAGGTGTTTTGGGCCAGGCAGCTCTGTATTGTGGGGGACTTTCCAGTGCGTTGTTGGTTGTAGCAACACCCCTGGCTTATTCTCACTAATGCCAGTTAGCAACCCAGGCCCCCAGAATGACAACCAAAAATGGCTACAGATGTTGCCTGATGTCCCCTGGATGGGGGTCCAAAATCATCTCCAGCTGAGTGCCACTGTCCTAGATAAATGGAATTTTCAGGAAGCCCCAATGCCACTCATTTATTAACAGGAGCCCGGCTTCTCATCCTTTCTCTTATTGTTGGATGACCTCATGAAAAGGAGACAACCACACTTCAGATGGCCACAGGAAGGAAGAAGGGAAGTGGAGTCCTCCATAATCCACAGTGCCTGTCACTGAGGGCTCCTTGATAAGGATTTTTCAAGGTATGAACGTGCAGTTCAACAGCTGGCCAGACTTCCTGGTTCAGAAGTGTAATCCTAGGTGGGGAAGTTTGTTATTACAGCCGGCAAGAACGAGGACACTTCACAGGGCTGGGCTGCCGAGGAAAGATGAGAGACTAAACTGATGAGAATCACCAACCAGTTTGATGACTTGGAGAACAGTCACTTCCTCTTTCTGGGCTACAGTTTTCTCATCAGTAACTGAAGAGCTTGCAGTACCTTCAACATTCCTTCAGGTGAGGACTTCTCTTTGATCACTGCTATGGTTTGAATGTGTCTCCTAAAGTTCATGTGTTGGAAGCTTGATCCCCAGTGCAAAAGTGTTGGGAGGTGGGGCCTAATGAGAAGTAATTAGGCCATGAGTATTCTGCCCTCATGTATTCATGAGATTAATGTCATTATCATGGGAGCGGGTTTGTTAAAATGAGTTCGGCCCCTTCCTTCTCTCTCTTTCTTCTGCCATACAGTATGGGATGCACAGTGCAGAAGGTCTTACCAGATACTGGCACCATGCTTTTGGACTTCTCAGCCCCCAGAACCATGAGCCAAATAAATTTCTGTTCATTATAAATCACCCAGTCTGTGGCATCCTGTTAGAGCAGCATAAATGGACTAAGATAATCCCTATAAAGAGTGGCAACAGAACAGTTCCCAGCTCACTGGCAGAATCCTATGATCAACTAGTAATGTCTGCCAGGGAAGGAGGATGAGTGGCACTAACATGTACGGTGTGTTTGCTCACTGTTCTACAGGATTCAACTAGAATCTCTGGGTCTGTGTGAAGACCAAGAGCTGGGAACAGAAGCAGGGCTCTAGAGGGAAAAGTTTCTTTCGGATTCCTTTTTTTTGTTTTGTTTTAAAGAGCTGCTCTGTGAGAAGACAAGGAGAAAATGGTCCCTACAGGATACTCACCTCTGTCTCAGGGAGACACTCAAGCATTTATTCAACCAAGAAAGAGAATTAGTTCCAGGTGAAAGGAGAACCCCAGAATACCCACCTACTTTTAAAATTCTCCCCTATGCATATTCAGGAACCAATCAGAGGATCTGTAATGCGCTGTGAGTAGAAAGGGAAGGGGAATGGGAAAGAAAAAAGTGAAGCTTGGAATGGTGGAAAGTACATGGGCTCTGCCATTTACCAGCTAAGTGATCTTGGGCAAGTAACTTGACCTTTCTGAGCCTCGGTTTCCTCTTTGGTGAAATGAGGACTAATAATCCATTTCTCCCTCAGTACAGACAGCCAGCATGCAGTGAGCACTCAGCGATGGCCAAGTATGGGAGAAGCCATGCTGGAATGAACATGTGGGACCATTTTGTGCAGTTTCTCAGGTAGGCTCAAGACTTGGTACTTAGTTTAACAGGCAATGGGGAGCCATTGACAACTTAAAAAAAAAATAACATAAATGGGAACCACTCAGACTGTGTCCTCTTCCTCTTCCAGAGGAAGATAACAACCATCTTCAATGGCACATGGCAGTTGCCAAATTGCCATGAAGCAATATCTAAAGCCACCTCATGCTCAGGAGAAAACGCTCACCTTCCCCTCCTGGCTCCCCGTGCTCTACACGTTCAGAGAAACTTCTCTAGTAATGAACTCAGGAACTGGTCACTGAGAGTATAGTCTCTATGGACAGCTTCGGAGCCATGGAGTGAAGCCGAGCAAATCCATGGACCACTGCCCTGCCCCCGGTCTATCTCGCTAGACTAGGGACAGGACTTGGGTGATGCAGGAACAGAGAATGGCCTGAGGAGGACACAGACCAGACCAGAGAGGAAGGAAGATGAGAGGAGGATGCGGGAAAGGGGCTTACATCAATCTCCAGAAGCAAGAGTTGGCAAAAGGCAGAAGGGAAAAGGCATAGATCCAAAAAGGCAATGGGAGAGAGGGTTTATTGGATTTGTCCTCTTTGACCTCCAGGGATTGTAGGGAGGAGATAAAATGGAATAAAGAGAGGATTGCTCAAGATTGTGAATTGGATTCCTTCGATGTTCCAAAAAAAAAAAGAGAAAGAGAGAGATTCCTTTTATTTTATATTATTTTATTTTATTATTTTATTTTTTGAGACAGAGTTTCGCTCTGTTGCCCAGGCTACAGTGCAATGGTGCGATCTTGGCTCATTGCAGCCTCTGCCTCCTGGGTTGAAGCAATTCTCCTGCCTGATCTCCTGCCCCAGTAGCTGGGACTACAGGCGCATACCACCAGGCCCGGCTAATTTTTGTATTTTTAGTAGCGACAGTGTTTCATCATGTTGGCCAGGCTGGTCTTGAACTCCTGACCTCAAGTGATCCACCTGCCTTGGCCTCCCAAAGTGCTGGGATTACAGGTGTGAGTCACTGCACCCAGCCGCGCCACACTTTAAAAAATACTGTGGTACTGCTGGGTTCAGGCACAAGGGCCACAGCTACAGTAGGGTTACAGGTGTTCATAGCTGTTTTTCTCCAAAGAATGGCTCTGCCACTGACAGACATCAGGTTCTTACCATATCCTGGCTCTTTGAAGACCACACAATCCTGATTTCTTGGTGTCGTCCCTGAGCAGATAGCGTCAGGGCCTTGCTTTCATTTCTTTACTTTCATTTATTCGCTCCTCACCACTCCCACAGCACTCTGCCTGTAGCACCTGACACTGCCTGAAGGCTTTCTCTGGGTTCAGGGCTGTGCTTGGTGAACTGGCCCCGGGAGCAGCCCTCAGCCAATGATAACTAGGACTCCTTAGATAAACTCCGCAGCTTTCTCACCCTTTGGGCAGGAAAACCTTGAGATATATTTGGCACCATCACCCAGAGGTTCCCACAGGCTGGAACCCCCTGATGTCCCCAGAGATGTCCATGAACCCAGATGTCCACAGCAGTGGCCTGCTCCTCAACTTCACCTGGCCTGGCTTCCTTCCCTTCCCGTTTCTCTTCCCCACTTCTCTCTGTACTTCTCAGAATGATCTTCCGACCAACCACTTGTACTGAAATCCTAGTCTCAGAGCCTGTTTCCAGCAGAGCCCACCCAAAGAGAGTCAGGGTTCTAGGCAGTCCATCCCATTGCCAGATCACGATCTGATCTGGAAAGAACACGTGGTCACTCCCCTCAGAGTTCATAGATTTCAAACCCACGTGCTGCTCCTCTCACTCCAGCGCCAACACTGACTGGTCCCCTGGGCTCGTGGGCCGCCGGCAGCCTCGGCTCGTTCTCCAGACAGTGTTCCAAGAAGCCACTTCCAGCGAGGAAGCGTTGGCCTGAGAACTGGAACCTCTGCGGTCTCTGCAAACACGACAATGACAAACACTTGAGAGGGCATGGGAGAAAGGAGCTCCTTCATAGGGCAGGGAGGGGTGGGCACTTGGGTGTGACCAAGGAGAGGAGGCGCGCCTGGTCAACAGCTCTCCCTGGCCCGTGTCCAGCTCCCTCCTCACACAGAGAGGGGGGCGCATCTCAGGGATGGCATCTTTCCCCCCCACAGGGAAATTCTTATCTTTGAAACAGCATGGGAATCGAGGCACCCAGGAGGGGAGCAGAGGCAGGCAGGCCTCCTTCAGGCCCATCCTCCAGCTGGGCTGGTGGTGCCAGGGAGGCTCCCTGCTTGGTAACAAAGGCCTGAGGGAGAGTTGCGAAACCCAGCAGGAAAGCCGGCTCACCTTCGCCTCCCCCTGCGGCTGGGAGGAGAGGAAATATCCCATGGCTGACTGTGCCAAGGAGGTGTCTGAGCCAGCCCTCCCGGCCCGAGGGCAGGGCAGGTGGCCCTGAGAGATAAGCCAATCCCGCAGCTGCAGATGAGGAGTTCTGAGAAGCATTGCTCAGGACAGCGGTAAATCACTTCTTGGAGGTGCCCTGCACGCCGGTCCTGGGAGCAGGCGGCCTCCCGGGGGTGCGGGAGCCCCACTCCTCCGTGGTGTGTTCCATTTGCTTCCCACATCTGGAGGAGCTGACGTGCCAGCCTCCCCCAGCACCACCCAGGGACGGGAGGCATGAGCCGGTCAAGGCACCTGGGCAAAATCCGGAAGCGTCTGGAAGATGTCAAGAGCCAGTGGGTCCGGCCAGCCAGGGCTGACTTTAGTGACAACGAGAGTGCCCGGCTGGCCACGGACGCCCTCTTGGATGGGGGTTCTGAAGCCTACTGGCGGGTGCTCAGCCAGGAAGGCGAGGTGGACTTCTTGTCCTCGGTGGAGGCCCAGTACATCCAGGCCCAGGCCAGGGAGCCCCCGTGTCCCCCAGACACCCTGGGAGGGGCGGAAGCAGGCCCTAAGGGACTGGACTCCAGCTCCCTACAGTCCGGCACCTACTTCCCTGTGGCCTCAGAGGGCAGCGAGCCGGCCCTACTGCACAGCTGGGCCTCAGCTGAGAAGCCCTACCTGAAGGAAAAATCCAGCGCCACTGTGTACTTCCAGACCGTCAAGCACAACAACATCAGAGACCTCGTCCGCCGCTGCATCACCCGGACTAGCCAGGTACCGATGGCAAAGCCCCTGTCTCCGTGGCCAAGTAGCAGGGAGGATCGGGGGCTGATAGAGCAGGGAGGGGGGTGCATTTTGCTCCCAGGGCGAGAGTCCAGATAATTGGGGCTTCGGATGGAGGGGCTTTGCTGTCCGCCTTGCCCTGGACCACTGACCTCCTGATCCCACCTGTCACAGCCAGGGTCCAGGCCACCAACACTTATCACTGGAACTCCCGCAATCGCTTCCTGCCTGGCCCCCTCTTCCATTTTGATCCCCAGCGTCACAGTCTCCATACTGCAGTAAAGTGGCTTTTCCTCTCTTTCTTTTTTTTTCTTTTTTTTCTTTTCTTTTTTTCTTTCTTTTTTTTTTTCTTTTTTTTTGAGACAGAGTCTTGCTCTTCTTGCTCTGTTGCCCAAGCTGGAGTGTAGTGGCACTATCTCGGGTCACTGCAACCTCCAACTCCCGGGTTCAAGCGATTCTCCTGCTTCAGCCTCTTGAGTAGCTGGGATTACAGGCGCATGCCACCACGCCCAGTTGATTTTTGTATTTTTAGTAGAGAAGAGGTTTCACCATGTTGGCCAGGCTGGTTTTGAACTCCTGACCTTAGGTGATCTGCCCACCTCAGCCTCCCAAAATGCTGGGATTACAGGTGTGAGCCCCAGTGCCCTGCAACCTTTTCTGTACGACAAATCTAATTTGGTCTTTTCCCTGCTTAGAGCCTTCGGTAGCTCCCAGTTGCCCATAATGGGAAGAACAAACTCCTTAGCATGGCTTCCACCTCCTCCTGCTCCATACCAAGTGCCCTGTAGAGCTTGTCTTTGGGCCTTTGCGTGTGCTGTTCCCTCTGCCTGGCCATGCTTGCCTGCCCTGCTTTTCATTTGATACACACCTACTCCTGCTTCAGGACCCAGCATGAAAGCCTCTTCCCCAGAAAACCTTTCCTGAATTCCCCAGGCTGTGTTAGGTGCCCACCTCTGCGCTTCCAAATGTAACGGGGCCACTCCGCTGGGCTCACCTTTGCCCCTTCTCCTCTCAGACTCTGCTAAGACCTGTCTGCCCACAGATGACCTTGTGGCTCTTGAATCCAGCCAGTGGCCAGGCAGAAGATGGAGTAGGCAGCAGAGGGGGTTTCTCTCTCCCCAGAATATTCACACTTTGATAAGTATCTTTAGATAGAAGAGAAAAACCCTTCAAGCCCAGAGCTGGGCTGGTAGGATTTCAGGCACCGTGAGAGCTGGATCAGGAGTTCTCCCAATGCCCCGAGATCTCCACCCTCAAGTGATATCCTGCTGTCAGCCGGAGACAAGTGAAGGGACTTGAGCTCAGGGGTCTTGTTCAACCCCAGGTGCACAAAATGACTCCAGCACCAGGCTGTGGGTGCCCACACCTCACTCCTGCTGCTGCAGAGGGGCAGGGGAGAATGGACCCCAAGGAAAAACATTCATCATCTGTAAAATCCTCTCTGTCTCCCTCTCTCCCTCTCTCTCATTCAAATTATTTATTTTGTTACACTTAGAAGAAGTCATAAAAGAACATGCTGATGTTTGGGTTGGTTTTTTGCTAGGGTCCCAGTCTCATAACTGAATTCCCTCCCAAGTTCAATACCGTGTGAAATCTTAAGCTTCCAGATAAACCATCCAAGGGTGAAGAGGCCATGTGTGGAGGAGGAGGGAGGGAGCAGAGTTCTGGAAAATTTAGTCGAAGGTAACAACAGGTGGGGCATTGGCTTTTAGTGTGGCTGGGCTGCTTGGAGCAGTATTTCATGTTTCTGTGGCAGGGCGGCATTTGAGGATGCATCCAGGCAAGCGGCCAGGAGTGCCCACGCTGCCTTTGTGGCCCGGCGCTGGCTGTATCCCCTCAGGCAAGTCCCTGGACTCCTTAGGGCTCAGCTCCTATGCCGGACTAAAGTCCCTCCAGGCTCCAAAGGCCTGTTCCTGAGTGTGCCAGTTCTGGTCTTTCCGCATGAAGTTCAGTGCTCTCCCGAGGGGTGGGGACCAATGCTGTTGGGGGAAATTGTCAATCGCAGCTGCTCGAAGGGTGAGGAAGGATCCCTGGAAGGAAGCCTGGTTAGGGCTTGTAAAACACAGTCCCCTGGCTGAGTCCCTCTCCTCCCCACTCCACACCCAGTGAGGCTTCTGCATCCACCTCTAGGACCCTGACACCGCTGATGTCCTTTGGACCAACACAGCGTGTTACGAACTTAGGACAACACTTAAAAATCTGAAGATTTCACCTGAAAGTTAGAACTTCCAGCTCCTCTTAGCAGGTGGGCTCTGCTGGCATGGAGTTTGGCTGCTTCGTTGGGTGGGTCCCCTTTGCCACAGTCCCCACCATTCCCTGTTGTCCTGGGACCCTCAGGGGTTCACCCGTTTGGGTGTCTGCCAGGCACCCAATAATAATTAATTGGTTATAATTATTGGTTAACAGGCACTCTATTAATAATAAAGAACTATTTCAAACAATTCACAGTTTTAATTTCATTTTGAGACGGAGTCTCACTCTGTCGCCCAGGCTGGAGTGCGTTGGCTCGATCTTGGCTCACTGCAACCTCTGCCCCCCAGATTCAAGCGATTCTCCTGCCTCAGCCTCCCGAGTAGCTGGGATTAAAGGTACCTGCCACCGCACCAGGCTAATTTTTGTATTTTTAGTAGAGATGGGGTTTCACCATGTTGGCCAGGCTGGTCTTGAACTCCTGACCTCATGATCCACCCACCTCGGCCTCCCAAAGTGCTGGGATTACAGGCATGAGCCACCGTGCCTGGCCAGTTATAGTTTCTAATATGGCAAACATAAATAGCTATAATCCACATGAAGAAAAGCTCTTTGAGATCACCAATAATTTTTAAGAGTGGAAGGAAGGGTTTGTGATGTCCCTGTCACACACACATGCACATATGCACACACAAACACACACACGAATGCACACAAATGCACCTACACACCCCCCCACGTGCAGGGACTCAGGGACAGCCAGTTCCCATAGACACAGCTGGGGAGCTGGAGCCTCAGCCTAGGCTGTCCTTGGAAGTAGGTGATGAGAAGAATAGGAGAGAGTGGGGAAATATATTTGAATTCTCCCTCTCCTAAGCCTCAGCCCCCGAGCGGAGCCGGAAGGGAACCAACTGAGAGTCCCAGCATGAGAGATGTTTCCTGGAGCAGTTTCAGCTCTGGAAGAAGCAGGAATTCTCTTTCCTTCCCTTCATGCCCAAATTCCTTTATTCCAGGCTGGGCACGGTGGCTCTCACCTGTAATCTCAGCACTTTGGGAGGCTGAGGCAGGTGGATCTCCTGAGGTCAGGAGTTCAAGACCAGCCTGGCCAAGATGGTGAAACCCCGTCCCTACTAAAAATACAAAAATTAGCTCGGTGTGGTGGCAGATGTCTGTAATCCCAGCTACTCAGGAGACTGAATCAGGAGAATCGCTTGAACCTGGGAGGCGGAGGCTGCAGTGAGCCAAGATGGTGCCACTGCACTCCAGCCTGGGCAACAGAGCAAGATTACTCTGTCTCAAAAAAACACTTCCCTTATTCCACAAAGCCTAATGTGCCCCCACACCCAGGACGGCAGAGTGGACCAAGAGGGATCCTTCCCTCTGGGGAGCTCCCTGCCAACCACCTGCTCCTTAGGAGAGAGGAGAAAGAATTAGACGATGGCAGTCCCAGGCTTGGGCAACCCTCGGTGCCTGGAAGTGGAGGAAGGGATTAGGGCAGGCTTCACGGAAGAGGTGGTCTCGGAGTAGAGTCTCAAAGGCTGAGTAAGCGTTTGCTGGGCAGAGAAGGAAGGGAAAGGAATTCCAGGCCTAAGGAGGGTCACATGCGAAAGTCAGGAGGTTTGAGAGGGCCCATGTGTCTTGGAGGTGATGGGACCAGAGCTTGGGGATGTGATAAAGGGTGAAGACAGGAATAGAGGCTGTCGGGGCCAGAGCCAAAGACTGAGAGCAGCGGTTCCCAAAGCATGGTGTGGGGGATCCCTGAGGTCCCTGGGGCCCTTTCAGCGGCCGTAAGACCCTGCCCTTTCGAACCACTTATCCCATGTGGGGCTGGATTATTCCCATCCACTTCCTCCCAGACAACCCTTCGCAGCAGATTCACGCAGAAGCGGCTCTGACCAGGTGAAGGTGCGGACATCAGAGATTTGCAAAAACGCAAAACAGTGCCGCCCTGCTCACCACATTTTTGTTATTGTTTTGGAAAATGCATTTCTTTTTCATTAAAATTGTTATTTTATGTTAACATACGATGGGCTTATTACTGATATTTTAAAATAACTATTAATAGTAAAGAACTATTTCAAAAACTATTCAGTTTTAGTTTCTAATATGGCAAACACCAATAGCTGTAACCCACACGAACAAAAGCTCTTTGAGATCAACAATAATTTTTAGAGTGGAAGGGGGTCCTGACACAAAATGGACAGGGAGTTTTTCAGGCAAGTCAGGGCCAGTGGAGAAAGTGAAGTGGGGACGAGGCAGGATGATGTTCCTGGCAGGGAAACTAGGGGCTGGAATTATTGCTCTTTTATTTTTATTTTTTATTTTTTTATTTTTTATTTTTCTGAGACTGAGTCTCGCTCTGTTGCCCAGGCTGGAGTGCAATGGCGCGATCTCAGCTCACTACAACCTCCGCCTCCCAGGTTCAAGCAATTCTTGTGCCTCAGCCTCCCAAGTAGCTGGGATTACAGGCGCATGCCACCACCCCAGCTAACTTTTGTATTATTATTATTTTTTTTTTTAGTAGAGATGGGGTTTCACCATGTTGGCCAGGCTGGTCTCGAACTCCTGACCTCAAGTGATCTGCCCACCTCGGCCTCCCAAAGTGCTGGGATTACAGGCATGAGCCACTGCACGCTTCTGGTAGCTCCAGGCATTCCTGGTTCATGGCCGCATCGCTCCAATCTCTGCTTTAGGCTTCACACGACGGCTTTCTCCTCTTCTCTCGGTGCTTCTTTCTGATATCTCTCATAAGGACATGTATCATCGGATTTAGAGCCCACCAGATAACCCAGGATGATCATCTTGAGATCCTTTACTGAATTACATCTGCAAAGAAGCTTTTTCCAAATGAGGTCATATGCACAATTCTGGTGTTTAGGGTTGGACGTATCTTTTGAGGAGACACCATTCAATGCACCTTCTTTTTCTTTTTTCGTTTCTTTTTCTTTCTTACTTTTTTTTTTTTTGAAACAGGGTCTTGCTCTGTCACCCAGGCTGGAGTGCGGTGGTGAGATGTCGGCTCACTGCAACCTCTGCCTCCCAGGTTCAAGCGATTCTCCTGCCCCAGCCTCCCAAGTAGCCGGGATTACAGGCGTGCGCCACCACACTGAGTTGATTTTGTATTTTTAGTAGAGATGGGGTTTCGCCAAGTTGCCCAGGTTGGTTTCAAACTCTTGGCCTCAAGCAATACACCAGCCTCGGCCTCCCAAAGCGCTGGGATTATAGGCATAAGCCACCGTGCCTGGCCTTCAACCCACTATACCTTCTTAGGAAGAACAGTGGTCCAAACCAGTTACTGGCTTCAAATTAATCCAGCTGGAAGACAATCCCAACAGGAAGCAAACAAGATAAACCTAGACAGGGTGAGCCTGTATTTCCAAGCATCCTTTAATTCAAGATGCTGGGTTATTTCCAAACCTGCCCCTGTCTCTGTTCAATCACCAGCTCACCAGCCCTGTCTCAGGAAAATGATGATTCATTGGCATAGAACTGGAAGTACTTACTGACCTATCAGGGAGGGAGGGAATTGTTTCTTTTGTCAATACCTTGGAAGAGGAGGCATTTATCTTTCAGCAAACAGGGAAAGCCTAAGCTGCTTTCAGTGCTATAAGGCTAAATGTGTGCAAGACAATTAATTGTGTGATTACAGGGCCATGGTTCTAATGATCACAGCCTCATTATTAGAACATCTTTTCCGATTTCCTGCCCAGGGTGAGCAATCTCTGAGGAGTTCCCTCCCCTGTCCAGCTATCCATCCACATCACAGAAAGTTGATTCCAAGTGGATACCAGCCATCAGTTTGGCCTGCCAGTAAGACACCTCTCTTTCCTTGGCTACTTCCCAGATGGCGGTGGTTTTAAAAAATATATTGCAATGATTAGAAAGATAGTGGAAACTTATTATTACAGGTAATCTTGAAGAAAGGGAATGGCCGTATTCCCTGTGAAAGGAAAGTATCTTTGGCCCCCAAAATCACTAAGGAAAACTCAAGCTGGAAACTGCTTAGGGCAAACCTGCCTCCCATTCTATTCAAAGTCACCGCTCTGCTCACTGAGATAGATGCATATCTGATGCCTCCTTTGGAAAGACTAATCAGAAACTCAAAAGAATGCAACAGTTTTTGTCTTACTTATCTGTGGCCTGGATGCTCCCTCCTGGCTTTGAGTCTTCCTGCCTTTGCTTCCAGTTGTCCCACCTTTCCAGATTGAACCAAAGTACTTCTTACATCTATTAATTGATGTCTCATGTCTCCCTAAAATGTATAAAATCAAGCTGTGCCCCGACCACCTTGGGCACATGTCGTCAGGACTTCCTCGGGCATGTCCTCAACCTTGGCAAAATAAACTTTCTAAATTAACTGAGCCCTGTTTTATTTTCTGGGTTCACATCCCCCATCCTAACATGACTGTTAGTTTTTGCTTTGGGCTTACCTACAATCATGTACGGAATAATGACATTTTGGTTACTAACAGACCACATCTATGACAGTGCTCCCATAAGATTATAATGGAGCAGGTGGGGTGGCTCACTCCTGTAATCCCAGCAATTTGGGAGGCTGAGGCTTAAGGATTGCTTAAGCCCAACAGTTCGAGACCAGCCTGGGCAACATAGTGAAACCCCATGTCTACAGAAAAAAAATGAAAGAGAGAGAGGAAGAAAAGAAAGAAAAGAAAGAAAGAAAGAAGAAAGAAAGAAAGAAAATTAACATTTTAAATTTTTATGTATTTTCTTATTTTTTTATTTTGAGACAGAGTCTCTTTCTGTCACCCAGGCTGGAGTGCAGTGGTGCGATCTCGGCTCACTGCAACCTCTGCCTCCTGGGTTCAAGCGATTCTCTTGCCTCAGCCTCCCCAGTAGCTGGGACTATAGGCGTGCACTACCAGTCCAGCTAATTTTTTTTTTTTTTTTTAGTAGAGACGAGCTTTCACCATGTTGATCAGGCTGGTCTCGAGCTCCAGATCTCAAATGATCCGCCCGCCTCGGCCTCCCAAAGTGTTGGTATTACAGGCGTGAGCCACCGCGCCCGGCAGTAATTAACATTTTTAATGACTGCCTAATAAGCTGCTTGTCAGTATATCACAATTAAGGTATTAGAAAGGACTCATGACTGGGTGACAGAGAGTAAACCCAAACAAGCTTAAGAAGAAGAGAAACATTCATTAACATCCACAGTGGAAAAGTCAAGGGTGGCACTGGTCTCAGGCATGGCTGGAACCAGGTGTCCAAATGACAATGCTGGGACTCTGTCTCTACCTCCTGGCTGCTTTCTCCAGGGATGGCTTCATTGTCAGGCAGGCTCTCCCCAAGAGGTAGCAAAAATGGTTGCCAGCAGCCATTGCTTATAAAATACCAGCTAAGCAACCTCGTAGAAAGAACACCTCCTTTTCCCAGGAGTCCCAGCTAAAGTCCTGGGCTGACTCTTATTAGAATAACTTAGATCATGTGACCACCTCTGGACCAATGTCTGTGGCCAACAGGGGATGCCATGCTCCCATTGGTCTAGCCTTGGTCATGTGGTCTCCCCATATCCAGTCAAAGAATGGCAATAGACCCTTCCAAACCACATTGATTGTGGAGGGGAGGCAATTACTTAAAGTCAGATTGGGATGCTGTTGACAGAAGAAGGGAGAATGAATGCTTGGCAGGAGGAACACAGATGTCTCTCCTGCTCACTGAAGGTCTAGAACTCCCCTCCCCAGTTTCTACTGTGACACATGATGCAGTAGCTGTGGGTAGAGCGTGACTCCCTTCTCCATCCCACGGGGAGCAGCTTGCTCTAGGCGCTTATATACGGTGCCTCCACATGGGATTTTGTTTGAGGATAGGATTCCACGGCTTAACAGCATTTGAAAATCAGTGGCCATAGTGTGCCCTCTAGCTCCAAGTGGCTGAGAATCCATAACCTTAACTTTATTCCTCTTCTGGAACCGGTTGAGATGCTTCTTCTTGTTCTTCTCTGCTCTCCTTCTCTTTCTAGACTTTTCCCTTCCTCCTCTGCACTCCCCACTCCCACAATGGGCATAGGGGCCAACAGATAGGTGGTGGGACTGGAGAGATGGTATCAGGACAGGCGCAGGGGCCTCCACTCCAGCTCTTCCTTTTCCTTCCATTAATCCTGCCCAGTCAGACCCACTCTACCCCATCCTCTCCCCTCTGGCCCAATGGGAACAGCTCTCCCAGGCCCACTGGGACTCAGGCAGTTTGGGTGAAACCAGTTAGCACCTGCCCCTGACCTTTCTGGTAACTGAGCACTCTGCCCTGGCCCAGGTCCTGGTCATCCTGATGGATGTGTTCACGGATGTGGAGATCTTCTGTGACATTCTAGAGGCAGCCAACAAGCGTGGGGTGTTCGTTTGTGTGCTCCTGGACCAGGGAGGTGTGAAGCTCTTCCAGGAGATGTGTGACAAAGTCCAGATCTCTGACAGTCACCTCAAGGTAGGGGCCCCAATGAGAGTCCTAAGGGTACTCATATTAGCCCAGATAGGATAGTCTATGCAATAGTAACAAATGTCCCTCATCTTGTGTTAATAGCTTAACACAATAAAGGTTCATTTCTTGCTCAAACAAACTCCTATGTAGGTCAGATGGCCCTCCTCCATATTGTAGCTACATCATGAGAAATACACGGCCTCTAAGATAACCATGACAGGGAAAGAGAAGGCTGGGAGACTCTGCAGGATGTTTCCAGGATCTGACCTGGAGGAGATTTCCATCGCTTTCTCTTATAACTCATTGACCTTACCCAGATGCACGGATGCTGGGAAATGTAAAGGGTCATGGGTATCTGGTGAGCAGCATCTCTGCCATGTACTCCAGTTCTCCTCTCAGCTGGGGAAGCCCAGGGATTGCATCTTACAGGGCAGGCAACCTCCAGGGTCTGTGGGTGCATGTTCAGAACTCCCTGGTCCCAACAAGACATTGATCCTCTTGGACTTAACTGAACCCCGTACTTCCCTCTCCTGGCAAAGAGAAAAGAAACCCAGCGATAAGGGTTTGATTCATCACATAAATTTGAGGACAACTAATTCAAATGTGAACACCACCCATAGCTTTCATGAGTAGGCCTGGGTGAACAGCTGATTGGTGGCCCTCAGAGTTCTTTTGATCAGTCTCCTCTAGTTCAGGCAAGAGAGGTTCTGTCCTCTGGGAGAACCTCCCAGATAAGAATGAAGCCTCCTCCCTCCCTCCCTTCCCCTCTGCACAGATGCAGCTGAGTTCAGTGCTGCCTCCTGCTGCCACAGGCCTTGGGACCTCTGGCTGCTGGTCTGTTTGGCATGACGTAGATCATACCTCCTTGGCACGAGGCCATTGAAACAGGTCAGAAGTGTCAGAACTGGCCTTGCTTTCATGGCCTATGCTGGCCACACCTGACAGTACTCTGCTCACCATAGGACAATGGTGTCCCTCCTCTCAAGATCTCACAGAGCTATGGAGAAGCCCAGGGGAAGCGGCTGGAGGCAGGACTGCCCTTCCCAGGACCTGCCAAGCCACCAGCAGTCTTTTGAGGAATCCAGACAGTATTCCACCTCCCTCAGCCTTAACCCTGAGACTCCCACACTTTACCCACTCTTCCATTTCTCCAGCCTTCCAGCTGTACGGCGGGAGCAGCAGGTGCTACAGGGAAGACAAGGGATAAATAGAGCCATGGTAGGGTTGCAGACTCACCTTTGCTTAAGACAATACAGGGTCTATTGCTACCTCCACAAAACCACCTCCTCTGGCTGCACCGAGCCTTCCCTCTGAACAGCTTAGGGTCAGGGACTCAGGTCAAGCCACTTACAAGGCAGGGCTGGGCTTGCCTCCAAGTAACTGCCAGGCCACCTGTGGCTCATGGGGGCCTAGACTCGGGGCTCCATAGGCATTAGGCCCTTGCTTTTCTTTTATTTGCTGCCTTATTTGAATTCTACCACCTTCCTTTTTTTTTGTTGCCAGCTGATGCCAGGACAGTGAAGACAATTTAGACAATTCAGCCCAGGGAAAATATTAATATGGTCCAGAATCCCACCAACCAGAGATAACACATTTCCATCTTGATGAACATTCTACCAGACATTTTCATGCACAAATTGTCTTAGTCCATCACAGCTGCTATAACAGAAGTCCATAGACTGGTGGTTCATAACAACAGAAATTTATTCCTCATGGTTCTAGAGGCTGGGAACTCCAAGATCAACGTTCTGGCAGATTCGGCGTCTGGTGAAGCCCACTTCCTGGCTTATAAATGGCTGTCTTCTTGCTGTGTCCTCACATGGCAGAAGGAGTGAGGCAGATCTCTAGGCCTCCTTTATAAGGCACTCCTCCCATTCATGAGCACTCCATCTTCATGACCTAATCTCCTCCCAAAGGCCCCACCTTCTAGTACCGTCACCCTGGGGATTAGGTTTCAACACAGAATGGGGGTAAAGGGAACATAAACATCCAGCCTAAAGCCCAAATGTATCTCTATAAACAGAATTAGGAAGTGACACCTTGACTTTCCCTCCAACAGAACATTTCCATCCGGAGTGTGGAAGGAGAGATATACTGTGCCAAGTCAGGCAGGAAATTCGCTGGCCAAATCCGGGAGAAGTTCATCATCTCGGACTGGAGATTTGTCCTGTCTGGATCTTACAGGTGAGCCTTGGATTCATCTCCTGTCAAGGATTCATGGAGAACAAGGGCTGAGTGAGGTGCAGACCAGCTCCCGCTGCTCAGACACAAACACCCCCAGCAGCTCCCAGAAGGTCTCCCTCTGCCCGGAGCTGGAGCTGCATCACATAGATGGGGTGAGAGGCAAGAAATGTGGACCCTTTCTGGCAAGAATTCCAGGTAGAGAGGCATTTCCAGGTGCCTCCGTTTCCCTTGATATTGCAATAGGACGTAGAATCCTCTTCTTTTCCCTCCTCGGATATCTTAGACGTGATTATAAAGTGATGCAATTTGTTTAGTTGTGTGTGTGCACATCCCATTGCTTTTTTTTTTTTTTTGAGATGGAGTCTCGCCCTGTCACCCAGGCTGGAGTGCAGTGGTGCAATCACAGCTCATTGCAACCTCCGCCTCCAGGATTCAAGAGATTCTCCTCCCTCAGCCCCCCAAGTAGCTGGGATTGCAGGCACCCGCCACCACGCCCAGCGAATTTTTGTATATTTAGTAGAGACGGGGTTTCATCATGTTGGCCAGGCTGGTCTCAAACTCCTGACCTCAGGTGATCCACCCATGTGGCCTCCCAAAGTGCTGAGATTAGAGGCGTGAGCCACTGCACCCAGCCCCGTTTTATTTTTTAAATTTTTATTATTTGCTCAAGCAACCCACCAGCCTCAGCCTCCCAAAGTGTTGGGATTACAGGCATGAGCCCCTGCGCCCAGCCTCAATTTGTGTTTAGACCCTCACACATAGACTCCTACATCCAAATGACTGACCACCCATTTATTCTAACAATGCTACCTTGCCTGAGTCTGCCTTTGAAACTTGACTTCAGAGCTTAAAAGATATTCTTTGAAATGTTCTCAGTGGCGGCGCTAGGGAAGTGGATTTGATGGTGGATTTTGTGAGAGGGATGAAATGAGAGAGCAATTGAGGAAGGGAGGAACAGCCGAAGGTCATTTGGGAACATTTGTTTAGGAAGGTGATGAGTGTGACAGAGAGTGCAGAGGAGGGCAACTGGTTACATCTTTTCTTGCTTCCTCTGCTGCAAACACATAGTAGTGACCAGTGAAATATGAGCACAAACATTGGGATAAGCTGGGAGTGGAAGGCAGGTTTCCAGGGGGTGTTAAGGATGCAGTCTTTCCCCAGGGAGCAGGAGCCCGCAATGCTGTTCCAAAGCTAGGTGAAGCCAACTGGCAAATCTCTAGCCAGAGACAAATGAGCATAAAGGGAAAGAGAGAAGGGAGGGCGGAAAAACCCCTACATTTAAAATGTGCTATCTTTCTTTAGCCTTATTAGTGCCGTTTAGCTGAAATTCCACTTTTAATGATATTAACATTGCTACCTCCAGTCTTCCTTGGGCTTAAATTTGTACAGTGTCTTAGTCCATTTGGGCTGCTATAATAAAATCCCATAGACTGGGTAGCTTATAAACAATGGAAACCCATTACTCACAGTCCTGAAGGCTGGGAAGTCCTAGGTCAAGGTGTGGGCAGATTCAGTGCCTGGGGAAGGCCCACCTTCTGTCTCATAGACTGCTGCCTTTTCACTGTGTGACACAGTGAAAGTGTATCTTTATCCCTTCATGGTAAAAAAAAAAGGTGAGGGAGCTCACTGGGGCCTCTTCTGCAAGGGCACTAACCCCATTCCTGAAGGTTCTACCTTCATGACCTAATTATGCCCCAAAGGCCCTACACACTAATAGCATCACATTGGGGATTAGGATTTCAAATATGAATCTGGAACAGAAACAGACATTCAGTCTACAGCACAGAGTATAACTTTCTCTCCATCCCATTATTTTCAAACTTGCTGATAGATTTTAAGTGTGTCTTTTGTGAACAACATATCATTAATTTTTGTTTTTTTGAGACGGAGTCTCGCTCTGTCACCCAGGCTGGAGTGCAGTGGTGCAATCCCAGTTCACTGCAACCTCTGCCTCCCAGGTTCAAGTGATTCTCCTGCCTCAGCCTCCCTTGTAGCTGGGATTACAGGCACCCGCCACCACGCTCGGCTAATTTTTGCATTTTTAGTAAAGATGGGGTTTTGCCATGATGGCCATACTGGTCTCGAACTACTGACCTCAGATGATCCACCCACCTCAGCCCCCCAAAGTGCAGGGATTACAGGCATGAGCCACCGCTCCCAGCCTCATTAAAGTTTTTAAAAGTATAGTTTTATCATCTCTGTCTTTTAATAGGTCTAATCCAGTTAGTTATTGTGATTGCTGATGTATTTGGATTTATTTCTAATATTTACATTTTGACTTTGCTTTGCTTTTCCCCTTTTGTGTTTGCAGTTGAATGGAGAGGTTTTCATATTACTTCTTTTTTAGATAGCTCCTTTTTTTCTCTGCTTGCTACGAAGCTTAATAATTTATATTTTTACTCTTTTCTTTTAATGGGACTCCTTCAGTTTTTAAAATACTTTACACATTTTCCAAACAAAGTCCAAAATTGTGTGATAATTCTCCTCTCTTCCCAAATACAACAAGGACCTTCCTGCACTGTTTTTCGACATTTTGGTTCCTATTAAGTTCGTCAAGGCTATTTCACCGTAAGGCACAGAAAATCTACTTAAACTGGCTAAGTAAAGGCAGAAGGGAGGGGGTGTTGTAAGGCTGTGGCAATTAATCTCAGGCACAGCCAAGGGCAGGACCAGGGGCTGCCAGGCCTCCCCAAGTCTGGGAAAAGCTAGGGTAAAAGCTGCTCACTCTGGCTTTCATGGGTCCACAGGCCTGTTGTTTAGCTACTTTTCCTGGTTCTCTCTCCTGCCTCATGGATTGTATAAGTTAAATCTGACCTCCTCATCCCTAAACTTTGGGGCTGCCCAGCCCAGCCCCCACCACCATCACCCCTGGTCCAACCATTCTGTCAGCCCAGATCACCCACCAGTGGATGAGCTGTCTCTGAGTCTGGTGTCCACCCCTGAGCCAGTTACCTGTGGCTGGGGCAGGGGTGGCAGAAGGGAACTTGGCATGTGGCAAAAACATGGCTGCCCTTCACTCAGGCCTAGGGTGGGGCAAGTTTTCAGAGAAGAATCTCTAAAATATGTCATTCCGTCCTCAAACGTTATAGAATTTGAAGGTAGGAGAACAAGGCTATGGGAAAAAAAGAGAATGTGGCTTAGGAGGCACATTCACACAAGTGCAGTTCACACCTTCCTTCCCAGCTTGCCTTGAGGTCTGGAATGTCCTTCATAGCACCGAGGGTCCCCATGTAAGTGCCTGTCTCATGTAAATGGAATTATCATTCAATATGTGGCATTTTGTGGCTGGCTTCCTTCACTTAACATAACGTTTTCCAGGCTCATCCGAGCTGTAGCGTGTTTCAGTGCTTTCTCCCTTTTCATGGCTGAGCAAATATTCCATGGACAGGATGGACCACAGTTGGTTTATCTGGTCACCAATCAATAGACATTGGGTTGTTTCCCCCTTTCGGCGATTGTGAATATTAGCTGAGGAATTCTTGCAGCGCTCTTGACACTCCATTTCAAGGCACACATTCTTCCCTGGGGAACTCAGGTTTTGCATCACTAAAGGGAAGAAGGAGGTTGAGCCAAGGGCTAGAATAGCTGAGGATTCCCGAAGAAATCAAAGAACAGGTGCAGTTTGAAATCAAAGAACAGGTGCAGCTGAGCTGTCTCCTCAGTAGCCCCAAAGCACATGATACACTTTAAAGTGATCTGGGCCGGGTGCAGTGGCTCACGCCTGTAATCCCAGCACTTTGACAGGCCAAGGCGGGTAGATTACCTGAGGTCAGTAGTTTGAGACCAGCCTGGCCAACATGGTGAAACCCTGCCTCTATTAAAAATACAAAAATTAGCTGGGCATGGTGACAAGCACCTGTAATCCCAGCTGCTGGGGAGGCTGAGGCATGAGAATCACTTTGAACCTGGGAGGCGTAGGCTGCAGTGAGCAGAGATCGCACCACTGCACTCCAGCCTGGGTGACAGAGTGAGACTCTCCCTTAAAATAAATAAATAAATAAATAAAGTGATCTGAACTTCAGTAGATCAAGGTTTGGATGTTTTTTAAAAAAAGTCTTCTTACCCGGAGGCTCTTATCTATAATGTCCTGCCCCAAAGTTCAAGATTAGGCAATTATTTTTGAGAAACGTTACGCCCTCCCAGGACCCACTAGCTGCATTGCACACGACCATGGGGCAGTTATCTCTGTGGAAAAAAGGAGAAGGCCTGGGAACACAGGCATTTGGAAACAAAGATGTAAAGATAAAAGGCTGAGAAACAAGTTCTTATTATCTGTGTGCATGATGAAAACTGATGAAGGAGCTTAAGCGACCGGGAGGGATTTCAAACATTTCAGGGAGATCAGAACTGCGCTAGGAGTGGGGGCTTCCTCCCTCTACCAAATGGTGTCAAATGCTGGGCAGATTAAGCTGAAACACATTCCCAAGATAAACTTCCCTTTAACACCTTCAGGAAAACAGAATGTCTGTCTTCAGCTTCTCGAAATATGAATTGTTCCACCCTCGAATCCTCAAATCCATATCATTTCACTTTTAAACCAAACAATATCTCATACATTATGCTTTCTCCTAGAAGAAGAATAATTTGAATGTGTTAGGTCGTACCCCACTCTTTTTTTTGAGACGCTCTTTTGCCTAGCGTGGTGGTGGCGTGATCTCGGCTCACTGCAGCCTCAGCCTCCTGGTTCAAGAGATACTTCCACCTCAGCCTCCTGAGTAGCTGGAATTACAGGCGTGCACCACCACACCCGGGTAATTGTCTTGTATATTTAGTAGAGACGGGGGTTTCACTGTGTTGGCCAGGCTGGTCTCGAACTCTTGACCTCAATTGATGCGCCCTCCTCGGCCTCCGAAAGTGCTGGGATTACAGGCGTCAGCCACTGCTCCCAGCTTCTATACCCAACTTTTAATAGCTGTGTACCTGCCATCTCTCTGGGCCTGTTTCCTCATCAGAACAAAATGGAAAACAATAACGCACTCCATTTGTATTAGAATTGTTGTAAAATTAAGTAAAACAGCAAGTGTAAATACTTCGCTGCTGGGCATCTGAGATGCACTAAAAAAAGGTCACTTGAGAGTGTATTGTTAAGACATTGGTATTACTTATACTTTCAAATTTATTTTGATATTAATAATTATAATTCCAAGCAGGGTCTGTTTGAAAAGGATTCGTGAGTTTTACCAGGCAGGCCGTGATTATTACTGTTACCAGCATTTTTATGCTTAACTAACATTGGTCTGTTGTATAAAGTGGTTTGACCTCACTTTCCAGTGGGTTTCTGTGAATTAGAAAAGAGCTATCATTGACCAGGCGCGGTGGCTCACGCCTGTAATCCCAGCACTTTGGGAGGCCAAGGTGGGCAGATCACCTGAGGTCAGGAGTTCGAGACCAGCCAGACCAACATGGAGAAACCCCATCTCTACTAAAAATACAAAATTAGCCATGTGTGGTGGCCCATGCCTGTAATCCCAGCTGCTCAGGAGGCTGAGGCAGGAGAATAGCTTGAACCCAGGAGGCAGAGGTTGCGGTGAGCCAAGATTGCACCATTGCACTCCAGCCTGGGCAACAAGAGCGAAATTCTGTCTCAAAAAAAAAAGAAAGAAAGAAAGAAAAGAGCTATTATTATGAAAGTATACTAATTTTTTTATTTGTGAAGCATTATTCCAGGAAGTAAGGGCCCTTCCTGTGTGTTATCCTTCTGCAGGGTTTGTTAGAGGGAAAGTGCTGGAAAACATGCCTTCCCCCAGCCCTCAACCCTTAACAGCTCTCAGCCCCGCTGCCCAGCCCACTCTCCAACTAAAGAAGCCAGCAGAGAAGTCTGAAACCATTTCCACACAAGACAGATGGGAGTGGAGTTCATCTCTCCCTGTCTTATGGGAGCTACTGGGGAATTAAAATGAAAAACAAAATCTTCTCTCAGAAAACTTCCCTACGAAAGTAGAAGTGAAGGAAAACAATTGTGTTATCAAGTAAGCATTGGACCAGAATATGATGCACATGATGGGCAACTCACTACAGAGACAGCAGGCAGAACAAAACCTCTCTTTCATATAGCAAAGTGGATCCAACCCATTACAGTAGGGAGGTTCTGCTTGTGGAGTCAGAGGACAGCTGCAGTCAGGCCCACCTTCTTCCAGAACACCGGAGGATGGAGTGTGATTTACATACAGCTAAAATTTTTGAAGTAGAAAAGGAAGAAGGGGAAGGTCTCTTCCCTTATTTTCAGTGGGAAGAATTAAGCATCTCATCTTTAATTTGCACTTGCCCTTCCAGAGTCCATCACGCAGCTGGGGGGCCCTCGCCCTGGGCAGGGGCAGGAGGAAGCAGAACTAACATTGCTGAAGGATGTCAGGGACTGGGCCAGGTGTGATCAGAACTTTAATAAGGGCCAGGTGTGGCGGCTCATGCCTGTAATCCCAACACTTTGGGAGGCTGAGCGGGGTGGGTCACTTGAGGTCAGGAGTTTGAGACCAGCCAGGTCAACATGGTGAAACCCCATCTCTACTAAAAATATAAAAAATCAGGAGGGGCGCGATGGCTCACACCTGTAATCCCAGCACTTTGGGAGGCCGAGGCGGGTGAATCACCTGAGGTCAGGAGTTCGAGGCCAGCCTGGCCAACATGGCAAAACCCTGTCTCTACTAAAAATACAAAAAATTAGCCAGATGTGGTGGTGGGTGCCTGTAATTCCAGCTACTTGGGAGGCTGAGGCAGTAGAATTGCTTGAACCTGGGAGGCAGAGGTTGCAGTGAGCCGAGATCCACTCTAGCCTAGGTGACAGAGCAAGACTCTGTCTCAAACAAATAAACAAAAAAAAAAAATATATATATATATATACACATATATACAAAAAAAAAATTAGCTGGTGTGGTGGCACGTGCCTGTCATCTTGGCTACTAGGGAGGGTGAGGCAGGAGAATTACTTGAACCTGGGAGGTGGAAGTTGTAGTGAGCCAAGATGCACTCCAGCCTGGGCGACAGAGTGAGACTGTCTCAAAAAAAAACAGAAACAAAAACAAAAACAGACTTTAATAAGGATTTAATCTTTATGACAACACTTTGAAGAAGGCATCATCCTCCTAATTGACAGAAGTGGGGTGGGGGATTTAGGCACAGAGAGGGGAGGCAACTGATCCAGGGTCACCAGCTTCCTTGACTAGGGTCACCAGCTCTCCAATCCCTGTGAAGCTGAGGGCTGGGCTTGTTAGCCTGATGTGCAGCCCAGGAGGAAGGCTGCCACAGCCGGAATACATGCAGGGCCGTCTGTGTTTACTGTCATTCCTGAGAGCTGTGGAGGAGCCAGCTCCTGGAGGGAGAACAGGACACCAACAGTGATTTTGCCCTTGACATTCAAAGGTGACCTGCTTACTAGCCTTTCAGGGGATCATCTTCACTGGGACCAGTCTCCCCTTAGAGTTGTTTCCAGTAAAAACAAAAACAAACAAAGAAAAAAAACCAGAAGAGGCCATTTATCCCTTTCTTTTAGCCCCGCTACCTGGGGGCTTCAGATATTTTGGCCCCTTCTTCTGGTTGTATATGGTTCTCCCAAACTGAAGAGCCCTGCTTCCTCCGCTGAGGCTAGAGGGCTGAGGTTGTGCATTTCAACACTGAAGGGCTGGTTGAGGGTCTGACCCCAGCATAGGTGCCATGCCAGGGCCATCAAGAAAAATTGCTGAGTGGCCAGAGTGGATTGGTGTGTGTGCTCTGAGATCAGCAGGAGCTAAGGAAGTGCTCTGGGGTCAGCTGAGAGGGAGCCACCACTTCTGCCTAGCAGGTCCAGGAGGTCGGTGCCATTGGCTGGAGTTGGGCCTTGAAGGATGAGAATTATTCAGCCCTGGTGGGGAAGAGGCAGGCAAAATTGGGCATTGGGAACAGGATGGGGAACAACAGCAAGACATCATCCTGGCTTCTAATTGGCCTCCTGCCCCGCCCCCACTGCCATCCATGGGTTTTCTCTCCCAGGAACAGAAACACAAACCAGATCAAACCACTTTAAAATCCTTCAGTACTCGCCACTGCTCCTAGGAACAACAACAACAACAAAAATCTACATCCTTACCAGGGCCTCTATCTCAGTAGGATCCCCCCACTCCTCCACTGTGTTGGAGCCACACTGGCCGCTTCCTCAGTCTTTCATGCTCTTTCGAGTCGCAGGGCCTTTGCACTTGCTGTTCATGCCCTCCGTCGGAGAGCTCATTCCTGCTGTCTCTATCTTGCTTACTCTTTATCTTGTAGGTGGCAGCTTCCAGATCATTGCCTCAGAGACCTCTGATCACCACCCCGAGCCCTCTTATCCTCTATGGCTTCACTCCCATCATGATTTGGAATTATTTATTTGTGAACTTGATTAGCCGAGATTGTAAATGACATGAGGTCAGGGACTGGACTGGGTATGTTTTCTTCTCTGTTGCTTTCCTGGCATGAAGTACAGTAAATACAGCACCTGATACATTATACATGGCCACAAATATTTGTTGAATGAATGAATAAAAGCACATTGGGTTCTGACCATTCAGTGTCCTGAAAGAATGCAGTTTTTCAAACTGTGCCTCACCATCCATTAGCGGGGTGTGAAATCAATTTAGTAGATGATGTCTAGCATTTTTTTTAAATGACACGGAATAGAATAAAAATAATCAGACCACGCTGAGGTAAAGGATGTTCTGGAAATTATTGTGTGGTTATGTACTTGTGGGTCATGATGTTAAATGTGCTTTTCCAAGAATAGCCAAGATAAATCCGAAAAAGAAAAACAAGCAGGGACGACTTGCCCTACCAGAGTTCAGAACTTGTCATGAAACTGCAGTAATCAAGACAATGTGTCATTGGAGGAGGGACAAATTGACACACAGAACAGAAAGCTCAGGCACATATTCACACACCACAGGGCATGACAGAGCAGTGGGGAAAGGAGGAACTGGAAAAAATAACTCCCCGTATGTAAAATGGGATTACTACCCACCATGCACGCATTTGTTTACAAATCGACTTGCAATAGTTGAAAAGAATTTGAATGTTGAAAATAAACTAAAACTCTCAGTAGATTTCTTTAAAAGGAAAACATACACACATTAAAAAAAAAAAAGCAGTGACCATAAAAGTTTGCTTAATCTGACTATATTACAATTAAGAATGTTGGTTCATTGAAAGACATCTTGGCTGGGTGCGGTGGTTCACATCTGTAATCCCAGCACCTTGGGAGGCAGAGGAAGGTGGATCACCTGAGGTCAAGAGTTCAAGACCAGCCTGGCCAACATGGTAAAATCCTGTCTCTACTAAAAATACAAAAATTAGCCGAGTGTGGTGGCACGTGCCTGTAGTCCCAACTACTCGGGAGGCTGAGGTGGGAGGATCACTTGAATCCAGGAGGCAGAGGTTGCAGTGAGCTGAGATCAAGCCACTGCACTCCAGCCTGGGGGACAGAATGAGATCTGTCTCAAAAAAAAAAAAAAAAAAAAAAGTAAGAAAAGAAAAGAAAAAAAGAAAGACATCTTAAAGGAAGTGAAAAGTCAGTTACAAACTGGAAGCAGCTATTCAAGATGCACACCCCTGACAGAGATTAGTGCTGAGACTCACAAGAGCACAAGAGCACAGCAGAAAAGTGGGTGGGAGACATAAGCAGGCGTTTCACCAAAGAGGCAACATATGGTTAAAAAAACAAAACAAAAAATTAGCCAGCATTGTTGTAACCCCAGTTACTTAGGAGGCTGAGGCAGAAGAAGCGCTTGAACCCAGGAGGCAGAGGTTGCAGTGAGCCGAGATCACGCCACTGCACTCCAGCCTGGGCAACAAGAGTGAAACTCCAACTCAAAAAAAAAAAAAAAAAGGACAAAAAAAAATTCTATAATTATGGAAAAAGGAAAGCAAGGGCGTTATGATCACAGGATTCATGATGTGCTGAGTTCTAGTTCAGGGGTCCTGGGAAAGGGATGCAAGAAGGGACCCTATGGCTAGATGTGGACTATCCTCAAGATGCTACCTTGGCCAGGTGTGGTGGCTCATGCCTGTAATCTCAGCACTTCGGGAGGCCAAGCAGGGAGGATCACTTGAAGCCAGGAGTTCAAGACCAGTCTGGGCAACATAGCAAGATCCCATCTCTGCCCCCAAAAAAATTTTTTTAAGAGAAAAAATTTTTAAAAAAGATGTGACCTTTTCTTTTAGGTAGTGGGTTCATAAGTGCTTACTATATTACTTAAAATCACCAATTAAATAGTTAAATAAGTGAAAATGGGTGATGAATAGACCAATGAGTAGAGTTTGGTCATGAGCCAAAGATGATTAAGTGAATGCTACGTACTTATGGGCCAAACAACAATAGAAATAAAATGTATTGGCCGGGCGCAGTGGCTCACGCCTGTAATCCCACCACTTTGGGAGGCCGAGGCGGGTGGATCACGAGGTCAGGAGATCAAGACCATCCTGGCTAACATGGTGAAACCCCGTCTCTACTAAAATACAAAAAAATTAGCCGGGCATGGTGGCGGGCGCCTGTAGTCCCAGCTACTTGGGAGGCTGAGGCAGGAGAATGGCTTGAACCCAGGAGGCGAGCTTGCAGTGAGCCGAGATCGCGCCACTGCACTCCAGCCTGGACGACAGAGCCAGACTCTGTCTCAAATAAAAAAAAAAGAAAGGAAACGCCTCTCTGCTCATGGGCTGTGATCAAAAGTATAAAAGCTAAAGCATGGCCAGGTGCAGTGGCTCACATCTGTAATCCCAGCACTTTGGCAGGCCGAGGCAAGTGGATCACAAGGTCAGGAGTTCAAGACCAGGCTGGCCAAGATGGTGAAACCCTGTCTCTACTAAAAATACAAAAAATTAGCCAGATGTGGTGGTGGGCACCTGTAATCCCAGCTACTCTGGAGACTGAGGCAGAGAATTGCTTTAACCCAGGAGGCAGAGGCTGCGATGAGCCGAGATCACGCCACTGCACTCCAGCCTGGGCGACAGAGCAAGGCTGCGTCTCAAAAAAAAATTTTAAAAGAAAAGAAAAAAAAAGCTAAAGCATGAGATGCGCGGGTGTGCAGGTGTGGCGGGGCTCTGGGGCGGGGCACAGTGCAATCGGGGACACAGGTGCTGGGGACCTGAGGAGTTGCCAGGAAGTCTTTGGACTTGTTCTTTGGACTTGTTCTTGTTCTGTTGAGCAAAGCAGCAGCTATGTTGCCCCATGCAGCCTGATTCAGACAACAGAGGGCGACTGGCTTCTGAGTGCAGTGCGGCCCTTTGTCCCTGCGCTTGCCTCCTGTCCCGTGGCGGGGCTGGCGCTTGGCTCGGCATCAACTGCTCACCTCTCTGGGGGTGTGGGTGGTTCCCGGCGGGAGGTGAGATTTAAACAAAGCCTCATTGCTGTTCCCAGGATTATCCGAGCCTTGTGCGGCCCCGCCCTGCCTCACAGAGCAGGGAACTCCCAACCCTGGGCTGAGGCCAGGCCTTTGGGTGGCAAGACAGGTGGGCTGGGGGCTGGGGGCTGCGATCCTATCTTTGACGGGCCCGTTTCTGCTTAGCTCTGGCGCTGTCCCGGCTCGGCGACCATTCCCCCGACCATCCTCTCCCTCTTGCTTCAAGTTCACCTGAGCAGGAGCCCAGGAGCCTCTAGCCTGCTGCTCTCGGGAGGTCTATGCTGTTACCAGAGTTTCAAGCATTGAGGGGGCGGGGGGAGAAACGAAAGGAGTTTTCCATCGGAAACAGAAAAGAGTTGGGGTTAAATCTGGGAAACAGGCCGGGCGCGGTGGCTCACGCCTGTAATCCCAGCACTTTGGGAGGCCGAGGCGGGCGGATCACGAGGTCAGGGGTTCGAGACCAGCCTGGCCAACATGGTGAACCCCTGTCTCTACTAAAAATACAAAAATTAGCTGGGCGTGGTGGCGGGCGCCTGTAATCCCAGCTACTTGGGAGGTTGAGGCAGAATAATCGTTTGAACCTGAGAGGCGGAGGTTGCAGTGGGACGAGATCGCACCATTGCACTCCAGCCTAGGTGACAGAGTAAGACTCTCAAAAAAAAAAAAAAAAATCTGGGAATCATACAAAGTAATAACTGCCTTAGGCATTTTGTTTTTCCCTAAAACCTGTAAGTGGTGGCCCCAGGCCTCTCCTTGAGGGTGTCTTCCACCACCCCTCGCCCCGACAGCCTCGGCCCCGTGTCTGGGTGCTTCCTCCATAAACCACTCCTGTCAGCGTCAACGGGAGGCGCACGGTGCTCCTCCTCCACTCATCCCTGCTGGGTCCCTGTGCCTGAAAATGGAGCCGAATCCTCTTTCAGGAACGCTTTAGATTTTCGTGAAAACACAGTCCGGCTTCCCAAGAGCAGCCGCCTTTTGCAGGGGCTTTCCCGACCCCTGTGTGGTTAAAGGCGCGCTGGCCCTCCACATTCCACAGGTGGAGACGAGAAGGCCCCGGCTGCTGGGTGACTACCCTAAGCGCAGACTCTGGGGGCCTGAGACTCAGCTCCCTTCTGCCTCCTCAGGGAGCCTCTAAGGGGCTGCAATCTGAGCACCAGGAGGGAGCCTTGAGACCAGGGATTCGCTCTGGCATCTTAATTATTCACCCGCAAACACATTCTGGCCCCTGAGCCTCAGTTTTGTCGTCTGTAAGAGAGGTGTCGCAATGTCTCTCTCTCAGGGTTTCTGCCAGGATGAAATGAGCCCAAGAGGAGGGGCAGTGGGCATGGGTTGGTCCCCTTCCGTCCCTGCCCCGAGGGGACCCACAACTCCCAGACTGGTCCCCCAGGAGGATCTTGGGGCCTGGGCCGGCGAAGCCTCCTATCTGTCCTCCTCCTCCTCCTCTTCCTCCTCTTCTTCCTCCTCCCCCTCCCCTCCTTTTCCTCCTCCTCCCCTTCCCACTTCCCTTCCCCCTCCCCTCCTCCTCTTCCTCTTCCCCCTCCCACTTCCCCTCTCCCTCCTTCTCCTTCCTCCACCTCCTCCCTCCCTCTTCCTCCCCTCCCCCTCCTCCTCCACTTCCCCTCCCCATCCTTCCCCCTTCTCCTCCATCACTCTCTCTCCTCTTCCCCTCCAGCTTCACCTGGCTCTGCGGACACGTGCACCGGAACATCCTCTCCAAGTTCACAGGCCAGGCGGTGGAGCTGTTTGACGAGGAGTTCCGCCACCTCTACGCCTCCTCCAAGCCTGTGATGGGCCTGAAGTCCCCGCGGCTGGTCGCCCCCGTCCCGCCCGGAGCAGCCCCGGCCAATGGCCGCCTTAGCAGCAGCAGTGGCTCCGCCAGTGACCGCACGTCCTCCAACCCCTTCAGCGGCCGCTCGGCAGGCAGCCACCCCGGTACCCGAAGTGTGTCCGCGTCTTCAGGGCCCTGTAGCCCCGCGGCCCCACACCCGCCTCCACCGCCCCGGTTCCAGCCCCACCAAGGCCCTTGGGGAGCCCCGAGTCCCCAGGCCCACCTCTCCCCGCGGCCCCACGACGGCCCGCCCGCCGCTGTCTACAGCAACCTGGGGGCCTACAGGCCCACGCGGCTGCAGCTGGAGCAGCTGGGCCTGGTGCCGAGGCTGACTCCAACCTGGAGGCCCTTCCTGCAGGCCTCCCCTCACTTCTGAAGGTCCCATCCCCTGCTGCCCTCCGCAGGCCCAGGGCTGGGCACTCCCTGAGACCCAAAGACCCACCTCAACGACGAGTGGCGTTGAGCCACTTCCCTTTGAAAAGACACTCAAAATCACTGCCATGGTTCAATGTTCCCAGGCCCCAGGCCATCCACTTGCCGGCCCCCACCAGTTCTTGGGTTCCCCGCTCTAGTTTGACCTGTGCAGCACATTCCAGAAGGTTCCAGGGAGGTTGTGGGGCAGCTAGAGGACAAAATCATGAAAACAGAGTCCCTGTCTTCCAGAGATCATCCGGGGCTTTAATATTAATGGCCCCCAAAACTCCGTAAGAAGCAGGAAATGCAGCCCAAGTTTTACAAATGGGTAAACAGAGGCACTGAGAGATAGATGGTAGTTTGGTACTTCTGGTTCCCAGTGCCCAGGAATGGTCCACTCCCAAGAAATTCAGGAAAGAAAGACTGAGGAGAAGGTGTGGGAACATTCTGGATGTTTCGGGAGAGTTGGGGAAACTCCTCCTCTTAGGAAAGGCTAATACTAGGGTATCCTTGGGCCCAATGAATTAGGGGTGAGGCCCCAGAACCCGTTATCTATGAGTTGTATGGGGGAGCCATCTGAAGCTGTAGCCACCAGGGATGCAGCTAGCTGAGGAGTTTGGGGTGTTGGGTTGGACAAGGCAGGTTAGTAGACTCAGATTCTTGCTTCAAAGAGCCTTGGGCTGGCCTGGAGGTCCCTGGAGTCTAGACTGGACCTAGGAGCTTGAGTTGTCAGGGGCCAGGACTGGCCCCACTGCAGTGCCCAGGCCAGTCTTGAGCAGCAGGGAGGGCTCAGCTGTCCCCAGATCCAGGTGCCTCTGACCAGCCTGGTCACCTCCTGAGGAATAAATGCTGAACCTCACAAGCCCCATCATTCATTTCTTCTCAATTCACAGTGCCCCTCTTTGTTTCTGGGGTGGAACTAGGTCCTGAGGGCACAGCCTAGCTGAGTGCAAAGAAATATAGGATGCTTAGAAAGCATACAGGAGGGGCCAGGCGTGGTGGCTCATGCCTGTAATCCCAGAACTTTGGGATGCCAAGGTGGTTGGATTACCTGAGATCAGGTGGATTACCTGGTCTCGAGACCAGCCTGACCAATATGGTGAAACCCCGTCTCTACTAAAAATACAAAAATTAGGCTGAGACAGGAGAATTGCTTGAACCCAGGAAGCAGAGGTTGCAATGAGCTGAGATTGCATCACTGCACTCCAGCATGGGCAACAAAGCAAGACTCCGTCACAGAAAAAAAAAAAAAAAAGAGAGAGAGCATAGAGGAGGGTTGGCCAGCCCTGTGGTGGGTGGGATGTCAGAGACACTTCCCAGATAAAGTAAGAGTTAACCCTGCACCTCAGGTGTGATAGTGGGGTCAGTGGTATGTGATCCAGGCTGGGGAGCCAGAGGGGAGCAGGTGCCAACTCCACATCCTTCTCCTGTTTCTAGGCCCTCTCCTCCCTTGTCGGTTTTTGGCGGGGAAGCTCAGCCTTCGCTGTGGAGGGACGAGAGCACAGAGCTCTTCCTCCTGGTGGCCTCTGACCCCTGACGGCCTGTGGCATCCTCCCTAGTCCCCTCTGCCCATCCATCCCTCTGTTCCAATTCTCCACTGCTCCCAGCATGATCTGGGGCATCTTGGCTTCTGGTTTCTTTTATTATTATTATTATTATTAATTATTGTATTCCTGTCCTTCACTTTTTTCCTCCTTAGTTCCTGAAAGTAAACAAAACAAAACAAAAACAAAAAAACAAACAACACTTTGGTTCCTGATGGCTTTCTGAACCCAGCCCTGACCTTGTTGTTTCACAGCTGACGGCTGAGATGAGGTTAGAATGACTGGGCCCGGCTGAACATTCCAAATTGGATTTCACCATCTGCTGAGAAAGTTTAAGGAAGGCAAAGCTTGCCAGGTCACAGAAGCTCCCAAGCCCAGCTTTCCAAAGGCCTCAGCCTGTGCCTGTGTCGAGCTCAGTCCTGGGAGATAGGGGAGAACCTGCAGGCAGGAACAAGCCCCCCTACTCCTGACCACCCTCCATCAGCAGTCTCCCCTCCGTGGTCGTCTTTGTTGACAAAGGTGCAGTTTCTCCTCTCCTGGGCACCTGTAACATGTGATGCGCTGCCTGCTGGGAGGTTAGGTCGGGGCTGCCCCGGCGAGTGGAGCATGAGCAGAACCGCCGAGGGTCACTTCTGGGCAGAAGCTTTGAGAGCCTGGGTCCAGGTTGCCACATAGAAGCAGCTCTCCAGTTGAAACCCTCCTCTGCCAGCCTGGGGTCCTAAGCGATGAGCAGAATCCCCCACTCCCACCCCACCAACCCACAATGGATATGTAGTGAGCAAGAAATAAACCTTTGTTGTTTAAGCCACTGCGATTTGGGGATTGTTTCTTCCTGCACCATGATCTAGCTTTGCCCGAGTGATACAGCCTCTGAGACCCCCCAACTCCAGGCTAGGCCATTGCTCTGGATTCCCAAGACCCCCCGACACATACACTATTTCCACCACAGGATTAGGGGTGGTTTGACACACCTGGCAATTGTCTATCTGAAAGCTAGAAGAAGTCTTTATCCAACTTTCAAATCCTACAAAACCGGGTCACGTTCCATCTTTAATTCTGCTCTGGGTTATAATCACACCTGTACCTCCCTCACTGCGGCCTGCTTGCTAGAGTGTCACTCCGTGTCTTTAAACATATGGAGTCTCTACTACAGTGTGAATTTCAACAGCTGCAGCTTAGCATCTCTTATGTGCCAGGCACTGTGTCAGCTCCGGAGAGGGCTGGGAGGGACCTTCATGTGAACAGCCACCATGAAGAACATGAGAGAATGAAGAAATACTATGATCTTCATGTCCTGGGGTACCTCACCTAAGGTCAAACACATCCCCCAAACCAGGGACTTTGGATCATAGGACCTATCTACAGGACAGTCAGCCAACATGGACTGAGGTGTGGGTTGCTAATGATCAACGCTGCTCCTCAGAGCCCCTGTCTCCTAGGAATGATCTGTTACCTGCACTTGGTCCTCATCAGATACTGCTCTCCTGTCTCTCCATTTACATCATAAGAGCCCAGAGACCAAAGGTATCTCTCTGGACCCACAGGTCCAGAGCTACATTGGTGCCACAGACAGTCCAAGGGCACAGTCAGTCCTCCCTGGTTGAACACTGGTGAGGAGCTTTGCTCCTACAGGGGAGACGAATAATCAGATACCCCAGACCACCTTCACTCTCTGTCCCTCCAGAATGTAGGGGAGGAAGGGCTGCCTCGCCTTCACTTAGTCTTCGTGCTGACCCTGCTAGCCTGTCATGAAAATGTCAAAGCAGCTTCTTCAAATAATTCACTTTTTTTTTTTTGAGACAGTCTTACTCTGTCGCCCAGGCTGGAGTGGCGCGATCTTAGCTCACTGCAACCACTACCTCCCAGGTTCAAGCGATTCTCCTGCCTCAGCCTCCCAAGTAGCTGGGATTACAGGCGCCCGCCGCCACATCGACTAATTTTTGTATTTTTTGTAGAGATGGGGTTTTGCCATGTTGGCCAGGCTGGTCTCAAACTCGCGACCTCAGGTGATCCACCCACCTCAGCCTCCCAAAGTGCTGGGGTTACAGGCGTGAGCCACTGTGTCCGGCCCAAATATTTCACTTTCTGAACTTGATCCAAAAAGCCGGTGGACACAGAGAAACTGTCACTCACTTTCCTAGCTTCCTCTTGAAGAGTGTCTCTGTGTTGGAACTGTTATTAGAGGATGTAAATACTGCAGACACACGTGCAAACATAAACACAACCTCCTCTTGCTGTTGTTCACTGTATTTCGTTTGACCCAGGCATTGCTTCCTAGGGCGCTCCATCCTTCTTTCCTCTGTAGCGTGTGGTGAAGGAGAGCATGAAACCATGATGCAGCACACGGGGCGGATGGAGAGACGCGGCGCAGACGACGGCGGCGCGCCGGGGAGGCTGAAGTCCACCATAGCTATGCTTGCCAAGGCCACCTTCCCCTACTGCCCACTCCCTGAGTCAGGCAAGGACGCCCTTCACAAATTCACACAAAGACACTTTCTAGGCTAGTGGCCTTGACTTGAGAACAGAGATTTTCAGATTCTCCCACTGACATGGTGGTGAGTGAAGAATCCCCAAGGTCGTTGAGCCCTATCTTCCCAGTCTCCCCGGAAAAATACAAGCAGGCCTTTCCCTTGATTTTCAGGAACGTGGAGGAATAACAAATGCAAACCCTGGAGATAAGGAAGATGCCACCGACGAAGCACACAAAGCAGCCCAGAGAAAAGGGAAGAGTAAGAAAAATCCTCTGCAGGGGGCTTTCCCTGTTTGTGTTTGGAAGGGCAGTGTGTACCTAGCTAGGGCTGCTGAAACATAAACACCACACAATGGGCAGCTTCAACAACAGAAATGTATTCTCTCATAGTTCTGGAGGCTGGAAGTCCAAGACCAAGGTGTCCACAGAGCTAGATTCTTCTGTGGCCGCTCTCCTTGGCTCACAGATAGCCTTTCTCCTTTCTTTTGCTACCCCTTCATGTGGCCATCCCTCTGTGTGCCTGCACCCCTGGGGTCTCCCTGCATCTCCAATTTCCTCTTCTTATAAGGACACCAGTCAATTGGATGAAGAGTTTAAGGAGCTGTGCACTGATGCCAGGTGGACTTATGATGGTTAATTTCATGTTTCAACTTGGCTACGGAGCGTCCAGATATTTGGACAAACATTCTTCTCGATGTTTCTGCGAGGGTGTTTCTGGATGATACTAACACCTGACTTTGTAGATTGAGTAAAGCAGATTATCCTTCCTAATCCGGACGGGACTCATGCAGTGGTTCCCCTGCTGAATATCCTATTCCAAATCCTGGATTTGCAATTAAAAAGGGGGTGTAGAGCCCTGGAGGTCTGGGCTTGGTGAGGCCAGCCTTGGGTTCCGCTTCAAAGGGGCCTGCATTCATGTATTTCATCACAATTGTGGCCTACAACGTGCCAGGGGAAAGAGAATGGTGCTGGCACTCAGCTCACATGAAGGTGTCCGGAGCCTTGCTGCCTCTGGGGTTTGCACTGCCCTGATCTGAGGTTTGTTGGACTGAGAGAGAATGATATGGAGCAGTGACAGGGGCCAGGGAAGGTCTGTATGAGGGGAGACATCAGTGCTGAGCCCTGGAAGGGAGACAGAGCCAGCCACACAAAAGGCAGGCAAGGCATGCCAGCCAGAGGGGAGAGCCTTGGGGAAGAGCTTGGCTCTGTTCAACAGCAGCCGAGAGTGATGCCCTCTCCATCAGTGTGGATCCCCAAGGCACCTCTTCTTGGGTGTCTTGAGCTCACCTCCACCCTCCAGGTGAGCACTTATACCTGGGGCTCTCCCAGAAAACACATACTGCTTGAAGCTCAAAGGTAGTTTAACATTTAGAAAGTAAAATCAGATTTGCCATTTAAAGCACAGCCCAATACCAGCCATTCTCCTGTTCACAAGCTTTCCGTCTGACTACAGCCAAGCTGCTCACCAGGGTATCGATGGGGCCTCGTGATTCAGCGCTGGCTCACCTGCCAGCCCCATTCCCCACCACCTCCCTTCCGGCCGCTCAACTGGCCACCAGCCTCCACTTCCTCTCTGCCTTTGCTCTCCTTATCCCTCAGCTGAGGACCCTGACACGATACCTCTCATTCTCCACCGAGCCTGCTGCAAACCTTCGTCTCTCCTGAGGCCCAGCTCAGATGTTACCTCCTTCCTGAAGCTTCTTTGAGAGCCCTAGCCCTTGTCTGCATGCTGCACTATCCAGGCCTCGCTCCCTCCTGCCCTCTCGTAAGTGCCACTTCTGGCCGGGCGTGGTGGCTCACAACTATAATCCCAGCATTTTGGGAGGCCAAGGCAGGCGGATCACCTGAGGTCAGGAGTTTGAGACCAGCCTGGCCAACATGGTGAAACGCCATCTCTACTAAAAATACAAAAATTAGCCCGGCGTGGTGATGGGCGCCTATAATCCCAGCTACTTGGGAGGCTGAGGCAGGAGAATTTCTTGAACCTGGGAGGCAGAGGTTGCAGTGAGCCGAGACCGCACCATTGCACTCCAGCCTGGGCAACAAGAGCAAAACTCCATCTCAAAAACAAACAAACAAAACAGTTCCACTTCTGTGGATGTCCTGAACTCTAGTAGATGGGAGCTGCCTAAAAGCCAGTGTGGCCTCTGATCTTTGATATTGCCTACAACAATGCTAAACCAAGGTTTACCATTAAGCCGATGAGTGAAAGTATGTCATTTATAAAGAGCCTTCTGAGACACGAAGTGTTATCCTCAAGCCAAGGTTAGAAGGATTCAAGTGGCCCATATTAGGATTCTTGAGTTGCAAGGACTGGGTTACTTGGTGTGTTGGTTTCCTATTGCTGCTGTAAGAAATTACCACACGCACAGTGACTTAGAGCAACACATTTTCATCTACAATTCTCTCATTCCGACTCTCAAGACGGGTCTCACTGGGCTCGAATCAAGGTGTCTACAGGGCTGTGCACTTTCCGGGACAC